>NC_000003.12:148705574-149955574 GCF_000001405.40 Homo sapiens | reverse complement strand
GTCCAAAAGTGTGTTTGGTATGAATAGCAGCTTTTTTTCTAGCAAATAAGAAATAAATGAATCTTATTTTTTATTCTTCTTTTCCCTGTACCAGTTCCCAAGAAATCTCAACAAAATACAACAGGATAAAATATTTTAAAAAGCCAGATTTGCCTGAGAACTCTTTCTGATTATTTCCAAGCCCTGGGCAAAGGAACTAATATTTATTATTAAGGTTAGATTAAAAGCTGTTAAAATGTAGTTATAAAAAAAGAAGTCTTTAATAGCTAGAGTAAAATTTTATAAGTAAAAAATTATAAAATTTAAAAAAATTATAAAAATTAACTATTACTCCATTTTTATGAAATCTACTAAAATGCTATGTTGCTTTTTTCCAGTCTCTGAAATAAAAATCTTTCCCCTCCTGTACATATAATCTTCAAAAATCTCAATGATTAAGCCATAAAGGAAAAATGCCTGGTAACTTAAAATGTCAGATATGAAATCTACTTTTATCATTTATATTTCAGGGATCTGGCTGCTTTAACATACTAATGGGGCAAGGGAGACAGCTCCCAGAGAGAGCTGCTTAATAGAGGGATGTTAAGTGAAAACATAAGGATTTTCCATCTGTTAGGAAACAGTGTGTGGTATCTAGTTCTTATGGTTAGACTTGGAGAAATACATTAATTGAATGACACAGGAAATACAGGAAACCACATTTTGCTTGAAGAGCAATTTTTGAGGACAATAACGAGTAATGAAAAAATGTGTAAGGATGCTGGCTGCTTCAGAAGCAAGAAAACAACTAAAAGGCTACTACTATATTATATATGCTAGAAATGGGTAAGTTAATACTTAAATCATTTAACTATTAATCAGCATGAACATTTCTGAAAGAACTTCAAAAGTGAAGATGAATAAGATAGGAAGATTTAAGATCCTGTCCCCAAAGTGTGGTAAATAGGAAAGTTTACAGATACTATATTCAAGTTGTTTTTAAAAGTTTCTGTGAATTGTATTACAAGCTATGCCAATGGAAGATATTTCCAAATGCCAAATTCTTTTTGGTTCATTGGCAAATATTTCCAAAACAGAAATACGTTTTAGCACAGTGAAGCAGCTGATTACTATGATAGTTTCTTTTTTTCTTTTTTGTTTTTTTGCAGGTGGGTGGGTAAGGAGTAAGGGTAAGGGTGGTAATACAAATGTTATAGAGTCCCCTAACATTTTCACTACATTCTAAGCCTATAGGAGTTCTCTTAAAGACTTCCATGGCTTCCATGGTACTATCACTGGTATGAAAAGTACCCACAGATGTGTTCTACACTTTCCTCTATGTTTTCAATTAGATGCAATAAGGAGAAAATTGCAAC
Organism: Homo sapiens; assembly: GCF_000001405.40. Taxonomy (NCBI): domain Eukaryota; kingdom Metazoa; phylum Chordata; class Mammalia; order Primates; family Hominidae; genus Homo; species Homo sapiens. Next base: position 149,954,219 of record NC_000003.12, on the reverse strand, counting down.
AACCAAAGGTTTTTTTTTTTCTAACATCTGTGTGTATATACCTTGTCAAAACCACTAGAGTACACCAGAACATGGTATAACAAACAGACCTTTTACTTAAGATGTCAAATCTCATGATAACCAAAAAATTCTAAAACAAACATACAACTAGCTCAAACTTACTGTTATTGAAATTTCAAGTGTAATGTTTTTATTTTCCAACTGCTTCACGATTTTGGCAGTCTTCTTTTTAATCATAAAATATGTTTAATAACTGAATTTTGATGACACTAATATTTTATGATTTTTATTTAAGAGGTTGTTTTGCTTTTATAATAATAATTGCTACCACTTGTTGAGTTCTATGTGCCAAGCACTATCGTAAGCATTTTTCATAAACTGATTTAAATCCCTCCCACCACACACCTTGTGAATTAAGTACTATTAGGTACATTTACACATGAATGGGTGCTTGGCAAGGTTAAGAAACTTGCACAAGGTCACACAGCCAATAAATGGGGGATCCAGAATTCCAGCCCAGGTCTGTTGGGCTCTAAAGCCTTTGCACAGTCTTAGCTGTTATGTTGTATTATATTGCCTCCTAGGTTATGTATGTAGAATTTTTGGTCACATTTAAATATTCCCCTTCGATTCATAGTGTTAAGAAATATACTTAAGCAGCTACGTATTTACTAGGGATGAAAATGTTTCCAATTCATAAGCCAGAACACTTTTTTCTTCAGATATTTAACACAAAGAAGGGATGAAGACCATTTTTTATTCCCATCTCCCATGGTTTCATATTTTTATAAACATTTCTAGAATGCTACACAATAGCAGATAATATTCTGCAACTTTAATTGAAGGTCAAACATTTCTTATATATTCTGATGGTGAGATGATAGTGCCTGCGCTAAAACAATCAGATGACTCCACTGAGGGAAAGAGCATTGCATTAGCAACTCTGGGAGAAATGTGTTAGTGAATTATTTCATGAATGCAGTGAGAATAAAATGATTGTCTTAGAGGCCATAAATAAATCCATTTAAGTTAAAACCCAAGTCTAGGAATTGATATCCACTTTGGCCAAATTTAACTTTGGGTAATCTAGCTTAAAAAAAAAAAATCCAACTTTTCCCTATAGTATTTTAAATAGTCATTCTATATATTACTCTTTATTGGGTCTAACTTGGTTGATATTATCTATGCAGATAAACTACAACTGTACCCAAAGCCTTTCTGAATGAAGATTTATCATCCTGAGGAGAAAAACCAAAGGTAATGGGAGTTTTGGAATGGTAAATATTGTGCCAGACCTCAAGTACTTAAAAAGCATTTCCTAGGCCAGGCATGGTGGCTCATGCCTGTAATCCCAGCACTCTGGGAGGTCGAGGCAGGTGGATCACCTGAGGTCGGGAGTTCAAGAATAGCCTGATTGACATGGAGAAACTCTGTCTCTACTAAAAATACAAAATTAGCTGGGCGTTGTAACGCATGCCTGTAATCCCAGCTACTCAGGAGGCTGAGGCAGGAGAATCGCTTGAACCCGGGAGGCAGAGGTTGTGATGAGCCAAGATCACACTATTGCACGCCAGCCTGGGCGACAAGAGCGAAACTCCATCTCAAAAAAAAAAAGCATTTCCTTTTACTAAGTACAGAAGGTTCATTATTATTCTTTTATTATTCTTTTTCAGGCCACTAGGAAATGAGGGTGTACAACACCCTTCCAGAGCCAACTTCAACAAACTCAAATTTATGTACATCCTAATCTAAAATTTTTCTTTTCCTACATATAAAGGAAATTAAATAAAAAACCTGTCCGTTTCAGTTACACTTGGGGCAGTGGGCCTACATTATTTTTGCATAAAGCCCAATTGCTTCTAGATGACTTCTGCTTGTTGATTAGATTAGTCTAATATTTGTTGCGGCTCTGAGTGGCAAAGGTGACTACAGGAAGTCATACATAAAATTTCCTTCTAAATAGTGCATACAAATCAATAATAAAATAGTAATGCTCCTAACAGAAATGTGAACAAAGGGCATGCCAGGTTTTAAAGCAGAAATATAAATGGATATTTTACCTTGTTAATGTAGAATATGATGAAATGAGTATTATATACTGCTAGTAGACTTGAACTTTCAGCAAATTAGTTTGTCTCAAAAATGGTCTTTCCTTTTCTCTTTGACATAGTGAGTTGAAGAGGAGAAGGAAAAGTAGGAGTAGGGTGGAGGGAATGACAAGAGAAGGAGAATGGGAAGAATGAAAGCCATGAAATGGTAGTGACTGAAAAGAGTAGGGTAGTAGTATTTACTAGTGTTTGGAGTCAGGAGGTTGAATTGCAGCCCTGCCACTTCCCTTTAGCTGCTCGTGTATCCTCAGGTAATTTACTTGACCTTTCTAAGTCTCATATTCCTTATCCATAAAGTAGACATGACAGTTTTTCCTAATTAGGCTGCTCTGAAAACTAACTGAATTCATGTATGCAAAGTACACAGTTTGCTTTCATACTACATAATAGTATGTGTTACATGCTTATAAGACCTAAAATGTGAAATTATCAAATTTTGATTTGGTGCAATGCCCATCCCAATCCAACTTAATTCTAAATAACCCATTTGGTACAAACAACCCCAACTAAAGTAGAAAGAGGCAGGGGTGGACTGAAGCATGGTTCTCCTAAGCAAATACAGCTACAGGCAAATGATAAAAGAGTGCCATGATACAAATCAACCTATAGCACCAACTCTCTCAGTTTCCTTCAGTCAAAGCTATTACAGTACAGACCTTAGGATCTTTATCTCTGGACATGAGGTAATAAAACAGTTCCTTTTCAAATAACTCATGAATGCACTGATTTCTTAGGAACCATAGCCATGGTAGTAATTCCTCACCCAACTTGCATCCTCAGTTATTTCACTGCTTTGTGGGCCTTCTGAAAAGTATTCCTTTTGAAGAGCTGAGAAACATTCCCTTTTCTGACAGACAGCAAATACAAAGAGTCACAACTTAGCAGAAACCCTGAGTAGAAAACCACCATAAGAACCAGTACTGGTAGCCAAGCCTGAACTGTGATAAATTGCCAGAGACTCAGTGTGGACAAGTCTGAGAGTTAAAACACTTCCAGGGGACCCAGTGCTTTTTTGAGTTTTACCTCCTGAAGCTCTACCAGGAAAAATCCCCTCAGGTATTGGGGGTGGTCGGGAGAAGCATTATGTTCTGAACAAGGCCTTTCCCCAAGAAAAACTATTTTACCAGATCATAATCTACTGTGGTTTTAGAATCTAACTGACCTGGGGAAAGGGCAAAAATACCCAACTCCCATCAGCTCTAACCTACATGGAACAGAAGATACCCAACTCCAGCTCCCGCCAGCCATCTTGTCCCACCTAATTCTGGGAAAAGAAGTGACGGGCACTTGTGAAGTTCAGACCCTTGGGCCACAGGCTCACTTAAAGACTGAGACAGGCCAAGTGTGGTGGCTCACATCTGTAATCCCAGCACTTTGGGAGGCTGGGGTGGGAGGAGTGCTTGATTCCAGATGTTGAAGACCAGCCTGGGCAACATAGAAAGACCCCATTTCTACCAAAAAAAAAAAAAATTAGCTGGGCATGGTGGTGTGTGCCAGTAGTCCCAGCTATTCAGGAGGCTGAGGCAGGAGGATGGCTTGAACTCAGGAGGTAGAGGCTGCAGTGAGTCAAGATTATGCCACTGCATTCCAGCTTAGGTACCAGAGTGAGAGCTTCGCTCTGTCCTAATTTTAAAAAAAGGTTCAGATATAATTATAAAACTATAGAATGCTTCCCCTTCCCTGTACCTCACTACTAACATGACTAACGGCCTATTTACTGCAATTCTTTTCACCCAGTATATCATGTCCAGCTTTCAACAAAAAATTACAAAGCATACTAAAAGGCAAAAACACAGCTTGAAGAGACAGAGCAGGCATCACAAACAGACTCAGATATGGCAGGAATGTTGGAATTATCGGATCAGGAATTTAAAACAACCACCGTTAATATTCTGAGGGTGCTAGTGGAAAAATTAGGCAACATGCAACAATGGTTGGTTAATGTAGGCAAAGAGATGGAAATTCTGAGAAAGAATTAAAAAGTGCTAGAGATCAAAAACACTAACAAAAATGAAGAATGCATTTGATTAGCTCATTAGTATACTGGACACATCTTGAGCAAAGTATCTTTGAGCTTAAGGACATGTCACTAGAAACTTACAAAACTGAAAAGCAAAGAGAAAAAAGACGGAAAAAATGGAATAATATGCAAGAATATGGAACAACTACAGAAAATGTAGCATATGCATAATGGAAACATCAAGAAAATTAAAAGAGAAAAGAATAGAAGCAATAAATAAAGTTATAATGACTAGGGATTTCCTGAAATTGGTTTCAGACACCCCACCACAGATCCAGGAAGTTAAGAGAACACCAAGCAGGATAAATCCCCAAAAAAGAAAGAAGAAAAAGAGAAGAAATGAAGAGAAGAAAAAAAAAAAAAGAATGAAGGAAAATGAAGAGAATCTGAGGGACTTCTGGGATAGCATCAAATAGAAGAAAACATGCATTATGGGAACCTCAGAAGGAGAAGAAAGAAAGGGGTAGAGGACCTATGTGAAGAAATAATGGTTGGAAACTTCCCAAATCTGAGAGAAATGGATATACAAATTCAAGAATCTCAGATAATTCCAACCAGAATAAATCTAAAGGGATCTAAGGGATCTACACTGAGACATATAATCATATTATAATTAAACTGTCTAGTGACAGAGATCTTGAAAGCAGCAAAAAAAAAAAAAAGCAACCCAGTACATACAAAGGAGCTCATATTAGATTCTCAGCAGACTTAGCAGAAACCCTGCAGGCTAGGAAGTGGGATGATGTATTCGAAAGAAAAGCGGTGCCAATCAAGAATGCTATGTTTAGCAAAAGTGCCCTTTCAAAACAAACAAAAACAGAAATTAAGACTTTCTCAGATAAAAATTGAGGGAGTTTATCACCACTAGACTTATTCTATAGGAAATTCTAAAAGAGCACCTACAAGTAAGTGAAAAGCTGATAAACAGGAACATAAAACCATGTATTAATAAAAACATAAGTCCCAGGTAAAGTTAAATATATAGACAAATATAGAATCCTGTATTATTGTAATGTAGGTGAGTAAATCACTTATAAATCTGGTATATAATTTTTTTTTTTTTCTAGACAGGGTCTGGCTCTGTCACCCAGGCTGGAGTGCAGTGGCATGATCTCGACTCTCGGCAACCTTCGCCTCCCAGGCTCAAGCCATCCTCTTGCCTCAGTCCCCCAAGTAGTTGGGACCACAGGCACTTGCCACCATGCCTGGCTAATTTTTGTGTTTTTTTGTAGAGATGAGGTTTCACCATTTTGCCCAGGCTGGTCTCAAACTCCTGAACTCAAGTGATCCGCCCACCTTGGCCTCCCAAAGTGCTGCGATTACAGCCATGAGTCACGGCACGTGGCCCAGAATTTTTCTAAAAGCATAAAAAGTAATAATTACATTAAATGATAAGCAATGTAAAAACAGGCAATTTGAGTCATCAATAACATAGAATGGGAGGCAGAGAGACAAGGATCATGGTTTTTATATGTGATTGAAGTTAATTTGTCAGTTTGAAATATTTAAAAGGTCAGTTTAAAACAGATTGTTAGAACTTTTAAGATGTTTTATGGAATTGCAAGGGTAACCATAAGGAAGATATCTGTAGAATATATACAAAGGGAAATAAGGGAATCAAAACGTCACTAGAAAAAATCAACAAAAAACACAGTGAGAGGAAAGACAAAGCGGTAAGACAGACAAAAAACAATGAACAAAAGTAATAGTCCTTTCCTGTCAGTAATTATTTTAAATGTAAAAAGATCAAACATACCAAGACATTGATTGAATGGCTAAAAAATATGAGATCCAACAATAAAGTGCTTACAAGAAAATCATTTTATATCTAAAAACACGTGGGGACCAGGCACGGTGGCTCACACCTGTAATGCCAGCACTTTGGGAGGCCGAGGTGGGCAGATCATGAGGTTAGGAGTTCGAGACCAGCCTGGCCAGCATGGTGAAACCCCATCTCTACTAAAAATACAAAAAATTAGCTGGACATGGTGGCGTGTGCCTGTAATCCCAGCTACTCGGGAGGCTGAGGCAGGAGAATTGCTTGAACCCAGGAGGTGGAGGTTACAGTGAGCCGAGATCGCGCCACTGCACTCCTGCCTGGGTGACAGAGCAAGACTCCTTCTCAAACAAACAAACAAAAAGCACACATAGGCTAAAAGTGAAAAGGTGGAAAAGATATCCTATGCAAATGAGAAACTGGAGAGCAGGAGTGGCCATACATATATCAAACAGAATAGACTTTAAGAAAAAAAACTATCATAAGAGAAAAACGGGGGCATTATATAATGACATAATGGTAAATTCACCAAAAAGATATAACAATAAATATATACACATCTAACATCAAAGCAGTCAAATACGTGAAGCAACATTGACAGAACTGAAGGAAGATGGCCAGGTGCGGTGGCTCACGCCTGTAATTCCAGCACTTTGGGAGGCCCAGGCGGTCGGATCACCAGAGGTCAGGAGACCAGTCTGGCCAATATAGTGAAACCTCATCTCAACTAAAAATACAAAAAAGTACCTGGGTGTAGTGGCAGGCGCCTATAATCCCAGCTATTCAGGAGATTGAGGCAGAAGAATCGCTTAAGCCCAGCGGCAGGAGGTTGCAGTGAGCCAAGATTGCACCACTTCGCTCAAGCTTGGGCAAAAGAGCGAAACTCCGCCTTTAAAAAAAAAAAAAAGAACTGAAAGAAGAAATGAGCAGCAACACAATACTAACAGGCGACTTCAATACCCCACTTTCAGTAAGAATAGAACAACCAGACAGAAGATCAAACAGAAGACACAGATGACTTGAATAACTCTTTAGACCAATTGGAACTAACAAACATATACAGAACACTTCACCCAACAACAGGGGATACACATTCTCAAACGCACATGTAATATTCTCCAAGACAGACTACATATTAGACCACGAAAAAAGCCTTAAATGTAAGAAGATTGAAGTCATACAAATATATTCTCCAACCTCAGCACAATGAAACTACAAATCAATAGCAAAAAAAACAAAAAACAGGCAAATCCACAAATGTATAGGAATTAATGCAGTTTTTAACAACCAATGGGTCAAATAAGAAATCACAAGGGAATTTAGAAAATATCTGGAGATAAATGAAAATGAAAACACAGCATACCAAAACTGATGGAATGCAACAAAAACAGTATTAAGAGGAAAGTCTTATTAAAAAGGAAGAAAGACCTCAAATCAACAACTTAACCTGACACTTAAAGGAATAATGAAAAATAAGCTAAATCCACAACTAGCTTACAGCAGAGACAAATGAAACAAACAGGAAAAAAGATAGAAAAAATACAACAAAACCAACAGTTGGTATTCTGAGAAGATGAACAAAATTAGCAAATCTTTAGCTGCAATAACTAAAATGGAGAGAAGACTGAAATAGCTAAAATTAGAAATAAAAGAGAAGACATTCAACTGATGTCATAGAAATAAAAAGAATTATGAGGCTAGTATTAAATTACAACCAAACCAGATAATCTAGAAGAAATGGATAAATTCCTAGAAACATACAGCCTACCAGTACTAAATCATGAAGAAATAAGAAATCTATGTGAACATACCTGTAACTAGTAAAGAATTGAAATAGTAATTAAAAGCCTCCCAACAAAAAAGGCCAGGACCAGATAGATTCACTGGAGAAGTCCTCACTGGAGAAGTCCACAAATATTTAAATAAGAACTAACACTAATCCTTCTCAAACTCTTTGAAAGAATCAAAACAGAAACTCTTTGAAAGAACTGCAATCACTGATACCCTTTCTTCCAGTTGATTGAATTGGCTACTGAAGCTTGTGCATCTGTCATGTAGTTCTCATGCCATGGTTTTCAGCTCCATCAGGTCATTTAAGGACTTTGCTACACTGGTTATTCTAGTTAGCCATTTGTCTAATCTTTTCTCAAGGTTTTTAGATTCTTTGGGATGGGTTCGCACTTCCTCCTTTAGCTCGGAGAAATTTGATCGTCTGAAGCCTTCTTCTCTCAACTTGTCAAAGTCATTCTCCATCCAGCTTTGTTCCGTTGCTGGTGAGGAGCTGCATTCCTTTGGAGGGGGAGAGGCGCTCTGATTTTTAGAATTTTCAGCTTTTCTGCTCTGTTTTTTCCCCATCTTTGTGGTTTTATCTACCTTTGGTCTTTGATGATGGTGAAGTACAGATGGGGTTTTGGTGTGGATGTCCTTTTTGTTTGATAATTTTCCTTCTAACAGTCAGGACCCTCAGCTGCAGGTCTGTTGGAGTTTGCTGGAGGTCCACTCCACACCCTTTTTGCCTGGGTATCAGCAGCGGAGGCTGCAGTACAGCGAATATGGCTGAACAGCAAATGGTGCTGCCAGATTGTTCCTCCAGAAGCTTCATCTCAGAGGGGTACCTGGCCGTGTGGGGTGTCAGTCTGCCCCTACTGGGGGGTGCCTCCCAGTTAGGTTACTTGGGGGTCAGGGACCCACTTAAGGAGGCAGTCTGTCTGTTCTCAGATCTCAAGCTGCGTGCTGGGAGAACCACTACTCTCTTCAAAGCTGTCAGACAGGGACATTTAAGTCTGCAGAGATTTCTGCTGCCTTTTGTTTGGCTATACCCTGCCCCCAGAGGTGGAGACTACAGAGGCAGGCAGGCCTCCTTGAGCTGTGGTGGGCTCCACCCAGTTCGAGCTTCCTAACCACTTTGTTTACCTACACAAGCCTCAGCAATGGCGGGCACCCCCCACCCCCCAGCCTTGCTGCCGCCTTGCAGTTCGATCTCAGACTGCTGTGCTAGCAATGACCAAGGCTCAAAAAAGAGCCCACACTGCCAGACAATCCTAAGCCAAAAGAACAAAGCTGGAGGCATTACACTACCTGACTTCAAACTATACTACAAGGCTACAGTAACCAAAACAGCATGGTACTGCTACCAAGACAGAGATATAGACCAATGGAACAGAACAGAGCCCTCAGAAATAATATCACACATCTACAACCATCTGATCTTTGACAAACCTGACAAAAACAAGAAATGAGGAAAGGATTCCCTATTTAATAAATGGTGCTGGGAAAACTGGCTAGCCATATGTGGAAAGCTGAAACTGGATCCCTTCCTTATACCTTATACAAAAATTAATTCAAGATGGATTAAAGACTTAAACGTTAGACCTAAAACCATAAAAACCCTAGAAGAAAACCTAGGCAATACCATTCAGGACATAGGCATGGGCAAGGACTTCATGTCTAAAACACCAAAAGCAATGGCAACAAAAGCCAAAATTGACAAATGGGATCTAACTAAACAAAAGAGCTTCTGCACAGCAAAAGAAACTACCATCAGAGTGAACAGGCAACCTAGAGAATGGGAGAAAATTATTGCAATCTACCCATCTGACAAAGGGCTAATATCCAGAATCCACAAAGAACTCCAACAAATTTACAAGAAAAAAAACAAACAACCCCATCAAAAAGTGGGCGAAGGATATGAACAGACACTTTTCAAAAGAAGACATTGATGCAGCCAACAGACACATGAAAAAATGCTCATCATCACTGGCCATCAGAGAAATGCCACAATGAGATACCATCTCACACCAGTTAGAATGGCGATCATTAAAAAGTCAGGAAACAACAGGTGCTGGAGAGGATGTGGAGAAATAGGAACACTTTTACTCTGTTGGTGGGACTGTAAACTAGTTCAACCATTGTGGAAGACAGTGTGGTGATTCCTCAAGGATCTAGAACTAGAAATACCATTTGACCCAGCAATCCCATTACTGGGTATATAGCTAAAGGATTATAAATAATGCTGCTATAAAGACACATGTACATGTATGTTTATTGAGGCACTATTCACAATAGCAAAGACTTGGAGCCAACCCAAATGTCCATCAATGATAGACTGGATTAAGAAAATGTGGCACATATACACCATGGAATACTATGCAGCCATAAAAAAGGATAAGTTCATGTCCTTTGTAGGGATCCTTTGTAGGATGAAGCTGGAAACCATCATTCTCAGCAAACTATCGCAAGGACAAAAAACCAAACACCACATCTTCTCACTCATAGGTGGGAACTGAATGATGAGAACACTGGGACGTAGGAAGGGGAACATCACACACCAGGGCATGTCGTGGGGTTGGGGGAGGGGGAGGGATAGCATTAGGAGATATACCTAATGCTAAATAACGAGTTAATGGGTGCAGCACACCAACATGGCACATGTATACATATGTAACAAACCTGCACGTTGTGTGCATGTACCCTAGAACTTAAAGTATATATATAAAAAAAAAAAGACAAAAGAACACAGTATGCTAGCCTGAAGAGGCAATATACTATATGATTCCAACTACATGACATCCTTGAAAAAGTGACTGTGGAAACAGTAAGGTCAGTGGTTGCTAGGGGATGGGGGAAGGGAGAGATAAACAGGCAGAACACAGAGGATTGCTAGGGCAGTGAACCTACTCCATGTGATACTATAATGATGGACACATGTCACTAAATTTGTCTAAACCCATAGAATGTACAACAACAAGAATAAACGCTAAGGTAAACTATGGGCTTTGGAGGATAACAATGTGTCCATGTAGGTTCATCAGTTGCAACAGATGTACCACTCTGGTGCAGGATGTTGATAATAGGGGAGGCATACAACACCAAGAGTAAACCCTAATGTAAACTATAGGCTTTGGAGGATAATGATATGTTCATGTACATTCATCAGTTGCAACAGATGGACCACTCTAGTGCAGGATGTTGATAATTGGTAAGGCTTTGCCTGTGTGAGGGCAGGGGATATTGGGATATCTCAGTACATTCTACTCAATTTTGCTGTGAACCTAAAACTGCTCTAAAAAATAAAGTCTTAAAAAAAAAAAAAAAGAACTGCAACACTTCCAAACTCATTCTATGAGGTCAGAATTACCTTAACACCAAAATGAGAGACAGATACAAAAAAAGAAAACTGCAGGCAAATATCCCTTAAGTATACTGATGTGAAAATCCTCAACAAAATACTAGTAAACTGAATTCAACAGTACATTAAAAGGATTATATACCATGACCAGTGGGACTTATTCATGGAATGAAAGGATGGTTTAACATATGAAAATAAATCTATTTAATACACCACATTAACAAGATGAAGGACAAAACCAGGTGATCATTTCAATTGATGCAGACAAAATTCAACAATCTCATGACACAAATACTCAATAAACTAGGAATAGAAAAAAACTATCCCAGCATAATAAAAGTCATATATGAGATGGCTACATTTAACATCATAGTCAACAAAAGAAGACTGAAACTTTCCCTCTAAGAGCAGGAATAAGGCAAGGATGCCCACACTCACCACTACTATTCAACACAGTACTAGGAGGTCTATCCAGAGCAATTAGACAAGAAAATGAAATAGAAAACATACAGATTGGAAAATCAGTAAAATTAATTCCCTTCACAGAAGACATATTCCATACAAACTGTTAAAATTAGCAAATTCAGCAAAGTTACAGGATGCAAAATCAAAATTCAAAAATTGCATTTCTATACACTAACAATCAATTCACAAAGGAAATTATCCTTCAACCAAAGAACCTGTAAAAAAAACAAAACAAAACAGGAAATTAAGAAAACAATTCCATTTACTATAGCAACAAAAAGGATAAATACTTTGGAATAAGCTTGAGCTTATTAAAAGGTTTCTACACTACAAACTAAACACTGCCACAAGAAATCAAAGAAGATAGAAATAAATGGAAAGATATTCCAGGCTCATAGATTGAAAGACTTAACATTGTCAAACTGTCCATGCTACCCACAGTGATCTACAGATTCAATGTAATTCTTATCAAAATACCAATGACATTTTTTGCAGAAACAGAAAAAAGCATCGTAAAATTCTCAAGGGACTATGAATAGCCAAAACAATCTTGAAAAGAACAAAATTGGAAGACTCATACTCCCTGATTTCAAAACATTCTACACAGCAACAGTAATTAAGATGGTATGGTACTAGAATAAAGACAGATATATATACACCAATGGAACAGAATTTAGAGCCTAGGAATAAACCCTTGTATATATGGCCAAATGACTTTTGACAAGGATGCCAAGATGACACAGTGAATAAAGGACAGTCTCCTTAACAAATGGTACTGGGAAAACTGGGATATCCACATGCCTAAATAAATAAATAAATAAATAAATAAATATTAAGCTGGACCTTAACTTACACCTTACATAAAATTAACTCAAAAGGGATTAAAGACCTAAATGTAAGGCCTAAAACTATTAAACTCCTAGAAAAAAATATAGGGGAAAAACTTCAGGATATTGGATTTGAGAATTATGTCTTGGAAGTGACACCATAAGCACAGGCAACAAAAGAAAAAAATAGACAAATGGGACTACGAGAAACTTTTGTGCATAAACAGACATGATCGACAGAGTGAAGGGGCAGCTTATGGACTGGGCAAAAATAACTGCAACACATGTATCTGATTTGGGGTTAATATCCAGACTATATAAGGAACTTCTACAACTCAACAGTAAAAAAAAAAAAAAAAAAAAACCTAATTTAAAAATGAGAAAATGACTTGGATAGAAAATTCTCCAAAGAAGATATACGAATAGCCAATAAATACTTGAAAAGATGCTCATCATCACTAATCATCAGGGAAATGCAAATCAAAACAATGAGATATCGACTCATACTCACTAGAATGGCCACTAACAAAAGAGCAGAATGTAAGTTGAGCATGTGGAGAGCCCTTGTGCACTGGTGATGGGAATGTAAAATGGTGCAGGTAGTACAGAGAGCAAGCAGTAAGGAGATACTCCTAAAATTAAAAAGACAATTAGAATATGATTCAGCAATCCCACTTCTGGATATATATCCAGAAAGAATTCAAAGCAGGATCTTAAAGATAAATTTTCACCCATGTTCATGGAAGCATTATTTATAATAGACAAGGGGTAGAGTGGAAACAATCCAAATGTCTATTGACAACGAATGGAAAAGGAAAATGGTATATACATAAAATGTAGTATTATGAAATCTTTAAAAATAAAAGAATATTCTGTCACATGCCACAACATAGGTGAACCGTGAGGGCATTATGCTAAGCAAAATATGCCAGTTGCAAAAGGACAAATACTGTATCAGTCCACTCATATGAAGTATCTAAAGTAGTCAAATTGTAGAAAAGAAACAGCAGAAATGTGGTTAGCAAGGGCTGGAGAGAAGAGAAAGAGGGAATTATTAGTATTTAGTGGGTACAGAGTCTTAGTGTTATAAGATGAAAAAAATTCTAGAGATTGGTTGCACAATAATGTAAATATACTTAACACTATTGAACTGTACACTTAAAAATGGTTAAGATTGTAAATTTATTGTTATGTGTTTTTCTACAATAAAAAATGCAAGCAAAAAAAGGTGAAGAAAAAATAAAAACTTTCATAAACACAATTTGAGGTAATTTTTGCCCACAGAACTGACTTGTGAGAAATGTTAAAATAAGTTCTTTAAAGAGAAGAAAAATGATATAGGTCAGAATCTTAGATCTACATAAAGAAAGTAAACATCCTGGAGGAGAAATAAGTAAAAGTAAAATAAAAACTTCTACTTTTCTTATTCTTACTTGATTTTACTTGTGAACAAACAAATAGCAGTTTGTTCAAAATAGTAACAGCAATAATATATTCAATTATGTATGCTATGAATGTATAACATATATAAGTGAAATGAATAACAGCAATGATATAAGGGATGGAGGGTAGAAATTAGGAATATTTTGTTATTATTGGGAACTTGCACTACCCACAAAGAAGTATAGTGTTATTTGAAAGTCAAATTGGATTAGTTGTAAATGTACAATGCAAACTCTAGGGCAACCACTAAAAAAGAAAATACATACACACATATAAATAACATTAATATGCTAAGAAAGGAAAGTGGAATCATTATGAAATACTTAATTAAAACCACAAATGATGAAAAAAGATTGAAAGAGAAAAACAGAAACAGGGGCAACAAATACAGAACAATGATAAATATAATAGATATTAACCCAACTACATTCATAATCACTTTAAATATCTATGTCCTAAATATGCTAATCAAAAGATTGTCAGAGTGGATCAGATAAAAAAAATAAGACCAGCTATATTTTGTTGAAAAGAAACCCACTTTAAATATGAAGACACATACCCTGGTGTGATTCCATCCTGCGCGGCTGTTCTCTGGAGCAGCAGTCGTTTATCTCTGTCCACCTTCTCTCCCACCTAAGTGCGTGTCACCACCCCATGGAAGATTTGATGGACATGGACATGAGCCCTCTGAGGCCCCAGAACTATCTTTTCAGTTGTCAACAAAAGGCCGACAAAGATTATCACTTTAAGGTGAATAATGATGAAAATGAGCACCAGTTATCTTTAAGAACGGTGATTTCAGGGACTGGAGCAAAGGATAAATTGCATATTGTTGAAACAGAGGCAATGAATTATGAAGGCAGTCCGATTAAAGTAACACTGGCAACTTTGAAAATGTCTGTACAGCCAATGGTTTCTGGGGGCCTTGAAATAACACCACTGGTGATCTTACGGTTGAAGTGTGCTTCAGAGCCAGTGCATATTAGTGGACAGCACTTAGTAGCTGTGGAGGAAGATGCAGAGTCAGAAGATGAAGAAGAGGAGTATGTGAAACTCAAGTTTATCTGGAAAGCGATCTGCCCCCGGAGGTGGCAGAAAAGTTCCACAGAAAAAAGTAAAACTTGCTGCTGATGCAGAAGATGATGATGAAAATGACGATGATGATGATTTTGATGATGAGGAAACTGGATAAAAAGCACCAGTGAGGAAATCCATACGAGATACTCCAGCCAAAAATGCACAGAAGTCAAATCAGAATGGAAAAGACTGAAAACCATCAACACCAAGATCAAAAGGACAAGAATCTTTCAAAAAACAGGAAAAAACTCCTAAAACACGAAAAGGACCTAGTTCTGTAGAAGACATTAAAATGCAAGCAGTTCATCAATTATGTGAGGAGTGCTTCCGGATGACTGACCAGGAGGTTATTCAAAATCTCTGGCAGTGGAGGAAGTCTCTTTAGGAAAATAGTTTAAACAATTTGTTAAAAATTTTCCATTTTATTTCATTTCTGTAACAGTTGATATCTGGCTGTCCTTTTTATAATGCAGTGAGAACTTTCCCTACTGTGTTTGATAAATGTTGTCCAGGCTCTATTGCCAAGAATGTGTTGCCCAAAATGCCTGTTTAGTTTTTAAAGATGGAACTCCACCCTTTGCTTGGTTTTAAGTATGTATGGAATGTTATGATAGGACATAGTAGTAGTGGTGGTCAGACATGGAAATGGTGGGGAGGCAAAAATATACATGTGAAATAAAACTCAGTATTTTAATAAAGTAAAAAAAAATTAAGACACATAGATTAAAAGTAAAGAGATTGACAAAAATATCATGCTAACCCTAATCCAAAAAATGTGAGAGTAAGCATATTTTCAGACAGAGCAGACATCAGTGCAAGAAAAATCATCACAGATAGAGAGGCATTACATAATAATAAAGGGATCAATTCTCCAAAAAAAAAAAAAATAATAATAACAATATGGCCAGGCACGGTGGCTCATACCTGTAATTCCAGGACTTTTGGAGCTGGTGGATCACTTGAGGTCAGGAGTTCGAGACCAGCCTGGCCCAACATAGTGAAACCCCATCTCTACTAAAAAATACAAAAATTAGCCGGGCATGGTGGTCTGCACCTATAGTCCCAGCTACTTGGGAGGCTGAAGGAGGAGAATTGCTTGAACCTGGGAGGCAGAGGCTGCAGTGAGCTGAGATCGCACCACTGCACTCCAGCCTGGGCAACAGAGCGAGACTCTGTCTCAAAATAAATAAATAAAAAATTTTAAAAAATTATATATATACATAACTATATATATAACAATATTTAATGTGTATGTACCTAATAACAGAGTGCCAAAATATATAAGGCAAAAATTGATAGAACTGCAAGGAGAAACAGATGAATCTGCTATTATAGTTGGAGACATCAACACCCCTCTATCTGAAATGTACAGATCCAGCAGGCAGAAAATCAGTAAGGACACAGTTGAACTCAACAGCAGCACCAGTCAACTGGATTTAATTGATATACACACTACTTCATCATCCAACAAGAAATAGAATATACATTCCTTTCCAGCTCACATGGAACATTCATCCACGGAGAGACCACATTCTGGGACATAAAGTATACTTTATTTTTTAAAAATAAGTCTTACAATATTACCATGCAGAGCACAATGGAGTTAAACTAGAAATATATAATAATATATAAATACAGATAGCTGGCAAATTCCCAAACATGTGAAGATTAAAAAACACACTTCTGAGTAACAAGCAGGTCAAAGAAGAAATCTCAAGAGAAATTTTAAAATATTTTGAGCTAAGTGAAAATAAAAATACAACATATCAAAATTTGTAAAATGCAGTGATGTTACCAAAATGGCAGAGTAGAAGCAATCTGAGTTGATTTTCCCGTACAGAAAATGAAAAACAACTATACAGTGACAACATTATCACCATCAATATTCCAGAACTCAAAACTGAGGCTGTGACAATCCTTGGTGTCACAAAAAAGTGAAAAATTAAGAGAGAATGGACTTTTCTATCCATGATGCCCCTCGACTTCTCTATCCATGATGCCCCTCCCTTAAGTTATTAGGCACTGGATAAAAAAGTCTCCCAAGACTTACGGTTCCTATCCTGGAGAAACTGAGACTAAGGTAGACAGCCAGTTTCCCTACCGTCTAGGGTTACTATGCAGGAAAGCTGTTCCTGCCTCAACCCACAGGAAGCATTGCTAGTGCCTGTTGGGAGAAAATCTGAAGACAGCTATGGACAAACGTGGAAGTAGGGCTAGCAACTCCAGCAAAGGAAACTTGGGGCTGCTCTTCATCTCAGCCAAAGGAGATGCCAAATCAGAGGGACAGTGGATCAGCAGCAGTAGGAGGCACATTCCACGGGTCCTCTGCGCACAAACTCCTAGCTAATTCCCTTCCCCACCAACCCCAGCCAGGGAATCCCCTTTGGAACATCCCCTAACCCAAGATGGTCAGTGCGCCGAACGTTTGTGAAAGCCAGGCAAACCTGGGCTTAGGGTGCCATCTAGTGCTGAAAAGAAGGCAGTGATCTAAGTCTAAGAGAATGCAACAAACGACACCTGAAAGACCAAGCAAAGGCAGATAGCAAAAACTAGAATAAATAACAAATCAATATGAAGACATAAATGTACATCTGTAAGAAACAACATCAAACAGGGAACCACGACCTTCCCAAATTTACAAAGCAAGGAGCCAGTGACACCCTACCAACCTGAGATGAAGATGTGTAAGTTCTCTGATCAAGAATTCAAAATAGCAATTTTGGAGAAACCTGGGGAACTCCAAGATAGCAGAGTAAAACACTTTAGAAACTTACCAGAAAAATTTAACAAACAGATTAAAAAATTAAAAAAATAGAAATCTTGGAACTGTGAAATACATTGGCTGAACTGAAAATGCATGAGAGGGTTTTGACAGAACTAATCAAGCAGAAGAAAGAATCAGTGAGCTCAAAGACAATTTGAAAATATATAAAGAGAGGAGACATAGGAGAGTAAAAAGGAAGAACACATATAAGATCTAGAAAATAGCCTAAAAAGAGCAAATTTAAGAGTCATTGGCCTTCAAGACATAGTTAAGAAAGAGCAAGGGGTACAGAGCTTATTCAAAGAAATAATAACAGAAAACTTTCCAGATCTATAGAAAGATAAATATCCAGGCATAGGAAGGTCAAAGATTACCAAACAGATTAAACTCCAGTAAGACTATCCCAAGGCATACAATAATCAAATTCTCAAAGGTCAAAAACAAAAAGAGGAGCATAAAAGCAGAAAAAAAAGAAGCATAACATATAAAGAGCTCTAATTCATCTGTTAATGGACATCTAGTAGAAACCATACATGCCTGAATGGAGTGGGATGACATATTAAAAAGCTAAAGGAAAAAAAAAAACTGCCAACTGAGAACAGTGTCCCCAGCAAAGCTATCCTTCAACCATAAATGAGAGATAATGACTTCTGAAGACAAACGAAAGCTGAAGGAATTCATCTTATAAAAAATGTCAAAGGTAGTTCTTCAATCTGGAACAAAAGGACACTAACATGCAACAAGAAAATATCTGAAGTTATAAAAGTTATTGGTAAAAATATACAGACAAATTTAGAATACTCTAATACTGTAACTGTGGTATCTCTAGTATGAAGACTAAATCTACCAAAGTAAAAACTACAACAATCTGTTAAAAGTCAGGCAATATAAAAAGATGTAAATTGTGTCAACAAGAGGTCAAAATGTGTGTGGGGGATGAAATTACGATGTAAAGTTTTTTGTCGTTTTCTTTGTGATCAACATTGAGTTCTCATATATTCAGAATAACTTATAAGATGTTTTTTGTAAGCCTCATAGTAACCACAAAGCAAAACACCTATAATAGGTAACACTAAAAATAAACAGCAAGGAATTAAAACATACTACCAGAGAAATTTGCACAATCATAAAGAAAGGTGAAAGAGAAAGAAAGAAAAGAAAGTAAAAAAGGAGTTACAAAACAACCAGAAAACAAACAACAAAATGACAGGAGGAAGTTCTTACCTATCAATAATAACAATGTAAATGAACTAAATGTTCTAATTAAAAGACATAGAGTGATTAAATGAATAGAAAAACAGAACCCAATGATCTGCTGCCGATAA
Organism: Homo sapiens; assembly: GCF_000001405.40. Classification (NCBI taxonomy): domain Eukaryota; kingdom Metazoa; phylum Chordata; class Mammalia; order Primates; family Hominidae; genus Homo; species Homo sapiens. The sequence continues at coordinate 149,935,285 of NC_000003.12, read as the reverse complement.
GAAACTCACTTTACCTATAAAGACACATAGACTGAAAGTAAAGGGGTGGAAAAAGATATTCCATGCAATTGGAAAACAAAAAAGAGCAAGAATAGCTATATTTATATCAGATAAAATAAACAACAAACACTTAAAAAGAGACCCAAAAAATCACTATATAATGATAACTGACATTTACAGAACACTTCATCCAGCTCTGTGGAATATACATTCTTCTCATCAGCACATGGAACATTCCCCAGGACAGATCACGTTAGGAGAAAAAACAAGTCTCAGCAAACTCAAAAAAGTCAAAATTGTATCAAGTATCTTTTCTGACCACAGCAGAATAAAACTAGATTTTTATTCTTTTTTAAAGGGGAACTTTGGGCCAGGTGTGGTGGCTCATGCCTGTAATCCCAGCAATCTGGGAGGCTGAGGCAGGCAGATCACTTGAGTCTAGGAGTTTGAGACCAGCCTTGGGCAACATGGTAAAACCTCATCTCTACAAAAAAATTAGCTGGGTGTAGTAGTGCATGCCTGTACTCTCAGCTACTTGGGAGGTGGATACTGCACTGAGCTGAGATTGTGCAACTGCACTCCAGCCTTGAGCCAAAGAGTGAGACACTGCCTCAGGAAAAAAAAAAAAGGAACTTTGAAAACTATAAATATGTGAAAATTAAACAACATGCTCCTAAATAAAAAATGGGTCAATAAAGAAATTAAAAAGGAAATCTAAAAATTTTTTTGAGCAAATGAAAATGGAAACACAGCATATCAAAATCTATGGGACAAGCAAAAGCAATACTAAGTAGGAAGTTCATAGCAATAATCCTCCATCAAAAAGGAGAAAAACTTCATATAAACAACTGAACAATCCACCTCAAGGAACTAGAAAAACAAGAATAAACAAAATCTAAAATTAGTAGAAAGAAATAATACAGATCAGAGCAGAAATAAAATTCAGACTGAAAAATACAAAAGATAACTGAAAGAAAAAAATTGTTTTTTGAAAAGATAAAGTCCACATACCTTTTGCTAGACTAACAAAAAAAGAGAAAACACTCAAAGTATAAATGAAAAAAATTACAATCAATACCCTAGAATATAATGATCATCAGAGATTTTATGAATAATTATATGCCAACAAATTAGATAACCTAGAAAAAATGGGCAAATTCATAGACATGTACACCTGTCAAGACTGAACCATAAAGAAAGAAAAAGCCTGAACAGACCAATAGCAAGTAATGAAACTGAAACAGTAATTAAAAGTCTCCCATCAAAGAAAAGCCCAGGACTGGATGGCTTCACTGCTGAAAACTACCAAACTGGAAAGGAAGAAGTCAAATTAACCTTGTTCACAGATGACATGATTGTATATTTTAAAAACCAAAGAAAACTCCATCAAGAAACTGTTAGAGGCTGAGCATGGTGGCTCACACCTGTAATCCTAACACTTTGGGAGGCTGAGGCGGGTGGATCACTTGAGGTCAGGAGTTCGAGACCAGCCTGTCCAACATGGTGAAACCCCGTCTCTACTAAGAATACAAAAATTAGCCAGGCGTGGTCGTGGGTACCTATAGTCCCAGCTACTTGGGAGGCTGAGGCAGGAGAATTGCTTGAACCTGGCAGGCAGAGGTTACAGTGAGCCGAGATCACACCACTGCACTCTAGCCTGGGTGACAAAGCTAGACTCCATCTCAAAAAAAAAAAAAAAAGAAGAAAGAAAAGAAACTGTTAGAACTAATATAGCAAATTCAGTACAGTTGCAGGATATAAAATCAACATACAAAAATCAGTATCATTTGTATATGCCAACAGCAAACAATCTGAAAAATAAGAAAGTAATCTCATTTACAATAGCTACTCTGGAGAGCGCAAGCTGTAATCCTTGGTGGCTTCCATGTGGTATTAAGGCTGTAAGTGTGCAGCATTCAAAAGAATACAAGTGGGCTGTGAACCAACCACTTGCTAGATAGATTAGCATTACTAAAAAAGAGCCAAGTGCTAATATCCAAGACAATTTAAAAAAAAAAAAAAGCCTCAAAAGGCAGCTCCTCCCATCACAAGCCCAGAGGCCTAGGAGGAAAGAATGGTTTAGTGGGTCAGGCCTGCGGAGCCTCTGCCCTGCACCATCTTAAGAGGCTGCTCCCTGCATCCTGGCTGCTCCAGCCTCAGCTCAAAAGGGCCCCTGGTACAGTTTGGGGCACTGCTCTGAGAGCACAAGCTGTAATCCTTGCTGGTTTCCATGTGGTATTAAGGCTGTAGGTGTGCAGCATTCAAAAGGAAAGAAGGCTTGCCAGGTTCCAACCTAGATTTCAGAGGATGTATTAGAAAGCCTGGGTCCCAGGCAGAAGTCTGTCCCAGGACATAGCCCCCACACAGAAACTCTGCTAGTGCAGTATTGAGGGGAAATGTAAGGTTGGATCCCCAACACAGACTCCCTACCAGGGCAGTCTAGTGAAGCTATGGGAACAGGACTGCTATCCTCCAGACCCAAGAAGGGTAGAGCCACCAGCAGCTTGCACCCTCAGCATTGAAAAGGCACAGACACCAGACTCCAACCTGTGAGAGCCACAGGGATGGAGCTTCCCAAGGCATTGGGAGCCCACCCCTTGCACCAGTGTGCCTTGGATGCGGGACACAGAGTCAAAGATTATGTTGGAGCTTTAAACTTTAATGTCTGCCCTGCTAGGTTTCAGACTTGTGTGGGGCCTATTTCCCTTTCTTTTGGCCAATTCCTCCCTTTTGGATTGGGAATGTTTACCTAATACCTGCACCACTGTTGTATCTTGGAAGTTAAGAATTTGTTTTTGATTTTACGGGCTAATAGGTGGAAAGAAATGTGTCTTGAGTCTCAGATAAGACTTTAGACTTTGGATTTTTGAGTTGATGGTGGAATGAGTTAAGACTTTGGATACTACTGGGAAGAGATGATTGTATTGTACTACGCAAGAGGAACATGTGATGTGGCGGGAGAAAGGGGACCACTCGTACACTGCTGGTGGGAATATAAATTAGTATGGCTACTAAGGAAAACAGTATTGAGGTTCCTCAAAAAAGTAAAAATGAAACCACCATATGATCCAGCAATCCCATTGCTGGATATGTGTCCAAAAGAAAGGAAAATCAGTATATTGAAGAGATATCTGCACTCCCATGTTTACTGCAGCACTATTCACAATAGCCAAGATATGGAATCAACCTAAGTGTCTATCAATGGATGACTGGATAAAGAAAATGTGGCATATATACACAATGGAATACTATTCAGCCATAAAAAAAAACCCTGTTATTTGCAGCAACATGGATGGAACTAGAGGACATGATACTAAGTGACATAAGCCAAACCCAGAAAGACAAATATCCCATGTTCTCACTCGTATGTGGGAACTAAGAAAACTGATCTCATGGAGGTAGAGAGCAAACTGGTGGTTACCAGATGCTGGGAAGGGTGGAAGGGAGCAGTGAAGGGAGGCTGGCTACTGGCTACAAAAACAGTTAGAAGGAATAAGTTCTAGTTTTTGATAGTATGGTAAGGCAACTATAGTTAACAATAAAGTTATGTATTTCAAATAGCTAGATGAGAAGCTTTGAATTATTCCCAACACACACACAAAAATGATCATTGCTTGGGGTGATAAATATCCCAATTATCCTGATTTGATCCTTACATATTGTATGCATGTATCAAAATATAACATGTACCCCATAAATATGTACAACTATTATATATCAATAAAAAATTGTAAAATGCAATGAAAGCAGTACAGGGAAATTTATAGCACTGAATATATATATGTTAGAAAAGAAAAAAGAGCTAAAATCAATAATCTAAGCTTTACCTTTAGGAAACTAGAAACAGAGCAAATTAAATTCAAAGTAGCAGAAAAAAAGAAATAAAAATTGAACAAATCAATGCAAGTAAAAGCAGAAAATCAGGCTGGGTGTGGTGGCTCATGCCTGTAATCCCAGCACTTTGGGAGGCCAAAGTGGGAGGATCACTTGAGGCCAGCAGTTCAGACCTGGCAACATAGTGAGACCCTGTCTCTAAAAAAATAAAAATAAAAAAATTAGCCGGCCACAGTGGTGCACACCTGTAGTTCCAGTTACTTGGAAGGCTGAGGTGGAAGGGTTGGTTGAGCCTGGGAAGTCGAGGCTGCAGTCAGCCATGGTTGTGCCACTGCACTCCAGCCTGGATGACAGAGTGAGACCTTGTCCCCCCAGAAAAAAAACCAAAAAAACAAAAACACACACACAACCAAAAAAACACCAGAAAATCAACAAAACCAAAATATTGTTCTTTGAAAAGATAAATGAAATCGATATCTAGCTAGGTGAACCAAGAAAAAGAGACAAAAGACACAAATTATTAATATCAAAAATTTTAGAAAAGTGGTCATCACTATTAATCCTATGAATATAAAAACAATAATAAAGGAATACTAAACAATTCTATGCCTACAAATCTGGTAACAGATGAAATGTACCAATTACTCAGAAAGGCACAATCTGCCGAAAGCCACACAAAAAGAAACGTACAATCTGAATAGGCCTAGGTCTATTAAAGAACCTGAACCGATAAATAATAACCTTCCAAAACAGCAGGCACCATATCCAGATAGGTTCACTGGTGAATTCTACCAAACACTCAGGAAAGAAATTACCCAAATTCTTTACAATTTCTTCCAGAAAACAGCAGAGGGTATATCATAACTCATTCTGTGAAGCCAGTTATTATCCAAATCTCACAACTAGGCAAAGACATCACAAGAAAGGAAAACTACTGACTAGTAACTACCATGAACATAGATGATAAATCCTAAACAAAATATTAGAAAATTGAATATCCGTATATAAAAAATTATACACCATGACCAAGTGGGATGCCCAACTTGATTTATAAATTCAATGCAATCCCAATCAAAATCTCAGCAATTTCTTTTTTTGGATACCAACAAACTAGTTCACAAGTATATACGGAATGGCAAAACACCAAAACAGCCAACACCATACTGAAGTAACAAAGTCAATGAACTGACACTACCCAATGTTAAGACTTACTATAAAGTAATCAGCTGGTGCAGTGGCTCACGCCTGTAATCCCAGCACTTTGGGAGGCCGAGGCAGGCAGATCACTTGAGGTCAGGAGTTCAAGACCAGCCTAGCCAACATAGTGAAACCCTGTCTCTACTAAAAATACAAAAAAAATTAGACAGGCATGGTGGCACATGCCTGTGCTCCCAGCTACATGGGAGGCTGAGGCAGAAGAATTGCTTGAACCTGGGAGGCGGAGGTTGCAGTGAGCCGAGATTGCACCACTGCACTCCAGCCTGGGCAACAGAGCAAGACTCCATTTCAAGACAAAACAAAACAAAAGTACAGTAATCAAGGCGGTGTGGTACTGGTGAAAGAATAGATAAATGGGACAGAATAGAGATTCCAGAAAAAGACTCACACAAATATAGTCAACTGCTCTCTAACAGTGGAGCAAAGGTGATTCAAGGGAGAAAGGACAGTCTTTTCAACAAATAATGCTGGAACAAGTAGATTTCAACATGCCAAAAAAATGAACCTATATAGTAGGGGACTTCATCAACTTGATAAAGGGCATTTATTAAAAACAACAACAACAACTCACAACTAAAATACTCACTGGTGAAGTACTGCAAATTTTTGCCTTAAAATCAGAAAGAAAGTAGAATGGCCACTTTCACCACTATTATTCAATATTGTACTGTAAGTTCTATAAGCAATTACACAAGAAAATGAAATAAATCCATGTTGGAAAGAAAGAAGTAAAACTACACCTATTCACAGATGACATGATCTGTGATATGGTTTGGCTGTGTCTCCACCCAAAATCTCATCTTGAATTATAATACACATAATCCCCACGTGTCAGGGGCAGGACCAGGTGGAGGTAATTGGATCATGGGGGCAGTTTCCCCCACGCTATTGTCATGATAGTGAGTCTCACGAGATCTGATGGTTTTATAAGCATCTGGCATCTCCCCTGCTTGCACTCACTCTGTCCTGATGCCCTATGAAGATGTCTGCTTCTCCTTTGCCTTCCACCATGATTAGAAGTTTCCTGAGGCTTCTCCAGCAATGTGGAACTGTGAGTCAATTAAAACCTTTCCTTTATAAATTACCCAGTCTTGGGTATTTCTTATAGTAGTGTGAGAACAGGCTAATACAATCTGCTATATAGGAAATCCCCAAGAATCCACAAGAAAGCTACCAGAGCTATATACAAATCCATCAAAGTTGTAGGTTATAAGATCAATGCATAAAAATCAGTTGTGTTTCTCCACACCAGCAATGAACAATCCATAAAAGAAATTTAGAAAGGAATTCTATTTATAATAGTATCTAAAACAATAAAATGCCTAGAAATAAATCTAAGGAGATGAAAGACTTATAGACTGAAAATTACATGGCATTGCTGAAGGAAATTAAAGAAGACCTCAATAAATGGAAAAGCATCCCATATTCATGGATTGGAAGACTTAATATTGTTAAGATGTCAAGACTACCCAAAGCAACCTACAAATTTAGCACAATCCCTATCAAAATTCTATAACTTTTTTTGCAAAAATATAAAGTTCTATCCTCAAATTATTCTCAAGTTATTATGGAATTGCAAAGGACCCTGAATAGCTAAAATACTGAAGAACAACAACAAATGTGGAAGACTCACAATTCTCAGTTTCAAAATTTACTACAAAACTAGAGTAATCAAAATAGTGTGGGACTGGCATAAGGATAATCATATAGACCAAAGGAATGTACCTGAGAGTCCATAAATAAAACCATACATCTATGGCCAACTTATTTTTGATGAGAGTGCCAAGATATTCAATGAGAAAACAGTCTCTTCAACAAATGGTGCTGAGATAACTGGATTTCCACATACAAAAAAATAAGCCGGGAGCCCTACCTCATATTTACTATATATGAAAATCAACTCTAAATTGATAAAAGACCTAAATATAAGCTAAAACCATAAAACTTTGAAGAAAACATAGGGTAAATCTTTATGACCTTAGATTTGACAGTGTATTCTTAGATATGACATAAGGTAAAAACTGGACTTAATCAAAATTTTTAAATTTTTCATTTCTGCAAAAAAAGTTCTTGGAATTTTGATAGGAATTGTGCTGAATTTGTAGACTGCTTTGGGTAGTCTTGATATCTTAACAATATTAAGTCTTTCAATCCATGAATGTGGGATGCTTTTCCATTTATTGAGGTCTTCTTTAATTTCCTTCACAAGCAAAAAAAAAAAAAAAAAAAGGTTTTTGCTTATGCTTCATATCATAAGCAAAAAAAGAAAAAAGGTAAATTGGACTACATCAAAATTTGAAACTTCTGTACATAAAAGGACATTATCAAGAAAGTGACAACTGACAGAATGGGAAAAAATATTTGCAAATCATGTTATCTAGAATATACAAAGAACTCCTATAACTCAAGAACAAAATGATAAACCACCCAATTGAAAATAAGAAAAGTACTTGAACAGATAATTTGCCAAAGGAAATATCCAAGTGGACAATAAGCACAAGAAAAGATGCTCAACATCATTAGTCAGTAGGGAAATGCAAATAAAACCACATTAAGGTACCACTTCCTACCCATTAGGATAGCTATATTAAAACAAAACAACAGAATACAAGTGTTGACAAGGATGTGGAGAAATATGAACCCTTGAGCATTGCTGCTGGGAATGTAAAATGGTACAGTAACTGTGGAAGACAGTATCCAGGTTCCTCATAAAGTTAAACAATATCACTCCTTGGTATATACCCAAAATAATTGAATCCATGGACTTAAACAGATACTTTTTTATCAATGTTCATTGCAGTATTATTTACAATAGCCAAAAGGTGTAACCAACTCGTATCCGCTAATAGATGAATGAATAAACAAAATGTGGTAAAAATACACAACAGACTATTATTCCGCCAGAGAAAGTAAAGACATTCTGATATATGCTACAACATCGATAATCCTTGAAAACATTATGGGAAGTGAAATAAGTCAGAAACAGGACAAATATCAGGTAATTCCACTTACGTGAGGTACCTACAGTAGTCAAATTCAGAGACAGTAAGTAGAATGGTGGATGCCAGTGGCTGGGGGGAAGTGGAAATGGGGAGTTACTGTTTAACAGGTACAGAGTTTCAGTTTGGGAAGATAAAGAAGTCTGGAGATGGATGGTGGTGATGGTTGCATAACAATATGAAGATACTTTAAAATGATTAAAATGGTAAATTTTATGCTGTGTGTATTCTGCTACAATAAAAAATACAATCACTTGTGCATATATTTGGAGGTGGGGTGGCCTTGACAATTCGATTTTTACCTTTAAGTGGAAAGGCAAAGTGTTAAACATAGGTAAACACTATTGAAAAAAAACAAAGTGGGAAGACTAGCTCTATCAGGTCTTACCATGAACCTACTGTAATTGAAACAGTGTGATACTGATAAACGGTTAAACAATAAAACCAAGAGAAATCCAGAAACAAACCCACACATATCTGGACCTTAATTTACATCAGAGGTGACACTGCAGAACAGTGTATTTTCAATAATTAGCTCTGGAACAACTGGATACCCTTATATAAAATATCAAACTGGAAAAAAAACTTAAATTGGACTCCAGTTTTACACAATCAATTCATGTGGATTAAACACAAAAGACAAAAATATAAAGCTTTCAGAAGGTAATATAAAATAACATCTGTATGATCTTGGGATAGAAAACGTACTCTAAAAACACAGAAGAGGCTGGGCATGGTGGCTCACGCCTGTAATCCCAGCACTTTGGGAGGCCAAGGTGGGCAGATCATGAGGTCAGGAGATCGAGATCATCCTGGCTAACATGGTGAAACCCCATCTCTACTAAAAATACAAAAAGGAGCCAGGCATGGTGGCGGGCGCCTGTAGTCCCAGCTACTCGGCAGGATGAGGCAAGAGAATAGTGTGAACTCGGGAGGCGGAGCTTGCAGTGAGCTGAGATCACACCACTCCACTCCAGCCTAGGGGACAGAGCGAGACTCCGCCTCAAAAAAACAAATCAAGACAAAACAAAACAAAAATAGAAGAATACTACCATGAAAGGCAAGAATTCTGGTCCATAAACTAGAAAAAGACAGTTAAAACACAAGAATTATTGAAGAACTAAATTGCCATACTCTACGCCTCCCTCTGGAGGCTTGTAGGAACATATAAAGAATTCCTCCCATATATGAAACAGACACACGGGCATATATCATGAAAGGTACTTCGTGAAAGTGAAAATCCAACTGGCAAATAATGTGAACAGATATTTAACCTCATTGCAAGAAGGGAAATAAAAAGTAAAACAACGAGTTATAAACCCACCAGAATGCTAAAATTTAAAAGTCCATCAGTACAAAGTATTGGATAAATACATAGAACAACAGGAACTCCTATAGACTGTTGGTGAGAGTAGAAATTGGTACCATCAATCACTTTGGAAATGATTTTGCATTACCCAATAAAATTGAAAATAGCTATATACTATGATCAAATTAATCTACTTCTAGGTATATATGCTAAAGAAATTCATGGACATATGCACCAGGATATATGTACAAGTATATTCTCAAAAGTATGATTTATAATAGCCCTAAACTGAAAAAAAAAGAATGTCAATTAACAGTAAAGTGGGTAAGTAAAATCTTTAAAAGACAGAATGAAAGTAAATGAACTATACCTAAATGCAACTAAGTGTATAAATTTCATTAAAAAATTAATCAGAGGTAAGAAAAATACAATTCAAAAATAGGCAAAATTAAGCCAACTGTTTAGGTATGCATTCGTATGTGGTACAACTTGAGAAAGGCAGTGAAATTATCATAAACCAGGATAGTGATTACCTCCAGAGGACAAGAAAGGATTATTTATCTAGAAGGGAACATAACAGCTCCTGGGGTGGCAGTAATGTTCTATCTCTTGAACTGGATGATTCTAGAAATATGTATTCTACATACTCTTCTGTATAAATGTTATACTTCACATTTTGAAAAAAGTGATGATAAACACCACTCCATAGAGAAAAACAGTTATGCTGATGGGTTCAAAATGGGTTCAGGCTGCCAAGCAACCATATTATATTTCCCTAGTCCATTCCTCCTCCTACTCTCCTGGAATAATAGTATTTTATACCTCTGTTCTTAAAAGCTCCAATACCTCCTCCTCTGTCCTCACCCTCAGTTGGTGATTTCCTACCTGAGAGAAATTAAAGCAAAGAACATTTCCACAGACTCACCACTACAAATACCCACCTACTGTGATTTTTCACCCACATATTCTACTTTCCCTTAGCTCAAGTCTCTATGATACTACCTAAGGCCAGTTCACCTTTTTGTGCAAGATATCCAATCTCCTCTTGCCTTCTCAAGAACATTACAGGGACTCTCCCATCTGTCACCTACATCAATTTCCTTTAGCAAACAAACATGCTGTTATTTCTTGACTCAACTTCCCCCAGCAGCTATGACCCCATTTCTTTGCTCCCTTTTTTAGTTAAACTTCTTACAAAAACTATCTCTAATTCCTCTCTTTCCACCATTCTCTCTTAAATCAACTACAATCAGATTTTTGGCCTGACCACTCTGTCAACTGCTCATCAAGATCATCAATAGTCTCTAGTGGTCAATACTGAGCTCTCATCTTACTTATGTTCAGCAGCACTGACACAGGTTATCATTCCTTGCTCCCTGATAGATTTGCATCACTGGGTTTCTGGTAAATCACACTCTCCTGATTTTCTTCCTATGTAATTGGTCACACCTTCTCAGTCTCCACTGCTGCCACTTCTGATTCCTCTTCTACTGAATGATGGAATGCCCCACGGTGTCTTTGGTATTCTCTCTCTCTGTACGCACTCTCTTGGTAATCTCATCCAGTCTAATGATATAAATACATTTTCATGCTGGTATTTCCAGTTCAGACCTCTCTCTTAAACTTCTAACATCTAATAGACATCTGAAATTCCATATGTTCAATACCAATCTTCCAATTTCCCTCCTAAAACCTGCTCTCTCATACATTAACCATCCTTATTGCTATTTAAGGACTGTCCTTAAATAGACCATCCATTTTGTTGTTCAGACCAAAAAATCTGGAGTCATCCTTGTCTCCTCTTCCAATATCTAGTCCATCAGTAAATTCTGTGTATTCCATCTCCAGATACAGCCAGTATTTAAAGATTTCTTCTCCTCCACTGATATCACCCCAAGCCACATTTATATCACACCTGAATTACTACAATAACTTTCCTGTCTGTTCTCTCTGTTTATACCCTTTGCCATCTAATAACCTATTCTTAATGTCAGCAGAAGGATCCTTTTAACAGTTAACTGAGACATTCTCTCTCTCCTCTGTTCCAAATCCTACTACAGCTACCCATCTTACTCAGAGGAAAAGCCAATGACATGTTTTCCCTTTAAACCCAGGACAGTATCACCATTTTTTAAACTTTTCTTTTTTTTTTTTTTTTTTTGAGATGGAGTCTTGCTCTGCCACCAGGCTGGATTGCAGTCGTGTGATCTCGGCTCACTGCAACCTCTGCCTCCCGGGTTCAAGTGATTCCCCTGCCTCAGCCTCCTGAGTAGCTGGTACTACAGGCACGCACCACCACACCCGGCTAATTTTTTTGTATTTTAGTAGAGACGGGGTTTCACCATGTTGGCCAGGATGGTCTCGATCTCCTGACCTAGTGATCTGTCTGCCTTGGCCTCCCTAAGTGCTGGGATTACAGGTGTGAGCCACCGTGCCTGGCCATTTTAAACATATTTTTAAACACACAAAATGAAGCCTAAAAAAGTAATTCCTAATCTTCAAACTAGTTCTGGTCTATGTGGAAATCTTTAATCCAGGCTGGGCCCAGTGGCACATGCCTATAGTCTTAGCTACATGAGAAGCTGAGGTGGGATGATCACTTGAGCTCAGGAGTTCAAGTTCAGCCTGAGCAACACAGTGAGACCCCATCTCTTAAAAACAAAACAAAAAAAAACTATTAACTAATCCACACTGTATAATGATAATGTAAATCACTGTATAATAATAATGTAAATGTAAAATGCAGTGCATTTTTAGAAATGTCTATTCATTTCTTTATTTTAACATGATGTTCTTTTTCCTACTTTTTTTTGTTAAGTGTTCTATTTTTTAATGTTAATGGTAAATGGCAGGTTTATAAAACATTTTATTATTTGAAAAATAAAAATGTGGCAGAACTATGTTTTATTGCCTTTTTCTCTATTTTCTCCCTCCACTCCCTACACTTTTTCACTGCTGAATTAAAAAACAGAATATTTTTACTGGTATATGAAAATGAAGTCTGGGAAGTGCCAGCCAAAAGGATTTATCAAGTAGGTATCTGCACTAAAAGGTCACTAAATCACAGAGAAACTATACTATAGGGGAAACTTACATTGGCTATGGTATTATAGTCACACCTCTCCTCTAGTTCTGTCAATACTGGCTATGTGATATTAAAATTCCTAATGTCCCTGACCCGATTTTTCCTCATCTATAAAGGGAAAATAATAAGAGTATACAGTTCATAGAAGTATGAAAATTAAGATGATATATATAAGTGATGATATATAACAGCTACCTACCTATGTGTTTAGTTAATACAACACTATACAGTGTTATATTGTGGGAGACAGAATAGGAGGAAGGTAAGTGAGAGTAGTTCACCTGGTACAGAAAAATATTTTATCTACTGACATTGTTTAGAACTAATGGCACATGGTGATAATATTTACAAGCATTTTGGTTAGTTTAATTATTGTTTTTAAATTCTCTGCAGACTGTGCATCCTTCTCCTGCTTTCACCAGATCACAGCAAAACATCATCTCTCACATTCATTCATTCATTTATTTATTCATTCATTCTTAACTGAAAGTCTACTTAGCGTTAGGCATAGTTTATGGTAGGGACACAGAAGGTAGTATAAGAGTATAGTCTTAAAAAGTCAGGAAACAGGCCAGGCACAGTGGCTCACACCTGTAGTCCCAGCACTCTGGGAGGCCGAGGTGGATGGATCACAAGGTCAGGAGTCCAAGACCAGCCTGGCCAAGATGGTGAAACCCCGTCTCTACTAAGAATACAAAAATTAGCTGGGTGCAGTGGCAGGCATCTGTAATCCCAGCTACTCGGAAGGCTGAGGCAGGAGAATCTCTTGAACCTGGGGGGCGGAGGCTGCAGTGAGCCAAGATCGCACCACTGCACTCCAGCCTGGGTGACAGAGTGAGACTCCGTCTCAAAAGAAAAAAAAAACAAGTCAGGAAACAACAGATGCTGGAGAGGATGTGGAGAAATAGGAACACTTTTACACTGTTGGTGGGTATGTAAATTAGTTCAACCATTGTGGAAGACAGTGTGGCGATTCCTCAGGGATCTAGAACTAGAAATACCATTTGATCCAGCAATCCCATTACAGGGTATATACCCAAATGATTATAAATCATGCTACTATAAAGACACATGCACACATGTGTATTGTGGCACTATTCACAATAGCAAAGACTTGGAACCAACCCAAATGTCCATCAATAATAGACTGGATAAAGAAAATGTGGCACATATACACCATGGAATACTATGCAGCCAGAAAAACAGATGAGGTCGTGTCCTTTGCAGGGACATGGATGAAGCTAGAAACCATCATTCTCAGCAAAATATCACAAGGACAGAAAACCAAACACTGCGTGTTCTCACTCATAAGTGGAAGGTGAACAATGAGAACACATGGACACAGGGAGGGGAACATCACACAACAGGGCCTGTTGGGGGGTGGAGGGCTGGGGGAGGGATAGCATTAGGAGAAATACCTAATGTAAATGACGAGTTGATGGGTGCAGCAAACCAACATGGCACATGTATACCTATGTAACAAACCTGCACGTTGTGCACATGTACCCTAGAACTTAAAGTATAATAATAATAATAAAAATTTTTTTAAAGAGTATAGTCACCCTGCAGTCTTAAATAAACTAAGGATAATTATTTAGAAAACAAATACTTACCTTTCTTGAATTTATGTACAGGAAGTTTCTTAAGTTGATCTTTACGAAGTCTGTTTCTTCTAGCTCTATGTCTATCCTGGACAAATTTTGTGATCTAAAAATAAAAGAGTAAAAAAAGGAGTCAGATATTAAATGTGCAAAGAGAAAGTGACCATTAAAATAACAAATATCTTTTAAGTTTCTGGATAGCTACTGCAAATCAATTCAATTCATTTAAATTCTAATTGCAATAGTATTGTTAATTAAAGCATTAAATTACATTAGTGATTAGTTAACCCATGAATTACCCCTTGAATTTTTTATTAATTGATCTTGATTATCTTTGAATTACCTACGGAGACATTATAAAAATCATATAACTGTTTGCTTGCAAAAATACAAATGGTAAACTATAGATTTTATAAAGACTCCAATGGGTAAAAAAAAAAAAAAAAAAAGAATGGGAAGGTTGATATTCCTATATATTACAAACTGATAAAAATTTCAAACATACACTTATTAGTTACTACAGAATAACAGGCAGAAATAATGCAGAACACCTTCACTACAAATATTCAGAAATGCCGGATAAAATGTACAAAATATTTTAAACTATAAATTGCTATGCTTGCAAGAATAAAAAGAAAGTACACAGGGCCAAAAACCAAATACCAAAAACACCCTCTGTAAAGGAAAAATTTGACTATGTCAAAGTTAAGAACTTCTCTGCTTAAAAGGCACTGTTAAAAAAATAAAAGACAACTGAAGTGGGAGGACTGTTTGAGGCCAGGAAATCAAGACCAGCCTGGGCAACATAGTGAGACCCCATCTCTAAAAAGAAAAAAATTAGCCTGGCGCATTGCCGTGTGCCTGTAGTTCCAGCTACTTGGGCGGCTGAAGTGTGAGAATCATTTGAGCCCAGGATGTCAAGGCTGCAGTGACTCATGTTTGTGCCACTGTACTCCAGCCTGCACAACAGAGTGAGGGCCTGTCTCCAAAACATAAATAAGTAAATGAATACATAAATAAAATTTAAAAATGAAAAATACAGATGAGCCACAGACTGAAATAAAATATTTGCAAATTGTATACAAGATAAGGGATTTGTATCCAGAATATATATAAAAACCTCTCAAAACTCAATAATAAGAAAACAAGTTACCCAACAGAAAATGGACAAAATATTTGAAGATACTTCACTATACAAGACAAACAGCAAATAAGCTCTTGAAGAGATGTGCAATGTCTACTAGTAGTCAATAGGAAAACAAAAATTCAAATCATAAATACTATAATACAATATACCTATTAGGGTGACTAAAATGTAAAACACTGACTATACCAAGCGTTGGCACGGAAGTGGAGGGACTGGCACTCTCATACACTTTCTGGTGGGATTGTAAAATGGTACAACCACTTTGGAAAAGAGCTTGGCAATTTCTTATGAATCTAAACACACATTTATCCTGTGACCCAACTGTCCTGCTCCTAGATATACTTACCCAATAGAAATGAAAGCATATTTCCATACAACAAATGTCCATGTCAGCTTTATTTGTAATAGCCAAAAACTAGAAACAACCCAAATGTTGATCAATAGGTAAATGGGTAAACAAATCATGGTATATTCACACAATGGAATATATCTCAGCAATAAAAAGGAATGAACAAT
Source organism: Homo sapiens (assembly GCF_000001405.40). Taxonomy (NCBI): domain Eukaryota; kingdom Metazoa; phylum Chordata; class Mammalia; order Primates; family Hominidae; genus Homo; species Homo sapiens. The sequence continues at coordinate 149,919,576 of NC_000003.12, read as the reverse complement.
CCATGCACTCAATAACATATACAAATCTCAAAATAATTACGGTGACAGAAAGAAGACAGACACAAAAGAGTACAGACTTTATGATTCCATTTATATAAAGCTGTAGAAAATGCAAAGTAATCTATAGTGACTAAAATCAGATTTGTAGTTGTCTGGGCATGGAGAAGGGTAGTGAGGGGAGGATGAAGGAAAAGTTGGAAGGGGTAGAAGGAAGGCATTGCCAAACTTTTTAGGGTGGTTAATATTTCATTATCTTGATTGTGGTGGTGGTGGTTTCGCAGGTATACACATACATATCTGTTACATATGGATGATATATGTGATATACATATGCATAAGTGATATATATGCTTATAAACCTACATCAAAACTTACCAAAGTGTACAATTTAAATATGTGTAATTTATTATATCAAATCATACCTCCATAAATTTTTTTAAAGTTTAATGGTAACCACTAAAAGAACAGCAATATAATGCAAATGTTCATATCAATAGGAAAAAGAAAGTAAAAGTTATTATTGCAAATTTACACAGAAGAAAATACAGAATAAAAAGTAAACAATAGAAATTAATCCAAATACATGTGTGATCACAATATATGTTAAATGGATTAAATCCACCGTTTTCAAAAGGAGTGTATCACATTGTATAAGAAAAAAATTCCGATCATATGCTATTTACAAGACACAAGATTAAAACTGAATGATACATTAGGACAAAAATAAAAGTAAAAAATAAAGGGATAGGACCAGGTGCAGTGGCTCACACCTGTAATTCCAGTGCTTTGGGAGGCCAAGGCTGAAGGACTGCTTGAGCCCAGGAGTTTGAGACTAGCCTAAGCAACACAGAGAGGCCCCATCTCTACAAAAAAAAAAAAAAAACAATTAGCTGGGCATGGTGATGTGCGCCTCTAGTCCCAGCTACTTGGGAGGCTGAGGTGGGAGGATCACTTGAGGTTATAGTGAGCTATGATTGTGCCACTGTACTCCAGCCTGGGTGATAGAGCAAGACCCTGCATAAAATAACCAAATTAACATACAAAATAAAATAAAGGGATAAAGATCTACCATGAAAATATTAAGCAAAAGAAAAGCTAGAATATCAAGCAATAGAATTTAAGGCAAAAAGCATCATTAGGAGAGTCATGACAACAATAAAAACAACACCTCATCTAGAAACAAAATAGTGAAATACATACATTCACAAGCTCGGCAACTTATAGCTTAAGCACACAAAAAATTTAGAAGACTATAGACCTGTGCTGTCCAATATGGTAGCCACCAAGTACATGTGACTACTGAGCACTTGAAACATAGATAGTCTGAACTGGGATGTGCTGTAAGTATAAAATAGACACCAGATTACAAAGACACTATACAAAAAGAATATAAAAATATCATATATTTGTATTAACTGAATGTTGTTATATATTTTAGATTTATTGAGTTAAATAAATATAGTATTAAAATTAATCTCATCTGTTTCCTTTTTTTAACCTTTTAAATTTGGCTACCAGAAAATTTAAAATTACAATAAAATGTGGCTCATAATATTGTTCTATTCTTAGCACTGCTTCAGAAAATAGAAAAAGAACGCAGAAAATTATTAACGATTGTGGTGATGGTTGCATAATTCTGTGAAGATACTTAAAATTATTGAATTGTGTACTTTAAATGAGTTAATTTTAAGTTACATTAATTATGTCTCAATAAAGCTGTTAAAAGACTAGACAAAACAAATTCACAAGTTCGAACTAATGGACATAGAACTGCACTTCACATCTTTTCACACACATGGAATGTTTACAAAATTTAATCAGAAAACCATGCCACAAAGGAGGTTTTTGAAAATAACCAAAGAATCCATAACATACAATGTTTTCTTACCTCAACACAACTGAATTAGAAATCAATAGAAAAAAATACATATTTTGGAAATGTAAAACTGTACTGAAGTAATTCATAAGTCACAGAACAAATCATAATGAATATCTACGTTTCTGAGGGGGTGTTATAATCAGCATGCGCCCCTTTGCCACCTGGATTCTAAATAACTTGAGAAATAAGACCATGAACTGGCCAGAAGGAGGAAGTGTTTCTCACTGGAGACAGAAACAGAACTTTCTGTACTCGTTTCAGCAACACATATACTAAAATTGGAATGATACAGAGAAGATTAGCATGACCCCCGTGCAGTGCAAGAAACAGAATTTTTTATTGAGCAATAGAATTAGGTTGCCTTAGCCACTTAGATATAGACAAAGACAACTTTGGAATGAAGTAGGCCTTCCCTTCACTCTGCCGCAGAATTGCAGAACCAGCCCTAACCCTGGAGGAGCTGAATGAACATCTATGTCCCAAAGTCAGGTTAATAACAAAACAAAGATGGTGGAGCTGAACCAAGTGTGCCCAATTTGCCCTTCCTAAAGTGTCAGATAAGACACTTTATCTCCTCTAAGGTGGAAAGAGTAAATGGGCAGAGAACAGCTAAGAGTCATAGTAACTAGAGTTCCCCCTTCATATGGATTGAAACATTAAGAGTGATAAAGAAACATCCTATATTAAAATGAAAAACTTTTAAATTTAAGTCAAATGAAAGTAAGAATTTTCCTTATCAAAAGTTGTGGGTTTCAGCTAAAGTTATTGTTGTAGAAAAATTTATAACCTAAATGCATATACTAGAAAGAAAAAAATAAGCATTTAGCTGAATAAACTAGAAAAAGAAAAGCCATACAACCCGCTGTTCTTGAGTTTCAAGGGAAGGCTTCTAGCATTTCACCATTTAATAATGTTTATTTTAAGTTTTTAGTCTATATTTTTTATCTGTATAAGGTTATTTACTTGTACTCCTGGTTTTCCAAGGGTATTTTTGTTTGTTTGTTTTTTGGTTTTCTAACTTACTCTCTACTTTCTTGCTTCTATGCTGAAACCCCAAGGGAATCAACAACCAGACATACAACCAGACAAGGTAGAAGAAAGAAAATGATAAGAACAAAAATTCATGATAAAAATAAAGAAAGTAAAGAATTTAGCATTAAGTTCTACTAAAATGTAAGCTACTTAACATCAGGGATTTTTACCGATTTTGTTTACTGATGAATCTGCAGACCCTTGAACGGTGCCTAGTTCACCATAGGTACAGAATAAATATTTATTGAATGAAAGCCTACTTCTTTGAAAGACTAATAAGGCAATAATTTCTGACAACATTGTGAAAGGCACAGATGGATATGAATAAAGATAACTTATTCCACAAATAGTAGAAATTCTCTTTAAATTGTTATTTGAGTATATGAATATTATAAATCACTTTATTCCACTACACTTGAAAACAGGAAATTTCTTAGAAATACACTTTAGTAGGAACTGGAAAACCATCTGAATGTCTATATAACTATGAGAAGGTCACTAGACCTAGATGATTTTATAGGCATCCTCTACAAAAATGTCAAGTAACAGATAACCCCAATTTTCTTTAAAAAAAAAAAACTATTTTAGAAAGTAAGAGAAAGCTTAGTTTTATGAGGCTATAATTTTGATTGCCTAGTTAATTTTAAAATTACAGTAAAATATACACAACATAAACCTTACTATCTCAACCACGTTTAAGTGTACAGTTCGATGGCTTAAGTACATTCATACTGTTGTGCTACCATCACTACCATCCATTCACAGCCTTCATCTTATTAAGCTGAAACTCTGTATCCATTAAACAATAACTCCCCCTTCCTCAGTCCCCTCAGTCCCTGGCAACCACCATTCTAGTTTCTGTCTCTATGAATTTGGCTACTCCAGGTACCTCGTGTAAGTAGAATCAGTATTTGTCCTTTTGTGACTGGCTTATTTCACGTAGCATAAAGTCAAGTTTCATCTATGTGGTAGCATGTGTCAGAATTTCCTTCCTTAATAACACTGAATAATATTCCATTGTATGCATATTCCACATCTTGTTTATCCCTTCATCCATCAATGTACACTTGGGTTGCTTTCATCATTGGCTATTGTAAATAATATTGCTATAAACATGGTGTACAAATATCTATTCGAGTCTTTGCTTTGAATTCTTTTTGGTATATACCCAGAAGTGGAATTACCAGATCCATGTTTTATTTTTTGAGGAGTTGCCATACTGTATTCTTTAGTGGTTGTTCCATTCTACCTTCCTACCAACAGTGCTCAAGGGATTGTCTAGTTTTGATGTCAAGGTGGCCCCATAAAACCAAAGTTTTCTTTTACCTGAATATCCAGATTGCTAATATTCTAGAATTTTTACATCGATATCCAAGTATAAAAAATTAATCTATATTAGAAATCTGAATAATCCAGAGATGTAAGGACAAAATTTATACATCATAAACAGGATTTATCCCCAGAATATAAGGAATTTCAAAATTTACAAAGCATATTAATGTAACCCAACACAAACATGATAAAAGAGAGAAAAACCAATTATTATTACAACAGATAAAAAACATATAATCCAGTACCCATTTAAAAAAGTCAAGCAAATAAAAATCTGATTTATGTCCACGACTTATACTGCTTTTTCCCCTTTATTTTCCCAAAAAATATAGCACAATGTTAAAGGAGGTACAACAATAGACATCCATTTCCTGTTCTTGACTTTTTTTTTTTTTGAGATGGAGTTTCGATCTTGTTGCCCAGGCTGGAGTGCAATGGTGTGATCTTGGCTCACTGCAACCTCTGCCTCCTGGGTGCAAATGATTCTCCTGCCTCAGCCTCCCGAGTAGCTGGGATTATAGACGCCTGCCACCACACCCAGCTAAATTTTGTATTTTTAGTAGAGACGCGGTTTCACCATGTTGGCCAGGCTGATCTTGAACTCAGGCTGACCTCAGGTGATCCGCCCGCCTTGGCCTCCCAAAGTGCTGGGATTACAGGTGTGAGCCACCGCACCCGGCCCCGCTGTTCTTGAGTTTCAAGGGAAGGCTTCTAGCATTTCACCATTTAATAATGTTTATTTTAAGTTTTTAGTCTATATTCTTTATCTGTATAAGGTTATTTACTTGTACTCCTGGTTTTCCAAGGGTATTTTTGTTTGTTTGTTTTTTGGTTTTCTAACTTACTCTCTACTTTCTTGCTTCTATGCTGAAACCCCAAGGGAATCAACAAACAAATTACCATAATGGAATTTGTTACATGATTACATGATTAATGACATGATTACATGATTAATATATAAAAATCTATAATGTCCCCTGACCAAACCTTGCTTTCTAAATATAGCTCTCTAATTAAAAAAAACATGACTCCCTGGGAAAAGGTCTGATGCTAGGGCTGGGACAAGAAAAATATAAAAAATATAAGATGAACCTGAAGCATCTTATAGTACAAGATAGTAGTCAAGAAGTGCTTAATAATAAAAAAAAGGGATAGCGTTGAATCAAAGGAACACAAGATCCAGCATGACAAGAGCCAAAGTTAAACAATTTAAAAACAATCAAAAAACAAAAATAATGTATGAATATTACTGGATTATAACCTAAGTGTAAAATAAATATACATGAGTGTATACTAATGAAAGTGGTTGAATAAATAAATGCTGAGAAGAGAAAAATCTTCCTTGTAGAAGAATTTCAAATAATGCAGATATGCCCTCCCCTTCCCAGCTTAAGGGTGGGCTATAGTTAGTGCCTCACTTCTAAAGAAAGAAAAGAGTAGAAAAAGGAAAAAATATTAACTTTATAAGTGGAGAAATTCAGCAAACACTACCTTAACCAAGGGATGAAGGTTAGCATCATCAGTGATGTTCTACAGATACCATATACCCTCAAATATGATGTGATGAGAAGGGCACTTCACGTCTGTGATACTCTTTTGAAAAACCTGTAGCCTTGTCTAATCATGAGAAAAAAATCAGGTTGAGAGACATTCTACAGGATACCTGGCTAGTACTCAAAATTATCAAGGCCATGAAAAACAAGAACAGCAAAATTGTCATAGACCAGAGGGAAGACAGGATAATGAAATACAATGTGGTATCCTGGATTTGATCCTGGAACAGAAAGAGTACATTAATGAAAAACCTGGTAAAATCCAAAATGTGGAGTTTAGTTAACAGTAATGTACCAATGTCAGTTTCTTAGTTTTGACAAAAGTCTCCTGGCAATGTAAAATGTTAACAATGCGGGAAAGTAGATGACGGATGAACAGGAATTCTCTTCTTTGCAAACTTTCTGTAAATCTTAACATTATTCCAAAATTAAATGTTTAATAAAAAGCAATGCTCTAATACTCAATTATAAGAATAGCCAATTAAAAAATATAATTTCAAAAATCCTTTTTTTGGTAGCAAGAAAAACTTACTATATGTGTAATAAGTCTAAAAAAAGACATGCAAAACATTTATAGGAAAAAAATTATTTAACTGATGGAAAGGCCTAAATAAGTAAATTTAAAAATACCATAGCATCATAGGAAGACTGAACATTTTAAAGATAGCATTTAATCTTTAAACTAATCTATGAATTCAATACAATAATAAATGTACTGAATATGAAAATATGTATTCTTTATGACAAAGAAGTTGGCAAGAAGAGTGGGACTGTTTTATATCTTTGCAAATCTATTTTAATATCTGTCCAAATAGAATACAGAGGGATTTTCAAACTGCTTCTGTTTTCAAATATTTTGATATTGCACATCATGTAGCCTATAGAAATTTTTACTGTACACCTCTAAGAGAATGAGAGTGACCAAAGGAAATACTACCTTAATATTATTACATAATAATTTTGAGCTTGCAGACCTACTAATAGTCTTGTAACCGTATTTTGATAACCACCGTTATGGAGAAATAATATGTCATTCCCCCTTAACCTTAAGCTCTCACATTATTTTTTTCATACTTTAATATAAAAAATTTCAAACATACAGAAGAGTTGAATTTTATAATAAATACCCATATATCCACCTGGATTCTATAATTAACATTTTACTGTGCTTTTTGTCACAACCCTATTTACCCATCAATACATCTTACTTTTTCCTCTTATTTTTTTACAGTGTATTTTAAAGTAAGTTGCAGATATCAGTGTACTTTCCCTAAAATACTTTGGCATGCATGTCATTACTAGGTTTAGTAAATTTTTTTTGCAATTCGTTTTGAGGTAAAATTTACATATAATGAAATGTACAACACAATTAATTTTGTGAATCCAGACAAATGCCATGCATTTTTGCAACCCACATCTCTAACAAGATACAGAACACGACTGTCATCCCCCAAAAGTTCCCTTATACTCTTTTCAGTAAATCGATCACTTCTCTCTAACCCCCCGCGGCAGAGGAAATCACCATTCTTACTTTTTCCTATTCACATTATCTTTGTTTTTTCTAGAACTTCACATAAATGAATTTATATAATATGTACTCTTTTATGTACACATTGTTTAAATTCTCTCACTCAATACAATGTTTTTAGATTCATCCATACTATTTTTTAAAAATTATTAAAAGTTAATGTACCTACCATGAAAATGACTATCAAGATGAGACAGATGCCCACTATGATAAGGAAGGGAATTAGGTAGTATTCCAAAGGAAGACTAAATTCTGGAACTAAGATAAGGTGGCCCCTAGAAGAAAACAAAAATCAATAATTGAGAAATGAAGAGTTGTTAAATTCTGATGTTAATTAAAAACAGGAAAAAATATTTTTAAAAACAGACATATAGACATTACAATTAAATCCACTACATACATTTCATTTTCTAAAATATGACTTTCAATAATTTAAGGAATGCTTTCTACATCTTTAAGTCTATTTTACATATTTTTCCTAATAGCATGCCTATATGATTAAACTGGGTAAAGAAAACTAGCCAATCAATTCTTACTGTGTCTATCCTGGAGATATGTTATTTATTTATTTATTTTATTTTACTTTTTTTTTTTGAGATGGAGCCTTGTTCTGTTGCCCAGGCTGGAGTACAGTGGTGCAATCTCAGCTCACTGCAACCTCCACCTCCGGGGTTCAAGTGATTCTCCTACCTCAGCCTCCTGAGTAGCTGGGATTACAGGTGCCTGCCACCATACCCTGCTAATTTTTGTATTTTTATTAGTAGAGAGGGTTTTGCCATGTTGGCCAGGGTGGTCTTGAATTCTTGACCTCAGGTGATTCGCCTGCCTTGGCCTCCCAAAGTGCTGGGATTACAGGCGTGAGCCACCACGGCAGGTCTAGAGATGTTGTTTATTGAATTTAGTAGCTGGGGCAAAAGTTATATTTTATACGTAAAATCATGGTAGTACCTTGGGTACCAAAAAGAACCTCCACCTCAATCAAATTACTGTTCATAAGTTCTTCCTATGGAAAAACTCTAGCGTCAGTATTGATAAAAATTATACTGTTTCCTCCCTATCTGCTTTACATGTATCTGTTGTATCAGGTACAATGGATACAGGTCCTATACTCTACAATTATCTATGAGATATGGAATGAAAAACTGGTCAAATAATTCATAAGAGTTATGGCTTCCTGTATATCCCCCACCTTCTCCACCACTGGACTGAAAAAAACTACAGAAATGTGTATGTTGTAAGGTGGGTAATAGGAAATGCTACATGCCTTAATTCTCATTTATCATTAACCATGTTATTACTGTGACATTATCATTATAAAAATTGACAGGGACCCATGAAATAAAACTGTAATCAGAATAAGCACATCATTTGTGTTACATGAGGAAATTTTACATGGCATCAAAGCTCTGCATTAAAAATACCCTTAGTTTAGGGAAGAGTTTGTATAATGTTCAGTAATATGACAGATATGACAGATGAATCCATTGGGTCCACTGTGCTACTAGACTAGTACGGTGCCAGCAAAGCTACTCTGTTATCCACTGCTAGTTAATTTTTTAAGTAGTGAAGCCAGGTATTTCATAACCGAAAGGTTCAATGCAAAACAATCGTTCTCAGTATAAAGGAAAATAACAGATTTACTCCTTTCCTCATACAGAGGTGCTTAGGACACCATAGCACTTAAGACAAATAACATGTATGCAACTTATTTTTTTCCGAGACTATTTTTAAATCTTTATGCTATTATTTCTTATACACACACACAAGGGGCTCTATCAAGCTTCAACAAACAAAAAATACCAGGAATTTACCCCAATAATTTAAACTTTCCAAAAATTGCTACGATTGCTAGAATACAAGTAGCTTTTTACTTCACTTTCCAGCAGAATGGGGGATGACAAAGGATTTCACACACATTTGTATAGCTTTGCACAAAATACTAAAGTAACTAATATATCATCAGTGTAAAAAAGAAAATCAGCAGCAGCAGGGCCTAAGCTGCTCTATTTGATACCATCTCTTCCAGCACGAGGCCAGCCAGCTCCGCAATTAATATCCCTGTTCCCGGCACATACCCTCTGAAACTGCCCTGAGCCAGTGGTACCACTTTTAAGTATAAGAGCCTTTCCATGAGACGCTAATCCTCTATAACCTCCCTACCCCACAGCCACTAACCTGCTATAAATAAACACTATCAGGGTTTAGAAGCCAGACTATTGCATATCCTAAATTCAACCCATTGTAACTTAGTATCTCAGCAGTAGGAAGGCTTACAACTCTCATATTCTGTTTTTTTTTTTCTTCTCTTTTTATGTTTATGACTTCCTAAGGCACACTCAGCCTTGATGAGATAAATAAATCCTGTCCTATGAGACAAGCCCCAGGGTTGCTCAGAAATAAACAGAGCTTCTAGGTGAGAAGGAGCAAGCTAAAAGAACAAATCAGGAAGTCCCAGTGAACTAGGAACTTCGTGTGTGTTTGTAACGGCAGAAATGGAATCAATTTCAGAATTTCCCAGGAAGCATTATGCTAAGATTCATACGCCCGGGTTCTAAATCTAATATTCTACATATCCTATTAATGCTTTCCATTATAAACTAAATACCATTTTAGTTTACCGTCAAGATATATTGTGGGGATTTTAAAGGGTCAACAATTGATAAAAGATTTTGAGCATCTTGCCTGTAATCCCAGCACTTTGGGAGGCCACGGTGGGTGGATCACTTGAGGCCACAGGAGTTTGAGACTAGCCTGGCCAACATGGCAAAACCCCATCTCTACTAAAAATACAAAAAAAAAAAAAAAAAAAATTAACCAGGCATGGTGGCCAGCACCTGTAGTCCCAGCTTCCCCAGGGGCTAAGGCTGGAAACTTAGCTTGAACCCGGGAGGCGGAGGTTGCAGTGAGCTGAGATCGCACCACTGCACTCCAGCCTGGGTGACATAGTGAGGCTTTGTCTCAAAAAAAAAAAAAAAGGTTTTGAGCATCTTGAATCAAAAGCTCAATGTACACTCAAGATACTGTTTTTTTCTTAACCAAATTGCTAACAGTGGATGTGGTGATAGTGATGATACAGGGAACTACAACAGAACTACAATGGAATTTCAGTCCTCTGGCTCCATTTCTATTTCTTCTGTCAGCCCAGGTCTCCCACAGCTGAACTTGCAGATTCATCCTTGCCCTAGTCCCAGATTAATCTGTATTTGAGGAAGAAGGTATTTAAACAGGTAATTATCCTACCACACTGCCTCTATGTCCATGCCTAAATACAGCACATCTTATGAGCTCTGCAGCTAAGATTTGATCACTGAAGCAGAGTCCTAAGCAACCCAGAAAATAGGGTCTTATTTTCCTTTGTGTGACTTCCCAGGCTAATTTCAAACCAGCTGCCTAGGCTTAAGCTTGATAATAATAACCTGTCTAATTTCCCCATCCTTCTGTTGACACATGAAGTCTTGTCTGTTCTTTTCTGACATCCAACCCCCACCAATCAAACTACTAAGCCTCAGTGGATTTACAGCCACACAGCAGAGCCTTCTGTCCTATAGATCAGCTTTCCAGGCAATAACCTGTATTCAGCCCAACTGCTGGATATCCCCACTATTTCATCTGACTACTTCCTTGAACTTGCTCCTTTCAGACAAAGCTCACAGCTGCCTCATTAAACATCTTACATCACTTAATAAACAGGCTCTGTGTCCCCATTTACTGCCAGTGCACTGCTCTGTCTTCTTGAGGAATTCTGAGGTAACATAAAAGCAGTTTAATTTCATTAGAATTTACTAAATGTCTACTGTGATACAGTCAATGGGCCTGGTGCTAGGGATTAAATGTGAAAAAATAGAATCCCTAACCATCAGAGAGAATATAGAAATCTTAAAGGAACCTCAATATTCTTTGTTCTAACTCTTCATTTTCAAGAGAAAATATGTCCATGAAGATTAAATACCCTCCCAAAGGCCACACCCCAGCAATCCCTCCAGTGAACTGCACTACTCACTCTGATCAAAAACAAGCTTTGTCTCTGCCCACAACTTGTAAAAGTTGTATGTTATCCAATAATTTGCCTTCCCTAATAAAAGTTACAAAATGCTTCTAGAATTTAAGTTTTTAAAAGACCAAAATTGACAAAGGACACCAAACAGTTTATAAAACTATTCACTGTGAATAAAGAAATGCTAATCGGACCAACTCATTTTCTTCTTGTCAGATTGGGAGGTCATAAAAAGACTGATAATATGTATTACTGGCAAGAGTAGGGGAAAACATTGGCTTTCCTAAAATGTTGGTGGAAACATAACTGCTTTTTAAAGGGCAATATGACAATTGTTTACTGAAATTTAAAACTGTTTCTCCTTAATCAAAAAAATTCCACTTTTAGGTGCTTTTGCTAAAGAAACATTTGTGCAATTGCACATAGTATATGGTCAAGGATATCATTATAGCACTTTCTGTAATAGACAAGAATTGGAAGGTAAGCATTAACATTTATGAAGCATTTACTATGTCCCAGGTATTCTTCTAAGAATTTTATTAATGTGTTTAATCCTTCCAGCAATGCTATATGCTGTAGGTTCTATTATTGTTCACATTTTAATGAGGAGAGAGGCTACGGCCCAGAGATAATAAATTTTTTGTTGAAGATCACACAGCTAACAAGTGATGGAAGCCAGGATTTGAATCCACACAGCTCTTACTCCAGAGGTCATGCTTATAGTCGGTGGCTTACTGGCTAAGTAAATTAGGATATATCTAAACAATGGACTATTGTTAAATCCAGAATATACCATCCTTTTTAAAAGTAGTTAAAAGAGTGAACAGTAGCTAAAAAGAATAAAGTACAATAAAACAATAATTGATGAATACTTCATTAATATGATAAAAAACCAGAATCTTACTTAAAGAAACGAGAAGCTTTCTTACTAAAGGGAGTAACAAGGGAAAGATGCCTATCTCTACTACTATTTAACATGGTGTTAAAGTTATTACCAATGCAATTAGATAAGGGAAAGCAATTAGAAGCATAAGAATTGGAAAGGAAAAGATAAAACTATTTCTATTTATATGAAAAAACTGCCATCAACAGTAAGAGAATTTAGTCAAATTGCAGGTTATTATATCCACACTCAAAAATGAGCTTTCAGCTGTACAAATAAAAACCAGTTAGTAGATGTAATGAAAGAGGAGACTCCACTTATGATAGCAAACAATAAAATACCTTGGCATAAATTTAACAAGAAATGTTTATCTCACATAGATTTTGGACTAAAAAAACTAAACAAAGCTGAATACATAAAAACAGAATTCGCTGCTCACTCACACCTGTAATCCCAACACTTTGTGGAGCTGAGGCGGACAGATTGCTTGAGTCCAGGAGTTCAAGACCAGCCTTGGCAACATGGCAAAACCCCAGCTCTACTAAAAATACAAAAAATTAGCTGGGCAAGGTGGTGCATGCCTGGGGTCCTAGCTACTCAGGAGGCTGCAGTGGGAGGATCACCTGAGCCTCGGAGATCAAGGCTGCAGTGAGCTGGCACCACTGCACTCCAGCCTGCGCAACTGGAGTGAGACCCTTTCTAAATTAAAAAAAAAAAAAAAAAAAAAAAAGCAGAATTGAACAAATGAAAGGACATACCACACTCTTGAATAAGGAGACTTATCCTAAAAATGTCAATTCTTCCTAAATTAATTTATGAATATAATGTAATCTCAATAAAAATCTTATCAGGTTTTTCTGAAGCTAGACCAGTTGATTATTAAATTCCTTTGGAAGGAAAAACTGGAACCCTCATACATTGCTGGTGTGAATATAAATTGGTGAAGGCACTTTGGGAAAAAGTCTGGCAGTTCCTCAAAGTGTTAAACATAGAGTTACCACATAATGCAACAATTCCATTCTAGGTATATACCAAAGAGAAATAAAAACATATGCACATGTAAAAATTTGTACACAAATAGTGAAAAAAAAAGCATTATTCACAATAGCCAAGTTGTGGAAACAAGCTAAATGTCCATCCATCAACTGATGAATAGATAAACAAAACATGGTATATCCATACAATGGAAAGCTATTCAGCAATAAAAAGAATAAAGTACCAATACATGTTACAATATGATGAACCTTGAAAACATTACATTAAATGAAAAAAAATCATAAAATATTATATGATTCCATTCATGTGAAATAACCAGAATAGACAAATCCATAAAGACAGAAAGTAGATTAGTGATTGCCTGGGGCTGGAGTGGACGAAGAAGGACTGGGGAATAGGAAGTGACTGCAAATGTGTACGGGGTTTCTACTTGGAATATTGAAAAAGTTCTAAAATTAGAATGTGATGATGATTGCAGAATTCTATAAATATACTCAAATCACTGAATTTTACACCTTAAATGGGTAAACCTTATGGTATGTGAGATATATCTTAATAAAATTGTTTTAAAAATTTCATTGGGAAGGACAAAAAAAAACCCCATTGGAATAACTGATGGCTATTTGGAAAAAGATATGATTGGATCCATTCTTCAAGCTATATATAGGATAAATTACAAATGAACAAAAGATTTAATATTAAAAACAAAACCATACAAGTATAAATGTGGGTGAATTCCTCTATAACACAGGAGTAGGGAAAACTTTATTAAGACTCAAGACCAACAGCCCAAGGGAAGAGATATTTGATTTTTGTTTACATTAAAAAAAACCCAACATCATAGTGAAATAAAAATTTCAAAATACAAAAAAAAGTAATATTAAAAAATAAAGGACCAACATAACTAATAAAATACAGAACTTCTAAAAATAGGGAAGAAAATGACCAATAATCTAATACAAAAAACTGGCCTAGAGGTAAACAGCTCATAAAAGATAAAATATAAGTAGCGCTTAAGCATAAGAAAAAAATGCTTAAATGTGCTTGTAATAAGAGAAATACACATGAAAACTATAATAGAATACCATTTCTCACCTATCTGATTAGTAAAAATAAGCAAATCTGACAACAACTTTGTTGGTGAGGGTACAATAAAAGAGACACCCTCATAAACTGTTGGCATGACCCTTACGGATGGGAATTGACAATATCTAGCAAAAATACATATACATTAAAACTCTGAACTAGCAATCCCACTTCTAGAAATCTATTCCAAAAGTATACTGGCAAAAACATGAAAACACTTAGGCATAAGGTTATGCATTACAGCAGTATTTATAATTACAAAATAACGTAACCGATTCAAATGCTGATCAACAGGGGACTGGCTGATTAAACTGGAACATCCACAAAATAAGAGTTCTATGCAGCTGTACAAAAGAATGAAGAATATCTCTATCTACTCAAGGATAAACAATCAAGTCAAAAGCAGGATGGGGAATATTGTTTATGCACTAAGGGTAGAAGATAGGGGAGAGGAGATATATATTTTCCTACATATTTTTAAATTTAATGAACTAAAGAATAAATTAAAGTCTTTTTTTAATTATTACTTATAAGGTAAGGAGAGGAACAAGATGGACAAGATGGATGATACTTAGAATCTGAACTTCTCTGAATATACATTGTTTCACTGATTTTGACTCAGAGTTTATATATAATTTTTAAAATCACAGTTGGGGGTAAGGGGAGCAATCGCCAAACTCTGAAAGCAAATGAATCAAATAAACCTGTGTTTTCAATTTATAACATCAGCACACAGACTATTTCACTTTCTTTTAAAAAAAGAATTCGCCTGTAGCCCCCAGCTGCTGGGGAGGCTAAGGTAGGAGGATTGCTTGAGATCAGGAGGCAGAGGTTGCAGTGAGTTGAGACCATGCCACTGCACTCCAGCCTGGGCAACAGAGTAACAGCCTGTCTCAAAAATAATAATAATAATGATAATAATTTAGCTTTATCTTATCTATTATGACATATTCTAAGCAGAGAAAGAACTGTTTTTTAAGAAATGTTGGTAATAGCATTGATATTCTTCTTCTGAGTCTGTTGTGTACATACTTTACATTTAGAAAAGACAATATATTATTATGTTGGTGTCTTTCAGCATAGAAAAATAAAATACCCATTTAAGGTCAATAAAGTAAAAATTCTAGACCTTTGTATTTAAATTGGAAGCAACAGTATACACTCATGATTTATTGTATCTTTAAAAGCCATATATATTTCCTAGTTCTGCCCACTGAAAGAGAGGGGGCTTGAGGGTAAAGTAGGTGGTAGATAGATACTAAACAGACAGACAGATAAATAGATAGATGATAGGTATAGGTAGGTAGGTAGGTAGATAGATAGACAGACAGACAGACAGACAGACAGACAGACAGATAGACAGATATATAGATAGATAGATAGAGTAGATCTTTATGTACGGGTCTACAATTCCTTATGACCAATTCTAAAACCTAAAAAGCTTTAAAAAATAATGTTTGCAATTCATTTGACAGTCAACTTGAAGTGAACTGACATGAAAAAATAGCCATATATTTATTGCAGATACATTAATTTGTTTGATTATGGGGTGTTGCCTCAAATTCTATTTGGAATGTTATTTAACTTTTTAAAATTCAAACATTTTTCAATGCCACAATATATCTGTAGCCAAGAGGTGGGATAAGAGAGTTTGTAAACTTGTATTCACCTGGAAAGGGTCAAAACATTAAGTAAATAAAGCAAGTTACAAATTATTAGGCACCGTATGGTTCCATTTTATGAGCATGTGATCACTAATTAAGGTGAATAAGCAAATATGGGGAAAAACAAAGGGCTTTTTAAAAAACAGTAGTTGGTAAGCAATAGTGTCACATAGAGACTTTCACTTTAAATATTTTATATTTCAATTTTTCCATATTTTGCTAGTATCTATATATTACTTCTTAATTTTAAAAAGTATGGTTTTATAATTAAAAACAAAAAATACTCTTTAAAATACATATTAAAATATATAGAAGTATTCTAAACGAGGGAGCAATATTGAGGTAAAAGCAAGTACTAATTCTCCTCTCTTTTAACCAAGCAAACACGGCTGACAAAACACCACTTTGCATAACTGTTTTTTGATACAACTTCCAAAATTACATTCCTTAACTTAAAAAAAATGTTCTGAGCATATAATATGTGAACAGTATTTTAAATATCAACACTGTAGTGGGGAACTAACAATAACAGTAAACAGAAAACCTTGCCCTCTTCTTTTTATGCATTTTCAAACAGAAATATTCGTGGATTTCTTTTCCCCCTAAATAATTAGAATTGGATTTCATTGTGCCAGTTACCTCTTCTGGCAAATGTAGATAATAAGTGATAATAATAACAACCACTAGAGGGTTGTTGTGAGGATTAAATGGATAACAAAATGTAGAAGTCTTGCTTTCATGAGTGCCCAGCTTTGCTAAATGCTCAATAAATATTAGCTGCTTTTATTATTATTTTTGTTGTTGTTCCTCTTAGACCAAAGTCTGTTCTGGTCAACTACGTTTTGGGGATCTGTGTGTCATGGAAGAAGTTCTGAAGTGTTTATTGTACCGTTTTCTCTGTTTTCTATATTAGCTGAGACAGCTGTGCCTTAAGTTAATTTCAGTCTGTATGTTATCTTTGTAATGAGATTATTTTGTGGGGGTAGGGGAGAAGAGTTTCATATAAAAGTTCTCATTCAAATCAAGCTTCTAAAACTTGAAAACTGACTTTTTGCCTTTGTAAATGTTAGTCCCTTAACACAATGTTTTGGATTCTGTGTTTATAATATATAAAATATCTTTTTAGTAATATACAAACATTTCTTAATAGAAAATGTCATATAAACATAAATTGCATTGTTTTAAAATACCAGTAGTTTGATTAAACTTCAAAATGAAAAGTTATCTTTTTAGCAACAAGGGTGACTTACTCTCACTAGCATGAATATATTTTCAACATAATCATACAAAGAAAAAGTAGTAAAATACTTTAAAATACTACGTCTTAAAAGCATAATGATTTAAAAAGGGATAATTTAGCACTACAGAGTTCATTCTGAAACATAATCTTGATTACAATATTATATAATTCTACCTTAATATAAAGAAGAATTTTAAGCAACATGATTTTTTATATCCATTACTTACCCTTTTTCATATGTGAATTCATCTTTCAGAGAATTAGCTGATGATTCACCAATAAAGACAGATGGAATGTCAATTTTCTTTAGTACCTCAACTGTATAAAAGAATAATGAAATTATTCTTAAAAGCCCATATTTAGTGTATAATCAACTTTTCTTCATAATAGCAGCAAATGCAACTGGAAACAATTACAATCAACTTTAATTGTCTATTGCTTGATTTTCCAGATTGCAGATTTTATTCATCATCAAAATGGTTGAGAAACATAACATTTACAGTAACAAAGCTAACATTTTGCATATACACATTACCTGAATTCTCTCAATAGTCTATAAGATTGAGATGTAATTTTTATTTTTAATATTTCCATTTGATTTCTTCCTCTCTAGACATAACTTATTAGAGAAGAAAGATGAAGAAATTTTAGGTTTTCTTCCCACACATAACTTAATTCCTAAATGAAAAAGAGAAAAAGCTTCTTTTACATACCCATTTCCAGGAGACGTATAAGCCAGAGAATATAAGAAAAGACAACTTCACAACAATCTAAAAAGTAATACCACACATCTCTGGCTTTCCAGACTGAAAGGCTGACAGGGGTTGAGAAAGGGAATAGGGCAGGAAAGCTGGTTTCTATTTCCTTGTAAGCCTGGCGCTCATGGCAAAGTTTTGTGTTTGATTGGTATCTTAAGATATTTGACTCTTCTACCCATATTCAAAACCAAAATCAAATGCCACCCAAAAAGAATTTCGTCAAAATTACCCATTACTCAGGAATAGAAAGAAAAACAATCCTCTTAATGTTGCTAATAGAAAAAGCAGCCTCATTATTAGCTGTGAGTTAGTTTAACACATTTGGCTTTAGAGAAGGCCCATTTGTTTTCTTTTTATAGTTTTCAAAATAACTTTGTTCTGCATTTTAAAAACAATGCATATTCATTATGCATTTAAAAGGGGGGGAGGCAAGTAAAGAAAAAGAAAACAAAACAAAATCATAATCTTTCCCATCCAAGGACAAATGTTTTATTTAAAGTAATAAGCAGTTCTGTAAGTTGTGACAAATACATACAATTATAACCACAACTACAGTTGGATATAGAATGTTCCATCACCCACCAAAATTCCCTCATACAGTCAACCCCTACCCCCTAAACTTATAAATTACTGATCTATTTTGCTGTTATTGTTTTCATCCTTATAAAGACAAGGTTTAAAATCTTGATATCCTTGGTAGAGTAAGTTTTTTTCACTTCTAGATTGTTTTATGCAAATATAAACGTTCAACTCTCATACATTCTCTCTCTCTCTCACACACACACACACGCACACATGCGCGCACATACACACCAGAAAAAAACATGTAAGCCCCAAAGAGGGCAGAAACAAAAAATATTAGTCAAGAAATATTTAATCACTATTTTTATATCAACATGATCAATAAAATTTTATTTTTTATATCAATGGGATCATATAATTTTTAAAGTGTAAGCTTTTTTTCTACACAATGATACAGCTCAGATATCCTGTTATGTCAATAAATACAGATCTACCTCATCATTTATTTTTATTTTTATTTTTTTAGAGACAGAGTCTCACTATGTTGCTCAGGATGCAGTGCAGTGGCTATTCACAGATGGCACCATTGTGTACTACAGCCTGTAACTCCTGGGCTCAAGTGCCCCTCCTGTCTCAGCCTCCCAAGTAGCTGGGGCTACAGGCATTATTGCATTTTTTTTTTTAATAGATGCAGAGGTATTGTTATAGGACTATATTTTTTTTTATATTTGGGAGATATTTTCTATTTTGCTAAGATATTTTCTCTACCACATATGAGTTTAAAGCTTATTTTATTTGATACTTAAAACTTGGAATTGTATGATGCTTTCTTCTTTCATGAAGATACTATGACAAACTCAAGGAATAACTTTTGGTTTGTAACTACTGGCTAATAATATTGGAAGTAACCTAGCTTCTTTGAATTATGACATCTAAAGAGATGTAGAAAGCTCCTTACTTTAATAAAATGATTAAGAAAAAGGGAGAAAATATTGTAAGCAAATATGAGTAGCCATCTTGAAAATGGCAACATTATCTACTGAAAACAAAACTAAATATGTTTTACTTCACAAAATACTTTTAAAACACTCTATTTTGATCTGTAAAACAACTCTGTGAAGTACATATCGACAAAGATAGATTACAATTTGAATGATCCAGCCCCAAACTCTCCAGATTCGTATATCCAATTGTCCATTCAATATCTCCATTTGATTGCCTAATACATGTTTCAAACAAAGTTTCTCAACTGAACTCTGAATGTCTCTTTTCTCTCAGTCGATCAACTCTGTTTCTCATCTCTGTAAACAGCATAGCCATTCACTTAGTTTCTCAGACTAAACATCTTGGAATCATCCTTGACTCCTCCCTTTCCCTTACTCCCTATACCAAATCCTGTCAGCTTCAAAATATAGCCATATTCCTACCACTTCTCATGACTTTAACTACTAATACTCCAAACCACCATTACTCTTGCCTGGCTGCTGCAGCAGCTTTCTAAATGTTCTCTCTGTTGGCACTTTTGCTCACCTTTCACCTTCAGTGTTCTCTCCAAAGAACAGCAAAGTGCTCCGTTTATGAAATATGTCATATTGCCTTACACAGCTGTTTAAAACTTATTTTTTTTTATTTATTCATTCATTCATTCATTCAATCATTTGGAGACGGAGTCTTGCTCTGTTGCCCAGGCTGGAGTGCAGTGGCACGATCTCGGCTCACTGCACCCTCCGCCTCCCAGGTTCAAGTGATTCTTGTGGTTCAGCCTCTTGAGTAGCTGGGACTACAGGCATGCACGCCACCACACCTGGCTAATTTTTTATATATTTAGTAGAGATGGGGTTTCACAATGTTGCCAAGGTTGGTCTTGAACTCCTAAGCTCAGGCAATCCTCCCGCCTTGGCCTCCCAAAGTGCTAGGATTACAGGCCTGAGCCACTGTGCCCAGCCTAAAACTTATTTAGAATAAATTCCAAAGTCCTTATCATGGCTGACAAGGCCCATCATATTTGACCCCTGGCTCCTTCTCTAACCTTATCCCCCCACTCCCTCCCTTGTTCACTACTCTAGCCATTGTGGCTTTATGCCACACTTTGGAAACACCAAGCATGCTTTATCTTTGAATTGTTGTACTTGTTGTTCCGTCTCCTTGGAATACCCTCCTTCAGAAATCTGCATGACTCAGCCTCTAACTTTAGATCGGTGCTCAAATTGCAATGCCTCACAGAAGCTTTCTCTGACCACCCTATCTAAAATAGCTGCCTTCCTTTCATCTCTGTCATTCTATATCCCCTTATGCTGATATTTTTCTTCATAGCATTTATCACTACTTGACATTATAGCACATCTATTTGATTATGTGTTCATTTCTTCTCTCCTACTCTAGAATGCAATAAAATGATAATAATCACAATAATAATATCTGAACAATCATTAAATGATTGCTAAGAACCAGGAAGTCCTCTAGACACTTAACAGGCCTTAATTCATTCAATCTTCATCGCAACTAAATAACTTAGGTACTATTATTATCCTAATTTCACAGATCAGAAAAACTGAAGCATATAGATATTAGGTAATATACCCAAGGTCATACAGCTACTAGGTGGTAAAGCTGGGATTCAAACCCTAACAAGCAGTACCCGGAAAGTACTCTCTTAAGTACTGCACTCTACTACCTCAATGAAAGATATGAAGGCAGAGCCTCTGACTGCATCATTACTTCCTATAGTCACAGTGCCTAAAACAGTGCAGGGTAGGCTGTCAAAATGCATTTGTTGAAGAAAGAAATCAAAGAAAAAAAGGAAAAAAAAAATGACCCAGAGATATTAACAACTTGACCTGGTTATACAGTTAGATATTTGCACAGTCTGGACTCAAACTGGAGGCTTCTGACTCCTCATCTAGGCTCCTCTCACTCTGCCATTGCATGGGTTTTCTCATATACCTTCTCTCATAAGGTTTTCACAAATTTGTCAGGTCAAATAATTATCAAAATTATTCACACTATTATAGATGAAAATAATGTGCTTATAAAGATTAAGTAACTTTCCTGAGGGCGCAGGTATCTGGTTCACATAACAACTAGCCTGGCTTAGAATAAACACATATTTCCTGGTTCTGAAGTTGGTGTCCTTCCTACCACTTTCTGCTGTCTCCTAAAGATAAAGAATGTTATTGGCTCACTGAATTAATCCATTCTGTTCCTGGCTGAAATAAAAATTGGTATATTCCTTACGTGAAGTGTCAACAGGAAGGGGCTTTTACAACTTCCTTTTGTTTCCAGGCGTTAGTATCTCTGCTTGGTATAAGATACCAGTATTCCTAGGAAAGGCCTTGAAAAGAGGGACAGATACAAGCCTCTTCTGATAAATCTATGCTTTTCTTACCTCTACCAAGTAATAGCAAACATGAAAATGGTAAAGATCTTTACAACATTTGTCTCTGTACATATAAAACGTTTAAACACATGCG
This sequence comes from Homo sapiens, assembly GCF_000001405.40. Lineage (NCBI taxonomy): Eukaryota > Metazoa > Chordata > Mammalia > Primates > Hominidae > Homo > Homo sapiens. The sequence continues at coordinate 149,897,639 of NC_000003.12, read as the reverse complement.
CAAAGATGGAGCAAAATATCATAGAAAATAATCTAAGCAACAAAGTCAAGAACCAAAATTCTGAGCAGTCTTTGAACAACAACTCAGTTGAAACATTTCCATGGCAACAGCAGGCTTATATGGTTGTGTGCTACTTTTAATATTGAACATATTTTCTTTAGGAGCTGACATGATTATCACAAAAAGGTTTTACAGTATTACAAAGAAAAAATAAGTGATAAAGGGAACTGACAATTTCAGCCTGCAAAATTTTTACTGAAAACATGTCAAAAGAGTAAATAGTTTACAAATAATAATCAATTTGTTCAATCCAAAACATATTCAGCCCTTGAGAAGGTCCTGAAGGTTTGCTAAATCCTGGGCTTGGGCCTTTAGCAAAACACACAAAGAGTAAGTAACTTGCTCAAAGTTATACAACTGATACAAGTAGGATTTGATTTCGAATTCAGGCCTATCCATTTCCAGACTACGCATGCTTTCCATTTTGCCAGTAAATGTATACAGATCACAAAAGTTACTGACCATGGGATGTATCAACTGGGATAATTTTTTTTAAGAGGGAAATAGTTAAAGGAGAAGTAAAATGTGTCAAATTGGCAGTACTAACATTACCAGTTTATTTGATAAGTAAACTCACTTAAGTAAGTCCTGTAATTCCCATGTAGTAGCTGTCAAACTATTCCTGAAATGCTAAAACTTCTTATGGGTACTTAATGGATTCTACAGTCATGAAGATTTAATTAGCTAGGAGGTTAAAATAATAATTTAAAATATAAAGAAATTAAGAAATGTATTAATAAATTTTACTTTTTACATATTATAATTTTGCCTCACTCTATTAGGGTTAAGAAGGACAAAAATGCCCAGGCACGGTGGCCCACGAATGTAATCCCAGCACTTTGGGAGGCTGAGGTGGGCGGATCACCTGAGGTCGGGAGTTCAAGACCAACCTGACCAACATGGAGAAACTCCATCTCTACTTAAAATACAAAATTAGCCAGGCGTGGTGGCAGGTGCCTGTCATCCCAGCTACTCAGGAGGCTGAGGCAGGAGAATCGCTTGAACCCAGGAGGCAGAGGTTGCGGTGAGCCAACATCGCACCATTGCACTCCAGCCTGGGCAACAAGAGTGAAACTCCATCTCAAAAAAAAAAAAATAAAGAAGAAGGGCAAAAACAAAAACAACAGAAAACACTGTCATAGGCTAAAAGAAGACTTTTTGGTTAAGGAATATAAAATATTTCCTTTTCAGGATGCAGTTATTTAAACTCCTAAATACATTCCAGTGTTTTCTATCAGTCTATAGCTTTATGTCTATACTTTGCTCTACCCTGAAAATATGAATCAATAGGACTTAATAACAAAATATATTATGGTTATGCACTCAAAAGAATAAAATAAATTCTAATCATGAGTGTTGACAGTAAATCATCTTAGTATCAATTAGAAAGGTTTTGATAAAACCCCATAGTGCCCTGAGTAATAGAAACTACATTAAGTGAGGCATACAGCTTCAAAGTCAGTGTCTTATTACAGCCAGTTATGCCACTAAAATTGGCTCGTTTTTCCCTACAAGCTAATAATTAGTAGAGAGTAAAGAAAGACATTCCCATCTGAAATGAAAAACTATGAACATACCAATGTATGACGAAGGGCTAATAACCAACTGGTATAAGGAAGCACAAGTATGTGGCTTTGGAACTCCAGCAGATTATAGCAGCTACTTAGTGTATGTGCATACCCTAAAATAATGCTGTGAATCTCTAAATAAATTACAAAACACCCTCTATGGCATTCTTAACTCAGCATGTTTATCCCTATTAAAGCTGTTTCCCCCATTTTGGTTTTTAACAAAATATCAATAAATAAAACATATATGTTTAAAAAAAAACTGTTCAGAAAAGAAAGTCATTTTCATCTCTACTATGAATAAAATCATCCAGAGTTAAGAATGAGGGATTATCTGATAGAGAAGAAATTTTGCTTTTTAAAAAGAAAATGAGAGAAGGAAAATCCTGTTAATTTTTAGTTACAAATGATCTGTCAAACAGGAGAGAAGAAAAGTGATACCTGTACTTACTGTCGTTGGATCCCATGCTAATGAGGTCATCAGAATCAACATTGTGAACTATGGCTGCCTTGTATCCTGCTCTCTGTGCATTTAAAACCTGCAAAGCAAAAAAAAAAAAAAAAAATTATGTTATAAGGAAGACAGTGGTTTGTCTTTTACAATTGATTATAAAAACTTACTGAAGTAAATAAAAGATGAGGATACAAGCTAAAACATTAAAAGGACTCAAAGCATTAATCTGTTTTGCTCTAAAGAGGTAGAAACTTGCTGTAATCAGGCTTAGGAGTTACCAGACCTTGAGCATTCAATTCCCACCTCTGCCATGAATTAGTGGGATGAACTTGAGCAAATTACTTCTTTTGTAACCCTCAGTTTCCTAACCTCTGAAATGAGAATGACAATATTCTTGTCATATGTAAAATAATATTTTAAAAATGCTTAATACCATGCCTAACACACAGAAATGAGTCAGATAAAACCAATTCATATCACTAGCTTGATCATCCAAAATATTCTGTAAAATTCCTTTACAAAGCTTTTTAAAAACTTAAAAATACCTGCAGGCTGAAGTTGCTTACTCTGGTTCTATCTAGCTATTTGATCTTTCCTAAAGCTAGCCTCCAAAATAGTAACCTTTGTACCATAAGAATATAGTTGGATGTGTGGCAGAATTTTTTTACATGAAAGATCTGGAAAGTGTCAAAACATGTTATTACGTCTCACTTTAAAAATAATATTCTGTTATAAGTAAAAATAAACCCAGACCTAAACTACTTATTGTATGACCTTTAGACTATTAGCAAAAATGAAGGATCAGATAGATCATTATTTGCATATTGGTTGAATAAAATAAAAATTAGGAGGGCAAACATATATATACATAGTTTTGAATACTTGAAATACTTTTGAGTATATATAGTTCTGGATACTAATGATAGTAAGAAACTCTTGAAATACATTACCTTATGAGCATTCCACAATGGTATGTCTCAGAGTGTTTGAGTGTTAAGTGTTTTTAAGAAACAGGCATATTAATTTTTTAGAAGAATTTCCAAGTCTAATATTAGTTCTGTTTTAGTTATCAGCATTATAATGATTCAACACTCTGCTATAATTCAATAAAAATAAAACCTGAGTCATGTTCCAAAGGGCCAGGGAAAGCCCAAAGAGTCAAGTTCCCAAATGTAAAAAGGATGTGCAATTATTCAGACTGGATCTGAAAGCTAGGTAAGAGAAATGAGGTCTACATATTCAATCCCAGTCAGGTCAGTTGACTTGGCACAGAGAAAAATTATCTTCTACATTATTCTTGACTTCTCTAAAACTATCCCACCAATTCAAGTTAGATTTCTGAAAGAGACAACAGTGTGGATAAATCAGAATAATATTATCCTATTACTAAAAAAAACTAAATCTGTAGGAGATATGACTGCCCCAAGAAATTAATACTTTGTTTATCTTATAGCCTCCATAGCACCTATGAAATAGCCTGACACAGGGTAGGCCAGTATTAAATATTACTTGAATCAATTAAACGTACTTTTTAAATGTGTTTAAATTAATAGCTCATATTATAACATTATAAACACAGGAGATAAAATCAGGCAGAAAGTGATTTTTTAAAAAACTAATTAAAATAATATAAATTGTTTGTTGGCACAGGACTTACTGCTCTACTGTAGGAATGGCAAGAAATCACCAGTCAACAAAACTGTGACAAGTATGTTTTAGAGTTGTGCAAAGAAAGGTCAATAATCAAAAAAGTAAGTTTAGCATTTTTGCATATGAGTACATGTTTTATTTTTAGGTGGATTTTGTTATCCAACTATGAATGTTGAGAAAATGCCAGTCCCCCACACCCTCTTCCCCTTAGATATCACTACTTTCCAAAGGGAGGAAAAAAATAATCTCTTAAGAATGTAGTCTATAAACTTTGATTATTTGTTACATACATTAACTTATTATTTCTGCATTATATTACCATGGCAGTACAGACTTCACTTGGCTTTTATTTAAACAAAAGTATACTCAGTTGGGGTTACTATTAGTTTATCTGATGCTTTCATGACCATTTTAACTTTTCCCTAAAAGCTAACCAAGGAGCTGAGGAGAAATGTTTCTTTCCACACCCAAAAAGTAACTGTTGCCAAAGACACAATTTAAGAAATATAAAATTAGACCAATATCAAAAGCTGTTTCCTGCTAATACAAAACTTAAGTTTTAAATTTCTTTTTAAAGCCAACCAAAGCACATAGTCATTGAAATTACATAATTTAACTTTTTTCCCTGAATAAAAATATGTGTGAAGGCAAACATGCAACATGTTAGAACACAGAGAAAAGTGGTCTCAGAAAGCACAACGAGTAAAAACTGTGGCTGAATTCAGCAAGTAGTTTGCTGAGCTTACATAATGAGTAAGATAACTGTATCCATACTAGGCACAATGTGGAACTTGAGGATCAATCAGAAAGTCATTATCCTTAAGGAAATTTCAGTACTCATGGGTAGCCAAACAGGTCAGTTGCTTTCTTGACCCTGTGTAGAACTGGCTTTGTCTTCTGAATGCCTGTCAGTACTTCAAATTCCATTATCTCCATGAAGCTTGCCCTGTCCTGTACCCCTATGCCACATGTACCTATATTAATTGCTCCCTGCTTAGAGTATTTACGTTAATCTATTTATATTTTTCTTCAAGATCTTATATAGTGTCTTATACTTACACATATACATGTCATACCCCAGGGGTCCCCAACCTTTTTGGTACCAGGCACTACTTTTGTGGAAGACAACTTTTCCACCGGGGGAATAGTTTCAGAATGAAACTGTTCCACCTCAGATCATCAGGCATTAGTTAGATTCTCGTAAGAAGTGTGCAACCTAGGTCCCTTGCATGCACAGTTCACAATAGGGTTCACGCTCCTACGAGAATCTAATGCACCACTGATCTGACAGGAGGCAGAGCTCAGGCAGTAATGCTTGCCGGCCCACCGCTCACCTCCTGCCATGCGGCCCATTTCCTAACAGGTACGGGACCACGGCTGGGGGCTTGGGGACCCCTGTACTATCCCAATTCCCCAACAGGTCTCCAGGGGGTCCTTAAATCTGCGGTTGTCTACATATAAACTTTTCTGGAGAGGAGACAAAGTAATAATCTTTCAAGAGGCTTTCTCACTCTCAAATTATTAAGAATCATCTATATACATGAATGGATTTATAACAGTCCACCATGTTTAACTAAATCTAACCATTAGGCTTTTAAAACTGTACCAAGCAACTTAGGAGAAATATGTCTTTCACACATCCAAAATGCACTTGTTTCTATAAATACACTACAAAATTATATCAATATCAAAAGCTGTTCTCTGTTAACATAATAATAAAACTCCTAAAATAGAAACCTTAGGAAACCACTAAAATGGGAAGAAATTCTGTAGGCATAAGTGTGATCTCCAAAAAATAGATGCATGTTTTCAAAAATGTAGCAAGTATGAAGGCTTTCCCAAGGTTTTTGTTGTTGTTTTTATCGATTTTTAAAATAAAGAAATGAAATTAAATCAAAGAACACATTAACATATGGACTAACAGGCTTATGAATACAAACAAGGAAAATACATCCATGTTTATGAACTATAAAACTCATGTGTCAGTCAAATTAAATTACATTTTCAACTAAGCAGCAGCTGGTATTTTTAAGAACACATGAGGCAGAAATAAATGTTAAATCATTTAGTAAGCATTTGCAAAGTTTCCCATTCATAAAATGCAACCTCAAACACATGGTGTCAGATGGAAGCAAAGAACTTAAAGATTCATGAAACAAAGCATGCACAGTGAACAAATCTAAATCCAAAACAGCCACCAAAACTGAAAACTACATTATAAAGCCTTCTAAATTGTATTGGCAATCTGCCTTTTTAAGGAGACTGATCAGAGCTATTAGCCCAAATTGTGGTAAATGCACTGAGTATTTTACATCCAATAAACAAATTACATGCAACTAAATTACATAGACCAGGTGGCACCTAACCAAGAGGTTTAAAGAAATAATGGAACTGTTGGCTTGTTATTATAAATAGCCAGTCTGTCAGAAGATAGCAGACTGCTAATAGAAAAGTCTTCAATAAGACAGGTTCTAAAAGGAACCCTGGGAACAACACAATAATTCATCTTATTTCTAGCCTGAACAAATTTATAATACTGACACTAATAAAACATGCCTTATAATAGAGATGATTATGCTTTTGAGATGATCATGAATAGAGACCTTTTAAAAAGAAATCTCTGTGTGCTAGTGCTTTATACATGTTATCTCTAATATTCAATACAACTCCACAATGTAGATATTCTTTTCTATAGTTTAGAAATGAGGAAAGATAGGTAAGTGTAACTACCCTAAGGTCACACTTAGGCAGAGCTGAGATTTAAACACTGCTTTGTCAGGTTAGATAGAGAAGCATGGGGTTGCCCAATGGATCAGGATGAGGCTCAGGATCATTAACCTTATGTAACATTTTACAAATGTCTAGAAAGAGGAATTGAACTGAGAAAGCATCAAGATGCAGATAACATTAATCTTAAAATCTTGTGGGCAAAATAAAACCTATAAACAAAACAACACAAGCCAAGAAGAAATGTGTTAAAATATTGTGTGAAGAGCTGATAGAAACTTAGAGGGAAAAAGGCTGTGGGATGAAATACCTATGACAGATTTTATAAGACTTGAATTACACCTCAATAAAAACAGGAAATTCTGGTTAACAGTGGGAAAAGGTGGGGATATTTTTTCATATGGGAAGAAGAGAGCTACAACAGGGCAAATGGTATCTTAAAAGACACATTTAAAACAAAACAAAACAAAAAACATAGTGACTTGACTTAAAGAAGAGTGTTACTGAAAGGCAGAATGGCAGATTAGTTAAAAGTACAGACTCTGGGAACTAGACGACCTGGGCTCAAATCCTACTTTTATTAGACATGCAAGTGATTTAATGTCTACATTACTAGTATTACAATATACACATTTATTATTGTTTAATCTGAGGATTAAATAATTTAATATATGAAAAACACTTAAAACAGTGCTTAAACATTACCTGGCACATACTAAGAGTTATGTTTATTGCCATTGCTACTAGTGTTTATTGTTGGACAGTCAGAAGTGAGAAGAGAGAGAAAAAAAAGGACAGACTGTGCAGTACCCTGAAGGCTCTTTAGAAAAGTAGACTTGTGGTCTCCTCAGTCAAGAGTTCACAGTAGGCACTTGAATAAGGGGTTGACATGGCTAAAACACTGCTTTGGAACAATCTGGTAATGATTACATTGACTTGGAAAGGAGAGACTGAAGATTTAGAAGCTTTTATGACAATGCAGGATGACAGCAATGACGTGAAAGAATACTATCTCTTATACTTCATAGCCAATTTTTGAACTTAGGGAACTTGGAGAATGCCTTTGGCCAAAATAGGAAAGCTGAGAAACTTTGTTTTGATAGGAAAGTAGCAGAGACTGGCTTTAAACATACTAAATTTGAGAGGTAGCAAGTTTTCCTAGGTAGGTAGAACACAACAGGTTAGAACTTAAGACAAAAATGTTCAGGCCGGGCGCGATAGCTCATGCCTGTAATCCCAGGACTCTGGGAGGCTGAGGCGGGCAGATCACGAGGTCAGGAGTTCGACCAGTCTGGCCAAGAAATTCGGGACTAGTCTGGCCAACATGGTGAAATCCCATCTCTACTAAAAATACAAAAATCAGCTGGGCACAGTGGTGCACGCCTGTAGTCCTAGCTACTCAGGAGGTTGAGGCAGGAGAATTGCTTGAACCCGGAAGTCAGAGGTTGCAGTGAGCCGAGATCGCACCACTACACTCCAGCCTGGGCGACAGAGCGAGACTCCATCTCAAAAAAAAAAAAAAAAAAATTGTCAGATTTTCAGCAAGTTAATCTATTTATTCATTCAATAAATATTTGGGGCCAAGTGCAGTGGCTCACGCCTTTAATCCCAGCACTTTGGGAGGCTGAGTCGGGCAGATCACGAGGTCAAGAGATAAAGACCATCCTGGCCAACAAGGTGAAACCCCGTCTCTACTAAAAATACAAAAATTAGCTGGGCATGGTGGCACACGCCTGTAGTCCTAGTTACTTGGGAGGTTGAGGCAGGAGAATCGTTTGAATCCAGGAGGTGGAGGTTGCAGTGAGCTGAGATCACGCCACTGCACTCCAGCCTGGGCAACAGAGCAAGACTCCGACACACACACACACACACACACACACACACACACGCACACTCAAATTCAGATTTTCAGCACATTAATCTATTCATTCAATAAATATCTGGGGCCAGGTGCAGTGGCTCACGCCTGTAATCCCAGCACTTTGGGAGGCTGAGTCGGGGGGATCATGAGGTCAAGAGATAAAGACCATCCTGGCCAACATGGTGAAACCCCGTCTCTACTAAAAGTACAAAAATTGGCTGGGCGTGGTGGCACACACCTGTAGTCCCAGCTACTCGGGAGGCTGAGGCAGGAGAATCGCTTGAACCCAGGAGGCGGAGGTTGCAGTGAGCTGAGATCGCGCCACTGGACTTCGGCCTGGGTGACAGAGCAAGACTCCATCTCAAAAAAAGACAAATCTGGCTACCTTGTTGTTTAAAACAAACTTCTAATAAAATGCAATCTATTCACATTGTTACATTTCCTATAATCTTCAATCCTCTTTAACTTCTATATATGAACGAAGTTAAGTGTACTTCATTGTTTCTCTGGGAAGAGATGTTGCAAATAAGCAGACATGTGTATATGTCCAGGCTACACACCTGCAAGAATGGTAAAAATGTAAGAGAGGTGACTTTCCCTGGTGAACAATAACCTTGAAAAGAATCCAGTTATTATATTAGACAGGAGTCTGGATATTCATGTAAAATGATACATACTTAGAACTAGAACATTATTTACTTGAAATACAAATCTGCATTTCAAGTTCTAAAACTTTTATCTGAATTATAGTGCTGTTTTGCACGAAGAGTAATTTGTAATGTTTGAAGAACAGAGAAAAGGCAAGCCCAAAAGCAGGACTACTTCAGACAGACAGAGGATATTCCAGCAACAGCATACATTCATTTCCTGCAAATGCCCAGTGTTTCTGAGAACATCTGTCTTCAGATAATGGGCAAAAGATATCTGATGATAAATAGTAGCTTTTACAAATATACTCTCTTCTAATTTTAATAACATAAATTTTAGTTCACTATTTCAACATTTTTATAAGTACAAATAGATCATTTATTTTAATTGGGAAGTTAAAAGAGGATATACTGAAATATGTCAAACAGTAATGCGTGCAGAATAAAAATATATGTGAGGTAGAGGAAAATTTCAGTGACAAGTCATAATTTTATTACTAAAACAAGTAAACTAATAAGAATAGAAGTAGAAAAAAGTAATAAATACTGGGAAAATTCATCTACCATGGTTTAGGAATAAATATAAAAATACACCTCTCTCAAGGTGTATTTTAAGTGCTTACTCACTAGGAAGAGAATGACTACATTTTCTTGAATTCCAATTTACTCATGATGTCTTCAGTAGCTTTAAAGCGTCTTTCTTTTCTTTTTGCTCCCAATCAACTTTCATGTTCAAGTATGAACTTGGCTTCATATTATTTTAAAATATCTTCTGTTAATAGTGTTACTTACAAAACTCTTACAATTAACATTCTATTTGCTGGTAAAAGACTGAATGCTTTCTCCTTAGTAACAGCAACAAAATGAAGATATTCACTCTTACTGCTTCTATTCAACATTGTACTGAAGCTCTTAGCCAATGCAATAAGGTGGTGGGAGTAGGGCAAAGGGAGAGGAGAGAAGAGAGAGTGTGTAAAAGTGCATATGGATGAAGAAATGAAAAACTAAAACAGTCTTTATCTGCAGTTCACATAATCATCTACTTAAATGAATCTGCAAAAAGACTTCTAGAAGACAGGGCATGGTGGCTCATGCCTGTAATCCCAGCACTTTGGGAGGCTGAGACAGTAGGATTGTTTGATTCCAGGAACTGAAGACCAGCCTGGCAATGTAAAGAGACCCCATCTCTACAAAAAATTTAAAAATAAGCTGGGTGTGATGGCACATGCCTGTAGTCCCAGCTACTCAGGAGGCTGAGGTGGGAGGATCACCTGAGCCCTGGAGATCAACATCTGTTGTTGGATGGAACATTCTATAGGTATCGGTTTGGTCTAGATGATTTATACTGTTGCTCAAGTCTTGTGTTTCCTTACTGATTTTCTGACAAGCTGTTCTATTCATTATTGAAATTGGGGCATTGCAGTCTCCAACTATCATTGTTGAACTGTGTGACAGGGCAGCACTGAGTTCCATGTAAAGTCCTCTAGTCACTGTGCTCTCGCTACTCCTAGTGCACAGACTCTGCATTGCGTGGTTGCTGCCGGGAAGCGGGCGGGGAATGAAGAAGGGTGGTGTCAGCGATTCAAGTCTGTTTCTCCTGTCCTCTTCAACGTCCCTGGATAACTTTAAAAGTACTGAAATCACACAAAGTATATTCTCCGATCATAGTGGAATGAAATTAAAGATTAACATCAGAAGGAAATTTGGGAAATTCACAAATATTTCAAAATTAAATAACACACTCCTAATCAATGGGTCAAAAAATCACAAAGGAAATTTTACAATACTTTGAGATGAATGAAAGCAAAAACAAAACATATCAAAACTTATTTGGATACTACTAACACTATACATTTGAAAAAATCATATCCTTTCATGATAAAAGTACTCAACGAACAGAAATAGAAGTGAACTCAACCTGATAAAGAGCATCTATGAGAAATCACAGCTAACATCATACTTCAGGTTAAAAGACTTAATGCCTTCTCTCTAGGATCAGAAAGACAAGAATTCCACTCTTGGCCCTTCTATTTAGTATTGTACAGGCAGTTCTAGCCAGGAAAATTAGGCAAGAAATTGAAATAAAATGCTTCCAGATTGGAAAAGAAGAAGTAAAACTATATGTATGTGCAAATGATATCTCGATCAATCAATCAATCAATCATATGAAAGAATCCACAAATAAACTACTAAAACTAATAAACCAGTTTAGCAATGTGACAGGATACAAGATCAATATACATAAATCCACTGTTTCTCTATACACTAGCAATGAACAATCCAAAATAAAATTAAGAGAAAAAAATCCATGTTCATAGATTGGAAGAATCAATATTGTTAAAATGCCCACACTACCCAAAGCAATCTACAGATTCAATGCAATGTCTATCAAAACCAATGACATTCTTCACAGAAATAGAGAAAAACAATTGTAAAATTTATATGAAACCACAAAAGACCAAGAAGAGACAAAGGTATCCTCAGCAAAAAGAACAAAACTGAAGGAATCACATTACCTGACTTCAAATTATACTACACAGCTATAGTAACCAAAACAGCATGATGCTGGCATAAAAAGATACACAGAACAATGGAACAGAATAGAAAACACAGAAACAAATCCACACACCTACAGTGAACTCATTTTTGACAATAATGTCAAGAACATACACTGGGGAAAAGACAGTCTCTTCAATGAATGGCGCTGAGAAAACTGGAGGTACATATCCAGAAGAATGAAACTAGACCCCTATTTCTTGCCATATAAAAATATCAAACCAAAATGGATGAAATACTTAAATTTAACATCTCAAATTATGAAATTACTACAAGAAAACATTGGGGAAAATCTCCAGGACATTTGTCTGGGCAAAAATTTCTTGAGTAATACCCCATAAGCACAGGCAACCAAAGCAAAAGGGACAAATGGACTCCTATCAAGATAAAAGCCTTCCACGCAGCAAAGGAAACAATCAACAAAGTAAAGAGACAACCTACAGATTAGGAGAAAATATCTGCAAACTACCCATCTGAAAAGGAATCAATAACCAGAATATATAAGGAGTTCAAACAATGCTATAGGAAAAAAGTCTGATAATCCAATTAATAAATGGGCAAAAGATTTGAATAGACATTTCTCAAAAGAAGACATACAAATGGGAAATAGGCAAATAAAAATGTGCTCAACATCACTGATCATCAGATAAATGCAAGTCAAAACTACAATGAGATATCATCTCACCCCAGTTGAAATGCTTTTATCCAAAAAAAACAGGCAACAAGAAATGCTGGAGAGTATGTGGAGAAAAGGGAACCCTGTACACTGTTGGTAGGAATGTAAATTAGCACAATCACTAGGGAGAACGGCTTGGAGATTCCTCAAAAAAACTAAAAATAGAGCTGCCATATGATCCAGCAACCTCAGTGCTGGGTATATTCCCCAAAGAAAGAAAATCACTATATGAAAGAGATACCCAAGCTCCCATGTTTGTTGCAGCACTGTTCACAATAGCCAAGACTTGGAAACAACCTAAGTGTCCATCCACAGGTGAATGAATAAAGAAAATGTGGTACTTAGACACAATGGAGTACTATTCAGCCATTAGAAAAAATGAGATCCTGTCATTTGCAACATGAATGAAACTGAAAGCCACTATGTTAAGTGAAATGAGCCAGGCACAGAAAGACAAACATCACATGTTTTCACTTATTTGTGGGATCTAAAAATCAAAACAATTGAACTCATGGAGATAAGAGAGTAGTGTAGTGGGGGGAGATGGGGATGGTTAATGGGTACAAAAAAAAAACCACACACACACACACAGAATAAATAAGACCTAGTACTTGATAGCACAACAGGGTTACTATAGTTAATAATTTAATTGTACATTCTAAAGGAACTAAAAAGTAAAACTGAATTGTATGTAACACAAAGGATAAATGCTCGAGGTCATAGATACTCCATTTTCTATGATGTGATTATTATACATTACATGTTTGTATCAAAAAATGTCATGTATCCTATAAATACATACACCTACTATGTACCCACAAAAATTTTAAATAAAAAACTAAAAAAAAATGTAGATGGGTTCCCTTTAGGTCTTTGGCTAAATATAAGAATGGCATATGCATGCATACAGTGAGACCTTATAAGCCTGGACAAACAAGCTCACTAGGGAAAAAAAAACAATTACTGGAAAAAAGATTAACAATTTCCAGAATTCAGACAGGATCAGGAAGAGTTCAAGCTCTGACCAGCCAGAGAGGGGAGACTTCCTTGAATACTAGATCATTCAGAGGACACCCTAGAAGGGTTATACCTTATTAGTACAGCTAAAATAGTAGTGCTACAGTAAAGGCAACTCTTCATCAACTTAACAAACTTTAAAAACAAGCCTGAAAATAACCAAGCTCATCTGCAAGTAACTTACTGCCAGCCACAACAAAATTAAAAGGTCTTTAAAGACCAAGACATATGACAATACAACACTATGTCCAACATCTAATCAAAAGTTACTAGACATGCACTATTCACAACAAAGATACGGAATTGACCCAAATGCCCATCAATCATAGACTAGATAAAGCAAATGTGGTACATATACACCATGGAATACTATGCAGCCATAAAAAGGAACGAGATCATGTCCTTCTCAGGGACATGAATGGAGCTGGATGCCGTTATCCTTGGCAAACTAACGCAGAAACAGAAAACCAAACACCACGTGTTCTCACTTATAAGTGGGAGCTAAACAATGAGAACACATGGACACAGGGTGGAGAACATACACTGGTACTTCTCAGGGAGGGTCGGGGGAGAGAGAGCATCAGAAGAATAGCTAATGGATGCTGGGCTTAATTCTTGGGTGATGGGTTGATCCGTGCAGCAAACCACCATGGCACACGTTTACCTATGTACCAAACCTGCACATCCTGTACATGTACCCCAGAACTTAAAAAATGAAAGTTGAAAAAAAAAAAGGTAGACACGCCAAGAAGCAAGAAAATGTGACCCATAACCATGAGAAAAACCATTCAACAGAAACAGACCCAGAAATTACATGGATACGGAATTATGAATAGCAGACAAGGATTTTAAAACAGCTATAAATTATAATTTATTATTATAAGAATACATTTACATGTAATATAAAGACATAAAATTATAAATTACGTTCAAGGATTTGAAGGAGAATATAAACATAAGGCTCAGAGAAATGGATGATACATACACACACACATACACACACATTTTAAAGATCCAAGTGAAACTCCTAGATAAAAGAGATACAATATGAAAAGTTCACTAGGTGGGCTTAAAAGATTATAGACATTGTAGAATAAAGGATCAGTAAATGTGAAGACAAAGGAATAGAAATTATTAAACTGAAACACAGAAATGCACAAAGTAGGAAAAAAAGAATCAAGAGCTGTTGTAGATTAAAGGAGACATGACAACTAAGCTGAATATGTTTAGTCTGGGATTCATGATTGGATCCTGAAATGGTTAAAAAGAAAACAACTATAAGAGATATTTTGGACACAATTAGGAAATTTAAACATGTAGTTTATATTATTAGATAATATTTATCAATATTAAATTTCTTAAGTGTGGTAACTACATGTAGGAGAATGCTGCTGTTGTACAGAGAGAGAATGTATAAGACATAAAATATGGGGCTTATTTTAAAACTGTTTAAGAAAAAACACTTGGTAGTTACTAACAATGGATTAACTTCAGAAGTATACCTGTATTTTCATCTTTGTTGTAACATGAACCACAAGCTTTTGTCTTGAGGGCATTATTTTTTAAATATCCAGCTGAGTACTGTGACAACCTGATACATTTTAATCAGGCCAGCTTCACATACTTAACTTTAAATAGATTAATTTTCAACTACCATGGCTCATTAAAAACATGATATAAATATGGACTAATTTCATCATGGTCTCAAATTGAAAATAAAAACAAAATCATCCTGCACTTAGTAAAGGTAAGTGCATAGCACAATACTAGTAAGCAAAATTTGTGAAAATTCATGTTTCAGAGTATTACTTTAAAAATTAACAAAAGATCTGTTTTCATGCTTCTTGGTATAAACATTAATTACTAGAAAACTAAGCCTGTTTTCACCTTGAAAAACAGAGATCTGACAAAATAACATTTAGAGCATTTTAAGTACCAGGCTTTAATGTTCCTTAAGAACAATCTTTTTTGTTTATGTATATCTCAAGCCTAGAAAAATATCTCTCATATAAATAGTTGTTTAAAGTAAACTGCAACTAAGGTAACTGATTATCCAGCCCTATCCAGCAATATATAAGTCAAAAAAATAAAATTTCCTCGTATCTGTTGGTTAGTTCCTTCCTACCCCCTCCCCCACCCACCCTCCACGAAAGCACACAGGAAATTTTACTTTAGTCATTTTGGATAAAAATTTTTGTGATATGTTGCATTTTCCCCACCTTTTCACCAAATGTGACTTGACCTTTTCCAGTTACTCGAGATCATCATGAACATGCTTCAACAGACTATAGTTTTTCTCCTTAATGTTAAGTGTCATATGTTACTTCCTCTCTCTGTGCTTACCACTGGTACTCTACTAATAGTTATTCTGGACTTCCTCCATCTGTATATCCTTCTCTGTGGCAGAGAAAAAAAAAGAACTAAACCCGATAAGAATTCTATTCTTTAAAAAAAATTAAGTGCATAAGAATTCTGAGAAAAACTGCCAGGAAAAGTACATGGTTTTAACGCTGAAGCTTAGCAACATTCATAATGGTGGTACAAAGGCATGTTTCCTTCTCTTCTCTGAGGCTATGTTCTGGGAAAGTTGACCTTTTGCTAAGTGGCATATTACCACTGTACATGTTAAGCTTAGAGGTAAGCTGAATTTATTTATTTCATTAGAAAACATTTTTGGTAGGGCTAGTAAAATCTTGTGTTATACAAAAAGCCATACTTATTTGTTTCAAGTACAGTATACCAAAAAACAGAAGCCAAAACGCTTGGAACTTAAATTATTAAAGATCTTATGTTGGCCGGGTGCAGTAGCTCACACCTGTAATCCCAACACTTTGGAAGGCCGAGGTGGGTGGATCACTTGAGGTCAGGGGTTCGAGGCCAGCCTGGACAACGTGGTGAAACCCCATCTCTACTAAAAATATGAAAATTAGCCAGGCCTGGTGGTGGGTGCCTGTAATATCAGCTACTCAGGAGGCTAGGGCAGGAGAATCATTTGAACCTGGAAGGTGGAGGTTGCAGTGAGCTGCGAGCAAGCCACTGTATTCCAGCCTGGGCAACAGAGCAAGACTCTATCTCAAAAAAAAACAAAGATCTTTTGTTATTTTTTCCAATGGCATCATTTTAAAGTCAATCTATGGCATATGGACAAGCAATTTTAAATACTGGGAGACACAATTTACTACTAAAATTACAAATAAAAAGCAATTTTTGAACTTAGAAGTGCTTAGGCAAAAAGCATACTTCTTAGTGTCCCTGCCAGTTTTCACTGCTACACAGAAAAGATTGGCCTAAATCTGCATTTTTCAAACTATAGGTCATGATCCATTACCAGGCAGTAAAGTCATTTAGTGAACCCAAGTGAATTTTATTTTTTAATAAAAAGAAATTTCATATACCAAGTTATTATCGTATAGGTAGTGTAGGTAAGTACTATTCCATGAAATTTTATTGTCAGACTGTGTGCTGTATACAAACTAGGGAACAAGTAAAAATAAACTTCTTACTGTGGGTGGGTTGCAGTCAAAAAAGTTTGAAACTCACTCATATAGATAGTTTTTAATATTCCATAGGTTGTTGGCAATCAGAAAAAAGATTGATGCCTTTCAACATGATTGTTCCATGTTGCAACAATCATGTTCTGCAACATCCCATCAAAAAATCAAAGTCATTAGCTTATAGGTCTTTGAATGTGGCTATTTCCAGTATTATGAAGCTTAATACTGTAGCTGGAACATGATTAGTACTAAAGATAATAAAATGAATAACATAAAATTAAAATTAATTTAAAAGTTAAATTACATTCGTCTTTTTTTCCCAGTGACATTAAGAAAATCTGAATAACCTTTATGTGTAGTTATGCTTGCTATAAGTTAAAACTTGTAAGTTATGCTTAAGTTAAAACTGCTTTAAAAAAATCTTTACTTTGTAATGAACCACACCAGTTAAAATAAACTATACTAGTTAAAAGCTGCCTAAATATTTGTCAGAATTGCAATTTAAATCTAAAAAAGCTATTCATAAATATTCTCTAGTTACCTATGTATATTAAAGTAGATATTTAAAATAAAGGATCTGATCTAAGTTCATATTTTTTAGACACTGATAGGATTCATATTCCAATCAAATCTTAATGATTTCTCATCCTAACATAGCAGAGGCCCCATTTCAGCCCACCCACCACTGAAAATAAAGGCTTTAGAATAACTTTCTGTGCAACAAGAGGATAACTTTCTGTACTTAAAATCAGCTTACTAGGAATTTCACAAGTAACACAGGAACTTCCATTGCACTTGAAAAGTAACTGTGATGGAGCAATTACAGTAAGAATTTTGATGTTCAGCGCCACCCAGCGACAGATCTCTGAGTATACTCCTCCATTACTGCCTGTTAATTGTTTCTGGTATTGTAGGCACTGTACTAAAAGCTCAGTACACAGAACTGCATAAAACATAAGCTCTACTCCCAAGAATCTGAAATTAGAAAAGACATATCCATGGGTTTTTTAGGTTAGGATCAGGCTAGAGGTAATGAAAACAGTATAATGTAGCAAAAAGAAAGAATTAGAAAATACACAGTATTGCTAGAATTTGTTCTGGCCTTACAAAGAGACTTTCCCTTTGCAAGCTATTATAAACACAAGATAAAAAATGAGTAACTTTAATGAGCAGTCACTTTATGGTATACTTAACATCACTTTATTTAAAACATTTGAAATCAATGTAAAATTAGTGCAAATATAGAGCTTTCTCATTATGAAGATCAGCTCATTTAATATAATCTGTAGATGGAATAAAATCTTGAAGATAAAGAATTACCAGGCCAGATGCAATGGTTCACATCTGTAATCTCAGCACTTTGGAAGGCCAAGGTAAAAGGATCACTTGAGCCCAGGAGTTTGAGACCAGTCTGAGCAACATAACAAGACCCCCTCTCAACAAAACAAAACAAATTAGCCAGGCATGGTGGAGTGTGCATATAGTCCTAGCTACTTGGGAGGCTGAGGTGGAAGGATCGCCTGAGCCCCAGGAGGTCAAGGCTGCAGTGAGCCATGTTCATGCCACTGCACTCCAGCCCAGGCAACAGTATAAGACCCTGTCTCAAAAAAAAAAAAAAAAAATTACCTGATAACAAGGTCTTTAATGAAGTCTGATTAAAGTGATACATTAGAAAGTAACAGGTCTCTCTTAAACTAAGTATTGAGTACACAGAAATTCATTTTACTATTATTTAAATTGCACATATACACATTATAGATACTTTTACTGTGTCTTCCATCTTTCAAAACACAAAAAGGTGAAAAGTCAAAACGAAAAAGAAAATAGCATAATACAGATACTGGATGGTTCTGGAGCCTGGCCTCTTCAAACTTCTAGTTATAAATTGGGTTTTTGCAGTTCTAGAAATGTGACACAACTAGACCTTCACTTTAATGTCTACCTTCTAAAGATTCCCTAAAGAAAACACACTCTAACTCTGCTTCTAAACCTTTCCAAGTGCAAAATGGAAAAGTTCTCTGGAGAACTGATTTTCTCTTCCTTCAGCATAGCCACAAAGGAACAGTAAATTAACCATCAGCCTGGACACAAAATACCCTTTCTCCCCACCCAGATGTCTAATAGAGGAGAAAAAGTACTTATTCTATAAGGGAAGAAAATGAAATAAATTAATGAGAGACATAGAGAATAGAGATAATTCTCAAAACCTAGCTATGATCATCTTTTTGAGTCCAAAGAAATAAGAAGAAATTAAGAAGTAGAATCTCTTTCTCAAGTGATCAAAACAATGCAGATGAGAATGGAGCAATAGATCTGAGGATTCAGATTGTGAATGTAAATCATTAATTTTATCTATTGGATAAAAATTCCTGGGAACTTTGCAGTATCGAATAATCAATTATTGAAATAAGATCCAGAATTATAGCAAGCAATCCTGCCAATATTACATTCCATTTCAACATTGTTCTTTCCTGCACATTATTTTAGGACTACTGCAGGCCATGTTGAGAAGAGCTACTCCTCAGAAGAGAGTATCAGGCTCTTATGACATTTTAACTCTCATTAATATTATAGTTCAGTGATAAAAACTATCTTTCTCTCTTTCTTTCGATCCCATCTTTCCTCCTTACCTAGACATCGTTCATTTATAGTATATCTGAGTAATCTGAATATCTTGATTTTAATACATTTTATTGCTTGAGTCCAAAATAAAGCAGTAAGTCTCTTGAAAAGTATATGGTCTAGCATTCTGATGTCTGTGATTAAAGGATACCTATGTAAAAATTCTGAAGCAAAAGAATGTTTGGGGAATAGATACATAAATAAAGTTACTGGCATTACACTGCTTCATTAGATTAGAATAAAGCACATGTAAATTAATATTTTTCAGCTTTTTTCTTTCATGAAAGATTACCTTCCTGGTAAAAGAAGGGAATTTTGCTTTGTTATTTTAATATTGAATAAATTTGTGTATAAAGAAACCTAATCATGAAAATGCAAGTATATTTACCAATTAAAGGGTGGAAGAAATGAATGAACAAATGAATGAATGAATTAGCAGCACAAAGCTGTTTGATTGAACTATATATGGATAGAACTGTTTCCATCCATCGAATATCCTTGAATATGCTCCTTTAGTGGAATCTTTTAAACATGATTCTGAAGTAGATTAATAACAAATGTTATACATCACTTTATAGAAATATATACATTATGAAAAATTAAATGATATTAAATGACTTTCAGGTAATTTGCAGAGTTTAATTTCTACTTAAGGTCGTATCTACTTGCTTACTACTACTGAAATAGTAGTGCAGAGTATGTTCTGGGGACAAGTAATGTGTTTGACTGAAGGCCTGAAAGGGGATAATGTAATGAAAGGTAAGTCTAGAAAGGAAAACTAGAGGGCTACTTTCTGAGATAACAAAAAAATCACCAAAAAAAAAAAAAAAAAAAAGACAGAAAGAAAAAGAGTTATTATGATATGATCAAATAATCCCAAAAATGTTTATGGTAATTTAAAAAAATTCTATAAACATTGAGAACTAGAGAAAAATATCTGTGGGATAAATAAATATCTAGGCTTAGAAATAATGCCAAAAGCATTAAGTGAAATGAACATGAAGCAAATGGAAAGTTCCAGTGATACTGTTTAGGCTCTAATCTATTCACATTTTATTATAAGCCCTTAAGGTTTTTAAAGTAAATCACTTTGCAAATATTTATTATTCATCTACCAATGCCATATAATGCATTAGGCACTAGCACTACAGAATCTAAAACATGATATTTTTCTCTCACAGAGAGAAACAGAGACTGATGTGGGATTAAATAGTATATAAAAGATACGGGCCGGGTGTGGTGGCTCACGCCTGTAATCCCTGCACTTTGAGAGGCCGAGGCGGGTGGATCACCTGAGGCCAGGAGTTCAAGACTAGCCTGGCCAACATGATGAAATACCATCTCTACTAAAAACACAAAAAATTAGTGGGGCGTGGTGGCACGCACCTGTAATCCCAGCTACTCAGGAGGCTGAGGCAAGAGAATTGCTTGAACCCGGGAGGCAGAGGTTGCAGTGAGCCAAGACCGTGCTACTGCACTCCAGCCTGGGCAACAAGAGCAAAACTCCATCTCAAAAAAAAAAAAAAAAAAAAAAAAGATATGATGACTTCTACCTTGAAGAAAATCAGGGAAGGTTTCAGACAGGACACAGTTTATCTCAGATTTAAAATAAAGTCAGATTGGCCAGACAGACAAGTAGAAGGAGGACATGCCAGATGGAGGACATGACAGAAACTAAGACAGAGTGGGAGAGACTGCTCAGCACATATGGGGACTTGTAAATTCTTACGAGGTGGGAGGAGTGGCAAAGTAGAGATGAGACTTGAGAGAGAGGCAGAAGTCAGGTAAAGTATCCCAGTTAAGTTTTGTATCTGTATCCCAGTTAAGTTTTATAAAAGCCACATTACAGCAGAAAATAGCTCTGAAGAGACCCAACATATTCCTTATCATCTACAATCCAAATGTACCTCCATTCATGCCCACAAAAAAGGGGGTGTGGGAAGGGAGAATAATATCTAAGTCCTTTCAGTCTTGGTAACTGGCCTAGATGGCTTTGCAGCTGCATTTTTCAAAAATACTCATTCACACATAAGATAGAATAAGATTCAGCACACACTGCTGAATAAAGTGCATATGTTGCACCATTTCTGTTTACCAGCCTTTGCTAAAGTCCAGCTAAAATACAGTAAATTGGCTACTCAAAGAAATTGGTGACTTACCATTATACCCAAGTAATGAAAGCATCTGGTACTGAAATGACAATGGACAGATTTTTTTATAACTTGTCTTTATTCAGTTATATACACAGAAAATTGTATAGCTCTGAAAGTTCAATGTTAAGTGATTATTTTAATGGCCTTTCAATTACTAGGTATTTTTACAGATTTTTTTTAAAGTCGTATTTCTCACTGGGATGCCAATTCAAGCCTTTTGAGAAATATCTCCCTCAAAATGCTTCAAAGTCAATTTTTGTCACAGTAAAGAACAGCATCATACAAAGACAAAATAGCACTGTTTCGCTTTTCCTCTAAAGAGCTGTATTTTTCAGAGGATACAGTTTTTGTAAAACAGTGTAAGTGATTACTTTTAGAATAAGTACCTGACATGTAATCAATAGTTCTTCTTACTGGCTTTTTGGATATTCTACATATTCAAACATTCATTCTGAGCATGGGTTTTGCTGCATCTCCTCAAGGTAAGACAGATTAAAAGGTTCATATGTGCTTCTCTCAACAGAAGATAAAAAATTAAACAATGGCTCTCTTTATTTGGAAAGCAATTCCCTTTCCTCCAGGAATTGTTAATTGCATTTCTGCTGCCTTCGTGGCTATCTTTGAGTCACAAATCACTTGGGATGGTTTGTATGAAGAAAATATGCCATTTTAAAAATTATAACATACATTCCACTTATTCATTTCCTTTTAAAGAAGTAAGAAAAGTGTAGGTTTCTTTAATCTGTTTAAAACAAAACTAAAAGAGTTGTAAAAATCCTGAAATACTCACCAACATTAATCATCTGGAATAACTCGATAAATTTTTATTCCTTGTTTCTTTTCTCTTTGTGGTCTACAACAAAGAGTTCCTTTCTCCAAGGAAAATTTTAAAAGATAGAGCCAATTCTCCTTTGTCTGAGATAATTTGTATGTCACTTTGGATAAGAGGCATGCCAAAATATAACCCTGCACTACCATCAATTGTAGTATTATGTATGGAGTTGAATTAAGTTTTCCTCAGTACTCAGTCCTAGTAAGCTATGTAATAAATAAGGAAATATATCATTTTTCTAACTATCTTAAGTCAATGCATCATACAAAATTGTGGATATACATGAATGAACCACTACTGATTATCTATAAGAGATATATATTAACACTGATGACTGAATTCCACAACACACTTAATATAAAACTGTATATAACCATTTTGGAAGCTCATTAAATGCAGTCAGAGATTTCTGATATGAAAATTACAGCTAATAAGGCTAACAGCTTATCCATCAGTAACCACTCTAGAAAGGAAATCTTCTTTAGGGTGCGATTCCAGTTGTTTTCCCAGTACCCATAATGACTTTATCCTTACCCAGTCACACTACCTTGATAGGTGATCCATAATTCTTACTATTACAAATTTATGAAACATACTTTCCACAATGGCATGACTAAACTGTCTTTATAAGCCAAGTCAGAAATTTTACATCAGCTGACACTGAGTTGCTATATCACATGTGACTTACCAGACAATTTAATTTCTGAAAAGTCAGGAATTTTGCCATCTTTACCCTTATTCTATTTAATTCTAATGGTAAAAAGCATAAAACATCAACAGCTAAGACCCACTTGCCTCCTTCCTGTGTGCAAGGTGCTGTTTGGTAGGCATTTAACATTGATTAGTTCATTTGATCCTCCCAACAATCCTATCATATAGGGAACATTATAATTCTTATTTTACAGATAAGGAAATTGAGGCACACAGAGGTAAAATAACTTGTCCAAGATCATACTGCTAGTAAATAATAAAGATGAGATTGAAATGTATACAGTCTGTTTCCAGACCTTGATTATAATCATTGTGTCTCCCCTATAAACTGATGTTCCAGAAATTTATACAACTCTGACAAAGACAGAAATCATTAGGAATGACATAAGTAAGGAATCTTTAGCCTTAAATGGCCAGAATACACTCCACTGTGTATTTATGGAGGAAAAAATAACCAAGTTAAAGAACATGTACAACAGACTAGACCCTTATTCATAAAAACTGTGCCTACATGGTAAAGTACAATGAGAATTTTTTTAACATTTCCCTGTCTAACATTAGAATGGCTCAACTGAAAACTTCTTCCATGTTTTTCATATGTACATGTTTTTCAAGAATATATTAGACACATAAGCAAAAGACTATTACACAGCTTCATTTAATAAGTCTTTATTGATTACCACACACTATAATACAAATTGGATACATAAATATGACTAAAACATGAATTCTAAACACCATCAATTCACAAATAAGTGAGATATATATATTCAATAAAAAGTAACAACAATGTGATAAAAAGCAATGAAGGAAGTATTTACAAAGTGGAAGGGTGGCACATTGAGCTGGAATGGTCTGCACTGCAACAGAGGAAGTAGAAAGAAAAGTAAGGCTCCCTGAGGAGGTAACATCCTCAGCTAGCATGTAACCGATGAGACAGATAAATGGGTGGTAAAGATCACTGGAGACAGAGATCTTGGACAGAGAAAATAGTACATGTAAAGGCACAAATGTATGATCAGCATGGCACAGCCAGTTGAGAGAGTTCAGGTAGGCAGTATGGCTGCAACATAAAATTCAAGGCAAGCAGTGAAAAGAGATGAGCTGGAGTAATGACTAAATCATTAAACTCCTTTAGAAGTACTCAGACTCATGATGAGGATCCACTAAAGGGACAAGAAGGCTAACAAGCCTACTGTATTCATTCCTGAGCTGTGGTTTCATCTTCAAAAACAGATATTCAATAACAGTATTTCCCTAATTTTCAAAGTGTACCATCTGCCATCCCTGCCTATAAAGGAAAGTTATAACAACAGCAAAAAAGTATTCTAGTTTCTAATTATCAGACTGTACCGAGTCCAGAAATTACATAGCATAATAGTGTAGTAAACCTTGGGATCAATAGAATTAGTTTACTTTTAATTTCTTAGCAGCAAGAAATTAATGAAACATTACAATAACATTTAATTTTAACTGAAGCAACCTGTAATTATTATAGTTTAGTTCTGGATAAAACAGTTAAATTTAAACTATCATAAACAACTCTGAGGAGCAGGAAGTCTACTACTTTGACTTCAAGCTCTAATTTATTCCCATTTAAAGGCAATTGAGAGTCTATATTTGGAACTAACATAAAGTAGTAACAATAACTATCATTTATACAGTACTATACATTTTCAAATCCCTTTATATTATTTTATTCCTCTCATAAGTTTACTATGGAGGTATCATTTCTTCCATGCAATCAAAATTGCAGAGAAAATTCATGCACAGCATGACAGGGCGGTTTTTCTTGCTGAACGGACAAATTATCTAAGACCAAGTGACATGAAATAATAGCCCATGTCCTATTCTGGGAGATACATGCAAGACACTATATGACACTCAGCTCTGAGGTAGTCCAGTAACAGTTACATCAAGGTTTATTTTACATAGGCCTCAATGTGGCTCCTTTGCCAATGCCAATCCCAAAACAGACTTTAAAAAACCATACACCTAGAGCAGCACTGGTGATATATGGTGACGGAGGTGGGTAAACCTTGTTTTACTATCTGAAATGCTAGCTTAACCCATGTCAGAGAGAAAAAACTTTACACAGGGGCAGATTTAACTTATTACAAAAGAGAAACCTCAATGACAATGTAGACACAGGTATAGATGTAGGTTTGAGATTGATACTGGAAGGGTAAAAGCATAAAACTAAAGGCTGAAGTTAAGTTTTCATTCCTAGATGAGATCAAGTAACATTCCACTGTTAAACCACAGTTCAAGATGTCCAACAAATGCCTGAAAATTCTTAGAACCAGTAAACATTATTTCTATTCTATGAATCCAGTTTATTTTCAATCTTACTGGATTTTAAATTTTAAATGTTTTCTGAAACAAGGGAGGATGTAAATGATTTAAATTAGCTAACTGAACAAATAGGAAACAAAAAATGAAAAAAGATAATCATACCTTTATATCAAAATTACAATCAAGTCTTCTAATTAACACGATGAAAGTGCCAGATGAATTGTCTTTTACTGGTGGAGGCACTATGGGTTCACAGGCATTCTCTGGTTTTGAGTTAATCAAAAAACCCTGAAAAAGAATTGGTAAAAATTATCTCTCTGTTTCACTCAGTAAATCAATCAACTTACTTCTACAAATATCTTTTCGATTTGTCATGTGTTTTGCATTATGCTAGATGTATCATTGGGCATGTAAAATTGCTCACAATCACGGAACTTCTAAAGCAGCATTTGCTTTCACAAGCATTTAGTTTTCTAAAATAAGTTCTATCTTTTGTATTGAAGTTAAAAAAATAATAATAATAAGCAAACTCAGGCATAAGCCAATCACCCCAAAGACAACCACTGGTATATTTTCGAACAATATTTGACATTTTCAAACCAAGCAAATATGTCTTAAAAATTAACTTTCTTTCATGTTAGCAGACAATGAAATGCACATAATAAATAAATTTCTAGAAATTTATTCTGCAGAAATGCTAGCCTGAGTATGTAAGGTGTATGTGGAAAGACAGTCATTGGTACATTATTTTTAATAGCAAAAACTGGAAATCATGCATATCCACAAGGTAACTATTTAAACAATTATAGTATATTTATACAATAGGAAAATAATGCAGCCATTTAAAAAAATAAGGAAGACCTGTATACACTAAACTGAAAAGACGTCCACGAGATAACCATGAATTTAAAAAGTAAACAGCAAGTTGCTTTCCCAGGAATGCAGGATGGTTTGACATAAGAAAATGTAGTAACAGGCTGGTCACAGTGACTCACATTTGCAATCCCAGCACTTTGGGAGGCCGAGGCAGATGGATCACCTGAAGTCAGGAGTTCAAGACCAGCCTGGCCAACATGGCAAAACCCCATCTCTACTAAAAATACAAAAATTAGCCGAGCATGGTGGCACACACCTGTAGTCCCAGCTACTTGGGAGGCTGAGGCAGGAGAATGGCTTGAACCCAGGAGGTGGAAGTTGCAGTGAGTCAAGATTCTGCCACTGCACTCCAGCCTGGGCGATAGAGCGAAACTCCGTCTCGGAAAAAAAAAAAAAAAAAAAAAATCTGGTAACAGACTAAAACAGAAAAATCAAATGTCTATCTTTTGTAAAAAGTGAATAAACACATAAAAAGATGATCAAATTCACTGATTTCATTTATAAAGGAAGGAGGCAATTAAAGCTATGAGACAATGCCTTAACAACAGTTCTGTATGGTCCTGAACTGGTCACACCAATCATCTATTCCACAGGATTTGGCAATTTCTCCTCCCTGAAATTATATTGCTCAGCTTGTGATATGGAAAGTGTTTGTACATATCTTGGGTATAAAATGTATCACTCTTTCATTTGCTCATATAATAGCTCCTCTTCTTAATCCCATAAAGCACTCGGTTTTTGTTTTGCAACGAAGTACAACTGTGGTCATCCTTCCAATGATGAATATTTGCTTTATTCTTGTTAAATTTGCATCCTGCTCTGAGTGCCTTTCTGCAAACACTAAGTTTTTGCTCCAATGCTAAATCATATAGTGTAGGAAATATTTTTCAACATGATTATTACAGCAATTAAACTCAAGCCATATAGGTTGGCTTCCAGCTCCAAAATGATGATGCAGAAGCAAGCTGGTTTGACTCCCCCCATAGAAAAAGAAAAACAAATGTACAGCAATGAGATTACGGCCAGAAATAAGCTAGAACTCAAATATAAGGAGAGATCATTCCCAGGGCCACAGAGAAGTAAAAAAAACTCCCAGCAGACAGAGAATCAGACTTCCACATCTACTATGCCCCTCCCCCCATTTTGCCGAGCACCAACTGCAAGGAAAATTTCCCTCCAACTCACTGTTTCTACACTGGAAAAGTAAGACCAAAGTGGAACCAGATTGCCCACTATCTTGGGTTCCCTAGGAGGAGATTTGTCCCTTCCTTAACCCACAGAAAGCATCACAAGTACCTGAAGGGAGAAATATCCATGAGGTAGATAGAGACTAAGAGGGGAAGCAGGACTACAATCCCTAGCCCTGGAAAGGAGAGCCCTCCTTTGTAATTCTACCAAAGGAGATGCCAAATCACAGTAGCTATTCAGTAGCACCATACAGTAGGTTTGTCCCACAGGTCCACTGGGCATGAACCTCCACAGTCAGCCTTCCCACAGTGCCAAGATATCCCTGTTGGGAACTGCCCCTTTGGGAAGGGCAGCATTTTGATAATTTACTAGAGCCAAGGTGAACCTAAGCTTAAGGCATCACCTATAGCCAAAAAGGAGGCAGTAACCTAGCAGTAAATAACCTCTAACCAAATACATCCAATAGAAACCAAAACAAGCCAGACAGAGAAGAACAGAATAAATAACTAATCTTTCAATGCAAAGACACTGACATACATCCACAAGAAACAAGAGCAAGCAGGGAACCATGATCCCCAAATGGACGAAGCAAGAAACCAACAAGCAACCCTAACAAGATGGCAATATGTGAACTTTTTTTTTTTTCTGAGGCGGAGTCTCGCTCTGTCGCCCAGGCTGGAGTGCAGTGGCGGGATCTCGGCTCACTGCAAGCTCCGCCTCCCGGGTTCATGCCATTCTCCTGCCTCAGCCTCCCAAGTAGCTGGGACTACAGGCGCCCGCCACTACGCCCGGCTAATTTTTTGTATTTTTTAGTAGAGACGGGGTTTCACCGTTTTAGCCGGGATGGTCTCGATCTCCTGACCTTGTGATCCGCCCGCCTCAGCCTCCCAAAGTGCTGGGATTACAGGCGTGAGCCACCGCGCCCGGCCTAATATGTGAACTTTTTAACCAAGAATTCAAAATAGTAGTTTTAAGGAAACTCAGTGATCTCCAAGATAACACAGAAAAGAAATTCAGAAATTTATCAGAAAATTTTAACCAGAAAATTGAAATAATTTTGTTTAAATCAAACAAATTTTGGAACTGAGAAATACATCTGCTGACCTGAAAAATTCATTAAAGGCTCTCAACATCAGAATGGATCAAGGAGAAGAAAGAATCAGCCAAGTCAAAGACAGCCTATTTTTTAAGTACACAGAAGAGAAAAAAGAAAAGAGTGAAAAGCAATAAAGATCTCCTACAAGATAAAGAAAATTACCTCAAAAGACTAACTCTAAGAATTATTGTGTTCAAGAGGGAGCTGAGCAAAAGTAAGGTATAGAAAGCTTATTCAAAAAAATAATAAAAAACTTTCCAAAACTTGAGAAAGATGTAAATAACCAGCTACAGGAAGGTCAGAGAACAAACAGATTTGACCCAAATAAGACTACCCCAAGACATACACTAATCAAACTCTCAAAGGTCAAGGACAAAGAGAGGATCCTAAATGCAGCAAGAAAAAAGAAGAAAATGATATACAAAGGAGTTCCAATTCATCTGGCAACAGACTTTTCATTGAAAAACAATACAAGCCAGGAGGGAGTGGAATAACAAGAGAAAGAGAGAGAGAGAAAGAAAGGAAAGAACAGAAAGGGAAAGGAGAGGGAAGGAGAAGGGTTGGGAGGAAAGGGGAGGGGAGGAGAGGAGTGGAGAGGATCGGAATAAAGAGGAGCAGAAAGGAAAAAGGGAAGGGAGGGAGGCAGGGAGGAAGAAAGGAAACCTATCATCCAAGAATACCAAATCCAGTAAAGTTATCCTTCAAATAATAAGAAACAAAGTTTTTCCCAGATAAACAAAAGTTGAGAGAGTTTACCACCACCAGGCCTGTCTTACAAGAAATGCTAAGAAAAATTATTTAATCTGAAAGAATAAAGACTAATGTGCTAAAATTAAAAAAAAATAGTTGAAGGTCTAAAACGCACTGGTACAATTAAGTACATAGACAAACCCAGAATACTCACACCATAATTGTGGTGTGCAATCCACCCATAACTCTAGCTATGTCCAGAAGACAAATCTATTTAAAACAATTGTTTAAAAAAAGAAAAACAAAAAAAATTATAGCTACAGCAACATAGTAAGAGATAGGTAATATAAAAATATGTGAACTGAGACAACTAAAAGCCAAAATATGAGGGACACAGTTAAAGTGTAGAAGATTTTTTTTCATTTTCCTTTGTTTCTATTCTTTTCTATGTCACTTAAAATGTCACCCTTTAAATTACTTGTTATAAGATGGCTTTGTAAGCCTCATAGTAATGACAATGCAAAAACCTGTAACAGATTCACTAAAAATAAAAAGCAACGAATTAAAAAGTACTATCAGAGAAAATAACCACAAAGGAAGACAGTAAGAAAGGAAGAGAAAAATTACAATACAAAAAACAATCAACAAAATGGCAGTAAAAGTCCTAACTCATCAATAACACTAAATGTAAATGGAATCCATTCTCCAATTAAAAGGCACAGAATGGCTGGATGGATAAAGAAACAAGACCCAATACAATGCTGCTTACAAAAAAACCACTTCACCTATAAAGATACACATAGTCCAAAAGTGAAGAGTGAAAAATGAAATTCCAGTAGTAGCTATACTTACATCAGATAAAACAGACTACAAATCATCAAACAGTGTAAAAAGAGACAAGAGGCCGGGTGCGGTCGCTCATGCCTATAATCCCAGCACTTTGGGAGGCCGAGGCAGGTGGATCACAAGGTCAAGAGATCAACACCATCCTGGCTAACACGTGAAACCCCATCTCTACTAAAAATACAAAAAAATTAGCCGGGCGTGGTGGTGGGCGCCTGTAGTCCCAGCTACTAGGGAGGCTGAGGCAGGAGAATGGTGTGAACCCGGGAGGCGGAGCTTGCAGTGAGCCGAGATAGGGCCACTGCACTCCAGCCTGGGTGACAGAGCAAGACTCTGTCTCAAAAAAAGAAAAAAAAAAGAGACAAGGAAGGTCACTATATATGATAAAGGGGTCAATTCTGCAAGACGATATAACAATTATAACTATTTATGCACCCAATATGGGGCAGCCAAGCATATGCAGCAAACATAAACAGATCCAAAGGGAGAGAGAGACTACAATACAATAATAGTAGGGAACTTTAGCATACCACTTTCAGAAATGTACAGATCATCCAGACAGAAAATCAACAAAGAATCAATAACCGAAAAGTCCTGACATTTACAGAACATCTCACCCAACAGTTATAGAAAAGACATTATTTTTATCAGCACATGGAACATTTTCAGAATATACCATATCTTAGGCCACAAAACAAGTCTGAAAAATTCAAAAAGTAGCAATCATACCACTATCTTTTCTGGCCACAATAGACTACAATAACAAGAAGAACCTTGGAAACTTCACAAATACATGGCAAGTAAACAAAATGTTCCTGAATAACCAATGGGTGAATAAAGAAATTAAGAAAAGAAATTTAAAATTTCCTGAAACAAATGAAAATGAAACTACTACATACTAAAATATATGGGATACAGCAAAAGCAGTATTAAGAGGGAAGTTTATAGTAATAAACATGTCAGAGGTGTCTGAACCAGATCAACTCCATCTTGAATAGGAGCTGGGTAAAATGAGACTGAGACCTACTAGGCTGCACTCCCAGATGGTTAAAGCATTCTAAGTCACAGAATGAGATAAGAGGTCAGCACTAGACACAGGTCATAAAGACCTTGCTGATAAAATAGGTTACAATAAAGAAGTCAGCTAAAATCCACCAAAACCAAGATGGTGACGTGAGTGACCTCTGGTCTTCCTCACTGCTACACTCCCACCAGCGCCATGACACTTTACAAATGCCACGGCAACTTCAGGAAGTTACCCATATGGTCTAAAAAGGGGAGGCATAAATAATCTACCCCTTGTTTAGCATATCATCAAGAAATAATCATAAAAATGGGCAACCAGCAGCCCTCCAGGCTGTTCTGTCTATGGAGTAGTCATTCTTTTATTCCTTTACTTTCTTAATAAACTTGCTTTCACTTTGCACTGCAGACTTGTCCTGAATTCTTTCTTGTGTGAGATCCAACGACCCTCTCTTGGGGTCTGGATCAGGATCCCTTTCCTATAACACTACCAGTGCCATGACAGTTTATAGATGTCATGACATCAGGAAATTACCCTATATGGTCTAAAAAGGGAAGGCAGAAATAATCCCACCCCTTGTTTAGCATATCATCAAGAAATAATCATAAAAATGGCCAACCAGGAGCCCTCTGGGCTGCTCTGTCTACGGGGTAGCCATTTTTTTATTCCCTTATTTTCCTAATAAACTTGCTTTCACTTTACTCTATAGACTCACCCTGAATTCTTTCTTGCACGAGATCCAAGAACTCTCTCTTGGGGTCTAGATCGGGACCCCTTTCCTGTAACAAACGCTTATATCAAAAAAGCATAAAGATTTCAAATAAACCACCTAACAATGAACCTCAAGGAACTAGAAAAACAACACCAAATGCAACCCAAAATTAGTAGACAGAGAGAAAGCTCATCTATTCCAATTTTTTTGTTTACAGAAAAATACAAAATTACAAAAATACAAAAAATACAAAAATTAGCTGGCTGTGGTGGTGCATGCCTGTAGTCCCAACTACTTGGGAGGCTAAAGTAGGAGGATTGCTTGAGGCCAGGAGTGGAAGGCTGCAGTGAGCCATGATCACACCACTGCACTTCATCTTGGGAAACAGAGTGAGACTCTCTCTCTCAAAAAAACGAAACAGGAGGGTATAGGGCTGGTCAATGAACAAGACAGCTTTTGAGGTTATATCTTAAATATTCCTGCTTTTACTATTAATGGTGATGATTATTACAACAAATATAATGTCTGTTTTATACATATATATATATATATATATATCACCAAAACATCTAGAAAGAAGTTTCATGAATGTGTTGAAAGGGTTAGCCCCTTTGCACAGGCTCCAGTCTACTGTAACCATTGATAAGTACCACTTCTGCAGACAGCCAGAAAAGACACTTTTATGGAGATGCTTGTTTTTATTTTTTTTTATTTCTTAGATCACACTGGTTAAGGAGAAATATACTCCAAATGCCTAATTTTTCTTCTCTTGGTTTTGGAATTTTGGTTGTCCCATCTAAATACAATATATCTTATTAAACATCCACTATACCTTTCTTTATATCATCAGAATAACCTGATTGCAAATAAAATTTCATTTACATATAAATTAATAAATATCTTCTCCCAAAGTTTACTACTTCAAATTAATCTGCAGACATAAATAGTTTGCTAGTGACCTCGACATTAAAAGAAAAAAGGAGGGAGGGATGGCAACAAATCATAGTGTCCAGAATAAAGCTAGGAAATATGATCAATAATTTCTTTTTTATTTGAGCTGATATGGAGAGATTTAAGCAAAGGGAAATCATAAAAGATCCAGTTGACATTCTTTTTGTCTTTATCAAATTTAGTTCTCAATAACAATAGCATAATTGGCAAACATTTAATGACTATAACCTTCAGTTTTGTTTTACTTAACACAGTACTGATTTGTCAGGATTTTGATTTTATGATATTCCAGCTCTGTGAAGAAAAGGTCATCTGGTGTGTGCCTCTCATTTGGTACACACAGATAATGTGTGTTCACTCAATGGATATGATACCTTGACATTTTAGAAAACAAAATGAATGTGCGCTCTGGAGGACAATGCCTTTTAATTGATACGTTACTGTCTTGGTGCGTTTATACTGCTATAAAGGAATACCTGAGGCTGGGTAATTTGTAAAGAGGTTTATTTGGCTCATAGTTCTGCAGGCTATACAAGAAAGCACACATACACACACACACAAAAGGCATGGCACCAGCATCTGTTTCTGATGGCCTGCTTCCACTCATGCATAGTGGAAGGTGAAGGGGAGCCTGTGTGAGAAGAGATCACATGATGAAAGAGGAGAAGAGAGGGGCCAGACTCTTGAACAACTAGCTCGTACAGGAACTAAGAGTGAGAATTCATTCATTACAGCAGAAGTCACCAAGCCATTCATGAGGGATCCACTTCCCTGACCCAAACATCCTCCCATTGTGCCTTACCTCCAACACTAGGGATCAGATTTCAACATAAGGATCAAATATCCAAACTATGGTAGTTACATTCATACTAATACTACAACCACATCATCATTCTAAAAAAAAAAAAAAAAAAAAAAAAAAAAAAAATTCCAATCAAACATTGCCATTCCAGCTACATGCAACAAAATAATTTCTCTAAAAACAAGAATTCTAAGTGGATTGTGCTTACACTAGCAATCCATGTCCTCTACAATTGCCATATAATCAGTACAACCCAGTAAAGAATATTTATGCATAATTCATATTCTATAGTATTTGACAAATCCTGTAAAAACATAAAGAGGTTAAATGTAATAACTACAGAATTCTTAACAAAATCTTTGACAGCAAGAGTTCAGAAACAAATACAAAAAGTAAATCCATGAAAACTTAACAGGCATCAGAAAAATTCTCCTTTAGTATTATGAACAAATGTAGCCCGGGTGTGGTGGCTCACACCTGTAATCCCAGTACTTTGGGAGGCCAAGGCAGGCAGATCACCTGAGGTCAGGAGTTCAAGACCAGCCTAGCCAATATGGTGAAACCCTGTCTCTACTAAAAATACAAAAATTAGCCAGGCGTGGTGGTACACGCCTGTAATCCCAGCTACACAGGAAGCTGAGGCATGACAATTGCTTGAACCCAGGAGGCATAGCTTGCAGTGAGCTGAGATTGCACCATTGCACTCCAGCCTGCATGACAGAGCGAGTCTCCATCTTAAAAAATAAAAAAAAGAATCAAGACTAAGAGGAATTCTTTGGTAATGAAACATAAAACATACTGTTTTCCAAAACATAACAAACACAACCACAACAAAAAAGACCCTCACTCATTCATTACTTACCACAGCACTTGCCATTTGCAATTTGTCATTATAACTCAGTTTATAGTTGAACACAACCTGGTTAATTAAAGTTGATACAATTTGCTTATCAATCTGATTAAAGGGATCATAATGATGGAAATGGTCAGATCCTAACTAGAGGAATTATTTCAGTATTCAGAATTCAAAGAGAATGGCAACTGGCAAGAAGGGATAGTGCAGGCAAACAAAAGTAGGGAGAACAATTACAATACCTTAATAAGGGTACTGTCATTGCCATTAGTTATTCTGTTAATTTCAAAGGTGACGATTACTCATTCATTTATTTCATGAAACAGGGAATATATCAAATGTAAAATATAATGAATTATTTTATTACTTATCACTTACAGAAGAAGGGAGATATTACTAAACTCATCAAAGTGGCTGGACATTCTTTTATACCAGCAGTATATAAAAGTACCTGGTTTCACATCCTTGCCAGTTGTGGATATTGTTAGACTCCTACTTTTACTAATTTGATGAGTGTGAATTGGCATCTAGTTATAATATATACAAGGAGACATATTTAAAAGATGTTCACTAAAAAAGAAAGTAAAAAACTGGCATCTACCAGCAAATGAATGAAAAAATAAATTGTGGCATATTCATAAAATGCAGTATGCAACAGTTAAAATGAATTAGGAATATGTAATAACAAAAATTTCAAATATAGTGTTAGATGGAAAAGCAAGTTTTAAAACCACAGCAAAGAAAATTTAAATGGAAGCACAATGTTTATAGATGCATATATGGTAGAAAAAATATATATATGTATGTTTTATAACATAAATAGGAAAGATACACATAAGTTTCAGGATAATGATCATCTATAAGGAGCGAGGTAAGGGAACAGAATATGGTAGGATAAAAAGGATGTTTCAGTAGTATCTGTAATATTTTATTTCTTCTTTCAAAAAAATAGTAAAATATTAACCTCTAGGTAGCAGATATACAGGATGCTCTGTTATTCTCATACTCTAGTCTATGCTTGAAATATTTCCATTTTTAAAAAGTGAAAGCAATCTAAATGTCCAATGACACAAGGGATTGGTTACATTATGGTGTAATTTAAGTACTATAATAAATTGTATAATTTTGAATGATGATATGAATGTATAGATTTTTATATGGGAAGATATCCATGATATTGGATATGCCATCCAACATATTGCCAATTTTTTTAAGTTGCAAAATAACACATATAAGTGCATAAAATGAAGGCATGAATGTGTCTACATAAGTTCACACAGTTGTACCCAAACATCTACCATTATAATCTTTAATTGTAGAATTATGTATGATTTTCATATTCTTTTAAAACTTTATTGGCATTTAATATTTTGTATATTTATGGGGTGCGTGTGATAATTTGTTACATGCATAAAATGTGTAATGATCAAGTCAGGATACTTGAGGAACCTATTACCTTGAGTATTTATCATTTCTATGTGTTGAGAACATTTCAAGTTCTGTCTTCCAGCAACTTCAAAATATACTTAATACATTATTGCTAACTATAGTCACCCTACTCTGTTATCAAACATTAGAACTTATACCTTCTATCTAACTGCATGTTTGTACCCACTGACCAACCTTTCTTCATCTCCCCCTCTCAACCACATCTTTTTCTCACCCTCTGGTATCTATCAATCTACTCTCAACCTCCATAAGATCAACTTTTTTAGCTCCTACAAATGAGTGAGAACATGGGATATTTGTTCTTTCTCTGCCTGTATAATTCCACTTGACATAATAATCTCTAATTCCATTCATGTTGTGACAAATGACATGGTTTCATTCTTTTTTACAGCCAAATAGTATTACATTCCATATATATACTTTTTTTAATCCATTCATCTATTCATGGACAGTAGGTTGATTCCACATCTTGGCTATTGTGAATAGTGACATAATAAACATGCAAGTGCAGGTATCCCTTTGATACACTTCTTTTCCTTTGGATAAATACCCAGTGGTGGGACTGCTGGGTCCTATGGTAGTGCTATATTTAGTTCTCCCCCACCCCCTTTTAAGTTTTTTTTTTTAAATCTCCATACCGTTTTCCACAGTAGTTGTACTAATTTACATTCCCACCAACAGTGTATGAGTTCCCTCTTCTCTGAATCCTTGCCAAAATCTGTCTTTTTTTTTGTCATTTTAATGATAGTCAGCCTAACTGGATTAAGATGCTATCTCGCTGTGGTTTTGATTTACATTTCCCTGATGATTAGTGATGTTAAACATTTTTTTCATATGCCCGTTGGCCATTTGTATGTCTTCTTTTGAAAAATATCTGTTTAGATCATTTGCCCTTTTTTAAATCAGACTGTCTTTTTGCTGCTGAGATGTTCAAATTCCTTATATATTCTGGATATTAGTCCCCTGTCACATGGAGAGTTTGCAAATATCTTCTCCCATTCAACAGGTTGTCTCTTCACTCTGTTGACTCCTTTGCTGTGCAAAAGCTTTTTAGTTCAATATAGCATCATTTGTCTATTTTTCTTTTTGTTGTCTGTGCTTTTGTGATTTTAGCTGTAAAATCTTTGCCTAGTTCAATGCCCTGAAGTGTTTTCCATATGTTTTCTTCCAATAGTTTTATAGTTTGGGGGCTTTAATTCTTTAATCCATCTTGAGTTGATTTTTGTATATGGTCAGAGATGAGGGTTCAGTTTCATTCTTCTGCATATGGATATCCAATTTTCCCAGCATTCTTTATTGAAGAGACTGCCCTTTCCCCAGTGTATGTTCTTGGCACCTTTGTCAATAATCATTTGGCCATAAATATGTGAATTTACTTCTGGATCCTCTACTCTGTAGCATTGGTCTATGTGCCTGTTTTTATATCAGTACCATACTGTTTTGGTTCTTACAGCCTTGTTATATGTATGTGTGTGCATAATATGTATATATGTGTGTATACATTATGTATAAATACATTATATATACACGTTATATATATATATATATATATATATATATATTTTTTTTTTTTTTTAGATGGAGTCTCTCTCTGTTGCCCAGGCTGGGGTGCAGTGGCATGATCTCAGCTCACTGCAACCTGCATCTCCGTTCAATGATTCTCCTCAGCCTCCTGAGTAGCTGGGACTACAGGTGCCCACCACCATGCCCGGCTAATTTTGTATTTTTAGTAGAGATGGGGTTTCACCATGTTGGTCAGGCTGGTCTTGAACTCCTGACCTCAAATGCTCCACCTGCCTCGGGCTCCCCAAGTGCTGGGATTACAGGTGTGAGCCACCACACCTGGTTGCCTTGTAATATATTTTGATGTCAGGTAGTGTGATGTCTCCAGCTTTGTTCTTTTTGTTCAGGATTTCTTTGGTTATTTGAGGTCTTTTCTGGTTCCATATAAATTTTAAGATAGTTTTTTCTATTTCTGTGAAAAATGACATTGACATTTTGAAAGAAATTTCATTGAATCTGTAGACTGCTTTAGGCAGTATGGTCATTTTAATTATACCAGTTCTACTCCATGAGCCATATTCTTTTTCATATCTATATCATCTTAATTTTAATGGTGAGCATGTATCACTCTTCTAATGAGAAAAATATTTTTTCATGAGCAGAAGAATAAAAAATTAGCTATATTGAACTGAGAAAGCCACTAAGAAAATCTAGTAAAAACTACTAAGTGAACAAAAAAGATGCCCAGTAATGCAATGAGAAAATGAAGGGAGTGTGTTGATTTATGAAATCAAAAACCTGAGCCTCCTTTGACTTCCTCTGTGTGTGTGTGTCTTTATCTCCCCTCTTCTCTAAGTGATAATTTGCCATGATGAAACAATTATTTTCTAAATCAAATGAAATGCTATATTCCTGCTTCATTTAATAAATGAATAAGCAACCATTACTTTTTGAAATTAAGAGGAAAGGGTTTATTTTAGAAGCTCAAAATTCACTTCAAAAGTATTCTTTTTATACCATCTAACTATGTGCATGTGAAAATGTCCTTAGATCTTAGAATTCTTATTTCATGTATAACCAGATGGTTTGACTCTTTATTTTGACAATGCTATTTCTTTATTTATCCTTTGAAAAAGGAACTCTGACCTTTGTTTTCGTTTATAAACTGAGGGTGATACTGTAACATAAGGGTGAGGAAGTCCAGCACATTGAGCCTTAACCAGGGCTTTCTTCACATCACAAAACTGTGTAAGTGTTCTGAGAGGAAAAATACACTAAGTGGCACTGAGCTTCTTTCCTGCAAAGAAAGCAGGCAAAGGACGTAACACAAATAAAACATCCAAACAACCACATTTCTTTGCAATGTTTGCATTTTCCTTCACCAGGGAAAAAAACTCTCTTCTAATCTCAAGACTTTATATTAAACAAAATCATTTCCTGTAATAAGAATTTTGAAATTAACTGGTAAATTAACTTTCAAAGAACAAGCCTAGTTTGTGGAAAATTAACTGGTGATGATATAAGGCACTAATTTAATGAATAATGATGAGGGGAAATAAATTATACATCATATAAGAAAAACTGCTTATTTGCAACTTTGTTCTGGATAGTAGGAACAGCATAGTCTAGGACAAATCCGCATCCCATGATCTTCATCTCTTCTATCTTCTTCCTCTTCAACATAAAGAATATACCCTGACTACCAGGTTACAAAACACAGTATATATGGATCATGGCAAATCTAGCCCAAAAGCTGTGTTGCTGAAAATGAGATTTGCCATTGATAATTATACTCAGGTAATCTGACACTTGGCTTACTGATCAAAGCTTCCTTATCAGAGATAAATCTTGTTTTCAATTTTTTAACAATCATTATCTCCTCCACCTATCAAGGCACTTCCTAAAAATATAGAAACAAGAAATCTGGAGAAGCTTGTTCTCCTGAGACTGGCCCTCAATGTGTAACTAAATTATTCCAATTATACTGATAATAAAAAGTATAGCAAGAGACCTTGCTTGCTACCATTACAAATCCACATGTAAAGTCTTGACTACTGTCTTGGTCTATTTTGTGTTTCTATAACAGCACACCTGAGGCAGGTTATTTATAAAGGAAGGAGTTTTATTTAGCTCATGGTTGTGCAGGCTGTTTAAGAAGCATGGCACTGGCACCTGCTCAGCTTCTGGTGAGGGCTGCATCAAAACATGATGGAGAAGGCCAAAGGAGAAGTGGGCATATGTGAAGAGGGACCAAACCTAAGCGGTGTCCTGGCTTTATAACAACCCACTCTTGAGGGAACTAACCTATTCCGTTGGAACTAATTCCATCTAGCCAGAGAGAGAATGGCATCAAGCAATTCATGAGGGATCTGCCCCCATGACCCAAACACCTCCCACTGGGCCCCACCTTCCAACACCCCCACAATGGGGATCAAATTTCAACATGTGATTTGGTGGGGACAAAAAAACCATATCCAAACCATAGTAACTACTCAATAATGATTCTTTAATACTTGGTTATCCATTTGAAAAAGGTAAAAATAGAGTCATACGTTACATTATACAATAATAATTCTTGGCCTCCTAAGCATAGAGTGGGGGAAGGGGATGGGGAAAGGTAATCTTTACCAATTTTTTGAGGACGTAGGAAAGTATATTTATACTGCTAAGTAACATTATTTATCTTTTCAAAGACAAAACATGTTTTCCAAAAAGAACAGTTGTATAGTTCTGAATTTTGCCAAAACATATAAATATACTGTTCAAAAGAACTGTAAACTAATTACTAATGGTACTCAAAGGTTACAAGGTCTAAAAAGGTTGTCTGGAAAAGGTAACTTCCTAAACAGCCAATTAAAATATAAAACTACAAACACAGGACTTACCTAGATACAAAAATAAAATCTTTCTTTTAAAACTTCTGTAACACTGATGTGCCATATTTTAATCCATGAAAAGATTTACATTTTTGCATTAAAGTTCAAATAGGTCAAAATTCCTTGGCTTTCTCATTTTCTTATACTTGAATAATAGTATTTTTTAAGATACAGGAGAGGACAGAAAAAGGCTTTAAATACAATTAACCTAATATTGGGGCATATATAAATAGAATGTAAACAGAATTTCAACTGATATATTATACTATAAATATCTGAAGTCTTATAAATGATTCTGATGGAATCCAGGGATGTTATAAAAGCTACAAAATATAGAACATAAATTAGACCTACAAAAACTATCTCACCTAAACTTTCTGGGCAGAGTTTAAAAGTAAGATATTTTGGGCCGGGCATGGTGGCTCACGCCTGTATCCCAGCACTTTGGGAGGCCAAGGTGGGTGGATCATGAAGTCAGAAGATTGAGACCATTCTAGCTAACACGGTGAAACCCCATCTCTACTAAAAATACAAAAAAATTAGCCGTGCGTAGTGGCGGGCGCCTGTAGTCCCAGCTACTCAGGAGGCTGAGGCAGGAGAATGGCGTGAACCCAGAAGGCCGGAGCTTGCAGTGAGCCGGGATCACACCACTGCACTCCAGCCTGGGCGACAGAGTGAGACTCCGTCTCAATAAAAAAAGTAAGATATTTTGGCCAGGTGCAGTAGCTCATGCCTACAATCCCATCACTTTAGGAGGCCGAAGCAGGAGGATTGCTTGAAGCCAGGGGTTCGCAACCAGCCTGGGAAACATAGCAAGATTCCATTCCTAAAAAAATTTAAAAATTAGCCGGGCACAGTAGCACACTCCCATAGTACTAGCTACACAGGAGCCTGAGGTGGGAGGATGGCTTGAACCCAGCAGTTGGTGGTTTCAGTGAGCTATGATCATGCCACTGCACTCCAGGCTGGGCAATAGGGCGAGACTCTGTCTCAAAAAAAAAAAAAAAAAGTATTTTTCAGCTAAGTCTCATAATAACCATATTATATCTTTAAATTAGTTATATTTTTAACGTATTTATTTAATTGGTTTTACAGACATAATACTATAGTGAGCTACCTCACTTCATTATTATCAAGTCCTTGTAAACAAATGTAAATCTTTGCATGGCTGGCATTTTAAATTCTGATTCTGGGCAATGGCAAAACCAGTCACGCAACTATAAAAGCTACCCATAATAATCCAATAATTTTGTTAGAATATTTCACTTCTCTTCTTGCCCTATATTGTCAAGTGCAAAAAGCAGACAGATATCTAACACCGTTTTTTTTTTTTTGGTCAGGCAGTGAATAAACAAACTCATCAACATATCTTTTAAATGTAAACCAAATTTATAGTAGCACAGTAATTGAGGAGCACCAATAAGATTATGCTTATCGAGAATTAATGGAGCTCTTTAAAATAAGCTTATTCAGTAGAAAAGCTCTTCAGTGAGAAGGAATAGTCTGACTCCTTATGATAGAATGAAAGAAAGGTTGCCAGATCATCATTAGTAATCAGAGAAATGCAAATTAAAACAAGATAATACTTTTGCCCATCAGATTGGCAAGAGTTAGAAAGACCGATAATATCCAGTGTTGGCAAGAGTATAGGGAGATAAGTATTCTCCTACAGTGTTAATGGGAATAAATTAGCACAGCCTTTGCAAAG
Organism: Homo sapiens; assembly: GCF_000001405.40. Classification (NCBI taxonomy): domain Eukaryota; kingdom Metazoa; phylum Chordata; class Mammalia; order Primates; family Hominidae; genus Homo; species Homo sapiens. The sequence goes on along the minus strand of NC_000003.12, from coordinate 149,855,745 downwards.
GTAATTTGGCAGTATCTATGAAACTTTTAGATGTACATACCCATTGGTTTCATCAATTCTACTTCCAGACCTCTATCCTAGAGAAATAACAACTTTGGGGGAAAAAAAATACATATATATATACACACACATATATATGCACACATATATACACGTATATATATACACATATATACGTATATATGTATTTTTAATATATAAATGTAAAGATACATATATATTTTTTAATGCATAAATGTAAAAATACATATATATGTATTTTTAAAGAGGAAATTACTAATAAACTATGATCATTCATATTACAGAATACCATGCAGTGCTTAACAGGAACATACTAGATTTATAGATGCTGCTGTGGAAAGAGTTCTAAAACAGAAGAAGTAGGGGAATCAAACTGCAGAGTAGTTATTTATTTATTTTTATTTTTGAGACAAGGTCTCACTCTGTCGCCCAGGCTGGAGTGCAATGGCTTGATCGCGGCTCACTGCAACCTCACCTTCCTGGGTTCAAGCGATTCTCCCACCTCAGCTTCCCAAGTAGCTGAGACCACAGGCTTGCGCCACCATGCCCAGCTACTTTTTATATTTTTTGGTAGAGACAGGGTTTCACCATGTTGCTCAGGCTGGTCTCTTGACCTGAAGTGATCTACCCACCTTGGCCTCCCAAAGTGCTGGGACTGCAGATGTGAGCCACTGCACCCAGCCCAGCCTTGCAGGGTAATTATTGCAGTAGACATCTGTCACTCACGGTGCTCCAAATTTTCTGAACCCACTACGCATTCCACCTTCCCAAAGTAGGCTAAAACAACAAAAATAACAACAACAAAAACCCTACATTGTATTTCCCAGCCTTCCTCATAGCTAGGTATTTCACCAAAATATGTAGCAAGTAACTATGTGGCCAAAAGTCTATCACTCAGAAAAATCCAAGTGTTGGATTTGGAAGTAGACATGTAAGGAAACAGTCTGAAAAAGGGTATCTCTTCGATTAGCTTGGATGGCAGAAGAGGCCAAATGTTGTGAGGTAAAACCACAAAGGCTTCCTGATGAGAGAAAAAATAATGTGGTGTGAGGGTCCATTGGCTGCACCACTCATCTATAAAGCCAGTCCTGCAAGGTGGTTCTGGGTTTTATTCCTGTAACAGTTTAGAAACTGCCTGTCCAGGCTATGATACTCTGAACATCTTTATCCCTTTATAAATCCCTTTCTGGGTAAAACTAGCTAGAGCGGATTCCATTGTAAGAATTAAGAAACTTTTCATATATACAAATGATAACCATTTATGAATTATACATGTTCATAAGTTTATGAACAAAAAAGAATGAAAAAGCATTACATGTTCAGAAAAGGATCTGAAGGCCTGTAAAATCACTGATAATATTTAACTCTGAAGAGGGAAGTGTGACTGCTACATATAGGTAAGAAAAGAATAAAAGAAGGTGTTTCCTTTTTCTTATGTATATTACTTTTCGGTTGAAATATTTTTATGAGAAATAGTCATACAATGCTATGAATTTTTTTTTAATAATTAAAAATTCAATGCCCCTCCCAGAGGTGTCTGCCATCCTAATTAAGAATAATAGGTTTGTGGTATCTTACTAAGAAATTCTGGCTAGGCACGGTGGCTCATGCCTGAAATACCAGTACTTTGGGAGGCTAAGGTGGGCGGATCACTTGAGCCCAGGAGTTCAAGACCAGCCTGGGCAACATGGCGAAACCCCATCTCTACATAAAAATACAAAAACTAGCCGGGCATGGTGGTGCCCACTTAGTCTCAGCCACTCGGGAGGTTGAGGTGGGAGGATCACTTGAGCCCAGAAGGCGGACGTTGCAGTGAGCCAAGATTGTGCCACTGTGCTCCAGTCTGGGCAACAGAGTGAAACCCTACCTTAAAAAAAAAAAAAAAAAAAAGAGAAATTTTAAGAAAATTAGAATAAACTGAAAACATTCTATGGTACATATCCACACAACTTCATGAATTCATATAACAAAAAACTAATATTATCTTGGAATGAGAAAGGACTTTCTAACCCCCAGAGGTAGAGGAAAAAGAAGAATTTTTAACTACTTAAACAAAACTTTTGAAATCTTAAAAAAAATTAAAAGATAAACGAAAAACTGAAGAAGGGATAATCTGAAGCATATATGGCAAACAATAAATTGATACTTCCAATATATAAAGAACTCTTACAAAGCACAAGGACACTTTCATTTCAAATTGGGCAAAGAGCATTAATAGTCCATTCTCTCTCTCTCTCTCTCTCTCTCTCTCTCTCTCTCTCTCTCTCTCCCTCTCTCTCTCTCACACACACAGCAAAAAATATGTTTAAGTTCATTAGATTTTTTAAAATCAAATTAGCAAAAGTTTGATAATATCTAGTATTTAAGAGGGTATAGGGAAAAGGACAGTCTCAGATGTTATTGATAGAATTCTAAATCGTTCCAAACTTTTTGGAGGAAGAACTGAAAATACAGAACAAAACTTTAAACATTCATGCCACAAAGCAATTCTACATTTGGAAATGTATCCTATGGAGATAAATGGATGAATACACAAAGACAAAAACATTCATTGTAGCACTGTAATAGTAAAAACTAGACAACCTAAATATCCACTATGAAAAACTAAAGCAATGTTCAAAATCCATACTATTTCATGATATTGCAAAACCATGCAGCTGTTACAATTAATAATGTAAATCCTTACCTATCAGCATGAAAAAACATGATCAAAACATACAATTAAAAGAAAAAGGCAGGTAACCAAATAGCATGTTTCTATTAGTGTTAAATACAGATTTACTGTATATGAAAGCATTTACATATATATGTAAATGTGTGTGTACATATATATATGTACACACACATACATACATCTACAAACACACGCATAGCACATATCCTAAAAAAACAGGTCTGAAATGTGATATACCAAAATGTTAAACACAGCTAGTTCAGAATAATACAATCCTAGGTGATTTTCACTTTCTTTCTGATATCTTTTGAATAATCTGACCCTTTACAAATGACTATATATAGGCTTTATAATAATAAATAGTAAGAAATGATTTCATTCTTTAAATAATAAACAATAAAAATCACCTTATTAAATACCTTGTGTCTTTACAATGTATTACCAACTGTCTTACCTTTAAACCTTCAGCTGGAAGTCTATAACCAAATCTTGCAGGGAGGTCATCAAATGTCTGAGATGCATTTTCAAAGTTATACTAAAAATAAAATTTTAAATATTCAAGTTAAGACCAATTTATATATAACATTAAAAACAAAGACTTATTTAATTATGTATAATTATTATTTTGACAATTCTGATTACTATCACAGCTTATCAAAATAAAACTGAATTTGTAAATGTACATCCACTAAAATAGAAGGAATATATATAATTTACAACATATACAACTGCTTAAATTGGATTATTATTTCAAATATTATCGAGCAGCAACACTAATTCAGCCTACTGTTTTCTGAGTTTTTCCCATAGACAATTTCCTAGCAAGGAATTTTCCAGACAGATCATCTTCCAGGAGGAGTGTTCCATTTTAATTTCTCTGTATTATAAAGGTCTGATTTACTGGAAGAAATTTACAGCATTTCTGGCTCTAGCTATGAAAAATGACTTTCTTTTTGGAAAGAAGCAGCATCATATCATATTTTTAAGGCATGTCAATTTTGTATAAGCTGAACATTTTTATCCAGGGTTGAACACTGAAAAGACCAAATTCAATGAAATACATACACGGAAAAAGCTGGAGGTATTCAAACTCTTTAACAATTTTCCCCCTTCCACACAGATATAGATTCCAAAGCTACAATATTTATTAGTCCTTTACCAAAACAAAACAAAAGTTCTTTGTGCTTTTAGAAGATAACAGTAATGATAATAATTGTGAGATGAGTTTGCTGTATCATTTAATAATGTTCAATTTGCTATACAGAGAGCAAGAGAAACAAGGGAAATGGATGAAACCTGAGTTTCATAGATAGTAAACAAGTATAGATAGTAAACAAGTAACTTTTGAAACACAAGTGAAAATGATGTACTAGAAATTAAGGGAAGTGTTCACAACATGTAGGACATAAATACAAAAAAAAAGAACACATTTGTTTTGCATATAGATACAAAGGATGGTTTGAAGATAGACAAAAAGGAAGAAAGCAAGAGTGTTATATATAGATAAGAAAAGATGGAAGGATCAAGTAAACCTTAAGTATTCACAAAGCATGGATTAAGTCACGCATCCAGACTGATAGCTACGTCATCCCTGAATCAAACACCCATTGGTTAACGCTATCCTAGCCTCTTATGTCATCTGCCAGAGGCATGCAGATAAGCAACTCCACAGTTTAACAGCCAATTACAGCTGTGACCAGTTGCCTTGCATCTCTCCAGTACAGCAAGCAAATGTTGGATCTAGACACCTTTCATCTGTCAAGTCTCCTTGGCTCACCGTCAACTCAGGTCCTGGTAACCATACCACACTGTCAGCAGGAAAAGTTGATGCAGCATACAGGAAGACTGGACAAACTACAACAAGTGACCCAGGATTCAGGTAGTGTGGTTCTTGCATCCCACTGGAACCCTATCTTGAGTGTCTTAGCATGTCCATCTTATACCTTTGCCTCTCACTGTATGCTTGTAATTAGCTCAGGAAACTGTGTGATTCAAGCATCTAAATGCAGTCACTAAACCTATTCATTCTGTCATTGCTGGGATAATCATCCTAGCAGTGTACTTGGAGGCCATCAAGTATATGTGGTAATTGCTTCAGCGTGATTTCCCATTGCAACAATAATTCATATTTGCAGAGTACTCCATAGTTTACAAAGTACTTCAGAGTTACAAAATGCTTTTAAACCCATTATCACAATCTATCGTTTAATCTCTTAATTAAAACACATTTAATTGATTTAATTCACCTATGATCAGGTTAATGTTGAACTTGAGAAAAACATTTAATTCATCCCAGCCAAAGATGTCACTGTAAAATAAAGTAACTTATCTAGATCAATGGAAATAGAATGAGGACAAAATACAAATGTGTGTAAGCAGTATTTTTTAATGTACTTTTGAAATTAGGAAATGGGGAATCTACAAACTATACTAAAGTATTCTTTTATCTCTTCCTATTACTTAAGAGTTTCACTATTATAGCTAAAATTATAGAAATAAAATGTCTAGCTTGAACTACAGTACTTGTAACACTGAGATGTGGAATAAGTTTTGTTACTGAATGAAACCCTTTTTGAAACTGCTTTGTCTTTCCTTAACAGCAAAATAAGGATTGTTTCATATTGTCTCTTAAAATCATATTGTTTAAAACAAAAAATGTTCCTACAGTGAACAAGACTAACAAAGGTACTTTACGTTTTTGGTATAAGGAGGGAGGGGAGCGATGCTCATAAAATTAAAGCATGTTCACTGTTTAAAAATCTGAAGTAGTAGGCCGGATGTGGTGGCTCACACCTGTAATCCTAGCACTTTGGGAGGCCGAGGTGGGCAGATCACCTGAGGTCAGGAGTTCAAGACCAGCCAGGCCAACATGTTGAAACCCCATCTCTACTAAAAATACAAAAATTAGCCAGGCCTGATGTCAAATGCCTGTAATCCCAGCTACTTGCAAGGCTGAGGCAGGAGAGTCGCTTGAATCCAGGAGACAGATGTTGCAGGGAGCCAAGATTGCGCCACTGCACAACAGCTTGGGCAACACAGCAAGACTCCATCTCAAAAAAAAAAAAAAATCTGAAGTAGAAAATAGTTACTCCTCACTAGAATCCCATTCTTAGTGATTACCACATAAGTTTGACTCCACTTATTTTGAAAAGGTCTTTTCCTTAACCAATTATTTTTCTTGACAGCTTCCTTAACAAAAGGTTTAATTGAATTTAGAAAGTAATAAATATCTAACAATTACTGAGCACTCATTATGTACAGACATCATGCTAAGCACTTTACAGGTAATAATTTATTTAATCCTAACAACAACTCTACAAAGTAGGCCACTATTACTATCATCCTCATTTTACAGATTGACAACAGAATGTTGAAAATAACAAGCTCTGGTAAATTAGAAGAACCAGGATTCTAACCGAGGCAGTCTGGCCACAGAGCTCCAGCCCTTAACCCACTACCCTGCACTGTCCTTCACAAACTCTCACTTTTACAAAGTTAACTGCGACTTAAGAAATGTTAAGTAATCTGCCCAAGGTCATGCAAATAGAGTGGTAGAGCTGGATTTCAACTCTGATTATAAATCCATTTCTGGAGCCTGGACTACCCATGCTATATAATCCAATCCATTCACACCACCACCCATTGGGTGTTTCTTTGCTACACAGCACACTGGCCCTCAATAATCACTACCCAGCAACCAATTCTCTCTGACAAATCCAGACAAAAGAATCAAAAGGCAGACTGGGCATCAAGCTACATGGGTTGTTTGACTCTCATATAAGATGGATGTTACTTCTCAGTAAAATCATGGGCACTACTCAAAACTAACATGTCACTTGTGGACTCTGAGTCTCAGAATATACAGCACTGATGTAGTTCTCTCTTAAGTGCAATTCTAAAATTCCATGTTTCTAGTATAAACCTACATAATTAATAGTATTACGTTTCTTTTTGGGTAAAAGAAAAATGATAAGAGATAAAAACAGTAATCTAAAAGTACTAAGGAACAGATGCTATTAAAAGAAAATGTGATGGTACAAAATCTCTAAGAGAAGGCTTTTAATTACTTCAAACGTTTATTGAATTCCTGTGTAACTGACACCAGGCACCAGGAATAAAGTTTAGTAAGACACAGTCCTGCCTTCCAAGTACTCATGGCCTAGAGGTCTGTCTGACTAGTCAGCTAGTCTAGTCAGCTATAGACTAGATGCTACAGTAGCATCTCCATAGCCTCTTAGAACTCAACAACTACTTGGACAAACACTGTTGTCTGTGAATTGAATTCAACTGCCAAAAACAAAAAACAAAAAACAAAAAAAACACAAAACAAAACAACCAACCAACCAACCAAAAAATCAAAGGCATCTGGCATTACAAATAGCATAACTAAAACTTAATTTTTCAAAAGCAGCACCCCAAGCCCTGTGCAAATGGAACTAGAATCAACCTAGTTGACTGGAACTAGATGTCTAATTTATTTATATCTGTATTACTGCAAACTCAGATTTCAGGGATGCTCTTATTGCATTAAAAGGAGGTGCTCTTATTTTCTACCTCTTAACTCACTTCCTTTGAATGATTGTCACACATCCAGTTCCTCTGTCTCAATTTTTAGTTCCCTGTTTTACCAGTTATATGCTTTCACAAGCCACTCCCCTCCAGCCATCTTTGCATTCGTGTCAGCCTTCTATCCTTATGGACAGCATAGAGACCAGATTTAAGCAGCTCCCATCTTACAGTTCCTTCACTACAGGACATCAACATACATTCCACAAGTACCTGTGTAAAGCACAAGGAACACTGCTGGCAAAAAGGATTGACCATTCTTCCATACCTAACATTTTTTTTTTGTCTCTAAATTAAAAAATACAGCTCAGGTAGTTTTGTATCTTCTCAAGGGGCTGAATGAAGTATAATCAGAATGATAATTATAATGAAGATTAAAACCATATATAAAATATTTACTATGTGTCAGATACTATTCTAAGCAGTTTATCTTATTTAATCACCACCACAACACTCCAGTTTACATGAAGAAATAAAGAAACTGTGGCACTTATAGCAGCTGAGTAATTTGATCAAGGTTATATATCTGCTTAAGTTCCCAGAGCACAACACTGAAAATCATTTAACCCATCAGGGAGCTCCACCACAGAATAGCAATCCACCTTGGGTATAAATGAAAGAAAGAAGGCAAAAAGTATTAAAAACAACAGAGAGGGAAAAAGAGAGACACAAAATGGAAGAAATCAAAGGAGAGAAAGGAGACAAGGAGAAGTTTATTCCCTGATCAGTCCATAAATCCTCTAACTCATTTCAAAAGTCATGCCAAGAATATTCTAAGGATTTTAGGGACCAATTTAGAAGGGAGATTTGGATAGCAATGGACTCAGTCTTTAAAGGCTCTATTTCCATTCCACCTCAAAAAGACCAAGACTATTCCCCAAAACAAACCTAATCAACCAGTTCCCTACTACAGAGGACAACAGGGGGTTAGAAATCTCGTATGGATTACTAGCATCCTCTGCCTTCAAAAGCTGTGGTATGGAAACCAGCCTGGCTCTCTCAAGTGCTACAATGATCTCAGAATCTTCCAGAATTACTGCAATGTGCAGAAGCACAGCTGGGGACCACATCAAGCTTTGGTCAGCAACAATTCTTGCCCTTTTATTTCTCACCTGATATCATTAAGCAAATCAGTTGCACCCAGAAAGTAAAACCAAATCCTTAGCACAGACCTAGAGTATAGGCATGTATGTTCTTTTTCTACCTTCACAGAAAAAGAGAAATAGAAAATATATATCCTCAACTTACAATGGGGCTACATCTGGATAAATTCATCATAAACTGAAAATATCTAAGTCAAAAATGTTTCATAAGTCAAATTCTACTTATGATATTTTCAACTTATGATGGGGTTGTTGGAACATAATCTCATCATAAGTTGAGGTGCGTACTGAATGCATATCACTTTCATACCATCATAAAGTCGAAAGCTCACTAGTCAAGCCTTATCTTAAGCTGGAGACCATCTGTATACTCCCCAGTGTGGAGGAAAGTAAGACAGTAGCTAAGAGAGGCTATGCTAAGGTTTTGAGCAGCACTCTTCTTCTCTAAAAACTTTTCTATCCACCATCAAAGATAGGACCACTGTGCTTCTCTTCTGATTCATTAATGCTAATCTTGGGTTGAAATTTTCTATGAACATCTTATAGAATTTCTTAAATATTATTATCAATAGAGATACTACTGAGATCTTACAGTCATTAAGAGATGTACTAGGTACCAAGAAAAACAGTAAAATTCTATGTAAGCACACAGCAGGTAGGTATGTGTGCAAAGCACCCACATGTGCACACATACCCTCATGAGCAACATTATTTATCAGGTACTGATTGTTCATGAGATCTTACATTAGATATGAAGCAATAGAAAATGAATAAGGGGCTGGGCGTGGTGGCTCACACCTGTAATCCCAACACTTTGGGAGGCCAAGGCGGGAAGATCACCTTAGGTTCAGGAGTTCAAGACCAGCCTGGCCAACATGGTGAAACCCTGTCTCTATTAAAAATACAAAAAAATTAGTCGGGCATGGTGGCACACGCCTGTAATTCCAGCTACTCAGGAGGGTGAGTCAGGAGAACTGCTTGAACCCGGGAGGTGGAGGTTTCAGTGAGCCAGGACCGCAACAATGTACTCCAGCCTGGGCAACGAGAATGAAATTCCGTCTCAAAAAATAAATAAACAAATGAATAAGGTACCTCAATGTCAAGTAACTGTGTATATGTGTTGGGGTATGTTTTTAGATAAAAATGTCTTATAACAATGTCTTATAAATATCATTCCAGGCTTTTTTTAAGCTTTTCTTTAAGGGATGTTTCTAGACATGAATAAATTTTACTGTACTTACTGCTAAAATGTCTGCTTCTACAGGCAGTAGGTTTAAGAATGCAAAGAGCTGGACAGTCAAGATGGTGTAGACTTGTGTGGCTGACAGCATGAGCATCCCTATGGAGAGCAGCATCTCGTTGTAAAATCACCTGGAAGACAAGGATGTGAGTAACTGAGAGCTGGTGCTTTGTCCCAGGGAATAGATCATTTGATATATTAATTCCCAATGTCCAAAAATATCCCTTTTAATTATAAACATGTATTAACATTAAAAGTAAAGCTTTTATTTCAAAAGCATAAGAACTTACACAGATTTGGACATTTAGGTAAACACCCATGTTTAGTCAATACCTATGTAACTCATGATGACAAAGTTCTGTTTTAATCACAAAACAAACATCCTCCCACAGTGCTCAGTTTATAGTACAGCTTGTCTTACTAACCCAAATTTCAGAGAAACTAGATTTCAACCAAAATAATGGTTAAAAACATACACACAAGCATCTTTGCTTTAAAATTGAAAATTTTCTACAACTTAAAAAATTTTTACTTCTGGTTCAATATAAATTCACATGTAAATTTACTTTTCATTTGCTATTGTATATTGTACCAACATCAGAGAATGCCAAAAAATTAACAGCCACTTATAATAAAGGAATACTTTTTGTCCATTACCTCCTAACAATCTATGCTTTTTTCCCCTCTCTACGTCTGAATGGCAACAGCATAACTACCTCTCCCAACTTCATCCTGTTCACTATGAGTCCCTTTCTCTCTTTTAGCAAAAAGATACCGTGAAAAGACTAAATGTCAACCCATAAATATAAAAATTATCATTGGTAAGCCTCAATCAATTGTATTATATACTCTTAAACAAGTGAGAACGAACATTACAAAAACAAGGGCTTTTATAATGAATTATTTCATTAAATATCCCAAACTCATGTAATATCCGTTTTGATGATGATTAGTGTGGATAAGTGCTCTAGATATAGAAGCTGCCATATAGACTCAAACTCTGAATCTCTGACTCACACACTGGAAGTAAAATACCTGTGAATAATTTTTAAGGTACCATTTACAAAGCCACTAATATCAGAGATGAAATAAAAATGAAAACATGCTAAAGTATAGATTTGTTCCTTAACGACAAAAAGTAAATTAGTGGTTGCCTAGGGATTGGCAGGGCGTGGGGGGAAAGCTTGAGGGAGGGGAAAGGTGGGAATGAGAAATGACTGCTAATGAGTAAGGGTTTTGGAGGGGAGATGGTGAAAATGTTCTAAAATTAGACTCTGGTGATGGTTGCACAACTCTATAAATATACTAAAAATCACTGCATTGTACACTTTAATTGGTTGAATTTTATAATGTGAGAATTGTATCTCAATAAAGCTTTTTTTAAATGTCTAGATTTGTTGACATTCGTTTCTTAAGTAAAATACATTTCATAACATACCATGGTACAGAAAAGAGTTAACACAGCAGGCCTGAGATTGCTATCCCTAGAAAGGTCTGCTTGCAAGGTTGGCCCCTCGCTGGCATCTGGAAATTTAGATTTCAGGACAGTTCCCACTATTTCCTAGTAAGAACAGCTCAGTGTGCCTACACTTTACAAAAAATGTGGTTTGTGCTGAATACCTGTTTTCCTTCTAGGATCTAGAATTTTGGTGCATGCTAGACAGAGAGTGTCTATATTAACAACCCCTAATATAAACCCTGGGCACTGAGTCTCTAATGAGCTTCCCTGGTAAACATTTTACATGTGTTGTCACAACTTGCTTGAGGAATTAGACGCATCCCATGTAACTCCACTGGGAAAGGACCCTTAGACGCTTACACTGATTTACTCTGGACTTTACCCCATGTGCCTTTTCTTCTCACTGATTTTGTTTTGTATCCTTTTGCTGTAATAAATCACAGCCATAAGTACAACCATGTGCTGAGTCTTGTAAATGCTCCTAGTGAATCACTGAATGTGGACAATTTCTGGTTAGAAATCATACCATAAAAGCACACAAATATTTACAAAATAAGGTATAGTTGTTATTAAATTTTAGTAGGAAGAAGAAGTATGTACCTAATTGACCAGTGACCTCTTTGGGAAACTGAATCTGAATAAAAACTATGACTTTCCATCTAAATTTCCAGCTAACTTTGGGGAAGGGAAAGGGAGACAGAGTTTGGAGGGAAAATAAAAGATTGGAATAATAACCAAAACAACTAATACTGATCTCTTACTAAGTGCCAGGCATTGCTGTAAGCATGTTATTGAGTTAACTCACTTAATCCTAACCTCCCTGTAAGGTAGGTATCATTTCACAAATGGGGAAGACTTAAGAACTGTTAAGCAACTTGCCCAAGATAAAACAACAAATAATAGCAGAGCCAGGATTCAAACCTAACAGTCAGTTTCCAAAGTCCACATTCTAAACCCCTACTGAAAACAGCATCAATATCCATCCAAGGTTGATGTTCGAAGAGTAAAGTACAGCTTCTTGCCTACACATGTATTCAAGGGCTTCAAAAGCCAATGCTCATGGATCAACAGTCACCAGTTTCCTTTTACTTCGTATATGACAGTGTATGTGTGTATATTGTGTGTATTCAATGACATGTAGCATGTTTTGAGGGTTTTTTGCATTTATTGCCTTTTTTAAATAATGTTCAGGAGTTTTGCTTTATAGTCTCTATTTACGAAACTAATTCTTGCTCATTGTGGAAAATGTGGGGAAAATGAAAATTATAAATAATCCTCAAATTAAGGAACAACTAGTGCTCATACTTTGATGTATAACTTCCTAGTCTTTTAGCAATGTATAGAGTTGTCCCTTGGTATCCATGGGGGATCAGTTCCAGGACTCCCTGCGGATACCAGAATCTGAAGATGCTTAAGTTCCTTATGTAAAATCATGTAGTATTTGTATATAATCTACACATGTCCACCCAAATACTTTAAAACATCTCTAGATTGCTTATATCTAATACAATGTAAATGCTATGTAAATAGTGGTTATGCTGTATTGTTTCAAGAATAATGACAAGAAAAATAGTCTGTACATGTTCAGTATAGTCACTTTTTTCCCCAAATATTTTCACTCTGCAGTTGATTGAATCCATGGATGTAGAACCCATGGATACGGAGGGCGAACTGCACATTCAAATACGTTTTTAGCAAAATTGGGGGCACACTGTGCATACTGTTTTACTAATTGTATTTTTTTCACTTAAGGTATTATGAATATTTTCCTAACTCTCCTCAAAAACCATTGCAGATAGCTGTCCATGAAATACTGTGGAGCGTCCCTCCCTTTCAAGCATTATTTTTTCTTAATCTATTTCACACATTGGGTTTCCATACGTAATTTGTTTATACAAAATAAAAACTACTGGTCAAAAATATGATGTATAAATGGCCATATGGCATTCCTTATGAATATTCTTTAATGGGCTGAACAGAAATTCTTACTGTTGGAATTTTTCTTTTTAGAAAAACACTGCAATAAATATTCCTTTAATTACACCTATAGGTAAACCCTTAATATTTTTTAAAGTGATAAAAGTGGCTGGCATTATAATAATTGCAGTAAAAAATATGGAATTTATACATATGGGTTTATATCCCAGCACTGTCCCATACTAATAGTGTAATTTGGAGGTAAATATTTAAACTACAAAAATTGCTTTATCTCTAAAAGAAGGACCATAGGACCTATAAGACAACTCTGTAGAATAAATACAATTATGCACAGAAGGGCTTAACATAGCAATGGAATATAGAAAGAAAGGACTTTGGATAGGGATGCCAACAGATGAAACAGGAAACATAGAAGGAAGACCACAGTGAGAAAGTAAGTACAATTTGAGAATTTCTGAACTTAGTATTTGTGGAACAGTCTGGTGGACATGTACACAGGCAACAATAAATAAAGATCTCGAGCTCCACACAAGGCAAAAAGAGACTTAGGAATCATCAGCAGATAGGAATAATTGAAGTGCTCTTAATGTAAAAGTGAAAATCAAAAAGAAAAGAGGACTAAAAAACTCTGAGGGATATCTAAGTTTCAAAGACAGGTGGAAAAAGAAAAAAGAGAGAGAGACTGATTTCACAAAAGTCAAGAGAGAAAAGAACTTTAAAATGAATGTGGGGGGAAGTAAGGCATTGGTCAACAGAAGTAAATGTTGGAGAAGGCGCAAGAGGGTCTAAAATTTTCACATTTAAGAATCTGCCCAGGCCGAGTGTAGCAGCTCACACCTGTAATCCTAACACTTTGGGAGGCCGAGGCAGGTGGATCACCTGAGGTCAGGAGTTCCAGACTAGCCTGGCCAACATGGGGAAACCCCGTCTCTACTAAAAATACAAAAATTAGCCAGGCACGGTAATTTCTGTAGCTGAGTAGCTGCAATCCCAGCTACTCAGGAGGCTGAGGCACGAGAATCACTTGAACCCGGGAGGCAGAGGTTGCAGTGAGCCGAGGTCATGCCACTGCACTCCAGCCTGAGCAACAGAGCAGGACTCTGTCTCAAAAAATAAAAATAAAAAAAAGAATCTGCTCAACCTAAACAATTTTACTTTCTCATACTCTACCACTCACCCTTGCTCTGATCAATCAGCTCACTGTTTCCAGCAATCACCTTGCTGGCATTATATCTTCATTCACATGTTACCCAGGAACTAAAATACACTCTCTTCTATCTTCAAAAGAGAATTTGGGGGAAAACTACAAATCTTATTAAATTGTATGCAAAATTTTGTGTATGTTCAACTACACAAAGTTTCTGTGAAAAAGATCCACACTTATTAACATGTTCTCAAATAAGCACATAGGTTTTTTGTTGTTGCTGCTAGGTTTTGTTTTGTTGTTTTCACTTAAATCTGCCCTTTTCCAGGAAGCCTCCTGAGGAAAAAGGTTAGCAAGCTTAAATTCTCTGATATCATCTTCTAGCACTTAATCAACTGGATTAAAATAAATGCAGGCTGTCAGCTGTATTACTAGGCAATATTATTTATGGTAAAAATGACTCCTGATTGGTGAAAAGTATTTAAACTGAAAAGACTGTAAGTTAACTAAAAAAGCTTATTACAAAAACATAAACAAAAAAAGTCTCTGATTCCCTACAGTGTCTGTTTCTTGAAAGAAAGCATGATGCTTGAGCGAAGCTGGAGCTACTCACGGACTATTAAAAGAAGTGGTTCCTTTCATATGTGACACTTTTGTATGCTGAGGTGATACACATCCATATATTTATCTCACTGGTTACAATCCAGTATACTCTTTGGTAGGTATGAAAGGTTTATCTGAATGAATGTAAGGCTTCTCAGTGAAGATGCATTTTATGTTGATATGTTGTGCTCCCAGTCTCTATCCTCCTACCTCCTACCAAGCTAGTGAACCTGGTACCAGATAATAGCCCATCAGTTATTGAGAGTGTGGATACCAATCAGAACCCCTGACCACGCAGGTGGACAGTGAGTGTGGTATCTTTCTTCCCCATTACAATTCTTACTGGCCTCTCATGCTTGAACTTATTCAACTGTTGGAGTCTCTGCATGGACCACAGTAAAGTACTGTTTGTCGAGACTCTTATCCCCCAGCAAATAGAATACATCCATCCTGAGGATATTTTAGAACCATTCTGGGAAACAGAGAAAACATAGAAAAAAATCTAGTAAAATCTTGCTGATAACAAACATCTACCCTTTATCCTTTTCCTCCTCCTTGTGCCCCTCGTCCTCCCACTCATATTACCAAAGACAGAATATAACTCTGTATTCATTTTGAGTATGCCTATAATAAAAAAAGTCACACTTCTTCAAAGGAAGAAAGTTCAAAGTAGAGAATATACAAGAAACTCTTGAGAACTACCAAAAAGGCTTCTAGAGATGTGTACACTACCACGATCTTTGATCACATCTAATTTGGCCTACCATTTGACATAATTCTACTAGTTATTAACAGACATTTTAACTGAAATCAGCTTCGTCACTCTAAAGATTTTTCCAACTGTCAAATTCTAATTTTACTTTCTGTTCAGTCTGTATTATAACACTTAAGATGTATTCTTGCGAAACTGTTTTAAACCAGTTCTAACAAGCCTTTAGCTCTCACTTCAAGTTTACAAGAATTTTCTGGAATGAAAAAAAATAAATAAGATACCACAAGATGGGTGTCTTGCTTGAGGGTAATGCCCCAATTTCTACAAAATTCAACACAATAAACAGAGACAGTACAAGAGGACAGAATGAGGAAATGGCATGAAATTGTTACACATCAAAAGAGATGAGAAACAGTAAAGACAAATGCAACATACAGTTCCATTAAACCAACAATAAAAATACATTTTCGGAATAATGGAGACAACGGAAATATGGCCCAGATATTAGATATCCTTTAAAAAAATCCTTAGCTATGATGATAGTATTATGGCTGGTATGGGTTTGGCTGCATCCCCAACCAAACCACATCTTGAATTCCCAGGTGTTGTGGGAGAAACCTCGTGGGAGGTTAATTGAATCATGGGGGCAGGTCTTTCCCATGCTATTCTCATGAGAGTGAGTAAGTCTCATGTGAACTGATGGTTTTATAAAAGGGAAGTTCTCCTGCACATGCTCTCTTGCTTGCTGCCATGTAAGACATGCCTTTGCTTCTCCTTTGCCTTCTGCCATGATTCTGAGGCCTCTCCAGCCATGTAGAGCTGTCAGTCCATTAAACCTCTTTTTCTTTATAAATTACCCAGTCTTGAGTATTTCATCATAGCAGTATGAAAATGGACTAACATAGTAAATTGGTACCAGTGGAGTGGGTACTGCTATTAAGATACCAGAAAACTTAGTTTAAAAGGGAAGTGACTTTGGAACTGGATAACAGGCAGAGGTTGGAACAGTTTGGAGGGCTCAGAAGAAGACAGGAAAATGTGGGAAAATGTGGAGCTTCCTAAAGACTTGTTGAATGGTTTTGACCAAAATGCTGATAGTCATATGGACAATGAAGTTCAGGCTGAAGTGGTCTCAGAAGGAGATGAGGAACTTATTGGGAACTGGTGAAAAGGTGATTCTTGATATGCTTTAGCAAACAGACTGGTGGCATTTTGTCCCTGCCCTAGAGATTTGTGGAACTTTTAACTTGAGAGAGATGATTTAGGGTATCTGGCGGAAGAAATTTCTAAGCAGTAAACTGTTCAAGAGGTGATTTGAGTACTCTTAAAAGCATTCAGTTTTATTCATTCACAAAAATACGGTTTGGAATTGGAACTTATGTTTAAGGGAAGCAGAGCATAAAAGTTCAGAAAACTTGCAGCCTGATGATGCAATAGAAAAGAAAAACCCATTTTCTGAGGAGACATTCAAGCCAGCTGTAGAAATTTGCTTAAGTAACGAGGAGCCAAATGTTAATTGCCAAGAAAATAGGGAAAATGTCTCCAGGGCATGTCAGAGGTTGTCATGGCAGCCTCTCCCATCACAGGCCCAGAGGCCTAGGAGGAAAAAATGGCTTGCTGGGCTGGGCCCAGGGCCTTGCTGCTTTGTGAAGTCTTGGGACTTGGTGCCCTGCATCCCAGCCGTGGCTAAACAGAGCCAAGGTACAGTTTGGGCCCTGGCTTCAGAGGATGCAAGCCCCAAGCCTTGGCAGTTTCCACGTGGTATTGAGCCTGCAGGTGCACAGAAGTCAAGAATTGAGGCTTGGGAACCTCTGCCTGGATTACAGAATCTGTATGGAAATGCCTGGATCCCCAGTCAAAAGTTTGCTGCAGGGGCAGAGCCCTCATGGAGAACCTTTGCTAGGGCAGTGTGGAAGAGAAATATGGGGTTGGAGCCCCCACACAGAGTCCCTACTGAGGCACCACCTGGTGGAGCTGTGAGAAGAGGACCACTGTCCACCAGACGCCAGAATAGTAGATCCACCAACAACTTGCACCGTGCACCTGGAAAAGCCGTAGACACTCAACGCCAGCCCATGAAAGCAGCCAAGAGGAAGGCTGTACACTGTAAAGCCACCAGGGAGGAGCTGCCCAAGACCATAGGAACCTACCTCTTGCATCAGCGTGACCTGGATGTGAGACAAGGAGTCAAAGGAGATCATTTTGGAGCTTTAAGATTTGACTGCCCCGCTGGATTTTGGACTTGCATGGGGCCTGTAGCCCTTTTGATTTGGCCAATTTCTCCCACTTGGAACAGCTGTATTTACACAATGCCTGTACCCCCATTGTATCTAGGAAGTGACTGATTGGCTTTTGATTTTACAGGCACATAGGCAGAAGGAACTTGCCTTGTCTCAGATGAGACATTGGAATGTGGACTTTTGAGTTAATGCTGAAATGAATTAAGACTTTGGGGGACTTTTGGAAGGCATGATTGGTTTTGAAATATGAGGACATGAGATTTGGGAGGGGCCAGGGCAGAATGACATGGTTTGGCTGTGTCCTCACCCAAATCTCATCTTGAATTCCCATGTGTTGTGGGAGGGACCCGGCAGGAGGTAATTCAATCATGGAGGCAGGTCTTCCCCATGTTATTCTCGTGATAATGAATAAGTCTCATGAGATCTGATGGATTTATAAAGGAGAGTTGCCCTGCACAAGCTCTCTTCTCTTGTCTGCCACCATGTGAGACGTGCCTTTCACCCTCTGCCATGATTGTGAGGCCTCTCCAGTGATGTGGAACTGTAAGTCCATTAAACCTCTTTCTTTTGAAAATTGCCCAGTCTCAGGTGTCTTTATCAGCAGTGTGAAAAAGGACTAATACAATAGCTGTATGAAAAAGTCCTTATTTGGGGAGCTATCTATTATAGTAAAGTACTTAGGAAAGAAATGTCATGATATCTGTCATTTAAAGCACTTCAGAAAAAAACACACTATAAATCTAGGTGAAGATTACATTGAGATTCATTACACTATTTCTCTGCTTTTCTATATGTTTGAGAATTTATATAATAAAAAGTTTACTAAATGCATGAAAAATTATTTTAACTCTTCAGTGATCTTTTCAGAAGGCCTTCAGCCTCTTTTCTTAATGTGGCATACAGACATAAAATTTACCATATAAAAAATTTTAAAGTATACAGTTCAGTAACATTAACTATATTCACATTGTTGTGCAAATATTACCACAATCCATCCCTAGAATTTTCTCATCTTCCCAAACTGAAACCTGGTACACATTAATTACCCATGCCCCATCCCCTGGCCATTGGCAAGCACAATTTTATTTTCTGTTTCTATAAATTCAACTACTCTAACTACCTAATATAAGTGGAATCATACAATATTTGTCCTTTTGTGACTAGCTTATTTCACTTAGCATGATATCTTGAAGTGTTGTACCACATGTGAAAATTTCCTTCCTTAGCAGGCTGAGTAATATTCCATTATATGTACATACCCCATGTTACTGATCCATTCATCTCTCAATTGACACTTGGGTTGCTTAGATCTTTTAGCTATTGTGAAAAAAATAACTGAGTTCCTGCTTTAAATTATTTGTGGCATATACCCAGAAGTATTGCTGGATCATATGGTAATTCTACGTTTGATTTTTTTTTTTTAAAGAACTGCCATACCATTTTCCAAAGTGGCTGCACCATTTTACTTTCCCACAAATAATGCACAAACAGTTACTATTTCTTCACATCCTTGCCAACATTTGCTATTTTATGTTGTTTTCCTTCAAGACCAGAATGAGATACCACTTTAAATCTATTTTATGATAGACATATATATACAATATATATATATACATATAGCCATACTAAAATACATGTAAAGTGGTATCTCATTGTGGTCTTGACTTGCACTTCCCCAATGATTAGTGATGTTGAGCATCTTTTCATGTACTTTTTGGCCATTTGTATGTCTTCTTTGGAAAAATGTCTATTCAGCTCCTATGTTCATTTTTTAATTGGGTTGCTTGGTTTTTTGCCACTGAGTTAACAATCCCATCAAAAAGTGGGCTAAGGACATGAATAGGCAATTCTCAAAAGAAGATACACAAATAGCCAACAAACAAAATAAGAAATGCTCAACATCACTAGTGATCAGAGAAATGCAAATCAAAACCACTATGCAATACCACCTTACTCCTGCAAGAATGGCCATTATCAAAAAAATTTTAAAAAATGGAGGTTGGCATGGATGTGGTGAAAGGGAACACTTCTACACTGCTGGCAGGAATGTAAACTAGTACAACCACTATGGAAAACAATGTGGAGATTCCTTAAAGAACCAAAAGTAGAACTACCATTTGATCCAGCAATCCCAGTACTGGGAATCCAGCAATCCCAGTACTGGGAATCCAGCAATCCCAGTACTGGGGATCCAGCAATCCCACTACTGGGGATCCAGCAATCCCAACCCAGGAGAAAAGTCATAAAAAAAAGATATTTGCACACACGTTTATAACAACACAATTCACAATTGCAAAAATATGGAACCAGCCCAAATGCCCATCAATCAACTACTGGATAAAGAAATTGTGGTACACACATACACACACACACACACAAACACACACACACACACACACACACACACACACAATGGAATACTACGCAGCCATAAAAATGAATTAATTAATGGCATTTGCAGCAACCTAGATAGAACTGGAAACTATTATTCCTAGTGAAGTAACTCAGGAATGGAAAACCAAACATCGTATGTTCTCACTCGTTAGTGGGAGCTAAGCTACGAGAATGCAACGGTATAAGAATGATACAATGGACTTTAGGGACTCAGGGGAAAGGGTAGGAGGGGGTGAAGGTGTATACTGCTCAGGTGATGGATGCACCAAAATCTCACAAATCACCACTAAAGAACTTACTCATGTAACCAAATACCACCTGTTCCCCAAAAACCTATGGAAATAAAAAAATTTTTTAAATTCTCTATATATTCTAGACAGCAATTCCTTATAAAATATATGATTGAAAAGTATTTTCTCTCATTTTTTTCACCCTGTTGGTACTGTCCTTCAATGCACAAGAAGTTTTAATTTTCATGAAGTCAAACATCTATTTTTTTCTTTTCTTGCCTGTGCTTTTGGTGTCCTGCCCAAGAAATTATTGACAATTCCAATGTTGTGAAGCTTTCTTTATGTTTTCCTCTAAGAGTTTTACATAGTAGCTCTTATGTTTAGATCTCTGATCAATTTTGAGTTAACTGTTGCATATGGTATAAGGTAAAGGTCAAATTCATTCTTTTACATACAGATATTCAGTTTTCCCAACACACCATTTGTAGAAGAGACTGTGTACAATGCCTTTCTCTATCAAATGATCTTGACACCTTAGTCCATTTGTGTCGCTATAAAGGAATATCTGAAGCTGGGTAATTTATAAAGAAAAGAGGTTTATTTGGCCCACAGTTCTGTAAGCTGTACAAGAAGGATGGTACCAACATCTATATCTGGTGAGGACCTCAAGCTGCTTCCATTCATGGCAGAAGGCAAAAGGGAGCCCATCACACAGCAAGAGCAGCAAGTGAGAGAGAGGGAAGAAAGTGCCAAGTTCTTTTCAATCACCAGTTCTCAAAAGAACTAAGAGTGAAATTTCAGTCATTCCCATGAGAACGGCATCAAGCCATTCATGAGGGATCTACCCCCATAATCCAAATAGCTCCCATCAGACCCTACCTCCAATACTGGGGATCAAATATCAATATGAGACTTGGTGGGGCCAGACAAACCATTTCCAAACCATAGGAGGACTTCTGTCAAAAGTTATTTGAGCATGTATGTGAGGCTTTATTCCTGAGCTCTTTATTCTATTCCATTGCTCTATATGTCTATCTTTACACCAGTACCACACTATTTTAATTACTGGAATTTTGTAGTTAAGTTTTGAAATCAGGAAGTATACGACCTACAACTTTGTTTTGGCTATTTGGGGTCCCTTGAGATTCCATATATGGTTTAGGATAGATTTTCCTATTTCTGCAAGAAGGTTATTGCGATTTTGATAATATTACATTGAATCCATAGATTTCTTTGGGTAGTACTGACATCTTAACAGTATTAAGTCTATCAATCCATAAACATGGAATGTCTATTCATTTATTTATGTCCTCTTTATTTCAGCAAAGTCTTACAATTTTCAGTGTACAATTCTTCCACCTCCTTGGTTTAATTTATTACTATTTTATTTTTGTTGATATTGTAAATGGAATTGTTTTCTTAATTTCCTTTTTGGATAGTTCGCTGTTACTTTATAGGAATGCAACTGATTTTTGTGTGTGATTTTGTATCCTGCAACTTTGCTGAATTCATTTATTATTAATAGTTCTATCAGATATTTTTTCTTTTGTGGAATCTTAGATTGCCTACATGTAAGGTCATATCATCTGCTTACAATGGTAATCTTACTTATTCCTTTCTAATTTTGATGCCTTTCATTTCTCTTTCTTGCCTAATTGCTCTGGCTAGGACTTCTGGTGCCAAGATAAATAGAAATGGCAAAGGCAGGAATCCTTGTCTTGTTCCTGATCTTAGAGGAAAAGCTTTCAGTCTTTTATGACCAATTATATTAGTTGTCGGTTTTTTACACATGGCCTTTATTCTGAGGTAGTCTCCTTCTATTTTCAGTTTGTTGGGTGTTTTATCATGAAAGAGTGTTAAATTCTGTGAAATGCTTTTTCTGCATCTATTGAAGTGATTATGTGTTTTTATTCTCTTAATGTGGTACATTACATTGACTATAACACTTTTCACATGTAGAACCATCCTTGCATTCCAAGAATAAGTCCAACTTGGTCATGTGTATAATGCTTTTAACGTGCTGCTGAATTCAGTTTGCTAGCATTTTGTTGAGGATTTTTACATCAGCAGTCATAAGAGATAATGGCCTGCCTGGCCAAAATGGTGAAACCCTGCCTCTACTAAAAATACAAAAATTAGCTGGGTGTGGTGACAGGCACCTGTAATCCCAGCTACTCGGGAGGCTGAGGCAGGAGAATCTCTTAAACCTGGGAGGCAGAGGTTGCAGTGAGCCAAGATCACACCATTGCACTCCAGCCTAGGCAACAGAGTGAGGCTCCATCTCAAAAAAAAAAAAAAAAAAAGAGAGAGAGAGAGAACGATAAGTTATGTAGTTTTCTTTTCTTTCTTTTTTTAGTATCCTTGTCTGACTTTGGTACCAGGGTAATTTTGGCCCCTTAGAATAAGTTAGGAGGTGTTCCCTCTTTATCAGTTTTTTGGGAAGAGTTTGAGAAAAATTGATGTTGATTCTTCCTTAAATATTTGGTAGAATTCACCAATGAAGCCATCTGATCCCAGGCTTTTCTTTCTTGGAATGTTTTTGATTATTGCTTCAATCTCCCATAGGTCTGTGCAAGCTTTCTATTTTTTCATGATTCAGTGTTGGGAGGTTGTGTCTTTCCAGGTATTCATCCATTTCATCTAGGTTATCCAATTTCTTGGCATAAAATTGTTTATAGTACTTTTACAATCCTTTTTATTTCTATAAAATTGGTAGTTGTGTCCCCTCTTTCATTTCTGATTTTAGTTGAGTCTCCTCTCTTGTTTTCTTTAGTCACTATAATGAAAGATTTGTTAATTTCATAGATTTTTTTTAAAAACCAATTGTTGGTTTGGCTGAGTTTTCTCTTGGCCTCATTTTTGAGAAAATGAGCAAACTGGCTGGTACACATGATTATCTGTATGGTTTTGGAGGATAAATGACAGTTACTTGTCTAATGCTGGTCACTGAAAAATTTGAAAATTTCCCAAGCATCACAGTAAATCCTAACTTCACATTTAAATCTGTGACAATGAATTTTTAAGACCAGTATTACTTTCAGGAAATTCACTTCCAAATAAATTTTAATTCTGAAGATGAGTCAACAGTGTGATACCAACTGCTTCACTGCCAAATAACACTCATGAAACAGCCAGCCATCTCCATAAGAAATCCACCAAGTAAGCTCAGATTCCACTGGTTCTGAAGCTACATTCTTGACCTTCACTGGCATCTCAAGAACTGGACCAAAATATTCCACTACTAAAAGAATTGTTATCTTTTCCTAATTTGCGAACAGAATAGGCAGAGTAATTTCAATTTGTTTTTTTCAAGAAATGTACCTTATACTACAATAAGCATCAGAAGAATATATACTGTACCAAGCACTAACAGAAAAAAATCAGCGAACAATTAATTAACTATTTTAGTGGAAAATTTATAATAGCCAGTCACACATCATTTAATAGGTTATTTTTCCTACAAATGTGATTATGGTCACATATGTTTATAACATATATATGGCACTATAAAATTTCCTCCAAAATAGTGTTCTCAGCTCACACACCACCTAAATATATCAATAACTTCCTAGTGTTCCTTAAAAAGCATCAAGATTTCCAGGAATTCTGGCAACTAGAATTTCTAACACATACTGTATTAGTCCATTTTCATACTGCTATGAAGAAATACCTGCCCCTGGACCCTCCCAAATCTCATGTCCTCATATTTCAAAACCAATCATGCCTTCCCAACAGTCCCCCAAAGTCTTAATTCATTTCAGCATTAACTCAAAAGTCCACATCCAAAGTCTCATCTGAAACAAGGTAAGTCCGTTCCGCCTATGAGCCTGTAAAATCAAAAGCAAGTTAATTATTTCCTAGATACAATGAGGGGACAGGCATTGGTCAAATACACCCATTCCAAACGGGAGAAACTGGCAGAAACAAGGGGGGTACAGAGTCCATGCAGACTGAAATTTTACAGCAGAGCAATCAAATCTTAATGCTCCAAAATGATCTCCTTTGACTCCATGTCTCATATCCAGCTCATGCTGAGGAAGAGGTGGGCTCCCGCAGACTTGGGCAGTTCTGCTCCTGTAGCTTTGCAGGGTACAGCTCCCTTCCTGGTTGCTTTCATGGGCTGGCATTGAGAGTGTAAAGCTTTTCCAGGCATGTGGTGCAAGCCATTGGTGGATCTACCATTCTGGAGTCTGGAGAACAGTGGCCTGCTTCTCACAGCTCCACTAGGCAGTCCCCAGTAGGGACTCTGTGTGGGGGCTCCAACACTGTATTTCCCTTCCACACTGCCCTAGCAAAGGTTCTCCCTGAGGGCTTCACCCCCGCAGCAAACTTCTGTCTGGACATCCAGGCATTTCCATACATTCTCTGAATTCTAAATGAAGATTCCC
The DNA here is from genome assembly GCF_000001405.40 of Homo sapiens. NCBI lineage: Eukaryota > Metazoa > Chordata > Mammalia > Primates > Hominidae > Homo > Homo sapiens. Next base: position 149,831,033 of record NC_000003.12, on the reverse strand, counting down.
AAACCTCAGTTCTGGACTTCTGTGCACCTTGCAGCTCAACACCACGTGGAAGCTGTCAATGCTTGGGGTTTGCACCCTCTGAAGCCAGGACCCAAACTGTACCTTGGTCCCTTTTAGCCACAGCTAGGACCCAGGACACCAAGTCCCAAGACTTCACAAAGCAGCAAGGCCCTGGGCCCAGCCCAGCAAGCCATTTTTTCCTCCTAGGCCTCTGGGCGTGTGATAGGAGGGGCTGCCATGAAGACCTCTGACATGCCCTGGAGACATTTTCCCTATTTTCTTGGCAATTAACATTTGGCTCCTCGTTACTTAAGCAAATTTCTACAGCTGGCTTGAATGTCTCCTCAGAAAATGGGTTTTTCTTTTCTATTGCATCATCAGGCTGCAAGTTTTCTGAACTTTTATGCTCTGCTTCCCTTAAACATAAGTTCCAATTCCAAACCGTATTTTTGTGAATGAATAAAACTGAATGCTTTTAAGAGTACTCAAATCACCTCTTGAACAGTTTACTGCTTAGAAATTTCTTCCGCCAGATACCCTAAATCATCTCTCTCAAGTTAAAAGTTCCACAAATCTCTAGGGCAGGGACAAAATGCCACCAGTCTGTTTGCTAAAGCATATCAAGAATCACCTTTTCACCAGTTCCCAATAAGTTCCTCATCTCCTTCTGAGACCACTTCAGCCTGAACTTCATTGTCCATATGACTATCAGCATTTTGGTCAAAACCATTCAACAAGTCTTTAGGAAGCTCCACATTTTCCCACATTTTCCTGTCTTCTTCTGAGCCCTCCAAACTGTTCCAACCTCTGCCTGTTATCCAGTTCCAAAGTCACTTCCCTTTTAAACTAAGTTTTCTGGTATCTTAATAGCAGTACCCACTCCACTGGTACCAATTTACTATGTTAGTCCATTTTCATACTGCTATGATGAAATACTCAAGACTGGGTAATTTATAAAGAAAAAGAGGTTTAATGGACTGACAGCTCTACATGGCTGGAGAGGCCTCAGAATCATGGCAGAAGGCAAAGGAGAAGCAAAGGCATGTCTTACATGGCAGCAAGCAAGAGAGCATGTGCAGGAGAACTTCCCTTTTATAAAACCATCAGTTCACATGAGACTTACTCACTATCACGAGAACAGCACAGAAAAAACCACCCCCATGATTCAATTACCTCCCACCACGTCCCTCCCACAACACATGGGGTTTATAGGAGCTATAATTCGAAATGTGATTTGGGTGGGAACACAGCCAAACCATATCACATACTATATTTAAATCTCCATAGTTTTTTAACGCTTTTAAAAACACTGGATCAGAAGTTGTCATAAGCAAAAGTGTTACATCAGAAACCAAAACAAAACAAAAACAACAATAATAGGGCTTCTCTTTTTAAGCAAAAATAAGATGTCCAATATTTTTTGCAAGAAAGCAGAAGTTTGCCCAGCAAATTCCTCTAACATAAAGCCTTCCAAAGTAAAAGCAAGCATAATCTAAGATTTTTAACTACCACAATCAACCAAAGCAAAATTTTTTCACCTATGCAATAAATGTTTTACAATTTTATTTTTCAACAAATGAAACAAAATGATCAATTTTTTACTTTTAATAGATTAAGAAAAAACAGGTTTTTCTGGCCGGGCGCAGTGGCTCACACCTGTAATCCCAACACTTTGGGAGGCCGAGGCAGGAGGATCGCCCGAGGTCAGGAGTTCGAGACCAGCCTGGCCAACATGATAAAACTCTGTCTCTACTAAAAATACAAAAATTAGCTGAGCCTGGTGGCTCACGTCTGTAATCCCAGCTACTTGGGAGGCTGAGGCAGGAGAATCGCTTGAACCTGGGAGGAAGAGGTTGCAGTGAGCCAAGATAGCCACTGCACACCAGCCTGGGTGGCAAAGCAAGACTCCATCTCAAAAAGAAATAGGTTTTTCCAAAATATCAAATTCTTTCCAATCTCAGGGCCTTCATACCAATTGTTCTCAATCCCAAAGTTATAGTTTCTCACTCAGTATATATGAGATGTGATCCGGTCATCTATACTATTCACAGTATTAACATGTACTCCAGGTGATTCTTATAAATGGAAAATACATTTTTAGTTCAGTATATCACAAATCTCTCAGCGCCTGTGACAAAAATAAATGTTCCCAGGCCCCTCCCCTTGAGATGCAGACAGAAAACCTATAATTTGACTTTTAAAAAAGTTCCCTATTGAATCCATATAATTAAGTCAAATTTGGAAAGCACTGTTTTGAACCAAAGATTGGTAAGTGGCGTACCAAGTCATTATTCATAAACTTCTTGCAAGTCAATAGGCAGTGGGTAGAGGGTCAAACTAGAGAAGAAAAAAAAAGAGAGAGAGAGAGTGATAGGAGTGCTAAGAAAAACAGACTTCATAATTCTTTCAAATACCACTGTTGTCACCAGTACCATAGGCTGCCAACCCTAGCAATAAGCCACACAGCAAACAAGAAAAAGACAATTGACAATGAAATTGCTTTCATGAATAGCAGAATATTAAACACTAGGGAAAGATGGTAGAAAATTCTGGTTTTCTTGATTATCAAAATATCAAATATCATGCACAGTGTACTTGAAGGTATTAATGTCATCTATCTCCCAAACCAGAATGTTTTATTTTCATGATTCCTCACATAAATGTCACCATCACTGTAGCCAACATTGATAGAAAACTTAATTTTGTGCTAGGCACTGTGTTAAGCATCTGACATGAATGTTTTTCCTTCTAATCATCAAAACAACATTGTAAAATAAAACAAAAACAACACAGGAAAATAGTAACTTGCACTGTCATTCCATTTTCCCTATTTTAGGGGATTCAATTTCTATGTTTAAGTGCTAGAGTCTAACTGACTGACTAAATGAACCAGTTCCCTCATCCTAATTACTCCTTTAATTTTTGCAATTTCTGAACAAAAAGCTGAGAAGTCCAATGACTCGCACTTAGTTCAGGTGTTAAACATGAAACTTAACATGGCTTACCATGTTAATGGTGGAGCACCAGATCAAGTTACAGCATTCCCATTGATTATAACAACTGTTTCTTTAAAAAAAAAAAAAAAATAGAGAGATAGGGTCTTGCCTTGCTGCCCAGGCTGGTCTTGAACTCTTGGCCTCAAGCGATCCTCCCACCTTGGCCTCCCAAAATGCTAGGATAACAGGCATGAGCCACCACACTCAGCCTATAACAACTGTTTATTTAAAACATCACCCACAGCCCTGTTCTTGGTCTTTTCTGGACACCACACTCTCCCTTGACAAGTGTTTGCAGCCTGCCTATGCACCTATCATGCCTCACTCTTCTTATAATCATCTTTCCTTTTTTTATTATAATATGACTTTCTATCACACTATAATACTTGTTATGTTTATTGTTTAGTGTTCAGCTTTGCCACAAAAACATATGCTCCTCAAAGACAGGAATCTTTATTTTATGGATGTATCACAAGTACCTAAAGAGTGCCTATAATGTATTAGGTGTTTAATATTAATATTTATAGACTGAATGCCTACATAGCCTCTCTTGATATCTTCTGCAGAGCCTCTATGCTCAAAAAAAAAATTTAAGACCGTAACATTAAAAATGTTAAAAGTTTATATATAGTTTATATATACAGTCATCCTCGGTGTCTGTGAGAGACTGGTGCCAGGACTGCCCGCTCATACTAAAATCTATGGATGGTCAAGTTCCTTACCACAGATGGTATACTATTTGCATATAACCTACGCACCTCCTTCTATATACTTTAAATCATCTCTAGATTAGTTATAATACTGAATACAGTGTAAATGCTATGTAAATAGTTGTTATACCATATTGTTTAACATGTTTAGTACAGATGCAACCATCCATTTTTTTTCCTGAATATTTTGAATACTGGTTGAATCCACAGATACAGAGCCATGGATACAGAGGGCCAACTGTACGTTAATATTTAAAAATATATAAATATGGCTAGGCATGGTGGCTAATGCCTGTAATCCCAGCACTCTGGGAAGCTAAGGTAGGTGGACTGCTTGAGCCCAGGAGTTCAAGACCACCCTGGCCAAGATGGCAAAACTCTGTCTCTACATAAAAATACAAAAATTAGCTAGGCATAGTGGCATGCACAAGTAGTCCCAGCTACTCAGGAGGCTGAGGCATGAGGATCGTTTGAGCCCAGGAAGCAGAAGTTGCAGTGAGACAAGATTGCACCTCTGCACTCCAGCCTGGGTGACAGAGCAAGACCCTATCTCAAAACGAAACATAAATACTATGAAATAATAAATTAATTTGCTGAATCATGTAAGCTCTGGATGGTGGGACTCTGCGGTTTTTATTCTTCTTTATATTTATCTGCATGTTTCATAATAAAAAACTAAAACTCCCTAGACTATTTCATTTTGCATAATATATACAGGAGACTAGAAGAAAATACACGAAAATATTAAGAGAAATCTGTTCTACTTGCTCAAGTTTTCTAAGTGTGCATTACTTTTACACAGCAAAATATTTCTTAAATGAGCAAGCAACAAGTCTTTTAATTCACAAGTTTATTCATAATTTGGAGGAGATGAAATGATTTGAAGTAAAATATATGATCAAAAAAGAGAAAGGGCAGATCTTGAGCAGAGTTAACAAATCTGAGCAGTCATTTTCTGTCTGTAAGCCTTTAATTATACTCAAAAGACTCTATCCTACACTATAGTCCTTACAGTTATTATTGCCATAAAGGTCAAATGTAGCAGCCACTTGGGCTCTGAGGCATCTGCATTCATTAGCAACACATTATAATCAACCACAGGTGATAGCTTAATTAATTGTGATGCCATGGATTACCAGCATTCCATTTCCCTCTGACAAGGAGCTCAGCACTGCGCTCAGGCCCAAAGGCATAACCACCCAAATGCCAAAATCTCAGAATTTCAGATCTATCTGCTGGAGCCACTCCAGACACCAATTGTGTACCAGTAGAGATTCAAACAGGAGAAACTATTCAGTAAGTTAAACAAAAGGTATTCAATATAAATGATTATTAAGCTATGATAGGACAGTAAATATAAAGATACAAAGAGGGGTAGGGAGGGGCAGGAGAGAGGGATTCCAAAAGGGCATCAGGAAACTTCTAAGAGTGATGAATATGTTCATTAACTTCATTATATAGGTGGTTTCATGATTATATAAATATATCAGAACTTATCAAAGTATACACTTTTATGTAGTTTATTGTATGTGAATTATAAGTCAGTAAAGCTGTTTTCAATTTTTTAGAGAAAAGGAATTATTAAACTATAAGAGAGTAACACTGAGGGAGACATTACAAAGGGACAAACTTGGAAGAGAGCCTGAGGCTGAAATTCAGTTTTCACTGGAGCAGGTGTGGTTGCAGCACACCAGGTAACAGAGAATCTCACTGGGTTGACCAGACCAGAGCTGGTCCAAGGTTGCCCGGTAAACAATAAACAGCCCACTGGGGTGCTGATGGGTAGGTGTGCAGAGGCAGTCAGGGCACAGCTGCAGGCACCAGGCCTGGAATGTACAACATCTGCATCAAGAGGGTTGCTGGAGGCGGGGCATGGTGGCTCATACCTGTAATCCCAACACTCCGGGAGGCCGAGGCAGGCGGATCACCTGAGGTCAGGAGTTTGAGACCAGCCTGGACAACATGGTGAAACCCTGTCTCTACTAAAAATACAAAAATTAGCCAGGCGTGGTGGTGCCTGTAATCCCGGCTACTTAGGAGGCTGAATCACTTGAGCCCAGGAGGCAGAGGTTACAGTGAGCAGAGAATGTGCCACTGCACTCCAGCCTGGGCAACAGAGCAAGACTAAGCCTTAAAAAAAAAAAAGGGTTGCTGGAGCCTGGGCAACATAGCTAGACTCTGTCTCTACAAAAAATACAAAAATTAGCCAGGTGTGGTGGCATGCACCTATAGTCCCAGCTACTGAGAAGGCTAAGGCAGAAGGATTGCTTGAGCCCAGGATTTGAGGCTGCAGTGAGCTATGATCGCCAGTGCACTCCAGCCTGAGCAACACGGAAAGACTTTGTATCTTAAAAAAAAAAAAAAAATCAGGAAAAATAACTAACAGGTACTAGGCTTAATACGTGGGTGATGAAATAATCTAGTCAGCAAACTCCCATGACACAAGTTTACCTATATAACAAACCTGCACATGTACTCCTGAACTTAAAATAAGTTAAATTAAAAAAAAAAAAAAGAGGATGACCTCTGACCTAGTTCTTTTGGAGCTTTTTGATACAGACATACTTACAAATGGACATTAACTAGACATAATCATATAATCCTGTATGTGTTTATCAATCTACCTAACTATATTTGTGTGTATATCTTTAAAAAAAAAAAGCCCCAAAGGAAAACTAGGACAGAGGTCATTTCCTTTCACAAAAAAAAACCATATATTTTTTCTAGTCTAGGATATTATTCATGTATGTTTTTAAATGAAAATGTTTTACATTATACAACAATTTGATTGTTATACTTATCAGCTTCTAGAGGCTGCCAACATCCTTGGCTTGTAGCCTCTTCTTCCATCTTCAAAGCCAGCAATGGCAGATTAATTCCTTCTTATAGCACATTATTCCAAACTCCTCTTCTGCCTCCCTCTTCCATTTTTAAGGACACTTGTGATTACACTGGGCCCACACAGATAATCTTCCCAACCCGAGGTCCTTAATCACATCTGCAAAGTTCCTTTTCTCATACAAGGTAACATATTCACAGATTCCAAGTATTATGATATGGACATCTTTGGGCAGTCATTATTCTGCCTACCACGGTAATTATCACATTTCTTGGCAACATTCTAATTTATTCATTTACTTATTTATATCAGTGTGGAATCACAGATTACTGTTTTATTCAATGGGTTATAATCTGCTATTGTATTATCATTTTGATGTCCAATTGTTTGGCCAATGGAGGCTTATTCAAGCTAGCTTTTGTGTCTTTTTGATATGTTCCCAACATTCTTGAGCACCTCCTTGTTTTCTGGCACAAGATTTTCCAGTCCTGCCTTGTACTTTTCCTGCCCCAGCCCTGAAATCAGCCATTTCTTTAAAGAGAATATTGTTGTTTATAGGAATATACAGCATCAGAGAAACAACTTTCTCTCAAATAACAAAAAACATAAAGGTCTTTGTATTGTTTTTACAACTTTAACTCCGTAGCTACTTCAAAATTTTAACATGTTATTTTATTTTAATAATATAATGTCTTCCAAAGTTCAAAGTAATCACTTGTATCATATTGTATTATGATTTGTATGCTTTTTTACTTGAAATTATAACAAAGATTTTCCCTTGTTGTTCAAACTCTTCATAACCACTATGTTAACAGCTACTTTGTACTGCTTTATATGGCTGACACATGACTTTGTCTATTTTCTTGCTGTACAACATTGAATTGAACTCTTACTATTACAAATAATTTTCCAATGAATATAAATCTTTCCATACTTCTGATTATCTTCTTGGGATAGATTCCTTGACATGGAATCACTACACCAAAGAAACATTTTAAGACTTCATACATATTGCCCAATTGCTTTCCAGAAAAGAACATTCCTATTTATATTTCCAAATAAATGTGCATTTCATTGTATCGATTCTCCTTTTTTGGTCTTTTGTTGGTGTTAGGTGAAATTATAAATGACAAAAATAGCTAATATTTATCAAATGCTTACTACATATCTGGCTAAGTCCTTAATATACATTATTTATTTTAATCCTCACAACTCTATAGTAGGTTCCACTGTCTTTCCATAAATATAGGAATAAAAACTTAGATCAACAGCATAAAGTGCTTAAAACAGTGCCTAACACACAGCAAGCACTTTATAAATATTTCCTCTTATTTTTAAGTGTTTTAAGTGTTCAGTTACTTGCCCAGTAATACTTACCTCTTAAATAGTGAAGCTAGGATTCAATTAAAAGTCTGTGTCATGAAATACTGCCCTTCCCAAATCATCCAAGTATTGCATAAATTTGCATTTCTTTAATTACTTATGAGGTTGAAATTGTTCACATTTCTATTCATAATGAAATTTTAAGGCTATTTGGAAACTTCAAGAAAAAACAGAAAAACTAATGTATATTAATGGTAATTTACATATTCAAATTAGCTTCTGTTCTAATTTTATCTTTATTATTCATGGATCTCTGTACCAGACTCTGCGATAAATATGGTTTATCCCTGAGGCTTTCTGTGTAACATCAAAATTAAGTTGCAAAATAATTGTAACTTTGAAAATGAATTACGTATTGACACTTCTCTCCAAACCTAAAGAAAATGAAATGATCTACCTTCTTTAATAATGACCAAATATATGTAACGTGATACCAGAAATGGAATAGCCCAAGTATAGTAAGATAATAGTTCAACACTATGCTAAAAACATATTTCATAGTTTTCACATTCAGGGAAATCAGACATCTTACAGATCAAGTTCTTTAGTGTTCCACTTTCCACTTTCTTATTTACCCACGTGATTCAGCTTGCACATGGAAAAAAGAAAGTAAATGACTGTTAAAGGCAATAAATGTTACACACAAAATCCATTGTGTTTCTACATACCAGCAATGAACTATCCAAAAATTAAATTAAGAAAAACTTCCATGTATAATAGTATCCAAATGAATACAATACCCAGGAATAAATATAACAAAGGAGGTGAGAGACTTGTACACCGAAAACTATAAAACACAAAAACAATGCTGAAGGATATCAAACACACATCCAGGTACTCAAAGACTTAACATTATTAAGATGGCAATACTACCCAAAGCAATCTACAGATTCAATATATTACCTATCAAAATTTCTATGGCCTTTTATGCAGAAATGGAAAAGCTGATTCTCAAATTCATATGGAATTGCAAGGGGCCCTAAACAGGCCAAACAATTTTTAAAAAGAAGAACAAAGCTGGAGAACTCACATTTCCCAATTTCAAAACCTTACCACAAAGCTACAGTAATCAAAACAACATGGCACTGGCATAGTGATAGATATATAGACCAAAGGAGTAGAATTGAGCATCCAAAAATAAACTGATACATCTATAGCCAATTGATTTTAAAGATGCCAAAGACCATTCAATGGCAAAAGAACAGTGTCTTCAACAAGTGGTGCCGGGACAACTATTCACATGCAAGACAATGAAGTTGGAATTTATACCATATACAACAATTAACACAAAATGAATCAGTGACCTAAATATAAGGAGTAAAATTATAAAACTCTTGGAAGAAAACATAGGGTTAATCTTCATGGCCTGGGATTTGGAAATGGATTCTTGATATGACACCAAAAGCATGGGTCAAATAAATAAAATGGACTTCATCAAAATTCAAAACATTTATCTATCAAAGGACATTATCAAAAAATTGAAAAAAAAAATCCACATAATGGAAGAAAACATTTGCACATTATATATTTGATAATGAACAGTCTAGTATCTGGAGTATATAAAAACACAACTCAATACAAAAACACCAACAATGTAGTTTTTTAAAAGGGCAAAGAACTTGAATAGACATTTCTCTAAAGCAGATACACACATGGCCAACAAGCACATGAAAAGATGCTTAAAATCATTAGTAATCTGGGAAACGCAAATCAAAACCACAGTGAGATACCACTTCATACCCATAAGGATGGCAATTATAATTTCTTAAAAACAGAAAATAAGTGTAGGCAAGGATGTAGGGAAATTGGAACCCTCACACATTGCCAGTGGGAATGTAAAATGGTTTAGCTACTGTGGAAAGCAGTTTGGCAGGTCCTCAAAAAGCTAAACAAAATTACCATAAGACCCAGCATTCCATTCTTGGTATATACCCGAAAAAGTGAAAACAGGTTCTCAAATAAATCCTTGGACACAAATATTCACAGCAACATATTCATAATAACTAAAAGGTGGAAACAACCCAAATATCCATCGATGGATAAATGGATAAACAAACTGATATATAGACATGGAAAGGAATATTCTTCTGACATGGAAAGGAATATTCTTCTGCTATGAAAAGGAAAGAAGTACTGATATATGCTACATGTGGGTAAACCTTGAAAACATTTTGCTAAGTGAAAGAAGCCAGGGATAAAAACTCAAATATTGAAAATTCAATTTATATAAAATATCCAGAATAAGTAAATCCATAAAAACAGAAAACAGATGTGGTTGCCATGAGCTAGGGGCATCAGGGAATGACTGCTTAATAGGTATGAGATTTTACTTCAAAGTGATAAAAATGTTTTGAAACTAGACAGAAGTGATGGTTGCACAACACTGCAAAGGTACTAAATGCCACTGAACTATTGCTTTAAAATGGTTAATTACGTGAATTTTTACCTCAATTTTTTTTCCAAAAAAAGCAATTAACATTTATAATCCATGTTGGATAAATGTGGAAATTATAAGCAGCTCTTCCTCTTTGAGGGTCAAAAGAGTAAATGACAAACATAGTAAGTATGCAAATAAAGTATTCTTCAACATTTAATGAGGTGTTTCACATCTAAATAAAGTAGATGTTTCTCCCTCATGACTTCATTCAGAAATATTCATTTATCACCAGCTCCTCACTAGGATTATTTCCCGGTGGAAATTCATTCCCTCTATAAAGTTTACCTGGATATTTCTATCATTAGAAACAGAGCCCGGGCAGGGAGTGGTGACTCACGCCTGTAATCCCAGCACTTTGGGAAGCTGAGGAGGGAGGATTGCTTGGGGCCAGGAGTTTGAGACCATACCAGGTGACAGAAAAAGACGGTCTCTTTAAAAAAACAAAAAAAAAAGAAAGAAAGAAACTGAGCCTGAACTACATTCACTTTCAATCAATTCAAGGTCAACGTATTTCTAACTCCTTAAAAATGATTCTAAGCCAAATTCTTGTAGCTGACCAAGAGCTCTCTTACATCAAAGCGCAAAACATCCCAAAATTTCAGTTTTCTTTTCAGTTTACATTAATGTGGCAATAAACATTTAAATGTTTTAATGTCTGAATATTTCATAATTATTAATATTTAATAATTATTAACTCTATAACCACAAAATTGACAATGTTCCTCAGACTTTATTTCAAAGTTAAAAAGACTGATTTCCTCAGGAAGATCTACATCGTTGAAACAACTAGAAATAACAAATACCTTCCTCAGGGAACACCTTCTCTTAAAAGGAATATAAAGGTAGATATAAAAATGCCTGATTATGTTACTGCCTGCATAAAATTCCTTAACAGATTAAGCAGTTTTCAGAATACAGCTCAGAACTAAACTGTGGTTTAGCACAAAGTTCTTCATAAACTGGCTCGTCTCTGTATATTTAGCTTAGTCCCTTGCCATTCCTCCAGTCTTTTTCTCTGTAACCATGAGCACTTTCTCTTCTCCCAGACTCTCATTATATGCTTCTCTATGCCACCAAAATGCAACACAACTAAATGGTCTGTCACTCCCATTATTCCTTAAGCTCCTTAAAGTTAGGAGCTATACATTTTCTAATTCTGTATACAATACCTAGCATCTAGCACAATATCAGAGGCAAGTGACTGTTGTATAAATTAAAGTATGAAAGTGAGTATTATGATCCATTATTAAGGTCTAAAATACTATGGCTTATTTTTCCTTTACATAATGGCAATGGGGGAAACTATATATTAGGTAATATTTTGCTCTATTTTAAAAAATTACAATGTAATCTTACCGGTAAATAGCATCAACAAATTTTGTAGACATCTTTTCTTAAACATTAGTTTATTAACTAAGAGTATATATTTAGCTTGATGCTTATTCAATGGAAGCTCATGCTTGGCTCTATATTATCTACGTTAGTGAAGTGAAACATTAGTGCAAGAGATATTTTACAAGAAGTCGTAAAAACAGATTTTAACTGGACAATTCCAACTACTTCATTTACAGGTGAGGAAATGAACTGAGAGGTTAAGATATTTATGCAAAATCACCCAGCTAATTAGTGGGAATGTTGGGTGACACCCAGACTCCCATAATGTTGATGCTTTCAGCTACAATATAACTTTATTCCTATTCCAACCTCATAGATAAGCCAGGGGATTCTCTTTTTATTTTTATCTTATTTTATTTTTTTGAGACAGAGTCACGCTCTGTCACCCAGGCTGGAGTACAGTGCCGCGGTCTTGGCTCACTGCAACCTCCGCCTCCCAGGTACAAGCAATTCTCCTGCCTCAGCCTCTCAAGTAACTGGGATTACATGAGCACGCCACCACATCTGGCTAATTTCTGTATTTTAGTACAAATGGGGTTTTACCATGTTGCCCAGGCTGGCCTCGAACTCTGGTCTCAAGTGATCTGCCCACCTCAGCCTCCCAAAGTGCTGGGATTACAGACATGAGCCACAGTGCCCAGCCGGATTCTCTTCTTCTCACCCTCAATCTAGGGGGTATATGGGTCCTTAATACATGCCACATTTAACTGACTCCTTTAATCTTTAAGATGTAGCCTCTGCCTTAACACCTTCTCCCTGTAATAAACATTTGATGAGTACCTACGTTTGTTGAGCATTAAACACATCTAAGCCATTCCACTGGGAGGAAGGGGAAAAGGGAGAGACAAATGCGAATAAGAAAGACATGGTCCCTTCCTTCAAATGCTCTGCAAAATTAGTTACAATCTGGTATAGTATTCATTATTACCATCTGCTTAAATAGGTACAAATACATAGTACGAGAAAAATCTAATTACCGTCTATTATGAAAATGCACCTTATTTCTCCCATTAGCAGATAAGCTCCATGCAGGCAAGGATTTTTCTCTTTAGAACAGTGCCTGACAAAGAAGGTACTCAACAAATATTTGAGTGAATAAATGCTACAGAAAAACCCCTAAGTAGTAGGATCCAAGTAATGTTTCCAAAAATGGTATGACAAGAAAAGTAAACCTTCTTCTCATGCTCAACAACATTTTTCTGTTGGTTTACTGAGAACTTGACAGGAAACTGAAAATAGTTGAGATGGATATATTTTACTACTTAATTCAACATCATGCTCTACCCAATTGTACCAAACCCTAGAAAACCTTCCAAGAAAGGAAACCTACAGTCCTTCTATGACTTAGTCCTGAGCCCTTTTTCAAGTACAAAGGGTCTCCAGATGTTTTCCTTTTTTTCTTATAATAGGTTCTGGGATCTCTGTGTTTGCCCCCCACTTGTGAAGATAATAATACTGGTAACAAAAACATCTCAATTACTATCTATCATGTACCAGACCCTTTTCATATATTAACTCAGTATTTCAAAACAACTCTCAGAATTGGTATTGTCATCAACATGGTTTTACAGAATGGGAAAAATGGTAAGCCTCTTATCCTTTGAGTGTCTTCTTCCACAATCCTGGCTATAAGTAAAATACAATCTCATTAGCTGCACCCTGACTTTCATTGTTGCCCCCCATAACAAGCACACAGAGTCTCTGATTCTAAAGGTTTTGCTATTAACCAATTCAAGGTAACAAAGACAGGATAATAAAAATAACAAATCTGGAGATGTTCAAATGTTCAACAATTCAGCATTCAACATATGTTTATAAATGCCTGGTACCACACAAAAATCAGACTCTCAAAATTCTTACGGTGAGAATCCCTAGCCTCCAATTTACTAGCTATTTTTTGAATAAATGGGAGCCTTGCTAGGTCTAAAAGTTTTTCCTCCCCACTACCTTACCTCCTGATCTCCCAGGACACGAATCAAAATACACTAAAGGGAAAAATAATGGGTGCATCTTCATTGAGAAATCTGTACTTGTGAGTAATTTAAGGAGTCACATCCCTCTTGTGAAACTCTGACCCACAGAGGAGTGGTTACTTTTAGGTCATTTCCTTACAATGTAAGCATTTGTTCTCTTCCCTTTTCATAGAATACACAGAACTTCCAGTTTTCATTCTACATTTCCAAACGTCTGAACAACTCCTCAGCTCCAAAAGTAAACTCCCTATCATCCTCTCTCCTCCTAAATCTCCTTCCACCAAAACCTGTTCTTCATGATAATATCCTTATTTCTGTTAATAACATCACTATCCTCCCAAAAATTTGTCCTAGGCCTATACTCTGGTCAGTTCCCAGTGTCAATGTCATTATAATGTCAACATCTTTCAAATCTATACCTTCACTACGATCATCACTTCTTGCCTCAACTACTATAATTAAATTGCATGGTATTCCTACTTCTAGGCTTCCACTCTTCCATTGGACCTGTTCACAAATTATTATCCATAAAGAGAGTTTCTTCTTAACTAAAAATCATATATAAAATCTTTAGTCTGACATTTAAGAATCTCCATAATCTGTATCCATCTATCTTTACCAGTCTGGTCCTTAAACATATATCCTTACCAAATGTATTCTGCTTTTCCTATCTCTATACCTTTGCTTGGGCAGTGTCCTTATGTGGAACTTTTTTTTTTCCACCCTCCTTCAACTGCTAACAATCTTTCAAATGACCTCATCCTCAATGAAAAAAAAAAAAAGGCTAAGGCATATAATTTACTAAACATATACGCCATCTGATTGCTTCACAAATTATCTGAATCCCCACAAAAACAAGTAAGGAAGGAGTTAAGGAAATTGAGGAGGAGCTTCCCCAAGGTCACCAGCAAGTACGAATCCACAATAGCCCCACAGCATTCCATATTTTTTAATGAAATAAGACACAAAAGAGACAGACGTTCTGTAGTCAGAATACCTGTGATCAAATTCCAGCTACTCCACCAGCTACTTGTGTGAACTCAGAAGTTATGTATCTGTGATGCCTTAATTCCCCCACTTCCCACTTAGAAAATGGGGATAAGACAGGCATGATGTATCACACCTGTAATCCCAGCATTTTGGAAGGCTGAAGCAGGTGGATGACTTGAACCCTAAAGTTTCATACCAGACTGAGCAACATAATGAGACCTTGTCTCTACAAAAAAAAAAAAAAAATTTAATTAGCCAGGCATGGGGGTTTATGACTGTAGTCCCAGCTACTTGTCGGGCTAAGATAGGAGGATCCCTTGAGCACGGGAGGTCGAGGGTGCAGTGAGCCATAATTGCTCCAGCCTGGGCAACAGAGCAAGACCCTGTCCCAAAAAAAAATAAAAAGGAAACAACTTACTATCTACCACATCAATGACTGTAAGAACCACCTGAGATATTATAAAGCACTTAGAATTGTATTTGGCTCATATTAACCAATCAATATTAGCTACATTACTGTTTTGTTGTTGTTGATATACTATGCTATATAAACTTTGACAATACCAATCATATGCTGTGTTGTTCCCAAATCAACTTTTGTGTAATGTAAAAGATTCATAAAAGTTTAATATTTTACTTTTATATATGCTCAATAAATATCTATAGAATACATACATTTTTGAACAATGACTCACCAGTATGCTTTATTAAAAGGAATTCGCTTCTAATTTTGTTTCCTCTTTTGGGAAAAGTAACAATGCTTACCAACTTTCTTCCCCTTTTTATGTCATGTGAAACTATCATATGCAATGCCATATGGTAAACATGACAAATGGTGCAAAACACTGTTTTGACTGAAACTCATTTGCCTCCTGCTAAACATCAATTCCCAGATTTAAAAATATTGTTATTTAAATGCCAACCATTTCTAGGTCACACCTACATGAAGTAAGCAAAACATACCATGATAGTTGACCAAACTATTTCATTTCATACATCTCTTATGGCAAGAACTATAAGGCATAAAATGCCTTCCTAGCCAACTTAACTCAAAGACATAAATCTATCCCTTTAGTCATACCCTCAGGCCTACCCTCACTTAGCTAAAGTTAGTGCCTGTAAAAGTTCTGATAAATCTACGTTATTCTGGAATGCAGAAAAATATCAAGGGAAGAAAGCTGAATGCTAGCAACAATTTATGCCCCTCCAAAATTATTGAGAAAATTAGCTTTATACAAGCATAGATGAGAACTTATCCCAAACCCTTCAGTATTATACCTCTCAAACCAAGATTCTGTCTATGATTTGCATTACACATAGAGACAAGATGTCAAGCTGCCTAGCTTCAAACAAAGGCAGAGGTTAAAAAAAAAAAAACTAATAAAACAGTTCTCATTCCCTACATAGAGAAAAATAACTGTGCCTCTCTCCAACAGTTTCCAACAAAACAAAAAAAAATTATGTAATAGACAAATTTTGTTTCATTTAATCCTCATAACAACTCATTTCTTATTTACGGAAAATGTCACAGAATTAGTAAATGGCAGAGCTGAACCCAGCTTGACTCCCAAATTTGGAATTTAGTATTTTGAAACATTTGTTTTTGCCATAATCCATAATACACTTTACATTTCCATCTTCCTCTTGACACACACATACTGTTAAAAACTGAAACAAAAGCTTCTTGCCATAATATTTACTTTTATTCCATACAATGTCCTCTGGTATTTTTTCTTTCTTTATAAAGCTTATGTCAATGTACTAAATTGATTCTAAAATCTATTAATGAATCCTTATGGGCCCTGCACTACAGCACTGCACTACACTTCCTGCACTACAGCACTGCACTACACTTCTTACCTCCTGTTTAAAGTTCTTTTTAATTGCTATCACTGTCCAGTTTTGTTACTTCGAGATGGAGCTAATGTCCACCCATTAAAAAACTGTGCTTAAATAGCATAAACTCTTGAAAGCCCTACCTTAAATCTTGAATTGATCTGTTTCTCCAGAAGAACTCTTTGGAGGCACAGCCACCTTACTTATTTATATTGTATCAAAAACTGCAGATGTTCTCCTTGGAGAACAAACACATCATTGTTGAAAGGAATGCATCAGTTTTCACTGTTTCTGCTGCATCACTGACGAACAGTAATAGCCGGGCAGGTTTGGGGCAACAAGAGAGGACCCGAGCAGCTGCCCACGGTGCTGAAACTGATGATGAAACGACAGTTTTGGAAATTTACTATTTACTATTGTCAGATTAGGACAAAATAGAGGAATTTACCAGACACTGGCAGAGAAAACTGAGTGGCCGCCACCAAAGTTGCATGAGTGCTTCCGGGATACTGCTGTTTGGCTTCGATGTCTGCCCACTCTCTCTTTCTCTCTGGGACAAAGTTATTTAATAAGTGCAAGTCAAGTCAAGTCAAGCATACAGGCAGAGCTGCTGACTGACCGTAGTATCTGGCCCTAGCAGGGGTTAAGTCCCAAACCTGCAATCTGAGCTTCCAGGGAAAGAAAAAGGGGGTGGGGGTAAAAGAGAGGAAGTGACTGCCCTCCTTCTATTCAGAGACAAAACAGCCCCCTCAACTAAAGTCAAGCGATGTGCCCGAGGACGTTGCGGCAGGTACTTGACCAAGAAAAGCCTTCCAAACATGTTTTCCAGGCAGGCTCTTGCAGCCTCAAGAAGGGAATGAGAGAAGCAAAACCGGTAACTCAACTTTGGACACACACAAACTCGCGGAATGAGAGTGCAGGGGAGACTCGGTCCCCCGAGGGCAAGGCTATTTTATTCCTTTTGCAAAAAGCCTAATTGACTTCTCACCCAGCTCTAGAGGAGCAGCAAAGACCTCAGCAGCAGGGCCGACTCCGAGCTCGAGGGCCAACAAGCGGGGTATGTTCTCTGGGCCGCTCGATAACGAGCTGCCCGGCTGCCGCGAAGCCGGACAGGGTCTTACCTTGAAGTCCGGCCCCCGCAACACAAACAGTCTTGCCAGCCGCGTCGCTGCGGGAGAAGTCCCTACCCTGATTTCATGACTGAATATCCGCACCGACCCCCACAGCCCGGAGTACTAGCAGGGACGACAACACCTAGGCGAAGCGGAAGTCCCGCCCCACGCGCCTCATTGGTCCGCACCCAAAGGCACAGAAAACCCACTGGGCAACATGGTTGCCTGTTAAGGCTCTTTCCCACTCTCACGCGGAGTCTCGCTACTTGCTCTAGCCCGGCTCGGAGAAATGCCCAGTTTGCGAGTCTCGTTCTTGGCCGCGTGATCCGTCTTCCCTGGAAGGGAAGAGCAGGGTGGGGCAGGCGTCTGCGGAACTGGAGCGCGGCTGAAGAAGCTGCTCTTGGCAGAGGAAGGGGCAGGCTGGCAAAGTGGATTGGCTGTGGGCGCCTGCCGCTAACCATGTGCCCCTAGAAACGGAGACCGTAGGGTCTGGAGGGCGCGGGACCGAGCGGGCAGGGCCGGTCGGTCTGATCTGCTCCGGCTGTTGGGACAGAGTAGCCCAAGATTCGGCTGCCGGGCTGCCCCCGGGCGGGCCTGGCCCTGGCGCTGACGCGTCTCTTCCCTGCACACTACACTCACCCGACCTACTAAAGAGGCGAGGGCGAGGCCTCATCCGCCCGCCTTCCGTACCGTGCCCAGTCTGAGATCAGAGTGGGTGGGGACCGTGGCCACACCTTAAAGTAGGGCTCAAATTGTTAGAGATGCGAGCGGCCCGAGGTCTGAACGCCAGTCCCCTGAGGCCTGGCTCGGATCCACGCTGGCATCAGCACTCTGGGCCTGACACGCGCCATCCCCGGGGCTTAGCAAAAGTCAAACCATGTGATTCAGGCCCTAGGTCAGCCTTTTAAAACCCTTGCCTCCTTTTGATGAACCAAAAATCTCCTCCCCTGCCGCCCTTCTGATAAGCCTTCCTTTCTGGTTGTCTCAATCTTAAACCAGTCGAAACTTAAATTACCGGATTGTACCATCCACATTGATTAATCATTGCCAACTCGCCACCTTACAAAAGCAGTGTGACTTAGGCAAATATTACAGAGTCCTGAAAGAAATGTCAGGAGACATAGAATCAGGCACTACTTCTGCTTCAAATAATAAGGCACCCTTAATAAGGCCTTTACAGGCTTCAACTCCTTCAACATCATCTTTTAAAAATGGTGGCGAGGAGGCTATCACACAGAGTATTAGTAGAATACCATTGGATGTAACTTGTCACTTTGATTGCTTGGAGAGCCCTGAGTAGGTGGGACACAGCAATGGGGAAAAGACTCTTTCCTTATTGTGTATCCTTTTGTGCCTTTTGAATTTTGAACCTTGCAAATATTACCTACTCAAATAAAATTCAAATACAAGAAATTTAAGATCAAATTTTAAAAAATTAAATAAAAGCTATCAAAGGTACTTTCCTCTTCTGTGTATCCTATGAGTATTCTATGTAGTCTTAACTTTTCATTGGTTGCAAAGACATTCAATACTTAAATCACAATTCTGCCTTTAAGAAAGTCATAAATAAAAGTCAGCATTGGGAATATTACTAAGAAGACTAATTAGTATAAACACATTTATAATATCTCTATAAGCATTTTTTTCATTAAATTATCCCAAATTGGTATATTAAATCAGATTTCTTGCATAACATCAAAATAAATTTTTTTAGGCCGGGTGCGGTGGCTCATGCCTGTAATCCCAGCACTTTGGGAGGCCAAGTCAGGCGGATCACTTGAGGTCAGGAGTTCAAGACCACACTGGCCAACATGGTGAAACCTCGTCTCTACTAAAAATACAAAATTAGCCGGGCATTGTGGTGCACACCTGTAATCCCAGCTACTTGGGAAGCTGAGGCAGGAGAATCGCTTGAACATGGGAGGCAGAGGTTACAGTGAGCTGAGATCCCACCACTGCACTCGGGCATAGGCAACAGAGCAAGATTCCATCTCCAAAAAAAAAAAAAAAAATTAAGTCCACAGAGAGGAGCTTTGGGTTTTGTTGTTTTATTTTTATTTATTTTAGAGACAAGGTCTCACTCTGTTGCCCAGGCTGGAGTGCAGTGGTGAGATCATGTCTCACTGCAGTCCAGAACTCCTGGGCTCAAGTAATCCTCCCACCTCAACCTCTGGAGTAGCTAGGATTACAGGCATGTGCCACCAGGCCTGGCTAATTTTTTTATTTTTTTTAGCCTTACAGTCTGGCTATGTTGCCCAGGCAGGTCTCAAACTCCTGGCCTCAAAGGATCTTCTTGCCTCGGTCTCCCAAAGTGCTAGGATTACAGGCATGAGTCACCACGCTCAGACAAAGAGCTTTGCTTATTCCTTAAAGGCACCTTGAGTACAGAATATTTTACTTCTGGTTTCAACCTGCTCTTCAGATAACAATAGGTATAGTTCTCTCAACTATGAACAAGGTAATGTGTCATTTGTACTGCATTTAGGCTACACTCTGCAAAAACATTTACTCTCCCAACCTGTGCTGAAAAAGGTAAATTGGAAAAAAATATATTGGAAAAATGTATTAATCTTTCTAAAGCAGATTAGACAGTAAGATTGACAGATATCATAATTACAATTTTCAAGAACATGAAGGGTTAATAAGGCACGTGATACTAATATACCACTAATTATCTTTTTAAAAATCAAAATGTGCTTTTAGGGTGTTGTATCTAACAGGTTTTTTTTTTAAACCTTCCTAAAAAGTACAAACAGATAGCACGTAAAAGTAATTGTAGAATCTCCTGCTTCCAAAATATTGTAAGGCAACAACAACAAAAAAAGACAGATACCCAATTATGTAATTGTCTGAAATGGCTTAGAAATAGTTCTCCCTAAATACCAGAAAGAATGCAGGCTGTCTCCTTAAGCACAGAGATTAATCAGAAACCTTAAACAATTCTATATATTATCATATTTAGAAACAGAAAAAAAGTAATTTTAGAATCAGAAAAAAGGTATTTTCATTTTGAAAACAAAATAAAATTATTACTATTAAAAGAAAGAATAAGATCCATAAAGAATTTATATGTGTATGAAATAAGCAATTTTGAAAAGTACCAAACAGAATTTCTACAAATAGCATCAGGGAACTTTTAGCCAAAGATTCTAAAAGATTCTAATTTCTTTGCCAAGTTCCAAATTAATGAATGGGTTCATTAAGTAAGATAAAAAGTGAAAAGTTCAGAACCTAAGGCGATACATATCAGTCAGAGGGTTTTTCAACAAAGTTTATCCAATTTATTTTCAAGGAGTTGAGAAAGATCAGGCAAAAAGAGGTGTGCTTAATGTTCAATGCCTTAAAAATGATCTAGTCATTGTTTTATGTGGGATGAGTTACTTCTCTGTATATCTGAGATGACCAACATGCAAATTCAACTTTTCCTTTGCACACTGAGAACCAGTTTTCCTCTGTTTGCTAACAAAGGAATTACAAAATAAGCATGCAAAAAGTCATATGACATAATGCAATATAAAGATGGAAGAAGTCATTGGGGTGTGAACTGACATAATCACATTAGCAAACAATTTGAAATTGTCTAGGGAGGGTGAAAAAGAAAATTTTCTATGACATAGCAATTCAATCCAAGGAATATACCCTAAAGAAACACAAAATAAATTCATATTTAGGCACATTGTAATAAAATTTAAAGAGGATCAAAGAAAAATAAAACGTTTTAAACAAACAAAAAAAGATAAAATACTTACAAAGGAGTGACAGCTGATAGCTGAGTTGTTTTTTTTTTTTCCCGAGATGGAGTCTTGCTCTGTCGCCCAGGCTGGAGTGCGGTGGTGCGATCTCGGCTCACTGCAAGCTCCGCCTCCCGGCTTCATGCCATTCTCCTGCCTCAGCCTCCCGAGTAGCTGGGACTACAGGCACCCGCCACCATGCCCGGCTAATTTTTTGTATTTTTAGTAGAGACGGGGTTTCACCGTGTTAGCCAGGATGGTCTCGATCTCCTGACCTCGTGATCCTCCTGCCTCAGCCTCCCAAAGTGCTTGGATTACAGGCCTGAGCCACCGCACCCGGCCCAGACTTCTTAGTAGCTACAAAAGAAACTAAAAGTGAGTTAAATAATATCTTCAAATGCTAAAATAAAATAGTTACAACTGTCAGTTTAGAATTATATGCCTAGTTAAGCTGTCATTTAAGAGTGAGGGCAAAATAAAGACATTTTTAGGGAAAATCAGCTTTTACCACTAACAGACTTCTACTAACAGAACTTGTAAAGAATATCTTTAGAAAAATGAAAATCAAACCCAGAAAAAAGAGATGCAAAAAAAAGTATGGAGACCAAAGATATTGAGTATGATTTCCAAACCAGTAGACATAAAAAGGGAATAAAGGAATAAAGAAAACAATATGCAATATAAAGCAGAAAAGGAGAGATGGGAAGAAGCAAATAAAAGGTATTTTAAATGGCAAATTCAAAATGAGATGGAATAAGTGACATCAGCAAGATGGTGAAATAGGAGCTCTTTACTGTCATTGCCCTGCAGAAGCATCCATTTTGAAAACTACCTCCAGATGAGAGTACTTTTGTGGAAGTCCAGGAGTCCAGTGGAGAAGTTCCAGCAAACTGTTGAAGTTTTTTGAGGCCAGGAATTTGAGACCAGACTGGCCAACATGGTGAAACCCTGTCTCTACTAAAAACACAAAAATATTAACTGGGTGTAGTGACGCACACCTGTAATCCCAGC
The DNA here is from genome assembly GCF_000001405.40 of Homo sapiens. Lineage (NCBI taxonomy): Eukaryota > Metazoa > Chordata > Mammalia > Primates > Hominidae > Homo > Homo sapiens. The sequence goes on along the minus strand of NC_000003.12, from coordinate 149,808,620 downwards.
TGTTCAGAAGGCTGAGGCAGGAGAATCGCTTGAACCCAGGAGGCAGAAGTTTCAGTGGGCCAAGATAGTACCACTGCACTCCAGCCTGGGGGACACAGCAAGACTCTGTCTCAAAAATAAAATAAAAAATAAAAATTTTCATAACAGATAAATTGAAGTGGCTAAGAATAGTTTTGCTTTTCCTGCATCACTGCCTCCACTAGGTGGCAGAGCTCAGTGCCAAGAGAGACCTCCCTTGGCCAGCGATTTCACCCACAGGAAAAGTGAGAGCTTAGTGAGTGAGCTCATGTCTCTCCCAGCCATGTGGAACACTGTCCATGAGACCCATAGCCGAAAACAATTATCAAAATGGCAATAGTAAGTCCTTACCTATCAATAATTACTCTGAATGGGAAATGGATTTAATTCTCCAATCAAGACATAGAGTAGCTGAATGGATTTTAAAAAAAACAGACCCAGTTACATGCTCCCTATAATAAACTCACATCAGCTTTAGGGACATACACAGGCTTAAAGTGTGGAGATGGAAAAAGATATTCCATGCAAATAAAAAACAGAAAAAGAGCAGGGATTGCTACTCTTGTATCACACAAAATAAACTTTAAGTGAAAAGCCATAAAAAGAAACAAATAAGCATTATATAATGTTTAAAAAAAAAAAGTCAATTCATTAAGAGGCTGTAAGAGGCCGGGCGCGGTGGCTCACGCCTGTAATCCCAGCACTTTGGGAGGCCGAGGTGGGCAGATCACTTGAGGTCAGGAGTTTGAGATAAGCTTGACCAACATGGTGAAACCCCGTCTCTACCAAAAATACAAAAATTAGCCCAGTGAGGTAGCGTGCATCTGTAGTCCCAGCTACTCAGGAGGCTAAGGCAGGAGAACTGCTTGAACCCGGGAGGCGGAGGTTGCAGTGAGCTGAGACTGTACCACTGCTCTCCAGCCTGGGAGACAGAGACTTTGTCCCAAAAAAAAAAAAAAAAAAAAAAAAGAATAAAAGAAAAAGAAAAAGAAAAAAAAAAAGAAGCTATAAGAATTGTAAATATATGTTCCCAGGTGAGAAACAGTAATAGAACAACAAGAGGAGACTTCAATACCCCACTTTCAACAATGGATAGATCATCCAGACCAAAAATCAATAAGGAAATAGTAGATTTGGACTACACTTTGGCCAACTGGACCTAACGCACATATATAGAGCATTTTATCCAACAGCAACAGAATATACATTCTTCTTAAGTACACATGGAACATTCTCCACAATTGATCATGTTAGGCCACGGATTGAAATCATACCAAGTATCTTTTCTTGACACAATGGCACGAAATTAGAAATCAGTGAGGAGGAAAACTTGTGAAAATTAAACAACATACTCCTGAACAAGCAATGGGTCAAAAAAATCAATCAAAAGGAAAATAAGGAGACATCTTAAGATAACTAAAAATGGAAACACAACATACTAAAACACATGGAATGCAGCAAAAGAAAATCTAAAAGTAAATTTTATAGTGATAAACACCTACATAAAGAAAACATAAAGATCTCAAATAAACAACCTAACATTACACCTCAAGGAACTAGAAAAAGAACAAAGCCCAATGTTATTAAAAACAAAGAAATAACAAAGATCAGAACAAAAATAAATCAAATAGACACTAGAAAAGCAATAGAAAAGATCAATGAAACTCAGAGATTTTTTTTCTGAAAAAATAACAAAATTGACAAACCTTAGCTAGACTAAGAAAAAAAGAAAGATAAAATCAGACATGAAAGAGAAGAGATTATAACTGATACCACAGAAATACAAAGCAGCCTAATAGAATACTATGAACAATTATAAGTCAACAAATTGTATAACCTAGAAGCAATGCATAAATTCCTAGAAATATACAACCTACCAAGACTGAATCACGAAGAAACAGAAAATCTAAACAGACCAATAACGAGGAAGGAGATTGAATCAGTAATCATAAATCTCTCATGACTTAATTAAACTAGAAAGCCACTGCACAGCAAAAGAAATAATCAACAGAATGAAGAGACAACCTGTTGAATGGGAGAAAGTATTTGCAAACTGTCCAACAGGGGACTAATATCCAGAATATACAAGGAACTCAATAGGAAAAAAAGAAAGAAACAAATAACTCAGTTAAACAGTGAGCAAGAGACACAAATAGATACTTCTCAAAAGAAGACATAAAAATAGCCAAAAGGTTTATGAAAAAAATGCTCAACACCACTAATCATCAGGGAAATGAAAATCAAAACCACAATGAGATATCATCTTACCTCAGTCAGAATGGCAATTGTTAAAAAGACAAAAAATAACAATTGTTAGTGGGCATGTGGAGAAAAGGGAACTCTTATATACTCTTGGTGAGAATGTAAACTTGTATAGCCACTATAGAAAACAGTATGGAGATTTCTCAAAAAAACTAAATGTTTGATCCAGCAATTTCACTGCTGAGTATCGACCCAAAGGAAAATATATCATTATAACAAAGGGATACCTGAACTTGTATGTTTATTGTAACACTATTCACAATACCAAAGATATGGAATCAACCTAAGTGCCCAACAATGGATGAATGGATAAAGAAAATATGTATACACAGTGGAATACTATTCAGCCATTCAAAAGAATGAAATCATATCATTTGTAACAAAGTGGATGAAACAGGAAGTCATTATCTTAAGTGAAATAAGCCAGGCACAGAAGAACAAATATCGCAAGTTCTCACTTATATGAAGGAGGTGAAATATCTGGACACATGGAGGGAGAGTGTAAAACCAGATCAAAGAGACTGGGAAGGATGAGTAGAGTAGGAAAGGAGGAGGTTAAAGAGAAGTGGGTTAAAGAGTACAAACATATGGTAAGATAGAAGAAATAAATTCAATGTTTGATTGCAGAGTAGGATGACTATACTTAACAAAAATGTATCATATTTTGGTGACAGACACCCTGAATACCCTGACTTCATCACTGCACATTACATACATGTAATAAAATAGCTCATGTACCCTATACATTTGCACAAATAAGAAAAAAATCCCATCAAAGAAAAGCCGAGGACCTGACTTCACTGGTGAATTCTACCAGACATTTAAAGAAGAATAAATATCAATCCTTCTCAAACTTTTCCAAAAAATAGAAAGGCAGGGAATACTTCCAAACTTATTTTATGAGGCCAGTCTCACCTTGATATCAAAGCCAGAGAAAGACATTACAAGAAAAGAAAATTACAGAACAATATTCCTGATTAACACGGATGCAAAAATCCTCAACAAAATACTAGCAAACCAAATTCAACAGCATATTAAAAGAACCATACACCACAATCAAGTGGGATTTATCCCGGAGATGCAAGGATGATTCAATATATGCAAGTCAATAAATGTGATACACTACATTAAAAGAATGAAGGCAGGTAGCGTGATGCCTCTAGCTTTGTTCTTTTGGCTTAGGATTGACTTGGCAATGCAGGCTCTTTTTTGGTTCCATATGAACTTTAAACTAGTTTTTTCCAATTCTGTGAAGAAAGTCATTGGTAGCTTGATGGGGATGGCATTGAATCTATAAATTACCTTGGGCAGTATGGCCATTTTCACGATATTGCTTCTTCCTACTCATGAGCATGGAATGTTCTTCCATTTGTTTGTATCCTCTTTTATTTCATTGAGCAGTGGTTTGTAGTTCTCCTTGAAGAGGTCCTTCACATCCCTTGTAAGTTGGATTCCTAGGTATTTTATTCTCTTTGAAGCAATTGTGAATGGGAGTTCACTCATGATTTGGCTCTCTGTTTGTCTGTTATTGGTGTATAAGAATGCTTGTGATTTTTGCACATTGATTTTGTATCCTGAGACTTTGCTGAAGTTGCTTATCAGCTTAAGGAGATTTTGGGCTGAGACGATGGGGTTTTCTAGATATACAATCATGTCATCTGCAAATAGGGACAATTTGACTTCCTCTTTTCCTAATTGAATGCCCTTTATTTCCTTCTCCTGCCTGATTGCCCTGGCCAGAGTAATCAAAACAGCATGGTACTGGTACCAAAACAGAGATATAGACCAATGGAACAGAACAGAGCCCTCAGAAATAATGCTGCATATCTACAACTGTCTGATCTTTGGCAAACCTGACAAAAACAAGCAATGGGGAAAGGATTCCCTATTTAATAAATGGTGCTGGGAAAACTGGCTAGCCATGTGTAGAAAGCCGAAACTGGATCCCTTCCTTACATCTTACACAAAAATTAATTCAAGATGGATTAAAGACTTAAATGTTAGACCTAAAACCATAAAAACCCTAGAAGAAAACCTAGGCAATACCATTCAGGACATAGGCATGGGCAAGGACTTCATGTCTAAAACACCAAAACAAATGGCAACAAAAGCCAAAATTGACAAATGGGATCTAATTAAACTAAAGAGCTTCTGCACAGCAAAAGAAACCATCATCAGAGTGAACAGGAAACCTACAGAATGGGAGAAAATTTTCGCAATCTACTCATCTGACAAAGGGCTAATATCCAGAATCTACAATGAACTCAAACAAATTTACAAGAAAAAAACCAACAACCCCATCACAAAGTGGGCAAAGGATATGAACAGACACTTCTCAAAAGAAGACATTTATGCAGCCAAAAAACACATGAAAAAATGCTCACCATCACTGGCCGTCAGAGAAATGCACATCAAAACCACAGTGAGATACCATCTCACACCAGCTAGAATGGTGATCATTAAAAAGTCAGGAAACAACAGGTGCTGGAGAGGATGTGGAGAAATAGGAACACTTTTACACTGTTGGTGGGACTGTAAACTAGTTCAACCATTGTGGAAGTCAGTGTGGCAATTCTTCAGGGATCTAGATCTAGAAATACCATTTGACCCAGCCATCCCATTACTGGGTATATACCCAAAGGATTATAAATCATGCTGCTATAAAGACACATGCACACATATGTTTATTGCGGCACTATTCACAATAGCAAAGACTTGGAACCAACCCAAATGTCCAACAATGATAGACTGGATTAAGAAAATGTGGCACATATACACCATGGAATACTATGCAGCCATAAAAAAGGATGAGTTCGTGTCCTTTGTAGTGACATCGATGAAGCTGGAAACCATCAATCTCAGCAAACTGTCGCAAGGACAAAAAACCAAACACCACATGTTCTCACTCATAGGTGGGAATTGAACAATGAGAACACATGGACACAGGAAGGGGAACATCACACACCGGGGACTATTGTGGGGTGGGGGGAGGGGGGAGGGATAGCATTAGGAGATATACCTAATGCTAAATGACGAGTTAATGGGTGCAGCACACTAACATGGCACATGTATACATATGTAACAAACCTGCACAATGTGCACATGTACCCTAAAACTTAAAGTATAATAATAATAAAATAAAAAAGAAAACCATAAAAAAAATAGAATAAAAAAAGAATGAAGGACAAAAATCATATGATCATCCCAATTGATACAGAAAAAAGCATTTAACAAAATTCAATATCCTTTTGTGATTAAAAAATCCACTCTTGACAAATTAGGTATAGAAGTAATATACCTCAATACAATATAAAGATCATATATGGCCAGCCCACAGCAACATCAAACTCAAGGGTGAAAAACCGAAAGCTTTTCCTCTAAAACAAGAACAAGACAAGGATGCCCACTGATACGGTTTGGCTCTGTGTCCCCACCCAAATCTCATCTTGAATTGTACTCCCATAATTGCCACATGTTGTGGGAGGGACCCGATGGGAGACAATTTGAATAATGGGGGCAGTTTCCCCATACTGCTCTCAAGACAGTAAATAAGTCTCGTGAAATCTGATGGTTTTATCAGGGATTTCTGCTTTTGTATCTTTCCCATTTTTCTCTTGCCACTGCCATGTAAGAAGTGTCTTTTGCCTCCCTCCATGATTCTGAGGCCTACCCAGCCATACGGAACTGTAAGTCCAATTAAACTTCTTTTTCTTCCCAGTCTCAGGTATGTCTTTATCAGCAGCACGTAAACCGACTAATACACCCACTCTCACCAATTATTTTCAATATATAATACTGGAAGTCCTAGTCAGAATAACTAGGCAACAAAATGAAATCTAAGACATACAAATTGGAAGGGACGAAGTAAAATTGTCTTTGTTTGCAGATGATATGATCTTACATATAGAAAACTCTAAAAACTACATCAAGAAACTGTTAGAACTAATAAATGAATTCAGTAAAGTTGCAGAATACAACATGAACATTTAAACGTTTGGTAGGATTTGTATACATTAACAATAAACTATCCAAGAAAAAAATTTAAAAATAATTCAATTTATTATAGTATCAAAAAGAATAAAATACTTAGAAAAGAATTTAACCAAGGAGGTAATAAAAGATCTGTACACTGGGATTAAGTGCAGTGTCTCATGCCTATAATCCCATCACTTTGAGAGGCTGAGGTAGGAAAACTGCTTGATAATTTACAGGAAGCCTCCTTTGCACCTTTCAAATAAAACTACTATACTAAATAAAATATATTTAAAGCTAGCCTTTAGCATATGTCAAGCAGGTTTTGAGAATCCTTGGTTCCTGCCTCACAGTTTTTTCCACACGGAACCCTTACAACGGTATCTGAAATGCCTACATTAATTCTTTTCTTTGGATCCAGAAAAAAGAAAGACATCAAAGATTTAATTGTCAGCTATTGCCACCTCATATTTGATCAGTTCTCACCCCTGACCCCAACACTCTTCTGCAGACTGCATGACTAAACACATTCTTAAGGCAGGGAAGGAAAATCCACAGAATGGGGAATACTAAACAAAAATGAGAACACAGAAGATCGGAGAAGGCACCGTCCTTATCTGTGGGGCTTCGATGAATATTTAAGAGCTTTCTCTACAATTTAAACACAAGATAGGGGATGGGATAGCAGAAAGGAGACTGCTAAGCATGATGTGTTTCATTCTACTAAATGGGACTGTGGTTAAAGTTATAATTTAATTTACAAGTCCTGTATTGATATAAAACATTCCAACTAACACAATGATACATAGTACTTCAATTAGCCTACTGTTTGTTCGATTTTAGTTGACAATAAACTGTTTTATAACTGCTATTTTCCTAAATACTGCTTATTTTCCTAATTGTAGATTTCTTTCCTGTTTACTGCTTGTTATTTCCTATATCAAGCATGAGTTTATTCTGGCTATCAATTGCACAATTTCACTTCCTTGAAAGAGTCTTTGCATCTAGTGATGAGCTCTAATGTCTGGAAATTCTCCCAGCTTCCATCTTGGTTATAGTTAAGTCTTTATTGATCTTAGCAATTTAATGAGATGCATCTGCCCCTAGTTTTTTCACTTCCAAAAATAAAGACATGAGGGAACTGTTCAATTGCATTTGCCATGTGTTTAGATGATCCAATTAAAGACACTAGGTATATCAAATAATAGTAATAACCAAATAATGCAAGATTAAAACCACTGTTTTGTGAAACTATTTTTAGGTGAATTTTAAAGGACAATATTCTTTTGCTTTTCTTTGTATTAAATTGGGAGGCAGCTGGGACAAAAATTCTTTCTCTTTACAATTACTTTTTTTTAAAAGCTCCATATAACTTCTAGTTCCTTGCTATTCAAAGTACGGTCCAGGGAGGCCGGGCACGGTGGCTCAAGCCTGCAACCCCAGCACTTCGGGAAGCCAAAGCAGGCGGATCACTTGAGTTCAGGAATTCAAGACCGGCCTGGCCAACATGGCAAAACTCCATCTCTACTAAAAATACAGAAATTAGCCAGGCATGGTGGTGTGCATCTGCGTTCCCAGCTACTTGGGAGGCTGAGGCAGGAGAATTGTTTGAACCCAGGAGGTGGAGGTTGCAGTAAGCTGAGATGGTCCCACTGTACTCCAGCCTGTGCGACAGAGCGAGACTTCATCTCAAAAAACAACAACAACAACAAAAACAAACAAACAAAAAAACAAAGTATGGTCCAGGGAGTTTATTAAATTGAAAATCCCAGGTCCCACTCTAGAACTTCTCAGTGAGAAACAACATATAAAAAGGATCACCAGATGATTCGAATGCATATTTATGCTTTCTTAGATGGAAAGAAAGAACAAAACTCAATGACAAATTTTAAAAGTCACAATAATAAAAGCATAGTTAGATATTAAAAATAGATACTATCAATTCTTTCTCAACACATTAGCATTGACATTTTAATACCAAAGCAGATACTTCTAAGGTAAATAGTATCATAAAGGACCACCAATCATTCAGCATTGATTTACAATACTATTTACCATGTAACATAAAATTCTTCTTGTTATTCTGTACATATCAATAACATGTATGCCATGTATCAATATGTCATAAATCAGAAAATATTTTAAAATCAATATAAGCATGTAATTATTTCAAAGCTTTATATATATACATACTTTAAGTTCTGGGATACATGTGCAGAATGTGCAGGTTTGTTACATAGGTATACACGTGCCATGGTGGTTTGCTGCACCCATCAACCCATCATCTGCATTAGGTATTTCTCCTAGTGCTATCCCTCCCCCAGCTATCTCCTAATGTTCCCCTCCCTGTGTCCATGTGTTCTCATTGTTCAACTCCCACTTATGAGTGAGAACATGCAGTGTTGGGTTTTCTGTTCCTGTGTTAGTTTGCTGAGAATGATGGTTTCCAGCTTCATCCATTTCCCTGCAAAGGACATGAACTCATCCTTTTTTATGGCTGCATTGTATTCCATGGTGTATATGTGCCACATTTTCTTAATCCAGTCTATCATTGATGGGCATTTGGGTTGGTTCCAAGTCTTGCTATTGTGAATAGTGCTGCAATAAACATATGTGTGCATGTGTCTTTATAGTAGAATGATTTATAACCCTTTGGGTATATACCCAGTAATGGAATTGCTGGGTCAAATGGTATTTCTGGTTCTAGATCCTTGAAAAATTGCCACACTGTCTTCCACAATGGTTGAACTAATTTACACTCCCACCAACAGTATAAAAGAGTTCCTATTTCTTCACATCCTCTCCAGCATCTGCTGCTTCCTGACTTTTTAATGATCACCATTCTAACTGTCATGAGACAGTAACTTATTGTGGTTTTGATTTGCATTTCTTTAATGATCAGTGATGAGCTTTTTTTCATATGTTTGTTGGCCACATAAATGTCTTCTTTTGAGAAGTGTCTGTTCATATCCTTTGCCCGCTTTGTGATGGGGTTGTTTGTTTTTTTCTTGTAAATTTGTTTAAGTTCCTTGTAGATTCTGGATATTAGCCCTTCATCAGATGGATAGATTGCAAAAATTTTCTCCCATTCTGTAGGTTGCCTGTTCACTCTGATGATATTTTCTTTTGCTGTGCAGAAGCTCTTTGGTTTAATTAGATCCCATTTGTCAATTTTGGCTTTTGTTGCCATTGCTTTTGGTGTTTTAGTCATAAAGTCTTTGCCCATGTCTATGTCCTGAATGGTATTGCCTAGGTTTTCTTCTAGTGTTTTTATGATTTTAGGTGCTACGTTTAAGTCTTTAATCCATCTTGAGTTAATTTTTGTATAAGGTGTAAGGGAAGGGTCCAGTTTCAGTTTTCCACATATGGCTAGACAGTTTTCCCAACACCATTTATTAAATAGGGAATCCTTTCGCTCATTGCTTGTTTTTGTCGATTTGTCAAAGATCAGATGGTTGTAGATGTGTTATTTCTAAGGCCTCTGTTCTGTTCCATTGGTCTATATATCTGTTTTGGTACCAGTACCATGCTGTTTTGGTTACTGTAGCCTTGTAGTATAGTTTGAAGTCAGGTAGTGTGATGCCTGCAGCTTTGTTCTTTTTGCTTAGGATTGTCTTGGCTATACTGGCTCTTTTTTGGTTCCATATGAAATTTAAAGTAGTTTTTTCTAATTCTGTGAAGAAAGTCAATGGAAACTTGATGGGAATAACATTGAATCTATAAATTACTTTGGGCAGTATGGCCATTTTCATGATATTGATTCTTCCTATCCATGATCATGGAATGTTTTTCCATTTGTTTGCATCCGCTCTTATTTCCTTGAACAGTGGTTTGTAGTTCTCTTTGAAGAGGTCCTTCACACCCCTTGTAAGTGGTATTCCTAGGTATTTTAAATAGCAGTTGTGAATGGGAGTTTCCTCATGATTTGGCTGTTCGTCTATTATTGGTGTATAGGAATGCTTGTGATTTTTGCACATTGATTTTGTATCCTGAGACTTTGCTGAAGTTGCTTATCAGCTTAAGGAGATTTTGGTCTGAGATGATGGGGTTTTCTAAATATACAATCATGTCATCTGCAAACAAGGACAATTTGACAAAGCTTTTTAAAGGAACCTAAAGAGTTAAACTATAATAGGTAGAATGCTACGCTTTAAACTCAGAAATAAGAATCAAGAAACTGATTTCCATTTTTGAAATGTAGAAGAGGACAGTGGACTAAAATATTAGTCACTAGTTGTGGCATGGCTGTTTCTTTTCATGTGCATCCAGATCTTCTTGTAACACTATTTTTCCTTCTCTTTCTCTCTTGTTATGTGTCATCTTGCTATTTATTTGTTTTCCCTGCATTAAATCTAATTATTCCCTACTGTTATTCCCAGTAAGCAATTCCTTTCCTAATTCATTACATTTATTTTGTATTATTTACTTTTTCCATGTTTAGCCCTACTATTTGACCATTCTCTTTAAACAGAGCTTCCTTATTTATCAGTTACTTAATTATTGTATTTGCCCTCCCCCGATTCCCTACCTAGTCTTACTCTCCTCTCCACCCCAAAGACACATACACACATATACACACTACACTGGAAGCTCCATGTCTTGTTCACTGCAATAATCCAGCACAGAACAGTGCCTGACACGTATTAGGGGCTCAGTGCTGTTCAGCTTAGAAAATGATACTCAAAAGTATGTCACTTTGGCGTACTGAGTACTTTGAACTAAAGAAAACTGGAAGGCCTCAGAAGCAGCCTCAGAAGCAAAGTCTCTCTCGACCTTCTCCTGCCCTCTGGTTTCCCACACTTCCTCCTCCCCTGAAGGGAGTCAAAGAAACCAGAATTCCTCTTCTCCAAGGCAGGACATAAAAACTAGAACTCCTCATCTCTAATGTAAGCTAAAAAATCTAGAAAGGTGACTCTCTCCTTTCTCCCTTAAAGACCCTCATTCCAGAGGGGTCCTGTCCTATACCTGGGAGGAAGGGGTGCTACACAGACAGGCCAAGAAGACTATGAACAGACAGGCCTTGCTGAGTTTTCCCCCTCAGTCAATTACCATTAGATTATACCCCTTTGTCCAATTTCATTTCTACATGGCTGTTCATTCTTCATCAAATCTAAGCATTAAAATGGTCAGTTTTCCCTGGGTCTTTGAATCTTCATTTCTGAAGTTCCCCATGTCACTAAAACTTTGATTAAATACATTTGCTATGCTTTTCTCTTATTAATCTGTCTTTGTTATAGGAGTGTTGGCCATGACCCTTATGATGGATGAAGAAGGATACCACAACTTTCCTACAGTGTGCATGTATTGAATGAATAAATGAATTAACAATATATCTTATCTCAGATCAAGTGTGTCTTCACCTCCATACCTTCTGTTTTATTCACACCTTTCTTATACTTCATCCTATAATACAGTCCCTGGTCCAGGTGTTTTGGACATCTGTCATCTTTCCTACTCATAGCAAATCCCTTAAGATCATATCTAGGACCAAATCTTCCAAAGACCTAGCATGTTCCATTGCATGTAGGAGGTCCCCAGTAGGCTAACTAACTTAGTTTTACCACTCTTGGAAAAAGAAAAATAACTCAAAAAGGGCCTCTAGATGCTAAGGAAAGCTGTTCCTAAATTGCAACTGAGAGAATCAAGTGTAATCCTTATCATTTTAAGCTGTCTCTAAACTGCTATGAGTTTTTCAAGTCTACCTGTCATTTTATTGTTACAAGGCAATTTTTAATGATATTAATCTAGCTTGTCTATTCATTCATTGTGAGGCTCTGGGCTAGGCCACTGGGGATACAAAGGAGAATAAGACACTGCCCCACCATCAGGAAGCTCACAGTCTAGTGGAGGAGGCTGTCACTGACACAATAAATTGATGCAGTATAAAAGATCCTGTAGTTAAAGAATGTATGATGCAGCAGGGGAATAGAGAAAACAAGTCAACTTCCCTGGTGACATCAAGAAGGCTTCTTGGAAGGGCTGTAAGTTGGACTCTTTATTTTTTTTTTCATTTTATTTCATTTAATGCATTCACATGGTTCAAAATTTAAAAAGAATAAAAAGATAATAACAAACACTGTATTAAGCCCTGGTGAGGATGTGGAGAAACAGGAACTGAACTCTCATTCATTACTGGTGGTAATGCAAAATGGTATAGTCACTCCAGAAGACAGTTTGGCAGTTTCTTACAAAACTAAACATACTCTTACCGTATGATCCCCCAGTCATGATCCTTGGTGTTTCTTCAAAGGAGTTGAAACTTATATCCAAACAAAAACCTGTATACAGATATTTATGCCAGTTTTATTTATAATTTCCAAAACTTGGAAGCAACCAAGATGTTCTTCATTGCCAGGATTGGGGGACAGGTGAAGGAAATGGGGGATGAATAAACAGAACACAGAGGATTTTTAGGGCAGTGAAACTACCCTCTCTGATACTATAATGGTGGATACAGGTCATTATGCATTTGTCAAAGCCCATAAAATATACAGCACCAAGAGTGCTGTACAACACCCTAGTGTAAACTACAGACTTTGGGTGATAATGATGTATCAATCTATGTTCACCATTTGTAAAAAAATGAACCATTCTGGTTCAGGATTTTGATAGTGAAGAATACTGTCATATGTGGAGGGAGGGAGCATATGGGAACTCTCTGTACTTTCCACCCAATTTTGCTGTGAACCTAACACTACTCTAAAAAATAAAATAAAAATAAAAATAAAATCTATTTAAAAGAAAAATATAATGCGATGAAAAATATTGTCCTCACCCTTGACGCTTAAGTCTCCTCCCCACAGGCGCCAAATTTTCCAGTTTTCTGAATGTATTTCCAGAGATTTTGAGGTATATGCACAAAACAGATTTATATCCATATATATAGATATAGATATGATTTTTCCCTTTTTTTCCACAAATGGCAATGTACTGCACACTGTATTTTATACCTTGCTTTTTTCACAAAATGATATACCTTAAAGATTTTTAAATAGTGGTACAGAAAAAACTTCTTTGTTCTTTTCAATAGCTGTATAGTCTTGTATGAATGAAAAATAATTTGTTTAATCAGTTCCCTATTGATGGACATGAAAGGTGTTTCTAATCTTTTGCTATTACAAACAACTCTGCAATGAATAATGTTACACCTATATCATTTTGCAAATAAGCATATAAATATTTGTAAAAATAAAGTTCTAGAAATTAAATCGTTGGGTCAAAGAATATGTGCATTAGTAATTTTAATATATATTTCCAAATTTTCCTTTATACAGGGTTGTACCAAATCACATTCCCTATGGCAAAGTATCATTGGAACAAACTCAGCAAGAATGTGTAATCAAACTTTTGGATCTTTTCCAATTTCCTGGTAAAAAATGGCATCATGTCCTTAAAATGTTTGTGGGTGCTCTTTATATATTAAACGCACCTTTTATCTCTACCAAGAATTGCAGGTATTTTTCTTTTTCTTTTTTCTTTTTTTTTTGTTTGACACAGAGTCTCGCTGTGTCACCGGGCTGGAGTGCAGTGGTGTGATCTCGGCTCACTGCAACCTCCACCTCCCGGGTTTAAGTGATTCTCCTGCCTCAGCCTTCCAAGTAGCTGGGACTACAGGCGCCCGCCACCGTGCCCGGCTAATTTTTGTCATTTTTAGTAGAGACAGGGTTTCACCATGTTGGCCAGGATTGTCTCTATCTCTTGACCTTGTGATCCGCCCACCTCAGCCTCCCAAAGTGCTGGGATTACAGGTGTGAGCCACCATGCCCAGCTGCAGATATTTTTCTAACTTTATTTATCCCTGGCTTTATATCAAATTACTTTTCCATGTAGATTTTTTTTAAAAAAAAGTTGAATTGATCAATGTTTTCTTTGACAGCTTTAGGAATTTTTGTCACAGTTAGAAAGGTCTTATTACTCAAGATGATTGAAAAATCTCATGAAATGTAAGAAGACTAAAGTTTTCATGATTCAATTTTTCCCATTTAAATTTTTAAACTCGTTTTAGAGTCATTTTTAATTTCTCCTGCTGTAAGGTAAAAAGTAAGTCTCCAGTGTTTTTTTCAGGTGACTACCTGGTTAATCCAACACTATTAATAATTTATCTTATTTTCCCACTCCACCTCCACTGATTAGTTAGATGTCACTTTTACCATACACTAAATTCTTTTATGTATTTGAATCCATTTCTATGCTTTCTATTTTTACATTGATTTTTCTGACTCTTCATGTGCCTGTACCATCCTGTTTTAATTACTGTAGCCTTATATTAAATTCTAACATCTAGTAGGTGACTGCCCCCTCATTACTCTTCTTTTCCAGAGTTTTTCCAGCTATCCTTGCCTGTTTTCTCTACATGAATTTTAGAACCATCTTGCTTACATAAACAAAAAAAATCTTGCTTGTATTTTTATTGAGATAATATTAATTTATAGATAAATTTAGGAAGAATTGATGACTTTAAATAATTTTGAACCTTCCATCCAAGGTTATGATATACCTGCCACTTGTTCAGCCCTTTTTTATGTTTATTGATTGTATTTTATGTTTATGTTATACGGCTCTTACACATTTCTTGTTAAGATCTTTCTTTCTTTCTTTCTTTCTTTCTTTCTTTCTTTCTTTCTTTCTTTCTCTTTCTTTCTTTCTTTTTTTTTTTTTTTTTTTTTGAGACAGAGTCTCACTCTGTTGCCCAGGCTGGAGTGCAGTGGTGTGATCTCAGCTCACTGCAACCTCTGCCTCCAGGGTTCAAGTGATTCTTGTGCCTCAGCCACCAGAGTAGCTGGGATTACAGGCATGTGCCACCACACCTGGCTAATTTTTGTATTTTTAGTAGAGACAAGGTTTCACCATGTTGGCCAGGCTGGTCTCGAACTCCTGACCTCAAGTGATCTGCCCAACTTGGCCTCCCAAAGTGCTGGGATTACAGGCGTGAGCCACCGCACCCAGCCAAGTTTATTCTTAATACATTATCTTTCCTTTTATAAATGGAGTATTTTCTTCTATTATGTTGAAGAGACAGATTCTTGCTATGTTCCCTGGGCTGCAAAGCAGTGGCTATTCGCAGGTGCAATCACAACGTATTACACCCCCAAACTTCTGGGCTCAAACTATCCTCCCATCTCAGCCTCCTGAGTAGGTGGGATAGCAGGCATGTGCCACCATGTTCAGCTTATTTGCTCGCTTATTGAGCGGGTTTGAAATATTTTCCACCAACACTAAGTGGGGGTTGAAGGAGATAACAATGGGAAATTGTTCTAAATAACATAAAGGCAAGGATTAAAGAAAATACCAACTATATTGTGTTGCTACTCAGCAGATTCTATGACACAGAAATCAGAAAAGAAAGCCACAGAATGATTTGCCTACACATTCATCTCCCTGGTGCAAGTGGGTATTGTTCTGTACCCTGTGGCAGGATTATAAATACTGCCAGAGAACAAGTACACAAAGTTGTTATGGAAACCAGAATGTTTCAGCTCAAGAGTTATTTACAGAGAACTTTCAGGATTATCACATTCAATAAAATCAACTCTTGTTTTGCTTCACCCTGTGCTAGTGCATCCCAATCAAATATCTATTTTTAAGGGTTCTTCAATCAGCTGTACTTATGTAAATAAGAATTCAGGAGTCAGTTGATGGGGACCACATCACAAAAGTGTAATTTATGAGTAGCATTTTTGTATCACATGCTTGAAGCTTGTCCATACTTGCCTCAACCATTGTCAAGTTTGCTGGTTTCCGTAATATAGGAATAAGGTGGCTATTGACTACTGCCTTCCGCAGATAAATATTTCCTCCAAAGTAGCTGGTGTCTGTGTTGCCTGATACTGTGGCACTGTGGGACTAGGCTCTTCACATTCTACAACTTACCTTTGAGGCTAGACAGTGACAGCTGCCTCTGGCTATCATTTTTGTCCTTAATTGTGAACCGGAATTTTTCTAGCCATCCAGGAGAATCTTTGAAAAAGTTGGATATTTTTTGTTTGAAAAGGTAATTGTACAATGAGGATTTTCATCGCCTTTGAAGGATCTTTTGAACCGTTTGATGTTTCAGCAGATGAAACTGTGGAGGTTGTCAAGCTGATGATAAAGGTATGTACTTCGTTCCCAAACCACCAAAATGTATATTAATTTTAACAATGCAGTGCATTTAAAAATGTACAAAGGGTAGAGATGCTATTGGGTACATTTTCAGCAAACAGGGAACGAAAACTATTTGAAAATACTATTATTTGCTTACACAATAGATTTATAAGAAGATAGTAACTCTGGTAGTGTTGGACAAGAAAGCAAAAAGAGCCAGTCAATTATCAAGAAAAAAAAAAAGTCTGACTTCTTTTTAGGGAATGTGTGGGTTGTGCATAGGCCAGATAATATTATTGCAATTCTTCATAAAAGGACCAAAGCAAGACACCAACTTCAGGCTATATACGTGGGACATGCCAGTCATCAGATAAATGTCTTATTTGGTGAGCAAACAACTACAAAGAACAGAAGATTTTGGAAGCAGAGAGGACTTTAGAGAACTTGTGAGCTATGGCTTCATTTTGCATTCAGAAAAAACTGAAGCTCTGAGAGGTTGACTATCTTACCTAGGATCACAGAGCCAGAATAAGAAATAACTTGGGTATAGTATCTTCCTTATAAATTTCATATAAATGTTCACTCTAAAATAAAAAATTAAGCAAAATATTTAGTTTCTGATCATCAAATATTTAACTTGGAGATGGTCATTCCTATTTGCTAAGCGGCATTTACTGAACCATAGTTACATGATATTCAGTAGATTATTATGATGATTGAAATCTAAATCTTGTAACACAAGGGATCTTAACCTCTATGTTTTATTAACCCCTTTGGAAGTCTGGTGATGTCTATAGACTGCTTCTCAGAATGTCTTTAAATGCATAAAATAAAACAGATATGATAGAAATGAAATTTGTTATATTGAAATACATTTTCCAATATTAAAAAGCAAATGTATGATATAGTGACATGTGGACTTCCTAATTAACACATTAACTAACAAGTTCTAGCAGCTCATCTAATAACTATTATTTTCAAAATACAGATCAGTAGAAATAATATTTTGAAATATTTGCAACAACTATAATGTGATATGAAAACATCTGTGACTTCTATTGGTGTCAGTCACAGGTACAGCGACTACTCCTACTTTAATTTGCTGCCTACATGTATAGTTGAAAGAAAATCTCAATTTCATTTAGAGTTAATAAAATAAAGATGTAGTTTCTTCCCATCTAAATTCTACCCATAAATGTTTTGGAAGTTCTCTAAGTTAAGAACCCCTATTTAATACTTCTTCCCTTTGTCCCAAACAATTATAATGCCCAGAGGAAAAAAATGTAAAGGGAAAGAGAGTACATTTCTGGTCTAGTAACGTAAGGATGTACTGTTTTCATAATATGCTATTGATTTTTAAGGATTATTTCCACATTCCTCTCTCTGAAGACAAACAAGGCAGGCGGTATCTGGAGTTAATGTATGCTGGAGCTGCTCTAAAGGACAGTTGGAGTCTTGCTGATGTTGGAATATCTTTCTGTTCAACTCTCAAATGCTTTGTTAAGGTATGATGGTCAGGATAATATTCGTCTAAGATATCTATCTCATTTTGAATAAAGTTGGGGATAAGTCAACCAAAGTAATTCCATAACTTAAAAAGAAATTGTCTCTTTTTGCCTTCTCCTCACTTCCATTTGTATAACAGGTCTTACGCATGCTTTGTGCTGTAAGGGGAAGTAAGACATGGAGAAGGGATAAAGTTGCCCCCTCTTTACTCTTCTTCCTCTTGCCTCCCCACACCCTTTATTGCCTGCCCAGTCCTGTCATCTCAGAACCGATATGAAAACAAAGCCAAGGGGCAGATCTGGAATTTTGATGTGGGAAGAAGAGCATTAGATCACTTTGGTGGGGCCACAGTGATTACTGGCAGTGGAATGAGGAAGGAGAAGAAATTCTCAGTAACAATAAGAATGAAAGGGAATTTTCTACATCCAAATCCAGCCAAAGTAGCCATTCCAATTAGGTGTACAGGCAATAAAGATATTTTTTCATTTATAGAGGGTCCTTAATCAATGGTGCTTAAGATGCACGGTTGGGCTTTAAGAACCTTAAAAAACCCTAAAATTGTAATATAAACAAAATTAATGTGCCTGGAGATTTTCTGAGTCTAAGATCCTTTATGGTCAACAATTTTTTTAAGGAACGGGTGATCCAAAGAATTTAAATGCTGCTGCTCTAGGGTAGAAGTATTATCCTGTGTTAGTGCTTTACCGTATATAAAAATATGAACTTTAGGAAACTTAGGAAAGTATACATTCTCCGCTAAATGGTGCCCCAAGTTTCTCATATTTAACATTTTAAAAAATTATGGTAGTCAAAGTTAACTCTTTCTTTTAATATATGTTAGTACTTGACTAAATGGATGTTTAAAAGGAATACTCTGGGCTGGGTGCAGTGGCTCACACCTGGGTGGGAAGATCATGAGGTCAGGAGATAGAGACCATCCTGGCCAACATGGTGAAACCCCATCTCTACTAAAAACACAAAAATTAGCTGCGCGTGATGGCATGAGCCTGTAGTCCCAGCTACTCATTAGGCTGAGGCAGGAGAATCACTTGAACCCAGGAGGGGGAGGTTGCAGTGAGCTGAGCTCGAGCCACTGCACTCCAGCCTGGGCAACAGAGTGAGACCCCATCTCGGAAAAAAAAAAAAAAAGAATATTCTTCAATATTTATTATTAAGTAGGAAAGACAAGTCACAGAATAATGATCATTGAATCATCCCATTTATGTAAACAAAAGACCATATTTACATACGTTTTTAATGTTTTATTTTCTGCCTCTTTTACTCAGAAAATGGAAGTATAACATTACATTTCAAAGCAGACCAAATTCCAGCCACTTCTTAATGTCTTCTCTTTACATATTTAAATATATTTCCATACTAGGTTTTTGGTGCCGTACAGGATCAACTCTCTAAAATTTCCCAGAAGTCTGTAATACCAATCATAAGGTTCAAGACTTTTTATTGTTTGCTTGCTTAGAGATGGTAGTGTAAGTTCAATACTAACATTTGAGCTGACTGGAAGAATCTGACGGCTTTTCAGGGATGTAGACAAGGTTTTTAACAGTATGGATAGGATACTTTTATTTAACTAAGGACTGATTTTATTTTTATTATATAACATTTTAAAATTTATTTTTGACTAGGTAGTATGTTCACATGGTTCTCAATTCAAAAGGAACAAAAAGATACACAGTAAAAAGTATCCTGGCCAGGTGTGGTGGCTCACACCTGTAACCCAGCACTTTAGGAGGCTGAGGTGGGAGGATCACCTGAGGTTGGGAGTTCAAGACCAGTCTGGCCAACATGGTGAAGCCCCATCTCCAATAAAAATACAAAAATTAGCTGGGTGTGGTGGGCACACCTGTAATCCCATCTACTCAGGAGGCTGAGGAAAAGAATCACTTGAACCCTGGAGGTGGAGGTTACAGTGAGCCGAGATCACCCCACTGTACTCCAGCCTAGGTGATAGAGTGAGACTCTGTCTCAAAAAAAGAAAAAGAAAAGAAAAGAAAAAGAAAAAACTCTCCCTTCTCTGGCCCCCAGTTTCCCTCCCCAGATGCAACCTATGTTCACAGTTTTACTTACAAAAACATTTCCTAAATTCTGCCAATAAAGCATCATATATCACAGTGATGCAAGCTTCACGCTGAACTCTTTTACCTGAAGTTTTAAACTGCTAATTCTATAAATAAAAAGTAGGGGTAAAAGAGGTTATTCAGTGAAACCAACCTGAGCAAGATGGTGAGACCCCATCTCTACAAAAATATTTTAAAAATTTTCCGGGTGTGGTGGTGCACATCTATAATCCCAGCTACTTGTGAGGCTGAGGCGGGAGGATCAATTGAACCCAGCCTGTGCAAGAGAGTGAGACCCTGTCTCAAAAAAAAAAAAGAGGAGTTTATTCAAGAGAGCCAGGGCAGAAGTCACAGGACTGGACAACACACAGAGTTTAATTAAAAACTCTCAAGTTCCCTAAAATTTTACTAACGGTACTCTTCATGCTGTCAGGTAGAATCACATTTAGAGAATATCCCAGGCCTCAAAGAATGCAGTCATATCAGCTCTATCATGCTTGATCTATCTCAGGTTACCAAGGCTGATTTCCAAGTCATGTTAGTTGCTTTACTGAATAATTAAATATATACACATTTAAGTAGTACCTTCCCTACTTAACTATGTTTAATCATGTTACTTTGTGAAAGTTAGTTTGCCTTGAGAGAGATGGAAGATGCCACAGTAAGGGAGGGAATGAATCCCTGAAGTGTGTCTCTTTAGCATATCTAAATTTTGGTACAACTTAGAAATATCATAATGTGAACCCAAAACTTTTGTAAAGTTCAAAAACTTGGCAAGTAAGTGGTTTTTCTTTCTAAAAAGATACAAGTAGATATTATGTCTCATGAAATAAATCCAAAATAGTTGGCTTCTTTATTGTGCTCATATTTTTGTGTGCTTACAAGGTTCTGCTTGTGTGAAAAACAGAGAAAGACACTGGATAAATACAGAGATTATCTACTGTTAAATACATTCTTTAGACAATGCTTTTTCCAGCTTCCCTGTATATTACGCTTTTCTTTTAATGGTAATATAGACACATTTGGAAAAGAAATGGAAATAAGGGTAATACAAGAATAGTGGGAAAAGAACATTGTATTCTCACCACTCCTATTCAACATAGTGTTGGAAGTTCTGGCCAGGGCAATCAGGCAAGAGAAAGAAATAAAGGGTATTCAATTAGGAAAAGAGGAAGTCAAATTGTCCCTGTTTGCAGATGACATGATTGTATATTTAGAAAACCCCATTGTCTCAGCCCAAAATCTCCTTAAGCTAATAAGCAACTTCAGCAAAGTCTCAGGATACAAAATCAATGTGCAAAAATCACGAGTATTCCTATACACCTATAACAGACAGAGAGCCAAATCATGAGTGAATTCCCATTCACAATTGCTACAAAGAGAATAAAATACCTAGGAATCCAACTTACAAGGGATGTGAAGGACCTCTTCAAGGAGAACTACAAACCACTGCTCAACGAAATAAAAGAGGACACAAACAAATGGAAGAACATTCCATGCTCATGGATAGGAAGAATCAATATTGTGAAAATGGCCATACAGCCCAAGGTAATTTATAGATTCAATGCCATCCCAATCAAGCTACCAGTGACTTTCTTCACAGAATTGGAAAAAACTAGTTTAAAGTTCATATGGAACCAAAAAAGAGCCCGCATTGCCAAGATGATCCTAAGCCAAAAGAACAAAGCTGGAGGCATCATGCTACCTGACTTCAAACTATACTATAAGGCTAAAGTAACCAAAACAGCATGGTACTGGTACAAAAACAGATATATAGACCAATGGAACAAGACAGAGCCCTCAGAAATAATATCACACATTGACAACCATCTGATCTTTGACAAACCTGACAAAAACAAGAAATGGGGAAAGCATTCCCTATTTAATAAATGGTGCTGGGAAAACTGGCTAGCCAAAGTAGAAAGTTGAAACTTCCTTACACCTTATACAAAAATTAATTCAAGATGGATTAAAGACTTAAATGTTAGACCTAAAACCATAAAAACACTAGAAGAAAACCTAGGCAATACCATTCGGGACATAGGCATGGGCAAGGACTTCATGACTAAAACACCAAAAGCAATGGCAACAAAAGCCAAAATTGATAAATGGGATCTAATTAAACCAAAGAGTTTCTGCACAGCAAAAGAAACTACCATCAGAGTGAAGAGGCAACCTACAGAATTGGAGAAAATTTTTACAATCTACCCATCTGACAAATGGCTAATATCCAGAATCTACAAAGAACTTAAACAAATTTGCAAGAAAAAATCAAACAACCCCATCAAAAAGTGGGCAAAGGACATGAACAGATGCTTCTCAAAAGAAGACATTTATGCAGCCAAAAGACACATGAAAAAATGCTCATCAGGCTGGGAGCGGTGGCTCACGCCTGTAATCCCAGCACTTTGGGAGGTCGAGGTGGGTAGATCATGAGGTCAGGAGCTCGAGACCATCCTGGCTAACACAGTGAAACCCCGTTTCTACTAAAAGTACAAAAAATTAGCCGGGCGCGTTGGCGGGTGCCTGTAGTCCCAGCTACCGGGGAGGCTGAGGCAGGAGAATGGTGTGAACTCAGGAGGTGGAGCTTGCAGTGAGCCGAGATAGCACCACTGCACTCTGGCCTGGGCGAAAAAGCGAGACTCTGTCTCAAAAAATAAATAAATAAATAAATAAATAAAAGCTCATCATCACTGGCCATCAGAGAAATGCAAATCAAAACCACAATGAGATACCATCTCACACCAGTTAGAACGGTGATCATTAAAAAGTCAGGAAACAACAGGTGCTGGAGAGGATGTGGAGAAATAAGAACACTTTTACACTGTTGGTGGGACTGTAAACTAGTTCAATCATTGTGGAAGACAGTATGGAGATTCCTCAAGGATCTAGAACTGGAAATACCATTTGACCCAGCCATCTCTTTACTGGGTATATATACAAAGGATTATCAATCATGCTGCTATAAAGACACATGCACATGTATGTTTATTGCAGCACTATTCACAACAGTAAAGACTTGGAACCAACCCAAATGTCCATCAGTGATAGACTGGATTAAGAAAATGTGGCACATATACACCATGGAATACTATGCTGCCATAAAAAAGGATGAGTTCATGTCCTTTGTAGGGACATGGATGAAGCTGGAAACCATCATTCTCAGCAAACTATGGCAAGGATAGAAAACCAAACACCACATGTTCTCACTCATAGGTAGGAACTGAACAATGAGAACACTTGGACACAGGGTGGGGAACATCACACACTGCGGCCTGTCGTGGGGTTGGGGGAAGGGGGAAGGACAGCATTAGGAGATATACCTAATGTAAATGACGAGTTAATGGGTGCAGCACACCAACATGGCACATGTATACATATGTAACAAACCTGCACGTTGTGCACATGTACCCTAGAACTTAAAATGTAATAAATAATAATAATAATAATAAAGAACATTGTATTAACTTTTCCTTCTTTGGAAAAGAACTCTTACGGAAGCCATAATCAATATTTTCTATGGTATATACCTCCAATTTCTATTAATACAGGAGCCAGTCCTGACGATTTATTGCTGATGGTGTTGCGGTTCACTGTGTTCCTATAAACCATAGCATGAGGCACTGCAAAAGTGTATGTTTTTGTACAACATGCAGAGGCACTATCACTTTTGCCCCCTTCATTTTAACCTGTGTTATCATGGAAACGATTGCTTAAGTTTTGTCCACTGTTTTCACCCAGTGCTTAGAATAGTACTAGATAAGATATATAGTAGGCTGTACATAAATAGGTATTAAATAAATGAATTGATAAAGGTTTGAGAGGTAAAGTATGGAAATTAACAAGATGGTATATGATTGTCTGCAATTCATAGCAAGGTACTGAGATGCATTTCAGGGATCCATTCTCTCCCTTACTGTGGCATATCCCATTTTTCTCTACTCTTAGGGCAAAGCACTCCCCAGTATTCTTGGCTTTTCCCCTGACCAACATCATGGTTCTTAGTTGGAAGCAGCAGAAACAAAGTCTAGATAATTTAAGCAGAAAATAAGTATTGAAAAGCTATTGAGTAGTTTTCGGAAGATTGGAGAATCAGTCTTAGAGATTATGCAGCCAGAAACAACATCTAAAGCACGCCCCAGAACTAATCTGGGAAGGTCACCACTACAGGCAACACTGAGCCCTCAAAACAGGCACTGGACATGCTGCCAGCCCTGCTGCCAGGCCGGCAACTTCAGAAATGCCATTGCCTAGAGACTTTCCTGTGTCTGTTGCTTCTCTGCCTTATTGGCTCGTAATTCAAAGTTGGGGTGGATAGGTAGGTCTGATTGGGAGCACCCTGTCACATGTCCATGCTCTACTGCAAAGGGGGCAACTATCCAGCAGGTTGTGCTTTTCAGAGCGTGAAATGGGCTCAGCCTCCCTAGGACTCCTTCTGGTTTCCCTGCCTCCTTCTATAACCAGACTTGTACCAACCAAGTGCTGGGGTCAAAACATAGTTAATCCCTCCTGACATCCCTGGAATGTTGTGAAAAGTTGTTTTATGCTGAGAGATTGAGTTAACTGTAGTACCATTGAGTAGATGTTTATCAGATAAGTTAGAGAAGTTTGTACTATCTTGACAAGTCTAAATTTGATTCAAAATGATAAACATTTTAGCTTTCGAGAGGTACTGTTAATGTATAAACACCAAAATCCAATATATGTGGTTTTACATTTATGCATTTTTATACACAAAAACATGTATAAACATGTTTCTTTAAAATTTACACATGAAAGCATGTTTCTTAAAAATGGCCCTCTTTTCTAAGATGAGTCATAACAAAAGGTATGAAAAGAATCTGGTGAAGAAAGGTGTTCCAATTCAGTGTCCAAGACTCCATGGATAATCTCTCCAGAATGACTACCACACAAGAGGAGAAGTTTATGGAGACATCTCACTGGAATTCATTTGGTTCAACAAAAACAAATATTACTTCCCCTTTTGTTCACTCTGGAATAGTTCAGCAAGCTTCTGCTTACTTAGTGCTGTAACTCCAAAACAGCAAAATATAAAAAAGCAGAACTTGAGAAAAAATACAGCAGTACATTCAAAACTTTCATTAACTTGTTTTCTTTCAGTCAGTTCTGTTTAGCTTTTCCTTTCTTATTGTTAAAGTACATGTATGAATTTACAGTAAGTTTGCATTTGTTTTTTGAAGGTAAGCATGGAATTATTCTCATGAGATAGAACGTATTTGTTTTTATTGAAAAGTAAGATACTTTGTGTATATCTCTTGGGTTGGTTTGTTTGCATCTCAGTTTGTTTATAAAGGAAAAAGTCTAATTTTGTACATGTCCAACAATGATTTGTGTGTGGTATTATTATTTAATAGCGTCTGACTTCGTTGGTTGTGACTGACCAGCCTTCTGTGATTCAGAATACTTGGGGAGGAGTATCATATAGACAGAGAGGTAGAGATGCCTTCTCTTATGTGGATAAGGTGGATTAGCAAGTTGCTATTAATTGGCATCTACCTACTCCCTCGTCATACAACCAAATTAGAAAATATCGACAACTAATGTGCCTCACTAGAACTCAAAATGGGTTTTCCCATAAAAACAAGGTTTATACAAAGGTGAGTATGTAGAGTTAAAAAGTGCAATGAGAACTATTATCCAGATACATTATTGATTAAAAAGGCCTGGGATGTCATTCAACATTTATTATTTATTTATGTGATAAAAAGTTCCTGAGCGCTTAAAAAAAAAATGAACAGACTCAGTAGGTGTTAATTTTCTTGAGACTTAAGAACCTGGCTTCATTAATAATTAGTAATATTTTCTTCCTTGCACTTTTTATTTTCATCTAAAGATTGTCAGATCAGCTGGGCACAGAAGCTCACTCCTGTAATCCCAATACTTTGGGAGGCTGAGGTGGATGGATTGCTTGAGGCCAGGGGGTCCAGACCAGCCTGGACAACATAGCTAGGCCCTGTCTCTACAAATAAGAATTTAAAATGTAGCTGGGTTTGGTGGTGAGTGCCTGTACTTGGGAGGCTGAGGTGGGAGGATTGCTTGAGTCTAGGAGTTTGAGGTTACTGTGAGCTCTGATAGTGCCACTGTACTTCAGCCTGGGCAACAGAGTGAGACCCTATCTCAAAAAAATTGCCAGATATTTTGCAGTTCTCCCTTATTACTTGTTCCAGAGTCAGTTATATGTATACTAAGTTATACATGCTTATCTTTATAGATATAAGTATACGATTATTCATATTCTGAGAAGCTTCTTTTTAACTTATCTAACCTCACACACCTAGTTAACTTAAGAGTGACTTGAGAGCTGGGAATGGAGGAGAATTCTTTCCCCAGCTACTCAGGAGGTGGGAGACTGCTTGAGCCCAGAAGTTCAAGACCAGCCTGGGCAACATAGTGAGCCCTAGACTCTAAAAAAAAATTTTTTTTTTAAAGAGTGACTTGGGACTCTGTTATTTTGTTTGCATGTTATTCTATTTGGATTTATTTTGTCATTTGTTTGCATTTAATTTGTTATTTGCATTTAATTCTAAATATAAATTAGGAATTTTTAAAGAAATAAAAAAGAGCTATTACATAAAATATAATTTTTCTCTCTTTCCCACTATCTTTTTATTCAGTTTTCATAGGAATTTCTGCCTGCCCGTAAATATTATCTACATTAGCTTGAACAGATACTTCCCTTATGGAACCATAGGAAAGCACGGCGTGGCAAAAGTGAAAGAGTCAATCCTATGTCCTTTAAATTTGTATTGCATGTGTTTATGAGAAACTATCATGAAAAATTGTTCTAAGCACTTTAGGCTCAGTGGGCAGCTCAGCTTGCTGATCTGGCTTCATGCACAGCCACAGAGGGACTGAAACTGTTCCTAATCACTTCAGTCACTGAAATGGGCCCTAGATCAAAGTACTGCAGCCTTAAATTTCATCAGTAACATCACTCCTCAAAGGCTTTTTGAAAAAGGTCTGCATGTTGACCATATTACTGCAATGTGTTATGTGGGAGAGGAGCATTTAATTTATTATAAGTCTGCAGGACTGGGGGGGCCCTGGAGGAACCAGAGAGGGATTCTGATGGAAGAAATAGAGGAAGGAAACAAAGGAGGGGCAAGACAGCATTGACAGGTTGGAGCCCCCTGAAGAACCTGAAGGCCAGATACCAGGTTCTGAGAGAGTCCCGCATTCATGGGCATTCCGTGATGGTGCCATGCACTGACATCTGCCAACCCAACAACAGGCCGTTGCAGAAAAATATTATTGTCCTGAATCTGCTAAAGAGGAAGTAAAGTCAGTTTCATTTTTCATGAGAAAAGTGGAAATGATAATAATCTTTTCCTCCCCACTTGCTTCCCATTTTTCCTATTCGCTGTATTTTGAGTTTTGGTTTGGCTTGTTTAAACTGTTGTTAACAGAAGTATTAATATTTTCCTCAAACTTTCCATCTTAACTCTGCTTTGGATATCTCAATTCTACTTGCTTTCCTACTTAGATTACAAAATGAAAGAAACAAAAGAAACTTTTCTAAACCTATGTTTGGTATTTCCCTTTTTAAACAGTAAAAGTAGGCCAGGTGCAGTGGCTCGCGCCTGTAATCCCAACACTATGGGAGGCCAAGGTAGGAAGATCGCTTGAGCCCAGGAGTTTGAGACCAGCCTGGGCATCATAGTGAGACAAAAAAAAAAAAAAAAGGAAGACAGACAAGAAAGATAAATAATAAAAGTAAATATATTTGGCTTTTAAAAAAGTCAAACCATACGGACAATGAAAAGCACAAAATGATAAGCAAACACTCCCTCCCACTCTCAACTCAGTTCCACTTGCCAGGAATAACCTCTCAGAAAAAAAATAATAATAATTGACTGAAGATTTCAAATCCACAGTATTCCAAATTAAAGTACTGCACAACAGAGGAATGTTTTCTAAACTAACACCTCCATAAGCACAGGATGGATATAAATTATCAACACTCTTATGTATCTGGGTCTGTAGACTAAGAAGTCAAAGGGTCTCAAAGCCTTGCCAAGTCTTTTTCACTTCACTCAAACAGGGGGACCTGTTAATATCTCAGGACATAAGAGCTAGACTCAGACCAGAAGGCAGAGAACTCAACTGACTATTGCTTTCACATTAACACCCATGTCGTGGAGCTAGAGGTGCTCAAAGCTACCCTCTGAAATGCTTGGCCCTCATCTGAACCTCCAGACAATAAGTTCCCTCCTTTTCTTTCCCTTTAGGAAGAAGACAAGCCTACTCTATACGTGTTCAATGCTGTAACTCAAGACACAATGCCAGTAATGGAGAGCATTTCCCTTCTTGATAAAACAGTGTCTGATCTGAGAACACTGGTAACTCTGAGATGTGGCCTCCCCGTGAGTGTCTACTGTCTCCGAACCCCAAGGGGCCTGGAGATGTATGATTGCAACACCCTCAAGGACTACCAGACTGATATTGGTACTGCCCAGTATATTTGATATCAGCTACCATTTGGCACTAGGGTCCTTTGATACCAGATTTTGCAGCTTTTCAAGAGAAAATAGAAATCTAGATTTTCATATACAATCTGTTAACTTTATTTACATATTCACTTTAAAACAGTTAACACATTTACATAGTTTAAATATCAGAAGTGAAAAGGATGTGTAGTGGTAAGTTGCCCTCCCTCTCCTGGCCTTACAAGCACTTAGTTCCCTCCTCACAGGCAACCATTATTGTTTTGAAGATTTACAATCAAAACCATTTCCAAATTAAATCTGAACAAATGGAGGCATTATTTCTAAATGGAAACCTCTGTAAGTTCAGTATGGATATGAATTATCAACATTTCATTCTTGGGTCTGGGTCTACAGACTAAGAAATAAGGAGGGTCTCATAGCCCTGTCAAGTCTTGTTCTCAAAGCAGATTCATTAATATCCTCAGGGTGGAAGAGCAAAACTCAGGCCACTTCATCTCTTCTCTTTCAAAATGTACTTCAAGCATGTATAAATGCAAGTTCAAGTACATATTCTTTTTCCCGTTTTTAATGCAAGGTAGCATATGATACATGCTATTCTGAACCCTGCTTTGGGCAATTTCATCTTAAAATGTTGCTGATTATATTAAAATAATCTTTTTAACAATGTGACGCCAATGCTATACTGGCTGAAAATCTGCATTAGTGGAATAGTGTTTATCTGTTATAGAAATTACAACCTCTCTCTAAATACTATACCTTGGCTGGGCATAGTGACTAGTGATTCATACCTCTAATGCTAGCACTTTTGGAGGCCAAGAGAGGGGGGATCACTTGAGCTCAGTAGTTCAAGACCAGCCTAGGCAACATAGTGAGATGCTCATCTGTACAAAAAACAAAAAACAAAAACAATAGCAGGATGTGGTGGTGCCCAGCTGCTTGGGAGGCTGAGGTAGGAGGATCACTTGGGCCAAGAGGTTAAGGCTACAGTGAGCTATGATCACACCACTGCACTCCAGCCTGGGTGACAGCAAGACCCTGTCTCGAAAAAAAAAAAAAAAAATCTGTACTTCCAGGTCACGTCTGCAGTAGCCAAACATCAATAAGACAAACAAAAAAGGCTGTCAGATTTGTTTTAAGCATACTAAAAAATGATTTGACGATACAGAGATGATTAACATGGCCCCTACCTGACGATGACACACAAGTTCATGAAACATTTCACACTTTTTAAAAATGGTTAGAACCTTATAGAAATTACTTGAAGTAAATGAATCCTTGCTGACAATCAGCACAACCTTAGGTAACATTGTGTTGTAACATTGCAATGAAATTTGAGTTCTCCCAACATATACATAGGGCTTTGTAGGTATCCTTAGTTAAGTAGTTTTGCTTTATATAACTGCTAAATTTGCATTTATTGATACTTCTCCTGACTGTAGTATTTGCTTAGCATTATTCTTTCCTATTATTTTAAATTAAGGCTCTCAAAACTTTGACATAATTTTTTTCCTTGTTTTTGATCAGGGGAAGTGAAGTTCTACAATTTCTCCTCAGAGTACTTTGCTATAGTGCACATACCTGCTCTGCACGCTTGCTGGAGGCTGAACCCTGCCTAGAACATGATGGGGGCTCACATAAGGAAGGGCACACAGTGGCATTTGTCCCCAACTAACTGATAATTTAGTTATTTAATGAAGTACCAAAGGATGAAACAAAACTAGGAAAAACTCTGGTTGACTATTCTTCAGGCTTATACTGTTCAGATTATAATGTGACGTTTTAAGCTGGAAGATAATTTGAATTGACCCAACCCCAACTTTTACAGACTTGAAAAAAAGCAAATCATCTTAATGATTAAATGACTTGCTCAGCATGTGTCAAGGACAACATACCTACTCCTTAAAATGACCCTCTGGGAGTAGGAACTTTAGGAAATGAGGGTGTTCAGATATAAGGTTAAGGGTCTAAGCATGACCTGAGTAGGCTGTTTTGGCCACCATGAGGACACAGAGCATCAGAGGAGAGGCAAGGAAAGAAGAACCTCAAAGGGAAGGGAGGAAGGGCCATTTGGCCTGCTTCATATGCTTCATACCTTTACCTAAAGCATAACTAGTATTCCTCAAGCAGCCAGCTCACCTTTTTTAAAACTAGAAGGTAAAAAGAGTCCTTGATCAGCTTCTCTTACAGGACCTCTCTTTCTAGCCAATGAATCATCCCTGCTGCTATCAGGAGTTGAACCTTGGCCCCTTTTCCACAGGCAGTGGAAAATCAGAAGAGTTTGGAGAAGCAGTCATGTCCAGGTTGAAAATCAAAGATTTAAGTAGCTCAATTAATCACTGTACATACTAGCTCATACAAACATTTGCAAAGCTGCCTCTGCACTCTGGGTGTTTACAGTAAAGTGATAGAAATGAGACATGTATACACACTCAGTTAAAATCCAGTAAATCAGCTCAATGCAGGCTGAAGGCATGTAGGGAAGGCATTCTGGAGAAAGTGGGGCTGGAGCACACACAGATGTGGGAACCATGGATCATCTGAGAGGAGGAAGGGAAGACATTCCAGGGAGGGACAGAAAGCAGGAGACTGTTCTGCAGAGCGGAGGAACCTTGCTGAGAGCACTGGGAAACACAGCCAAGGGCAGAAGGAGGAGGGTCTTAAGGTGAGGGAACAGAGCTCAGCCTTGCTGTGGCTGCAGCTAGAGCCATGCACCTTCTGGAACAGGAGTGTTTTTTTGTTGTTGTTGTTGTTGTTGTTGTTTGTTTTTGAGTCACAGTCTTGCCTGTTGCCAGGTTAGAGTGCAGTGGCACGACCTCAGCTTACTGCGACCTCCGCCTCCCAGGTTCAAGCGATTCCCCTGCCTCAGCCTCCTGAGTAGCTGGGACTACAGGCACGCGCCACCACTCCCAGCTAATGTTTTGTATTTTAGTAGAGACGGGGTTTCACCCTGTTGGCCAGGATGGTCTCCATCTCCTGATCTTCTGATCTGCCCGCCTTGGCCTCCCAAAGTGCTGGGATTACAGGCGTGAGCCACCACACCCGGCCTAGAACAGGAGTGTTTTAGGAGAGGTTTAATCTGGTAGCAAGCAATATGAAATATAGAAAGGAGTGAGGAAAGCCTGCAGGCAGGGTGATACACTAACTGGCATGTTTGATAATCCCAGTATTAATTAGGTCCATTAGCAGTGGAAGAGACAAATCTGTGAAACACAGAAGGCAGAACAGGACAGAACATCATGCTAGATCACTTTTTTTTTTTTGAGACAGGGTCTCACTCCATCACCCAGGCTGGAATGCAGTGGCACAACCTCAGCTTACTGCAACCGCTGCCTCCTGGATTTGAGTGATTCTCTCACCTCAGCCTCCTGAGTAGCTGGGACTACAGGTGCATCCCACCATGCCTGGCTAATTTGTGTGTGTGTGTGTGTGTGTATTTTTTATAGAGACAGGGTTTCACCATGTTGGCCAGGCTGGTCTCAAACTCCTGACCTCAAGTGATCCACCCACCTTGGCCTCCCAAAGTGCTGGGATTACAGGAGTGAGCTACTGCACCTGGCCCTAGATCACATTTAAGTAGAGGAAAGAATCAAAGCTCTCACACTAGGACAGTGGTGGGGAAATTGAGGAAAGGAGCTATTTTCTGGGTTTTAAGCTTTAGATATGAGGAAACTCAGAGAGTACTTTTTTTTAAAAAAGTTACTCAGCTGGTCAGTTAGTGGCAAAGCTGTAAGTACAACTGAAGTCTTCTAATTTCCCTTTACTGCAAACATGGTGCTAGTGCTTGAGTGATGGTTTGGGTTAGCAGATACTGATCCTGCCCATGTAGGTGGAGACCAAGCCCTATGAGGGGTACATTCCTCAGAGAGTAAATATAGAGAGGAATGTCTTAAGGGCCAATGGCTGGCACTCAGGACATGCTGAGGTCAAGGCAAGCACACGGAAGAGTCAAAAAATGAGACATGGAAAGCTGTCAGAGTCAGGAGGAGAACTGGAACTTTGTATTGTAACAGATGATGAGACTGTTTTCAAGATGCTGGTAAAAGTCCAAAGACAATTCTGAGATAAAAAAGCTTTGGATTTGCTTTAAAGGTCTTTGGTGGGCTTAGAGAGAGCAGCTTTAATAAAGGAGATGGAGAAAGAAAGATTTTAGGGATTAAGAAGAAGATGAGTAATGAAGGGATAAGGGAATTCTGGTGGTAGAATATCTAATGACTAACTTATCATAAATCTATCATGATAAGTATATCTTAATATGTGTGATTTTGTGACTTGAGGCTTAGTGACATATCACACAGGTCCAATACATACATATACATGCACACACACACACACGCACACACACACCTAGTCTTACGTCAACCTGTATGGTACCAGATGCTCATTTTAGACCTGCTTCTAGCTCTGAAATCACTGCCCTGGCTTTTGCTTTCCTCTTTCTGATCCACATGCTTATCTGCTTGTTATTCTGTTTTTATTTCACATATATTCATAAACTGGCATTCATCCTTTCTGAAACAAGGAGTACCTAAACAAATGAGTGAATGAATTAATGCCTTTCTTTACAGATGATACCAATTGGTACTCTTCACTATAAACACCTCATAGGATATATTCATGGCTGCCTGGGCACATTGCACCTGAGAAACCATTCCAGGAGCAGGGTTGTGTCAGCTCAGATCCTGAAATCTGAGCTGGCTCCAGGGTCCTTTTACTAACCTTTAGGCTCATGGAGACCTATGGTGCTATTTTAATTCCTTTTATTGATGAGAAAACTGAAGTTCAGAGAAGTTAAGTGATCTGATCAAGATTACACTGCTAATAAATGATAATCATACACCCAGGACTGGGTTCTTTCCAACAATTTATACTGCCAAACCAGTATGCTTTTATTGATGGCCTTTAAGTTCTAATCAATGTTTTATTTTGTTTCTTCCATCACAGGAAGCTCAAACCAGAGAAACAATTTCCATATTCAGGAAGAAAAAGTCCAAATCAGATAGGCATGTGTTGACTCCCGGGGTATGAACGAGGAATCCAGAAACTTGGGAGTCAGGGGCCACATGTGGCAAGGTTGAAGATGATTGCCTAAATAGGCACTGTTGCTCCCATCTGCTGTCCTGTGTGGCCTAGGCATAGTAGATACGTTTGCAAGCACAGAATGGACAGATCCAGGTTTTGTAAAGTTAATACAATTTTGTGGGCCCTCTTTTTAAAAATCCAAAACTAAGACAAGAAAATTAGCAGGCTCTATAGAAGGTAGTGAGGGGCCCTAAAGCTTATTAGTTTTCCTCTCTCTTCAGTAATAGGTTTTAGTTGTATTTTCTGGAGCAATATAGCGTTTTTCAAGTAAATTTCTATTTCCCAACAGAATTCCTAGGCTTATGAAGGAATTTAACATCTGACAAAGAGGGCATTACAAAGCAACAGGGGTGAAAGGAAAATCTAATAAACAGTGCTGGCTGACTTGCTTAGAAATTCTCTGGATATTCAAAAGCTGAGCATTATCAGGACTGTTTCATTGCAAGGAACTGAACTGATGGTTATAACACCCGTAATATTTGCTACTAGACAGGGAATTAAAATGAAATAAAATACAGGGCCTGATGGAGGTGCCCCACCAATGTTAAGGAGATTTAAATCGTACGGTCCTCTCTGTAGTTTTCAGAATCAGGTCTCATTCAGCAGTAGGCAGGAGGGCTAGAGAGAGCTGAGACTCTGAGGATAGGCAATCATCTGGAGAACAGGTAGGCCAGGAAAATCCCATCTATAGACATCCAGCAGGGGAAGGTTAGCCTCATATAAGTCCTTCTGGTGGAAGGCCTGGAATAGGCAGGTCAGTCTGCAGCTGTCAGTCGGTAAGGCCGAGGAAGGCAGAGGGTGATCCTCAGGGAGATCCATCAGGGACCTTGTGAGTGAACCACAGCACCAAGGTAGTGAATGAATGAATGAATGAATGACAAAAGAGGCAGGAAACTAGATAAGCTGATGTTGACATCGAGGCTCTGACAACGTGACAGAAATCTAACCCCAGAGATTAGGATTTAGAGTAGGAAATTCAGAAATGAAATCTTAGTCTTAAACCCAAAAAGTGGGGTAGAATATTGGGATTCACAATATAGGGCACAAAGTGGGGACTTGCTCAGGAGGAACAGAAGTGACTAGAATATCTGACCAGGATGAACAGGAACACTGACTTCCTACCAACCCTCTGAGTTACTGACCTACATCTTTTTCAGTTTTTGTAGAGATGGGGTCTCGCTGTGTTGCTCAGGCTGGTAAACTCCTGGCCTCAAGCAATCCTCCCACCCAAAGTGCTGGGAATACAGGTGTGAGCCACTGCACTGGGACCCTGGCCTAAATCTTAATAAATTCCCTCCTACGGGAATTAAGGTTGTTCTCTGGACCTGGGGCTGGCTGGTCCTTCAAATGGAGACTGTGTAGCCTCGGCTGTGGAGGACTAAGGAGGCTGCGGTATGGGGCCAGGCTAAAGCTTTCTACTGCTCATTTGGGAGTGATTTTCACAATAAACTAAAAACATAGATCATTTCAGCAGGAGATAAAATAAATGCACTTGGAGCAGTGTTTAAAGTCCTTTGTTTCCAGTGCATGAGAATTAAACATTTTATGAGAAAGTTTAAGTGCAGCATGAAGCTTTAGAGAAAATTAACCTAGTGTAGCAAGTATGGTCCGTATTTTGGAAAATGTTTATCAAGGTATTTCTACAGAATAGCTGCAGGACCACTACTTTATGTCTACAGAATAATTCCAGAATTCTCCAGCAAGGAGAGTAAACTCTTCTAGCTGAGGCCCGAGTTATGAGGATCGAGGCAGGTGAGGGGGATGAGGGTAGTAACGCAGGTCAGGCCTGTGAGTAAACAAGTATGCAAATAGGAATCAACTCACAAAGAATAGCAAGTCCAAGGTCAAGAAATCCAAACCAGAGTAAGGAGTAACAGAGGAAGAGCCCCATTTCAAGATTACAGGTTATAACATAGAATGTCCAATAAGGGAGGGACTGGCAGGGAGATATCCTTTGTCGTGTTCGTGTACAGAGGAGGCAAGAAGGAAAAGAGAGGGGAAGCAGAAAGGAAAGAAAGAGAAAGGCAACTGAAAGGGGGAGACTCTCTAGGAATTAGAAAGAATCCTAAAGACACATTCCAGGGAATTCTGGAAATTCCCAGCTGGCTGAGAAGCCTCAGGCAATTCATGTGTCTCTGAACCTCAGCTTCCTAGTCTATAAAAGGGGGCTGCTGAGTGGGCTGGTCTTTTAAGATCTATCTTCACCTTTCTGTGATTCTAAGATTACTGGTGTTCTGAAATCTCAGCCAACAAAGATAAGCACAGTTTAGACACCACCAAGGCCAGAAACAGCCTGGTGTGCACAGGGAAGTGCAGGCCAACCTGCTCGGTTAGGAGGGCAGAGCATGGCCAGAAGAAGTTTGGGAGTCCAGCAGAACTTCATTCAACAAATACTTACTGAGTGTCCACCATAAGCCAGGGACCACTGTGGAAAGCAGGCACAGTGGCAGTGTCCCCACCCTCCTGAAGCTTGGATCTCAGTGGAGGAGGCAAACACCATCAAGCAAACAGAAAAATATCTCATTTTAAGCAGAGGTTAAGAGCTACGAAGTAAAAGAAGGCAGGATAATGGAATAAAGAATGATGCAGTAAACTGATGGGAGGCTATTTAGATAGCTGGTCAGAAAAGAAGACAACATTGAGCAGAGACCTGAATAAAGAAGGGAAGGCTGCTGGGAGCTTCTCAAAGTAGATTTAGGTGAAAGATTACCTAGGCCTGAAATAGGGCAGGACTGGTTGAGATGGAGGCAAGGAAACAGAGTTCTTCAATATTGATCAGGTAAACCTGTCAGGCCTAAGCAACCGTTTAGATGTAGGACATGAAAAAATGAGAAGGATGCCGGGCGCAATGGCTCACACCTGTAATTCCAGCACTGTGGGAGGCCAAGGCGGATGGATCGTTTGAAGTTAGGAGTTCGAGATTAGCCTGACCAACATGGTGAAACCCCTTCTCTACTAAACATACAAAAAAATTTAGCTGAGCATGGTGGCCTGTAATCCAGCTACTTGAGAGGGTGAGGCAGGAGAATCACTTGAGCCTGGGAGGCAGAGGTTGCAGTGAGCCAAGATTGTGCCACTGCACCCCAGCCTGGGTGACAGAGAAAGACTCCGTCTAAAAAAAAAAAAAAAAAAAGGAAGGATGGAGGAAAACTCTCTAATATATGGCTTAGGTAGCAAAATAGATGTACCACTCACTGAGAAAAAAAAATGCAGGAGAAAAAGCAGGTTGGGTGAAAGATAATGAGTGGTCTTTTAGAATGATGGGGTTGTAGTGCAATCCCTTCTTTGGTAATATCGCCAGCAGGGGGAGTCTGGAGCTGGAGCAGAGGCTGGGCTGGAGATTGGGACTTGGGAATGAGTGACACCTGGGTGGTCAATGAAGCTATCATCGCCACTAAGATTGACAATTAATCAGCTATCAAGTATTTAGTGAGCACCTACCAAGTGTCAGGCTATACGGCAAGTCGTGAAGGAATTTTCTTCTTAATGGGAGCATGAAAAAAAAATCTTCAAGCAAATAAAATGATTTCAAATACTGATGACAGGGGCAATAAACAAGTTAAAATAAAGTCATGGGATACAAAGTAATGAAGGTGAGGAGGTAGTGATGGCAGAGATTGCTTTAGCTATGGTTGAAGTGAAAACTGAATAAAAAGGACACAGTCCTGTGAAAATCTGATGAAGATCCTTTCAATCAAAAAATTGTAAGTCATTAGGTCCTGAGATGGGAGTAGACTTGGTGTGAGGACAGGTGAAAGGTCAAGGTGGCCATAATAAATGAATGAAGCAGAGTGAAGAGAGGTAAGTGAGCTAGGTTGGTTCACATAGGGAGAAGGCTGGGTTTAATCCCCAGGGAACTTGCGTAAATTGAGAAGAACGGAAGGCTGAGGAAAGATCCCTGGGAAACACCAGCCTGAAGGATAAAAGGAATGTGGTATCACAGAAAGGGTAGACTTTGGAGAAGCAAGTGATAAGTTCTCCAGCAGCAGTGAATTACTTTAATGTTTGTAACGGAGAACAGCTCCTGTTTCATAAAGGATAGAACAAGCAA
This sequence comes from Homo sapiens, assembly GCF_000001405.40. Classification (NCBI taxonomy): domain Eukaryota; kingdom Metazoa; phylum Chordata; class Mammalia; order Primates; family Hominidae; genus Homo; species Homo sapiens. Next base: position 149,771,106 of record NC_000003.12, on the reverse strand, counting down.
ATTAGCTGGTGAGCATCTTTCCACTCCCTCACAGCCCACTCATAAGCTAAAGGCCCCAGAAGACTGTTTGTCCTGCCACAGGTTCCTTAGTTTCCTCTTCCAATATAATGGCTTCAGTTTACATGGTAATATATACAGCAGCATTGAGTCAATCTCCACAAGACTGTTTTAAGATAGCTGCAAAAAAATACTTCAGTGCTATACGCCATCATTGAGCAGATGAGAAAATGGTAATACACAGATGCCAAACAGCTTTTCCAAGCCAATAATGGCCTATGCTAAAAATACCATCCCTGTCTCCTTGTTCCAAGGTTATTTTTCATTTTGCATCTAGCTAAGCCTCTGTTTGGGGAAAGCTACCATTAGAAGTTTTATGGATTGTCAAACCACACTGCTGGACTGGAACCATAAACCACCTCTCTTGATCCACAGGCACAACACTTCGCTTGGATGTCTGGGATGGATGGAAGGAATTTCTGATGGGTTGTCTCCTTGGACAAAAACTTAAAGTCCAACGCTACTTATCAAAAGAAGGACCAGTACTCAAGTATGAGAAATTAATTTTAAATTAACTTAGCAAGTGCTGTGATTTTTACTAAACTTCCATCATACCTTGAGCCTGCAATTCACTCACTCTACAGCTGGGGTGCTGCTCTATGCCAGTTCCACTTAGTATGTCTCAACCAAATATTATTATTGACATATTTGTTGGAACAAAACAGCAGGGATGCCATCAGGACTGATAGTCTTGCGATTCAGGTAGACTTTCCTCAGGAAATACTAACTACAATTAACCTTTGAACAATGCAGGGGTTAGGGATGCCAACTCCCCATACAGTTGAAAATTCCCATATAACTTTTGACTTCCCCAAAACTTAGCTACTAATAGCCTACCATTGACCAGAAGCCTTACTGATAACACAGTCAATTAACACGTTGTGTATATGTATTATATACCATATTCTTACAATAAAGTAAGCTACAGAAAAGAAAATATTAAGAAAATCATAAGGAAAAGAAAATATATTTCCTAGTCATTAAGTGGATGTGGATCATTATAAAGGTCTTCAATCTTCAGGTTGAATAAGGCTGAGGGGGAGAAAGAGGAGAAGGGGTTTGTCTTGCTGTCTCAGGTGTGGCAGAGGTGGAAGAAAATCCCCAAACTGAACCCTGACAGTTCAAACTCATGTTGTTCAAAGGTCATTAAATGGTGATTAAATGGGTGACTTCGATTTGGTTTAGATATGAGACTTTCAGCAACATTTTTAAAGACTATCAGAATAAATACAGACAGTCCACAACTTATGATGGTTCAACTTAGATTTTTCAACTTACAATGGTGTAAAAGTGATATTAATTCAGTAGAAACCAAACTTCCAGTGCCCATAAAACAATTCTTTTTCATTTTCAGTACAGCATTCAATAAATTATAGGATATATTCAACAGTACATTATAATATAGGCTTTGTGTTAGATGATTTTGCCCAACTGTATGCTAATTAAGGTAGGCTAGACTAAGATTTGATGTTCAGTAGATTAGGTGTATTAAATGCATTTTAGACTTATGATACTTTCAGCGTATGATGGTTTTTATCAAGACGTAACTCTATAATAAGTCAAAGGACGTCTGTATCTTGCCAATTTCACATTCAGTTATTCTTTAAGAAAACACTTGTTAATTGGCTGAAAACATTGGCCACGTCTTCCTAAGCTCACATGTAATTTTTCAAACTGCATTTATTACCAGCATTCACACTTTTGCTATACATAAAGTGTAACGGGTATAGCTGGGGCAGGAGGAGGGTTGGTTCAGAGAGGCAGGCGGTCATTTTAATGTGTTAATACAGCCATCAGCTTCTCAAATACATAAATTGCACTAATCTGTAGGTTTAATAGTACTTTAGAAAAGTGCCCCCTCATGGGTGATTTAATCATGTTTTGCAGAAGCCAACACACCAGGAGGTCTGAGGCTCTGTGAAGTGATGGATTAGAAGAGCAGATTTTACAATTTTATAAAATATTCTAATATTTTATACTAATTTCTATTGTGGGGTAGTGATATTTCTTTTTCCATGTTCTGCATCCAAAGAAATAGCTGTGTTGCTTTGTTACTTTTAATAGTGTATATTTATTTAATACTTTACGGCAGACACTGTGTTATATTTATTACCTCATTTTATGCTTGTAACAATTTGATGAGGCGGACACTTTTTAATCTTATTTTACACATGAGGAAACTAAGATCAGAAAACCTGCCCCATGTTGGCTGGGCACAGTGGTTCACACCTGTAATCCCATTACTTTGGGAGGCCAAGGTGGGCAGATCACTTGAGGTCAGGAGTTCGACACCAGCGTGGCCAACGTAGCGAAATTCCTGTTTCTACAAAAAATACAAAAATTAGCCAGGTGTGGTGGCTCGCACCTGTAATCCCAACTACTGAGGAGGCTGAGGCAGGATAATTGCTTCAACTCGGGAGGTGGAGGTTGCAGTGAGCCAAGATTGCATCACTGCACTCCAGCCTGAGCAACAGAGCAAGACTCTGTCTGGGGAGGGGGGATGGAGGAAGAAAACCTGCCCCATGTCACACAAATAGCAAGGGCAGAACTGGGTATTGAATTGTAACAATTTAACTCTAGTGTTCATGTGCTTGACCATCTATACTTGACTTCATCTTTAAATAAAATCTAATAGCTCAGAGAATGTACATGATCAGACTTAAAAGCTCCTTGTATTTCCCCATGCATGATATTTTTCGAGGATTTAATTTTTATAAGAAAGATGACCACTTCAAGGAAACTATTTACACGTGCATAGTAGGATAATGTGTATAAGCAGGACTTGTGCAGTTTAACCTGTATGTCACTATATGCCTTTTCTAAAAATATTTTAAGGTAAAAGTTAAGAAGAAATAAACATTCAACTAGAATATTTCATGAGCATTTAGTGTAACTACATTTGTCTGTTTGCTGATTTTCTAAACACCCCCTCCCCACTTGTTTCACTCATTTAGGTATCAGAAAAGGGTAGCCCTGTACATTGCTGCTTTTTGTGGGTACATTGAACTCACTGAATGGGCCCTGAAGCAGGGTGCGCGGCCCCACGAGGCAGTCGGTGTTCACCCCTATCGAGCATGGTGCCATGAAGCCCTTCATGCAGATGTCTCTAAATGCCCCATTCATGCAGCCGCAGAAGCAGGCCAACTGTTGATTCTGAAGGCCTTTGTCAACTACAGTGTGCTGTGCCTGGAATGCAAAAATGCAGCAGGACAAACTCCCCTGACCATTGTGTTCAAACACAAGCATAAAGACTGTGTATTATATTTGCTCAGTAAAATGTGGTCCACAGTTTCTTTTCCAAAAATTTCAGTCCCAATGAGGATTTATATTAAAATAAAACAATGGATCCTCAGAGCTCAGAGTCACAGTCTTCATAAAAGCCAGTTTTGTGGAGCAAGGGTCTTTGGGGCAAAAGTTGGAGACACTGTGATGGTGGATGGTTTCACCAAACCAAAAATGACCTCCAAGAGCTGGCATAAGGCTGGGAACAGCGACTCACAAAGCATCGTGCTCAAGCTACCATCTCTCAGCAAACAAACTGCAAGCAGCAAACCTGTCAATCCTTTGGCAATTTCACAGCCGGACACAAGAAAACAAGCCCTCAAATTTCATCCACTGGTGAATGCAAGTTCATTCTCTGAATTACAAAAACATCAACAACAAAATCAGAAAAAAATTACTGCCACAGCTAGGAAAAAAGAAAAGCTCATAAAAAACACATATCTTCCCCAAGTCCCCCTCCCTCCAGTTTCAAGAGTGGGATATTCACATCCATCGTTTTTCTATGCAACACCCAGTGCTGACTTTTTACTGAAGTCCTCCTTCTCATCTTTCTTAGAGCACAGTGGGAAGACTCCATGGGAGAACGCAATCTACTGCTTAGCTGTGGCAAGGTAATGTTCTCCCCTTAAACATACAAACAGCAAAGCTTTTATAAGGCAGGTCCAGGATAAGGAATGGTCCATAATGCCCTACTATGCCACTGAAAGTAATACAAGTTGTTCCAGTGCATCAATACCCAGCTTCAAGGACCTCATCTTAGCCTCATCACTAGGACAAAATGAATTAATATTATTGGCCAATCCAATCTGTGCAGTACTTTACTCCTCAAACTTTCAGGAGGGAAAGAAACACAGTAGAAAGAATTGTATCAATTCTCAAGGTCCCTTGCTGCTGCTGCTGCTGCTGCTGCTGCTGCTGCTGCTGCTGCTGCTGCTGCTGCTGCTGCTGCTTTTCTTTTTTCTTTTTGTTTGAGACAGGGTCTCGTTCTGTTGCTCAGGCTGGAGTGCAGTGGTGCTATCACAGCTCATTGCATTCTTGAATTCCTAGGCTCAAGCAATTCTCCCATCTCAGCCTTCCAAGTAGCTGGGACTACAGGCACATGCCACTATATCTGATTGATTTTTTTTTTCTGTAGAGATGAGGACTCACCATGTTGCCCAGGTTGGTCTCAAACTCCTGGGCTCAAGCGATCCTCCCACCTTGGCCTCCCAAAGTGCTGGGATTACAGGCATGAACCACTGTGCCTAGCCTGCTAATGCTTCTTCTTTTTCCTCCTCTTCCACTTCTTTGTCTTCCTCTTCTTCTTCTAAAGCTAATAAAACATTAATTGTAATTAGAGGGGAAAGAGAGAAAACTGAAATATGGGAGGGAGACATAAAAAGTGTCATAGAAAACTAAATGGTAATGAAAATGGGAAGAAAGAAAGGAACACATTAATGACAAATTGAATGATTAAAGACTTGAATTGACTGACTAGGCAAGATACACATATGGGGTGAGATCTGTATTGGACAGGGTGCTAGAATTGACATTAATATTTACAGTGAGTTAAAAGGTAATCCTTAGCACATCTAAAGAGATAAGAAAGTGTATCGGAATTAGATGTTTAAGGTACACAACTCTCTGATTAGAGCTCAGATCCCATCCATTACTTATGAGGTATTATTTGATGCAAATTTTACAGTTAGAAATATAGATTTACAAGCGACTTTTCCCTTTACTCAATATAATGAGAAGTAAAGAAAAAACAAGGCTAGATTGTTCTACTTGCTTTTCTGTACTGGTCTTTAGCTCAGCTCAACTTTATTTCAGTTAGGTTGTTGCCACCTTGTGGTGAGAGTAATTTGGGCTGTAAAACTCAAAATTCAATATCCAACAGAGTGAGGTTGACAATAGAGGAAGACACTTAATAGCTTAATAGTCTCAATCTTTGTAATTTGTGAGATATCTCTGACTAGAATGTATAAAAAGAGATCACCAAAAATTCTAGAAATATACTAGGAAAATTATTAATTGAAAAAACTACATAGTCCCTCTTAAAATAAGGCTGTAAACAAGAAAGGAAATATTGATTTGTTTTATCAACAGATACATGCTAAAAATGAGTTTATTTTTCAAACATTCAGTAAGTGTTTACTATAGCCCAGTGCTGTGCCCAGCAGAATGGAAATGTGCATGAAAAAGCATCTGTTTTTAAGGTGTGTGTGTGTGTGTGTGTGCATGTGTGTGTGTGTGGTTTTAGATAAGAAAAGCTGACAGTGTCTGTTGTTGTATACAGTGCTTTCTTGGGGAGGAAATGAGTTATGAAATATATAGTAAAATCCATAAGGACCACTAATCTCACATATATGGCTTGTTGAATTTTTATGTTTTCATACAAGCACTACTCAGATCAGATGCAAACTATTTCCAGCACCCCCCAAAATTTCCTTCATGCCCCTTGCCAGTCATGATCCTTCCCGGATGTAACTATTATTCTCATCTCTATCACCGAAGATTACTTTAGCCTGTTCTTGAACTTCATATAAAGGGCACATATGGCATATACCTTTGATATTTTGCTTTTTTTGTTCAACACATTGCCTATAAGATTCATCAGTGTTTTTGCATGTATTGATTGTTCTTATTTCTATGTAGCATTCCATTTGTATGCAGTATTCCATATCCTAATTTATTTATCTATTTTCCTACTGATGGACATTTAAATTGTTTCTAATTTAGGGGCTACTTTGAATAAAAATGCATGATTGTTCTTGCATATGAGTTTTGGTGGACATCTGCGTTCACTTCTCTTGACTCTATACCAAGGAATAGAATTGCCGGGTCATAGGATAAATTTATGTTTAGCTTTAGTAAACATTTCAAAACACTTTTTAAAAGAGACTACCAGTGTGCTTTTTTTTTTGTAGCTACATTTCATAAGGATTGGAATTATTAATGAGTGGCAATTTCAAGGTCAAGAAAGAAATTTCTAGAGAAAACATTTTGTTAAAGTGTTATTCTGTGAAGGAAAGAGAGAGAGGAAAGAAGGAAAGAAAATAAGGAAGGAAGGAAAGAGAGAAAGAGAGGAAGAAAGAAGGAAGGAAGGAAAGAAAAAGAAAGAAAGAAGGAAGGAAAGAAAGAAAGAGAGAGGAAGGGAGGAAGGGAGGAGAGGAGGGAGGGAGGGAGGAAGGAAGGGAGGGAGGGAGGGAGGGAGGGAAGGAAGGAAGGGAAAGGAAGGAAGGGATTAATGCAGAAGGGAGACCCATAGGGGGAGTGGTGGTCAGTCTGACCGCACATTTACTCTGGCAGTGTTACTCCTAGCAAATCCTCTTTCCATTTCTCTTTTCTCAATATTTTTCTCTTTCCTGTATTCACACCCTCCACTTCCCATCCATTTCTGCCCCCTTTCCACTGAATCTTTCCCAGGATCTGTTCCACCTTCCTTTGTTGGTGGGCTGTGGAAGGGAAGGAGAGATCTACAATCTCATGACCCTGCAGTCTTCTTGATCGAGTTCAAGTTCCCCATAGAAGTCACAAAAGCACTTACATCTACCTGAAGTAGACAGTCAAGGCAGGCAGTCAGGTGGTCTGAGCACCCCTCTAAATGACCAGTGCAGCTCTTGTACCACAAAGACACAAACATGAGGAATGGATGGACGCTATCTTGATGGCTACATGCACCATCACCAAGCTAGTGTCATAGCCAGGAAATGGGGAAGAACCTAATGTAATCCTTCATGATGCTGACCCAGGGATCAGGTGGGTAAAGTGACCATCAGATGTTCCTGTTTTACAGAAAGGGGAGTCTCCCAAAGCAGACAAGTCATCTGGCATCATGTGAAAGTACTTGTTGGACCACATGTCATTCAGGAACTCCTACCTTTAGATTCATAAAACTAAACCTCTCAGGGTTGACTCCAAGATGGCATTATGCAGTTAACACAGATCAAGCGCTAATGTGGGTTTGGGTTGGTGAGTAAATGTGGCTGGTGTAGACAGTCACTGAGGCCAGAAGGTCACATAGAGTCTCATTCCTCAGCCTAGACGTCAGTAGGCTTTACACAGGTCAAAGAATATCTGTAAGGTGTGTCTAGAAAATAGCTTTCCTTATTGCTCATTGTCCAATTCCAGAGAGGTTTATGTGACCTGGGAGTCCAGTTAAGTAAAGATTCAAATGTAAGGGATTGATCCAGAAGGCTGAGAGTTTGAGTGGACTGAGAATAGATGATAATCTCAAATGTTATGAGCTTTGCTGGGCTCTTGTACTCTGGATACAAGTACAGCTCTTTGTTTTTATTCTTTATTTAAAAAGGCATATCTTGTATGTTTTAATCACCTTTTGTATCTCCAGCACATAGAATAGTGCTTGCCATAGAGTAAGTGCTCAATACGCATCTTTTTCTTAAGGTAAACAGTTTTTGAATGAATGCAGAAAAGCCAGGTTTCAAATGCCAGGGAGAGAATCAGGATAGGCTCTGAGCCTAGGAAGAGCAAGGATATGCATCAGAACAGGAGAGGACTTCAAACTAAGTCTGGTGGGATACAGGGAAAGGCTGAAAGTGCCTGAATGATTTCTTTAAGACTTAACACCTAATTTTATGGGCTGCATGGATGGGTTAACTCAGTTTAGAGGGCACAGAAAGACACAGCCATTGAGGTAAAGCAAGAAGTTAATCTAGAACAAAGAAGTTGAATCAGGCAGACATAGACCTGGTTCAAATGTTGGAAACACTATGGTACTTTTATACAGGGTTACTCCTAATAGATTGAGTGAAAGCCTTTTAGAAATACCAGACTTTGCCAGACAACATGGGCAGAGGTGAGGTAAAGGATCCAGGCAGAGCTAGTAACATGGTCAAAGGCACTTTTGTGAAAGAGCAAGCAAGAAATTGAATTTTCAGGAAGGTACGTGGATTTGCAAAAGTCATCCTAGGCAATAAGGAAGAACTGGCTGGAGATAAGACTGGCAAAGTAGACTGCATCTACACTAAGAAGCATCTTGTGTGACCAAGTGAAGAGTTTGCTTCTTATTCCCCCTTCCATGGGGTAGGAGGTAGGTGGGAAGCTCATAGAAGTTCTTTTTCATGAAGTAAGTTCCATAATCAGTTTTTGTTTGTTTTTGAAGACAAATCTGATAGAGATGTATGGAAGACTCGTTGGAAAGATGTGGAAAGACTATAGTAAAGGTAGGAAGCTGCAAAAAGAGAAATAAGAGAAAATAAAGACCTGGACTAGAACAACAGTAGTTAGGGAAAAGAGAAAAGGCCAAATACAAGAGATATTTCTGGGGAATAATCCACAAAATTTGGTCACTGACTGGGTGTGGAAATAGAGAAAGAAGGAATTTAGTTTCGTTTCTAGCTTTGGAGATGGTGAGGATAGCAAAATCGAAGTGTTAGAACAAGGAAACAGAAGTGGGACAAGTTTAGGAAGAAGATAAAGATATGTTAAATTAGAAGTGTCTATGGGATGAATATTTTTATTTGTTAATTGGAGATATGCCACTTTTGAGAAAGGTCAAGGAGTCATGGATAAAAGAATTTAAACAGTGAGTAAATGAGGACTCCTAGGATGAGGGTGTAGAAAGAGAGGAGGACCAAAGATAGAATCTTGGAGGACCCCAACATTTAAGGTGATGTAAAACACCTCTGTATTAAATCACATTTGCATCCTACAAAGAGTAATCGTATTCAAATTTGCAAGTCTTTATTAGTATATAGCCAGAGAATAACTATCATAAAACATTAAGTTCCTTTGCATTTTAGTTAAAGACTATCAAAATACCTAATATCTTTTCAATTAAAAAATCCTCATGTGTGTTCGTAGGGGTAGAAAGTGGAGAAAAGAGGAGGCCAGGGAATATGTGATGTATAGGAATATCTAGAGAGGAGAGAGAAAAAGTTTCAACCCAGAGAATTCTACATGATATTGAGTGGCTTTCTGTTTCTAGTTGTGGATTCTAAGTTTTTAGTATTGCCTTGAGAAAATATCATTCCCACTGCATCACAGGGAACTTGTTTTAGAAAGATTACTGTTTCTATTTCACATCTACCTATGTGACAAGACAAACTAGCCCTAGCTACAAAATCAACCTGAAGATTTCCATCCTTTTTCAGCTATGTATGCAGACAAGATCAGACCTCCTTACAAATTATATCTTGTTTTCTTGCAGTGCCTTTAAAGAGAAACGATGGCTTCAGCAGTTAGAAATAGCAAGAGTCCTGGCCAAAAAGAGCATTTCTAACTTGACTACCCGAGGAGGTCTGACAGCGTGTGAAAACTCTCTAGAAACTGTGCTTTGAAAAGTCATGACAACTTCAGTTTGGACAAAGACCTGATCAAACAGAATGTCCAGTTCTAATGTTAACATTTCTAATAACAGTTCTAATGTTATCATCTCTAGTAACAGTTATAATGCCACATAACTTTTAATAGGATATTTAACACCATGTTTTCTCAGACTTCATCACACTAAGTGAAACTTTAGTGCTATTTTTGCATAAAGAATATGAGGAAGAATTCAGAAGAAACTTAGAATAGTAGTTGTCCACAGGGTAGGGGAGCTGAGACAATGGAAAACAAGGAAGTGGGAATTTTTACAGTTCCTTTGTTTGTTTTTCTTTTTTTTTCCTAAAAAAATGTGTTTTGGTTTTTTAAGCCATATGAATGTAGAACATATTTAAAAATAAATAAAATTTTTAAATTATATTTAAGGAAAGTTCTTAAGAAAGTTAACAAATACCATCCAGGTCTAAAGCTGATCTCAGACATCTTTTGAACTGCTAAAACATTGTTTCCAATTAATTTTTTAAATTGAGTTAAAATTTACATGCAGTGAATTGCATGAATCTTAAATGTAAGATTCAATGGGTTTGAAAAATATCCCAGTCAAAACATAGAACATTTTTGTTACCCCAGGAAGTTGCTTCAAGCTCCTAAGTCAATCCCAACTTCTTTAGGTAACTGCTATTCTGATTTCTAGCTCCGTAGATGAGATTTTCAAATCACTGGTATCATGCAGTTGTTCACTTTTGTGTCTGGGTTATTTTGCTCAACCTAATGTTTTAAGAATCATTTGCATTACTGCACATATCAGTAGTACATTCCTTTTTTTCTTTTTTTCTTTTTTTTTTTTTTTTTTTTTGAGACAGAGTGTTACTCTGTCATCCAGGCTGGAGTGCAGCAACACGATCTCAGCTCACTGTAACCTCCACCTCCCAGGTTTAAGCAATTCTCTGGCCTCAGCCTCCTGAGTAGGTGGGATTACAAGGGTGTGTCCCCACACCCTGAGTAGCTGGGATTACAAGCATATGTCACCACACCCAACTAATTTTTGTATTTTTAGTAGAGACAGGGTTTCACCATGTTGGCCAGGCTGGTCTCGAACTCCTGACCTCAACTGATCCACCTCCCTTGGCCTCCCAAAGTGCTGGAATTACAGGCATGAGCCACCATACCCAGCCATACATTCCTTTTTATTACTAAATAGTATTCGATTATATGGTTGCACCATAATGCATGGTGTATGGACTGTATGGATGTTTGGGTTGCCTCCAGTTTTGACATATTATGAAAAAAGCTCTATGAACATTATTGTAAAAAGTATTTTTCTGGACATGCTTTCATTTCTTTTGGGTAAGTATCTAGGAGTAGAATTGTTGGATAATAGGGTGAATGTACATTTAACATTATGAGAAACTACCTAAGAGTTCTCCAAAGTGGCTTTATGATTTTTAACACTTTGACTAGCAATGTACAAGAGTTCTGGTGGCTTCACACACTTGGTGTCATCAGTGTTTTTTACCTTTAAGTCATTCTAGGGGGTTTGAAATGGCCTATCATTGTGGTTTAATTTGCATTTTCCTGATGACTATAATGCTGGATGCCTTTTCATGTGTTTATTGGCCATTTGTGTATCTTTTGTGAAGTATCAATGCAAATTTCTGCCTATTTAAAAAATTGGGTTATCTTTTAATTATTGGCTTGTTGGAGTTTTTGTATTTATGATACAAGTTCTTCATCAGATATATATAGATATAGATATATGGTGCATATTTTTCCCAGTCTGTGGGATCACCTTTTCATTTTATTAATAATGTTTTTTGACAAACAAAAATGTTTTAACTTTGATGAAGTAGAAGTTATCATTTTTTTCTTTTATGGTTCATGCTTTTTATTTCCTCTGTAAGAACTCTGCCTGGCCTGATGTGGTAGCTTATGCCTGTAATCCCAGCACTTTGGAAGCCTGAGGTGAGCGGATCACTTGAGGTCGGGAGTTTGATACCAGCCTGCCAACATGATGAAAACCTGTCTCTACTAAAAATACAAAAATTAGCCAGGCATGGTGGCGCATGCCTGTAATCCCAGCTTCTCAGGAGGCTGAGGCAGGAGAACCGCTTGGAACCAGGAGGCAGAGGTTGCAGTGACCCAAGATAGTGCCCCTACACTCCAGCCTGGGCAACAGAGTGAGACTCTTATCTTAAAAAAAAGAACTCTGCCTACTCAAATGTAATGAAGATATTCTCTTATATTTTCTTCTAGAAGTTCAATAATTTTATGTTAGGTTTATAATCTATCTCAAATTTGTGTGAATGATGTGTGGTAAGGGTTGGGATTAATTTTTGAAAAGACTTTCCTTTTCCTCACTGAATTACCTTAGCATCTCTGCTGAAAATCTCTGCTGAATCTCTGCTTAGCATCTCTGCTGAAAATCAATTGGCAATATAGGTACAGATCTATTTCCAGACTTTCTATTTTGTTCCATTGATTTATTTACTTGTCCTTATACTAATACTACACTGTCTTAATTACTATGTCTTAATTAGCCTTGAAATCAGGTAATATGTATCCTCCAACTTTGTTATTGTTTTTCAAGTTTGTTTTGGCTATTTTTAGTCCTTTGCATTTCCATATAAAATTTAAAATAAACTTGTCATTCTCTATTTTAAAAGCCTGTTGGGTTAGCCCAAGACTTGAGCCAATTCTCATACCTGGACACTCTTGTCCTTCAGTACATGGATGATTTACTTTTAGCCACCCATTCAGAAACCTTGTGCCATCAAGCCACCCAAGCACTCTTAAATTTCCTCGCTACCTGTGGCTACAAGATTTCCAAACCAAAGGCTCAGCTCTGCTCACAGCAGGTTAAATACTTAGGGCTAAAATTATCCAAAGGTACCAGGGCCCTCAGTGAGGAACATATCCAGCCTATACTGGCTTATCCTCATCCCAAAACCCTAAAGCAACTAAGAGGGTTCCTTGGCATAACAGGTTTCTGCCGAATATGGATTCCCAGGTATGGCGAAATAGCCAGACCGTTATATACACTAATTAAGGAAACTCAGAAAGCCAATACCCGTTTGGTAAGATGGACACCTGAAGCAGAAGTGGCTTTCCAGGCACTAAAGAAGGCCCTAACCCAATCCCCAATGTTAAGCTTGCCAACGGGGCAAGACTTTTCTTTATATGTCACAGAAAAAACAGGAATAGCTCTAGGAGTCCTTACACAGGTACGAGGGACAAGCCTGCAACCTGTGGCATACCTGAGTAAGGAAATTGATGCACTGGCAAAGGGTTGGCCTCATTGTTTACTGGTAGTGGTGGCAGTAGCAGTCTTAGCATCTGAAGCAGTTAAAATAATACAGGGAAGAGATCTTACTGTGTGGACATCTCATGATGTGAACAGCATACTCACTGCTAAAGGAGACTTGTGGCTGTCAGACAACTGTTTGCTTAAATATCGGGCTCTATTACTTGAAAGGCCAGTGCTGCGACTGCACACTTGTGCAACTCTTAACCCAGCCACATTTCTTCCAGACAATGAAGAAAAGATAGAATATAACTGTCAACAAGTAATTGCTCAAACCTATGCCGCTCAAGGGGACCTTTTAGAGGTTCCCTTGGCAGATCCCGACCTCAACTTGTATACTGATGGAAGTTCCTTTGTAGAAAAAGGACTTTGAAAAGTGGGGTATGCAGTGGTCAGTGATAATGGAATACTTGAAAGTAATCCCCTCACTCCGGGAACTAGTGCTCAGCTGGCAGAACTAATAGCCCTCACTCGGGCACTAGAATTAGGAGAAGAAAAAAGGGTAAATATATATACAGACACTTAAGACTAGGGGCTTGCCTAGTCCTCCATGCCCATGCAGCAATATGGAGAGAAAGGGAATTCCTAACTTCTGAGGCAACACCTATCAAACATCAGGAAGCCATTAAGAGATTATCATTGGCTGTACAGAAACCTAAAGAGGTGACAGTCTTACACTGCCAGGGTCATCAGAAAGAAAAGGAAAGGGAAACAGAATGGAACCACCAAGCGGATATTGAAGCCAAAAGAGCTGCAAGGCAGGACCCTCCATTAAAAATGCTTATAGAAGGACCCCTAGTATGGGGTAATACCCTCCAGGAAACCAAGCCCCAGTACTCAGCAGGAGAAATAGAATGGGGAACCTCAAGAGCACATAGTTTCCTCCCCTCAGGATGGCTAGCCACCGAAGAAGGGAAAATACTTTAGCCTGCAGCTAGCCAACGGAAATTACTTAAAACCCTTCACCAAACCTTTCACTTAGGCATTGATAGCACCCATCAGATGGCCAAATCATTATTTATGGGACCAGGCCTTTTCAAAACTATCAAGCAGATAGTCAGGGCCTGTGAAGTGTGCCAAAGAAATAATCCCGTGCACTGCAGTCCACACATTTCAATCCCTGTATCTTTAACCTCCTTGTTAAGTTTGTCTCTTCCAGAATTGAAGCTGTAAAGCTACAAATAGTTCTTCAAATGGAGCCCCAGATGCAGTCCATGACTAAAATCTACCGCAGACCCCTGGACTGGCCTGCTAGCCTGTGCTCCAATGTTAATGACATCAAAGGCAACCCTCCCAAGGAAATCTCAACTGCACAACCCCTACTATGCCCCAATTCAGCAGGAAGCAGTTAGAGCGGTCGTTGGCCAACCTCCCCAACAGCACTTGAGTTTTCCTGTTGAGAGGGGGGACTAAGAGACAGGACTAGCTGGATTTCCTAGGCCAACTACGAATCCCTAAGCCTAGCTGGGAAGGTGACCACTTCCACCTTTAAACACGGGGCTTGCAACTTAGCTCACACCTGACCAGTCAGATAGTAAAGAGAGCTCACTAAAATACTAATTAGGCAAAAACAGGAGGTAAAGAAATAGCCAATCATCTATTGCCTAAGAGCACAACGGGAGGGACAATGATCAGGATATAAACCCAGACATTCGAGCTGGCAATGGCTACCCTCTTTGGGTCCCCTCCCTTTGTATGGGAGCTCTGTTTTCACTCTACTAAATCTTGCAACTGCTAAAAAAAAAAACAAAAAACAAAAAACAAAAACAAAAAAAAACCCTGTTGGGATTCTTCTGATAGGGCACAACTGACATTTTAATAATATTAAATCTTATAATCCATGACGTATATTTCTGTATCGGTGGTATACATTTCCATTTATTCAAGTCTTAATTCCTCTCAGCAAAGTTTTGTAAATTTTAGTGTATAGGTCTTGCAAATCGTCTGTTAAAGTTTTTTTCTAAATATTTTATATTTTAGAGGCAATTTACTAAGATGATTATAAGATAGATTTTGGTAAAATAGTCAGAGGCGCCTAAAATCTAAGGCTCATTCTAAAAAATGCCTTTGAGTTCCCAATTAGATATTGCTGGGTTGGGGCACAAAGGTTAATACAAACACACACACATGCACGTGCAGACACTCACACACGCATTCACACACATAGATGATTCTACAGGGATGTTGTAAGGCAGCATGTGTATAGGTATTAGTTCACTATAGAGAAAACAAGAGATGATAGTGACTGGCAGGAGGCACAGCAGAAATTCTGGGGTGTTGTAACATTCTATTTCTTGTTCTGGAGTAATAGGTGTGTTTAATTTGAGAAGATTCAACAATGAGTATTTAAAAAATCTGTACCCTTTTCTGTTTGCATTTATAATACATTTTTTTAATGAATTAAAATAATTTTTTAAAATGTCAGGAGCTAATTCATGCATTTGGTGCCAGCTTTAGAGTCATGAGAAGGTGGCTGGTGTGAGTGAGGCTTGTCACCACGTTATTGTCCTCTTGACAGTATAGTGAATTGAGCTGTAATTCCTTGCAGGGGGTGATAATATTTTATGTGTCATTGAAACACAGCTAAGGAAATATCCTGTGCAAGGATTCTGGGCTAGAATACCTAAGAAGGAGAAAATAAATGGGAAAATATAAGAGAAAAGAAAGACGTATGAGCTGGAGGGGGATAGAAAGATGCAGAGAGAATGTGAGGGGATGATTGATATGAAGCCTTGTTCTCTACCAGCATCAATTGAAAAAAATACTGAGTATTTATTATTTGTTCACATTCACCCTGGAAGTAAGATAGCATGAAGTGACATTAAGACTGTATATATTTATAATGTAAATCTAATTGTAGAGCATTAGTATTAACATGCACAGGATATGCTGGGACATTTATTCTCAGCCTGATTCTTTTAAATTAGAGTTAATGTACATTCCCTATGCTTCCTTCTCATTTTGTTCATTCTCCAAGTATTGCTACTCATCACACTGTATGGAAATTACTTCATTATCTTTCTCCCTCACTTTTCTGACACCTCCTAGAGGGCAAGGACATTGTTTTATTCATCTACAAATTGCCAAAGCATAGCATATCTTTGAACCTTTAAGGAATTGCTTAATAAAGTTTGTTAAATTAAATGAATGGCTTTTAAGATGATTATTTGTGAATTTATAGGAGCATAAAATCTGCTCCTATAAAATGTAAATGCTGCTGTTTGCTTAATTCTAATTTATTGTTTCATTTGATCATCAAAATCAATTTTTAATGTGAATTTATTAGTTCATCTGAGCATCATAACAGCCCTGCATGGCACAGAAGGGCAGTATTAAAATGCCAGTTTTACAGACGAAGAGGCTATGGTTATAACATAAAAACAACTTATTAGAAGTCATACAGGTAGTGTCAGAGCCAGATCTGGAATCTAGAGTTTTGAATTTTCACTCAGGTAATTTTTTCTAAACAATTATATCACTTATGGCAACAGAAGTCACTCTATAAATTATCCTGGGGTGTTTTAACTCCCAGGCTGGTTTTTCTTGGATATAACTTGGTTTCTTTCTTTTTTTTTTTTTTGACAGTGTCTGACTCTGTCACCCAGGCTGGAGTGCAGTGACTCAAATCTTGCTCACTGCAACCTCTGCCTCGCAGGTTCAAGCAATTTTCATGCCTTGGGCTACCAAGTAGCTGGGACCACAGGTACATGCCACCAAGCTTTGCTAATTTTTGTATTTTTAGTAGAGATGGGGTTTTACCATGTTGGTCAGGCTAGACTTGAATTTCTGGCCTCAAGTGATCCTCCCGCCTTGGCCTTCCAAAGTGCTGGGTTTACAGGCATCAGCCACCATACCTGGCCTAACTTGGTTCCTTGACCACCTTTTTTAGACAGCCTATTGTGCTACTCCCTAGTCTCACCTTCACCTCGCCTGTCCTCACTTCATTCCCTGAGATTACAGACAAGAAAGGCCATTTCATATTGGCATAATATTGTGTCTATTTGCAAATTCATTTCAGCATTCCTACTCCCTATATATGTACAGTTCTTGAATACCTCTTTTGAATCAGTTGAAACTGGTTTTTACTGTAATCTCTCATTAATTACAGAATGCTGTAATTCTCTCATTAATTAACTAGTTCAATACATTTTTTGACATGTGTTCATTGTACACTTGTAGAAGAATCATGATTTTACCTTTTCTGAAAATTATTCTTTAATAATGGATGTTTTCTCAATAATGTGTGAATAAAGGCAACTTCAGGAAATGATGCAATTTTTGCTAATCTGCAATTCACAGTCTAAGTAAAAGTTGTGTTCTCTCTGCAAATGCTACTTCAAGAACTAACTAATAAGTTCAAGGACCTGTCTTTCTGTGTCCCAGTGGAAGAAACAATTTCAGTCAGATGTGAAGGACAAAGTAGACACAGAGAAGTGAATTGAAAAACTCTTCCAATTTTTAGTCTGCCTGGGAGACTCAGAATATAGAGTTGTCTCAAGCCTTAGATAGAAAAGACAGATATGAAGAGTCTTCTTCCCTTCCCCTCTCTTCCTCCACACCCTCCATTTTCAAGGGGTTAAGATTTGAAGAATCATATTCCTATCAATTAGCAACTTTATCATCTCTGATATTTGAACCACAGCAGGTGAGAAGAGAGTTGGAAAAGGAACTAAATTATCACAGGCGCTAAATACTTTTTAAAAGGCATTGCTCTGGGCCAGGTGTGGTGGTTCATGCTTGTAATCCCAGCACTTTGGGAGGCCAAGTTGGCTGGATGACTTGAGGTCAGGAGTTCAAGACCAGCCTGGCCAACATGGTGAAAACCCGTCTCTACTAAAAATACAAACATTAGCCAGGCATGGTGGTGGGCGCTTGTAATACCAGCTACTCGGGAGGCTGAGGCAGGAGAATCGCTTGAACCCGGGAGGCAGAGGTTGCAGTGAGCCGGGCGACAGAGCGAGACTCCATGTAAAAAACAAAACAAAACAAAACAAACAAACAAAAACATTGCTCTGAATCCTGTAAGCATCGGTCATTGTCATCATTATCTTTATCCTAATTTATAATCACTCATAAAACTTGTCAGAAGCTTTCAGCTTTCAGGCTGTTATGTAGAAGGATGGGCTTTGCAGCAGGTAAGTGAGGGATCCAACCCTCTCCATCTAACTCTGTCACAGGCTTTGTCACATAATCTCTGGAGCTTTGTGTCTTATCTGTAAAAACAAAGCCATGTTTGTTGAGGATATTAACTGAGATACATTTAAGATAACATAGAAGCTCTGGAAACTATTAGCTTTATAAAAGTGTCAGTTGCTGGACTTGTCTATCAGTTTCCTTATCTCTAATGGAAATTATAATGGAACCTACCTCATAGGGTTCTTCTGAACTCCAAATGTATTTAATAAATGTAAGAACACTTCCTGACACGGTTAGTGCTTAACAAATGTGAACTATTGATATTATTAATGTATGCTCCACGAGGGGGCGTGTCGGATTTGAAACACCTTTTCATCTCCCATAGAGCCTAGCACCTTGCACCCAGCAGGCGCTCACTGCATCTTTGCGGGATGATTTCAATGTTCTGACCTCAGCCTGCGCTGCAGGGAACGTCCGAGTGTAACGCGTTAGTTCGTAGGCCGGAACCCAAAGCTCCGGACGCTGCGACGCCGGAGCCTCTAGGCGCCGGGACACGGGCGCCGGAAGTGGCGAAGGCGGGGTCGGCGCTGCCGGGTGAAATCGTAGGACAGTGAAGATGCTGCTGGAATTGTCCGAGGAGCATAAGGAACACCTGGCCTTCCTGCCTCAAGTGGACAGCGCGGGTCAGCGGGCGTGGGGGCGGTGTTCTGTGGGCTGGGGAGGAGGTCAAAGGCAGCGCCTGGCACTCAACAGCCTTCTGACTTTCATTGCAGTGGTCGCCGAGTTTGGGCGGATTGCTGTGGAATTCCTGAGACGCGGCGCAAACCCAAAAATCTACGAAGGCGCCGCCAGTAAGAAGGGAAAGGGGAAGGCTCCGCAGGCTTCTAGGGCGGTTGCGAGCCATTCCCTGTCTCCCGGGAGAGAAACGGATTATTGCGAGTCCTAGGGTCTTGTTCCGATTGTAGTAGAATAAAACCAGCAGAGCTCTTCAGTCAGGGTGCAAATCCTGCCCGTCCCTTAAGTAGCTGTGAGATTGTTAAAGCTTCTATTAAATCAGTTTTCTCATGGTAAAATGTACATAATACCACCTTACTTTCAGAAATACTGAAAAGTGTTTTGTATAAATATACCAAAGTCTGTGGAATAGCTGGGTCAACTGTAAATTGCAAGTATTTGGTTATCATTATTAGTTGTTCAGATATCCGCTTTTGCTAAAAAAAAAAAAAAAAGTGTTGTTTTACCCCTGGGTAAGAGGCAGTCTCTGGGATTAAGTCAATCCCTGTCGAGTTCCTCTTCTGCCAGACTTGAAGGAGCTACGTATTCAAGAGAAGGGCTACGCACCTGATACTAGTCTCCACAGTTCTGCATTTTGTTAAGGTTACTTGGTGGGAAATACCAAAGGCATTTGGCTGGGAGTGGAATGACAAGGAGCAGGAGCCTCTGGCCAACTTACTGTTTTTCATGCAGTGTTTGAAAACATGTAATAATGAATAGTGTTTATTTTTAAATACAAATATGAACAAGATAAATACTACAGTAGTAATTTATTTGCTCGTTTTTACTTTTCTTTCTCAGGAAAACTCAATGTGAGTAGTGACACTGTCCAGCATGGTGTGGAAGGATTAACGTATCTCCTCACTGAGAGCTCAAAGCTCATGGTAAGGGATTTTCTGGACTGTTTTGTGTTGGCTGGATTCTTAAGAACGGTCTGGTGTACTCTACATCATAGTCCTGGCAGGTACCTGTGTGTTTTAATAATGTTGTTAATGGTTTATAATTGATTTTTTGAAGACATACCTAAAAAATAAAAATCATATCATCTGCTGATATGAATACCTCTTGCTAGTATAAATAGCTAGTATAGAAGTACCTCTAATTCTGCATGTTGTTAAACCATATATGTATCTTAAGAAGATACATAAGAGGAGGGAGACTGTATCAGTATTTTGTTTGCGTATCAGCAGTATCTGGCTTGATGAAGGACAGGAAGGGAAACTGGGCATCTTAACAATTTTTTCCATTTTATACTTTAGTAAAGTACTTTTATGTATTGGTAACACAGATTTTGGAATGGTGGTCAGTGGTTAAGGAATGCTGTTTCTTTTACTAGACAGAATAAATTAGAGGATATCATATTCTTTTGTGTATTTCAATTATTTTAGCTAGACAAAGATAAATTTTGATGTTCTTTTAAACTCAATTCACTTAGATTTCTGAACTGGATTTCCAAGACTCTGTTTTTGTTCTGGGATTCTCTGAAGAATTAAACAAATTGTTGCTTCAGCTTTATCTGGACAACAGAAAAGAGATCAGAACGATTCTGAGTGAATTGGCACCAAGCCTTCCCAGTTATCATAACCTTGAATGGCGACTAGATGTACAGGTATAGCATTTTTAAAATTAACTTAACATAGAATATAAGAATTATTTTAGGTTTGTGTCCTGTTTATTGTATTCTTTACCACCTTAACTAAGATGCGGTTTGAAACTTTGTTTTTTTAATGTTCATTTTTAAGCCATTTCACAAATCATTCATTTTCTTTTATTTTCAGTGTGTTCAAATCAGTTTAATTTGCAAAGTTTGTAAGAAATTGGTTATTTTCGAAAAGGAGATGGTTATATAGATTTTTTAGGTTGGTGCCTAGATGTTTAAAAACTTTTCTGTTTAAATTTAACAGATGTAGAAAAGTGCACAGGTCAATGTACCGCTCAATGAATTATCACATGGTGCATTTAACTGTGACTCACACCCCAGAAGCATCCTCCTTGCCTCCTAATTACTGCCCCTTCACTCCTTTCTAAAGGTAACCAGCATCCTGACTTTTAACACAAATTACATTTACCTGTCTTTTAACTTTGTATATATGGAATGACTCAGTAAATATTCTTTTGTACCTGGCTTCTCTCACAATATTCTTTTTGTGAGATTCATCTTTCAGTTGATTTTAAAGTCACAGAAACGAAAGGGTGTATTCAGACCATTGCTTATAATCCTTTATTAAGCAGAGAGAGATGAGTTAGTAGATGTGTATTGAATGCCATCTATTTGCTGATTAGAGCTGTGCTAAATGCTTTGAGACACAAAAGAAGTGTAAGATACTTTCTCAGCTGGAAAAGATCGTATCACCTTGGTTAGGGATATTAGGCATTCTCAAAATAACTAGTAATTAAAGGTAGTTATAAAATAAGGTTCTTGATGGGGAATAAAGAATATAATTATATGAATGAAGATGACAACTGTTTAAAACAAAAACAACAACAACAACAACAACACGTGTAGTTGTGTGTATGTGCTGGCGTGATCCAAGAAAGCTTCCAGCAAAAGGAAATGAAATTTCAGAAGGATGAATGAATAGAGAAAATTAGGGTAAATATTCTTAGTAGAGAAGGCAGAATATGTTGTAAAAGCCCACATGGATATGCAAATGAGCATATGAATATGTATTATAGTGCACTTGTTCTCAAATTTGACTTCATGTTGGAATAACCTGGGGAGCTTTACAGAAATTCTGATGTTTGTGTGTTATACCCAGAGATTCTGATTTATTGGTATAGAGTTCAGCCTGAGCATCAGGATTTTTTAAAGCTTCTTTTCACCCAGGTAATTCTAATGTGCAATACAGTTTGGAAACCACTGTTGTAGTGGCTTCTTCTGATTCAAATGGAGGTAATGTCCAGATAGGTTATAGAAATTTGGTTAGAGGGGTTTAGACCTGAAATAGCAGATAATAGGAAGCCCTTGTAGATATTTGGATAGGGGAGTAACATTAAGGCCATGCACGGTGGCTCAGCACTTTGAGAGGCCAAGGCAGGCGGATAGCTTGAGGTCAGGAGTTCGAGACCGGCCTGGCCAACCTGTCTTTACCAAAAATACAAAAATTAGCTGGGCATGGTGGCATATGCCTGTAGTCCCAGCTACTTGGGAGGCTGAGGCAGGAGAATCGCTTGAACCCGGGAGGTCGAGGTTGCAGTGAGCCGAGATTGTGCCACTGCACTCCAGCCTGGGCAACAGAGGGAGACTTCGTCTCAAAAAAAAAAAAAAGAGAGAGAGACAGTAACATTAAAAAACAATCATGTAGGAAAGTTAGTCTAGCACCCTTGGGCAGAGAATGAAAGTGGGAATTCAAAATATTAAGAGCATCAGGCCTTACACATTATTTTTCCTCTATGTGAAATGCGTTTTCTGCTTTGCTGCTACCTCTTGACTCGACTCTTTCTTATCCTTGTAAGTCTCCGTTTAAATCAGGGCTCAAAAAACTATGGCCTGTGGGCCAAATCTGGCTTGCTACCTATTTCTGTAAATAAAGTTTTATTGGGACACAGTCACGCTCCTTTGTTATGTATTATTTATGGCTGCTTTCAAAGTACAAGGGCAGAGTTGAGTAGTTGTGCCAGAAACTGTATGGTCTGTAAAGCCTAAAATATTATCTCGTTCTTTATAGAAAGGGTTTGCTGATCTGTGCTCTAAATGATGTCTCCCTTTGGGAGAAATGCCTCCTGCCACTAGACACAGTTAAATTTTGGTGGCATTTGTGTTTTCTTTTCGTGGCACCTGTGCTTCCTCTTTTGGCAAGTCATCTCACTTATATGTAGCTGGTTTTTTGGTTTTTTGTTTTTTGTTTTACTAAACTGTAAACACTGGGATAGCAGGGACCATGCATGTCTTATATATTCTCTTTCTTCAAAGCCTCAACATCTCTATGCTCCACATGCTTAGGTGTTGACCTTGCTTCCAGCTTGACTAAGAAAAGAGAAGCAATCGGAAAGAACTCCCACATGTACCTGTCAACCACATCTTTCAGCCTGTATGAGGACCCACTTGCTCCACTTGTCTTCTCTCCTGTTCCTCTTGATGAAGTACCCATGCTCTTATCTACAGGCAGCCTTTTCCCTTGTATACCTCAATCCATCCCCATTTCCCCCCATGAGGACATAGTTCTAGCAATTATTCCCTCTCTTACCTGCATCATACTTTGTTTGCCTCTACTGAATCGATTATTCCCTTCTGTGCACAGTCAGAAACCCAGTCTTGACTCCATGTACTCCTCCTACTGCTGCTCCATTATTTTGCTCCTTTCTATACTAAGCCTTTTTTTTTTTTTTTTTTTTTTTTGAGATGGAGTCTTGCTCAGTCGCCCAGACTGGAGTGCAGTGGCGCGATCTCAGCTTACTGCAAGCTCCGCCTCCCGGGTTCAAGTGATTCTCCTGCCTCAGCCTCCTGAGTAATTGGGATTACAGTGGGATTCCAGGCATGTGCCACCATGCCTAGCTAATTTTTGTATTTTTAGTAGAGACAGGGTTTCACCACGTTGGCCAGGCTGGTCTCGAACTCCTGACCTGAAGTGATCCACCTGCCTCAGCCTCCCCAAGTGCTGGGATTACAGGCATGAGCCAGCACGCCCAGCCTATACTAAGACTTCTTGAAAGAGTTGTCTCTCTGTTTGTATATTCTCTCTTCCCGTCATCTCTTAAACTCTTCCTAATCAGGCTTTATAATCTTCACTCTACTCTCGTAACTTACTCAAGGTCATGGCTTTTTAGTTTTTATGCCATTCTGTTTATTGACAGCATTTGTCACAGTCACGCCTTCCTACTTGGAATACTTTCTTTAGTTGCCTTCTGGGAAATAACTTCCTGTGATTCTCATTCAACTTCACAGGCTCCTCTTTCTCAGTCTCCTTTGCTGATTCTATCTAATTGCCCTTTAAACATTGGGATGCCCCAAAGGTCAGTTCTGAGTCTTCATAACTTCTCCACTTACATTCTCAAGCTGGTTTCATCCAATTTGAAGTCTTAAATAATCCCCATATTCTTGGGATTCTCAAATTTATATCTTTAGCCTAGAACTGTCCTCTAAACTTCAGAATCATACAGTGGAAGCCTATTTGACATCTCCACTTTGGTAATTTGATAAGCATTCAAAGGCAATATGTTCCAAACTGAATCCCACCTTTCTTACCCACTGATACGGTTTGGTTCTATGTCCCCACCCAAATCTCATCTTGAATTGTAATAATCCCTCTTGTCAAGGGTGGGACCAGGTGGAGATAATTGAGTCATAGGAGCAGTTTTCCCCATGCTGTTCTTGTGATAGTGAGTTCTCACAAGATCTGATAGTTTTATAAGGGGCTTCCTCCTTCATCTGGCGTTCATTCTCTCTCCTGCCGCCCTGTGAAGAGGTGCCTTCTGTCATGATTCTAAGTTTCCTGAAGCCTCCCCAGCCATGTGGAACTGTGAGTCAATTAAACTTCTTTTCTTTCTTTCATTTTTTTATTTTTTGAGACAGAGTCTCGCTGTGTAGCCAGGCTGGAGTGCAGTGGTGCAATCTCGGCTCACTGCAAGCTCCGCCTCCCAGGGTCATGCCATTCTCCTGCCTCAGCCTCCTGAGTAGCTGGGATTACAGGCGTGTGCCAGCACACCTGGCTAATTTTTTTTTTTTTTTTTTGTATTTTTAGTAGAGACAGGGTTTCACCCTGTTAGCCAGAATGGTCTCGATCTCCTGATCTTGTGATCTGCCCGCCTTGGCCTCCCAAAGTGCTGGGATTACAGGCGTAAGCCACCGTACCCGGCCTTTTCTTTATAAATTACCCAGTCTCGGTTATTTCTTCATAACAGTGTGAGAAAGGACTAATACACCCCCTCTCTACTGAAACTACTCCTACCATAGCCTCTCCCATCTCAGATAGTACGTACATTCTTTGAATCACACAGGCCAAGTATTTTTGGCCTCTTCCTTGACTCCTCTCCTTGCCCTTCATCTAGTCCATCTGCAAGTCAGTTTCTTAAAAAGGTATCCACAGTCTGACCACTTCCCTTCTATGGTTTGAAAAAAAAAGTAGGAAATTTCACACCAAAATTATAATTTTTAGCAATTTTTGAAAAATTAGAAGTCAGGCAGCACTACAGCCATGCTCCCTCATGGCATTAATCAGTTCAAGATAGATTGAATTTAAGGTGATGACAGCTTATATAAGTTGCAATCTCCACAGTAGGTGAGGATGTGGGCCTAACACTTGGATGCCAGATTAGTTCAAATCACAAATGAGAATGATTTCTCTGACATCTGAACTGGATCTCATTGGTTGGTCATGGCTAATAGAAATAAAAGCCAGTAATTAGAGTAAGAGTGGTTTCAGGAAAAACAACCACTAACACAACACAATGTCACTGAAAGTAAGAGCAACATTTAAGAATAAAGGGATCATCAGGAGAGTAAGAGTTAAGACAAAAGGCTTAGGATTTGGACAGAAGAAAGATGTACCTGTCTTACTGTATCTTCAAATTTTACATTTGGGATAGAGTGGGTGGCATAGAGAGAGAATATTCCATTGTCATGAGCATCTTCAGGTACATGCAGATAAACAATAAAAAAGATAATTTCTTATGTCCCATTAATCCATCCTTGTTTCTATATCTATTCAGTTATCAAACCATTTATTGAATATCTAGTGCATGCTAGGCCTTGTGGACATAGCAGTGCTGCCTTTAAGTTCTCACAGTCTTACAGTAAGAGGGAGACCAAAAAATAAAATTTAATTAGAAATCAGCAATTATAATCAAGTGTGATGAGTGTTTTAATAGGCATGAACGCAGGATATGGTATAAACCAGACTGTAGGCTCCAGGAGGGCAAGTATTGTGTCTTGTTCATTACCATGTGCCCAGCACAATACCTGGCATATAATAGGCATGAATCAGTGCTGAACAGAAAGAGTGGGTGGCAGGGGGAGTTAAGTGACTTCTTAAATTATTTATCATATATTTCTTGTACCCCTAACATGTGCCAGGTGCTGTAGATACGGCAAAGAACAAAACACAGTTCATGGTCTGGGGGACATCATAAGCAGCAAGTCTTGTAGGGTTCATTGGGGAAATGACTGTGGATAAGCCTTTATACTTAGGTCCTTTAATAATAACCCGGTGGAGATGTGGGGATGGTCATGTATGTGGCTCAGAGGTAATTTATCTTGTAGATCTTTACGTCTCTCTTGTGTGCGAATGTCCCCTGACTTTTGGGGTCCAGTAGGCTTTAACAGTTCTTTTTTTGGCTTTATTGATTTGCTTTGAGTTTGTCCATTATGAAGACATTTTTGAAAGTTAAAATTAAGAAGTTGAATTTTCTAAAATTAAACTCGAGGGCTCATTTACCCACTGAAGTGAGTTTGAATCACTGCGCTATTGCTAGGACTAGTACAGTTTAAGGTTGAGGGTATACTGAATGAATGTTGCCACTTATGGAGAAGTGCATTTAAGGGCTAGAAAAGCTACTCAGAGCTCATTGAGTTCCTCAGCTTATTTGCTGAAACCATTGCATAGGATTTTAACTGGAGTGGATTCTTCTGCTCATAGAGAAATGCATATCAGATAAGACTAGCTAAATGGCTAGGAAACTTGTAACTACATATGGCGCCTTTCATGTTTAAGTAACTGACTTGTCTCATGGAGACTGGTAGTGATGGACAATTACCACCTAATTATTATGCAGTTGTTTATGGGAATCAAATTAATCATCATAGCTTAGTGTCTAGTAGGAACATTTCCCCAGACTTAATAAATTGCCAACACAATTGATGTCCTTGTTAATAGCATTAGTAACTGAATGTACCACCATCAGACTGATGCAGGAGGATGTTCCTTTTAGGACTGGTCCATTTACAACTACTTCAAAGCATTCTTTTCCTGTCTTGCCCACATATTGTTTGCTCTGAGGCTAAATAGAGAACTGAATTCTTTTAGGAACTGTAGCTACATGAAACATAATTTATGTATCCTGTTTCCTACTTGATGTTTTTTGCCAGAATACCCTTTTCAGTGCCTTGAGATATGGCCCTTCAGAGTAAACATTTTTTTCTTTTTCTTTTTTCTAATTTGCATTGACATAAGACATTTTATTTTAAAGTTGCTTTTATTGTTGTTATATTTACAGGGAGGAGGACAGAATCTCATCCCCAATAAAAAATAAGTCCATATCAAGAACTTTGTGGGCTACTGTTCTTTGTCCTGTAGTACTGTCATTCAACTTCTTTCTGAGAAAAATGTCTTACTAGATGTTTGTTAGGGATGTTATGTAATCTCTTTTCTAGAACTGTTAAAGAATAGTATAGATATTTGTATAGGTATTTAATTTAGATACGTTGTCTAAAAATTGGAGGATAGTGGCTTTAAGTCTTTCAACAAAAAAGTCATGGCTTAATTACACAGCAAATACACTCAGTCCCTGTCTGTCGGTGCAGTCTCTCTCTGTCAGTGTAGAGGAAAAACAAATATAAACAGAGCATAATTGAATAAATAAGTACTGTTTTCAATTATCATATATATAATTTGCATATGTGTCATCTATAGTTATTTGTACTACAGAGATGATCTTAAACTGGTACTTTAGCCTGCAAGTACCTATTTTATGTTTGGGGACCAGCTCACCCAAAGGGATTGACTTATTGTTTGCAAATTAGTTGGGGACATTAAATTTCAGCCTTGGATCAGTATCTTGGGTTCTTTTGGAAGCCCAGGTTACCTATAATTATTTGGAAGAAGTTATTAGTCAGAATATTCTATTTTACAGAATTAAATTAATCCTGAAATCTCAGGTTTAGATTTGTTACTCACTTGAAAATCCCTTCAAGTTGGAATCTAGTCTTCTTGACATGACTCCACTATTTTTGATAACTTTTTTGCTTTCTCCTATAACAAGATGTTTCAGGCTCATCTTGTACAGTTTCTCTCCTAGACTTCAAGTCAGCTATTGCTTTGGATAGTCCTGGTTCCTTTTAATGGAGAATCTAAAGATTGAAAGGACCTTGAAGTTGGTCATTGTTTATAGTTTTGTGTTTTCTTCTTTTAAAAATATGTCAGTATTACTTATTTTTTAAATTTTGGAACATATTATACAAATGAAAGGTTATAGATACCCAGTTTAAAGAATAATGATAAAACAAATACCAGTACACCCACCACCAAGCTTAACAAATAAAACCAGTACTTTTGAAGAACCTGTACCCAATTGTAACCATCTCCCAGCCACCTGAAGGAAACCGTTATCCTGAATTTTCTGTGAATCTTTTCTTTTTCTTTTTCTTTTTCTTTTTTTTTTTTTTTTGAGATAGAGTCTCACTCTGTTGCCCAGGCTGGAGTGCAATGGCACGATCTTGGCTCACCACAACTTCTGCCTCCCAGGTTCAAGCAGTTTTCCTGCCTCAGCCTCCCAAGTAGCTGGGACTACAGGCGCGTGCCACCATGCCAGCTAATTTTTGTATTTTTAGTAGAGACAGGGTTTCACTATGTTGGCCGGGCTGGTCTCAAGCTCCTGACCTTGTGATCCACCCATCTCAGCCCCCAAAAGTGCTGAGATTACAGGCGTGAGCCACCGTGCCTAGCCCCTAATCTTTTCTTTATAGTTTTTTTAAACATAAATTTTGTCACCAAACTGTATATTTTTTAAACTTGAACATATTCTGTGACTTGCTTTTTTTCAACATTTTCATTTCTTCTATGATAACCCATGTTGCTGTAGTTCATTTCTTTTCTCTGCCATTTAGTAAGCAATTCATTGTGTGATTATTCTTGGTTTATCTATTCTGTTAATGAATATTTGATGTATTTCTAATTTTTGGTTCTTGGAAACATACTATCATGAATAAATGTATATAAGAGGTTAAGGTATATGCCTAGTGGTGGAGTTGCTGGTAATGCACATTGTTTTCCAAAGTGATTTTCTCATCGCTTACCAGGAGTGGGTGAGAGTTCCCATTACTGCCACTTGCAATGCTTGGTATGAACAGGTTTTTAATTTTTGCTAGTCTGATATTTGTAAAATGGTATTTCATGTAGTTTTACTGGCTATTATCCTGATGTTTAATAAAGTTGAACATATTTTTCTATATTCATTTGTCTTCTGTAAAATGCTTATTTAGACCTTCTGTATATTTTTATCTTGGGTTTTGAGGTTTTTTTCTTATTAAATCAGAGGAGTTCACACATTCTGGATACTAATCTTTTTTTGGTTATATGTCTGTTGCAAAATCCCTTCTCTCGGTTTATGACTTGTTTTTTCACCATCTTTAGGTATCCTTTGAAGAAAATTGAGTTTTAATGTAGTTAAATTTTACCAGTTTTGTCTTTATGGTTTGAGCCTTTTATATCATGTTTAAGAAATCTTCTATACCATAAAATTGGTATATATTCTCATTATTTTCTTTTCAAAGGTTTTAAAGTTTACTTTTCATTTTGAAGTCTGTAATTCATCTGAAACTTAATTTTTGTGTATGGTTTAAGATAATTATAAATATTATGTATTCAGCATGGTTATTAAATAGTTACTGTGCTCTTATTTCATTTAAAATCAAGCTTGCAAGTAGAAGTCTCAGGCAACAGATTAAACCAGCAGTGACTATAAAGCTACACCTTAATCAAAATGGAGATCACAACACCAAAGTTCTGCAGACAGACCCAGCCACCCTGCTCCATTTGGTTCAACAACTGGAACAAGCATTGGAAGAGATGAAGACAAATCACTGTAGGAGAGTTGTTCGCAACATCAAGTAGTACCAGTTTTAAGGTTTTAATTCATTTGAATCACTTATGAATTGATGATATACAGCAATTACTTTTCAAAATTAATTTTTTATTAATTCATGATGATAAATACATAGTATTCCTCAGTATCTATTCCAAGATACTGAGGTCATAATCAGAAGCTAAGCTGGGTGCAGTGGCTCATGCCAGTTATCCCAGCACTTTGGGAGGCCGAGGTGGGCAAATCATGAGGTCAGGAGATTGAGACCTTCCTGGCTAACATGGTGAAACCCCATCTCTACTAAAAATATAAAAAATTAGCCAGGTGTGGTGGCACGCATCTATCAGAGTCCCAGCTACTCAGGAGGCTGAGGCAGGAGAATCGCTTGAACCTGGGAGGTGGAGGTTGCAGTGAGCTGAGATTGTGCCACTGCACTCCAGCCTGGGTGACAGAGTGAGACTCCATCTCAAAAATAATAATAATAATAATAAAGTAAAAATAAAAATAAAAAAGTAATCAGAAGCTAAAGTAAAGTTCCTTTCCTGGTGCTAACTGTGGTCTTCTTGACACATTAAGATGTATTTTGTATTTTAAGAGTCTCATGCTCTACCGTTGGAACTAGCCAGATGGCCATTATTTTGTATTTTAAATACATAAATAGGATTGAATCAACTAGAAATGAATCTATATGTTCTGTATATATGAATGACTATCTTGTTTTTGCTACTTCTTTTGACTGCTTAATTTTATTATTTTCATCTTTATTGATCAAATTTGAAAATAAAATTCACAATGTAATACTACTACTATGCAGAATTTTCTAAACAGTTCAGTATTTTTGACTTTTAAAAACACCCCACAGTGTTAATAGCCACAGAATATTGAACATCAATAGGATTTTTAATGCTATATTGTTATAGGCAGTTTATTCATTTTTCTTTGTATATGAAGATGATAAGTATCATATTGCCTAAGTTTGAGTGATCATGGTTAATTAATTGGCTTAAATAGTACTCAAATTTGTGTGGTCGTATATTGTATTTTATCAAGGACTAATTCTTCCACCATACCCAAAGCATCTAGGAGACACTCTGTCATTTACATTTACAAATAATGGATGCAGAGAAATATAATCAATTCTTGATTGTCCTGGATACAAATTATAGTCACTTTTTATAATTTGAATAAACTATGATGAGGGAAGGAAGGCCATGTTTATTACATTATAGGCAACTATCCCTTCTCAAAACATAACTTGATTTATGTTTTGTTTTATTTTTTAGTAGGGAACCAAAAGCTTTTGGTCTGAAAAACTCAGGTGCTGATTTGTCAGGTCAGCCTGAGAGAGTGCAGAGATACTGAGGTCAGCTTAGGGAGAAGAATTGTATGGAAGGGTGGAAATGAGGGTTCAGTCTTAACTATGTGTCCAAGACCTTATCCTGAGAGTCTTCATGGAATAATCTAGAAAGGGCTGTAGAAGCAATCAAACTCTAAACTGCGCTCTAGACTTTGTCAATACTTTGCTTCGTAAGAATTAGGGATTTTCATATCAGAGTGATACCATGTTGCAATCTCTTTAGAGAAGAGAGAGCCTAGCAGGGAATAGGCTAGTGGAAGAAAAACATACTTGAGATGGTTACCCATTGGTCCCTGCAGGCATCTGGGCCACCCTTTTCCTGTAGGTATATATTCTGCCGTTGTGAAACAACTATATTATTAGATGTCAGCAAACTATAATCAGAAATAATTTTTAATTATAGTGGCAACTTGATTAATGAAGCTCTCATATACAACCTCACAAACAAAAAGAAACTTTATTACGTGAAATAGTAGCATATGTCATTGGGTTTAAAAGCAACATGCCTGCAAAACATATGATAAAAAATACCTCTGTAAGGGTTTTTATTTGTCCACCTTCGATGGAAGGTAAACATGGCTGATCCCAGCCAAGATGAAACAATAGCCCTTTGTCTCCTCAGAACAACCTATCTCCAACTCTTTGTCCACTGTTCTTACCCCAATTAAAACAAGAAAGCATGTGCTAATCCTTTTTTAATTTTTATCAACCTGCCTTGGCCTCCTTTCACTGTACTCCATTATTCCTTCTGTGATGTTCTACCTTCTTCACCTTTTGAGACCAGGGTGAGTTGGGAGCAGTTTGCCTACCTTCTTTTAGAATCTGGGGCTTATCTTTTAGTACAAGCCATTGAATAAGCCTCTTCCTTTTTTTTGCTCAAACATTCCACATCCTTGTGGATTCCCCTGCATTGTTTGTTTTATATAACATTTGATATTTGTTGTAGCTTGTATATGAACATAATTTTCTTTAGAGGTAGTCACTGTTCTCTCCAGTATGACCCAGGTTTCTTGACTCTGAGTAATGCACCTTCTATAACTATCTAAATTTCTATTGAAGCTTTTTGGATTATGAGTATGCTGACTTTTCACGATTGGCTGGTGCATGTTTAGACTTAAATGTCATATCCTTCATGTCTCAAAGCCAAAATAGTAACATCTCATCTCAGAACAGAGCTGTGACCACATGCCAATATATGTGTCACAAAGTCTACATATGTTACATTCCTTGGAAGTCTCCTTAAATGTTTCACAAAATGTCAACAAGCTTGTTTTGTTATTGATATTTCCGAGATTGGGCACATTTAAGACAGTAAACGGGAAAGGTGGTGAAGATGCTATAAGAAGATGCTGTATCTTGAGAATTGAAAAATGAGAATCTGACATGGTTTGAAAAATCATGAAGGGTATATATAAAGGATGCATGTGTAGGAGCCATTAAAATTCATAACAGTATGTGCCCCTTCAGCGTTTTAATCTTATGAAGTGGTTAAGAGATAAGTCTTCGGAGTTGGACAAAAGGATTTGAATTTAGGTTCTGTGGATTATTATGGGTCCTTGATAAATTCTCAAAGCCTTTTTTTTTGTTCATCTCTAAAATAGGAATATAGGATTACCTACCACATTGACTCGTAAGGACTATATGAGACCATGTATATAGAATGTTTAACATAGTACCAGGCTTTACAAAGAACTCAATAAATGTTTACCATTATTGAAATAGTTTTGTAGACTGAGGATCTCATTATTTTACAGCCTTGAATTATGTCCTGTATACTCTGTTAAAGAAACTGGGAAAAAAATGCCAACTGGTTGTTTCTGGGTGGCGGAATTATGGCTGTTTCTTTTCTTTTTTAATTTCTATAGTAAGTTTGAATAACTTTCATAACATTTAGGAAAAAATATTAAAGGAAAGAAAAAAGATCAGGGAATTTAAATATATTTTTAGTAGATATTTTTATCCAAACTTAATTCTTAGAATGATAAACACATAGTTTACCAGAAAACTCAGCTGTTCAAAACTACTCAGTCCCCAAAGGACTCAGGTAAACAGGCTGAGGGTTTTATATATAGAGCGCTCTAGAGTTTCCTTTTTCTGTCATTTTTTTCTCCATGTTAGTGAAAAAAACATGGGAATCTTAAGACATTAAGCCGTTTCTCCTTTTCTAGGTAATATTACTTCTAAATGGAGAATTGTTTGTGTTGTTTTTCATCTCAAATGGAAACAGTATTTCTTTGAAGTTTTTCACATCCCTTATGATCAGGAAGTTCTGTCAGCTGCTATATTAAAGTCCTCCTGCTATAACTTACTCAGTCTTCTCTGTACTTATATGAATTTGATTAAGTATCTTCTTTTCCAGAGTTTCCATAATCATAGATTACTCTCACATCTTTCTTCCACCAACAGTAGAAAATATTTTGGTGGAAATGTTATGATACTACATTGCCTCTAACTTAAATATGTTCACTTTTAAAACCATCATGACTGTTATATTCAAACTCAAATACTTTTCTTAGAACAAATGAACCTAACTCCACCATTAACGTGGTTAGTTCAGTAAGCTTTATACATTTTGAAAGTAATGTTTGAATTATAAAAGCAGAATAAGCCCATTATTTTTCAGCTTTCAAAAAATTATATAAAGATGAGAAAAAATACTATATGGCACTAAAATGTGTATTTAATGATTTGATCACAGAGTAGTAATGGCTCTTTGTTCTAGATTTTTACAGCTCCTCTCTACCCAGGAACTCCATCTATAACTTAAGTATGCACAACAGCCATGAGTCCAAAAGTTTTGACATACCATAATGGGCGAATATAGAAAAAGTAATTTCATATCCTTAGTGGGTTAAAAGGCAGTATCAATAATACAAATATCTATGTTAATGTGCTCTAAAACTGGGCTTTTACTTGAGTTGTTGCCATTCTAAACCCAAGCAACTTTTGAATAAGATGAACTTTTTATAATTATAATGTAAATTATGTTTGTTATCATTAGAAATATTACCAATTATATGACCACCAGAGTGAGAGACTGTGTTTTTTTATTGTGCTTGAGCCTAAGTTGACATTTTTTAGTTGCAAAGACTACACTTTTCATTTTCTTCTCTTGCAGTTATCATATCCTCTGTTGCAGAAGAGTCTGCCCAGCAGCCAAAAAGGGAAATAACACAAAAAAGATTTGTGCCTTATCTCACCAACCATATGAGGCCTTTTAACTTTTAAAATTTTTTTTACTCTGCTCTGTTACACTAAGCTATAAACTACCCACTTATGCATGGCATTATATTGATAACAAAGCACATTTTGAAATCTTTTCTGGCTTTTTTACATGGTACAGATTCAGTTTTGTTAATAGTAGGTACTTAGAGTGACCCATATTGTGTGTTGAACAAAGGATAAAGTTCTAGTCTCAGAATTTAGAATGCTCTTAGGCTGTTCCATCCTCTAAAATAGTTTAATCCATAAGCTCATTAGGCTGCAGAAAGGAATCTCCTGAGGGAGTTATTCTGAAGAAGGGAAGTTCCTCTGGTCTGGTGTCTACTAGAATTGCTTTTCCTTGAAACTCTGCCTTCTTCTGGAAGGCAGAAATCTAACATGATTCAATGGCTACAGCTGTGGAAGTGTGCAGAGGAAAGGTGAAATCATTATAGAATACTGAGGAATACTTTGACAGAAATTATCCTTACTCTTTTTCCATTGAAGTGGGGTCCCCTGAGGTAACCAGAGGTGTGATGGGAAAAGCAAATCAAGTTATTTTTTACCTGTGTGCCAATGTTGTGATTGTCATAAGTCCAATGAGAAGTGGATGCCTGTGGTTTTGAAGGAATGTGCTTAGTTCACAGAACGAAAAGGCTTCTCAGTTAACTCGAAGACTAAAAGCACACAGATTAAAATTCAGAGAATGAGGAAAAGAAAATCCAGGGAAGTCTGAGTTTCATTGGAGCAAGTATAGATGGTTAGGATATGATTTCCTGGCATGGTCTGAAAACCATATTCTTTCATTCCAAATAAATAAAAAATTCTTACAAAGCTCAAGTGAGTTTAAGTGCTGCACCATAATAAAATGGCTTGATTTGCAGCTGAGACTTGGCACAATTCATAGACTAAAAGAAGAGCTTAAGAAAAGCTACAGGCATTTTTTTTTTTTTTTAGTATTTGGGGGGAAAAATGAGCAAGTCCCCATGTACTTTTCAAAAAGGCAAAAATTATTTATCTCTTGGTATGAGCAATGTAATTAAAACCTTTTTTTTATGTTTAGGCTTTCAAGAATATAATTATTGGGTATTCTTTTCTATGCTTGTTTCATCTACTCTTTGTTTTTACCAAGGGATAAATACTAAATTCCATGCCTTTCTTGGGCCCTTAAAACAATTTATTTTCATGCCAAACCTCTCATTAAGCCTCCTCCCTTTCTTTTTAAAATTTATTTTTTATTGAGATAAAATTCACATAAAATTTACCCTTTCAAAATGTACAATTCAGTGGCTTTAGGATGTTCACAAAATTGTGCAACCATTACCACTATCTGATTACAGAACATTTTTATCATACCCAAAAGAAACCTGTAATTATTAGCAATCACTCTTCATTTTCCCTTCTTCTAGCAACCACTAATCTACTTTCTGTAGATTTGCCTATTCTGGATATTTCATATAAGTGGAATTATATAATATGTGGCCTTTTGTGTCTGGCTTCTTTCACTTAACATAATGTTTTCAAGGTTCATCCATGTTCTAGCATGTATCAGTATTTCATGCACTTTATGACTGAATAATATTCCATTCTATGGATACTCCTTTTCACAGTATTTTAACAAGCCTTATTCTTGGTCTTACTGTGGATTATAATCCATTGCAGTGTATTTTATGTTCATAAAAGAACTAACTGATTTAGTAACATATTTTCTATAATTATGGCTTTTTAGAATTGTCTTCCCAGAATGGTGGCTCACACTTCTAATCCCAGCACTTAGGAAGGCCGAGGCAGGCGGATCACTTGAGGCCAGGAGTTCAAGACCAGCCTGGCCAAATAGTGAAACCCTGTCCCTACTGAAGATACAAAAAATTAGCCGGGCATGGTGGTGGGCGCCTGTAATCCCAGCTACTCAGGAAGCTGAGGCAGGAGAATTGTTTGAACCCAGGAGGCGGAGATTGCAGTGAGCCGAGATCGCGCCATTGCACTCCAGCCTGGGCAGCAAGAGCAAAACTCCATTAAAAAAAAAAAAAAAAAATCTTCCCAGATACAAGTTGGAAGAGTCTGAGAGCAATTTCTTCTTAGCCAGTTATTAGAAGAGTTATTTTCCAGTGGATTGTGTTTTATTTTTAGCCTGATTCAAAAGTTATACCAGCTAGGAAGTTAGATGAACTATCGAAGAGACTTAGCTAAAATCAGCTCTAAAGAAAATTGGACCAGTATTACAGTCAGTCTCCATATCTCAGGTTCCACATCTATGTATTCGATCAACCACAGATCAAAGGTATTCAGAAATACAAAAATAACAATAAGAATAATACAAAAAAATTTAAAATGTAGTATAACAACTATTTACATGTCATTTACATTAGGTATTACAAGTAGTCTAGAAATGACTTCAAGTATAGGGAAGGATGTGCATAGGTTATATGCAAACATGATGCTCCTTGTCTTATGATGGATTTACCTTTCGATATTTTCTGTTTACGATGGGTTTATCCAGATGTAGTCCTGTCATAAAGAGCATATTGAATGCGTGTATCACCATCCTAAAGTCAAAAAATTGCAAGTTGAACAATCAAAAGTTGGGGACTTTCTGTACTACACCATTTTATGTAAGGGACTTGAACATCCACAGATTTTTGTATCCTCAGGAGTCTTAGGACCAATCCCCTGTGGATACCAAGGGACAACTGTATATCCTTTGAAATTTTAACTTAATAGATTTTCTACTAAAGTGAGAGATGTTGTGGGCATTTGGCAGATTTAGAAAAGATAGGAAAGCAACTGAGTATTTATGTCTTCCTATAGTCATCTTGTGTTTTTCAAATTAGAAAGGTAAAAACTATTAAAAATTTCTTTGTCTATAGTGGAATAGAGAAAAGGGCATTTGCTTTTCCATAAGTTCATGCCTCAGAATATTCTAAACAAATTTTGAAATAGCCACATTGGGAGATCTTTAGGACACTGCTCCCCAGATTATGAAGCTGCTTCAGCCACTGCCTTCCAAAGCTTATAAGCTACTGGAGGAAATGGAAAGGTACATAAACATCATCAGTTCAGTTAGAGTGTGTTAGGCAGATGAAGAGCTACAACAAATAAGGAGCTCTGCATTTATAAGAGAGGAGACATTAGTTGTCACTAAGGGCATCAAGAAGGTGCTATTTTTACTGATCATTTTGCTGTTTTGATTATACCCCAATTTACATTGTGAAATATGCTCTTCCCAATTGGCTATAGTTAGATGGGACTGTCAGACATGGGACCATGCTCCCTGCTATCCACACTGAGACTGTAAGTCTCTCCTGGAACTCTGAAACCCTCAGACTTAAAGAGAATGGTTGACACAAATTCATTTTAGTGGCCTGGCCAGATGTTTGATGGCCTGATACATAGCCTCGTGAATCTGCTCCTGTTCCTGTCCTTTATGGACCAGGTCTTAGGTCTGTCCCTTAATTCTGCAGAGTACCTAATGCATTTCCAAAAAAATCATTCTCTGCTTAGGTTACAGTTTTAGGGTCTAACCCTACATGGTGTAGAGTGTAACAATACAATTACATTAATTTTGCAAAATTGCATACTTTATTATACAAAATGGAATTTTTGTAAAACAGCTCCACAAATTGTCATTATCTACAAGTTAGGCTTTTTTTTTTAGGATAAACATACATTGGCTGCAACAAACTCATAGTTAAGATCTCACAGTGTGATTAGGGAGACAAGATTCAAAATATACAACTTTAAAGAGCATTTTTCTTTTAATGTCCTATTATTTGCTTTCTGTACTTTATCATACCTGTAAATTCTTGTCTCTGTAAAACTCAATAATCTGGTGGTTTCACTGTAATTCTTTCAGTATTAATATATTGTGGTCTGCTTGTAGAAATATGATTTTTAAAAAAAGTTGGGCATGAGGGCTCATGCCTGTAATCCCAGTGCTTTGGGAGGCCGAGGCAGGAGGATTGTTTGAGGCCAGGAGTTGGAGACCAGCCTGGGCAACAGTGAGCCCCCATCTCTACAAAAAATCAAAAATTAGCCAGGTGTGGTGGCATGTGCCTGTAGTACCAGCTACTTGGCAGGCTGAGGTGGAGGATCTCTTGAGCCCAGGAGGTTGAGACTGCAGTAAGCAGTGATTGTGCCACTGCATTCCAGCCTGGGTGACAGAGTGAGACCCTGTATCAAAGAAAAAGAAGATAAAATATTAATCATCAAATGAAACAGTGCCTAGAATAGTACCTGGCACAAAGTAGTTAAATTAATGAACAAGCGAATGAGTAAATAAGAGTGATGAGCGGATAGTACGTACAATATACTCTGTGCATGGGCTACTGAGCTCCACAGGAGAACATGAGCAAAACCACACAGATGATCAAGTTTATACATTCGTTGTCATCAATCTCAATTAAACCCTTAACACTGACTGGCTGTCTTACTGTTTCCCTAGTTAGCTGTCTCCCATTTTCAACAGCTATTCCAAAACTTCTCCACTCCTCTTAAACCTCCAATCCACCCGGCACCCCCTCTCATTCTTGGTAGATTGACTCCTCCCTTCTTTACAGAACAAAGAGAGGTGACCAGACAGGAATTGTCTCCCTTCTTCTGACCACCAAATATACAATTCTCCCTGTTCCCTGCACTAATAGTCCTCTTCCTCTTCCCATTCCAGTAGAAGAGGCATTCCTCACATTTCTGGATCCCATTCTTTTCTGACACTTTTGTGACTTTTACTTATTCGTCTTCCTGATATCTTATGTTAGAAAGTAAGCATTTTCAAGTCTATTTCATCTCAATATCTCTTGACCCACATCCCTGTTCAGTTACCATACACCCTCTCTTGTCTCCATTTCAGTAACTCCTTGAAAAAATTTACCTGCCTTCCCAAACCCATCTTGATAACATTTCCAGGAACTTCCGTGTTGCTAAATCTAATGCATACTTTTCAATCCTCATTTTAATATACCTATCTCCATCCTTTGTTTTCTTATTTTCTTTTTTGTCACTCTTCTGTTTTACATGCTACATCTCTAGCACTGCATTATTACTCTTTTTGCAGGACTCTTTTCTATGCTCCTCTTAGTTATAAGTGTTCCCCAGAGCTTTATCCTAAGCCATTTTTCTCCACACATTTTACTAGGTAATTTGGTTTATTCCCTAGGCTTTAATTAACATCAGTTTGCTGATAACTATCAACTATAGATGTTTAGCCCATATTGCTCTCCTGAATTTGAGACACATGTACCTACCACATGTCTACACTTAATGTCTAACAGGTACTTCATACTCAAAATTCATCCTCTCTTACAAACTTACTCTTCTTCCAGTGTTTTCTATTCATGAAATGGCATCACCATCCAAACACTCGCTCAAACCAGAGACATGTGTCACTCTTGGCTTCTCTCTGGCTTCTTAACCACAGCTGGTCAATTACCAAGTCCTATCAAATCTACCTTCCTAAATACATCTTGAATTCGTTCACTTCTATCCATTGCCCCCATGCTCATTGGTCCACCATTATCTCTTGCCAGAGCTAGTGTATCTGCCTGCAGTTAACTGGTCTCCCTGATTTTCTCTTGTCAAACCCCCCATACCCCACAATGCATTCCCATTCCTTGCCCCGAGTCACAATTGTCTTCCAAACATAGAAATCACGTTCTTTGAATGCTGAAAACTCTTCAGTTGATTTACATTGCCTTTTTGATAAGATCCAAACTTCTAATATGACCTATAAAGTCTTTCATAATCTGGCTCCTGCCTTTATCTCCAGCCTCATTTCTTCTTTTTTTTTTTTTTTTTTTTTTTTGAGATGGAATCTTGCTTTGTCCCCCAGGCTGGAGTGCAATGGCACGATCACGATCTCGGCTCACTGCAACCTCTGCCTCTTGGGTTCAAGCAATTCTCCTGTCTCAGTCTCCTGAGTAGCTGGGATTACAGGCACCCACCACCACGCCCAGCTAATTTTTATATTTTTAGTAGAGATGGGGTTTTTTACCATGTTGATGAGGTCCAGCCTCATTTCTCTAGTATTCTCCCCTCCCCTACTATGTTCTTTTAGTTCCCTCACTTCTGTGACATTGAACTCAAAGCTTCTGCCATCTGGACCTTCCTCCATCATCTACCAAGTTAACTCATGCATTCTTCTGGTTTCAGCTTAAACTTCCTTTGCTCCAGGAGGTTAGGAGTCCGTGCTCTGTGCACATAGTGCTCCATGCTGCCTTATCATAGGTGCATTAGATTTTGCTGTAATTACTAGGTTAATTTTCTATTTTTTGTGGACTATAACAACTGCGTTTTTCTTGTTTTCCTCTGTATTCCAGATCTGTCACTGTGTCTGGTACATGGTAAGTTTCTATTAAATGTTGAAGGGTGAAAGGGAGCGAGAGAGAAAGGATTATAATATGGAATAGAGTACAAAATTTGCACACATTTTGCTTTTCTGTCACATCAGTATGGTTTGCATTAACCTCACAAGTTACATGTCAGCTTTTTTTTTTTCTTTAATGGAAAGACATATTTAGGACATGTTGTCTGCAGACCCCACTGAATGGACAGAACAAGATACTTAGACCAGTGGTTCTCAGCCGAGGCTGCTCACTGGAATTACTTGAGAATTTTTTAAAATTCTGATTCCTGAGTCCCAACTTTATAGATTCTGGTTTAACTGGCGTGGCATCTGTTAAAGCTCTCCACGTGATTCTGATGTACAGCAAAAATTAAGAACATGACAGTTTTACTACAGCCATTTCTCTATGACTTGCTTCAATGACTGATATTCAAGCCGGTCGAAGAACAAGAAAATCAAACAGTCCAGATTCAGCAGAACCCTGATCCACCCACGTGCTTTCAATTACAACTAAAAATAGCTGGAACAATTAAAAAAGAGTTTGTTGGTACAAATAACTGTCAAGTCCAGAGGTAGTATTGGTTCAGGCAAACATGATCCAGTGGCCTAGAGATGGCCCCAATGCCCCAGTATCTCTCTGCTTCGCTTTCCTGTCTTCGTTTTCTTTCTCCTAATTTAGACTCTTCTTGTGGCCATAGGTGGCTACTAAAGGCACCAGGAAAATGAGCCCGTCTTTGTCATTAACATCATAAGAAAAGTCTTTCAGATTCACTTTGATTGGACTGGTTTAGGTTACCAACCAATTGCTGCATTTAAGAGGTTGGAATATAGTAGGAGTAGAGTCCTCTTCCCAGGAAACACAGCAATCCCCAAATGAAAGTGGGATCTTTTAGAAAGGAAGAAGGGAGATAAATCAATGCTGAGACTATCAATGTCTGCTTTACCCATACAGTGGTTTTGGCTGGCTGCAGAATTTGGTCACAAAACTGTAGCACTACTTTATAGTACATAGTACAGTACTATAAAGTACATACTTTATAAGTAACCCAGATTTCTACATCAATTCCCACAGTTAATGACTACTAAAAAACTAAGCATGATTAGATTAATCATAACACTGTTTAGTGAGAAGAACTTGAGAACGGAAAATTGATTTGGATCCTGCAAACTTAAGTTGCCCCACGTATGGCTTTTGTTTAGTGCCTCAGTAAACAATGTTTTCTTGCTTCATTTTGAAAAATGAAAAATCTTAGATTCTCCAGAGAGAGTTTGATTTGTAGATTCCCACCCTGCCCCCTGCCCCCAGCTGAGTCACCAGCCAGGAACATTTTGTTAAGGTTTATTTTTTACAATTTTTGTTATGAACGCAAGAGTTTTAAATTTCCCCCCCAAATATTGTTGAATTATAACATTGGATATGCCTTTTCTAATTATATATGCTAAAAGAAAAATACCACACACACACACACACACACACACACACACACACTCCCCTAAAATCCCCTTCCAGGCTGGGTGCGGTGGCTCACACCTGTAATTCCAGCATTTTGGGAGGCTGAGGTGGGCAGATCACGAGGTCAGGGGTTCGAGACGAGCCTGACCAACATGGTGAAACCCCATCTCTACTAAAAACACAAAAATTAGCCAGGTGTGCTGGTGTGGCATGCGCCTGTAGTCCCAGCTACTCAGGAGGCTGAGGCAGGAGAATCTCTTTTTTTTTTTTTTTTTTTTTTTTTTTTGAGACGGAGTCTCGCTCTGTCGCCCAGGCGGGACTGCGGACTGCAGTGGCGCAATCTCGGCTCACTGCAAGCTCCGCTTCCCGGGTTCACGCCATTCTCCTGCCTCAGCCTCCCGAGTAGCTGGGACTACAGGCGCCCGCCACCGCGCCCGGCTAATTTTTTGTATTTTTAGTAGAGACGGGGTTTCACCTTGTTAGCCAGGATGGTCTCGATCTCCTGACCTCATGATCCACCCGCCTTGGCCTCCCAAAGTGCTGGGATTACAGGCGTGAGCCACCGCGCCCGGCCCAGGAGAATCTCTTAAACCTGGAAGGCAGAGGTTGCAGTGAGCCAAGATCGCGCCACTGCACTCCAGCCTGGGCGACAGAGCAAGACTCTGTTTCAAAAAAAAAAAAAGTCCCCTTCCTTCTGCCTATCCCCCAGAGAAGGGCAACCCTCCCTAGTTGAAAACTCACTGTTGTAGAACTGGCTGTCACCAACTACCCTTCTGGTTATAATTTGGCTTCTTAAGTTTCCCATAGACAGAAAATGTGCTAACCAGCAAACTTGGATTTGAGGCTTGCTACGTTATGTTTCCCATTGCAAGTTAATTAATTGGCATTCATCAGCCCTTAGAGTCCCATTGTGTCTGTGTGTGCTAACATTTAAGTTTCTGAGTTAATAAAGCTGAGTACCACATTCCAGAACAAAGCCCCTTCCATAAATCTCACTAGAACCAGAGGTGCTATCCCGTCCTGGTGACCAACCAGTTATTCTCCAAGCCACCCTCACCAGACTCCTTTTCCTCCAATTGTACTAGTAAAATCATTTTTAAAAAAGAAAAAAGAGGCATAAAATAGCATAGGCAGAATTTAATTTACCATCTAGAAATGCAAGATGGCACACATCTGTAGAAACATTGAAAGGAGAACAAGACCTTTAGGTTGCCGTAATCCCAGGGCTGATTATGAGAAGTTCCCTTGAAGCGAGTGCTTGTGAGGAAGAACTCAGTAGCTAGAATGTGAACTTTGAGTAAATATTGGCCCTAAAAATCTCAGTTATCACATGTGGAGGAAGGAAAGAAGCTTGTTACAAGAGTAGAGACTAAATTCACCCACAGGGCTGCAAGTTCCTTTATTCCAGAAAACCACAAAGAGGAATCTTTTAGTGATGCAAACATCAAGGATAAAGCCTTTTTATTTTTTTAGACAGGGTCATGCTGTGTTGCCCAGGCTAGAGTACAGTGGTGTGATCATATCTCACTGTAGCCTCAAACTCATGGCTCAAGTGATCCTCCCACCACAGCCTCCCGAGAAGCTAGGACTACAGGCATGTGCCACCATGCCTGGCTAATTTTTTAACTTTTTGTAGAGATGAGGGCTTGCTATGCTGCCCAGGCTGCTGTCGAACTCCTGGTCTCAAGTGATCCCCCCACCTGGGCCTTCCAAAGCACTGGGATTACAGGCATGAGCTACTGTGCCCAGCCAAAGAGTAAAGCCTTTGCAGAGATGTTGTTTTGTTTTTAACTGTAGAATATCTCAAACTTATACAAAAATACATAGAATAATATAATGAACTCTCAGGTACACGTCACTTAGTTTCAATGATAATCAACTAGTGTCAAATATTGTTGCCTCAAAATCCCCACCCACTTTGCTCTGTGCCCCACTTCTATGTAATTATGAGTCAAATCTCAGGCATCATTTCTGAGATGGAGCTGGTTTAGTTGAAGAGCAATCTTATTCTGACTGGTAATATGAAAATGGTCACTGTGGTAAAAGACTTGCATTTTTTCAGATTACAGTTCCCTTGTGGTTAGGCTGCACTATCCCAGTACAATTTCACTTGTTCTTAGGTGCATGTGATATCTGCTGTTAATTAAGGGATTGTTTATAGGAGAATAAGAGCAAGTCTGAAGACCCCAGGAAAGGTGTGCAGGCCAGATTATCACCTTAAACTTTAGAGAGCTGGCCTGGATTTGGCTGGATATGACCCATACTGGGCCATGGGAGGCCCTTACAACCACAGAATAAGGAGACCTTTATTCTAAAACTGAAGAACCCAGAAGTGCATGCCATGGCATGCAAATACCGTTACATCAGAGTAATCCTTTTGCTACTCAAGAGGCTGAAGCAGGAGCAATGCTTGAACCCAAGAGTTCAAGATTGTTGTGATCTATGATCAGGCCTGAGAAAAGCCACTGCACTCTAGCCTGGGCAACATAGAAAGACTCCTGTCTCAAAAAAATTTATTTTAATACAAAAAACCTGAAGAACCCTGGCCGGGCACAGTTGCTTACGCCTCTAATCCCAGCACTTTGGGAGGCTGAGGCAGGAGGATCACCTGAGGTCAGGAGTTCGAGACCAGCCTGACCAACATGGAAAAACCCCATCTCTACTAAAAATACAATGTTAGCTGGGCTTGGTGGCACATACCTATAATTCCAGCTACTCGGGAGGCTGAGACAGGAGAATCGCTTGAACCTGAGAGGCGGAGGTTGCAGTGAGCTGAGATCACACCATTGCACTCCAGCCTGGGCAACCAGAGTGAAACTCCATCTCAAAAAAAAAAAAAAAAGAAAAACAGGCTCAGGT
Source organism: Homo sapiens (assembly GCF_000001405.40). Classification (NCBI taxonomy): domain Eukaryota; kingdom Metazoa; phylum Chordata; class Mammalia; order Primates; family Hominidae; genus Homo; species Homo sapiens. Next base: position 149,726,342 of record NC_000003.12, on the reverse strand, counting down.
GCCACCTGTAAGAGGAAGGAGAACTGGACCCTGCCATGGGAGTTAGGCAGAGAGGGTTCAGGATCAGGCCTGAACCTTCTGATATGCTGAGAAGCCAGTCCTGAGGTTGCAGGAGGTTATTTGCTTGGAGGCTCGCCCCTGGGAGCTAACCATCATGATCCTGTGGGAAAGTTAAATGTTCTCAAGGAGTCCTAAAGTTACTTGTGAGGGAAACCTAGTAAAAGTCTAGACTTCCTGTTGCACCATAGGTAGGATGAAAGTAAAAGAAATCTACTGTCATGATAATTTCCAAGCCCCTTTGAGTCCTGAGCTAATAAATAAATGTAATAAATACATATTAACATTATATATATACTTTTGATGTGGGTAGCCAGTTTCTAGAAGGATACATAAGAAATTCTTAATAGGGTTTCCTCTGAGATGGGGCCAGGGAGGGTGGCCAAGATTTTTACTTTTTACTTTGTACTCTTCTATACATTAAAAAAAGTTTATTTATTATTTATATAATACAAATAAATAAGATACAAATGTGTGTACATATAATGTGTCAGCATATCCCAACTGAGCCGAAAAGTTTATGCCACATTAGGAATTAAATGGTAGAGAAAAATAGCATTTTAAAAATATTACCCCACAGTGGTTTACGTGTAAAGTTCCTTCAAAATTTTCCTTCTGAAATTTTCCTGTTTTTTTTTAAAGACTAAATATATCTTTCTTGCTGAGCTATAAGCTATAAAACAATTTTAGTATTCTCCCAGGCCTCCACCATTACTAACAATATTAATTCCTTGCATATAGCATTAGACCAGGGTTCTCATCCCTGGCTTGCACACCCAGAGCCTGGCCTGCACACCTAGAGCCTGGACCCAAAGTAAGTAAACCTGAATTGGGCTCACCTGAGCCTGTCTTTTTTCTCAACTTTAAAAGCTTCACAGGTGACTGTGATGTAGAGCCAGAGCTGAGGTTCAGCATTAGAAGAACTGGGGAGAATGTTGCAGGGAACAGTGCTAGAGTACTCAACCAACCTTCTATGCTAGTTGATGGGTCCATCCCAGAGATTTTCCGTGAATGAGCAAGTAGCAGAGCAAAACCTAAATTGAACCCTGTCAAGGAATCACGAACACCTTTGTAGTTTAAAATATACTTGTTAAAGGATGTTTTAAATTAATTGTTCACTTCATTCCAATTTGTCTTTTGACTCCCTTAGTACTTTTCTTCCTTGCATTTCATGTAAATCCAATGCTGTGTGAGTAAAGAGAAGAGAGGAGAAAGAAGAAAATGTGCTGAAGCAGGTATTTTTAGAGTGGGTTTTCAGAATATTTTGGAGTTAGCATTAATTCATTTCAAAGGAGCAGAAAAATATTCAGAGGTAGCATGAGGTTAGTATGAAAAATGTTGGCAGGACCTCTGATTCTGTTGCTGACTCTCCAGGATTTGGAACAGGCATGTTTCCTTCATGTGGAATTGGAATTAATTGGACAATTAATTCAAAATGCCTTCATGAAAAGAACAAAAACAAATAAAATTGCCCTTCATGTCTGATTGCCTCAACAGAACAACAAAAAAGTGATGGAACTGGATGCTCTCCCAGTCTTACATTTCTATGTAAATGTGAAAGAGAAACATGGCTACAAGGACCAGGTATGGCCTAGGAAATGGGAGAATCTACCTTTTAGAAGGGGTTCTTAACATAGGGTCTTTGGAAGGTTTCAAGGTGTCAATGAACCTTCTGAAATCACATATAAAATGGTGTGTGCACCTTTTTTTCTAGGGTTATGGTCCATGGCTTTCATCAGATTCTCAAACCATTGGAAAGGATTAAAAACTGCCTTTTTTTTTTTTTAAGGAGTCTGGGGGGTAGGGTGGACGGTATAAAAATTATTCAAGTTAGGAATATTAAAAAGAGAGCCTGTTAATTTAGTCAAATATTAGGGGGGATCACATTGATTCTTGGAGCTGGAGAGAAGGCAGAAAATCACATCATTTGAAGCCACGAATTGTCAGGAAAGAGATGGGCAAGAAATTACAGGCTGAAATTCAGGTGAAGGAGCAGGTAGTTGGTAATTGTTGAAGCTGTGTGATGAGTGCACAGGGATTCATTATATCATTCTCTTTACTTTTGTTTAGGTTTGAAATTTTTCACTATAAAAAGTTTTTGAAAATAAGGAGCCCCAGAGAGAATTCCTAGAAGATGGCAGAGGAGGAAAAAGAGGAACCTATCTTCCCACCTAGATAATAATTTTACCAGTAGAATCTGTCTAATGTAAGTATTTTGGAACTGTGGAGTCTGTTGAAGGCTTATAACTTCCAGGGCTTGAGCAATAATTGTGGTTAATTTTCATCAATTTCAGCTGTAATCACAGTAGCAGCTAACCACCCTTCAGCCACATGTCAGGCAGCTGTGCACATGCTCCTGGAGCAACCTGTACACAGCCTGTGGGAGCTAGGGTAGCTGAAAAGGACCCTGGCCTCCAAATATTTAGGATCTATGCTCTCATTGCTGATTGCTGCTTCTCATCACAAAGGTGCAAAGAAGCAGCAGGTTTTGTTGTTGCACTTTACCCCATTGTTGCGAGTCCCTCCATCTCTGGATGAAATGACTCTCAGGGAATATAAAGGGCAAACACCTTTTTCCCTTCCTACATTTTCCCCCTTTTAGGAACTAGATATTGAAGACTAGAGCATTAAAAATGAACCACATGTATGTGATTGGAGTTGGAAAATCATCATGTATACCCAGGGAAAGGCAAAGGCTCAAAAAATATATGAAAGGATCTTAACTTTATACTTCTGGCTGATCCACACCACAAAGACAGCCTACAACAACAACAACAAAAACAGAAAACCAGCAAACCAGCTGGGTGAGGTGGCTCACACCTGTAATCCCTGCACTTTGGGAGGCTGAGGCAGGCAGATCACCTGAGGTCGGGAGTTTAAGACCAGCCTGACCAACACGGAGAAACCCCGTCTCTACTAAAAATACAAAATTATTCAGGTGTGGTGGCACATGCCTGTAATCCCAGCTACCTGGGAGGCTGAGGCAGGAGAATCACTTGAACCTGGGAGGCAGAGGTTGTGGTGAGCCGAGATCGTGCCATTGAACTCCAGCCTGGGCAACAGGAGCAAAACTCTGTCTCAAAAAAAAAAAAAAAAAAAAGAAAAGAAAAGAAAACCAGCAAACCAAAAGAAAGGACACTGATTTTCAGAGTTACCACATTATTAGATTCAAATATCCAATTTCCAACAAAAAATTCACAAGGCATGCAAAGAAACGGAAATGTATGGCTTGGTTAAAGGGGGAAAAAAAATAACAAGAAATTGTCCCTAAAAGAGACCTAAAAATGGTTGTAATAGACAAGGACTTTCAAACAACTGTCTTAAAGATGCTAAAAGAACTAAAGGAGGATGTGGTGAAAGTCAATAAAACAATATGTGAAGAAAATGTAAATATCAATAAAGAAATAGAAAACCTAAAAAGAAAGCAAAAATAAATTCTGGAGCTGAAGATTACAGTAGTCGAAGTGAAAATTTTAAGAAATTCAAAGGCAAATTTGAGCAAGCAGAAGAATCAGCAAACTTGATAGGACAATGAAAATTATCAAGTCTGAGGAACAGAAAAAAGACTGGAGGAACGTGAACAGAGCCTAAGGGACCTGTAGGGTACCATCAAGCAGATCAACATATGCCTTGAGGGAATTCCAGAAGGTGAACAGAGAGAGAAAGGGGAAGAGAGAATATTTGAAGAAATGATGATCAAAAACTCCCTAAGTATTTGGAAAATTCACAAATTTCTGGAAATTAACCAACACACTCTTAAATAACAAATTAATAAAAGAAATCATAATGGAAATTACAATGTACCTAGAGACAAATGAAAATGAACACACATGATACCCAAACTTATGGAACACAGAGAAAGTAATGCAAAGGGGAATATTTATAATAAATTCAAAATTTACATTAAATAGCTTACATTAAAAAAACAATAAATGTCTTAAATCAACAACCTAAACTTAAAACTTAAGAAACTAGAAAAAGTAAAAGAAACTAAACCCAAAGCTAGTAGGAGGAATAAAATAATAAAGATTAGAGCAGAGATAAATGAAATAGAGAATAGAAGAAGAATAGAGGAAAATAATAGAAGAATAATAGAGAAATCTGAAGATGGTTCTTCCAAAAGATCAACAAAATTGACAAGCCTTTAGCTAAATGGACTAAAGAAAAAGAAGACTCAAATTATTAAAATCAGAAATTAAAGTGGGGACATTATTACCAAATCTACAGAAATAAAAAGGATTTTAAGAGAGCAATTGTACTTCAACAAATTGGATAACCTAGATGAAATAGACAAATTTCTAAAAACACACAACCTATCAAGACTAAGCCACAAAGAAATAGAAAATCTGAATAAACCTGTAGCTAACAAGAAAGTTGAATCTCTTATAAAAGACAGTGATTTAAAATATCCCATGAAATAAAATCCCTGCACAGTGGCATGCAACTGTAGTCTCACCTACTCAGGAAGCTGCAGTGACAGGATCGTTTGAGCCCAGGAGTTCAAGACCAGCCTGGGCAACATAAGAAACCCCATCTCTTAAAAGAAAAGAAAAGCCCTGGATCTGATGGTTTTACCAGTGAATTATACCAAACATTTAAAGAACTAACACCAATCCTTCTCAAACTTTTCCAAAAAAATTGAAGAGATTACACCCTAACCCAGTCTATTAGGCCAGCATTACCCTGATACCAAAGCCAGACAAAGACTCTACAAGAAAAGAAAACTAATAGACCAATATCCCTTATGAACATTGATGCAAAAATATTCTGAACAAAATATGAGTAAACTAAGTGCAACAGCATATTTAAAAGATTATACGCTATGGCTAAGTGAGGTTTATTCCTGGAATGCAAGGATGATTCAATCTATGAAAACTGATCAATGTAATACACCACATTAACAGAATGAAGGGAGAAAGCCACATGATCATCCCAAGTGGTGCAGAAAAAGCATTTGACAAAATTCAACATCCTTTCATGGTAAAAATGCTCAGTAAACTCTGAATAGAAGGAAACTAACTCAACATAACAAAAGCTGTCTGTGAATAACCCACAGCAAACATCATACTTAATGGTGAAAGACTGAAAGCTTTTTCTCTAAGATCAGAAACAAGAAAAAAATTTCCACTTTCACCGTATAGCATTGGAAATGCTAGACATAGCAATGAGACAAGAAAAAGAAATGAAAGGCATCTAAAATGGAAAAAAAGAAGTAAAATATCCCTGTTTGCAGATGACATGATCTCATATGTAGAAAACCCTGAAGATTCCACACACAAAAAAGTTACAATTAATAAATTCAGCAAAATAGCAGGATACAAAGTCAACACACAAAAATCAGTCGCATTTATATACACAAACAATAAACAATCTGAAAAAACTTAAGAAAACAATTCCATTTATAATAGCATCAAAAATAATAAAGTACCTAGGAATTAACTTTACCAAGGATGTAAAAAATCTATGTACTGTAAAGTACAAAATATATCTGAGAGAAATTAAAGAAGACATAAATAAATGGAGAGCTATTTCATGTTCACGGATTGGAAGACTTAATATTGTTAAGATTTCAACACTACCCAAAGTGATCTACAGATTTAGTGTGGTTCCTATCAAACAAGTAGGTTTTTTTTTTGCAAAAATAGGAAAACAAATCTTAATATTCATATGAAATTTCAAGGAACTCTAAATAGTCAAAATAATCCTAAAAGAGAAGAACAAAGCTGGAGGACTCACACTTACTGATTTAAAAATTTATAATAGGTAATAGTAATTAAGACAGTGTGGTAGTGGCATAAAGACCACACATAAAGACCAATGAATACAATAGAGAATCCAGAAATAAATCTTCAAATATATGGTCAAATGATTTTTGGTAAGGGAACCATGATTATTCAATAAGAAAAGGACAGTCTTTTCAACAAATGGTGCTGAGAAAACTAGATATTTACATGCAAAATAATGAACTTTTACCTTTACCTAATACCATACGCATAATTTAGCTCAAAGTAGATCCATGGCCTAAATGTAAGCCCTAAAACTATAAAACTCTTAGAAGAAAACATAAGGCAAAAACTTCACGACATGGGATTAGGCAGTGATTTTGTGTGATGACACCAAAGGCACAGGCAACAAAAGAAAAAAACAGACAAATTGGACTTCATGAAAATTTAAAAATTTTATATCAAAAGACACTATCAACAGAATAGAAAGACAGCCTACAGAATTTGAGAATATATTTACACGTCATATATCTGATAAGGGATTAGTATCCAGAATATATGGAGAACTCCTAAAACTCAACAACAAAAATACAAACAGCTCAATTCAAAAATGGGTGAAGGACTTGAATAGATATTTGATACTTCTCCAAGAAGATATACAAATGGCCAATCAGCACATGCAAAGATGCTCAGCCTTACTAATCATTATGGAAATGCAAGTCAAAACTATAGTGAGAGCCACCTGGACACCCTTAGGATGGCTACTATCAAAGCAATAGAAAATAAAATGTGTTTGCAGGGTATGTGGAGAAAATAGAATCTTTGTGCCTGTTTGGGGGATATAGAATGGTATAACCACTGTGGAAAGCAGTATGGTGGTTTCTCAAAAAATTAAAAATAGATTTACCATATGATCCAGCAGTGCCATACTCAGAAGAATTAAAAGCAAAGTATCAAAGATATTTGTATGCTCGTGTTCATACAGCATTACTTACAATAGCTAAAACATTGAAGCAACCCAAGAGGCCATTGACAGATGAATGAAAAAGCAAAATGTGATATATACTTACAATAGAATATTGTTCAGCCTTAAGGCTGGGCACAGTGGCCACGCCTGTAATCCCAGCACTTTGGGAAGCCGAGGCAGGTGGATCACCTGAGGTCAGGAGTTCAAGATCAGCCTGACCAACGTGGTGAAACCCTGTCTCTACTAAAAATAAAAAAATTAGCTGGGCTTGGTGGCTGACGCCTGTAGTCCCAGCTACTCAGGAGGCTGAGGCCCAAGAATCACTTGAACTCGGGAGGCAGAGGTTGCAGTGAGCCCCAAGATGATGCCACTGCACCCCAGCCTGGGCAACAGAGTGAGACTCGGTCTCAAAAAAGAAAAAAAAAAAAAGAAAAAGAATATTATTCAGCCTTAAAAAGGAAGAAAATTCAGGCCAGGCATGGTGCCTCACATCTGTAATCCCAGCCCTATGGGAGGCCAAGTCAGGCAGATCACTTGAGGTCAGGAGTTCAAGACCAGCCTGGCCAACATAGTGAAATCCCATCTCTACCAAAAATACAAAAATTAGCCAGGCGTGGTGACAAGCACCAGTAATCCCAGCTCCTCAGGAGGCTGAGGCAGGAGAACCGCTTGAACCTGGGAGGCAGACGTTGCACTGAACCGAGATCATACCACTGCACTCCAGCCTGGGCAACAGAATGAGACCCTGCCACAAGAAAAAAAAAATGAAGAAGAAGAAGAAAGAAAATTCTGAGGCATGCTACAACATGGATGAACCTTGAGGACATTAGGCTAAGTGAAATAAGCCAGTCACAAAACAACAAATACTATATGATCCCACTTTTATGAAGTACTTAAAGTAGTCAAAATCATAGAGACAGAAAGTAGAATGATGGTTGCCAGGGGTAGCAGGAAGGGAGCAATGAGTTGTTGTTTAACGGGCATAGAGTTTCAATTTTGCAAGATGAAAAGAGATCTGGAGATGGATGCTGGTGATGTTTGCACAACCATATGAATATACTGAATGCCACTCAGCTGTGCACTTAAAAATGATTAAGATAGTAAATTTTGTTACATATATTTTACCATAATAAACTTTGGGTAAAAAATTAAAATGAAAAGAACCAAAGTGAGATAGCAGAGGACCCTGTGAGCTGTTGAGCCTGTGTGAACAGAGACTAGTGGCCCTCATGGCATGTGGCTGAATGAGTGGTTGGTAACGATCTCCTGCTTTCTACTATCTGTTTCCTTTTCTTCCTCAGTTTTTTTCTTAATCTGCTTCCTTGAGAAAACAATCCTGCTTCTTTGAGATACAAAATTCCAAGTTTGATGTGGTGATTATGGGGAAAAAAAGAACGTAAGGTCACAATGAGAAGATGGGACACTATGGAAGGCCCTTTAATTTTCTAATAGTCACATAGACTTTAAAAAATAGTCTCTGGGGTCTGGTAACTTGGTAATGTCATTGAGTTATTATAAAAGAGTAAGCAATTTTATAATATATTTGTTTAGGGATATAATTTTGTATAATTTCCCTTGTTCACTTATTTTTCAGTATAAATCAGCCTTGATGATATGATCATTTCTATTTTTTTCTAAAATTAGAATAATAATAATACCTGTTTTATTAATGGTGATATAAAATCTAGGAGAAAAACATGAATGAATACTCACAAGTATTTACTACTTGTGAGTAGTAGAAAACATGTGAATACTAACAAGCTACCATAGTCTTGTTCCTGAATTTCCATAAGAGAGACCTTCCAAATGTATGAATTTTTATGTCTATATCTTAAGCCAAGAATATCCTTCTTCACTATACCCACCCTACACCTAATCAGGAAATTTTCAAAGTCTTTCAACATATTTCATATTCACAAATTGCTTATGTTGGATCATCACCCTTGTCCTTCACTTCTTGGGCACCAGAGGGCATACATCTTAAATCTCACTTTCTCAGAGACACAAATCCTTTTTCCCTCCACTGCAGGATTTTCTCCTCTGGATTTGCTCTGGCACCTCGAAGAAGCTTAGGGGAACAGTTCAGCTTTGCTCTTCCTGATAATTAGTGGCTTTCCTGATGGTGTGGTTCAACACACCCACCAGAGACGGAAGGTAATGATTACTCAGGAGACCTGCTTCCTTTATCAATCTGCACAATCAAAAGAATTGTCCTTGAAAATAGTCTTTGTAGACCATTAGTTCATAATCTTTTTTGTTTGTTTGTTTGTTTTGCTAACTTTTCATTGTTTTTAGGCTGAAGATAGCCTAAAATTGTATTCATTACTTTAGCCTTCGAAGCTTATAAAGTGAGATAATAGAAGTGAAACTGCTTTCGAACGGGAAAGAAGCACCATATAATTGCAAAGTAGAATTACCTTTAGGAGAAATGTTAACCAGACAAGGCCAGTCTGTCACCCACTGGGGAGTCGCACAATCTCAGCTCGCTGCAGCCTCAACCTCCCCAGCTCAAGCAATCCTCCCACGTCAGCCCCCAGATAGCTGGGACTACAGGCATGTGCCACCTAAGTTTTTTATTTTTTATAGAGACAGGGTTCACCCTATGTTGCCCAGTCTGGTCTCGAACTCTGGGCTCAAGTAACCCGCCCACCTCAGCTTCCCAAAGTGCAAGGATTAGAGGTATGAGCTGCTATGCTTGGCCCATAATTTTTGATTCTTGTGACTGTATGCCCACATTTTTTTTCTTATGATTTCTCTGTAGATCTGTCCTTATAAAAATTTTTATTTTCTAAACTTGTTAATTCTTCTGGACATATCCTAAACTACACATTTAGAGCCACCCAAGTAGCCATCCATCCACTTATGAAATAATATGAGTATTAAGAAATCTAGAAATTAAATTTAAAAAATAAAATATGACTTTTTGTTTGTTTACTATTAAAAAACAGGTCTCAACAATCAATAAGTAAATGATTCTAAGAGAAAATGTTAAAATATAATTTTTTTTTCCCTAATACCAGATAAGAATATTTTTATTTTCCTTTGGGCCATCCCTCAATCACAGTATATTCAGAGTAGTTTTCAAATTTTGTAGGATTGTTTTTATCTTTCTGTGGCTTTGACAAGTATCAAGTATGGGTAGATTTAGTTGAAAAGGTAAGTAGGCCACAGAGCATCAGAACAATTTCTTTATTTTATTTTATTATTTTTTTTTGAGATGGAGTCTCCCTTTGTCACCCAGGCTGTAGTGCAGTGGTGTGATCTCGGCTCACTGCACCCTCTGCCTTCCAGGTTCCAGCAATTCTCCTGCCCAGCCTTCTGAGTAGCTGGGATTACAGCTGTGTGCCACCATGCCTGGCTAATTTTTGAATTTTTAGTAGAGACAGGGTTTTACCATGTTGGCCAGGCTGGTCACAAACTCCTGCCCTCAAGTGATCCACCCATCTCGGCCTCCCAAAGTGCTGGGATTACAGGCATGAGCCACCACGCCAGGCGCAGAACAATTTCTGAATTCAAAACAAATAGCCCTGAATAGTAAATTCTCTCTTCACTGAATAGAGAATTCATGTTCAATGTTTTGTCAATGTTTTCATTGTAGGCAAACCTGAGACCAATTTTCTTAGGAAGACAATGCCATAAATGTTGATGAGGCTCCCTAGTTAACCCCCACCCCAAACCAAACCAAACAAGACTTTTTATCCAGTTAAATATGTTGTAGTCCCCTCTGAGATCCCCATCACTCTTTGCTATTCATATTTTTACTATTTTTGTGATTAGCATAAGTATTAGAAAGAGAAATTAATATCTGCAGAGCACTTTATCCACATGTACTAAGTTGTACTTATATCCCAACTCTATGTGAGGTATATGTATGAAGTACTGTTGTTCTGGGATCTTTGGGATTGGGATGTCGCTTTTCTGGCCGGAAATCTCTTTGGCTGGTGGTGCCTTTGCCCAAGTTTTCTCAGGCCCTCTGGGCTTGTTCCGCCCACTCGGCCTGGCAGGCTGTGCTCAGCTCATGCTACTGGCCCTTGATCACACCTCTAAGGGAGACTGAGTCAGGTGTGGAGCGGCAAGGGATGTGTAAGCAAGCGTGGGATCCGGCCACTGCGCACAAATACGCCGGCTGCTGCCAGGGGGCAGGCAGTTCCGAGTGCTGGCACGGGTGCCAGCGCTCTGTGAGGCTATGCTGGACCAGGCACACTGCAAGCAACTTCCCCAGCTGGCACCGGAAAATGCAGTGACGCCCAGAAGCTTGACACCCAGAAGCTTGGAGATGCCTGCAACTGCAGGCCCCCAAAGAGGGAGTCACAGCCCTGGCTTGGGGAGCTCCCAGGTCTGGGCTCCCTGAAGGGCCGCAGGTGTTCTCTCCTCTTCACCCACAACATGGTGGACAAGGGGCATGTTTCAGCCCTGTTTGTGTCACAGCTCTTTTAGCCTTGCCATTTGGTGGGTCCCGAGTTCTTGTTCTTCCACACAGACAAGTAGAGGGTGAGCAAGGCGAAGAGGAGCTTTATTGAGAAACAGAATAGCTCAGAGGAGACCTGCAGTGGGCAGCTTCTTTCCATAGCCAGGGTGTCCCGACGAGTTTTCAGCTGTCAGCAGAGAGGGTAGCTCCTCTCTGCAGCTAGTCCTCCCACCATCTCCTCGGCTCCTCTCTGCAGCTGGTCATCACCTTGTCTCCCTGTCCTCTCTCCATCCTCTCTTCCGAGTCTGACTGACTCTGGGGGTTTTTAATGGGCCTCAGAGGGTAGGAAGTGTGTGCTGATTGGTCCATGGGTGGCCGTGGATGGGCCCAGGGAAAAGCACCACACGTTCCCACTCTGGTCCGTGGGACTGGCAGCCCAGCCCCCAGGCTTCAGGCCCCCCTTGGCTTGAAGGTAGGAGTTTCCTGGGGACCCACCCCATTCTGCCCAGGAGCCTATCTGCTTCCTGCTGCTGTTCATGGTGCCCAGGCTGTTCTTGCCAAGGGGCACCTGCAGGCCAGCGCCAGGCTGTCCTCAGCACCCCCTGGTCTCCCTCCCATGTTCATTAGTTCCCAAAGTCCAGAGAGGGCAGAGATGACAGGGGCCGGGTGTCTCAGCGGTGCCCTGAGCCTGCGCACACCCAGCCAGGCTGCAACAGCGCCCGGGCTTGGCCCCATCCTTGCTCTGAGATCCGAGGGGGCGCTGGGAGCGGGGAGAGGCTAGACACTGGGAGCAGACCCCTCTGAGCCTACCGGGGCAAGGGTGGCCTTCCTGGGCCCCTGAGAGTTCAGAGATGCCTGGTTCTGCAGTCGCAGCTCGGCGTCTGCAGCTGGGTCCAGGAGGGCGGGGCTCCTGCCTGCTCCCAGCCCCTAAGCACAGGGAGGCAGGGGTCCATGTCCACAGCGGTGTCTTGGGTGGCTGCAGCCGCACCCGAAAGGTCCAGGCTGCTGCCTGCTCCCGGCTCCCGCTGGCTTCATGAAGGTGACACCGCCCCAGGCCCAGCTCCGCCTTGGGTTCCCTCTCTGCCCACCCCTTCACGTCCGACCGCACTGCTCTTCTGCCAGCAGGCAACTCGGCCTGGCCCCATCACGGCGGCTGCCAGAGCGGTGGGATCTGGGGGGCTCCCAGGGCAGGCTCCAGAGACTATCATCTCCTCCCCGCAGCCTCCCCGCAGTGGTGGCCAGCAAAAGCAGCGACGTGGGGCCAGGGTCCAGAGCAGCAGAGGCTCTGGGCCTGGGATCAAGTCCCACCCAACTGCACGAGGGTTGGGCAACAAAGTCGAAGTCCGCTGCCTCAGGGATGCGTGCCACAGGGGTCACACCGCTGCCACTGTCACTCCCACAGCCGCTCCCTCCATTACTGCCCATGCCCCTCTGCTGCTGCTATCACTGTGATCCTTATAACTGGCTCAGATAAGTTAAATAAACAGATTTAAAAATTCAAGACGTAGGACGGGCGCTGTGGCTCATGCCTGTAATTCCAGCACTTTGGGAGGTGGAGGCGGGTGGAGCACCTGAGGTCAGGAGTTCGAGACCAGCCTGGCCAACATGGCGAAACTCTGTCTCTACTAAAAATACAAAAATTAGTCGGGCGTGGTGGCGGGTACCTGTAATCCCAGCTACTTGGGAGGCTGAGGCAGGAGAATCGCTTGAACCCAGGAGGCAGAGGTTGCAGTGAGCTGAGATTGTGCCACTGCACTCCAGCCTGGGCAACAGAGCGAGACGCCGTCTCAAAAAAATAAAAACAAAAAAAATAAATAAATTAATAAAATAAAATAAAAATTCAAGATGTACATTATTATGGAAGAGAATTCATGGTTTTATTTTTTTCAGAATTGGCATAGACAATCCTGAATTTCTAACGGTTTATGTGTGAAAATGTTTTTTTAAAGTCAAATATTTTAACTTAATTATATTTTTAAATGAATACTGAGTGCATGGAAAAATATATTCTGGACTTCAGTTCCTCAAACCCCACCTTCACCTGCAAATCATAAGTTTTAGACCCTTTTCTTTTCTGAGTATTACCTTTTCTCTCCACCTACATTCCCTGCTAACCAGGATAGTCACTCTCATACGCAGCAGATGTGAAGCCAAATGTTTGGGAGACAGTGTGGGTGGAGAGAAAAAGTGTAGCCTTGAGCATCAGACACATCTTACCTTACTTAATTTACAGCATGCCCTTGAGCAAATGTTGTAACTGACTGAGTCTCAGTTTCCACTTTTGCGAATGTCATAATAATAATATCTATATCTTGCAGTTATTTTGAGGATTAAATGAGATATCATTTATATTGTCCTGAAGTGTAATTGGTTTCAAAATACTTTCCACCCTTGCTAGTAGTAAAATGAGTAATATTTAGCAATAAATTACTTTGCACTTCAGTTGTGGTTTAGAGTAGTGTGAAAGCTTAGATTGTTACTATTCCATAGGAATTAGCTCCTGGTTTTGGCCTGAGACTGACTAATGTCTAATCCTCAAAATTCCTATTCATAAGGTTCAATAATAAGCAGATGGGTTACACAACCCTAATTTTGCAGGTCGCACTTACTTTTCCTCTTGATATAAGTTTTTGTCAGCAACTAAAAACATCCAGTTTAGTGAAAAAGTGTGATCAATATATAACAACACAGGAATTGTCTAAGAAGAATTCAGGAACAAGAGAATGTTGGGTAAATCGTAGGCTGATCATGAGAGAGCCACAGCTATAGAAAAAATCTGATTTAGAGAAATGATAATTTTTTGTGTTTTCTCTTACCCCTTCCCTCCCTTTAGTTCCCAATAATTTTATTTTATAGCAAAGATACTTAAAATAAAATTTTATTTTATAGCAAGGATAGGGTCTTGCTTTGTTGCCCAGGCTGGAGTACAGTGGCTATTCACAGGTGTGGTCATAGTGTACTACAGCCTCGAACTCCTGGCCTCAATCCTCCCACCTCAGCCTCAAAAGTAGGTTGGACTACAGATACACATTACCAATTTTAAATTTTAAAATGTAAAATTAAAATTTTGCCTTTCTTCACTTTTCTTTCTTTCCATTACTTAAACTTCATTTGACATTTATACAATCAAGAAATACAAACTGAGTCCTTACTACATGTCAGAAACTTGTAGAATACAATAATAAGTGAAACAGCCAGTCTTTGATTTCAAGAAGTTAACATTGGTTGGGAAGGCAGATAACTAGAGGTAAGTAACAATAAATAAAAAAGATGATTTCAGAGAATGCTAAATATTAAGGAAAATAAAGTAAATATGACAGAGAGTAACCAAGGAGCATCTTTAGATTGGGTGGTCAGAGAAGGCTTTCTAAAGAGAGCTTGAGCTAAGACCTGGCTGATAGGTCTGAGCCATTTGAAAATGTGGCAGGAAAATGTGATGCACAGAAGCCAAGAGAAGAAAATGTTTTAAGAAAGAGAGACTGGGCAATTGAATCTGCTGATAAAATAGGTGAGATGAAAACCAGAAGTGATTATTAAAGTTGGCCTTTGGTGACCTGGGCAAAAGCAGGGACAGTGGTGTGATCTGGGTGCAAGTTCAGCTGCTGAGGCTAAGAGAAGAATTCTGCCAAATGGAGAAACTAGTGATCAGGTTGTATATGCCCAGAAGCTGGCTAGATTGTTCTTTATAAAATAAAGTAAGCTCTAGTACCCCTAGTACCTCACAAAACAAATGCATCTACTTGGTTTGTATCACTTCTGACAAGTTGTGTTAATAATAATAGTAGAATTATTTATTATTTTACTACTGATTTCATATACTTTTGACTATTATATCAAGATCCTGAATTTTCCTTTTTTAATTCAACTTAATAATTTTTTAAACTTTTACTTTTGTAGAGACAAGATCTCGCTGTGGTGAGCAGGCTGGTCCTGAACTTCTGGGCTCAAGCCACCTTGGCCTCCCAACCTGCTGGGATTACAGGCACAAGCAACCACATCCAGCCTCCCTTTTTTTTTTTTTTTTTTAGCAAGTGTGTGAAACCCTACGCTTCTGTCTCCTCTTCACCCCTTCCCATCTTCTTTCCTAACTGTGCCCGTAAATGAATATATAATCAATTTGGGTGGAGTTTATCACTGAAAGCTTCCTAAACTGGGGAGTAAATCAGTTTGGCACAGTGGTTATGAGAGCAGATTTTGGCTGTGACCTGGCTTTATATGCTGGCTCTACTCTTTACTACATATGTGAACTTGGACAAGTTACTTAACTTCTTTATGCTTCAATTTCTTCCTTTGTTAAAAGGGGATAACGTGCCAGGTGCAGTGGCTCATGCCTGTAATCCCAGCACGTTGGGAGGCTGAGGTGGGTGGATCACTTGAGGTCAGGAGTTCCAGACCAGCCTGACCAACAGGTGAAACCCCGTCTCTACTAAAATTTCAAAAATTAGCCAGGCCTGGTGGCGTGCACCTATAATCCTAGCTACTCAGGAGGCTGAGGCAGGAGAATCACTTGAACCTGGGAGGCGGAGGTTGTAGTGTGCCAAGATCACGCCACTGCATTCTAGCCTGGGCGACAGAGCGAGACTCAATCTCAAAAAAAAAAAAAAAGGGGGGGGGGGGAGGCGGGGATAATGATAATGTTTTATAAGTGTTTTGTAGGTATCAATTTATCTAATTTCACAATAATCCTATAAGTAGTATAATTAAACTTATTTTACACATGAGAAAACCAAAGAACAGATGTTATCTGCCTTAGATCACAAAACTGGTAAATAGCAAACCAGAATTTGATCCTAGGCAGTGTGATTCACAACCTAGAGCCCTTAACTGCAATGATGTCTCCCTGCCTGTCCTAAAGGGTCATGCTCTGTACTGTGTGGCCTGAAAGCCCTTCTCCAAGTCTTGTTGGACCTGGGTGAACACCTGACCCAAAACGATACAATGCTTATATAGCCCAGCTAGAAAGATGACCTGAACTGGTCAGATTTTTTCACTCTGAGGAATTTGTTCTGAAAACATGGGAATAAACTGCCACATGATGGTGTGAACTACAACTGAGAGGTCCAGTACAGTTGGGGCCTTGATGGCCACTGGGAGTCTTATGTGAGGAGAATCAGCAGAGGGAAGAAGAGAAAAAAAATAGGGCAGATGCACCATGACAAAACTAATTAGAAGGGTTTGTGACCTCTGAGGGAGCAGCCAGCCTCATTCCGTTCCTAAACTTTCTCAGGTCTGGTCTCCTGAAGGCCCAACTGTCCTTAGTTCTTTTCTTTTCTTTTCTTTTTTGAGATAGAGTTTCGCTCTTGTTGCCCAGGCTGGAGTGCAATGGCATGATCTCAGCTCACTGCAACCTCCGCCTGCCAGGTTCAAGCAGTTCTCCCACCTCAGCCTCTCGAGTAGCTGGGATCACAGGCATGTTCCACCACACCCGGCTAATTTTGTATTTTTAGTAGAGACAGGATTTCACCAAGTTGATCAGGCTGGTCTCAAACTCCTAACTTTAGGTGATCCACCCACCTCAGCCTCCCAAAATGCTGGGATTACGGTCGTGAGCCACCGCTCCTGGCCGAGTCCTTAGTTCTTTGAGTGAGTCCACTGTGTATCCTTCCAAAAAAACAACAAACAAAAAATGCAGCTGTTATAATCATAGCAAAGAAAAATTCTTTACTTAACCTAGCATGGATGGTTCTCTGTTCCTTGTAAAATAATAACAGCAACCACAAAACAACCTTATTTAAAAATGGGCAAATAATTTGAACATACATTTCTCTAAAGAAGACATACAAATAGCCAACAAAGTATATAAAAAGATACCCAAAATTACTAATCAACAGGGAGATATTAATACAAATCAAAACCACAATGAGTTAACACGTCACACCAATTAGGATGGTTATTGTTTAAAAAAAAAAAAAAGGCCAGACATGATGGCCCACACCTGTAATCCCAGCACTTTGGGAAGTCGAGGCAGGCAGACTGCTTGAGCCCAGGAATTTGAGGCCAGCCTGGGCAACATGGCAAAGCCCCCTCTCTACAAAAAATACAAAAATTATCCAGGCATGGTGGCACGTGCCCATAGTCCCAGTACTCAGGAGGCTGGGGTGGGAGGATCGCTTGAGCCCGGGAGGCAGAGGTTGCAGTGGGTGGCAGAGCGAGACCGTGTCTCAAGAAAAATAAAATATAAATATAAATATAAATAAAACCAAATAAAAAGATAAGTATTGGTGAGGTTGTGAAGAAACTGGAACACTAGTATGATGTTGGTGAGAATGTAAAATGGTACTACAGCTATGGAAAACAGTATGGAGATTCTTCAACAAATTAAAAATAGAACTACAGTATAATACAGAAATCCTTCTTCTGGGTATATTTCCAAAAGAATTGAAATCAGGATCTCATAAAGATATCTGCACCTTCATGTTCACTGAAGCACTATTCACAATAGTCAAGATATGAAATCAACCTAAGTGTCCATCAACAGACAAATGGATAAACAAAATATAGCATATGCTAGAATATTATTCTGCCTTAAAAAGGAAAAAAGTTCTGACACACACTATAATATGGATGAACCTTGAGGACATATTAAGTGAAGTAAGTCAGTCACAAAAAGACAAATACTGTATGTTCCACTTATATGAGATACCTAGAGTGGTCAAATTCATAGAAAGAGAAAGTAGAATGGTGGCTACCAGAAGCAGGGCAGCAGTGGGGGTTGAGGGGAGATGGGGAGTTGTTTAATGGGCATAGAGTTTCAGTTTTGCAAGATGAAAAGAGATCTGAAGATTGGTTGTACAACGTGAATGTACTTAGTACTACTGAACTGTACACTTCAAAATGGTTAAGATAATAAATGTTATATTAGGTATATTTTACCACAATTAAAAAACCAGCAAGCAAACAAAACCAACCAACCAACAAAACAAACAAAAACCAACAAGAAAAAAAATGTTGTCAGTCATATTTAGACCATAGTGAGTCTGCGTTATTGAGAGAAATAGAGAGTTTGGGGAAAAATGCCTGTTGAGTGAGGAAGACATGAACTCAGTCACTTACATGTCCAGGTACGGTGTTCTATAGTGCACCAAGTAGAAATGTCCAGTCATGAGCTGGGGTACAGGCCTGAGGCTAGGAAGACAAAGCAGTAGCCCTTTACTGCAGGATTGATTAGACGAGAGAGGGCACTGGTTAGGACAAAGGAATCAGGCAGAGGACCATTACCATAATTCTAGTTTAGGAGAACAGTATTGGTATGGCCATACCATACTGTTGGCCATACCAATTGGTATGACCATACCATACTGTTGGCCATACCAATTGGTATGACCAAATTTTCCCCAGAAAGGGGAAGCTGGAGCCTGAGCAGGCGGTAGAGACTATTGCAAGTTCAGTAAGAGACACATATGTTTGGGGACATGCAAACATATTCAATTGGCAGTCAGTTTGCCTCCTGAAAGGGTGACTGGAGCTGAGAACCTACATTGCCTCTAGTGTAGCATTTCCTTAGGTAGGCTCTGAGTCCTCTGAGAAATGATTCCCTCTGATATTCACAGTGCACATGAATATATCAGAGGCCCTCAGAGTGTTCTGGGAAAGGGAATTGCTTAATTTTGTTAAACCTAGGTTTTCCTAAACTCATGTGACTGCCCTGCCTTTTTTTTCATAAAACATCTATTAATTTAATGAGGACTACACTTTGGGGAATTGTTCTCCTGTTCGTGAAGATATTTCTTAGTTGACAAAGGGAAGCAGAGGAGAAACTGGTTAGATAGTTGATAAATCTGTGAATATTCAATGTGTCCCTATTAAGTCACCAAAACAGACTGAGGAAGCTTCCAAAAACCCAGGCCTGGCCTGGAAACTGAGGACACTAACCCCTCTGCATGGGGAGCGGTGGTGAAGTTTGCTGGGGGCTTTGATCAAAGACAGCTTGCTGTCTTGGCTTTCTCCCTACACTGCATGTGCTAGTGAAGCCTGGCCAATCCCTCCCCTAGTTCTTTTTTATCCTCTACATTGGCTCCTTGTCCTTGCTTTTCCATTTGCATAACTAATGCACACAACACAGAGTTCCCGCAATTTTAAAGACAGCTGGCCAGCACATCTTGGATGCTGATGTCAGGAAACATCTGGAAGAGGGCTAAAGTTACTGAAGGCCCATCTGAGAACAATGGAAACACATTAATATGGAAAATTCAGTATTGGGGTTGGGGGGTGGCTTGTGTAAATAAAAATGGCTGTCAGACCAACTTATAAAAGTCTTGCGCAAAACCTTATTGTAGTTTTGGCACTAATACCACGGAGCAATTGAGTGGTAGTCCAGCTAAAACTGAAATATTGCTGCTTTGTTTTGTATATGTATCACTGAGACCTTCCTTTTCTTAAAAGGTTTCCTAGAAGTCCTGCCAGCTCAGCAAGATATTCTATTCTAAAAAGTTCATAAAATAGTGTTTTACTTTATAATAATATTAAGATGATCTCCCTTCTTTCTCCTTGTTCCCTCTTGCTCAAAATATAAGGATATAAAATAGAGTTCTGATACACCTTTTTCTGCTATCTCTAAGAAGTCAGTGTTGGCCAGGCATGGTGGCCAACCTCCTGTAATCTCAGCACTTTGGGAGGCTGAGGCGGGTGGATCACCTGAGGTCAGGAGTTCGGGACCAGCCTGATCAACATGGAGAAACCCTGTCTCTACTAAAAATACAAAATTAGCCGGGCGTGGTGGTGCATGCCTATAATCCCAGCTACTCGGGAGGCTGAGGCAGGAGAATCTCTTGAACCCAGGAGACGGAGGTTGTGGTGAGCCGAGATCACGCCATTGCACTCCAGCCTGGGCAACAGGAGTGAAATTCTGTCTCAAAAAATAAAAGAAGTCAGTGTTAGTAGAAATACTAAGGTTTACAAATATTTAAATGTGAACATTATAGAATGTGCACGAAAAATTTACATGTGAACATTCTTTTTCTTTTTTTCTTTTTTATTTTTTCTTTTGAGACAGAGTCTCTCTCTGTCACCCAGGCTTGACTGCAGTGGTATATTGTGTGATCTCAGCTCACTGCAGCCTCCACCTCCCAGGCACAAGCAATCCTCCTGCCTCAGCCCCTTATCCTGAGTAGCTGGGACTACAGGCACATGCCACCACACCTGGCTAATTTTTGTATTTTTTGTAGAGACGGAGTTTCAAATATTGCCCAGGCTGGTCTCAAACTCCTGGACTCAAGCAATCCACCCGCCTTGGCCTCCCACAGTGCTGGGATTACAGAAATGAGCCACCGCACTGCAACATTATTTTTCAGGGCTGTGTGGCATAGTAGTTAAATAAACAGATTTTGGAGTTTGAATTCTAGCTCCTCCTCTTACCCAATTATATGAAACTTTGAGAAAATTACTTAATTAGCATAACTTCATTTTGAAAATTATAACTATTTTTGCCAGTTGGAATTGTCATGAGGAGTGCACAAGCTAATATATGTTTTCAGTGCTTAATGATTAGTTGTCCAGGTTAGCTATTCTTACTGTGGTTTTGTTGATATATAAGGATTAAGAAGAAATCCCTGCTATAATCTATTTTGCAATCCAACTCCAAAACACTGAGCATTTGCTTTCAATTTCCTGCCCAACAGATATATGTTTTGGAATCAGGGTTTCTCCCCCTAAGTGTTACTTTAAAGTTCTACCTACTGTTTCACTTTATTTTGTAGAAACTGAAAATGGCATCTTGTCTCTTGTACAACTACAAGTTCATGATTACTATCTCATATTGTTTTCTGACATTTGAATTCTTGGTCTTGATACCTGCTTTTTCCCTCTGAAAGCTTGTTGGATTTTCTCCTATTTCTAAGGGTCTGACATTTCACAATGGTCTATTTTCATCCATTGTCTAGGTATTTTGGGGGCGCTATCAATCTGGCAGCTCACATCCTTTGGTTTTTGAAATCTTGAATTATTGATTTATTATGAGCTCCTCCCCATCAATTTTTCTGTTCTCTTTCTTTCTGGAACTCCTGTTTATTGAAATATTGTACCTTGTAGACTGATCCTCTGATTGTTTTTTCTTTCCTATTGTCCTTTTCTTTGTCTTTTAGCTTTATTTTCCTAGTTTCTCAACTTTATCATATAAACTGTCTAAGTTTTAAAATTCCATTATTATATTTCAAATTTCTAAGAGTTATTTTTTGTTCTTTTTATTTCATCCTGTTCTTATAACATCTTTTTACTTCTCTGAAGATATTATTAGCTTTTTTAAAAGCTTTTATTTCCCTGCATATTCTCAAGACTTTGTTTCCTCTCTAATTTTTGTTTTGTTTTGTTTTTCGTTGTTTGTTGTTGTTGTTTTTTTTTTTTTAACTTTTGTGTGTTCTGTCTCTCTCTTCTTTGGTAGGGGCTTTTTTCAGATGTCTGATAATTCTGGCCCTTCACTTGTATTTTAGAGCTAATGGGCACCTCTGTGCCATGGATGAAGCTTGTTACCTTTTGTCTTTAGAATGATCAGTCTGGGCCATTTCTATGGGAGGGGGATGTCCTTGTCTTTAGGTCTTTTTTCTTGGTCTGAGCAAGTTTTCTAGAAGGTAAATGTCTCCTCTCCTTCCTAGAATGGTTCCTTATGCTGGCTGCCTCTGTTCTGGAGGTTGAATTTGGACTGAGAATAGTGCTTCATTATATAAGCCTTTTTTCAAATCTGTCTGCTTTCAGCATAATATTCCCAGTCTTTATCGTGCCTAGTGTCCTAGCTCTGGCTTAGAGACCCTCTGTTATATCTTCTGCAGCAGTCACTAAACTGCATTTGGGAGGGAGGCTTTTGGGGTAGCCTACCCTGGGAAATGGCTTGCTTCTTGGTTTCCCCTGTGCTGATTTAGAATTTAGCCTTCTTAGTTTGTTACGTGATATGCAAAGTATCCTATTTTTTAGCTCTTAAAATTTTGTTGCTGTCATTATTTTCTCCCCCTTTTAATTTGTTAAAATCCTTTTATTTTTAATTTAATAGAGGTTTGGGGGTAAACACATTTGTTCAATCAGCCATCTTTAATCAGCATTTTTAAAAAGATATTCTTGGCCAGGCATGGTGGCTCATGCCTGTGATCTCAGCATTTTGGGAGGCTGAGGTGGGAGGATTGCTTGAGCTCAGAAGTTCAAGGCTGCAATGAGCCATGATCATGCCACTGCACTCCAGCCTTGGTGACAGAAGGAAAGCCCATCTCAGAGGTTTATCAGTCCATTCTTGTGTTGCTATAAAGGAATACTCAAGCTTGGTGATTTATAAGGTAAAGAGGTTTATTTTGGCTCATGGTTCCACAGGCTGGATGAGAAGCATGCGCCAGCATCTGCTTCTGATGGGGACTCAGGAAGCTTCCAATCATGGCAGAAGGTGAAGGGGAGCTGATGTGTCACATGGCAAAGAGGGAGCAAAAGAGACAGTGAGGAATTGCTAGGCTTGTTTTAAACAACCAGATCTCTTGTGAACTCATAGAGTGAGAACTCACTCATTATGTCGAGGACAGCACCAACCCTCTTATGAAGGATCCACCCCCATGACGCAAACACCTCCCAAGAGGCCCACCTCCAACACTGGAGGTCACATTTCAACATGAGACTTGGAGGGTATAAACATCCAAACCAAAATGAGGGTGGGGAGGAGATATTCTTAATGTAATACTTTTTTTCTGAAAAATTAGATTTTCTGTGCCAGAATCCCAAATCTAAGAAATCTAAGATAAAGTAATGTGCCTGAGAATAGCTTTGTAAATGTGTTCATTTAATTTCTAACTGGGTTTTAATATTTTGGCCGTCATAACTGTTGTGTGGTAAATATTTCTGTTTGTTGGCAAAACCCTTTTGGGTTGTTCATCACCTTTTATGTCATTATAGATGTAAACAACATGTGTGCTCCAGATGGACTCTGAAATCCAGGCTCCCACTTTATGACACACTCCTCTACAACACCAGAGACTCCCAAACACAAGGCCTTATATTGACTCATTTCAGCTCACATCCTGGCGACTCTCAAGAGAGAAACCTCAGAGTGACTAAAATCTCCATAATGAGAAGACATGTACATTCAGTATCTATTTTGGTAGGAGACTTTATATTCAGCCTTCTTTCTGTAGAGTAAGACGTGGAGATTTGGACTTAGGGTGGGCTGTATGTGGGGTGGAGAGTAACAAGATAAGCAAGGAATTAACTCCATAGTAAATGTTAACACTTTCTACATCTTTAACCCCAATTTTATGTGCCAAAGAAAGAATCCCCACAACTGATACCTTCCTGGCAGAACTGACTTCAGGAAAGGCAACTCAGGCAGATATTCGAGTAGGCCTAGACTGTGTGGGCCTGTGGCCAGTCTCACAACAAAACAGAATCAACAGCCTTGCAGTCTCAGAAATGCAGTGGTCATTCTGGTAAGCAATAGTCAAAACTAAAATTTCTTAAACTGATTTTTTGCCTCTATGGTCAAAGGAGAACTGATCCTACTTGTTATTTCATAGATGGAAAAATCCATTTGCCAATCAGGATGTGTCTGATACTCCTTTTTTTTTTGGTTTCAAGAGTAAAGTCAAGAAAAGCTGCTTTTTGAAAGTCAAAGAATCACAGTAGTTGTTATTTCTTAGTGCTTACTATTTGCTACATGCTTCACATACGTGGTCTCATTTAATCTTCCCAAACAATTTTGCCATAATATTATTACAACCATGTTGAATCTGAAAATAATAATAATAATAATAATAATAATAAGGCTTAGAGAGGTTGAGTAACTTACCTAAGGTTACCAAATTAGTAAAGACTGAACTGGGATTTAAAAGCAAGATTTGTAGAATTTTTCTCCAAAACCCAGAATCTCTGCATTGAGCCAGCCTGCCATTCTGAGACAGACAACATTCATAACACTTGCATATTGTTTGTACAGTGTTCATTGTTTAATGTAGGGCACATTTCATACATACCAAGAGGAATCATATGCTTATTCTTGCTAGTATATGGCAAACTTTTCCATTCTATAATACAAATATGACTGATGACTGCTGTCATCAGCCCAGCAAATCACCTTTCATCACAGGTACACAGATGACAAATACAGAGTACGGAAGGAGTCAGCTGAAGGTGCTGCTTGCCTGGGCTGTCTTTTTTTTTTTTTTGTTACATCTGCCACTTCATTTATTTTATTTGCAGGAGGAGTTGAAACCAATTTTAAGGGAGATTTTCATTTTCCCCCTAAACATGAATCATTCAAGTAAAACCAACTTAACTATAGAAATGTAGCAAAGTAAGGGGAAAGCAGCACAACAACCCAAGAGGCAAAGGCTGGGGGGAAGGGGTGGGTGCAGTCTGCGTATAACATATGCACAAATGCCTTATGATTCCCCTGCTCAGGACCGCCTCCCCAGAAGGCAAGCACAAGGGCCCATTTTAAGAGGATGTTTCCCCCCAAACATCTGAGAGCGCTTCAACTTAAACAGCTTACGGTTAAAAAGACAAAAAAGAAAGCAAAACTAACCAAAGAAACTCCAAAAAACCCCATGAACCACCCAGCCATAACTGCCTTCCTTAATCGATCATAGGAGTTTCATTTTATAAAAAGATAAATAAAAAACATTGAAAAAAATATTTTATCATGTTATATTTGTAAAGATAATAGAATTCATACGTTTCTTAGAAAACAGACCAGACACTGCCCTCCAGTTTCCACCCCATTGCTGGGAGGATCAGCAGGACTAGAAAGTTTGGGATACTGGAGCTGCCGGTGGAGAATGGGAAGTCCAGCCCAGAAGAAATTAGGAAATAGGGCTCAGGGGCACGTGAGGTGTGGTTAGGAGCAACTCCACGTGATACATGGCTGCACAGAAAAGGGGAACACAGGTGATCGGAAAGGCCTTAAACTCCTCCTTGACATACAAAACCGATTTTCACAAAGATCCAGGCAGTTTGGTCCCAAACTAAGGTGAACACTTCAAAGTTTATTCACATGCTTTACTTTCTCTTTTAAGAATCATCGTTTCCCAAATTAAATTAGATTTAAATTATAATGTTACTACATATGCCTAAAAAAAGAAAAGAAAAAAAAAGAAAGGCTTTTAAAATCAGGACAGGGGAGAAGAGATTGAAAATCATCAAATTAGTCCTCTTAGCTCCAAATGAAATGAAATTAAGAACAAAAACTCTGGGCCTACCGCACCGATTGCAGCTGCAGCTTGCAATGGCACCTTGGGCTGTCATTTTATCCAAAACAATCACTGCTCCGTAGAAAGACTGCAAAGACTTGGAGTCCTGTGTTTCAGTCCTGGTGTTGGTGCTAACCAGTTGTATTGGGCTTGTTACCTACGAAGAAAACTCACCTTTGTTAAATGCCCAGTGTGTATTGGGCACGGCTTTCTTTTTTAATTTATGTGGTTTTCTTTAGAAGCCCATACGTGTCCAAGGGTTATGAAGGATGCTAAAGTTAGACTCTTCCACCCATGGCCCCCAGCCTGTGATCCCATTCCCAGTGTTATCTATTGTTACCAATTTTGCATAATACTTCTAGAGTACCAGGAACTTTAAATATATTATGTCAGTTAAGTTTCCTGGTTATTGCTCCAATTTAATTTAATTTAATTTAATTTAATTTTTTTGTCTTTTTCAGGATTTAGGGCAGGAAAGGCAGGCTAGTGTATGTACTCAGTCTGCATATTTGCTCCAATTTATAACCCTATTTTACAGTTTCTGAAATTGAGCTTAGTAGCTACTTGCAAATAACTAATTAGTAGTGGAGCTAAGATTAATTCACCCTTTCTGTACTCACTGAATAACTATAATGGTACCATGCTAGGCTTTGAGGATGGGATCATGAGGCACATAGATCCTTCCTGTCAGTCTAGTGGAGGGGTTTTCTTTTTTTTATTAATTTTTTTTCTTTAATTAGGGATAGGATCTCACTGTGTTGCCCAAGGCTGGTCTTGAACTCCTGGGCTCAAGCAGTCTTCCCACCTCAGCCTCCCAAAGTGCTGGGATTACAGGCCTAAGCCACCTTGCTCAGCCAAGTGAAGAAGTTTTAAAAAGTAAATAGATAAGCTACTGCTTCCACTGTCACCATGTGATGTGCCTGCTCCCACTTTGCCTTCTGCCATAACCAAAAGTTCCTGAAGCCCTCACCAGAAGCTGAATAGATGTTGGTGCTACGCTTGTATAGTCAGCAGAACCGTGAGCCAGTTAAACCTCTGTTCTTTATAAATTGCCCAGTCTCTGGTATACCTTTATAGTAATGCGAAAGTGGACTGATACAGAAAATTGGTACTGATGAGTGGGGTGTAGCTATAAAGATATTTGAAGATGTAGAAATGGCTTTGGAACTGGGTCACAGGCAGAGGTTGGAAGAGTTTGGAGGGCTCAGAAGAAGACAGGAAGATGAGAGAAGGTTTGGAACTGCTTCAAGGCTGGTTAAATGGTTGTGACCAAAATGCTGATAGAGATATTGACAGTAAAGTCCAGGCTGATCAGGTCTCAGATGGAAATGGGGAAACTGTTGGGAACTGCAGTACAGGTTACTCATGTTATGCCCTAACAAAGAGCTTGGCTTTATTGTGTTCATGCCCTAGGGGTCTGTGGGAGTTTGAACTTAAGAGTGATGACTGGCTGAGCACGGTGGCTCATGCCTGTAATCCCAGCACTTTGGGAGGTCAAGGCAGGCAGATAACCTGAGGTTGGGAGTTCAAGACCAGCCTGACCAACATGGAGAAACCCCATCTCTACTAAAAATACAAAATTAGCCGGGCATGGTGACACATGCCTATAATCCCAGCTACTTGGGAAGCTGAGGCAGGAGAATCACTTGAACTGGGGAGGCAGAGGTTGCGGTGAACCAAGATCACACCATTGCACTCCAGCCTGGGCAACAAGAGCGAAACTCCATCTCAAAAAAAAAAAAAAAAAAGAATGATGACCTAGAATATCTGGCAGAAGAAATTTCTAAGCAACAAAGCATTCAAGATGTGCCCTGGCTGCTTCTAATCACCCACAATCAGATGCAGGAGCAAAGAAATGACTTAAAGTTGGAACTTACATTTAAAAGGGAAGCAGACTGTAAAAGTTTGGAAAATTTGTAGCCTTGCCATGTGGCAGAGAAAGAAAAACACTTTCAGGAGAGAAACACAAGCAGGCTGCAGAATAACCACTTGCTAGAGAGATTAGCATGACTAAATGGGAGCCAAGTGCTAACAGCCAAGACAATGGGAAAAAGGCCTCAAAGGTGTTTCAGGGATCTTCTAGGAAGTCCCTCCCATCACAGGCTCAGAGGCTTAGGAGGAAATAATAGTTTCAGGGGCCAGATCCAGGACATCACTGCTCTGTGGAACCTCAGGAACACTGCTCCCCACATCCTGGCTGTTCTGGCTCCAGCCTTGGCTCAAAGGGGCCCAGGTACAACTTGTGCTGCAGTTCTAGAGGGTATAATCCATAAGTCTTGGCAGTTTCCATGTGGTGTTAATTCTGCAGGTGCTCAGAATGCAAGTGTGAAGAAGGCTTGATGGTTTCCTCCTAGATTCTGGATATATGGAAAAGCCTGGGTGTCCAGGCAGAAGCCTGCCACAGGGGTGGAGCCCCTAGAGAGAAACTCTACTAAGGCAATGCCTAGGGGAGATGTGGATTCCAGTCCCCACCACAGTGTCCCCACCAGGGCACTGCCTCATGGAGCTGTTGGTGGGGGCCCACTGTATTAGTCTGTTCTCACACTGCTAATAAAGACATGCCTGAAAATGGGTAATTTATAAAGGAAAGAGGTTTAATTGACTCACAGTTCAACATGGCTGGGGAGTCCTCAGGAAACTTACAATCATGGCAGAAGTGAAACAGGCACGTCTTACATGGTGGCAGGTGAGAGAAGTGAAAACCAAGTGAAGGAGGAAGCCCCTTAGAAAACTATCAGATCTCGTGAGAACTCACTCACTATCACGAGAACAGTATGGGGGGAACTGCCCTCATGATTCAATTATCTTCACCTAGGCCTGCCCTTGACACATGGGGATTATTACAATTCAAGATGAGATTTGGGTGGGGACACAGAGCCAAACCACATCACCCACCATCCTCCATATTCCAGAATGATAGATTCACTGGCAGCTTGCACCTTCTTCCTGGAAAACATGCAAGTACTCAACTCCAACCTGTGAGAGCAATCACATGGGCTGCATCCTGCAAAGCCATGTGGGCAAGGCTGCTCAAGGCCTTGGAAGCCTATCCTTCACATCAGGATGCAGGACTTGGAATCAAGGATTATGTTGGAACTTTAAGATTTAATGCCTGCCCTCCTGGGTTCCAGACCTGCATGGGCCTATTACCCCTTTCCTTTGGCCAACTCCTCCCTTTTGGAATAGGAATGTTTACCCAATGCCTGTACTACCACTGTATCTTTGAATTCAATAACTTGTTTTTTTATTTTACAGGTTTATAGATAGAAGGAACTTGGCCTTGAGTTTCAGATGAGACTTTGGACTTTTGGACTTTTGAGTTAAGGCTGGAACAAGTTAAGACTTTAGGGGACTATTACAAAGGCATGATTGTATTTTGAAATGTGAGAAGGACATGAGATTTGGGGGTGCAGTGGCAGAATAGTATAGTTTGGATGTTTGTCCCTTCCAAATCTTATGTTGTAATGTAATCTCCGGTGTTGGTGGTGGGACCTGGTGGGAGGAGGTTGGATCATGGGGCTTTGGGTAGTGTGGACATATTAACAATATTGATTCTTCCAGTCCATGAACATGGAATATATTTCCATTTATTTGTGTCCTTTTCAATTTTTTTCATCAATGTTTTATAGTTGTCATGATCCCTCGTGAATGGCTTAGCATCATCCCCTGGGTGATGAGTGAGTTCTCACTCTGGTATTTTACATGAGATCTGTTTGTTTAAAAGACTGTGGCACCTTTCCCCTCTCTCTTGCTCCCACTCTTGCCACATGACATGCCTGCTCCCACTTACCTTCTGCTATGATTATAAGCTTCCTGAGGCCCTCACCAGAAGCTGAGCAGATGTTGGTGCCATGCTTGTACAGCCTGTTGAATTGTGAGCCAATTAAACCTCTTTTATTTATAAATTCCCCAGCCTTAGGTATTCCTTTATAGCAATATAAAAATAAACTAAAACATCTATCATGTGCTGTGGTTCTTACTGGAGCACCATCAACTCAACTTGTAGCACTGAGGAAAGCTGTTAGAAAAAGTGACCTCCGTGCTAAGACATCAGGAATGAGCTAGGAGTTAGCCAGGTGAAGGGGAAAATGTTAGAGGATGGACAGAAGAGTAATCTTAAGCCTGATGTTTTGGGAGGCTTTCAGGGTGACTGGAACTGTTGTGGGAGTGTGCCCAAGGTGACTGGGGAGGGGTAAACTGAAGACTGAGTAGTTCAGATATTGTAAAGCCTGTGAGGATTTAGTAGGGGAGTGATGTGATCACATTCTAACTATGGGATGGAGAATGAATTCAAAAACGCCATGCTCGTTGAGAGGCTGCCACAGGGGAGAACCCATAGCAGCCTGAGTCAAGGTCAATGCTGAGGTATTTGGGAAGCAGAAGCAAAAGACCTTCAGGGACTGGTATGCAGCAATGATCATGAGAATAGATTCTGTAACCACCAGGAATCTTTGCTCTGTTGTTTCCTGATAGCAGAACCATTGGACATTGAATTGTTTGTGATATTGTACAGGGCATTGTTATAACCTTTTTAAATATCACTTTTCTAATTTGCAAGATGGGAGTAAAAATGGGGTCAAAATGGGGATACTATTAGTACTTACCTTGTAAGGTCATCATAAGAACTAAAAGAGAATTCCTGTAAAGGTTGGTTGTAGTGTAGTTCCCACATATATTAAGCATTTAGGAAATCTCAAAGCAAAGGGAGGAGCCAAGCATGTCTTTCCAGGTACAACCTTGGGCATCTAAGTGCTTGGTGTTGCCAGTCTCTGTGTTGAGGAACACAGAAAAGGGACAGATTTGGAGGAAGGTGATAAATTCGGCCTGCATTTGTTTGAGTCCAAAGCCCAAATCTCTTCACTACACCAGTTTCCTTAAAGACACTGCCACTTCCTATCTGTGTGATTTTTTTTTTTTTTTTTTTTTTTGAGACAGAGTCTCGCTCTGTCGCCCAGGCTGGAGTGCAGTGGCGTGATCTCGGCTCACTGCAAGCTCCACCTCCTGGGTTCACGCCATTCTCCTGCCTCAGCCTCCCGAGTAGCTGGGACTACAGGCGCCCACCACCACACCCGGCTAATTTTTTGTATTTTTTGGTAGAGACGGGATTTCACCATGTTAGCCAGGATAGTCTCAATCTCCTGACCTCATGATCCACCCGCCTCGGCCTCCCAAAGTGCTGGGATTACAGGCATGAGCCACTGCGTCCGGCCTCCTGTGTGATCTTTTTTAAATATATATATATATATTTTTTTCTTTTCTTTTCTTGTTTTTTTTTTTTTTGAGATGGAGCCTTGCTCTGTCGCCCAGGCTGGAGTGCAGTGGTATGATCTCGGCTCACTGCAGCCTCTGCCTCCTGAGTTCAAGCAATTCTCCTGCCCCAGCCTCCCAGGTACCTGGGATTACAGGCGCCTGCCATCATGCCCAGAGAATTTTTGTATTTTTAGTAGAGATGGGGTTTCACCATGTTGGCCAGGCTGATCTCAAACTCCTGACCTCAAGTGATTCGCCTGCCTTGGCCTCCCAAAGTGCTGTGATTACAGGTGTAAGCCACTGCGCCCATCCCTTTAATAATTTTTTTATTTTTAATTTTTATGAGTACATAGTAGGTACATATATTTATGAAGTGGGTGAAATATTTTCATACAGGCATACAATGAACAATAATCCCATCAGGGTAAATGGGGTATCATCACCTCAAGCTTTTATCATTTCTCTGTGATATAAACATTCAGATTATATTCTTATTTTAAAATGTACAATAAATTATTGTTGGCTGTAGTCACCCTGTTGTGCTGTCAAATACTAGATCTTATTCTTTCTATCTACCTATATTTTTGTATGTATTAACCATCCCCACTTGCATCCACCTTCACTATCTTTCCCAGCCTCTGGTAATCATCATTCTACACTCTATCTCCATGCATTCAAGTGTTTTAATTTTTACCTTTCACAAATGATTGAGAACATGCAAAGTTTGTCCTTCTGTGCCTGGCTTACTTCACTTACCATAATGTGTTCCAATTCCATCTGTGTTGCAAATGACAGGATCTTATTCTTTTTATGGCTGAACAGTACTCTATTGTGTATGTGTACCATATTTTCTCTATCCATTCATCTACTGATGAACACTTAGGTTGATTCCAAATCTTGGCTATTATGAATAGTGCTGCAGTGAACATGGAGTGCAGACATCTCTTCGATATAATGATTTTCTTTATTTTGCGTGTATACCTAGCAGTGGGATTGCTGGATCATATGGTAGTTTTTTAGTTTTTTGAGACACCACCATACTGTTCTGCATAATTGCTGTATTAATTTACATTCTCACCAACAGTGTATGAGGGTTCTCGTTTCTCTGCATCCTTGCATTATTGCCTGTCTTTTGGATACAAGCCACTTTAACTGGGGTCAGATGATATCCCATTTTGTTTTGGTTTGCATTTCTCTGATGATCAATAATGTTGAACACCTTTTCAGGCACCTGCTTGCCATTTGTATGTCTTCTTTTGAGAAATGTCTGTTTAGATATTTTGCCCATTTCAATTGGATTATTATTTTATTTTTCCCCATTGAGTTATGTATCTTCTATTTATTAATCCCTTGTTTTTTTGTTGTTGTTTGTTTGTTTTGTTTTTGAGACAGAGTCTTGCTCTTGCTCTTGCTCTGTCGCCCAGGCTGGAGTGCAGTGATGCGATCTCGGCTCACTGCAACCTCTGCCTCCCGGGTTCAAGCAATTCTCCTTCCTCAGCCTCCTGAGTAGCTGAGATTACAGGCGCCTGCCACCATGCCCAGCTAATTTTTTTGTATTTTTAGTAGAGACGGGGTTTCCCCATGTTGGTCAGGCTGGTCTCGAACCCCTGACCTCGTGATCCACCTGCCTCGGCCTCCCAAAGTGCTGGGATTATAGGCGTGAGCCACCGCGCCCAGCCTATTAATCCCTTGTTAGATGGATGGTGTGCAAATATTTTCTCCCACTTCGCTTTGTCTTTTCACTTCATTGATAATATCCTTTGCTGTCCAAAAGCTTTTTAACTTGATTTGATTCAATTTGTCCATTTTTGCTTTGGTTGCTTGGCCCAGACCAATGTTCTGGAGAGTTTCTCCTATGTTTTCTTTTAGTTGTTTTATAGTTTCAGGTCTTATATTTAAGTCTTTAATCCATTTATATTTGATTTTTATATATCAAGATATACAAAATACAAGATATTTTGTATATCAAGAGATAGTAATCTAGTTTTATTATTCCACAGATGGATATCCAGTTTTCCCATCATTATTTGTTGAAGAGACTGTCCTTTCCCCAGTGTATGTTCTTGGTACCTTTGTTGAAAATGAATTCACTGTAGATGTATAGATTGATTTCTGGGTTCTCTATTCTGGGTTCTCTATTCTGTCCCATTGGTCTGTGTTTCTGTTTTATGCCAGTACCTTGCTGTTTCAGTTACTATAGCTCTGTGATATAATTTGAAGTCAAGTAATGTGATTCCTCCAGTTTTGTTCTTTTTGCTCAAAATGGCTATGACTATTCTAGGTCTTTGGTGGTTCCATATACATTTTAGGATTTTTTTTTCTGTTTATGTGAAGAATGTCATTGGTATTTTGATAAAGCTTTCATTAAATCTGTAGATTGCTTTGCGTAGTGTAGGCATATTAACAATACTGATTCTTCCAATCCATGAACATGGAATATATTTCCATTTATTTGTGTCCTTTTCAACTTTTTTCATCAATGTTTTATAGTTGTCATGGTATAGATCACCACTTCTTTCGTTAAGCTTATTTCCAGGTATCTAATTTTATTTATAGTTATTGTACATGGGATATTATCTTGATTTCTTTTTCAGATTGTTTGCTGTTGGCATATAGAAATGCTACTGATTTTTGTATGTTGGCTTTGTATCCTGCAACTTTATGAAATTTGTTTATTAGTTCTAATTGTTTTTTGGGGGAGTCTTTAGGTTTTTCCAAATATAAGATCATATCATCTGCAAACAAGGATAATTTGACTTCTTCTTTTCCAATTTGTATGCCCTTTATGTTTTTCTCTTTTATGATTGCTCTAGCTAGAACTTCCAGTAGTATGTTGAATAACAGTGGTGAAAGTGGAGCCATGCACGGTGGCTTACACCTGTAATCCCAGCACTTTGGGAGGACTAGGTGGGTGGATTACCTGAGGTCAGGAGTTCACGACCAGCCTGGCCAACATGGTAAAAACCCATCTCTACTAAAAAATACAAAAATTAGCTGTGTGCAGTGGCCGGCACCTGTAATCCCAGCTACTTGGGAGGCTGAGGCAGGAAAATCGCTTGAACCTGAGAGGCAGAGGTTGCAGTGAGCTGAGATCGCACCATTGCACTCCAGCCTGGGCGACAAGAATGAAACTCCGTCTCAAACAAACAAACAAACAAACAAACAAACAAACAGTGGTGAAAGTGGGCATCCTTGTTGTATTCCCAATCTTAGAGGAAAGGCTTTCAGTTTTTTCCCATTAAGTGTGACACTAACTGTGGGTCTGTCATATATGGCTTTTATCGTGTTGAGGTATATTCCTCAACACATTACCCAGTTTGTTGAGGGTTTTCATCATGAAGGGATATTGAATTTTATCAAATAGTATTTCAAGATTAATTGAAATGATCAGATGGTTTTTATCTTCTGTTGATATGATGTATCACATTCTTTGATTTGCATATGTTGAATCATTCTTGCATCCTTGAGATAAATTCCACTTGGTCATGGTGAATTATTTTTTAATGTGTTGTTGAATTCAGTTTGCTAGTATTTTGTTAAGGATTTTTGCATCAATGTTCATCAGAGATATTGGCCTATAGTGTTCTTTTTTCTTTTTGTTCCTTTTTCCTTTTCTTTCTCTCTTTTTTTTTTTAATGTGTCTTTGTCTGGTGTTGGTATCAGGGTAATACTGACTTCATAGAATGAGTTTGGAAGAATTCACTCCTCCTCTATTTTTTGGAATAGTGTGAGTAGCATTAGTATTAGCTTTTCTTTTTAAATGATTTTTTTTTTTGAGACGGAGTCTCGCTCTGTCACCCAGGCTGGAGTGCAGTGGCGTGATCTCGGCTCACTGCAAGCTCTGCCTCCCAGGTTCACGCCATTCTCCTGCCTCAGCCTCCCGAGGAGCTGGGACTACAGGCGCCTGCCACCACGCCCGGCTAATTTTTTGTATTTTTAGTAGAGACGGGGTTTCACCGTGTTGGCCAGGATGGTCTCGATCTCCTGACCTCGTGATCCACCCACCTCGGCCTCCCAAAGTGCTGGGATTACAGACATGAGCCACCGCGCCCGGCCTTCTTTTTAAATGTTTTGTAAAAATTAGCAGCGAAGCCATAGAGTCCCAGGTTTTTTTTTGCTGGCATACTTTTTATTATAGCTTTGATCTCATTGTTTTGGTCTCTTCAGGTTTTGAATCTCTTTGTGGTTCCATCTTGGTAGGTTGTGTGTTTCTAGGAATTTATTCATTTCTTCTAGGTTTTCCAATTTATTGGCATATAGTTGCTCATAGTAGTCTCTAATGATCTTTTGAACTTCTGTGGTATCAGTTATAATGTCTCCTTTTTCATCTCTGATTTTATTTATCTGAGTCTTCTTTCTTTTTTTCCTAGTCTGGCTAAAGGTTTGTTGATTTTATCTTTTCAAAAAAAAAAGAAATTTTCATTTTATTGTTCCTTTGTATTGTTTTTTAAATTTCATTTTTGTTTATTTCTGCTCTGATCTTTATTATTTATTCTACTAATTTTGGGTTTGGTTTGCTCTTGCCTTTCTGGTTTTTTAAGATGCATCATTAAGTTGTTTATTTGAAGTTTTTCCTCTTTCTTGATGTAGGCATTTATTGCTATAAACTTTCCTCTTACTACTGCTTTTGCTGTATCCCATAGGTTTTGGTATGTTGTGTTTTTATTTTTATTTGTTTCAAGAAATTTTTTCTTTTAAAAAAAAATTTTTAAATTTTAAATTTTTTCTCAATCAATGCCATGCCAGAATTTCAAGAAATCTTTAAAGTTGTTTCTTGATTTCTTCATTGATTCACTGGTCATTCAGGAGCATTGTTTAATTTCCATGTGTTTATATAGTTTTCAAAGTTCCTTATGTTATTGATTTCTCGTTTTATTCCATTGTGAACAGAGAAAATACTTAAAATGATTGCAGTGTTTTCATAGCCTAATAAATGGTCTGTTCTTGAGAATGATCCATGTCTTGAGGAGAAGAATGTTAATTCTGTAGCCATTGGATGAAATGTTTTGTAAACATCTACTAGGTCCATTTGGTGTATAGTGCAGATTAAGTCTGATGTTTCTTTGTTGATTTGCTGTCTGGATGATCTGTGCAATGCTAAAAGCAGGGTGCTAAAGTCTCTAGCTATTATTATATTAGGATCTATCTCTATCTTTAGCTCTAATAATATTTGCTTTATATATCTGGATGCTCCATTGTTGAGTGCATGTATATATTTATAATTGTTGTATTATCTTGCTGAATTGATGCCTTTATCATTATATAATGACCTTCTTTGCCTATTTTTATAGTTTTTGACTTGAAATCTATTTTGTCTAAGTATAGCTACTCCTGCTTTTTTTCATTTCCATTTTCATGGAATGTCTTTTTCCATCCCTTTATTTTTAGTCTATGTGTGTCTTTATAGGTAAAGTGTGTTTTGTGTAGGTAACAGATAATTGGGTCTTGTTTTTATATCCATTCAGCCACTCTATGTCTTTTGATTGGAGAGTTTAGTTCATTTACAGTCAATGTTATCGTTGGTAAGTGGGGACTTACTCCTGCCAGTTTGTTGTTTTTTGGTTTTATCTCCCTTCCTTCCTTCTTTTCTGTCTTCCTTTTTGTGAAAATGATTTTCTCTGGTAGTATGTTTTAATTTCTTGCTTTTTATTTTTTGCATATCTGTTGTGGGTTTTTTAATTCAAGGTTACCATGAGGCTTGCAAATAATGTCTTATAACCCGTTATTTAAAACTGGTAACTTAACTCTGATTGCAAAAACAAAGAAACTAACAAGCCAAGGGAAAACTAATAAAAACTATACTTTTACTTCGTCCCTGCCTCTTACTTTTAACTCCTTGTGGTTTCTGTTTCTATCTTATTATACTATCTATATCTTAAAAGTTATTGTAGTTGTTATTTTTGATAGGTTCATCTCTTTAGTATTCCTACTCAAGATATGAGTAGTTTATACACCACAATTGTAGTGTTATAGTATTCTGTATTTGTCTGTGTACTCACTATTACCAGTGAGTTTTGTATGTTCAGATGATTTCTTATTGCTCATTAATTCCCTTTAGCATTTCTTATAGGACAGATCTGTTATTGACAAAATCCCTCAGCTTTCATTTATCTGGGAAAGTCTTTATTTCTCCTTCATGTTTGAAGGATATTTCCACAGGATATAGTTTTCTAAGATAAACATTTTTTTCTTTCAGTACTTTAAATATGTCATGCCATTGTTTCCCGGCCTGCAAGGTTCCCACTGGAACTCCTTTATGTGTTACTTGTTTCTTTTCTTTTGCTGCTTTTAGGATCCTTTCTTTATCCTTGACCTCTGGGAGTTTGATTATTAAATGTCTTGATATGGTCTTATTTGGGTTATTCTTTTTTTTTTTCTGTCTTCTTTGCTTTTTTTTTTTTTTTTTTTTTGAGATAGGTTCTCACTCTGTCACCCAGGTTGGAGTGCAGTGGCATGATCTCAGCTCACTGCAACCTCCACCTCCTGGGCTCAAGCAATCTTCCTGCCTCAGCCTCCCAAGTAGCTGGGACTACAGGTGCAAACCACCATGCCCCACTAATTTTTGTGGTTTTGGAGAGATGGGGTTTCACCATGTTGCCGAGGCTAGTCTTGAACTCCTGAGCTCAAGTGATCCACCCACCTCAGCCTCTCAAAGAGCTAGGATTATAGGCATGAGCCACCACTCCAAGCATGCCCATGTATTTTCAAATAGCCTGTCTTGAAGCTCACTAATACTTTCTTCTGTTTAAGCCATTCTGCTGTAGAGAGACTCTGATGCATTCTTCAGTTTCTCAACTGAATTTTTCAGCTCCAGAATTTCTCCTTGATTTTTAAAATTTATTTCAATTTCTGTTAAACTTATCTAATAGGATTTTGAATTCCTTTTCTGTGTTACCTTGAAGTTCATTGAGCTTCCTCAAAACAGCTATTTTGAATTCTGTCTCTAAAAGGTCGCATGTCTCGGTCACTCTGGGATTGGTTACTGGTTTCTTATTTAGTTCATTTGGTGAGGTCCTGTTTTTCTGGATGGTCTTGATGCTTGTGAATATTCATCAATGTCTGGGTACTGAGGAGTTAGGTATTTATTCTAATCTTCACAATGTGGGCTTGTTTGCA
This sequence comes from Homo sapiens, assembly GCF_000001405.40. Classification (NCBI taxonomy): domain Eukaryota; kingdom Metazoa; phylum Chordata; class Mammalia; order Primates; family Hominidae; genus Homo; species Homo sapiens. The sequence goes on along the minus strand of NC_000003.12, from coordinate 149,688,674 downwards.
CTCACATTTCTCGAGAATGTTTTCCAAGTACTCAAAGGAAATTGAGTGTTGTGATCTAAGTCTTTGGTCACTGAAGCCATATATGCATTAGGAGGCACCCCAATCCCAGTAATGCCATGACTCTTGCAGACTTGTAGAAGTACTGCCTTGGTAGTCTTAGATAAGAACTGGGAGGATTCCCTGGATTACCAGGCAGTCTTCTATTCTCTTCCCTACTTTCCCTCAAATAGAATCTCTCTCTCCATTCTGAGCTGCCTGGAGTTGGGGGAGGGGTGACACAAGCACTCTTGTGGCCACCATTGCTGGGACTGTGCTGGATCACACCTAAAGCCAGTAAAGTACTGGGTCTCGCCCAAGGCCTGTGTCAATTATTGCCTGGCTATTGCTTATGTTTACTCAAGGCCTAAGGGCTCATTAGTCAAGAGGTGATGAATCCTGCCAGGCTTGCGTCTTTCCCTTCAGGGCAGTGGGTTCCCTTCTGGCCCAGGGTGGGTCTAGATATGCTGTCTGGAAGCTAGGACCTGGAATTGGGAACTTTAGGAATCTATTTAGTACTTTATTTTACTGTGGCTAAGCTGGTACCCACATTGCAAGAAAATGACCTTTTTATTCTTCCCTCTCCTTTCCTCAAGCAGAAGTCTCTCTTTTCCTCAAGCAGAAGTCTCTCCCCATGTCCACCACCACCATGAGCCCCAGGTCCATGGCAACAACTGCCTGGCTACTGCTGATGTTTATTCAAGGCACAAGGACCCTTTAGTAAGCAGGTGAATCCTGTCAGGTCTTTGTATCTCCCTTCAGGACAGTGGGTTTCCTTCAGACCTAGGGCAGATCTACAAATGCCATCCAGGAGCTAAGGCCTGGAATTGGGGACCTTAGGGGTCTGTGTGGTACTTTATTTTACCATGGCTGAGCTGGTACCCAAATTGCAAGACAAAGTCCTTTTTACTTTTCCCTCTCCTTTCTTCTAGCGGAAGCTGTCTTTCCCATGGCCACCATAGGTGAGAACGTACTGGGTCACACCTAAAAGCAGCACTACCTAGCTGTGTGATCTTGAGCGAATTACTCAATATCATCATCTGCAAAATGGAAATGATAGTAAATAGTACCTTTCTCATATGATTGTTATAAGGATTAAATGAGTTAACATGTGAACCTGGTATATTATTAGCTACTGTAATTGGTTGTAAAAGTCTGGATATACCTAATGGTACACTTTTTAAAAAATCTTTTTGCCTCTAATATTACAGGTTGAATGTCAGGCATGCCATCTCTTTTCAAATAGATTTAAACTAAAAACATTATTAAAGAAGAAATGAGAGATTGCTCTGGCTACAGGATGAAGAAATGATCAGAGTCAGGGCAGGATTCACCAGGAGAGCAACTCAGTAGTGAGTTCCAGTTAGTTCTAGAGGCTATGATGCAGCTATCTTACAGATAAGCACGCGGGGCAAGTTGCTAGGGGAACCCAGGCTCTAAAATTGCAGTTGAAGTAGGTAAGCTCTAAAATTGCAGTAGGTAAAAGGTAATATGGGTAAGATAATTGCTGCTGGTAGAACTCAATGAGAGGGAAGGCCTGGGGGAGACTGTCAGTAGTGAACCTGGGGCCTAGAGGCAACAATAAAAGTAATGCTTATTTTCAGTTCCTGCAGTCTGTGGCTCCTTCAAACATATTCCTGAGGGCAAAAGGTAACTGACCTTAGGGTGAGGTAGTTGGACGACAGAGTATATAGGTAAAGCAAAGAAAGGCATTGTAGAGCTACACACAGCATTTGCAAAGCCATAAAATGTGCAACAGATGTACTCAGAACTCCCATAGTTCAGAAGCGGGGTGGATAGCAATGAGAGAAGAGACCCCAGGAGAATGGAGAAGGGGCTAGATTATGCTGTCTTGTATGCTATGCATGGCAGCCTCTTTTTAGTGCCTGCTTAGTATTTATCTATCCCTCAGGGAATATGACCCTATTCCTAGCTCAGGGGTAAATCCTGATAGTCTACACCAATCATAATAATCTATTTCATTTCCTAGCATTGGTTTAGGTGTGTGTGTGTAACCCAGTGTAGTCAATGAGACATAGAGAAAAGTTGCCTAGGAGGTCTTTGGGAAAGATTTCTTCACTCTATTATTTATATATATATAGAGAGAGATGGTGTCTTGCTGTATGTATTGCCCAGGCTGGAGTGCAGTGGCTATTCATAGGTATTCATTGGTATGACCATAGCCTTGAACTCCTGGCCTCAAGGGATCCTCCAGCCTCAGCCTCCTTATAGCCTTGGACTTCAGCTACTGGCCACCATCCCTAGCTGGTTTCTTCACTCTTAAAGGATACCTAAGGAATAGTCAGTCTCTTTTCTTCCACTGATGTTGATGTCTGAGATGTGATGCCTGGAAATAGGGCTACTATGTTGTGACCATGAATGGATCTAGCCTGAAAACCAAGCTCGAATACTCCAAGAATGGTAGAGCAGAGATAGAACAAACTGGAGTCATTTATGTCATTGTGGGGCACTGCATCAGCCAAACATAAAGGTGCTCTACTTGGTAACCTCTTGCTATTTGAGATAATAAATGTTTCCTATTGTTTAAGCCAATCTGAGATAGGGCTTTCTGTTATTTGTGGCTGAAGGCATGGTAATTGAAACAACATGCAAAGAAACTTAGCCTTATCATGTAGGGAACATGAGATCAAAAAAAGATCTTTAAGCAAGAAGTGACAATAGCATTTTTTTGCATTGTGGACTAAGCAGTCTGTCAAATAAATTCACTATAATTTTAACATTTAAATGTACCCCAAGTTGATTTTGTCCCATGATATAACAAATACCATATGTTATATTACATATGCCATTTAGTTTGAAGTAAATTTACAAACTGGAATTTAAAATGATAACGTCTACTCTGCTAATGATGTTGAGTATGTACTAGAGGAAGTGAGAGTGAAGAAAAATGATCAGTTAAGTCCATGAGAAGTAATGAGAACTTTAATGAGGAGGAATTGATGAATCAAGAAGCAATATCATCTGGACTTAGTGATGACTGGTGGTAAAAGGGGAGGATTACAAAATGATTCCAAAATGTTGGGCTTGGATTTCCAGGGCTCTATTTACCAGGAGAAGAGCCTGAAGAAGGTTTTGGTTGCAGTGACCAGAAACCTAATCAAGCTAGCTAAGGAAGGATACAGGAGTATCTCTCAGAGCCCAGAGCAAGAAGTTTCACTGGGCCTCAGCCAGAGTAGACTGAACCCTAGGGAACTGGATTCTACCTGTTCTGGGTGATGGCATATGGTCTGTCATTTCTGCTTCTCTCAGCACATCAGCCTCATTTTCTCCAGACTGGTTTTCTCTGTTGGGCGTGGTGATCTTATAGTTATCCCAGCCCCAGCTTTCTTGGACCCAGCAGAGACTAACTCAGGTCTTCTATGTTTCAGTTCCAAACTCTCGGGAGAGAGACTCTAAATAGTCCATCTTCGATCAGGTGCCCATTCTTTGTCCTGAGAGTTCTGGTTGAACAGCTAAATTAGTGGTTTGTAAGGCAATTCCTCCCAGGATTATAAGAGAGCATGTCCTCTAAAAGGGGATATGGGAATAGCGAAACAGTAAATTGATGGAGGAGATGATTACATTTCAAGTATATTAGTGGCTACAAATGATGAAACAGATAGGGATGGGAGCAAATGATAAATTAAAATTTGAATATATTAATTTTGTGGAGCTCAAGGGACCATCAGTGGAAAATGTCTTTTAAGCAGAGATCTGAACTGAAGTTGGAAAGGTGACACCATCAGAATGTAGGTGGGAATAAAAAAAGAAAGAAGGCTGGGTACAGTGGAGCACACCTGTAATCCCAACAATTTGAAAGGCAGAGGTGGGAGGATTGCTCGAGCCCAGGAGTTCGAAAGCAGCCTGAGCAACATGGTGAAACCCCGTCTCTACAAAAAATACAAAAATTAGCTGGGTGTGATAGCACACAACTATAGTCCCAGCTACTCGAGTGGCTGAGGTGGGAGGATTTCTTGACCCCAGGAGGTTGGGCCTGCAGTGAGCCAGGATCGCCCCATGGCACTCCAGCCTGGGTGACAGAGTGAGACACTGTCTCAAAAAGGAAAAAAAAAAAAAGAATAATGAGATATGAGACAGACCTATCAGAAGGATCACATAGACTGAGAAGAGGAGAGTCAAGGTTTGTGCTACCAGACACACTGATTTGTTTTTATTTTATCTACTTTTAAAGTAATGAATAGTTCAATTTTTAGAATCTTGAAATGGTATTTATAAAGAGTTTCCTTCCCACCCGTGTCCCAGCCATACATTTCCCTTCCCTGTAGGCGATATCATCATTTATATCTTTTCAAAGATCAGCTGGGCGTGGTGGCTGACGCCTGTAATCCTAACACTTTGGGAGGCTGAGGCGGAAGGGCATTTGAACCCAGGAACTCAAGACCACCCTGGGCAACATAGCGAGACCCTGTCTCTACTTATGTGATTATATATATATATATTTTCTAAATAAAAAATGTTAAAAAATGATAATCTATGCATGTACCAGTAAATACCTTTATTATTTCTACACCCCCCATATTTTTCAAACACAAATAGTAATATACCATTTACTTAACTTATTTAAACAATTCCTTAGTGATGGATGTTTAAAGTGTTTTCAACTTTTGCTATTATGAACAAAACAACAATGAATAACTGGAGTGCAATTTTTTTTAAAGAAATGGGTGAAGAAGATAAACTAATGAAGAGCCTTGAGGAGGTCGTCAATGGCTCTTGCTCCCACAGTGCCACTCAAACTACAGTAACAGGAGCCATCCATAATCTCCACCCCAGCTCGTCTCTCTTGGACATTGCATGCTGTCATGCTTCTCCCTTGGCTGTCACACCCCCTTCCCATTGGTTTTCCACTCGCTTATCTACTCTTTGCCAGACCCCTGGCTCTTGTCTAAATCTATCCTGTTCTTTTTCTTTTTCTTTTTTTTTAAAGGCAGAATCTTGTTCTATTGCCCAGGCTGAAGTGCAGTGGTGCAATCTCAGCTCACTGCAACCTCCACCTCCCAGGTTCCAGAGATTCTCCTGCCTCAGCCTCCTGAGTAGCTGGGATTACAGGCGCATGCCACCATGCCCAGCTAATTTTTGTATTTTTAGTAGAGACGGGGTTTCACCATGTTGGCCAGGCTGGTATAGAATTCCTGACCTCAAGTGATCCATCCGCTTTGACCTCCCAAAGTGCTGGGATTACAGGCATGAGCCCCTGTACCCAGCCTAAATATCCTAAGTGAGGCAGGGCAACTGCAAGAAGTTATTCTGTGGTTACACCTCTGGAATCTAGAAAGGCCTTTAAGTGTAAACCCATTATGAAAACTAACAATCTCACTAATAGGGATACATTAATATCATTCCTCAATATTTACTAGCCATGTGACCTTGGACAAACTCATTGACCTTTCTGAGCCTTACTTTCCTCACTTGTAAAATCAAAAGAATAATAGTATCCCTTTCATAGGGTGGTTGTGAGGATGAAATGAAAAGATGTATGTAAGCACTCAGAAATAATACTTGGCAGTCGCACTCTTTGCAGAAGATAATGAAAAGCATTTCATAGTAACAGCTCATTGCATTTCAGCTAATATAGAGCTATCCCCAGATGGGCACCTGGGAATTCCTTTCCCCATCTTTGTCTTTTTGTCTTTTCTATTTTACCCTATTGCACATCCCCCAGGGTCCATGCTTCATCCTGCCAGAGCCACAGGAGGTTCAAGGCCAAAGTCAAGTTGGGAAGACTGAAGGTGGCTTCTTACAGCTTTCCATGGCGGTTTCTGCAGACAAATAAATCTACTTCAATCCACTTTTATACTAAATTATCCTCTTTCTACCTAGGGTGGGGAGATCTCTGTCTCCCTGCAGTTTAATACAATAGCTTGAAGGATAAGGACTAAGTAAGGAGGCAGATAATGTAAAAGTAGACTATACTTTTTGAAACCTTGGTAGTGAAGAGAAGAGAGACAGAAACACTAATAACAGGGTTAAGATTGCAATCATTTGAAATTTAGGCTTATTTACAGTCTATTCGATATTGTATGTTGAATGATGCAGTCCAAGCTGGGGAAAATAGGCTTTTGTAGAGGAGTATGCTTCTCTTCTAGACCAGAGAGGTTTGTTCATTCTGGAGCACTCAAAGCAACCAACTCCAACTTCACCAAAGTAGAAAAACCAGCCTCTTAACAAAGAAATTCTTTGCAGTCCTTGGTTCCCATGGCCAATTTTAAAGTCAAAAGACCTCAATACATTTTTTTTGCTTTTATCAATTTAATACATTCACTTACTATTATTATCTGCCTTCAAAAACATCTGACTTTAGGGATGACAGTTTTCACTATCCTGGGGAATTAACCTTAAAACTAATAAGTGTCTCTATGGTGCAGCCAAAGTTACAAAGCCAGACTGAAGTCTGCAGATACCAATGATGGTTGGTCTTTGTTTAACCACTAATCACTAAGAGACCTGACTCCCAGGGGTCTTAAATGTTAGGGTGGAAGATGGTGGATCAGTCTACGGTACTTACTTCCTGACAGCAAGTCAGAAAGTTGATCTTTTTTTACATTTAAATTTAATTTTTATTTTACTGTAGTAAGAACATTTAACATGAGAGCTACCCTCTTAACAGATTTTTAAGTATGCAATACCATATTGTCAACTATAGGCACAATGTTGTACAGCAGCTTTCTAGAACTTATTCATCTCACATAACTGAAACTTTAGCAACTCCCTGTTTTCTCTTCCCCTCCTTCTGCTTCTATAAATTTGACTATTTTAGGTTTTTCCTGTAAGTGGAATCATGCAATATTTGTCCTTCTGTGGCTGGCTTATTTTACTTAGCATAATGTCCTTAAGTTTCATCTATGTTGTCACATATTCAGGATTTCCTTCTGTTTTAAAGCTGAATAATATTCTATTGTGTATATACACCACATTTTCTTATCCATTCATCTATTGATGAACATTTAAATTGTTTCCACATCTTGGCTATTATGAATAGTGCTGCAATGAACATAGGAGTGCAAATATTTCTTTGAGATCCTGATGTCAATTCTATTGGATAAAATTTCTGAAATAAAGAACTCCCACAACTCAACAGCAAAAAAACTAACACCTGATTTTAAAATGGACTAAGGATTTGAATATACATTTCTCCAAATAAAGACATACAGATGGCCAATAGGTATATTAAAAAATGTTCAATTCCACTAATCATCAGGAAAATATAAATCAAAACCACAATGAGGTATCACCTCACTCCTGTTGAAATGACTGTTACCAAAAAGACAAAAGATAAGAGGTGTTAGTGAGGATGTGGTAAAATTGGAACACTTGTTCACTGTTGGTGGAAATGTAAAATGGTACAGCCACTGTGGAAAACAGCATGGAGGTTCTTCAAAAAGTGAAAAATATAACATATAATCAGCCATCTACTTCTGAGTATTTATTTAAAAAGTTGATCTTGATTGACAACCCGAAGTTAGAGAAAATGTGGGAAAACTCTTACACCACACATTCAGTCTCTTTGGATGGCAGTTTATTTAGATGTATCAAATTGTTTTGACCCAGCAATTCTACTTCTTGTATTGAAAGCTGTAAGTACAAGATGTATGTACAAGGTACTACAGATGTATGTTCTTTGCAGCATTGTTTGATAAATGTATCCATCTTTCACTAAAAATAAAACTGAAAGCAACCAAAATGTTTGTAAGTATGTAACTGGTTTTATATAATACAGCCACCAATATTACATAATACATATGTTAAAAAGAAAAATAAGAGTCAATTTTTATTTCAGAGACAGGGCCTTGCTCTGTCATTCAGGCTGGAGTGAAGTGGCATGGTCATAGCTCACTGCAGCCCCAAACTCCTGGGCTCAAGCAATCCTCCTACCCCAGCCTCCTGAGTAGCTGGGACTACAGGTGCATGGCATTAAGCCTGGTTAATTCTTTTTTCATTTTTTTTTTTTTAGAAATGGTGTCTCTCTATGTTGCCTAGGCTGGTCTCAAACTCCTGGCCTCAAGTGATCCTCCCATCTCAGCCTCCCAAATACGTTTTTTTGTTTGTTTGTTTGTTTGGTTGGTTGGTTTTTTTTGAGACAGGGTCTCACTTTGTCACCCAGGCTGGAGTGCAGTGGCACAACGTTGGCTCACTGCAACCTCCGCCTCCTGGGTTCAAGCAATTCTTCTGCCTCAGCCTCCCAAGTAGCTGAGATTACAGGTGCCTGCCACCACACTGGGCTAATTTTTGTATTTTGAGTAGAGACAGGGTTTCGCCATGTTGGCCAGGCTGGTCTTGAACTCCTGACCTCAGGTGATCTGCCTGCCTCGGCCTCCCAAAGTGCTGGGATTACAGGCATGAGCCACTGTGCCCGGCCCCAGATAAGTATTTTACATATATACCCTCATTTGATATTCACAACAGCTCTACATGTAAGGTAATCATACATCTTGATTTGCCAGAACAGTCTCCATTTATACCTGTCACAATATAATGATTAGTAGTGCCCCCTTCATTCTCAAAAGTACCTCTCTTGGACAGTAAATTGTGTGGTCACCTTATCTATGAGGAGGTTATTGTCATCACCTTATTGAATAGCTGAGGAAAGGGAAGTGTTAAGTAACTTTCCCACATTCACACAAGTAGAAGGAGAGACCAGCAGAGATTTACCATGATGTCAGAATACAGTTCTGAATTTCTTGGGGCAAAGAAATGTTGCCTGTCTCTCTAGGACGCCATCGGCTTCCAATCAAAGCTTGAGAAATCAGCCCTGGAAAATTGGGAAATGCTAGTGGCAGGCTTGCAGATGGAAGGCAGTGTAGGACAGTTAAGTCTGTCCATTTCCTCATAAAAGTATATCATTATTCCACCTGAGAGGTTTTTATCATCATCCCTAGGAGCTCATCACTTTTCTTTGCCAACCTTTGGCTCCCTCTCAGGAATTAAGGCCTGGTTTTACCTTTCTGTGTTGGCATTTTACTTTTTTTTTTTTTCCCACCATTCCATCTGTTCTCTTTCCCTGAACTCCCAACAGAGGTGATGCTTTGAGGGCAGGGATAATCATGGGCATAATGATATTTATCTAACTTATCTATACTGTGCTAGGATCAGTCCAGCTAAACTAGGTAAATTCCTCTTGTGTTTACTATTTTACTGGGAGCCAACTTATCTGGAAAGGCTGAACAGTACAGAGAAAAGAGGCTAGAATTTCAGGAAGTTAGGACATATTCATTGGTGAATATGTTGGCTGCCATATTGTTATATCATGCTCAAAATAACCCTAAAAGGTAGGCAGTATTGTCCTAATTTTCTGATGTGGAAATTATAAAGCACATAAATATATCTCACTAAATTCAAACATATGTATCCATTCTTAACTCTTCCTTAACTTGGTATTCCAAAATGCTCATCGCCAACCCAACAGAAGTCAGAGAGGAAAACAACAACCTTTACTGATTGCAGTTGAAATATTCTACTTTTATAAATTTTACAAAAACATATGGCCTTGGGCCAGGCGCAGTGGCTCATGCCTGTAATCCCAGCACTTTGGGAGGCCAAGGCGGGCAGATCACCGGAGGTCAGGAGTTCAAGACCAGCCTGGCTAACATGGTGAAACCCCGTTTCTACTAAAAATACAAAAAATTAGCCGGGCATGGTGATGCATGCCTGTAATCCCAGATACTAGGGAGGCAGAGGCAGGAAAATCATTTGAACTGGGAGGCGGAGGTTGCAGTGAGCCGAGATCACGCCACTGCACCATTGCACTCCAGCTTGGGCAACAAGAGCGAAACTCCATCAAAAAAAAAAAAAAAAAAATACTTGTGAACACGTTAATATAATTCCTCCAGGACCTTGGAAAGTTCCCATGAATTGAGGGTCCTGATGTTTAAGATTTATTAGTTTCATGAAAAATCTGTAAATCCATTTCTGATAACGGAGATAGAATTTGGTAGATGAGGGAGAAATTCCAAACTTGTGTGTCACTGGCAGCTGGTACATAAAGAAATTGATACTGTAAGCCTTCACAGTGGCAGGGTAGGGCTTGGCGACTTGCCTCAGGCTGTGGATCAAAGGGCTCCAGAGTGTGGGATCTAATGGCATAGACTGTGGTCCCTGCAGAGTAGGTAGTGAGCATGGTGAGTAATGTCTGCCACTCACTGCTTCCTGTGATTAACAGAACATGACAATTAAGCAGAATGTACTACTGGCCATTATGGAAAAAGGGCCTGCAGAACTGCCAGGGGAGTTTGTGTTCCAGATGAAGGGAGGCTGACTTGGGACTCCACAGTTCTAAGGGATGGCCTCAAACCTGTCTTTACATAAGTTGGCCACTTCTGTCTATTTGTTGCTTAGGTACCCTCCTATTAGCATCCACTCTAGCTGCACAGTAATTATAATCACTGTGTATAAGTGTTCTGTGAATTAGAGCTTCAAGATAATTTTGAAATAGTTGAGATGAAAAGTTAGACTAGATTAGAAATCCATCTCATTATCTCAAGAAATGCACCATTACATTTGCCAATGATGTTAGGTTGAATATAACATCAACTGTGAATATAACATCAACTGGCTGGGTGTGGTGGCCCCCGCCTGTAATCCCCGCACTTTGAGAGGCCAAAACAGGTGGATCAGCTGAGATCAGGAGTTCGAGATCAGCCTGGCCAACATGGTGAAACCCCGTCTCCACTAAAAAAAAAAAAATACAAAAATTAGCTGGGTGTGGTGGCAGGCACCTGTAGTACCAACTACTAGGAGGCTGAGGCAGGAGAATTGCTTCAACTTGGGAGGCAGAGGTAGCAGTGAGCTGAGATCGCTGTGTCACCCAGGCTGGAGAGCAGTGGTGCAATCTTGTCTCACTGCAACCTCTGCTTCCCAGATTCAAGCGATTCTCCTGCCTCAGCCTCCCGAGTAACTGGGATTATAGGCACGCGTCACGACACCGCGTTGATTTTGTATTTTTAGTAGAGATGGGGTTTCACCATGTTGGCCTGGCTGGTCTCAAACTGCTGACCTCAGTTGATCCACCCGTCTCGGCCTCCCAAAGTGCTGGGATTACAGGCGTGATACATTAGATAGATTGAGTTTTAGGTTCCTGTGGGAACACCGTAGGAGACATTAAGTGGTGTCTAATACTGGAAAGTGCTCTGTAGATATACATTTGGAGCTTGTCAGTGTATGAAAGGTAGTCCAAGTCATGGGAATGGATGAGTTTGACCAAGACACTGGATAATGGGAAGACAATAGAGCCAACAACAGAATTTTGGGATCACTACTTTAATATTACGTGCCAGAGCTGTTTGTATATACAGTGGTTTCTTTCATAAATGTATTTGGGAGGAAAGCATTTTTAGCAAATATGAAATTGCTCCTGTAGGGGAGTATCAAGTTGCCTAGGGACTGTGCCCTCTCCATTTAAGAGTCTCAGCCGGGTGCGGTGGCTCACTCCTGTAATCCCAGCACTTTGGGAGGCTGAGATGGGCGGATGACCTGAGGTAAGGAGTTCAAGATCAGCCTGACCAACATGGTGACACCCCGTCTCTCCTAAAAATACAAAATTAGCTGGGCGTGGTGGCGCATGCCTGTAATGCCAGCTACTCCAGAGGCTGAGGCAGGAGAATTGCTTGAACCTGGGAGGCAGACGTTGCAGTGAGCCAAGATCGCCCCATTGCTCCAGCCTGAGTAACAAGAGGGAAACTCCGTCTAAAAAAAAAAAAAAGAGTCTCAAGGTTATCTAGTTGACTGAGGAGGGTGGATGGTGGTGACAGACTTCAGGATTTAACATAATCTTTCTGGTTGCTCCTTCTCTGACTCTTTTGCTGACTTTCACTATTGAAAAGCATGCACACTGCCAATCCCATTGCTTTCCCTGCTCTCCCTTTATTGTCTCCCTTAAAAAGTCAGTGGTGTGTGGCAAGCAGGGCATGTACCTTGAAAATAGGCAGACCCGGTTTAGAATCCCAGCTAACTGTGCGCATGGGCAAATTACTTAGTCTCTCTAATCCTCTGTTTTTCTCATCATAAATCTGAACTAACAATATCTGCCAGGCAGGGTTGCTGTAAGGACTGGAAACAGTATGTAAAAGCACCCTGCAAAAAACCTGATGTACTGAAGCTGTGCTTACCATCATCAGACAGGTCATCTACCCTAAAGGATTTTTTTTCTTGTTCCTTCTTTCCGCAAAAAAAACACAAAGAATCTAGTCTGACAAGGATTTTGCCCTGATTCAATAAAAATGAGACTGGATTTTCATATTGTTGAAGAGATGATGAGGACTCCCCTTTAAAACCAGAGATGCTAAAATCCTTAAATTATCTGGAAAGATTCTTACTAAATTTTGCTGATAAAGAATCAATACTGAAGATTTTTTTTGTCTCTTTCCCTTCTCTTTTTGGGGAAATCAGAATTCCTGTTCTGAAATGTAAGTAGATCTTTATCTTAAAAATAGGTTGACAAGGACATCTCTCTCCTTTTTCTTTAAGCAGATGGTAATTTGTGATTTTTTCCCCCTGGTGCTGGATTCCGCCTGGAGGTATTAGGTGTGGACATTAGGACATGGTCAATGTTCCACCATAATTCCTTACCAGTAGATACCAGTTTCTGCAAATAACTTCTGCATTGAAATTTTGAGTTCTAGGCTGGGCGCGGTGGCTCACGCCTGTAATCCCAGCACTTTGGGAAGCTGAGACGGGCCGATCACGAGGTCAGGAGATCGAGACCATGGTGAAACCTCATCTCTACTAAAAACACAAAAAATTAGCTGGGCATGGTGGTGGACGCCTGTAGTCTCAGCTACTCGGGAGGCTGAGGCAGGAGAATGGCGTGACCCCTGGGAGGCAGAGCTTGCAGTGAGCCGAGATCGTGCCACTGCACTCCAGCCTGGGCAACAGAGCAAGACTCCATCTCAAAAAAAAAAAGAAAGAAATTTTGAGTTCTAATATTACTCCTTCACTCCACTTCCATGTTTTTAATTAGGTTCTGGCCATTTTACCTAGAAACACCACTGCTCCTCACACTAGACACTTTTAACACTGGTAGTTTCATTGTCTTCCTCTAAGCTCTTTCTTCTGGCTGTCCAAATTTCTTCGGTACCATTATTCTCCTGGTGATACAAGTTCAAAAATCAGGAGGCTGGGTGGCTGAAAAACATGATCAAAGACCCTGATCATTCCTGTCTCTCTGTTCACTCATCTTCATCTTCAGGCCAGCTGCCCTCTTGGTTACAAAATGGCTGCCAGAGATCTAGGCATCACCCTAGATACTCCAATGTTCAGATGAAGCAGACAGTAGTTTCTCTTGTATGTGTAATATGAATAAAGAAATATTTCCCTAAAGTCCTTCAGCAGACGTCTCACATCTCATTGGCCAAAACATGCTCATTTTAAAAACAATCAGTCACTGGTAAGGAGTATAGGGTTGTCATGATTGGCTTAGATTAATCAAGATATGGCCCTGAGCCAGGGATAGTGTCATCTTCCCTGATGTGTAGATACCCAAATAAAACTGGAGTTCTTCTAACAAGAAAAAAGGGGAAAATCAAAAGAAGTAAGATATATGATTCTGGTTTCCTTCTACCATCTTAGTCCAAACCCCGGACTAGCGTCTCAAGGACAGCTGTGATAGTTTACCAACTGGTCTCCCCACATTTTTTCCATCACAATTTTGTTGGATTTATCTTCCAGAAACACTGCTTTTCCACTTAGCCCTTTTGTTTAAAAATGCCATTGGTTCTCTCTAACCTTCAGAAAAACATTCAAACATACCATAGAATGTTTAAACCATAGAATATAAGAGTTAGAAGGCCCAGCGAGCTTTGAATGTCAAAACTAGCACCAAGAGCTAGACTAGAAAACATGGACGTGTGGTCTTAGCTAAACACCTCTTTTGCTTAACCAAAGGAACAGTATACAGAAATCTCCCTAAAAGAACAATCTTCAAGCTAAGTTAAGTAACTTTCTAAGGAGGTGTATCAGTACAGATTCTTAAGAGAATCAATTTTGGCTTGTTCTCTCTGAAGGCTAGCCTTAAGTTTCATACAAATTCTTTTTTTTTTTTAGATGGAATCTCTCTCTGTCACCCAAGATGGAGTGCAGTGGTATGATCACGGCTCACTGCAACCTCCGCCTCCCAGGTTCAAGTGATTCTTCTTCCCCAGCTTCCCAAGTAGCTGGGACTACAGGCACGCACCACCATGCCTGGCTAATTTTTGTATGTTTAGTAGAGATGGGGTTTCACCATATTGGCCAGGCTGGTCTCGAACTCCGGACCTCGTGATCCGCCTGCCTCGGCCTCCCAAAGTTCTGAGATTACAGGCATGAGCCACCATGCCTGGGCCTACAATTTTTACGTGTGTGTGTGTGAGAGAGAAAGAGATAGAGAAAGACAGACAGAGAGAGAGAGAGAGACAGAGACAGAGAGAGAGAGACAGTGTCTTGCTCTGTCACCCAGGCTCAAGTGCAGTGGCATGATCATGGCTCACTGCTGCCTTGGCTTCCTCAGCTCAAGCAATCCTTCCACCTCAGCCTCCCCAGTAGCTGGGACTACAGGCCTGCGCCTACCATGCCCAGCTAATTTTTTTTTTTTTGTAGAGACGAGGTCTTACTATGTTGCCTAGGCCGGTCTTCTACTATGTTGCCTAGGCTTAAGCAATATTCTCACCTCAGCCTTCCAAAGTGCGCTGGGATTATAAACATGAGCCATCATATCCAGCCAAATTCTTTATTTTCACCTTCCATTGCAAAACAGCCTATCTTCTCCTTACCTGTCTTGACTCTTACCTTGGTACCTCCAAAATCTTGAGACCTCTGGGGAATAGGGGAGGGGGAAACAAAGGGACCATTTGAAGTATTGGCTCCTCCCATCCCTGGCCTCTCTGGTTATTGTCAAAGAATGCATAACTCTGGAGAGAGAGACCCATGACAGCAAAGTAAAGAACACTTCAAATGCTAAAAATGGAGTCTGCTTTTTGTTTTCACTTATTTTCAAAACAAAATTCTCAAAACCTAGGAGGGGCCATTAGCTGGAAAAAATGTCTCTGAGCAGCAGATGCAGTGCCAGATACTGATGCTGATTCAGGGCTGAGTGATGCATCCATACCAAGCACATACCAAATTTTCACATGCCTTTCCGAGTGTCATTCACCTTTTGTAGAATGCAGTGTGAATGATCCCTCTAAAATTGGGGGTAACATAAAAATAGTTTTAAATTTAAATGGAATGTTTTCTGAGGTTACTACATTCTCTACTACACAAGATAGAATTCATGGATTAAAAATTCACCTGATTTTTTTACATAACGTACACATCATTGAATAAAGTAATTAAAACCTACTTCTATGAAATTACGTCATTGAATATTTTTCCAGTGATAGTCAATTCTCAACTTATTTCTTCTTTTAACTGATTTTTAATTTTTATTTTTTTTAAAAAACAGAGACAGGGTCTCACTATATTGCCCAGACTGGCCTCAAACTCCTGGGCTCAAGTAATCATCCTACCTCAGCCTCCCAAAGTGCTGGGATTACAGGCGTGAGCCACTGTACCTGGCCTATTTCTTCTTTTAAAACATTTATTTTTACTCCTATTAACACAAAGTAACATTATATGCCAGCTGCCAGACTTCATTTTTAGCAATTCATACTTTTTCTTTTTCATTAAGTAGATAGGAAAAGTTAACAATAAAAGTTCTAAAAACAGCTGGATGTGGTAGCATGCGCCTGTAGTCCCAGCTCCTCAGAGGCTGAGGCGGGAGGATCGCTTGAGCCCAGGAGTCCAAGGCTGGAATGAGCTGTGATGGTATCACTGTACTCCAGTTTGGGTGACCAAGTGAGACCCTATTTCTTAAAAAAAAAAAAAAAAAGGAAAAAACTTCTTCCATTACCATCCATCCTCTTATATATCTTTTTATAGAAAGATTTTTTATATAAACATTTATAAAAATAAAAAGTAGGCATAAAATTAGTACTCTAAGTTGAGATACATGAACTAATTGAAAATAGTCCCATTCATCTTATTAAGAACTATATCTCTAATAAAATGTTTCTTTTTAAGTTATTTATATTAATTTAACATGTATGTGGGTCACTTTGATATTTTTACACCAATAATAATTGTAATAATAATAAGTTTTTGACTCTTTAGAGGCTTGGCCATGGTAGAAACTATTACCTGGCTCCCACAATTTGTTCCACCCTCCTTCGGGTACGTAGGTAGCCTACTTTTCCCCATCATCCTTGCTGTAACATGTAGTCATGTAATTGTTCTGGCAACAACTTGTGAGTGGAAATCATGTATGTCACTTCCAGGCCTGGTCCCATGAAATATCTTCTGTGCTTTTCTTTGCTTTTTCTCCTTCTACCAGCTACACGAATTGAGAATGAGGCTCTAGGAAAGCGGTTGGCGAACTTTGGTAAAAAGCCAGACAGTAACTATTTTGGGCTTTGCGGCCACATAAAGCCTCTGATGCACATTCTACTGGTTGTTTTTTTGTTTGTTTGTTTGTTTGTTTTTTGTTTTTTTGTAGCCTTTTAAAGATGTAAATCTATTCTTAGCTCCCAGAGCACACAAAAATAGGCCCACAAGCTAAACCCTTTTTCTAGGAGACAGGGAAGCCATAAGATGAAAGGAATTAGGTTCCCCTCATCACTATGTGGTGGGGAGCACTTTGCTTACCTGGGGACCTCACCCAGGACTATTCTGTGAGAAAGAAATAGGCTTTGATTGTGTTGAGCAGTTACATGCTGGACCTATTTGTTATTACAAATCAGCTTCATAATAACACAGGAAATAAAAAAATTACAAACATTTTTAATGCAGAGAAGTATAATATAAAAAATGAATAATAAGACCTTTAAGCATAATAATATAGTACATTAAGATAAATATGTAGAAGTAGAATAAAAATAGGAGCTTAGGGAAAAAACATCTGACTGTTAAAAAAGAGCTCATTTGTAGACTTTTAAAATGGATGTGGTGGGCATCAAATCGCTTGGATTTAGATTCAATTGGATATTTCAAAGCAAATTGCAATAGTTTATTTTAAAATATCTATATTAATAACATCATGAAAATTACAACCTTTGCAATTATTCAAACATACGATGTAATATTTTAGATGTCAACTGAAAATTTTGTGAAGGAGTACATGGTTTTAAAACATTCTGTTAGGGGATATGCCAGCAGAAACTTTTGAAGAGGCTTCAAAGAACCCTTATAGACTCAGAACCAAACCTCTTTTGAAAGCTTCGTAGATTCCCTGGGCTGAATGTACAAGCAGGGGTTTTTCTGGTTTGCCTCTGCTCTTTTCGAAATCCTGTGTCTAGGTCACCTTAGACAGTGTTCATACACAGGAATGTCCTTGCTTGTCAGGAGTCCTGCCAGCGGTGTTGAGAGGCCAGGTGTAGACCCGTTTCTTCTGACCTTAGATTCCCCAGTGGATCATGAGGATGAAGCTGTTTTCTTTCTTCCTTTCAAAAGTGTTCCCTTCTTGGTGGTTCTGAGGATTCATGAGTTAAATATTTGTTAAGTTTTTGCAATATTTGGCTGAAAGTACGAAGTCTTATTTATTATTGCTGGATGGATGAAAGGTATTATACAAGTGCAAAGTATCATTTCTTCCCAGGACAGACGGCGTTGTCATGCTTAATCCCCAGGCAGCTCATGACCCCATTCTCTTGCACGGCCTCCTCATTTACATAACCAGCCACAAACTGAGTTGAAAGGACTCCTGCAAGAGGATTTGCACTTTCTCCTTTTCTTCAGAATGTGTATCTGCCTAAGCAGTGTGATAACTTTTTTCCCAGACTGGATCGATATTCCTTAGCTGGTCCTGTTGCAGCAGGAGTCCGGTGACTGGAGAGAGGAAGCTCTTGGGCAGTGAGTAAAAAAAGAGAATTGACTTCTTTTTTTTATCTGTTTCTGTCTACTCATCAGGCCCTGGACAAGTCACTTCACCTCTTGCCTCATTTTCTTTTCTTTTCTTTTCTTTTTTTTTTTTTTTGAGACGGAGTCTCGCTCTGTCGCCCAGGCTGGAGTGCGGTGGCATGATCTCGGCTCACTGCAAGCTCCGCCTCCCGGGTTCACGCCATTCTCCTGCCTCATCCTCCCGAGTAGCTGGGACTACAGGGGTCCGCCACCAGGTTGGACATCAGCACCTGTAGAGGGGATAGCACTGGATATGGAAAACTTAGAGTAGATAGTGAAGGAGGAAGAGGATAAATAGCAGTTATGGCCTCAAGACCAACTACAGCGGTAGGGGCTGTGGTTTGTCTCATTAATCGCCCTCTTCTAAGATTCCCCTGAGGAGGAAAGGCCCACAGCAACCTTGGATGAACTGCGCCCTGAAAAATGGAGAAGTCAGCCTGTGTGATGCAGTCTGTACGCACTGTGATAAAAACCATGTGGGTAAATGCTTAGGACTTTCTTCAATAGAGTCACTGTGAGGACAGCAGTGAGCTGACATCTTCACCAGCCACACCTGTAAAATTGCTTGCACTGTTCACACTGAAGGCCGTGGTTTCTTGTCTACCAAGGGTTGAGCCCAGCTGGGTGCTAGAGCTGAGCCATTGCTGCCCATCGCGGGACGCCCCTAAGGGTCAGCTGTTGCCTTGGAAGCACTGGCCTGGTCGGGGCTGAGACTTTTCCTGGCCAGCCCTCCTTCCTACCCTCCTCCTTCACTATTGACAGACGTGCATTGCAATCTGAATACTCTCCTAGCTTACTCACCTTCTTTCTCCTCTTTAACTTTTGCAGGCATTTTCCCCAATACATCTCTGCTCATCTGACTCTTATCTTGGCATCTGCTTCCTGGTGGATCTGAACTGACCCATAAGCCACGCTTACTAGTGATTTTCCAGGTAATCATCTATTTTTATTCATTTTTTTTTCTTGATTGGTAGTTTGAACATGATATTAAACACATTTACTGTATAAATATAGATATCATTGTTGGCCAGTTTGCTGTAATTGAACTCTCCAGAGGGGTTTCAGGATGGTTTTGCTTTTTCTAGAAATTGTAGCAGGGAAGCAGAGGTCTACCTTTGTCTGTTTTCAGAAGGGCAAGTTTACCTTCAGAGTTTCCCTGGATTACTTTTAATGTTTCCTTTCCTTTTCCCTCCCACTGGACTCTAGTACTGGGGACCTTGTTTGTCTTCTTTAAACGATAGAAGTGCAAGTTCAAGTGAAATGACATTTCTAGAAGAATGGAAATTCCTTATTTAAGTGAAGCCCTTTTGAGTTCAGATGGGTATGTGATAACAGAAAGAGAAGAGCACTCTTGTTCCCAGACTAGCTACCCACTGCTGCCCAGGCTGCAGAGTAATGGGACTGGTGCAGGAACTCATTTGGGATTTTCCTTGGTAAGATTATGTGGTCACAAAGGAGGTTCCCTTGTAAGATGTGGGGTTCTTGTATATGTGGGGGTATATTGTATATGTGTATTGTTCTTGTATATGTGGGGGTTCTTGTATATGTGTATAACCTTGTATATGTGGGGTTCTTATTTCTTGTTCCACAAAAACAAAACCCCTGGCAGTGGTGAAATAGAAAAGACTGACTAAAGGTAAAAACTTGGACTCTGTACAAAGGCCTTTGGTGATTTTGGGTAAAAAAGGCCAAGTCTCTCCCACGCCAATGGCTTGTGTTGGAGGCTGTAAAGTTACTCATTTAGCAAAGCTGACCAGAAAGTCAAAGGGAGGATTCATTAGCAAGGTTGAAATTTACCACTAGATTATGCTTGTCTTTCCAGCCAAACAGAATGAGACTTCATGGCAGTCTTTTTGTGGGGTGTTCAAACACTAATGAAAAAAAATTTGAAACCAAGGTGACTTTTTGGTGAGTGGAGTGTCTGAGGGAGCTTATGTGGAGAAATCAATGTAACTATTGCCTCAGTGTTGTCAGAGAATTTATTAAAAGGGATCCCCCGTTCCCCATTGGTAACTACTTATTTTTTTCTAAGAATGGGATCCAACACTTCAAATTTTAGACCTTGAGTTGTGATGTGAAGCAATGAAGACTCAGTTTTTTGTTGTTTTTTTTGAGACACAATCTTGCTCTGTTGCCCTGCCTGGAGTGCAGTGGCGCCATCTCGGCTTACTGCAACCACTGCCTCCCAGGCCCAAGTGATTCTCCTGCCTCAACCTCCTAAGCAGCTGGGATTACAGGCGCCCGCCACCATGCCCGGCTAATTTTTTGTATTTTTAGTAGAGACGGGGTTTCACCATGTCGGCCAGGCTGGTCTCAAACTCCTGACCTCAGGTGATCTGCCCGCCTTAGCCTCCCAAAGTGCTCAGATTACACGCCTGGCCAAGAGTCAGCTCTTGACAGCCCCAAAAATCTATCCTTAGGGCAGATAGAAGAGAGAGATTTTTCACATGATAATGTATTTAAATCAGGATTAGACAAAGAACTTCATCCTTCCTTGCTGAAAGATACAAGTTGTCATATTTAATTGGAAAAAGGCAGTCTTTTACACTTATGAGAGAAGTGGATACCTAAAAATCTAGAGGCTTCTTTCCCTAAAAGCCATTAACCAGTATTATTTTTATAGATTTAATGCCAACTAACCAGACTCTGAATTATTATCATCTCTAGTGTTGAACTCCAGGCTGTACAATCTATACGAGGGATAAGCCTTGACTGACACTTTCACAGACAGCAGTTACAGAATTTTTTAGGAAGGTGACAGGTAGATCTCAAGGGTCTTCTCATTCACTTTTTCTTTGGTATCTTATCAAGATGTTTTAATTCTCTTTTCAAATATCTTCAGATTCTTTTCCCTCTGGTGAAACAGATGGCAGGTAGGAGGAAATATACAGAATGAACTGTGAAATTTCTCTTGTCTAAAATCATTCACAAAAAATGGGAGATGATGACTCAGTAGAACTACAACGTGCAGCCACTGGGTTAGTGCCCATGTAGTCCTAACATTGTTTGGCTGTTAAGAGCTTCATGTGATACCTCCAAGTCTAGAAGGACTCAACCAGAGTATCAGGACAGATTGAGACTTGGGGCTTCCACGAATTTGGAGCATAGTGGGATGCTGGGTTGCCTAGACATCATTAGTAAGATTTTTTTCATAATTTTTTTTTTTTTTTTTGAGATGGAGTCTTGCTCTGTCGCCCAGGCTGGAATGCAGTGGCACGATCTGAGCTCACTGCAAGCTCCACCTCCTGGGTTCACGCCATTCTCCTGCCTCAGCCTCCCAAGTAGCTGGGACTACAGGTGCCCACCACCACGTCCTGCTAATTTTTTGTATTTTTTAGTAGAGACGGGATTTCACCATGTTAGCCAGGATGATCTCAATCTCCTGACCTCATGATCCACCCCCCCTCAGCCTCCCAAAGTGCTGGGATTACAGGCGTGAGCCACTGCGCCCGGCCCCATTAGTAAGATTTGTTTTTTCCTATAACAAAATGCATCAAGTTCCAACTAAACAATTTACAAAATAATTTTAGGAATACAACTCTTAAAAAGTAGAGACCCAATGTTTCATATTAATTAGAAATAATGATTCACATCACAGAAGGATTCTTTAATACACACAAGCGCTCCAATAATCAGGGTTTGATTGAATTTTCAGTACCTCCAACACATTTAAGTTTTTATTTATTTAATGAGAGGGAGGAGACAACTAAGCTTCGATATACATTTTAGGAGCCTCTGTACATCGTATGGCCATTAGATGACAAAACATTTGTGAAATGATACTGTAAGTCAGTGGAGGAAAAATGCCTTTAAAAACAGCCTCTCTTTCCCTCTCTTTAAAGGAAAAGACAAAATAGTGTATGCTCACAGAGGAGGAAGTAATTAAGAGTCTGATTCTGTTAGGAAACTACAGAAGAAATATAATTTGAAAGCCGGAGAGATACTGGAGGGGTTGAGTCCTGGTGCTCTTGTTATAAATCAATGGCCTTTGGCAAGACATAAACTTTTCTAAACCTTGGTTTTCTTATCTGTAAAATAGTTCTAGTAAGGTGTATCTGCCCATTCTCACAGGGTTACTATGAGATTCGTGTGTGACTGTACATGTGAAGTTGTTTTGTAGTCTGTAAAATATTATATAAATATGATTTATTATTATTGCCATAGTTGAAATACTAACAGCTTTTAATGATCATAACTAGATTGAGATGTCTTCAATCATATGGTCAAATTAGGATGTATTGTGTGGCAGATGCTGTATGAGAATTAATCTACTCTCTTATCTAAGATTATCTAGAAATATATATTTTTAAAGAAAATTTAGCCATTTTTAAGCATGTGTGAATTGAACTGGTGCCCACAGGCACTGGCTTTCTTATACTCAGGTCCTCTCTCCACCTTGTTTTGGTTTGGAGGGCTCTCTTCTCCTTGGCTCCAAACCACAAATTAACTTTTTTGACCAGGCATGAAAAGTGTCCTAACTTGTGTCTGGACAATGCTGAGACAGAGAGATAATAGTAGAGCCCATATATACTTGACTCTTGTCACCAAGAAAAATA
Source organism: Homo sapiens (assembly GCF_000001405.40). NCBI lineage: Eukaryota > Metazoa > Chordata > Mammalia > Primates > Hominidae > Homo > Homo sapiens. The sequence goes on along the minus strand of NC_000003.12, from coordinate 149,666,163 downwards.
AGACAAGGAAGAGCAGTGGCTTGAACAGCTAGTGTAACCAGATCTGTGACTTATTTGGGTAAAGGGAGGAGTTGAGTGAAATTGTCAAACAATAAATGTTTTAATCAGGTGGCAAACTCTTCCAAGCTCAGCTTGAAAGATCACTTCTGCCCTTGAACACAATGGATATTAAAAAAATATGTACCGTATTTGTTGAATGGATGGATAATATTGAGCACCTTGAAATTCCCCCCACCCCAAACACTGCTAATTAGTTCTCTCATCACACCCAAAATAATACTAATAATATGGTTTGTACTTCTGAGAGTGATGATTCAGTGTTATCATGTTACACATATATACAGATATAAGCACACAAAGAGAAATATTTATCTTTTTATTTCTACATAGTTTTTAATATAATTTTAGCATCTTTTTATTCATTTTTCCATGTTTTTGAACAAAGTTATAATGATAGTATTCACAGATCTTTGTTTCGTAATTTTTCTCATTAAAATTATAAAAATTCTTAAAAACATTTTTCAGGTTGTCACATTGTCTTCATAAACACTTTCAAATAACTATCAGAATCTTCATTGCATATGTTAAGCTGTTAGATATACTTAACCATTCTCTTCTTAAATATTTAGGAAATTTCTGAGCCGGGCGCAGTAACTCATGCCTGTAATCCCAGCACTTTGGGAGGCTGAGGCGGGCAGATCATGAGGTCAGGAGATCGAGAACATCCTGGCCAAAATGGTGAAACCCCCATCTCTACCAAAAATACAAAAATTAACTGGGCATGATGGTGGGCTCCTGTAATCCCAGCTACTTGGGAGGCTGAGGCAGGAGAATGGCTTGAACCCGGGAGGCGGAGTTTGCAGTGAGCCAAGATGACGCCACTGCACTCCAGCCTGGTGACAGAGCAAGACTCTGTCTCAAAAAAAAAAAAAAAAAGAAAGAAAGGAAATTTCTAATTTCCCGTTATTATAGATCATGGTGCAATGAGCAACTCTGCAATATGCCCTGATCATTAACTTCTAAACCATACTGTATATTGTTGAGCCTTTTCAAAAGTGTATTTTTATTTTCTAGGAAAATATCTATTACTTAATATTTCCCATTTAAAAATATTTCCTCCAGTCCCTTGCCCCAAAATGATAGCAAAAATACTAAAGGATAAATAACTTACATAAGGTACTGAAGTTAAGATTAAATATCAAAAATTCCTTTTTTCTCTAGCCCAAATGCATTACTAAAGCAACAGATAACATCAGACAAAAGATAGTGCCTTCTGGCCGGGCGCGGTGGTTCACTCCTATAATCCCAGCACTTTGAGAAGCCAAGGTGGGTGGATCACACCTGAGATCAGGAGTTCGAGACCAGCCTGACCAACATAGAGAAACCCCATCTCTACTAAAATACAAAATCAGCCAGGCATGATGGCGCATGCCTGTAATCCCAGCTACTCGGGAGGCTGAGGCAGGAGAATCGTTTGAACCCGGGAGGTGGAGGTTGCGGTGAGCCGAGATGGCGCCATTGCACTACAGCCTGGGCAACAGGAGCGAAACTCCGTCTCAAAAAAAAAAAAAAAAGATAGTGCCTTCCATCATCATTATCATCAAAATTATCTTCCTTATCATCATGCCAGTGATGCATTTATTAAGAACACCAAAGTGAAACACGGCAACAAAAGAGTAAATGCAAAAATGAGTGGCAGCACCAATTATTTTTTATTTAGGTATTTGCATATTTGCTATATGCTGGACACTGTGTTAAACACTTGGGATATGGTAAATTCTGAAAACACAAGTATCACGTTTGATTTGTCAAGGAACTGGTCAACTCTTATCCTCATGTTGAACCTTATTCAATAGTTTTCTGGACTCTTCATTATTCAAACCTTTATCTATTCAAGGTCCTTGTCTGTTTTGCTCCTCTTCAGTTGCTAATGGTGACCCAACCCTGGCTCTGGGAATTTTCTCCATACTGGTTCAGCAAGTCAGGGCAGGTTCTGCCCCAAGGGCTTCTGGGACCACAGTCCTCTAACTTAGCCACCCCACCAAGTTTCTAACCATACACCTTTGCTGAAATCAGTCATTCAGACCAAGTCAGCAACCCGGAGGTAGGGCTGAGAAGCAGCTGAAGCTTTCCTGAGGCAAAAATGGCAGATGAATAGCAGGGGCAAAATCCACTGGGTTAGGCATGTACAGAACACTCCTGCATGGAGAACACTTTGTTAGGCATGGGAGAAACAAAAAGAAAGTGAAGTTCTCTTAGACTTGTTCTCAGAGAGCTTGCAATCTTGTTAAAGAGTTGAGTCCAGAAGTAGCTGAAATCGTAGTGAATGGTGAGAAATTATCTAACAAACTGCACAGTACACTAATGGGTGCTGAAAGAGGAATGGGCAAAATCATCTAAAGGTCACTATGCTCTCAACAAGGAATTGTGGCCTTCTTAGGAGCGGTTTCATAAGAAAATTTTTTTTTAAGATGGAGTCTCGCTCTGTTGCACAGGCTGGAGTGCAATGGCATGATCTCGGCTCACTGCAGCCTCCGCCTCCTGGGTTCAAGCAATTCTCCTGCCTCAGCCTCCCGAGTAGCTGGGATTACAGGCACGCGCCACCACGCATGGCTAATTTTTGTATTTTTAGTAGAAACGGGGTTTCACCATGTTGGCCAGGCTTGTCTCAAACTCCTGACCTCAGGTGATCTGCCTGCCTTGGCCTCCCAAAGTGCTAGGATTACAGACGTGAGCCACTGCGCCTGACCTCATAAAGAAATTTAAGCTGCTTCTAGCCCTGCAGCTATTTACAGTCCAGTTGGGGAGGCAAGAGATTTCTGAGGCGAATTTTACAATACAATATATGCCGGGCCTGGTGGCTCACATCTGTAATCCCAGCACTTTGGGAGGCTGAGGTGGGTGGATCACCTGAGATCAGCCTGGCCAACATGGTGAAACCCCATCTCTACTAAAAATACAAAAATTAGCTGGCGTGATGGCGGGCACCTGTAATCCCAGCTACTTGAGAGGCTAAGACAGGAGAATCGCTTGAACCCGGGAGGCGGATGTTGCAGTGAGCTGAGATTGCGCCATTGCACTCCAGCCTGGGTGACAGAGTAAGACTCTGTCTGAAAAAACAAGACAAAACAATGTAAGGCAGTGTTATGTTTGATTACATGTGGAAAGAGTGAAAAAGACAAGAACAAGGAGAATTTAGGAAGAAGGGAGAGATTACTGAACGCCTGGCAATGGAGTTTGGAGGACAATTTTGAGCAGAATTCAAATAGCAAAGTTCAGGTAGGTGTATTAACGAATTAGGCCAAATATGCTTGGGTCAGAGCCTGGCTGAAGTGGGAGAAAGATACTTTATTACTGGATCATGTAAGAACCAGGGTCAGAAAGCTATGAAGATGGCAGTGTGTTGGGAAACCTTTAGTGCCAGATTGATAGCTTTGACTCATATACTTGTGAACAGTTGTTAAAAAAAACTTCTGAGCTGGGTAATGACATCATAAAAGAAGGAGACCAGAAAACAGAGACTGGAGGCAGAGAAACCAGTTAGGAGACCACTTCAAGCATTTTGAGATAAGGTCCTGTCGTGAGAGTGGGAAGGGAAGCATGGATTTTGGGGGACACTAGAAGAAAGAATCAATAGCATTTGCCGCTGATTGGATGTGAACAGAGGGAAGAGAAAGGGATGACTCAGGAGAAGCTTCAGTAGGAAGTGTGTTGTGGGGAGGATTTAGAAGCAGGCATGGACTTTGTTGGAAAGTGTTTGCAAATGGAAAGATTTACATATCTATCAGCAGGAGTGTGCTCTCAACTGATTATCTTATAAAAGCTGTGGAGTTTCTTTATGAGATAGTCAGACAAAAAGTATCACACGATTTAAAATGGCAATACCAGGGAGCAACTCCTGGCTCACACAGGATGCAGTCTGGAGAATGCACTCTGCTCTAGAGTTACAACCCTGGGCTGAATCTCAGGGTTTTTTGTTTTTTTTTAACATGGTTTCATTGTATATATTTGGACAAAATACTTTCTAACTCATCGATCCAGTTTCCTTATCTTTAGGTCTCCATGAAACAAAACAGCCATATTTGTTGAGTGCTTTATTATGTTAAGCAGGCTTTGTGTTAAGAGCTTTATTTGGCCGGGCGAGGTGGCTCACGCCTGTAATCCCAGCACTTTGGGAGGTGGAGGCGGGTGGATCACAAGGTCAGGAGTTCAAGACCAGCCTGGCCCAAATGGTGAAACCCCGTCTCTACTAAATATACAAAAATTAGCCAGGTGTGGTGGTGGGTGCCTGTAATCCCAGCTACTCAGGAGGCTGAGGCAGGAGAATCGCTTGAACCCGGGAGGTGGAGGTTGTGGTGAGCTGATATTGTGCCACTGCACTCCAGCCTAGGTGACAGAGTAAGACTCCGTCTCAAAAAAAAAAAAAAAAACTTTATTTGTGGCCGGGCATGGTGGCTCAAGCCTATAATCCTAGCACTTTGGGAGGCCAAGGTGGGCGGATCACTTGAGACCAGGAGTTCAAGATCAGCCTGGCCAACATGATGAAATCCTGCCTCTACTAAAAAAATACAAAAATTAGCCAGGCGTGGTGGTGCACGTCTGTAGTCCCAACTACTCGGGAGGCTGAGGCACAAGAATCACTTGAACCTGGGAGGTGAAGGGTGCAGTGAGCTGAGATCAAGCCATTGCACTCTAGCCTGGGCAACAAAGTGAAACCCTGTCTGAGAAAAAAAAAAAGACTTTATTTGCAACTTTTTATTCTTAGAATGCACATTCTACATTTAAAAAACATTTCAATATTTTGTGGCTTAAAGCAATATCCATTTTATTTGCTCACAATTCTGCAATCTGGGCTGGGCTTGGCTGTGCAGCTCTGCTGGTCTTACTGGTGGTCACTGATGTGTTTGCAGTCAGCCGGTGGGGTTGGCTGAGGCTGGGCTCAGCTCAGGTGCTGGGCAGCTGGACTTTTCCCTCTCTCCAAGTATCTCAGGGCCTTTCCTTCTCCATGTGGTTTATCCAACAGGGTAACTGGACTTCTTACTTAGTGGCTCAGGTCTCCTAAAAGTACAAAGTGGAAGCTTCCATACCTTCCTAGGGGATGGGATGGGAAAGGCAGGGAAGTGGCACAACTTCACTGCCACATTTTCCTGGTTAAGGCAAATCACTGGCCCAGTCCAGATTAAGTGGAAGGGGCTACGTAAAGGTATAAATAACATGAGGCTGGGCCATTGAAAGGCAGCAACGCAGCAGAGAGACTACCACAATATTATTTCCAATTTGTAAATGAGTAAACTGTGACTTAGGAATGCTAAGCTACTTGCATAATGTAGCAGATAGAGCCAGCTTCAAATATTGTGTTCTAAATCAAATATCAACAAATAAAATGTGTATGTGTTTTCACCTAGAATCCTGTGGGGTGGGTACTGTTATTGTCCCTAATTTACAAAGGAGGAAACCCAAGAATAGAGAGCTTAAATGTCTTGTCTGAAGTGACTCAGCTGTTTTGTTCCAGAAATTATACACTTATCCACTGTGCTGCCTCTTACGGGCAGTACCTGATACATACAAGACATCTGTAAATGTTATTTAATCTGAAGCTGTTGTTGGAATGGCTGGGACAACAGCAAATCTTTTGAATTATTCACTATTACATCTTATATGCTATTTGGGAACTGGGAGTTTTTCAGTTATCCTGTGTTAAGGGCAATTTCCGTTTCATACATCTACTTTATCTGTTGCACTATCTATTTCTTGAAGCTTGGAAAGAAACGAAGACTGCATCCTTGCCCATCCAGTTCCAACCCAGATTCTCACTGCCCATCTAATTCCAACCCTGATTCTCACCTTTCTTCGGGAGTGAGGACTTTCCTAGAGTAGGGCTGGCCTCAAGTTTTCATCTTTTAATCATCAAGTCAGCCTTGTGACTTCTGAATTAGTATCATTAGGTTCCAGTCACTTCCTCTTGTTCGATAGCTTATTTCCCCTGTTGTTGCAACTGTGATGGCTTCTGAGAGTAGCTTGCAAAGATTCTACTTTCCAAGGAGTGACCTGTGCTAGTTTCCCCTTTCCTTTTGCCAGTCCTATGGGCAGAGGACTTGCTGCACAGAATCCCAGCTACTCGGGAGGCTGAGGCAGGATAATTGCTTGAACCAGGGAGGCAGAGGTTGCAGTGAGCCGCGATCATGCCACTGCACTCCATCCTGGGCAATAGAGTGAGACTCCATCTCAAAAAAAAAAAAAAAAGGATGATACGTGTATGCCTGCCTTAGTCTAAGATGGCCCTAATTTCTTCCAGTCTATGAGGAGTCTGGAATTGGAGCCACCTCCAAGTACAGATAACAGGGGAAGTGGCTCACTTTGGTGGTTCTGTTTTGGATATGGATGCAGCCATTCAGGGAGTGGCCCCAAAATTCTACCTTTTCCGAGGCAAAACTATGAGTGGCCTTGTCTTTTCCTTAAACTTTTCTCCTCCAAGGCAGCTCCAGATTTTAACTTCGACTTTATTTTACCCTGTAAAAATATTAAGGCAGGCTGGGCGCGGTGGCTCATGCCTGTAATCCCAGCACTTTGGGAGCCTGAGGCGGGCGGATCACCTGAAGTCAGGATTTGAGACCAGCCTGGCCAACATGGTGAAACCCCATTTTTGCTTTTAAAAAATACAAAAATTAGCTGGGCGTGGTGGCAGGCGTCTTAATCCTAGCTACTTGGGAGGCAGAGGCAGGAGAATCGTTTGAACCCGGGAGGCGGAGGTTGCAGTGAGCTGAGATGGAGCTATTGCACTCAAGCCTGGGGGACAAGAGGGAGACGTCACTCAAAAAAAAAAAAAAAAAAATTAAGGCACAATACGTGAACTTGAAGAACATACAGTTCTCTTTTATTTAACAAACACTTACGTAACCAGCCCGGTGCTGTGCGAAGTGCTTTACATTGTCTCGTTTGATTTACTTAATAAACTCCTATTTGAATCAAATGGGGTGGAGTAGGGGCTTCCTGGAATTTGGCTTACCTCGCCATCTCCCCCCACCCTTTCCCCTCAGTGGAGAGGCAACCAGAGAGAAAAGAAATTGAGCTGCTCTGAAGGGCAAGGCCTCCTCCTACTTCCCGCAGCTGTTTCGCCAGACTTGACCTTCTTCCCTTAGCTAGAGGCAGGGGGTCTCCATCCCTCGCCCAGATCTAGTTGGTGGGAAGGTGGGTGGCTTTTTTCGGGTCACTGGCGCACCCTCTCTACTTCCAGCCACCTGCTCGGGTTCCATCCCGGCTCCAGGCTCCCCGGAGGGCGGCAGGGACATTCCAATCCTCCCACAACCCTCACGGATGTTGCGGGGGAGGGGGGTGCAATTGCTCTTCTCTTCCAACACCCAGCTTTTTCTTCTCAATCTCTAGTGGCCTGAGTCACCCCCGTAGAGGAAATTAAGGATTGATGAATGGTTTGAAAGTTGTTTGTTTACAACCCACCCGTTGGCGAAGCCGCATCTCCAGTGACAGAGGCACTTTCTGGGCACCGTCTGTGCTCTAGCAGACAATTGAGAGCCAGGCAGCCAAGATGCCTCCTCGCCAGACCAAATATGGTCACAAGAGCTAAGCAGCCTCTCGTGGAAAAGCTGGCCTTGTTGGTGTCTCCCCGCGCCGGGGCGCACCCGGGCCGGCCTTCGGGCAGAATCGCGGGTCAGTGCGGCGCTCCGGGTGCTGCAGGCCTCGGCGCCTGGCTGCAGGGGAGGGCGCGGTGTCCAGGACCGGCCCTTCCTAGGCCTGAGCCCCTCATCCGCGTGCCCTCCGCCACCCCCGGCCTTGGTTTCGGTCCACAACCCCTTGATGAAACAGGCTCAGGCCACTTTCCCTTTGATCCCGCCCCAAGTCCGTGGTAAACTCAAAGGAATGCAGATGCAGGTCTGAGCGGGAGAGGTCCGCGCGGCCGGGAGGAGTGGGTGGGGGGCACCCGTCTCCTCTTACCCAGTAAAGTACCCATCACGCCCAGGGTTTTCTGGAGCCGAGGTGGGAGGAGGAGGAGGAGGAAGAGGAGGGGCGAGCGGGGGCTGGCCGGCTAGGGACTAGGAGGTCATACATAATTCAACAGCTCAACTTTCGGGCCCGCCTCTTTCCTGGGGGTGGGAGTTTGCTCCAAACTTTGTTTATGGGACAGTCCGGGAGCTGCTGCGGCCGCGCTGTCTGCTTCTCCTGCGCCTCCTTTTCGCCCAGCACTAGCGCCTTAGGCCAGCTCGGGGGATGTGAGAGCCGAAGCCCTTAGACTGCCAGGCACAGAGTCGGGTCGGGATTTGTCAGCCAAGCCTCGGCTCCAGCTCCGCAATCTCGGGACTCACCCGAGCGACCCAGGCCCGACGGCAAGTTCGGGCGGGACGGCGGCCGCCGCGCGCTCAGGCTCAGCTTCGCTGCCCGCCCAGGTAGTGCCCGCTGGAGCTCGCGCGCTCATCCGGCACCACTCCAGGGCTCCAGGCTCCTCGGGCTTCCGGAGTCGAGACGTGGTGGAGTTGGCTCGGGCTGAACTTCTTTCGGGGGGCTGCCTGTCCTGGAATCGTGCGACCTTTCCTTTGCCATCCTGCGGTTCAGCAAGCCCCGAGTGCAGTTATTCCCTCCACCCCTCGCCCTATCTTCTCCTCCTCCAGGCAACTTCTTTGCTTCAAGAAAGTTGCATAATTCTCGAGGCCAGGAGGGACCCCTCCCCCATCCTGCTGGTCTTACCGCTGAGTGTCTGGGATCTCCAGGCGGGCAATTATCTGTCTCCTCGTTTCCTTTTCCCTCTATTCTTTCTCCCACCATCTCGCCCTCTCACCCTGTAACCCTCTTACCCACTTCCTCCGACTTTAAATAAAAGGCTGATCTGACCTTCTTTTTGCAGAAGATGAATCCGGCCTCGGCGCCCCCTCCGCTCCCGCCGCCTGGGCAGCAAGTGATCCACGTCACGCAGGACCTAGACACAGACCTCGAAGCCCTCTTCAACTCTGTCATGAATCCGAAGCCTAGCTCGTGGCGGAAGAAGATCCTGCCGGAGTCTTTCTTTAAGGAGCCTGATTCGGGCTCGCACTCGCGCCAGTCCAGCACCGACTCGTCGGGCGGCCACCCGGGGCCTCGACTGGCTGGGGGTGCCCAGCATGTCCGCTCGCACTCGTCGCCCGCGTCCCTGCAGCTGGGCACCGGCGCGGGTGCTGCGGGTAGCCCCGCGCAGCAGCACGCGCACCTCCGCCAGCAGTCCTACGACGTGACCGACGAGCTGCCACTGCCCCCGGGCTGGGAGATGACCTTCACGGCCACTGGCCAGAGGTACTTCCTCAAGTAAGTCAGCCTGGAGCCGAAGAAGGCACCAAGTCACAGTGCCCAACGCGCGCGTGTGTTCGTGTGTGTGTGTGTGTGTGTGTGAGAGAGAGAGAGAGAGAGAGAGAGAGAAAGAGAGAGATGGTGCGTGTCCTTCCACGGTTATTTCACAGATATGGAGAGCTGGAAGCAGGGAGTGAGTCTCTGAGTGTTGGAATTGTAAGGGATCAGAAGCAGGGATCAGAAGCAGTGGTGAAGTTCATCCACCATAAAACACACAGGTGACTTTGCCTTGAATCTGCAGGACTGAAGCCAACTCTTGGGCACAGACCCTTAGTCCCTTCCTTGGCCACTCTAAGTCAGATAGTCCAGAGCCAGGCCCTTTGGGATGTGACACCGAGATAAATCAGAGAAAAGCTGTGAAGCTTGGGGAACAGAGGGACTTTTGGTGAAGTAGGTGGTCTGCAGTTTCTATCTTCTTGGGAAAAGCAAGCTGGAAAAGTGAACAGTGGTTGGTAGGCCATAGTGCTCCCAGCTGGGTGACATAATGACCACACAGCACAGTGATGTTATTAGCAACTGTGTGGTGGAGTAGTTGTGGGCTGGACAAATCAATCGTGTGGAAATTGTTAGGAGTTTTATTACATTAAACTTGTTAACCTAAAATACCATCAAATCACAAGCCTGCTTTGTCACTCTTCTTCCTTTCACATTGTTCCAGCTTTTTGATGTCATGAATTTTACATTAGTTGAAATTTTCAAATTACACCCCACAGGAAAATATATTCTCAAACACTAGAGGAGGTTGTTTCAATTGTGGTACCCTAAGATAACTACATTCCTCAGGAGAAACCAGGCTGGAACTTGAAATGTTCCATTGAGGTCATAGGGTCAGGCTATCAAAGATGGAGGTTGTGCCAGCCTAACCACTTGTTTCAGGATTGCCTGCACTGCCAGTGAGGGAAACTCCTCTCCTAAGAACTTGACTTAGACTTCATTTTAAAGCCCATATTTCTTTAGTAGAGTAGCCTTAGTGCAAAAGTGAAGACACTATGTACAATTTTAAAAGTTTAATCAAGCCTTTCTTTGGCACTAATATTTGATGCTCTGATTGCTATGAGAGAGCCCTAAGAATGAATACACAGTGATGGATGAAGTTTACTATAGTGAGCCCATTGATTCATACCAGTGACCAATTCTTATTACTTCCCCATCTCAAGGCTGTTGATATCTTGTCCAAGGAGTTCTTTTGTTGTTTCTGAGATTGGTGTAATGCTGAGATTCTGAAACAGACTTGATGGTCATTTATGCCACAGCTGGTCTTCTCTGGGTTATTGAGTGATAGTTTGGACATGTGCTCAGTCCTTTGACTTCTAAGTAGCTGGTGGAGTCAAGAATATGATGTAATAACATGACTTTTGTTGTTGTTGTTTGTTGTTTGTTTTTGTTTTTGAGACAAAGTCTCACTCTGTCGCCCACGCTGGAGTGCAGTGGCACAATCTCGGCTCACTGCAACCTCCGCCCCCTGGGTTCAAGCAATTCTTCTGCCTCAGCCTCCTGAGTAGCTGGGATTACAGGCACCCACCACCACGCCTGGCTAATTTTTGTATTTTTAGTAGAGACGAGGTTTCACCATGTTGGCCAGGCTGGTCTTGAACTCCTGACCTCAAGTGATCTGCCTGCCTCGGCCTCCTAAAGTGCTGGGATTACAGGCTTGAGCCACCATGCCCAGCCCTACATGATTTCTTTCTTTCTTTCTTTCTTTCTTTTTTAGATGGAGTCTCGCTCTGTCGCCCAGGCTGGAGTGCAGTGGCGCGATCTAGGCTCACTGCAAGCTCCGCCTACCGGGTTCACGCCATTCTCCTGCCTCAGCCTCCCGAGTAGCTGGGACTACAGGCACCCGCCACCAAGCCCGGCTACTTTTTTGTATTTTTTTTAGTAGAGACGGGGTTTCAACATGTTAGCCAGGATGGTCTCTATCTCCTGACCTCGTGATCTGCCCGCCTCGGCCTCCCAAAGTGCTGGAATTACAGGTGTGAGCCACCACGCCTGGCCCCAGCCCTACATGATTTCTAAACTGTGTTTATGAATATATACACACATACGTATGGTATATGATCAGTATAACTGTGATTATTAAAAATATGAAATAGGAGCTAGGCTTGCCTAATATCTGAGGAAAACTAGACGAAAAAGACCCTGAAACAAAAGCAAAACAAAAAAATTCCTTTATACATTGTGTTTTGAATGATTGGAGTAGCTCAGAACTGCCTGTGAACAAGGGCAAAAGTGGAAGTTAGCCTTGGATTTAGAGAAAGTTGCTGTGATCTCTCTGCCCATCCCCCCAACCACAACCACTCTCCAATCCAAAGCAGAGTGCATCTTCATTTCACTTTGGGTAGTCAATGAAAATGACAGCTGAAAAAAATGTGTAAGTAGTAGGCTGGCCTGCTCTGATGCTATCCCTGGAAGTATTTTGGCCAAGTGACTAAGAGAGGTTAAGAATTTGTCAGTGACTATTGTCTTTAAGGATAAGCAATCTGCCAAGAGTTCTCTGAATTTCTTGTAGAGTTTTGTTTAAAGTTGGAATTAGGTAAATGTCATACACTTTGTTACACAGCCTCAAAAGGCAGTGTATTTCAGTGGATTAAGTAGAAGCTTGAAAAATGATGGTGACTCACTTGGAGTTACTTTTCATTATGTCTGTTTATTACTTTACTTGCCATCTATGAAATAGGGCTGAGGCTAGCAGATACATTTTTTTTTTTAATTTTTTTATTTTTGGCTGGGGTAGAGATGGGGTTTCACTATGTTGCCTAGGCTAGTCTCAAACTCCTGTACTCAAGTGATTCTCCTGCCTTGGCCTCCCAAAGTGCTTGGATTACAGGCATGAGCTACCATGCCCAGCCAGAAGAAGAATCTTTTTCTTGACTCTGTTGGGAGTTGAGAGCTTTATAAGTTGGAAATCAAAGGATTTTAGAATGACAAGGGTCAATTTTGTTTAGTTTAGTTTTTGACTAGAAAATTGAGGCCACGGAAGGGTGATGATAGGAATTTGGGAAAGTCATGTGGTTATTTAATGGTGGACCCTGGACTGGACCTCTAATCTGTTGCTGTCTACTTAGGCAACAGTTTTCCTTTTTCCCCACCGACACCTTTCCCCCATGTCACTTCCTTAGCTAAACAATGAACTTAATGGGAAACAGAGCCTGGACATCTAAGAAGCTTTAAAAAAGCCTTTTGTCATTTTCTCAGGTAAGATTATTCCTAGGTATATGATGTAATCACTTTCTGCAACCTCCTGAAGGCACCTTTCCTGAGCATTCACAGCTTTCCTGTGGTGTTCAGGTGTCCTGTGGTATTCAGATATTCCTTTAGAGTAACAATGACTAGGGCATGGTGGTGCCCACCTGCAGCCACTACCACCCCCACCCCATCTCTAAATAAAAAGTTTTTAAAAATTAGAGTAACAGTGAAGCAGATTGAATGTTAAAACACCTAGCCTCTGAAAACCACTGTGTTCATTCATTATTCCTGCTGTCCTCTCAATCTCATGAATCAGGCTGGGGTGTTGGGCAACCTGGCACACTGACTGAATACTGATCACATTAAATTTTTAAAAGGTCTCTGATTATAAATAGAATACATGCTTTCTATACATAAACCAGAAAATGGGGAATTATAAAGAAGAAAGTTATCTAGCTTCAGTAGAATTTCCCATCTTTACTCTTTCGCAAACATTCTTGTAAAAATCTTTCATTTGAGTAACGTGATTTTATAAGAAAAAAGATTTTATCCTCCTCTTAAATACAATTCAGACTATAACATTTGGCTGCCACGTCTCATTTTTAGTGACAATTTTAGTGTTTTGCCTTTTCTCAAATGTGTGACAGAAAATTATTTTTGTCCAAGTGATCCATGCACTTGGTAACAAATCCAATATACAGGAGGACATTTGTTGAAAAACAATGGTTTCCTTCACCTCCTCAAGGCTCACAGAGGGCAACTTTTAATTTTTTTCAACTGTACCCATATTTAATTCTTAGATTGTTACCTTCTTAAGCTTAAGTAATGTGCTTTTACCACCATGTTTTGATTTATCAACTTTTAGCACCTGATATGAAAGTGAGAATGTAGCTCTTTAAGCTAGTTTTCTTTTTTCTCTCCCAGGTTTGATGTTTATAATATTTTAAATTTGTCTGTTAGGTCACCTTTTTTAAATAATCATCTTTTTTTTTTTTTTTTTTTTTTTTTTTTTTTTTTTTTTTTTTTTTTTGAGATGGGGTCTGTCTCTGTCACCCAGGCTAGAGTGCAGTGGGAATCATAGCTCACTGAAGCCTCAAATTCCTGGGCTCAAGTGATCCTCCCACCTCAGCTTCCTGAGTAACTACGACTATAGGTTTGCACCACCATATTTGGCTAATTTATTTAACTTTTTTGTAGAGACAGGGTTTCCTATGCTGCCCAGGCTGGTCTCAAACTCCTGGCCTCAAGCAATCCTCCCACCGGCTTCCTAAAGCACTAGGATTACAGGTGTGAGCCACCACACCTGGCTTTTTCAACTTTGGATAGTATTTCTTGATTCCTTATGCTGTATGTCAGTAATGTTTGGATTGCTACCAGTTCTACTGTTCACTTTTTGACAATGTTGCTTTCCACATTGCCAAAGCCCTGAACCCATAACCTGTATTTGTGCTTTGCCCCAAAGTTGACCATCTTATTCGTATATGATTCTTAAAGTTGAAAATCCATAAGGCCGGGCGCAGTGGCTCATGCCTGTAATCCCAGCACTTTGGGAGGCCGAGGCGGGCGGATCACGAGGTCAGGAGATGGAGATCATCCTGGCTAACACCGTGAAACCCCGTCTCTACTAAAAAATACAAAAAAAAAAAAAAAAAAAAAAATTAGCCGGGCGTGGCAGCGGGCGCCTGTAGTCCTACTCAGGAGGCTGAGGCAGGAGAATGGTGTGAACCCCGGAGGCGGAGCTTGCAGTGAGCCGAGATCGCGCCACTGCACTCCAGCCTGGGCAACAGAGCCAGACTCCATCTCAAAAAAAAAAAAAAAAAAGAAAATCCATAGGCAACATTTACATGACTACAATTCTGTGAAATGATTCATTGCCTTGTGTGTCAGGATTGGATTTTAGACTTGCACTGTGGGTCTGGTTTTAGGATTCCTGGGCCAATCAAAGGATGAGATATCTAGCCCCAAAGTCAAATGGGATTTTTTGTTTTCTCACTCTTCATCAGTTGTTTAAATTTGTGTTACCTTTTAGTTTTTTCATATTTGGACCATGACTTTCTTAAATTTTTTCCCTAGTATTTCTGATTGCCTTTTAATGTGTTCATGCATTATTTGCCATTATTATGATCTCAAAAGTTTTCTAGGCTCTCAATCTTGTCTAACCTATCGAGTCTTCTTTGTCTAAGCTGTATGCCGAGATTCCTTTCTCGTTCTGTGCCGTTCTGAACTGGTTATTCACTAAGCCCACTACAGAGCTGTCATCCTGGAACTTCTTTCCATGGCTGGAAGTGCTGTTTCCTTTTCCCGTGTCTTCCTATTTTTTTGGTTTATCCCTCATTTTGCTGCAGTACATGCTTGAGTAACTTCTTAAGAAGTGGTTTGTAGGAGGTAAGTTTTTCAAGTCCTTTTTTATCTGAACGTATTTACTTAAAAATTGTTCTGACTCTGGCTTGTTTTTTCTGTTTATCTTTGAATGACAGTATAATGTAGCTGTTTTCATAAGGGCCCTTTGTCATTCAAAAAATACTGTCTGCTAACTCAGTTGTCTGTAATGTGAAGAGAGTGATACCTGTTGCATTGTGGTTTGAAAGATGAGCATATTTAAAGCATCTGGCGCACAGGAGATGTTCAGTACAAGTTAGTTCTTGCTTTCTCTTCTCTCTCTCCCAACACACATAGCCTATTTACCCAGCCAAAATCAGAAGCAGAAACCTTGGCAATAGGGGTCAGGTGATTTTTGACTCTGGATTACAGCTGTAGCTTTGAGGGACAACCTGGATCTGGAGTTGAAAGTCAGTTTTAAGTTTAAAATAAGGAGTTAGAGTCAACTTTCCTGGTTAAGAGAAACCTAAATAGGAATGCTCACTGTAAGTGCCCTTTTGCTTCAGCATTTTGGGCAGAGGATACCCAACTCCATCTGAGAAGTGTCTAGTTTTTATTGTTTGGAATCTAGATTGTCACTACAAATTGAGCTGTTTTTGTGTGTGGGATAGGGGAGGAAGAGGAAATGGAGAAGGGGGAGATGAGCAGGAAAGGTAATTGACATTTGTTGATTACCTGCTGTATGCCAGACAAGGCAGAGAGTGAGAGTCAGCACATCCCAGAGAGATAGCAACAGAATTATATGCATATGGAACTTTTTCATAACCCTAGATGCTTTTACGTATATTATTTCTTTTAACCCTCACAGTGATCCCATGAACAGGTATATATTATTACCTCATTTTACTGTTAAGTAAACTGAGGCTCAGTGAGGTTAAATAAATGTCCTGGGGTCATATAACAGGTGAGTGGCAGAGATGGGATTAGAACTCTGTGATTCCAAAACCTGTGTTCCTGTCCTTATGCCATGCTGTCTCATGCCAATTGTGTGGCCCATAATTAGGTCTTGTAATTATGTATCCTTGATGATCGCATAACTGTGGTGGTGGAGTGGTGGATGGATTTTTAGAGTTTGCTTCTGAACTGAGTCTGGGTTATGCTATTTGGAACTGTCATTGATGGTGAGATAGAGATGATGGAAGAAAACCCAAATATACCAGAAATGGGTAGTACACCTCCATTGTCTATTTATATTTTATTCTCATCAAGATTTCCACCAAGGTGACTCACACCACTAATCTTATCACTTTGGGGGGCCGAGGTGGGAGGATTGCTTGAGGCCAAGAGTTTGAGACAAGCCTGGGCAACATAGCGAGATTCTGTCTCTACAGAATTTTTTTTTTTTTTTTTTTTTGAGATAGCGTTTCACTCTTGTCGCCTAGGCTGGAGTGCAATGGCGCCATCTCAGCTCACGGCAGCCTCCTGCTCCCAGGTTCAGCTGATTCTCCTGCCTCAGCCTCCCGACTAGCTGGGATTATAGGCATCTGCCACCTCGCCTGGCTAATTTTTGTATTTTTAATAGAGACAGAGTTTCACCATGTTGGCCAGGCTGGTCTCAAACTCCTGACCTCAGGTGATCTGCCCACCATGGCATCCCAAAGTGTTGGGATTACAGGCGTGAGCCACTGCACCCGGCGGTCATATGGATTTCTTTCAGCTTATTCTTTACTTGCATGCTCTCTTTCCTGGACTTCTAGCTTTTATTTAATGTTCCGTCTAGGCATAGCAGAAAATAAATAAGAAAGGAAAAGATGATGTTCACTTGCTCAGTGCTATTAGGAGAAGAAGTGAAATGAAGAAACATTTATAAAGTGCTGAGCGCAGTGCCTGGCACAAACACCACCTTTGCAAGTTCATTCCTGTTATTGTTCGGGATTTAGACGGTGAAAGGGGCGATGATCTTCCAGGGCCTTGCCTTTGTGCCATCTAAAAGATCTTTAGCCAGTTCAGCTAATTTACAACTAGAAATCATTTGAACTTGGCTGGGCGCGGTGGCTCACGCCTGTAATCCCAGCACTTTGGGAGGCTGAGGCAGGCAGATCACCTGAGGTCAGGAGTTCGAAACCAGCCTGACCAACATGGAGAAACCCTGTCTCTATTAAAAATACAAAATTAGCCGGGCATGGTGGCGCTTGCCTGTAATTCCAGCTACTCAGGAGGCCGAGGCAGGAGAATCGCTTGAATCCGGGAGGCAGAGGTTGCAGTGAGCCGAGATCATGCCATTGCACTCCAGACTGGGCAACAAGAGCAAAACTCTGCCTCAAAAAAATAAAAAATAAAAAAAATTAAAAAAAAGCATTGAACTCCTGTTTGTGTTAGCATCGTGAGTATGTCCTAAAAGAAGAAATGTGTGGCTGGCTTTATCACCGCAGGCAGCTGACAGAATCTGGAGAGAGAAGGGGAACACAGACAAACCAGGCCAAAGAGCTGGTTTCGACCTGTGGTCCTAGAGCCTGGATCAGCTGCCTTCCACCTTGGTTTGCCGGAAGCCTTTGTAAGGTGTGTCCTAAGTCAGTCATTTATAATATGACTAAAGGTCTGAAATTTGCAGCTGTACAGAATGTCTGTCAGTTTCTCCCATTGGCTGTACTCCTTCTGGCCTCAGGAACTTGGCACAAGCTGTTTCCTTTGCCTGGAACATTATTTCCCTGCTTTTTGCCTGCTTAACTCCTCCATTACCTTCAGATATCAGCTTAGATGCCACATCCTGCAGGAACTTTTCCCCAACTTGCAGCTCCCACTCTGGATTAGATGCTGCTGCTCCTCCTCCCATAGGCCCTTCTGTTTCCTCAGTCATTGCTCCACTCTCATATTACTGTTTTTTTTTTGTTTTGTTTAGTTTTGGTTTTCCTTTTTTTACTGCACTGTAACCTCCATCAGGGGAAGAACGATGTTTGTCTTGCTTGGCATTGCTTAACTTGAGCACAGTGCCTGGCACATAGTAGGTGTTCGAAAGGAATCCTGTATTATTTATTTTTAGCCATTTTCATTGTAAACTTGCACCCTGGAATTCGTAGGAGTCTTCCATGCTTGGAAATGGCATTCCATTGTATCTGTGCCCCTTTGACTGCAAGATTAATGTCAGAGCTCCAGATACTAAATGCAGTGGAGAGGGAGATGAATGAAGGCTGGGTGTTCAGAGAAGTCTCATAAAGGTGCTTAGACATAAATGGAACCTTCAAAAAGTGGCAAAGATATAGGTAGGTGTGCAGACAAGCCTTCCAGGAAAAACAGGATGGGAAGAGAGGTATAGAGGCAGAAATGCTGAGGGTGTGTTTTTGAGACTAAGAGGAGCTTGTACTGACTTGTATTAAAAGATAGGTGTTGGTTGGTAGATGATTATGCATCCCATTGAGGTTCTGGAGCCTCAGCTAGGGTGGGCTCATTGACCTTTTGCTAGTAAATGTCAACTTTCTCACTCCTTAGTTTTGAGATACACGAGTCCTAGCTTTTTGTGACTGTAGCGTAAGACCCCACCATTGTCACCTATGTTGAGATCTTCCTGGTTGTTTAGAGAACTAAGCATTTTATGCTGACTTAAAAGAGTCTGGAAATTATGGTCTTTTTATCTTTCCATTCATAGCTCCATCCTATATTCAATTTAGCAAGTACAGTTCCAAAATTGTGGGTGGTCTTTACTTCCCAAGTAAGTGGGATACCAGGCTACCCTTGACTTGGGACCGCCCCTGCTGGATCTATCATTTCTGCTTGTAAATGAATAGCTTTTGAGTCTGCTTGTTCCCAGAATACTCTCTTGTGGTTTTCGGTACTTTCTCAGTTCCTCTGAGGCTGATCAACTAGACACAGACAAAACTGAGATTCTGGAACCATAGTCATCCCACCAGGGCCCACCTAGGCCCAGTTCCCTGAGGATGCCCTGCCTGGGCAGCCAGTGGCCTCCCTCTCAGGAACGCATTTTCTAAACTCGAAAGTTCATGTTTTCAGGTGACTTCTTTAAATTAAAAAAAAAAGTTTTTAAAGAGGTAATAAATACATTTAAATACCAAGAACCTAAAATAAGTACAAAGGCATTTACTGGGAAGAGTCTTTCTTTCACTCTCCTCCAGTCCTCTTGTCCCCCTCCCCAGAGCACTAGTTTTTTTGTTTTTTCAGAGAAACTCTTTGTGAGTACAAGCATGCATGTATCAATGTAGATATCCACCTAGACCATGTCAACACAACACAATGGTAGTGTACTGTACACACTCTTCTGCACCTTCTTTTTTTTTCACTTAGTATAATATATCTTGGAGTTCATTTCTCTTCTGTACATAAACCTCTGTTTTTTTTAAGGACCACATAGTATTCCATTGCTTAGGAATTTAAATGTACATCATGTCCCCTACTGATGGACATTTAATTGTTTCTTTCTCTTTTTAATTAAAATTTTATATGCTCAAACACTGTTGGAGGGAGGAAAGTGGAAAAGAAATTCTTCTGATCTTCTCTGAATCCCCCATTTAGAAAGTACCATTGTTAACACTTTATTCAGAAATATTCTTTGCCCAAAGAACAGCTCTCCGGTTCCCATCTAATTTGTTAGCTAGCTAGTCGGTTATCTAATTTATCTGTCATCCACTGTTCTATCTGTCAATCAGTCTGCTTATCCTTCTTATACAAGGCTGATGCATGGTCTACCAAATTCAATAACCAGTTAGAGTGGATGCCCAACCAATAAGAACTGATGGCATACTGCTGGGAAGTAACTGATTATATAGCTTAGTGCTACTCAAAGTATGGTCCATGGACTGATGCCAGTGTACAGTTGAATTATAACTGGCCTATGAAGAGCTAGATAGAGAAGTTGAGAGTATTTAGAAACTTTATGGCAAAATGGCATTGCTATGACATCCAAGTAGGTGACCAATGCAATTATCTTGTGGAACAGGGTAGTTTGGGTGTGTCACTCTTGTGTGGTGAGTCACATGTGGTGTGAGCTATGTATAAGCCATCCACCATAGGACTACATACTGGTCTTGACAGATTGGAAATAAAACCCCGGTCCTTCACCACAGATAGTTTGAGAAGCAGTAATCTGTTTATCTCTCTTAACGACCTATCTAATGTGTCTGTCATCCATCTCTTAATCAATTCATCTATTTACTTACCTATCGTTTTATTTTTCCATCCATCCTTCTAGCTATAATTTTTGCATCAACCAATTAATCATACCTTTCATTAACTTAATAATCATTCTAAGAGGTTCAGTCTTAAAATGGAAATCTATGGCACAAAGGTTGTATATAATCTGTTTTCTAGTACATAATATATTTTATGTCTTTGTGGCTTCTACAGTAACTCATTGTTTTAAAATTTTGCTGTGGCACATCTCAATTCTGAACACTGTACAAAAATCCAATTTCTGTTCTTTTTTGTGACTAGTCTGCTGGTAAGCATTGCCAGTGACAGACTCAGGAGTCAAAACATGGTGACTGGAGAAAAATACACATGCTAGGTTGTTTATTTAAAAAAAAAATATTCATTTGTGATGGCTTTTCTGCAGATATTAAAATACTGAATATCTTTCTCCTAGTTTGCACTTGCAAAGCACTTCTTAGCCTAGGTTTTCAAAGGGGCACCTGGGCACCTATCATAGTTGAGGCTGCAACTGTGTGTGATAACCCATCAGAAAGGAGAAAACCCAAGCAAATGGTAAATGTGACTATAATGAACAAACGTAACTTTTACTGACTTCATTTATTTTGGGGTTTGTTTTTAAAAAGCTGGCTTTTGTTATAAAAATAATACATACTCTTACCAAAAAGTCCAAACAGAACTGAAAGTTATAAAGTGAAAAGTAGGGGCTGAGCAGTGGCTCATACCTGTAATCCCAGCATTTTAGGAGGCCAAGGCAGGTGGATCACTTGAGGTCAGGAGTTTAAGAGCAGCCTGGGGCCAGGCGTGGTGGCTCACACCTGTAATCCCAGCACTTTGGGAGGCCGAGGCGGGCAGATCACGAGGTCAGGAGATCAAGACCATCCTGGCTAACACGGTGAAACCCCATCTCTACTAAAAATACAAAAAATTAGCCAGGCGTGGTGGCGGGCACCTGTAGTCCCAGTGACTCGGGAGGCCGAGGCAGGAGAATGGCGCGAACCTGGGAGGCAGAGCTTGTAGTGAGCTGAGATCGCGCCACTGCACTCCAGCCTGGGCGACAGATCGAGACTCCGTCTCAAAAAAAAAAAAATAAATAAAATAAAAGAGCAGCCTGGCCAACATGGTGAAACCCCGTATCTACTAAAAATACAAAAATTAGTTGGGCATGGTGGCGTGTACCTGTAATCCCAGTTACCTGGGAGGCTGAGACACGAGAATTGCTTGAACCTGGGAGGTGGAAGTTGGAGTGAGCTGAGATCAGGCCACTGCATTCCAGGCTGGGCCACAGAGCAAGACTCTGTCTCAAAAAAATAAGTAAAAAAAGAAGTGAACAGTAAAAGTACTGCCCACCTCCCTGCCACCACCACCCTGCAACCCCAAGACACACACTAGGTTTACTCCTCAGAAGTAACTACTGTTCCCAGTTACTTGTGTTATCTTCCAAGGATTTATTATGCATATATGTATATATGACTTGACTGATAAAAACAGCATTAGTTTGTTTTTGCATTGTGGGAAGTCTCTGTTACTGGTTGAGCCTCACATAACCTCAGGACCGGGTAGAGTACAGACATGGATTAAATTCTGGAGAACTGGATGCAATGCCTGATGGGATGTCTCAGGGTGAAAAGCCTTATCGGGGTAACCATGATCTAGAGACTGGGATTTGACTTTTTGGTTCAAGAAAGTGACGTCTCTGCTGGCCCAAAACTGGTCAGGTTTTCGAGGACTGTCTGATGTGAGCCATACTGGGGAGAAACAGGGATAGAAATTTTCATTACAGTTCCAGAAGCACAGGTAGTGACTGGAATATTCTGCCACTCTGGAATGAAGGTATTCATAAGAGTGATTTAATTGCTGAAAAGTTGCTTTAGTGGTGCTGGAAAAGAGAAGAAGTGAGATCATTTTAATCACTGAAGGGATATTAGCAGGTAAATTTGACAGGATTTGGTGATGGATTGGATAAAGGCAGCGAGTAAAGCAGGAGGAAAGGAAGATTTGCAGATTGCTGGCTGTATAATGTCAGGGCTGGTGGCGCCTCTAATTGTAGCAAGCCGTACTGGGAGCCTTGGAAGAAGTGGAGAAATTATTTAACATATTGAGTTTGAAGTGACTTTAAGATGCCCAAGGGAGGAAAATGGGGTGTAGTGGAATGTGTATAATTATTCAAATCCTGGTGTGGTTGAGATTTCTTAGAGAGGTTACAGATAGAATGAGAAGAAACAAGAAGTACTGATGGACCCTGTAAAGAGATGGAGAGAGAAGAGAAAGAGAGGTAGGAGGAAATCCAGAGAGTGGTGCGTGGAAGCCAGGGAAGAAAGTCTTTCAAGAAGAAAGAATGGTTAGCTCTGTGGTGTGTTTCTCAGAGGTCAAGGAAGATAAGGACTGAAAAATGTCCAGTGAATGACTTTTCCACGAGGACACTTTCTTTCCCAGGATAGGTCATAACAGGGCCTGAGGTACTAATTCTTATGATAATTCAGATAATTTAGTTTTGAGAGACAGAAAAATAAGGAAAATAAAGATCTCAATTAGATAAGGTGTGAATACACTCCCACATAGTCCCACAAGTTTCCATATAACCTATAGTGTCTCTCACTTTATTGCCGTATACCACACGTTTGCTTGTTTAAGCATCCTATTAAAATGGGGTCCGAAATCAGTGTTTTATAACTAACTGAGCTAAGTTATAAGACTCGGGTAAAAACATGACTCTAATTGATATGATCATTACTTGCTGTGAGGAAAATTACAGTCTGCAATCCTAGCTTGGTAAAATCTTCGTCACAATTTGTAGTGCACAGGACTGTTATTGCTGGCACACGTCATAACTAAATTACAGCCATAAAAATAGCAGATTATGTTTGGAGAGTATCAGTAAAAAATTTATGGTTCCAAATATTATGTAACTGTAGTTTCAGATAAATGTTTATCTTTCCTATCTTTGTTTCTCCATTCACTGGAACTGATTTTGATACCTGGCAAAGGGGACTCAGATTAATGCAAGTAAGTTCGCCAGGCCAGTTTGCCCTTTCACAATATAAGGTAAATAAAACATGTTTAATTATATCAAACTGGTTTGAGTTTGGCTGCATTTTGTAGTTAAAGCTTGTATTGTAGTTAAAAGGCTATTCTGTATTTTGCTAATTTGGGAGCATTTGGTGGCCTTGTTACAGATTTGGGATTTGTAAAGACATGTGAATTTAGTAGGCGGGATTAAGAATCATAAAAGAAGCAGTAAACTTGAGTGCTGCTCATAAAATTACTTAGGTTTTCTGCAGATGCATTCTCTAGTGCAACCGTCCCCACTTTTTGGGTCTTTGTTTTAGGTATTATGTGAAATATAACCCTATGCATATGCAACTTTTGGCAAATAAGGATTTCTTTTTTTTTTTTTTTTGAGACGGAGTCTCACTCTGTCGCCCAGGCTGGAGTGCAGTGGCCCGATCTCGGCTCACTGCAAGCTCCGCCTCCCGGGTTCCGGCCATTCTCCTGCCTCAGCCTCCCGAATAGCTGGTACTACAGGCGCTTGCAACCACGCCTGGCTAATTTTTTGTATTTTTAGTAGAGACGGGGTTTCACCATGTTAGCCAGGATGGTCTCGATCTCCTGACCTCGTGATCCACCCGCCTCGGCCTCCCAAAGTGCTGGGATTACAGGCGTGAGCCACCGTGCCCGGCCGGATTTCTCTTACAAAATTATATCATCCAACTTATATTTGGGTATTCGTACTTTCGTGTGTGTGTGTGTGTGTGTGTGACAGAGTTTTGCTTGTCGCCTAGGCTGGAGTGCATTGATGCGATCTCAGTTCACCGCAACCTCTGCCTCCTGGGTTCAAGCAATTCTCCTGCCTCAGCCTCCCAGTTAGCTGGGATTACAGGCATGGGCCACCACGCCTGGCTAATTTTGTATTTTTAGTAGAGACGGGGTTTCTCCCTGTTGATCAGGCTGGTCTTGAACTCCCAACCTCAGGTGATCTGCCTGCCTCGGCCTCCCAAAGTGCTGGGATTACAGGTGTGAGCCACCACGCCCGGCCACATTCGTACATTTTAACATAAAATCCAACCATAAGGCTATATTGTAGAAAAGCTTGAAGGAAAGAAGGCAGGAATGGAGAAAGGATCAGCTACCTAAAAGTTGAGCTGTAGCCAAGGGTATGTTTAAAACATCTCTTTTTTACCTAGGCTTTTAAAAAAGTTTAGCTATCTTATCTATCATCTAAGAAAAGTTAACCTTGAGTTATTGATCTTGCATGTCTGCATTTGAAGTATGAAGATGACAGGGGCTGTGCTTTGGGCCTTGGAAAGCTGTGTTCTCAAGCAAAGGTCCAAGAGCTGTAATCCGTATGGTACACAGTGGAAACATTGTTCTTTGTATTTGTCTGTTGCTAACTTTTTAATAAACTATTAAGTAGTTGGTGATTATTAACAGTAGGAGCAGAATGTAGGGTCATTATGGACAATTTGGAGTGTCAACATTAAAGAAATGATTTTAAAGGTTAGATCCCAATTGTTGAGACTTTGCCTGAAACTTTGGCAGGTAAGTAGAGTGAGGGATGGACCAGCACAACCTTTTGTAATTATTAGCCGTAGTGAAGTGAGTCAAGTTTTGCCACAGTGCTTTTTGTTTAACCTAACAATTGGCCGGCCCTAGTTAATTGTTGAAAACCATTAAAGGACTCAAATTTCCCAGTTGCACATGCATTGGAATGTCCAGCTTACCTCATGTGTGTGAATAAAGGGCCAGTGGTGTGGCTAATTAAAGTGCATTGTCCTTTAAGCAAAGCGTCAGTAACAAATTAAGTTTTAAGAGTTCTCGAAAGGCCCTTCTGAGGACTGGTAAACATCTTGGTGGCTGGTACATATCGTATGGAGTCTAGGTGTGAAAGCTGCTGAAAACAAGCATTATAAACTTCCAAGTAAGTGTGGAGGTGTAAACTGATGCCATAGAGTTGCTTCAGCTGAAGCGAAAGATCATATTTACTGACACTTATTACAAATGGGTTTTTAAAACAATGTCTGTTTTGTACAGTGACAGTAAAGTCTGCCAAGAGTAAAACAAAAAGTTATATTGTGGAACAAGATAAAAGGACCCTGCATAATAAATAATATCGAATGCCTTAAAATATGAGGTTTCATTTCCAAAATATAAATATGAGCTCCTAAATGAATGTTTAAATAATTTGGTTTTTCTTTGATTTGCCAGTGACTTGATACGTAAAATAATTTTGGCTCTGAATATGTCCAGATCTAGGCCATCACAATAAAGAATACATCTGTATAGTAAATACAAAATAAAGCAACCACAAATGACATCATGTTTTAGTGATAGCTTAGGAATTGTTTTTTTTATTATGATAGACCAAAAGTAGTTTATTGGCTATAAATAATATATTTATTATCTGCCAGTTTCTAAGAGTAGCATGATATCTCTGATCCAAACTGTATTGATTCTGGTCGGGCTCGGTGGCTCATGCCTGTAATACCAGCACTTTGGGAGGCCGAGGTGGGTGGATTACTTGAGGCCAGGAGTTTGAGACCAGCCTGGCCAACATGGTGAAACCCTGTCTCTACTAAAAATACAAAAATTAGCTGGGTGTGGTGGCACATGCTTGTTATCCCAGCTACTCAGGAGGCTGAGGCAGGAGATTCACTAGAACCAGGGAGGCAGAGGTTGCAGTGAGCCAAGATTGGGGCACTGCATTTCAGCTTTGGGGGCAGAGCGAAACTCTGTTTCAAAAAAACAAAAACAAAACCAATCTATATTGGTTCTAACCTTTATCTATAGACAAAAGCATTGGTTTATGAAAACCATCAGAGATGCAAGCCATAGAAACTTTCAAAAAGTTCTTTAAGATGCAACTGTCTGGATCTGATAAATAGTTTCAATTGTTTTGCTCTTGATCTGGATGGGTTTTGAGCAGAGGAGATTGGGTGAAATTAAAGGTTTCTTAAAATTGTTGACACTGGTAGAGAGGCATTTATCTGAATACAGTGGGGAAGACCAGAGATGTTGCTTAAAGAGATTTTGTAAGAAAAGTAGGCACAATTCTTGTGAAAAGTGGGCTACGTGAATAAGGGCAATCCAAGAAATCATGTTAGTGCCCCTGTGTAGTTGTATGACTTCTGTACTTTTTCTTTCTTTCTTTCTTTCTTTCTTTCTTTTTTTTTTTTTTTTTTTTGAGACGGAGTCTCGCTGTGTAGCCCAGGCTGGAGTGCAGTGGCACAATCTCGGCTCACTGCAAGCTCCACCTCCCAGGTTCACAACGTTCTCTTGCCTCAGCCTCCCAAGTAGCTGGGACTACAAGTGCCCACCACCACGCCTGGGTATTTTTTTGTATTTTTTAGTAGAGATGGGATTTCACCGTGTTAGCCAGGATGGTCTCGATCTCCTGACCTCGTGATCCACCCACCTCGGCCTCCCAAAGTGCTGGGATTACAGGCGTGAGCCACTGCACCCAGCCAACTTCTGTACTTTTTCAAAGGTGAACTTTTGGGGAGGTGATTTCTTGAGAAGTGGGGAAGATAATGGGATAAGTTGTAAAAGTGCCCAGAAATATGAGTTTATAAGAGACCTTGAGAGCTACATACTAATGTAGCTGTCCATTAGTATGAAAGAAGACCAGACATGTTGTCCAAGCTGTCTATAGGAAAATAGAAGAGGTAACTTTAGGTTGTCGTGGCTCACACTTATAATCCCAGAACTTTGGGAGGCTGAGGCAGGAGAATGGCTTGAGGCCAGGAGTTTGAGACCGGCCTGAGCAACAGAGCAAGACCCCATCTCTATAAAAAAGTTTTAAAAATTAACAGAATGTGGTGGTGCACACTGCTATAGTCCCAGCTACTTGGGAGGCTGAGGCAAGGGGGATCACTTCAGCCTATGAATTCAGGGTTGCAGTGAACTATGATTGCACCACCGTACTCTGGCCTGGGCAACAGAAAGAGACCCTGTATATATATATTTTTTTCCAAGATAATTTTAGTCTTAGTCTACTCTGAATAACAAAGAAGAATGATTTATTCATTTAGAGGCATTTTAAGAGCAGTCTTTGTAGACCATTGCTAGATCTTTTTGGAATGGGCTGCCTTGAAAGCAGAGAGAATGTAACCATGTGTCTTTAAGTGGCATTGTTTAGTGGTTCTTCACGGCAGCCCAAAGAGAAAGTATCTGGCATCAGATTTGCTGGATGTGCAGAGATGCCAGTATCTCTCGTTTGAGCTAGCCTCTGCGGTGTTTTTGCTCTCAAACCTGGTGGTAGAGTGACGGCTTTGATTTGCTTCCTGCCTGAAGCCTGCTTTGGATGAATTTAAAAACCTGTTTGTTTCCCCATCGGCCGGCTGAGCCTTACCCATAATTCCTGAACTTTGATTATGGGGGTTATTACAGGACAAGAGCTTCTTTGTAAAAGAGCATGTTTAATACTCTGGGGTCTAGCGTGACTAGCGGATATAAATTGTATGGAAGCAATTAAATGCGAAGGAAATGTCATGTGGGCTGAATTTAAACATAACTTGCGGCATTGATTTTTTTTTTTTAACTTACACTAAGAAGGATGGAGAGAGAAAAAAGAAAGAGAATGGAAACAGGCCAAGCGAGTCAGAGAAGCACACGCAGAGACAAGAGAAAAGGAGTCATTTTTAACATTTGGTTAAAAGTCCAAAGCCCAGAGCTAGCATTATGTGAATTATACTAGTATTATGCCATTGCCCTTTAAATGAACTCTTTAAAAACACAAATGTCAGGGAAGTATACTGTACTTGGGGCTTGTATCTCTTTCCAGTTGCTCCTCTTTATCTTAAGGCATATATGTACATACAGCAGTGATTTTTTTTGGAATATGTTAATAAACAGGCCTGAAGGAAGCTCCGTAAACGATTAAAGTGCTTCTTTCCCTAGTTTTCTCTCCTTTTATGCTCACGGCCACTGCATGCCTCTTTTCTTTTCTTTTCTTTCTTTTTTTGACAAAGTTTCGCTCTTGTTGCCCAGGCTGGAGTGCAATGGTGCAATCTTGGCTTCCTGCAACCTCTGCCTCCTGGGTTCAAGTCATTCTCCTGCCTCAGCCTCCCAAGTAGCTGTGATTACAGGCATACAGCACCACGCCTGGCTAATTTTTTTGTATTTAGTAGAGACGGGGTTTCACCATATTGGTCAGGCTGGTCTTGAACTCCTGACCTCAGGTGATCCACCACCTCAGCCTCCCAAAGTGCTGGGATTACAGGCGTGAGCCACCGTGCCTGGTTGCCACTGCATATGTCATACAGAGTAGCTCATCTTTGCACTTTTGATTAGGAGTAGTGTGTCATTTCTCACTTGCCTAGAATGTCCTACATCCCTATGCTTGGTCTATTAAGACTTAGCCAGCCCCATCTCCTGTCTAATGCCTTATTACACCAACCAACTAGAAGGGATCTCCTCCTACTCCAGATCCCCATAGTAATTTGATCTATTGGGGTAATTTGCCACTTAATCTTTTCTACTGTCCATCAGAGTGTCGTGTAAGGTTTGTTTGTAAATGAATGGGTTTATTTCATTTCTCCAACTTGCCAATTCTTAGAATATGGAACTGGTGTTGTATTGTCCTTCATGCCTAGCACATATTGGTACTAGGGAATATTTATTGAGATTAATGTTAATACTGAATATGGGCCGGGCACGGTGGCTCATGCTGATAATCCCAGCACTTTGGGAGGCCGAGGTGGGTGGATTACCTGAGGTTAGGAGTTCAAGACCAGCCTGGCCAACATGGTGAAACCCCGTCTCTACTAAAAATACAAAAAAAAAATTAGCTGGGCATGGTGGCACACCCCTGTAATCCCAGCTACTGGGGAGGCTGAGGCAGGAGAATTGCTTCAGCCTGGGAGGTAGAGGTTGCAGTGAGTCGAGATCATGCCACTGCACTCCAGCCTGGCCAACAGAGCGAGACTCTGTCTCAAAAAAAAAAAAACATACTCAATATGCTGTTAAAATAATCAAAATGTGACTGGGTGGTCACAGGCAGAAATTGATGCTTTTAGATTAGATGTAATAATATAGCAAGTTTGATGTGAAATTGAGTTTAGAAATAATAGACAACCTTTGATTATTTGCTGTGATAGAGAGTACTTGTCCTTTATTTTTATTCTATATGCTATGAACTCATAGTGACAAGAACCAAATCTTACCTGCCTTGCATAATACTTCTCTCTTTTTTTTTTTTTTTTTTTTTTTTCACTTGAGACAGTCTTGCTCTGTCGCCCAGGCTGGAGTGCAGTGGCATGATCCCAGCTCACTGCAACCTCTGCCCCCTGGGTTCAAGTGATTCTGCCTCAGCCTCCCGAGTAGCTGGGGTTACAGGCACCTGCCACCACACCCAGCTAATTTTTTGTGCATAATACTTCTCTAATGCCTGGCCCAAAGCATGGCATGCATAGTAGGGATTCATTTAACTTTTGCTGAAAGAAATATAAATGATTTTTTTCTTTTAAATTTCTACATTATTTAGATTTTCTGGTGACTCTTTCCTATGCAATAAGCCAATACATATTTATGGAGCACATACTGTGTGCCACATACTGGTACTGTGCTTAGCATAAAGGATACATATAATGTATATTTTACTTTAGAATATATTCTATTCTTTGTATTTAATTCTTAGCCCGACTATAAATTCTAAAAAATCAGTTTTTCAAGCAAAAACAATGAAGATCCAAGAAAGGAAAATTTCCTGGTATTAATTCAATATATTCATCTATTCCCAGATTATTTCCACATTCCACTTGATGGTGGAAATTTACTACCCCCTCCTTGCCTTTCAAATGATCCTAAGATCGTAACCTTTCCCAATGGAGCTGAAGAGGTAGAGTAGGCTGTTTGGGTTTCAAAGGACTTTTCAGGACACAAAGTAAATAGGGGAATTGGAGATATCAACAAAACTAATTAAGTGGATTGACTGTGTCAGTAGTGAGTACAGAGATGTCAGAAAAGCTAGTTGTAGCAAGTATTTAAACACAGCCTCAAGTTCATTTTCAGTGGTGTTGCCATCATCCACAAACTTCAAAGAAAGTTTAGCCAGATTAATCCAGGAAAATTCATTCTCCTGGGAACATCACATTCTAAATTACTTATTCATTGTTAATATCTTCATTTAAAATTTTGACTTGAACTTTTTTATTCTTTACTTGTCCTTTAAGATCACACAGACCCAAGATTTGATAAGGTTATCATCTTTTCAGATCTCAGAAAAGTGGGAAAATGAATTCCCTTTTGACCAGAATAAAGGGAAGAAGAATTTAAAATTATAAACCAGGTTTACTTTACTCATAGATGGTCATATATTCAACATTGCCTTTTTTTTATTTTAAAAAACTGCCCAAGTCATAAATAAATGCATTCTTGCTTTAAGAAATTCAGCTAAAGCAATAGACTTTCTTGACCCTCTATCCCCAATCCTGCTCATCTCCCCAGAAGGAGAGCCCATTTCTCAGTTCAGGGACTGTCCTTCAGACTTATGCATGTAGAAACCAATGATTCAAGTTTTTCTTCTTCTCCTTCTTCCTTCTTCCTCCTTTCTCCTTCCTCCTCCTCCCTCTTCCGCTTCCTCTTCTCCTCCTACTCTTCCTCTTCGTCCTCCTTCCTCTTCTTCTTCTCCTTCTCTTTCTCCTTCTCCTTCTCCTTCTCCTCCTTCTTCTTCTTCTTCTCCTTCTATATATTGTACCTTAACTTCGTTTTTACCCACCACTTTAAAGTATTTTGTTCTATGACAGCAGCTAGAGATCTTAATACGTTACTCCATTTCATGGCTATACACAGTTTATTTACCCGTTTTCCTAGTAATGGGACTGTAATGTTACTTAAACCTCATCTCAAAGACCTAATATAAATTAAATTCTAGCTTCATTTGAATCTTTCATCACTTTGAAGGGAGATTTTTAGTAATTATCAAAAGATATGAGATCAAACAAGTCCAATTACTAAAAATACAATGCATTTGTATGATAATTTAAACTTCTTTTAAATATGGAGACCCAGAGCACTGTATCCCCAGCACTCCTGTGAGCTAGCCAGGAGAAGAGGAACATTGTCACAACCACATGAAGAAGAGGGTAGAGCAGGGCCCCCTTCTGCTGATTTCTGATTATACAGGGCTCTTTGGTCAAGATCACAGAATGTGTTTCTCCCTCCCATGCAAGAAAGGCAGGGATTCCTCCTCTCCTCTTTAGTCTTCCATCCCTGCTCAGAGCTTTTTGGCTAGCATTGTCAATTCAAGGTTTGGCCTCAGAGTCTTTGATTTAAGTTGTGAGGGGACAGACATGGTGAGGATATACCGTGGCCGGGTCTGGAGGGTGAGCTACTGAGAATCAGGGCAGGGAAGAGGCTCAGTGGTTGCTGGTGCTGAGGTAGTGTCTGGAAAGCACATCCGTGTGAAAGGGCGAATGCCAGCTGAGCATGGCCTTGGGTCACTGGCTGCCTTGCAAACAGGAGCTCCACAGGAGAGGTGGACTTGCACAACAGCAGCCTGACAGATCCAGGGTCTTTCACTTGCTTCTTTGGGATCCTCACCAAGCATGTCATTCAACCATTTATTGTGCATGGACCTTGGTAGGGAATAGGCATTGCTCTGTTTTCTGATTTATTTCTCCTTGAAAGCCCATTCTCAAGGGCAGGGAACATGTTTTATTCTTCCCAGAACCTTAGGATAAATAAACGGGAAAAAATGAGTGAAAAAGGAAACTTTGGTGGGAGATAATGAGGCTTTTCCTTACTGCTCTTATCTTTAGAAGCTGGGTCACAGACATCTTAATATGCATTTACGTGTATTTATTTAACAAACGTGTACCTAGCACTTACTTTGTGCCAGGCATTGTTCTCACACTGTTCACATTTAATTATGCCAAGAACTCTGACAGAAACACTATTTTTATCCCCACTTTGCTCAGAAAACTGATGTACAGGGCATTTAAGGAACTTGACCAAAGCCGCACACTAGTAAGGACTTAAACTTGGGCAGTCTGGGCCCAGAGCCACCCTGGCTCTCCTTTTCCCTCTCACCGGTCTTGACATGGTTGGGTCTTCATTATTTTTCCCTTTCTGGACCTCTCATCTTTCCTTCCTCTTTCTCCATTCCTGTTGCCTCCACCCTACTGTGTGATGTGATCATTTATTTGTAGACTGCAGCACACTAGCCTCTGACTTCAGTCCTTTGCACACCACAGCCAGGCTAATCTTCCTTCATGATGGCTCTCATCACCCTTTTCCTGCTACAGAACTCTTCTTGGTGTCCTGTCCTGTCAGGGCTGATCTCCTGCCTGGTTCCTAAACCTCTAGAATCTGACAGTGTGACCCTGCTCATCGAGCCTCACTTCCCTTGCAACCCATTTGCTGCCACCCACAGCTCCTGGCAGTGCTTGTACCCCTTCCCTGGAGCACCCTCACTCACCTCTTCCCTGACCCTCCATCAGTTCATTCTGCCATGGATTTCCTTCTAGGTCTCACCTCCTGCCTGACTACACAGCTCTTAGTGTCCGCTCCACCCCTGAACCCAGTCTACAGGCTGTTGGATTTCATTGTTCCTGGCTTCAAAAAGCCTGATTAGGTTTAAACTCTTTGGGGGTCTACCATTATACCTAGCACTGAGCTGGGTCCCAAAGGACATTGTTGAGTACTGGGATTAGTAGGTAGGACGCTTGCCTAATATTGGACTTTTTACTTGGTTTCCTCACCCTTAAATGAAGAACTTAAAGGAGATAATGGCCAAGTTTCCTTTTAATTTGCTTAACCAATTACACTTGCATATATATTTTATTTTTTAGAGACAAGTTCTCACTTGTCACCCAGAGTGTAATGCATTGGCACAATCATAGCTCACTATAACCTCAAACTCGTGGGCTCAAGAGATCCTCCCACCTCAGCCTCCTAAGTAGCTAGGACTACAGGTGTGCGTCACCATGCCTGGCTGGCTTATTTTATTTTTGTAGCGATGGGGTCTTCCTATGTTGCCCAGGCTGTCCTTGAACTCTTGGCCTCAAGCCATGGTCCCACCTCAGCCTCCCAAAGTGCTGGGATTACAGACGTGAGCCACTGTGCCTGGCCATACTTATTTTTTAACAGCTTCATTGATATATAATTTACACAGCACATAATTCACTCATTTTAAGTGTGTAATTCAATAGTTTTTAATAGATTCAGGTATGTACAACCATCATCACAGTCAGGTTTAGAACATTTTCATCACCAAAAAGAGAAGCCCCAACTAACTAGATAGCTATTAGCCATGCCCCTCTCCTCCACATTCTCATCTTCACCAGTCTTAAGAAATTACTAATCCACTTTATGTCTCTGTAGCTTTGTTTATTCTGGAAATTGTATGTAAATTGAATCATATGATATGTAGTCTTTTATGAGTGGCTTATTGCACTTGGCATAATGTTTTCAAGGCTCCTCTATGTTGTAGCATACATCAGAACTTCATCCTTTTTATGGCTTAATAGTATTGCATTGTATGGATATACCACATTTTGTTTATCCATTCATTTGTTGGTGGACTTTTGGGTTGTCTCCACCTTTTTGAAAATTACATCCATTTTTGAGTGGAAAATGATCTTCCTTTAGTGGCTTCTACAGTTGCCAACAGCAGTTTCCCTCTACTGCTTTAAAGGTAGGGATCTGGGCTTAATGGCTTTGTTTGCGTTGTGTGGATGGACAGGTTGGATGCTTGGTCATCAATGTCAGAGAGCAGTCATAGAGAGTACTCATGAGCTTTGTAATCAGACGTACTGGTTTGAATCATGGATCTGCCACATAATGAGCTTACATAACTTCAGGAAGCACGTTTCCTCGTTGGTAAAGTGGGAACTACCTTGCCTGTTTCCTTAGAGTCAGAGCTATGCTAGAAACTACGTGGCCTTGGGGCAACTCAACCAATGCAGAGGGACCTCAAGGCTATAAAAATAAATAAGTAAATAAATTTTAAAAAGTAAAAATTATTTTTTAAAAAGTACTCTCACGCCCGTAATCCCAGTACTTTGCGAGGCTGAATCCAGGCAGATCGCTTGAACCCAGGAGTTTGAGACCAACCTGGGCAACATAGTGAGACTCTGTCTCTACAAAACATGCAAAAAATTAGCTGTGGATAGTGGTGGGCGCCTGTAGTCCCAGCTACTCAGGGGAGCTAAGGTGGGAGGATCACTTGAGCCTGGGAAGTTGAGGCTGCAGTGAGCCGCTGTACTCCAGCTTGGGTGACAGAGTGAGATCCTGTCTCTAAATGAATAAATAAATAAAGTGCTTAAAGTTCTCAATTTTATTAAGGTATCATGCCTCACAGCTCTTCCCTACCAAGCATGGAGCCCAGGATCACCACCCTAGTTGCAGTACCCAGAGTGGACCTACTTAATTTTGTTGGGATAATTCATGTCTCCCTTCGTGTGTGTTAATGGCCTCTCTTGATCTTGGATCTGGATTTGTGCTCCAGTCACTACCCCATCAGGTCATTTGACAAGAATGGCTATAGGGAGTGAAATGTTTTTCCCTCTCTGAGAAGATACAGCGGGAGTGTAATTTCATTCTTTGTGGGATAGGCAAGGAGGATGCATTGCTGTTTTTTGGTAAGCTTTACCTGAAAGTAGTTATGCCAGAGGGTAGGTGGTGATTCTGAGCTTGCTTATGGTTATTGAATATCCATTGGCACTTATATTTGGGGTTTGTACGTGAAGACTGAAAATGCCTTTTTTAGTAACTGGCTGAAGGAGAGATGAAATGTTAATTTGATCCAAACTTTGCTTGGAGAGTGGTGTTTCAGAACTGATTTTGCTAATGTCATTAAGAATCAAGGAACCCGACAATTTTGGATTTTAGGCAAGGCCTCTCTCTACACCCAGAGTAACAACTTAAAAAAATTATTTTAAAGTAAGGAGGTTTTAGAAACATAAACTCTTATAATAGTGGATCTTTTGAGAGAATGGAAAGTAAGTCATTTTCCTCATCTAAACTTAGCTTCTGCCCCCATGATATTGGTAGGAGGTCGAGAAATTTGACTGTGAGAATTATGTGAATCTTTATTCCTCTTCCTCTATTCTGACCCCAGGTGAGTGGGGACAGCTCTTGCCTGGCATTTCTCCCACTGGCTTGACCCATTAATGGCAACTGTGAAAAGGTCAACATTTCCAGGCTGACATACTGACCACATTTTGTGTGGGAGATCTCAACAAAAGAATATTTGTTTCTGGGAGGCTGACATCCCCTTTTGTCCATTAAGCCTGTCCTTTCCATCATTAGATTGTGAACCTTGTCAGAATTAAGTAGAGCTTAAAAACAAGGAAGGAATGAGTAAAGGAAATTTAGTTTGCTACATCTAAATGCAAATTGTGCAAAAACAGATGGGTGAGGTAAGAATGGACGTCATTCCTGGCGTGACTGCAGGTACTCTTGGTCTACACCATGATCCTGGAAAAGGAGGATTTAATCATCTGAGTTATTAACCGTTCTCATTACCTTAGGCATTGTGACTCTGCTTCCTATTGATCCTAGAGCTAAGGTGCCCCGATTTATATGCAAACTCTTGTTTACCTGCCCAATAAGTGCAAAAGGGCTTAAGCAGGTGACTGGGGCCTCACATGAAGTGACAAGACTATTTCTGCCTAGAAGGTACGGGAGCTGAGCGGGACTGAGCTGGTCTGCAGGAAAGGCAAGAAGAAATTCTGATTATCTGTCCCAAATAGAGCCATATCCTGTCTATGAGGTGGCCAGCTAGGAGAGTGGAAACAGTTTAGATCTTTGTCTTTGGCTACTGGTCCGAGAGAAGTTGCTGTTCTTCTTTTATCCTTGGTAGAAAACCTTTTCTTCATCCCTACCTATTCATTGCTAGAGCTGGAGGCCAAAGCAAAATGACAGACTGTAATTTTATATGAGTTATTTTGGGACTAACACTCTTATAATTATGGTTCACTTAAATATTATAATATTACTTATTGCAAAAGCAATTTATAGGGAATTGGAATTTTTTTACAGAAGAAAAAAACGCACCGAAGATTTTATTATTCTAATATCCTTGAAGTTAGCCCGGTGTGGTGGCTCACACCTGTAATCCCAGCACTTTGGGAAGCTGGGGCACGAGGATTGCTTGAGCCCAGGAGTTTGAGACCACTCTGGGCAACATAGTGAGAACTCATCTGTACAAAAAATGAAAAAGTTAGCTAGGCACAGGGTGTGTGTCTGTAGTCCCAGCTACCGGGGAGGCTGAGGTGGGAGGATCGCTTGAGTCATGGAAGTCGAGGTTGCAGTGAGCCATGATTGCTCCACTGCACTCCAGCCTGGGTGACAGAGCATGACCCTGTCTCAGTAATAATACCCTTCAAGTTTTTCCCTATATGTTTGCATATATGGTTTTCATATTGTTATACACTTTCATGATCAGATACTCCATAGTAGATGGGTTGGCTGATATGAAAGGATTTTTTGTTTTGTTTTATTCCTTTAATATGTGTCATCAACAGTTTAAAACTTACAGGGATTTTTAATACTCATTTAGTGCCAGTTGTCTTTGAAACAATATTTTTATCAAAGATTGTTGTGACAGAGAAGAATATCTTCATGGTTTTGTTTTGGTCTTCACTTGGGTAACAAGTTACTGGTATTTGGAGAACAGGAGAGACTATTTTCCTCAGATTTCGAAATGGCAAAGCATAGGAGTGAGGTTGGAGAAACCACAGGGTCTAGCGGGAAAGTCTTTTACAGGCCACACTCAAGTCCTGGTTGGGGTTAGCTTCGCTTAGCAGATTCCCCAGCGTAGGAAATACTGACCTAGTTCTTAGATAATCTCTGAGGAGTTTCTCTGTAAGGGTATATAAGTATCCTAAATGAATAGGTGGAAAATACAATATAAGTACTTTTGTGAGCCTGAGGGACTCTTCTGTAAGATCAAAGACAAATATTTTAGTTTGACTGAGAAAGGAGTGAAACTTTTTAAATAAACAACAGTATTTATTTTAATAGGGAGTCTGAGGTCTTTCCAGTAGGAGTTGGGAAATAACTTTTTTTCCTCTTAAACTCATGCTGCACAATTAAAGAAAAATGTTTTTTCTCTGAACCTTTCCTTCAAATACTTGGCAGAGATTACTGCCAGAAGAATGAGATGGGCACAGTGGCTGATGCCTGGTAATCCCATCACTTTGGGAGGACACGATGGTAAGATTGCTTGAGCCCAGGAGTTCGAGACTAGCCTGGGCAGCATAGGGAGACCCATCTCTACAATTTTTTTTTTTAAAGCCAGGCAGGGTGGTATGTGTCTGTGGTCCCAGCTACTCAGGAGGCTGAGGTGGGAAGATCACATGAGCCTGGGAGGTCGAGGCTGTAGTGAGCTGTTATCATGCCACTGTACTCTATCTAGCCTGGGCAACAGAGGCTAGAGCAACTCTGTCTCAAAAATAAAATAAAATAAAATAAAATAAAATAAAATAAAATAAAAAAAATAAAAAGAATCATTTGTGAGACTTGAGAGACTTGTACCATTGGATTAGAATCTTTCTTGGTACTAAAGTCTGAAAGAGCTGGACTTGAGCTAGGTTAACCATCCATTTTCCCTAACCTTCAAAAGCTCACCTAGTCTATCCTGCGGACAAGGATATATGTGCTCCACGATACCGAAAAAGATACTGCTGGGGCAAGAATTAGCCTGTCATACAAAGCAATAAACAATACCAAGAGCCAAAATTTGACTTCAGTGGCAGCTGTTTCCTAGAGCAGTATTTGTTTGAGTTTCCTTGTTGCAAAGCATGCAGCTCACAAAGTGCCCCAAACTGGCTTAATAAGTTTTGTTTGTTTGTTTATTTGTTTTGAGACGGAGTCTCGCTCTGT
Source organism: Homo sapiens (assembly GCF_000001405.40). Lineage (NCBI taxonomy): Eukaryota > Metazoa > Chordata > Mammalia > Primates > Hominidae > Homo > Homo sapiens. The sequence goes on along the minus strand of NC_000003.12, from coordinate 149,628,348 downwards.
TGCCCAGGCTGGAGTGCAGTGGCGTGATCTCGGCCACCGCAAGCTCTGCCTCCCGGGTCCACACCATTCTCCTGCCTCAGCCTCCCGAGTAGCTGGGACTACAGGCGCCCGCCACCACGCCCAGCTAATTTTTTGTATTTTTAATAGGGACGGGGTTTCACCGTGTTAGCCAAGATGGTCTCGATTGCCTGACCTAGTGGTATGCCCACCTCGACCTCCCAAAGTGTTGGGATTACAGGCGTGAGCCACCTCGCCTGGCTTTTTTTTTTTTTTTCGAGACGGAGTTTCGCTCTTGTTGCCCAGGCTACAGCGCAATGGCGCCATCTCGGCTCACCGCAACCCCCACCTCCCAGGTTCAAGCGATTTTTCTGCCTCAGCCTCCCGAGTAGCTGGGATTACAGACATGTGCTACCATGGCTGGCTAATTTTGCTTTTTTAGTAGAGACGGGGTTTCTCCATGTTGATCAGGCTAGTCGCGAGCTCCCGACCTCTGGTGATCTGCCCCTTCTCGGCCTCCCAAAGTGCTGGGATTACAGGCGTGAGCCACCGCGCCCGGCCAATAAGTTTTTAATGTCTTCAGAATTTTTTAGAAAGCGTCAACTTTCTTTAAAAATAATAGGACCCTCTCAGGCTACAAATATAAGGAGAAGGGAAGGAGACCCACCCTGGAGAGTTTTGGAGGTGAACCCCGCTGTGATTTCATGGACAACATGGATATCTCTGTTTGGTTTAATACAAACTTTGACCAGCTTGATTTGGGGGCCTCCTGTAGCCATAGCACACACTCTTCAGTTATCACCACCTATTCCTTTCTTCCTGGCTTCTCTGGCATTTCCAGGGGGTGCAGGAAAGGGCTGGTTTAAGGCAGCTGGCATACCTTCCTTTCTCTCAGGCTTCCTCACTCCTAGGACTGTATACCATAGTTTCTTCCCATCAAAATTTCGTGTTCCTCTGCTCATTGCATTTCATTGTTCAGCATAAATTCAGGGTTGATTACCCCACATGACACCCTACATGGCTGAAAATGGGGTGGATGTTTCCCAAAGGAAATTAGGATTGTGGTCAGGAGAGAAGGGGAATAGATCATGGGTTTACCTTAACAATATGTTTACCCTAAGAAGGGTTGTTGGATAAAATACAGGTATTCAGTTAAATTTGAATTTCAAATAAACAATAGGTAAATTTTTAGTTTTAAGTATATCCCAGATATTGCATGGGACGTATTTGTACTAAACAAATTATTTATTATTTATCTGGAATTCATATTTAGCTGGGCATCTTGCATTTTTATTTGCTAAATCTGATGACCCTAGGTCCCTAAGAAACTTCTCATGTCTCATTTTATGTTTTTTGTTAGCTTACCTGGCCTAAGATTTCTTTGCTTTGGAGAGGTGCTGGGGAGTGGCACGGTGGGCAGGATATTACACTTGTGTGAATTAAGAGAGGGCAGGGCATAAATAAAGTATTGGCCAAGCAGCTGCTTGGTGGCCTCAGGACGGAGTAGGTGTTCAACAACCTGTGCGCTGTGTGCCAAGGTTGGGCAACACCTTGTTTTTGATACTATTCTTAGATGCACCTTTATGCTGTGTGTATTTCATCACCCCATGTGCCTACACATTCAATATGGGTGGTTTTCCAATTGATGCTCTTTTGTAGTCCTCGTGGGAAGATACCTCTGGTATCTTCCCTTGGAGTATGGAAAAAAAGGAGTAGAATTTTACCTCTAACCAAAAACGCTCAGCCTGCTTTGGGATTTTCAATGCTAATTACTTTAGTAAAGTAAAAATTATTTTTCTATACTGAACATCACATCAGTTCTGGCCATTTTTTTTTTTTTTACATACTATAGAATATGTATATACTTGAATGCAAACATTCTCTTTAAATTCTAGCTCAAACAAGATATTATTAGCTTGGTTTTATATATTGACTGATTTCAACTGGATGGATTTTAAGGGAGGAAAACCCATAGGAAATATGATCCTGAGGCACCGAGGATGGTTATAGGACGTGGTCTGCTGCTGCATGTTGCATTACTGTATGCTGGGTTTTTGGTACTCTTTCTCAAGGCTCTGTTATTAGTTGGTAGGCTCCAGTAATGAATATAGAGGACTGACAGAGTGGGATTAACTTATTTGCAATTGTTTCCTACTGAAATCAAATGCACGGTTTTCCCAATTTAAGACTTGGTCCCTTGTACCTTGATTTGATTCAGAAAGCCATCTGTGATGTTTTTGTTTCCTGGCGCCTGCAGGAAAACTCATTTGTCATGAGTTACAATTACCTTGCAGTCATTGCTATGTGGTTGTAGCACACTCATTGCTAAGAATGGTTTATGAGTGTCACCTTAATCCATGAGCTCAACTGGGTGTCAGACGTCTAGGAAGGGAGGGACTTGGTAGGTACTTAAATGGTAAACTCAGGGTGCTGCATGGAGGTGATTAAGGAGGTGGCATTTGGTTTGAGTCAGGGCTTTTAGTGCTATGCATAGAACAACTTGTTTCCTTTTGAGAATATAATTGTTTGCATGTGATGCTAATTTCCGCTTTTTTTTTTTTTATTTGGAATCTCGCTGTGTCGCCCAGGCTGGAGTACAGTGGTGCAGTCTCAGTTCACTGCAACCTCTGCCTCGTGGGTTCAAGTGATTCTCCTGCCTCAGCCTTCCAAGTAGCTGGGATTACAGGCATGTGCCACCATGCCCAGCTAGTTTTTGTATTTTTAGTAGAGATGGGGTTTCACCATGTTAGCCAGGCTGTTCTTGAACTCCTGACCTTGGATGATTCACCCACCTTGGCCTTCCAAAGTGCTGGGATTACAGGCATGAGCCACCATACCATGCTCAGCCCCTAATTTTTGCTTTATTAAAACAAAAACAAAATTTGAGTCACTATAATTCTGTCACAGAAGGCAGGGATGAAAAAGGGTAGAGTTGGCCGGGCGCAGTGGCTCAAGCCTGTAATCCCAGCATTTTGGGAGGCTTAGGCGGGTGGATCACGAGGTCAGGAGATCGAGACCATCCTGGCTAACATGATGAAACCCAAGCTCTACTAAAAATACAAAAAATTAGCCGGGCGTGGTGGGCGCCTATAGTCCCAGCTACTTGGGAGGCTGAGGCAGGAGAATGGCATGAACCCGGGAGGCAGAGCTTGCAGTGAGCTGAGATCGCACCACTGCACTCCAGCCTGGGCAACAGAGCGAGACTCCGTCACAAAAAAAACCAAAAAAACCAAAAAAAAAAAAAAAAAAAAGGGTAGAGTTGTCTATTTCACTAACAACCAACTTTTCCTGAAAAAGGACTTTCTGTAAAGATTAAGAATGGTACGGGCATGGTGGCTCACACATATAATCCCAGCGCTTTGGGAGGCTGAGGTGTGTGGATCACTTGAGGTCAGGAGTTTGAGACCAGCCTGGCCAACATGGTGAAACCCCACCTCTACTAAAAATAAAAAAATAAATAAATAAAATAAAATAAATAAAATGAATTAGCTGGGCATGGTGGCACATGCCTGTAATGCCAGCTACTTGGGAGGCTGAGGCAGGAGAATTGCTTGAACCTGGGAGGTGGAGATTGTGGTGAGCCGAGGTCACGCCACTGCACTCCAGCCTGGGTGACAGAGTCAAACTCCATCTAAAAAAAAAGGTTAAAAATGATTATGATTTCTTTTTCTAAGTTTATTAAGAAACAGTACGTATCAGTTCATTCCCCTTAGCAGAAGCAATGTTATTTTAGAAGGATGCAGCAAACTTGATCTTATATAGTCCCAAGTGTGGCTCCCATCTCCAAGGTGGTAGCCAGCCTGGACAGCTTGAAGAACAGAGACTGGGCTGTTTGGCCATGAATGCAGCACAGAATATAGATTCCTGTCTCTGGCTTGTGTGATGGAGGGTGGACTAGTCAGGACTGTTCCAGCTGAAGATGACAGAGGTCTAGCTCACACTAGCTGGTGCATGAACCAAGTGAGGCCAAGGTTGGCTCCAGATCCAGGGACTTCATTAGTATCATTTAGACTTCTCATCTCTCTGCCTCTTGGCCATATTGCCTTCTCCATTGGCAGGAATATGGCCTCAGGAAGGTTGGGCATCCACATCCCAAACGAGCAGCCTCTAAAGGGACAAGAGGGCTTCCCTCTACCCGCCCTCACCCGCCCACTTCAATGTATGCCAGTATCTGTTCATTTGACCTCCTGTGAGCTCAGCAGAGAAGGGTACTGGATTGTTCATCATTCAGGAATCACAGAGTTAGAATGGAGAAAGATTTAGTTCCTCAATGGAAGTGGTCATGGTAGTGGTGGGGAGGGATGTGGCCGGACGAAGGGAAGTGATTCTGGGCAGACGATAACCACATACTTTCTCCACAGAGAGTGATGCAAGCCACATGGGAGATAGGGACCCTAGCCTTAACCCTGTAGCCTGGCTGGAGAGCTAAGCATATATGCAAGAGAGCACAACATTGCCAAAACTACATGAAGGTAACGAGGAGATGCAGAATTAAGTGCAGCCATGAAGCATGGCCCTTCAGAAAGGACTGTGAGGTTCTGGCATTGTATATAAATTCCCATTTGCCATAAATAGTAGCCCTCTAGTTTGCTTATCAGGATTGTATCTTCTCTACACGGTCACATAGTGGATGATTAGCCCTGAAAGCAATTACATAATTTCCACTTATACAGATTTACATTTACCCATAGAAAGTATTTCTCTCCTATTCAAATAAGGATGTCAGAATGCAAGTTCGTAGAAGTGATGTCATTCAATGGACAAAAAATGGATTAATTCATCAGAAAGAAAGACAACATATATTGCAAACTTAAATGATGTGGGATGCCTTTCACAGCTAATGGCATCATAGCATGGCCTTTGGGACTGCCCAGAATTCCATTTTATAGCTGTACCCTACTTTGTTCATCTAGCCCCTCTTACTGAGCATTTAGGTTCTTTCCCATTTTCACACTTTAAATGGCCATATGATAAACATTCTTTTTTTTGAGATGTAGTTTTGCTCTTGTTGCCCAGGCTGGAGTGCAGTGGCACAATCTCGGCTCACTGCAACCTCCACTTCCCAGGTTCAAGTGATTCTCCTGCCTCAGCCTCCTGAGTAGCTGGGATTACAGGCGTGCACCACAACACTCAAATAATTTTGTATTTTTTTGGTAGAGACAGGGTTTCACCATGTTGGTCAGGCTGGTCTCAAACTCTTGACCTCAAGTGATCCACCCACCTCGGCCTCCCAAAGTGCTGGGATTACAGGCATAAGCCACCGTGCCCAGCTGATAAACATTCTCAAAGATTTTTAAGATGCATCCTGAGTGCTTCATTAGAATTTGTTCTTAGCAATGGAATTACTGAATCCAAGGCTATTATTGCCATAAATTTCGATGGGGATAGTAAGGAAAGAATAATGATAAACTCAGACCCACTTTAGTGGGTTACTGAATCGAGCACATTATTATTATTATTTTGAGACAAGGTCTCACTCTGTCACCCAGACTGGAGCGCAGTGGTGTGATGTGAGCTTACTGCAGCCTCTGCCTCTCGGGCTCAAGTGATCCTTCTCCCTCAGCCTCCCGAGTAGCTGGGACTACAGGCATGCACCACTGTGCCTGGCTGATTTTCTGTATTTTTGGTGGAGATAGTTTTGGTTTGGTTTTGGTTTTGGTTTGGTTTGGTTTTGGTTTTCGCCATGTTGTCCAGGCTGGTCTTGAACTCCTGAGCTCAAGAGATCTGCCCAGCTCAGCCTCTCAAAATGTTGGGATTACAGGCGTGAGCCACTGCGCCTGGACGCACGCTCACTTGCTTGCTTTCTTTTTCTTTCTTTCTTTCTTTCTTTCTTTCTTTCTTTCTTTCTTCCTTCCTTCCTTCCTTCCTTCCTTCCTTCCTTCCTTCCTTCCTTCCTTCCTTTCTTTCTTTCTGGGAAAATATGGTTTGGTTGTAAGTACAAAAAGATAATTATCATTGTTATATGTTATTTGTATTATATTATTGGTATAAATTTAATGTCTCTAATAAATTACTTTGACAATTGGTCATTCATATTTTCATGGTTTTTGAAAACAAAGTGTATCTTTCAAATAACAACAACTTGATAGAAAAGATCATTGCACCTGGGAGAATAATAACAACATCCCAAATTTGCTTTAAGGTTATACCTGAAATGTCATTGTCAGAGAAACAACTCATAAGTCTGGGTTAAAACAAGCCTCTTGCTGATTTTGAGGTGATCAAATTTATCATAATAAAAAAATAGTTATTACCAATCATGTCATAAGACTGGGGGGCATGCAGTGAGCAGAAGCAGATAGGTTGTGCAGGAGGAGGGTGTGGGATATGGATTCATAATCTCTACCAAAATATTTTTTAGATAAAGGTGAGTGAGTGAGAGTTGAAATAAAGATAAGGAAAGTTCAATGATTGATTAAGGCATTTTGACTCTTTGGGTCCCAGAGCAGACATCCTTATGGTGGCAAAGAAAAACCACGTAACTAATTCGGAAATTGTGCCAACAACATGTTGAAACAGTAGTAGAGAAATTCAAAGTTTAATGTTAGGTCACTGGTCCATCGTCCATGTACAACTTTGAGAACACCTGTAATGCATTACATCAGACATTAAAACATATGTAGTTATTTAAAAACTGATCTGTAATATAACTGGGCATAGACCATATTAGTATGATTTCTGTCTTCTGAGTGAATGTTTTATTTGGACTTCTTCCTCTCTTTAGATTTTTGCTCTTCCTGTATTTTTTCTTTCTATCATCTTTAGCAAAAGATTGCTAGTGAAAGGAGTTGCACCTGGTTACCTTGATTAACACATCAAGAGCTCTGGAAAATCTGGTTGCTGGTCTCCAAATAGTCCTGACCATGGGAATATACAACAAGCTACTGTGGTGCAGCGGTCTCTTGCTCTCGGGGCCTTATTTATTACAGCACTTGCTGCTAGCATTAGTCACTTCTGTTTGGGCACTGTGGTTTTCTGCTTCCTTCCAATAACATTACTTGAGTTAAAAAAAAAATTACAGAAATGTAGTTTCACAAAGACTTCTGTGATTAGAATTACTGTCTGGAATTTTTAAAAGCAGACAGCAAAGAAGCAAATTTAAGAAACTTGAAAAGTTTAAAAACAAGGACTGTTTCTTTATAAGGGAGGCCTAAAAACTGTTGGGTTCATATTTTTTGCCCTTTTAAATGCCATATTTAGTATACTTCAAAACAGTTTAAGCAAAGCAAAAGCTGAGGTAGAAAAAGCATGTTATTCTGTGACATTTTCAGGACCCTAAAGTAAGAACGGCAGCACATTTGTTTTCAGGAACCTGTGGTTCATTCAGCAAAATTAATTCCAATACAGAATTGTTCCTATCAAGGGTGACATGGATTCTTTTATGATGCTCCAGATTTCTGGTAGTTTGTTTGCATTCTCTCCACTTGTGTCATTCTGAGAAAAGAGAATAGTCATAGGACACTACAGTTGAAAAGCTTGAGATTCTTGTGTAAAGGCTGATGTGTGTGGTCTCCTAGCTCTGCATCCTAGAGGTGTGGTTTATTCCCCCATGTGGGGCAGATGCAATTGTAACTTTTTGCAATGGAAATGCTGTTAGTTTCCAGACAGATGGGATGTGAGCTGGAACTTGAGGACCTAGATAGATAAATAGGACCTAGATAAAAATGATCTAGGCATTTGTGTTGGCTGCTATAAAAACATCCTCTGTCATGTGGAGTAGATAAGATACTCTATGTTGTTTTAAAGAAGTCTTTTACAAAGAAGATGAGTGTGTGTGTGTGGGGGGGAGCGGTGGAGGAGGGGTGCAGAAGAACATATGAGATCCAGCTCCCCAGAGGATCTTCCTTAAGGCACTTGGAACTAAGTTTGAAGGCACTGCCCACAAATTCTCTCCTTCATCAAGACTTGTCAATCCAGCTAAGCTCTGTGGTCACACCTACTGTCATCTTAGAAGATGAATTCTGTGGTTGCCTCAATTTAATGGCTGACCAAAGAGGTTCCAAAAAGATCCAGTTAGATCCTCAGGTCTCATATCATGGAGGTTGGGGTGTCCATGACCTCTGTTTATGCTCTGTGTGCCACGCTTCCCTTTATGGGTTCTTTATCTAAAAAATAAAGAAACTGAGTTGTCTGAAACCCTCTTTGGAGGAGGCAATCTGGTGTAGTGGTTAAGAATATGGATTCTGTAGTCAGAATGTTTGGGTTTTGCAACATCTCTAAACTGAGATGATACGAAAACACCTACCCAACAAAGCTGTTTCTAGGATTTAAGAAAGCGTTTTTCTATAAGAGTGCTATAAGATGGAGCCCAGGACCAAAATACATCAAAGCGTGTAGATGTTAAATGGAGCTAAGTCCCAAATTGGGTGACTAAAGGAAGGTGTAATGATGGAATCCTGGGTGCTTCTAATGGACCACCAATTTGGAAAACAAAATTTAGAAATCGATCTGTGAGATCCTGAGAGAACGAGACCATTGATATAATATGATCTCCAGTTTCAGCCTGTGCGAGGATTAACCAGCAACCCAAGAAGGCAATATTACTGGGGCCACCACATTTTTGGGCAAGAAAGGTAAACTGTGTCCCTTGGCAGTCAGTTCAAGCCTAAACCTAAAGTAGTAGGCTTGAACAAAATTACCTTTGTTGTGCTCTAATAAAAATAAACAGAGTGTGGAGATTGAAGAAATCATCAACCAGTGCTATATACCTGTTTGTTTGTTTGTTTTTGGTGACAGGATCTTACTCTGTCACCCAGGCTGGAATACAGTGGTGTGATCATAGCTTACTGTAACCTGGAACTCCTAGGCTCAAGTGATACTCCCGCCTCAGCCTCCTGAGTAGCTGGGACTGCAGGAGCATGCCACTATGCCTGGCTAATTTTTAAATTCTTTTGGTAGAGATAGGATTTCACTATGTTGCCCAGGCTGGTCTTGAACTCCTGGCCTCAAGCAATCCTCTCACCTTGGCGTCTCAAAGTGTTGTGATTACAGGTGTGAGTCACTAATCTGGCCTGGTTCCTTTTTTAATAATACTACTGACAAACACTGCCTCGTAGAAACTCCTGTCAGCGTGAAGAGTTGGAAGGGGAGGGGAACAGTGCTATTTTTCTTCTTCAAGAAGTTTCAGGGGGCTCCTCATAGGATTGCCTTCAGGAGTGTCCATACTCCCTGCCTCTCTGGCTGTTTCTTATCAGCTAAATGGTACAACCTCCAAGAGGTGTGACTGATGGTGAATTTCATCTCTTTCTGAAAGGTGCCATGAAAACATGCAAGGCTATTCCTCTCTGCCATTGTTTCTGTCTGTCTCTCAGCAGGATAAGGTCATGACAGAATGGCACGTTTATCTTGGATTTCCTTGTTTGGCAAGCAGCCTGGATATCTCTGGGTTGAACGTCTCTGGGTATCTCACAGACGTCAATGGGTTGAAGGAGATGTTGGCTCTTGCACTGATTCTTTCAGAAGCCCAGGAGGTGGTGGGGAGGGGGGAGGAGAAGAGGGGACAGGATTGTACTTGTCGTGTCACTGCCCTCTCAGTTGGAGCTTCCTTTACCTTTCCAGGCTCCTACAGCGTGGAGAGGCAGCCTAGTATAATGCAAGGCACAGAGACTTTATGTCTAAATAGAGCTGTGTTCAAGTCTCGACTCTGCCTATTTTAAGGTTTTTCTCCTATATACTCCTCAAAACCCCTGTACTTATTCTTCGATGATATTTTTTCACATCTGACATTACATCTTTCTCTCTCTCTTTTTCTGCATTTGTCTGTAAGCTTTAGATATGTGGGGACCACATCTTTTTCATAGCTATTAGATTGTTAAACAGTTTCTGGAGCTTGGCTTACTGAGCTTCAAACGCTGGCTGTGTGACATTGGGTAAGCTCTCTAGCCTCTTGCCTGCCTTGGGTGGTGTTGTCAGGATTAGAGATAAATACATGTTGTATCGCTGGCACCAAGACCAGCACAGATGGATGCTCGAGAGATGTTGTTCTCCTTACCTCAAGCTTGGTACCAGCGCCTCAGTGTCTGCTGACCCCACCAGCATGCCCGGATGTATCTGTTGGCTGCAAGACATTGTAGACCCAGGCTTGTAGCCAGCCTGGGCAGGCAGCTTGTTGGCTCAAGGAGTCCTTCGTACTGTTCTTCAGTCCTTCGAATGTCTTATTCTCAGACGCTCTTCTGAGAGGACATGCCTGCAAAGAGCACAGGCTTTATCTTTGGAATCTCTTGTTTCAGTCCATCCCTAAGAAATTGACAGTAGCCTTTAAAAAGTAACCCTTAAAAGTTATTTCAAAAGTAATTATAGTTCTTTGTTAATTAAGGGGGAAAAATCTCCCATAGTCTATCATTTGTATATCTACTGTTTGCTTTGGTATACATCCTTCCAGATTTTTCTATGTGCATGTACTATAATAACGTTGTTTTCTTTTAGCCAATGGTGGAATATTCTGCATTTTATTTTTGTATCCATAGGAGGGATTTTTCAGAGTCCATGAATAATATTGGACTCTGAATATTGGTATGATTTATGGAACTTTATTTTATTTTACTTTATTTTGAGACAGAGTTTTGCTCTGTTTCCCAGGCTGGGGTGCAGTGATGCAATCCCTGCTCACTGTTAACCTCCACCTCCCGGGTTCAAGTGATTCTCCTGCCTCAGCCTCCCAAGTAGCTGGGACTACAGGCATGTACCACCATGCCCAGCTAATTTTCATATTTTTAGTGAAGACAGGATTTCACCATGTTGGCCAGACTGGTCTCGAACTTGTGACCTCAGGTAATCCCCCTGCCTTGGCATCCCAAAGTGCTGGGATTATAGGCATGAGCCACTGCGCCTGGCCTGATTTATGGAATTTTAAAAGGTTCCAAATCCTTTGTTAGAATGAGGCCAGTTAGAAATAATGAAAAGTGGCTAATCCGTGGAAAGCCATAAGCCTCTAGTGGTTTTGAACTTGAAGAAGCACAGCAAAGCACACACACTGTGTGTGCATTGACTTATCCACATGCTACTACATAAGCCTGGAGAGAGATGGGGACAGAAGGAAAGAGAAGACGGATTGCACACTGCTCCAATCCAATTGCCCTGGAGTGAGAGTGAGATGAGATGAAAGTTCGTTTTTCCTTCTGCTCATCATGGTCCCCAGGAGACCCTCAAATTGTGACCACCTTGTCATGGCACAAGGTGGCTCCTAAATGGAAACCAGCTATCTTCTCAGCTATCTGTTCCAAAGCGGGAGGTAAAACTGGGTGTGCTGGTTTTAATTAAGAGATAGCATGTCTAAAAATGGCACATAAACTTAATATGCAGTTAGGAGATTTTCAGGGACATTTTTTTTCTACATTAGTTTCGCATTTTCTTGGTGACTTTAGAAACTAACCCCCTTATTAGACTCTCTGGCCTATGCACATAAAGCAACATTTACTCCCTCCCTCCCTCCTTCTTACTTTTTCTTCCACTTTAAGCTTCTAGTTTGTGCTGGGACTGCGGGATGTAGTAATGAATAAGTACATGGCCTTTGTCCTAAATAACTTAGGTTCAGTTTTAGAAAGAAATCTGAAAATGACTTCTCATAATACCTGGCAGAATGAAAGAAATTTATTAAAAGAGAGGACAGCAGGCCAGGTGCAATGGCTCATGCCTGTAATCCCAGCACTTTGGGAGGCTGAGGCGGGCAGATCACCTGAGGTTGGGAGTTGGAGACCAGCCTGACCAACATGGAGAAACCTTGTCTCTACTAAAAATACAAAATTAGCCAGGTGTGGTGGCACGTCCCTGTAATCCCAGCTACTCAGGAGGCTGAGGCAGGAGAATTGCTTGAACCTGGGAGGCAGAGGTTGCGGTGAGCCGAGATCATGCCATTGCACTCCAGCCTGGGCAACAAGAGTGAAACTCCACCTCGGAAAAAAAAAAAAAGAGAGAGAGAGAGAGGACAGCCATTTTATTAGGAAAGTACAGAGGAAGAAATACGTAGTTCTAGCCAGGGGATTTCATTACATGGGATTACAGAGAAGGGTGTTCCCTGAACTGAATTTTTAAAGATAGGGTCAAATTTTCATAGGCAGAAAGAAAGGGTGGGAAGCGGACATTCTCAATTAAGGGGAAAAATGAGATCTTATGGAAGCTTTAAAGCCTGAGACATTTGAGGGAACAGAATTTGAGAATTGAGTCTGCGATGAGACAGGAAAAGCCCACAGGCAGTAAAAAATGCCGGTGGCTGAGTGCAGTGTAGCTTCCACTGAACTCTGTGGATGTTTATGCTTATTTGAACCTTGTTGGAATATTCCTGGTTTGTTTTATGAAGGGATGTCTCTCACTGAGGATATTGACTCAGGGACGTTTCCTCTTTCAGTCAGGATGGCCTCCATCAGACCAATATTGTTCTCAGGCCATTTTTTTGTTTTGTTATCTTGGATAAACAGAGAGAGGCTGATTCATTTTTCTAGAAAAACAGGATGCACTAAAATACTGCAAGTGACAATGAAACAGACATGCTCACGTACAATAATATTTATAAAGGGACCAAACAATATATGTAGCAGACACCTCTGTGGTGTGGCCGCTACCCCTCCTCCATCTCACTTGCCTTGAGTCCTTGGCCAAGTGGGTTGTTTCTTTCGATCTGTTTCCTCAGATATCAAATGAGACCAATAATACCAACTGAACAGGCATGTCTCAAGGAATTGATGAGTATCAAGTGCTAGAAATAGTGCTGGGCACGTAGTAAGTAGCCATTCCAATAGAGCTTAATTATTTGTGCACTGGGTACGAAATACTGATTCGTAATTGGAGCAATATATATTCACAATGATTTTTTTAAAACTTTGTATTATGGAAATATTCAAATATCCATAAGAGAACAGTATGATAATTTCCCACGTACCTACCATCCCTCCACTTCAGCAATCGTCCACATTCTGCCATTCTTATTCATTGATCCCCTTCCTCTTTTAGAAATGTTTTAAATTTGTAATGGTTAACTGCTACCTAAATTATTTTAAAGCAAATTCTGGAGAGCATATAATTTTGTGTATAGAGAGTTTTTAAGAGTCTGATAAATCAGTGACCAAAGAAGAAATCCTTATAAAAAAATGGTTGAAACCAGTGTTTTGAATGCAATTTTCAGAGCTGAATTATAGGTATTTCTGCAACCAAATTAGGACATGTCTGCAAATCTTTAAGAGTGGCATTTTGAAAGTTCAGTATTGTTTATTTCATTTAAGGAGCATGCCACATGCTGGTCTGCACATAGATTAGCACTTAGGTGCATATGCAAAACACTTTTTTCTAATGGAAGATTTAAAACATACCTCAATACTAGTAGACTAGTATAATGTACCCCCCTGTAACCATCACCTAAGCTATCTTTTTTTTTTTGAGACAGAGTTTTGCTCTTGTCTCCCAGGCTGGAGTACAATGGCGCCATCTCAGCTCACTGTAAACTCCACCTCCCTGGTTCAAGTGATTCTCCTGCCTCAGCCTCCCGAGTAGCTGGGACTACAGGTGCATGCCACCATACCCGGCTAATTTTTGTATTATTAGTAGAGACAGGGTTTCACCATGTTGGCCAGGCTGGTCTCGAACTCCTGACCTCAAGTGATCCACTCACCTCGGCTTCCCAAAGTACTGGGATTACAGGCGTGAGCCACCATGCTCACCCTAAGCTATCGTTCTGATGTCTCCTTTTGAAAGATGTTCATATTGTTTGTAAGAGACTTCTTAGGTCAAAAGAGCCTTAATGATTTTGGAGGAAGATGTAGAATCAAACATTTATATTACACTACATGAAAAGAAATTCTTATTCATCAGTGCTATTGCCTTTGAAAAGTACAGTCAGTACTGCTTGATGTGGGTATGTTCTGAGAAGGGCATCATTAGATGTTTTCATCATTTTGTGAACATCATAGAAAGTATAGTCTACTACACATATAGGCTATATGCATAGCCTATTGCTCCTAAGCTACAAAAACTGTACAGTATGTTACTGTACTGAATACTGTAGGTATTCAATGGTACAGTGGTACAAATACAATGGTAAGTATTTGTGTATCTAAACATAGAGAAAGGTAATGTGTTGTGCCACGACATTTCCACAGCTACGATGTTGCCAGGCAGTAGGAGTTATTTAGCTCCATCATGATCTTATGGGCCCACTGTTGAATGTACCATCTGTTGTTGACCCAAAAGTCATGCTGCACATGACTGTGTGTCAGTAATAGCTCTCAGAGGAACTGATTTTCCCAGATGAAATATAAGTAAAATCTGATGTTTGAAAGCAGTTCAAGCAAGACCCCTCAAAAGACATTTAAGCAAGAACACATTTGGAAGCCAGTACTGAAGTGTTAGTAATGGATAGGGAAGTTATGTATTTTCTCTTCTTTCTTTTTTCCATTCATCTTTCTCTCTCTCTCATTTTTGTTTATCTGCATTTTACAATTTTTTTTTTCACCGTGAGTGTGGATTTTCTTTCACCATGAACATGGATTATTTGATTGTTGAAAAATAACAAAAGCCCAGCTGGGTGTAGTGGCTCACACCACTAATACCAGCACTTTGAAAGGTGGAGGCAGGCAGGTCGCTTGAGTCCAAGATTTCGAGACCAGCCTGGGCAACAGTGAGACCTCATTTCTACAAAAAATTAAAAAATTAGCTGGGTATGGTGGTATGTGCCTGTAGTTTCAACTATTTGGGAGGCTGAGGTGGGAGGATCACTTGAACTCAGGGAGGGTCGAGGCTGCAGTGAGCCAAGATTGTGCCAGTGCACTCCACCCTGGGCAACAGAGTGAGACCCTGCCAAAAATAAAAATAAAAAAGTAACAAAAGAATATAAGTTAGTAAATCAAAGAAGAGATGCCGGGAGTGGAGATTGGCTGTATTGAGATGAGTATGTCAGGGGCAGATAGATAATGTTTCTGAACCAGCAAGCTTTTACCCTTCATCTTGCTGCTTGTCTTTAACCCTTTCCTTGGTCCCTGGGTCTTGCCTCTGCATTCTCATTACTGATGGTAGGGAGTGGTACTCATCTTCATGACATAATCTCATTAGGCCAAGAGAGAGGATAATTGGCCATAGTTCCTAGGCCAGTCCCCTAAGCTGTGTTAGGCTTTCATATATGATTCTGTCTGGTCCTGTGCCTTTACATTTCCTGGTCTTGCCTTCTGAGACTGCCCAGGTTTTAAGAGGTGGGTGTTGGGAAAGGCTAGGAGATGGTGGATGCTGGAAGACAAAACACTAGCAGAGTGTAGTCTCTCCCCTTATGATCCTGAAAGTATAAAAAGCCATCTCTGCTCTGCTGCCAGCCTACCCACCTGCACTTTGGAAGAAGAGCTGTTGGATATTTCAGAATGGTTTTCAGACTGGCATTGGAACCGTGTTCTAAAGTTAACGATGATGGAAATAATTTAGTTGTAGAGGACTCTAGACAGGCTTGTGTAAAGCAAGCAGGTAAAGGAATAAAACATTAAAAATTGTGTAGGAAGAGATGTTTTGAGGTATCAGTGTAGGTGGATTGTGAGTGGAGTGACATGGGGAGGGAGTTAAGAGGAGACGATGTTCATGGTTAAAGAAACCATTTATACAGACGTGACGAGTGCAGGAATTCTGATCTCTCATATGACAAATGCTGAGAATAACTCCTATTTTCCATGCTAATTGCTAATTTACTCATCACATTGAATATCCTGCTGGTGGAAAAATTCAGTGTTGCAGCCTCATATCCTCCTGCATAGGAAGTACTCAGTGACCCAAGATGTTAGAGTCTCTTTTATGGCACTTCCCTGAAAAGAAAATATTATTACTTAATTGGCAGGCAACAGGGGCTTTTAAGGGACTCATCCGAACACCACCTGTTTACTTACAAGTACAAAGGACAGGAAAATTAATTACAAATGATACCTTTCTCTTAAGGGTTCTAGGTTTCCAGTGCAAAATAATGATGATCCAACTGCCAAAGTATATACTGGTAGGTGGAGTTTTTTTTTTTTTCTTTTCCCCTCCTATAATGGATTAAGTTAATCTGTGAGAACGTTTACCCAATGCCCATTGTAACAAAATTATGTGAATTGACCAGATTTCATTAAGTATAAAATGAATGTACCTCGAACTTGGTCTTTGATGTGGATTTTGAGCTACTATCAGGCCACAGTTCAGGTATAGCAAGGATATGCCCCAAAAAAGCATTCCTGTTTGATTATTTGGTGTTTGATTATCAGAATTTCTGGTCTAGAATACAGTCCAGGTGGTAACCTTTCCAATATGAGTGTCTTCCTAAGGTGGGTCATGAGATGGGTTGGAGAATCCAGGGTTCTAAGCCAGTCTCTTGCCCCTGACGCCATATGGGACATGAGGTGAGTTGCCCAGTTTTTATCATTTGTCAAGTAGGAATAGTAATGTCTGATGTGATTGAGGATTAAATGTAAGTCTAGGCAATAATGTAAATAGAAGTGTTTTTGAAATTAAACTGACATGCAAACTTTTGATTGATCACAGTAATCAATCAGTGAACAAACATATTTGTGAGCTATGGAATTAGCCATAAATGTGAAGGAAGCTAGAGAAAAGGGGAATGACATTTCCAGTAAGCTAGCAAACACTCTGGAGCTATGTTATTAACTGTTAAACCATGTAGTCTGGGTAGGTATCATTAGCCACTTTGCCACAACTCCCCACCTCATATCCTGTACCCCATTCAAATTCAGTCCTTTCATTGCTCAGACTCATCTCGCCTTGGCCATTCTGCCCCTCACAATATGATTTTCCCATTTCTGCCTTTTGAAACGTTGAGTAATCAAAACTTAGATCAAATGTCAGTTCTTTCATATAGTCTTCTCTGATTACTCCAGTTGGATTGATCCCTCTCTGGCCTATGTCAGGGATAGGCAAACTTTCTGAAAGAGTCCAGATTGTTTTTTGGCTTTGCCAGACACATGGTCTCTGTTGCTTCCACTCAACTGTGCCATTGTAATGTGAAAGCATCTGTAGACAATACATAGATAAGTGAGTGTGGCCATATTCCAATAAAACTTTATTCACAGAAACAAGCTGCCAGCTAGACTTGGCCTGCAGGCTGTAGTTAGCTGACCCCTGGCATGGGTCATTGTCTTGCTACGCAGCTTTCTTGGTTCTGCGTACATTTTGCCTTAACCTGCATGTTAGTGGCCTTCTTTTTAAAAAAAAAGTTTTTAAAAACTTTTACTATTATTCTTATTTTTAAAGATGAGGTCTTGCTGTCACCCAGGCTGGAGCAGTGGTGCAATCATAGCTTACTGCAGCCTTGAATTCCTGGGGTCAATCTATCTTCCCACCTCAGCCTCCTGAGTAGCTGGGATCACAGGCATATGAACCACCATGCCCAGCTAATTTAAAAAAAATTTTTTTTTTTTGTACAGATGGGGTCTTGGTTCACTGCCCAAGCTGGTCTCAAACTCCTGACTTCAAGCGATCCTCCCACCTTGGCCTCCCAAAGTGTTGGGATTACAGGTGTGAGCCACTGTGCCTGGACAGTAAGGCTTCTTATGAACAGCAGTGTCCAGGCTGTTTTCTTCTTTTGAGTCCCCCGGATGTTGTATAAATAGGAGAGTGTTCAGTTGATGTTTGACAAATGAGTGAACAGTGAATGAATGGTGGCTGCTTTCAGAAGTTGGCAACCCTGCTGTCCTTCTGGATGGCTGAGCTCTTCCAGCCTTCTGGCGTCCTGCCTCCTTTCCCTGGCCTGCCCTGCTAGAAAGAGAGGAGAGAAGGCATCTTTTCTCTGTCTTCCTCAGCCACCCTTCCACTTCTTTGAGCAACTACTATTTACAACTCAAAGAATTCTTTATTTATACTGTGTGAGAGACTGTTTACCCGTGTTGAACTAACATTAGGTTTCTTTAAATCTGCTATTAAAACGAAGAGTGGCCATTTGTAACTTTAGGAGCATAAGAGCTGGGTTCATGATGTAAGTGAACAGAGACACCCTTAAAGTTATTTCCCAAGGCCCTGGGAATGCGATTTTCTTAGTTTATTTGTTACAAGGGAGTGTTTTGTACATTGGTAGAGGAAAATACTATGAAACAAAATCAAACAAAAACATCATTACATTTTAAAATCATTTTGCAACACTGAGCAGGTATGAATTTGGTACTTTGCTTGTAATTGGAAAACTGGAAAGTTGAAAATTTAAGTATGGATATTATGATTTTCAATTTTTAGAAGATGTATAGTATATAATGGCAGTTTGCATTTGATGTTAGAAAGAATAGCATCTCAAGGGAAAACAAAAATGCTTTCCGTTCCAGAAAATGTTAAACATTCCTTTTTTTCTTAGGATAAACTCACTACTAGCTACTTTTCTTCTGCCTGAGCCCTTCATTGTAAAAGTGAATTAATGTTGTCCTCTGAATTCTGTTGGGGAAAATGACACAGAACCCCTGTGAATGAAGAATTGCTTTTAATTTCACTGGACGTGAGGCAGAGGAGGACCTTGGAAAAGGAAGGTTATTATTTCCTCTGTGGAAACGTTTATCTTCGTTTTCTGGGTGACTGGTAAAAACAATAGTTTGCTGTGGAGTTTCAGTAATCAAAGAAGAGGAAATAGCATGTGAGTGACTGCAAGTTGGTGGGGACAACCCTGGCTCTTTTGAAGGTGAAACTTACTAAAGCCACATTAGCTATCTCCTAGTGCAAAGGTCGAGAAACATTTTCTGTAAAGGGCTAGAGGTAAATAGTTTAGACTTCATGGGCCATAAAGTCCCTGTTGTAAATTTTCAGCTCTGCTGTTGTGGTATGAGAGCAGCCATAGACAGTTTTAGAAACAAATGAGAGTAGCTGTGTTCCAATACAACTGTATTTATGGACACAAAAATTTGAATTTTCATATGTCACAAAATAGTATTATTTTAATTTGTTACAATTATTTAAAAATGTAAAAACCATTCTTAGATTCCCTGTTGTACAAAAACAGGTAGTGGGTAGGATTTGGGTGCAGGGCATAGTTTGCTGACCCTATCCTGGTGAACTAGCGCAATAATTTCTTAGGTGGGGAGGTGTAGTGGATAACACATTACACATTCTGTACCTTTTAGTAGGTAATCCGATTATGATTAGCTAACCCAAACTTGTGAAGAAAATTTCCTGGTGGAGTTGGATGGCTTTGAGGAGTCCAGTGTTCTTGTCCCTGCCCTGTTAGTGTAAAGCTGAATGGCACTTTGGACCTTGGCTGCCCATCTGGTACATGATGAAGTTGGACTAGATGACTTCTAGGGCTTCGTGTAGAGCTTAACATTTTATTTTAATTAATTAATTAGGTTTTTTTTGAGACAAGGTCTCACTTTGCTACCCAGGCAGGAGGGCAATGGTGTGATCAGGGCTCACTGCTACCTCTACCTCCAAGGCTCCAGCAATCTTCCCACCTCAGCCTCCTGAGTGGCTGGGACTACAGGCACATGCCACCACAGCTCACTAATTTTTGTATTATTTCTATTTTTTTTCTTTTGTAAAGACAGGGTTTTGCCATGTTGCCCAGGCTGGTCTCAAACTCCTGGGCTCAAGCAGTCCTCCTGCTTTGGCCTCCCAAAGTGCTGAGATTATAGCGCGTGAGCCACTTGACTGATCTTAACGTTTTAGACCCTTTATCACTTGTGTTTTGGTTCTTCTTCTGATAATTATTGCAATTTACCTTTTAAAAAATTATTTAGGCCTGGCGTGGTGACTCACACCTGTAATCCTAGCACTTTGGGAGGCCAAGGCAGGCGGACCACTTGAGGTCAGGAGTTCGAAACCAGCCTGGCCAGTATGGTGAAACCCCCATCTCTACTAAAAATACAAAAAAATTAGCCAGGCGTGGTGGCACATGCCTGTAGTCCTAGCTACTTGGGAGGCTGAGGCAGGAAAATGGCTTGAACCCAGGAGATGGAGGTTGCAGTGAGCCAAGATCATGCCACTGCACTCCATCCTGGGTGACAGAGCAAGACTCCATCTCAAAAAAAAAAAAAAATTTAGATATTTGTTGAGAAACTAATATGTGCTAACTGTGCAGGCTCTGGTGATGGTGGTTGTGTGTGTGTGCACATTTGTGTGTGTGCATGTGTGTGAAACAGATGGTAGGGTAGTTACAATACAAAAATGTACATATTAGTATTCTAAATAAATTTTTTTTCTATTTTGTGCAGTCTTTCTTGAAGTTATAAAAACAATATAATGGGCAATTAGGCATTTACACTATTTTTATTAAAAATAATAAATGTATATGAATAATTATACTCAGAATTCAACAATATCAGATATTGATTTTTGCAGTTACTTTAGTTATTCATTTATTTATTCATTCATGTAACAAATAGTTCTTGAGTACCTACCATGTACTTCAAGGCACTGGCTTAGGCCTTGAAGACTAAACTATTTGCCCTCACGAAACTTGCATTCTAATGGAATCTCCTGTTGAAGATGCTAGGTAGATGGTTTTATTCGTACTTTTCAGAGGAGGTGTACTTATTCATTACTTATTTTTCTTTTTTTGTTTCAGTTATCTCTTGGGAAATCTCTGAGTAATGTTTTTGAATTACCAGAGGAAATTTTACAGTCACACAGGTCTTTGTTGACTTTTGCAGTCGCCTAAAGTTGTTAATCATTGAAGAGAACTCTGATTCCTCACTGACAAAGAATGAATTCTATCGTTTTAGTTATATTAGTTAATTTGGAAAGTACTTCAATCAATTTAAAACTTTAGGGAAGATCAATTCAGTAAGTTCTTTAGAAAATCACTACGTCAAGGCTGGGTGCAGTGGCTCACACCTGTAATCCCAGCACTTTGGGAGGCCGAGGCGGGCGGATCACGAGGTGAGGAGATCGAGACCATCCTGGCTAACATGGTGAAACCCTGTCTCTACTAAAAATACAAAAATTTACCCGGGCATTGCGGCGTGTGCCTGTAGTCCCAGCTACTCAGGAGGCTGAGGCAGGAGAATGGCGTGAATCCAGGAGGTGGAGGTTGCAGTGAGCCAATATCACGCTACTGCACTCCAACCTGGGCAACAGAGTGAAACTCTGTCTCAAAAAAAGAAAAGAACTATGTCAAATTCTCAAAGGTCACTGAAGTTAACCCGTGTTATCAGTCTTCTAAGCAGCATTAGTGGATTTATATTTATGTTACACATTTCTCCTCATAAAAAAAGATTTCACATGCATTTATTCAATGAATACTAAAAAAGATGAATATTTCAAAAAGTAAAAGCAACTGAAAATAGTAATATCTGTTAAAACTGCGTCATGGCTTTGCCTTGATATCATGAGTTTTGTCTGCTTTTATGAGGGTGGCATTTTTGGGCTTTACAAATAAAAAAATACCATTGTAATAGTAGTATTATAACCGTAACCAATAGTCCAACAATAGCGAAAGCATTCACTGTGTATCACTCCCCTCCAGGCCACCCCGGCTTTGCTCTGCTTCTAGTCAGAGTGGATGCCTCGCAGTTCTTTTTGAATAAAGTTAAATCTGACTTCAGGTCTTTCACACACACATTTGCCGCCCTTTGGAATCTCTTCCTTCTCTGCCTTTATCATCTAGTTAATTCCTGGTAAGTCTCAACTTGAAAGGTCTTCTCTTTATGGAAGCTTTCCCTGAGTTTTATGTGGACTGAAGTTTCCCCTGTTAGCATCCTTACTTCTTCTGAGCAACTGTAATTGTTTATGTCATTATCTGACAAGAAGCTGGATGAAGGCGGAGTGTGTATTGCCCATCACTCTATTCTCAGCACTTGGTTTGAATGAGCCTATAAGTGGTATTTTACCCACCCCTCACAAAAGAAGCTATATCAATATAAGCTATTATTCGTGTAATTTAGTGAGAAATACTGATGTTTCCTCACCCCATAGTTTTGTGTATCTTTTGTAGACCTCAGTGTTTCATGACCTATATATTATAATGTTTACTGACTAGATTTGGTCAGTTACTATTTGAGGAAATGCTGGGATTTCTTAGAAATTTTAATGATAAAAGAATGCATAGGGCCAGAATGTTTGAAACCAAGACTGCCTTAGAGAAACCCAGGGCATATAGCAGACACATTTTTGACCTGAAACGCTTAAAGCGGAATGGGACAGGAAAATACATATGCATGAAATAATTAGTATGTTTCTCAGTCTGTCCAGGCTACTATAACAAAAATACCATAAACTAGGTGGCTCAGGAAACAACAAACATTTATTTCTCACAGTTCTGGTAGCTAGGAAGTACAAGATCAAGACACCAGCAGATGTGGTGTCTTATGAGGGCCTATTCCTCATAGATCATGCCTTCTACCCGAGTCATCATATGGTAGAAGGGATAAACAAGCTCTCTCTGGCCTCTTTCATGAGGGCCTTAATCCCATTCCATGTGGGCTCTGCCCCCATGATCTAACTACCTTCCAAAGGCCCCATGTTGGGAGGTTATATTTCAACATATGAATTTGGTGGGGACACAGACATTCACACCATAGCAGTATGCCACCTGTGACAGTACCTGTTTGTCTTTATAGCTGTGTTCTCTTGTTTCTCCAGTATCTCAGTGGTATTGGACAGGATATTAGATTCAGGAGAGGACTTCAGAATGTTAACTAGTGGTAAGAAAGCAGCTTCATGGGGTGGCTGGGGCTTGAGGGAGTCTGTAACTCGGGACCACATTTTAGTAACTAGAGAAAATGTTTCAGCAACTGTATGGTGATAAGTCCCTAGTCTAAATCTCTAGCACAAATCTTTCTTTTGAGTGCTGGATACCCTATTCTTTTGCCCATTAAACACGTCTACTTGCATGCGCCACAGTCACCTCAAAGGCAACATGTCCAAAGCAAATTCATTATCTCACTCTCGAACTTGCTCCTTCTCCGTTGTTATGGAACTCAGTAACCACATTGCTCAAATTACTGCCTCACCCATTATTTCTTCCTCACCTATCACATCCAGTCCTCCAAGTTCTCTCAGTCCCGCCTCATACATTTCCTCCATAACCTGCTCCCTTGTCTATGTTTTCTAGTGTAGGTCACTACACTAGAAAGGTCATCCTTTGCTTGTGCTCCTGCAATAGTCTTCTAACTGGTCTCCTACCTGGTAGCTGGTCTTACTCTCCTCTGATCCACTCTCATGCTGTGGCCAAAGTGATTTTCTAAAAAGACAGATGTCTTAATTATGCATGTGCTTTGAAGCTCCTCGTTTGGCATTTAGGATAAAGTTCAAATGCCTTAGCTTATGAGAGGCCCTGTGACCAGGTCTCCACTCTCCAACCATATTGATGATCTTACAGTTTCTCCTGTGTATTGTGCTGTCTCCGGCCTCTGGACCTTTAGTGCTGCTCCTTCTGTCTAAATTACTTGTTTTCTCAATTAGTGACCCTTCCCTCCTTCAGTGCACAGGCTTGGAAGCCTATCCATGAATCTCACTACCCTGAAATCCAAGGGATAAGGTGACCATGAACCTCAGCACCTCAAGCCTTCCATTGACATTTCCCTCCTTTGCTCCATGGGTAAGAATGCAGAACGTATGGCTTCAGCTTCTGTGTGGGCCTTTCTCTATGCCTGGTTTTTCCTGGCACCTGTCCTCCCACCTGCCTTCTGGCCTGCCAGTGTGTCTGATCTGAGCAGACTGGGAGGGTGTGAAGAAGGGCCAGTACCGCTTCAGCAGGAAGGGCAGCACACGGAAGGCCAGCAGCCTTGGGCTGGCCTGCATCTGCCCCTCACATACCCTACAGAGAAACACTGAGCAGCTGGTCAGCATGTGGGCTGGGAGGAATGGGGCTGGGCTAGGGGACTAGGGATTAAGGCAGCCCTTGTAGCAGCAACTGTGACACAAGGAGCACCTGGCCCTCCTGGAAGTCCCAGGGCTCTTTCTTTGACCTCCTTCCTTCACTTCCTGCATTTTCTAAATTGTAGCTAAAATTTGAGATAGAACCCTAAGAGTAAAACCTGGCCCTGCTAGCATTGATTTCCTGAGATTAACTTCTCTTTTAGCTAAGGAGCATCTCTGGATGATGAGTAGAGATGGAAGCCAAGTCATGTGCCCTTAAAGTCCTGTGCAAGCTCCTTCCCGGGATGTGGTGGGGTGTGCATGCAGTGAGCTGTGAGGGGGTGGCCCTGTCACAGGGAATGAGGCCTCAGCCATTGTCTGGCAGTGTTGGCAGTGTGATTTTAAGCCAGTTATTTAACTTCTAGGTCTCAGGTCCTTAGCCTATAAAGTTGGGATAATACTTATCTTACAGGGTTGGAGCATGAAATAAATATTAAGAGAATCAAAAGCAAAAATGCTTTGCATATTATGTAATATGAAACTATTTTTCATGTACTACTACTTATAGTATTACTACTATTTATGGAGTTTAAAAAGTTTCTGTGTTTTGAATATATTTAATGAACTCAGTCTTTCTAATTATCTGTATGTATCATGAATACAACATAAAATCTATGACCGTGGCAAAATACTATCACTGACCTTAGATGTGGCCAATGTGTTCTTGACTGAGATCTGTACAGCTTCACATGCTTTTTTTTTTTTTTTTTTTTGGTATGCCGCTTATGTAGCACCAGTAGAGGATTTTTTTTTCATTGACATTATCTTATATTCCCCTCATTATTAGGAGAAAATGTCAGTTGATTTTCTGCGTTACTAAGGACATGAACAAAGAAAACTGTGTAACACAAAACTTTCTGTGTGGAATAGAGAAATTTAATCACTGTCATGATTTCATCAGTGGGGCAGTTCACAGCTTTAGGGCATGCCAATGAGCTGTATCACTTCAGAGTTAACCAAAGAAAGAAATGTAATGGGGGATGGAGAATGTAATTAGAGTGGAGTACAAGGGGGGGGTGGGGAACCTTTGTAACTAAATTATTAGCATTATCATGAAGAAACTGTCTTTTGAATTGTTTTTAAGCTAAAGAAATCATAAAGCAGTGTTTTTATGTGACTATGTAATTCCCCTTGTATTTGAGGTTAATATGCTGCAAATTCTTCATAAATCTTCATTAAGATGTCAAAATTCCTTGTGAAGCCTGTCTTCATTTGCATTCCCTTGTACAGTTATTAACAAAGACCCTTTATGTCTCTGCCCAGCTTGATTTCAGTCATGAACTCCATTTTCCTTTTATTATTTCATAGAATCTGGTTCCTTGATTGAACTTAGTAAATCATTTCTTGAGGACTTGGTGGGAAGCCAGAGAGTGGTAGTGAGGGGGGCAGTTTATGAGCCCAGGGTGGGTGGAGACCCTTGTTCCTCAAAGCAAGACATTATTAACTTTAGAGTCTCCTCTTATCAGATCTTAAAAATTCTTGCCCAAAGTTAATAGTTTTTGAAGTTTGCAAATAGATTTCTACAGTTGAAACCTAGAGTAGAAAGAAGCCTGGTTATTTATTTATTTATTTATTTATTTATCTTTGGCTTTAAAATTAGGCTTTTCTGGCCGGGCACAGTGGCTCATGCCTATCATCTCAGCACTTTGGGAGGCCCAGGCAAGCGGATCACTTGAGGTCAGGAGTTCGAGACCAGCCTGGCCAACATGGTGAAACCCCGTCTCTACTGTAAATACAAAAATTAGCTGGGTGTGGTGATGCTGTAATCCCAGCAACTCGGGAGGCTGAGGCAGGAGAATCTCTTGAAACTGGACAGCAGAGGTTGCAGTGAGCCGAGATCGTGCCACTGCACTCCAGTCTGGGCAACAGAGTGAGACTCCGTCTCAAAAAAAAGTTGGGGGGGAAGCCTTTTCTCACCAATTGAGTGTCAGTGTGGCCAGTGTAAACAAGGATGAAAATAGCTATTTGAGGGGTTTGGTGGCCACTTTAAAGTTGTGTCAGGGCAATGATCAACACTAGAGTTTCAGTTCCTGTTGAGATCTGTGCTCTCTACCTTTCAGTCTGTGAGACTGAGTCGGAATGTCCCCAAGTATTTAGGACCCTGTGACTGCTGGAATTTCAGGGTTGCTCAGGGTCCAGAGTGAAAAGAACGCTGCTGCCAATAACGCCTTCCCATCTTGGGTTGCCTTTGTTCACATAGCTTTGCTTATTCTTTAATCCAAATCATCAGCTCATTCCAAAATAGTTGCTAGCAAAAATACATGTGAATGCTCATTCAAGAATATAAAGGATATTAAAATATCCTCTTATATCATGACTCTGCAGACGGAAAATTCTACCTGAACTTTGCCTTTGGTTTTCTTAACATTTCCTCTTAGCCCTACGTAGATACATTTTTCTCCTGTGGGGGAAAATTTATTGTTTCCTCATTTTCCCCCAGCATTATTTGAGTGTCTGCAAATGCATATTGGTAGTTTTTCTAGTAGGACCTGGTTTGTGGTTGTTAATGGTAAATGTGAAAATTAGATGTAGTCCAGGCTCAAAAGGAGTTTAAAATCTGATAGAAATAAGACTTTCCACAACCACTAGTGTGGCAAAATCTCTGTGGGTAAATGTAACTTCAAGCATAATGTACCCATCTCTCACATTTTGCTCAAGTTGAATTTCTTCCGTTCTGAGGCAGCCACTCCCTCTGTACCATATGATTACATGGCTTGCTTACTTGCTGTACTGCCTTTAGCATTGTCGGTTGGGTGTTTTAAACCTGCACGTTTTATTTCTCAAGTAGACCGGAGGATCCTTAAAAGGTAGCCAAAGAATAGAATTATATAATATTTTAAAAAGTAAAAAAAAAAAATAATTTTTTTCATATTCTGGGTCATTGTAGCTTTGTTTACAAGGACTTTACATGTTGAAGAATTGGAGGATGTATTAGTTTTGGGTTTTTTAGGTTGGTTTTTAGAGAAGTATTAGGAAGTTCCCAAGGGGATTGACCTTGTAGTTTCAAGAAAAGGAGAAATGGTCATGCCTGGGCATTTTTGGGTGCTTTGTTTGAAATATGCATCCACTTGGCTGGGTGTGGTGCCTCATGCCTATAATCCCAGCATTTTGGGAGGCTGAGGCAGGTGGATCACTTGAGGTTAGGAGTTCCAGACCAGCCTGGCCAACACAGTGAAGCCCCCTCTTTACTAAAAATACAATAATTAGCCAGGTATGGGGGCTCACCTGTGTCACCTGTGGTCCCAGATACTCAGGAGGCTGAAGCACTAGTATTGCTTGAACCTGGGAGGCAGAGGTTGCAGTGAGCTGAGATGGCTCCATTGCACTCCAGCCTGGGCAACAGAGTGAGACTCTGTCTCAAAAAGAAAGAAAAACTATAAAAAATTATAAAATATGCATCTACCTCTTGAAATTGATACATTTTTGAATTTGGAAATGTTGAATAATTAGAGCCTGAGCATAGGTCTATGTTTTGCTAAGATAATGTACTTGGGAGGGTGGTTAAAATAGTCATTAATTTTGGTCACAAATTTAAACAGAGCTTGCTTGACAGGGACAGCTTCTCTCTGTTTCATGCAGTGTCATTTGGAGTGGCTTGACTGGGGGACAAGGGATTAATTTTCAAGGGGGCTCACCCACATGACTAGCAAGTTGGTGTTGACTGTCAGCCAGGCAACATTTTCTTTCCAAGTGGGTCTCTCTACAAAATGCATGAGCTTCCTTATGGCATGGTGGCTGGGTTCCAAGAGTGAGCATTCCATGAAACAGAAAGTAGGAGCCATGAGTTGGTGCCGGAAACTGGTACATCATATTTACCATATTCTATTGGTCAAGCAGTTGATAATGTGAATTTTAAATAGGAAATTTTATGACTCATGGAAAGACTTTATTTGGATTTCATTTAATGTATCAAATGGGTACCCCAGGGTGGCTATTGCCTTGAGGAAGGTGCTTTATTTCCACTAATGTATAAAGGAAGGTGCCAGGCCCATGAGGTACAACTAATGCTTATTATCAATTTTATTTTATTCTTCCCCTTCAGGTGAGTGGAGTGAGTGTCAAGGACAGAGGACTGAGGTCCCAGCTTGAGGTGCTTGGAGGGACAGAGAAGAATCAGGGTGAGGAAGCTGTCAGGCTCCTCTTTTCCCTTTTGGCCCTGTGACTTTATTAGCTTAACTAATACTTCATAGTGTTTGCTATGTACCAGGCACTTTACATATATTAACTCAATTATATTCCCATCGGGGACTGTGTTACAGGTAGAATCTTAATTAAAGCTACTGCTACTGATTCTTAATAATGGCATTACTTGAAGAGATTATTATTAATAGGCCCTTGCCCCATTTGATTACACTGTGTGATATACAGTTGTCCCTTGGTGTCCGGAAAGGATTGGTTCCAGGACCCTGGAAGATACAAAAATTTGACGACGCTCAAGTCCTTTATAGACAATGTCATCATATTTGCATAAAGCCTATACACATCCTCTCTTATACTTTAAATCATCTCTAGATTTACTTATAATACCTGATAAAATGTAAATGCAATGTAAATAGTTGTTATACTGTATCATTGTATTGTTTTTTATTTGTATTCATTTTTACAAATTGTTGTACTATCATTATTTATTTTGAATATTTTCAGGCCAATGTTGGTTGAATCCCAGGATGTGAAACAGGTGAAGATGAAGGGCCCATTATATACCTTGTCGCTATTTAAAGATGTCTCAAACTCTTGGAATTTTGATGTTTTTGAACATGTAACTTAATGGATCCTCCTTCATATTATTGTAGTTTCTCTTAATACTAAAGTAGATATTATTGCCTTGGTGTATTTTACTTTTAAGTTTAAAAAATTTTTGATTTAATGATACTCTTGAGGATTTTAGTTTGGGATATTACCACTGTCAAAGCTGGCAGGTTCTTCACTTGATTAAGTCTTATTTCCACTCAACACCATTTAAGTAGTTTGAGACTGGTTATAATGAGCATTGGTACAGGACTGGCCCCTCTTTTCAGTCAAGGTCAGTTGGCAACAGCTATACACTGTTTCTTTATTTTGGAAAGGTTTTGCTTGCGCAAAGACTTACTCTTTTAACCAAATCCTGCTTTTCATCTGTTTTTGATGGCAACAGACCATATTTCCCAGCCATTTGCAAACAGTGCCTGTCTGGCGGGATTTCCTGGACACAGCCCTTGACAACCATTACTGGCCAACTTTTGAACTTCAGTGTTTAACCTGGTTATTTGTTCTGTGTTTTCTGCCATGGGCCATGGGAACCATAAGCTTATCCTTTTGAGACTAGCAGAAGGTCCAAGAACAATCCATTTGCTAATTGGACCCATTGCTTTCCCCAGCCCATTAACCTTCATGAATCAAATCTTCCTTCCAATATCCAGCTATTCATCTACAAGTCAGTACTATGCAGAGTGATACTTTCTAACCAAGGTGCCTATGGTAGACCTTGGTCATTGCCATTTTGGAATCTTTACCTTATGGACTGATATAATCCAAACATGTCAGTGTGTCATAAAAATTGGTTGGCCAATTAAAGATAATTTGATAGTGCAAATATCATTAAAATTGTTCTTATGTACAAATAATAATTTAAAAATCCATATATAATGACTTACAAGTAATAAGGCCGTACTTTTTTCACTCTAAAAAAAATAAGCAAATGATAAAACATTCATGCTCTTTGACCCAGTGGTACTGATTCTGGGGCTCTAGCCTAAAGAAATAACTCAAAACATTGAGAAAAGCTTATGCTTATGGATGTTTGTTGAAGCATTATTTGTAATGAATAAAGAAAAATATAAATATCTAACAGTAAGGAATTGTTAATTAAATTATGATGTTGATGAAAGTTTTTAACGGCATTTGAATATTGTTATGATGTTAAATGAAAAAAAAATGGAATACAGCATTTTCCACAATATGGTCACAGCCATGGAAAAAACATGCATTAGAAAAAAGACAGAAACCAGCCAGGCACAGTGGCTCACGCCTGTAATCCAAGCAATTTGGGAGACACTAGGAGACACTAGAAAGAAGATTAAAGAAAATTTCAAGAGTGCTTGGCTTGAGTGCCAGTCAGACTTGGGTCCAAATTCCTACTCTTTTACTTATGAGCTATGTAGCTTCAGGCAAGTCTTTTAAACTTTTGAGCCTCAGTTTCCTCATTTATAAGATGGGGATAATAATTTTTCCAGGATTATTGTGAGTATTAAATGAGATAATGATACAAGTAAAATTCTTGATAATCTATAGGCAACCAACAGCTGGATGGTGGCAAGTACTAATTCGTAGCTTCAAGATGTTCTCAGTTGTATTCTTGACTTTGGCATTCTTCTGTTACGTTTGCACTGATTTTTGACATGCTGCTAGGAGACAGGTAATGTGAAGGATCTATTGGGGGGTTTGCCTTTACGGCTTTTCTGGTACATTGTAGGTCAAACACCAACACCTGTGTTAGGCCCTGTCACATATTCAGGGACCTTCACTGTTCACCTGAGCTTAACCAACAACACTCACCTGCAGGCATGCACTTGAGTACAGATGCTGCTTGTTTTGAGTGAAGCAGATACAGAAAATCTTTAACTACAATCCCATTTATAAAAGGGTGGAGCTTATTTCTTTTAAAAAATAATCATTCCAAAAAGATTTGCACAGAATTAATTTTCAAAGGGTGACCTCTCTTGTGCATTTAAAATGTGATTCAAGCAAACCAAACAAAAAAAGGATTCGGCCTACACTTTCAGTGGCACGAAGTAAAGTGCACTTGTGTCCAAGGTTGGACTCCTTGCTTTTCTTCCAAGCATCTTTCCCAGTCTCATCATTTACTAGTTTATATTTTAAACTTAGCTTCAGAATGCTTATGCTGATGTTAATGAGTCTATCTTCAAATGCTATTTTAGTTTATCTTTTTTACTTTATTTTATTTTTTTTTGAGACAGGATCTCACTCTCACACAGCTCACAGCAGCCTCACCCTCCCTTGAGCTCAGGTGATCCTTCCACCCCAGCCTCTCGAGGCACTGGGACTTCAGGTGTGCGCTGCCACGCCTAGATAGATAATTTTTCTTTTTTTCTTTTTTTTTTCCTTCTTCTTCTTCTTCTTCTTTTTTTTTTTTTTTGTAGAGCTGGGGTTTCACCATGTTGCCCAGGCTGGTCTCGAACCTCTAGGCTCAATCTATCACCCATCTTGGCATTCCAAAGTGCTGGGATTACAGGCTCCTGGCCTATTTTAGTTTCTCTCTGTTCTTTATAGTGGATCCTTAAGGCATAGAGAATTTTAGGAAGAGTATGAGCATGGAATAGTAAAGTCATTGTTGTCAGCATACGACAGAGGGAAAGTCACTGAGTCTTTTTGATCCTTGGCTTCCTTATCAATAAAATACTAATATTGGCACTGTTTACCTAACAGTTATTGTGAAGCCAAATCACAATAGCTAACATTTATTAAACAATTATGTGTTCTAGGCACCATGTTAAGAGCTTTGCATGCTTTATTAACTTTAATTTCAGGGTAACTTTATGGAGTAGATCATTGTGTCCTAATCATAATGGTAGCTAATATTTATTGATAGTTTTCTATCTGCCAGGTTTTGTTCTAAGGTCTTTGTGTGTCATAGATATTGGTAGAAAATGGAGGCACCAAGAGATTAAGTAATTTGCCCAAGTTAATTTAAGTAGAAAGTGTAGGAGCTACTATTGGAACACAATCTGATTCCAGACGTCTTAACCACTGTGCAATATCTCCACTGTATAGATGTAGAAACTGAGAAATAGAAGCACAGTAGCTTATCCAAAGTCACACAGCTAGTAAGCGGCAGATCTTACCTTCAAACAAGATTCGCCATTGCGCACATCATTATCTGTTATGCAACATGGCTTCAAAGTCTGAGTGATGGCACCAGGTACTGCTCTGAGTGCTCTTCAGCCTCTGTCCTCAGAGTCAAGAAAATGTGTACCAGTGGCGGGTCCACTAGAAGATCCACTGCACTACGGCTGTTGCCTTGTGTATTCAAATCCACAGTTCCTCATGTCCTGAGGTCAGCGAGCCACAGAGAAGTGGGCTCACCTTTTCTAACTTAATCAGTGCACTGACAGAGGAACAGGTTACAGAGGGATTTCTCTGGGAAAGCTGTGGTGCCAGGGCTTGCTTGTGCCCAGCAAGGGAATTAGAAATGCCAGGGCTAATTCCCCAGTGGAGAATGATTCAGAAGAAAAATGAATTCCTGAAGGCTGTTGTGTTATCAGTGCCAGGTCTGAGAGAGCAGGGCAGGAATATGATGGCTTGTCTTTGGAAAACATCCAAACAACTTTCAGTTTCAGAACAGACTTCACTACTTCTCTTAGAACACTTACTGTCCTTTACTGTAATTTTTGTTATAACTGGAGGATAGAAGGAAATATGCTATTTGATTTTATGTACAAAGAATTTTGAGTCCATTGAGCTAATAATGTCTCCCAAGACAATACCAGTTTATGGAGAACTTGGTTTTTTGTTTTTGTTTTTGTTTTTTTTTGAGAGATGGAATCTCACCATGTTGCCCAGGCTGGAGTGCAGTGATGTGGTGATCTCTGCTCACTGCAACCTCCACCTCCCGGGTTCAAGCGATTCTCCTGCCTCAGCCTCCCGAGTAGCTGGGATTACAGGTGCGTGCCACCATGCCTGGGGTAATTTTTGTATTTTTAGTAGAGATGGGGTTTCACCATGTTAGACAGGCTGGTCTCGAGCTCCTGACTTCAGGTGTTCACCTGCCTCGGCCTCCCAAAGTGCAGGGATTACAGGCATGGGCCACCGCGCCTCGCCCAATTATGGAGAAATTTGAACCATAATATGAATGTTAATTTGGGAGGAATTCTACTGCAGTTCATTTTGGAAACTTGAACCAAGTAGGAAGGATTTTATTGTTAAAAAAATCTGATCACATTTTATGTAATAAAATGTCAAACATGCAAGGAGAGAGTAATAGGGTAATGACCCACCATATACCCCTTGCCTAGATTTAAGAATTGTTAACATTTGGTATATTTGTTTAATATGTTATTTAATAGTAGTATTTTCAAGCAAATAAAATATATGATATTTTACTCCTAAATACTTAAATAGTTGCCTCTAAAAAAGAAGAACATTTTCTTACATAACAAAATTACTATTTACATGTGTGACAAAATCAACAATAACCTATTTTTTTCTTTTGTTTTTGAACATTTTCAAACCTGAAAAAATGTTGAAAGAGAGTTTGCTCTTTATCTAGGTTCAGCAATTGTTAACCTTTTTCCAAAAGAAGTTATAGGCAAGGCTGGGCGCGGTGGCTCATGCCTGTAATCCCAGCACTTTGGGAGGCCGAGGTGAGTGGATCACGAGGTTAAGAGATTGAGACCGTCCTGGGCAGCATGGTGAAACCCTGTCTCTACTGTAAATACTAAAATTAGCTGGGCGTGGTGGTGCATGCCTGTAGTCCCAGCTACTAGGGAGGCTGAGGCAGGAGAATCGCTTGAACCTGGGAGGCAGAGGTTGCAGTGAGCCAAGATCGCGCCACTGCACTCCAGCCTGGCAACAGAGCGACACTCCGTCTCAAAAAAAAAAAAAAAAAAAAAAAAAAAAAAGTAAAAAAGAGGTTATAGGCAATATGAGATTTTCCCTAAGTACTTTAGAATGCATTTCCTAAGAATAAGACATTCTTTTATACCATAACAAATTCTATTATTATACCCAAGAAAATTAACCTTAGTACAATAATATGACCTAATATTTAGCCCTTATTCAAATTCCCCCAGTTGTTCCAAAAATGTCTTTTGTAGCTCTGTGTGTGTGTGTGTGGTGTGTGTGTGTTTGTGTGTGTGTCTGTTTTCCCCAGTGCAGGATCCAATCAGATTCACATATTGCATTTAGTAATAATTATGTTTCTCCTGATTCAAAAAGTGTCTCTCCCCTTGACCATTTTGTTTGTTTTTCGTCTTAACCTGTTTTGAAAAAAACTTTAGACCACTATCACACACGATGGGTTCTTTATGATTAAATTAGGTTAAAATTTTTCACAAAAATACAGCATAAATGATTTTGTGAATTTCTTATTGTATCTTATCAGGATAGAAGCAATAATTTCTTAAAATATTATTTAATATCCAGTACATATTCAAATATTCCTAATGGTCTCAGATGTGTTTTTTTACATCGGCTTGCTCAAACCAAATATTGTACACCATTTAAAAAAAATCGACATAGAAAAATCAATTACAGTCTTTTTGAGGGGGAGGGGGAACTCCTAAACCAGAATAAGTTCAGAGAGGCCCCCTGACCACAGTCTTAATTTCTATTCCTTGTAAATGCCTCAGAGTAATTCTTAGGCTTCTGCTATATGGAAACTACATCCCTTTGTCTTTTATACAAATTACTTGAAAAAAATGGAGGTAATTTCTCTTGATTACTTTAAGAAATGAAGTAGAATTTTTGTAGAACAGTATACAAACCATAAATAAACGGCTTGATGAATTTGCACAAATTGAACACACCCACGTAAGCAGGTCTCTGACCCAAGAAACAGGATTTTTCCCAGCTCCAAAAAGCGCCCCTTCCAGATTCCCCAAGGGTACCTACTCTAACATCCAGCGTCATGGGTTCATTTGCCTTATGCAAATTTCTTCTCTTTCCCTGAAAAAGGAAGCACGAAGTAGAGAAGCCATACAAAATATGTATATTTTAATTAGGTATTTTGAAAGCCCACCTTCAAAGACATTTTAAATGATATACTGTATATATTTTCACACAAAATAATTCCCACAACAATGTTTTACATAATGGTTTCATTCAATGGCTCCCCCTGCTTCCCTAGAATTGGGATTTCATCCAAAACACTAAAGGTTAAGTTATCAATAGAACTCAAAGAGCATTTTGTTTCCATTTGTATAAGTCGTTTAATGTTTTTTAAGTCCACGCATGTGTTAACAAAGGAGGCAGTCAATTACAGGGGAGCTTAGCAAGGCATTCTTAGAGTTCTCTTCAGTGGTGAGCAGTGTCGAAGTGGAATCAGGAAAAGAGCAACCCTTTTCACTGAAGGAAATTATTTTAATTAGTAATTCTCAAAGGGTAATAAACAGTCAAATATTTCTGAAATCTCCTGGCTTTGGGGCAAGTAATTACAATGAGCATGCAATTAAAAAAAAAAAAAGAAAGAAAACTAAGACGAGGGCATGTACAATCAATTAAATAGAAGTAATTACATTATGAGGGCTTCATGAGTAGTGTACGGTGCATTAACATTGTGGAGACAAAAGCCACCAGACAGCACATTGTATGTGCAAGTCTTTTGAATCTGAGGTTGGTTTTCATGGTCTTCTCGATTCTACGTTGTGGGGCTCTGCCACTGGTAGTCGGTAACTTTCTAATGCACTGAACTGGCAGGAGTGATGGCAGCATGCCTATTTGTGGTGTCTAGGGAAGCCTTCTTAAATCATTGGTATGCCCAGCCTAAATCAGATCACGCGGATCCTGCAGTCGGTATCTGGGTGATACTGTGATTGGTACATGAGTGTAACTTGGCTCGGTGTGCCTGGAGTTTTTTTTAGCAGGGATAGGAATCTACCATCTCTGGTGTGTTTTTCAATGTGGCATGCCCCAGTGACATTAGTGGAGAAGGGACTTGCTAAAGTTAGAAAGTAAGATTGAACAGCTGGGTTCAAGGCCTTATACTAGGTTCCCACCAGCTGTTTCAAAGGGATGGAGAGGAGCCACCCAGAGTGCTTTGCAGCAGCTGTGACCCCGAACCAAGGGAAGCTTTATTTCGAAAGCACACTAAGAATAGATACAGGCTCCTGATTTTAAAATACAGCGGACGATTAAAAGCTTTCTGGGTATAAACAGTTCAGGTCACTTTTTAAAAACACAAGTTAATTTCAAGCTATATGGAAATTTACATGTGTGTTTTACATATGTATATATATTTATACACATACATATATGCCTGTATATATATATTCTGATATATGCCGATTAATCTCTCTAATCTATATTAGCTCTGCTTTGAATGAACTTTGTCGTTGGGATGCTTTGGCATCAGGGCTTCATAGCATTGTACTTACATTTATTCAGTGCCTTTGGATAGGAACGCCTGTAGTTTTTTTAGTTCTGGTCAGTTGGGTATAAAATATTGCCATAGTGTCAGAAGCACAGTGTGTGTTCAGACAATGCTGTTGAATCTGAAGTCATGCTTGTAATAAATACCATAAATAGTATATTTTGCAACTTCTTAAAATGTATTCTATAGGATAGTAATAATTAAGTGAAAAAAGTTACACATAAAATGAATTACAGAAATGTGGGATTAAGCTAATTGAAAACTAGAATCTTTTATATGCATATGTATTGTATAAATATTAGGAGAGGAATATAACATTCAGTGTTTTCCATACTTATTTGATAACAGAACCCTTTTGGGTGCAGGGGTGAGGGGGATTATCTTCTAGGACTGATGTTTTATAGAACATCATTGAGGTTACCTTGCCCCATAGCTGTGTCTCCTCACAGTCTGGTTGAACCTGAAAGCATTTGTTACCGGAGAAGTAGATTTTAGGTGGAAATACCAGATGCAGTTGGCAGAATCAGAAGTGTCTCTCCCTTTGCTGAATTCACAATGACTTTGTATTCACTAATTCTTTCTCCTACCCCCTCCCGCAATGTTTCTCACATTTGGCAACATATGATAACATTTGTACATTTTCCCGCACTTTTGTATTAATATATTTATTACGGGTCTGAGTATTTAAACATGAACTTTTTTCTCAAGTCATTTAAAATGACTACAATTCCTAACCCAGAATGAAATGTTTCTTCTAATATAACTATTTTTAATTTCAGAATACATTGCAAAAATGTTTTTTGTGTAAATGTTTTAAAACATAAGATATTATCATGAAAAGGTAATTTCTTAGAAAAATTGGAATTTATCTCTACTACTTTTTTTTGTTTAGAGAAAATTTAGGAAAAGTGAATGTACATCTTGAATTTTAGTTAAGTAATTACAGTTATATAGTCAATTATAAAGGCTGGTTACATAGCTTATTATAGACTGAACACATTTTATACAACAGCCCTATTTGAATATTTTCCCTAGTTATTAAAATAATGAAAACATTAATAAAAACTAAAGGCAATATGATATTAAAAGCATTAATAAAAATGGAAGGCAAGTTAGGCTAAAGTTACTATCAGAGACTGGCTTCTGAAGGAACAGGTTTTGGCTTTCCAAGTGGCAGGGCCTTAAGAATCACATCCCCAGCTCTGGCTTAGGGTTCCAGCATTGCTCATGGCATATTCAGCTGTTGCCTTGCATCTCCAAATCTATCTTCAGAGTCCTTTTACCTCTTCCTTTTAGGTCATAGTGGAGAGTTGGCGTTCCGCTTTGTATTTATGTTTTTTTAAGTAGTATTTGTATTTCTTTCTTTCCTTTCTCCCTAACAACTACAGGATCACATGGACCTAATTTGTTTTATTGTCACAAGAGTCCCTTTTCTTGACAGGATATGCCTAATTAAAACCAGGGTGTTAAAAAAAAAAAAAAAGCTAAGTTTTGCAGGCAAGTTGACATACTGTGTGACTCAAGGGTTTCAGGAGGGACAAGGAGGGATGGTGGTGTGTTATTGAAGCAAGAGGAGGACCAAGCCTGCAGGAGATATTGTTCCAGGACAAAGTCAGGCTATCAGCAGTGCTGACGGTCCACCTCCCCTTTTCCTTCCTTCCTAATGGCCCAAGTTATGCACGTCAGCCTCTTTGGGTTCACAAGGCAGTATTGTATCATGGAAAAAGCCCTAGACCTTATTATGAGAACAAGATTTGACTCTGCTCTGCCACATGGAAACTAAGAACTTATTAAGTAGGTTTACTTCACCCAACTCTGTTTCTGTATCTTTTTTTTGAGACGGAGTCTCCCTCTTGTCACCCAGGCTGGAGTGCAATGGCATGATCTCGGCTCGCTGCAACCTCCACCTCCCGGGTTCAAGCGATTCTCCTGCCTCAGCCTCTCGAGTAGCTGGGATTACACCCGCCACCATGCCTGGTGAATTTTTGTATTTTTAGTAGAGATGGGGTTTCACCACGTTGGCCAGGCTTGTCTGAAACTCCTGACCTCAGGTGACCCGCCTGCCTCGGCCTCCCAAAGTGCTGGGATTACAGGTGTAAGCCACCGCACCCGGCCCATTTTTATTTCTTAAAAACAGAGATTAGTAAGCCTGTTATGTAATGATCAAGTTAAGATCATTTTTGAAGCCATAAAATGGTATATAAATGTCAACTATTATTATCAGACATTAACAGCATGGTTATTGTGAATATTATGACTAATAATTAATATGAATAATTATTATTGTAACTATCATTATTACCATGATTGTCATTATTAGGAATATAAGTAGCAATTCATTCAACATACATTTATTATTTAGTGTCTATTGTATGCTAGATATGGTGGACTTTCAGGACCCATGGTGTATAGTACCTGGTAGAGGCTCAGCCGAGCAGTTTGCAGAATCAACAGGAATGAATTGAGAATGACTTAATTTGTTTAATAGAATGTGACAGCATTCTCTAGAATTTGTTCCTTTCTGGGGCAAGTAAGGAACAAATCTTCCTAGATTAGTTTTATGAGTACTTACAGATAAAAACATATATGATGTGAATAAGATTCAACTGTTATATTTGATACCTAGAAGCAAAATGATTTGTCGAAGTAAACCCATTAAATATGTTCATTCATTCATTCATTCATTCCTTTAATTCAGTCACTTATTCTATGAGTAGTTTTTTAATGTCTGCTGTGTGTAAGGCCTTCTGCATTTAGTCCATAGTTGGGGCTACTGAGAAGTTGAAAGCTGCTTTAAAGTCTCCTTTCATTTTAACACCATTAAAAAAAAAAAAAACTCATGGAAAGGAAAAATCTAAATGTATCCTGTAAAGAAAATACCATTTCCTCTGGTAATTATGATGGTCTATATCCTGTTTAACTCATTGCACGGGGTTCCTCTCCAAGTCAATGAGGATTGCGTAAAGAGTCTGAAGGCAGGATGTGCCTCATAGTGGGATGAGAAGGAGCCTTGTGGCTGGTCGTCAGACTAAATTTAAACCATTATTTGTTGTGAATATATGATTAACGTGGGGGTTAAAAATGAAAAATACAGCTGCAAGAGTAGGTTTCTTCCTTTGATAAAAACAGAAAAAGTCAGGAGGGACAAGAAGAAAACAAACACAGTTACGTGAGGCATGCATTCTCTTTCATAAGAACAGTCAAATATATTTTAGCCTAATCTTTCTTTCTAGATACAATAAATGCCGCTCCCTTCTGGATTAGGCAGATGACAGCAATAACAGTATTGCAGCTGGGAGTCTCCCAGGCTGACAGGTGCTGGATATAAGATGCCCCAGATTGTCCTGTGAAGTACAGGACATGCTAGGCCCTGCTGGATCTGCCCAAGGAGAGGGCAGCTCCTGTGTCTGTTGACACCTCGTTTAGATTCTCCCGCTCACTCAAACAGCTGCCAGAGGCAGCCGTAAAATATTGCTTAATTATAGAACTTCCCTTGATCCTCTTTATCCCTTCCTTCTATTGCATTTTTCCCCCTTTTGTGCCTCTCTCTAGTTCAGAGCACCTTTAGGCTAAGCACTCATGGGAGTATTATGGTGGCGCCTTTTCCAACTCACAGTTAAGGCAGAGACAAGATTTTCAGTCCTGCACTATAGCTGTGGAATTATTTTCAGAGGCTGTAATGAGCAGGTATAGGTTCAAATGTGGAATGCAGCATCATTTTTTAAGCAGGAAATGGGTTCATTTTGGGGGGAGGATAGCTTTCTCATTTTTTTTCTGATTAGAAAAATAATGCTTATTGTACAAAAAGAACAAAGAAATGTAAAGATATGAATAAAGCCTACTTCCCCCTTGTTCATATGTGTTCTATTTACCAAAACGGGATTATGTTCACTCCCACAATATATTTTAGCAAATACAGATCCATGTAATTTATCATGTCTGTTCAGTCTTCCACTGTCTGACTGTACCATAATTTGTTTAACCATTCTATCATCATACACTAAAGATAGAAACAAAACCGCTGTGGACATCCTTAAGCATACATTCTGCATACTTGTATTGGTTTGGAGTCATGTTTGTGATTTACAGGGATGCGAAATGAGATCATTTATTTCTCTAACATTAAGGAAATCTGAATTAAGGAACTCAAGAGCTGGTTTGCTGGCTCCGCTGCACCTTTCTGCTTAGTTGTTCTTACTGAGTGGCTTCCATTCCTCATAATTCCAGCTGTCTGCTGCAGCTCCAGCCATCACGTTCATATGCCAGGCTGGAGAAAAGATGGAAGGGTGGGAAGCAGAAACGTATGTCTATTGCTTCCGTTTAAAAACCTTTCCCAGAAGCCCACACAGCACTTCTGTTCATTGTCTAGAACTTAGTCTCTTGGCAATACTTAGCACCTAAAAAGGGAGAGCAGATATTCCAAAGCAACAACCATCTCTGTCATTCCCATCTAATTGTTTTCTGGGAATAAAAGCTTTGTGCAAATGGACTTACTGGATCAAAGCTTTTCCCAGGTTTTTGTTGCATATTGATATACTGCTCTTCAGAAAGATGGTACCAAGTTAAGTCTAGTAATATGCGAGAATAACCCGCCGTAAGTTTTCAGGTTCTTTTGTGTGCATTTTATGGGCATTTTTAAAGCTATTTTTCTGAAGCTGCATTTTTTCTTTTGTTTATTAAATCATACATTCTATAAAGAGTGAGGTGGAGATTTTACTATTTACAATTTTGTCTTCAAAATCTATGTCTGTACAAGTAGAATATTCATTCCAAGCACTGGAAGGACATTTTAATGTTATTCGCACGTATTTCCTCTACTCCTAAGAAAACTTATTTGGAGGTTGCCAGTTGAATTAATACATTAATCAAAGTAAGGCAGCTCTCTCCTGTTTTGAAAAACTTCCTGTCAATTAAATACAAGGCACAGTGTAAAAGTGGCTCTGCCCAAGTTAGTGTTTAGACAGAAATGTTTGTATTACACCGTGGTGTGACCATCAGCAGCTCCATAAATAAAGGAATCATCTGCCGGCGCTTCCCACCTTTTGGGTGGGGTCTGTTTTCTCCTTCAGTGGAAGGACATTGGGGTCATCATCATTACTGCTGAAATGTTATTACTTTAGATTTTATCAAAAAACTTGGTGTCACCAGGTCTGAAGGGAAAAAAAAAATCAAACTTTTTTCTTTTTACCCTCACACACCATCCAACACAGCACTTCCGATTCCCTAGCAGACACCAACTGGGTGTCCTGTAATTTCATTCAATTCTGACACTACCTACCCAGAGATAGTATCAGATCTCACAGGCTAAGGGCTTAGTCCCACAAGACTGCACCCCCTCCAGCCCACCTTTTTAGATGCCAATTGCAAGCTACAGGTGGTGACCTGTGCTTCTGACTAACTCCCTCCTTGGATTTGATCCATTTGCTAGAATGACTCACATAACTCAGGGAGACACTTCACTTACTTTTACCCATTTATTAGAAAGAATGTTACAAGGGATTCAGATGAACAGCCAGGTGGAAGAGATACATAGGACAAGGTACTTGGAGCTTCCACACCCTCTCTGGATGTGCCACCCTCCAGGAGCCTTCACATGTTCAGCTATCCAGAAGCTCTCTGAACCCTATCCTTATGGATTTTTATGGAGGCTTTATTACATAGGCATAATTGATTTCATCACTGGTGATCAGCTCATCCTTCAGCCCCTCTTCCCTTCCCTGAAGGTTGGGATGTGGTGTGGGACTGAAAGTTCGAATCCTCCAGCCATGTGGTTGGTTCCCCCTGGCAACCAGCCCCTTCCTAAGGCTATGTAGGAGCCCACCAACAGTCACCTCATTAAAACAAGAGAAGTTCCTATCACCCAGAAAATTCCAAGGGATTAGAAGCTCTGTGTCAGGAGCCGAAGTCAAAGACCAAATATTAAAACCAAAGATTCTCCTAGCACCCCTATCTACAAGGGTTATAGGAACTCTAGATCGGCAATGGTGACAGAGATTTATTTCTTAATATATCACAATATCACACATGGTTTCCCGATTTGGTTATTCAAATTGGTTTATATTAGCTTTTTTTCATCTTTCTTTATCTTGCGAGTGTTACAGAATAAAACTCACTTCTCTTCAAAGTTAGAAAAGTGACCAGCCAAAGGATTACTATCACTGAGGGATCATTTAGAAACAAGTGATTATTCTAATGCTACTAACTTAAATAAAAAAAAAAAAGTTGGTGAATCAGTAGATGGCCGTGCCGTATATATTCTTGCAACTTTCCTATAAGTTTAAAGGTATATCAAAACAAAAAGTTATATACGCACAAATAGATGTTGATTTTATATGATTTTTATCTGCTACTTTCATGAAGAAGGATGGGGTTTGAAGTCATAATTGAAACAGGTACATATTTTTGTACTTTGTTAAGTAAAAAATTAAATCAATCATGTATTTTTTATTAACATCCACTTGTGGGTACAAAGATACTTACTGTTTGGAGTTTGCATAAACATACTTGTTTAAAAACAA
This sequence comes from Homo sapiens, assembly GCF_000001405.40. Taxonomy (NCBI): domain Eukaryota; kingdom Metazoa; phylum Chordata; class Mammalia; order Primates; family Hominidae; genus Homo; species Homo sapiens. Next base: position 149,585,964 of record NC_000003.12, on the reverse strand, counting down.
CAGCATTTTTTAGGCTAAATCTGTTTTTCCATTAGTTGAAGTCATAGAACCTTCAAGGCTTCCTGCATTTCTGTACCTGGTATGTCCCCTCACATTTTGGAACTATTATCTCCTTGTAAATTATTAGAAAAATTAAATTAGATTAAAACTTCTTGAGCATTTCTTTATTAGGAAAAATGGAAATCCATTACATATTCTTTTGCTTGCATTCAATCTTACTGTGCTTTTTACTGCAAGCTGAAGTCCCCTTTCTACTTTAAATGGGAGAGAAAATCTTGTGCTGACATGAGATGCTCATTACCACCAAGGCACTCATTACCAACAAGGGCAGTAAAGGAATCGCAGCTTTGGCTGCCTCTCACACTGAATCTGAGAGTTGCTATTATTAGAATGCAAAAAAAAAAAAATTGTGGGGTGCTGGTGGGGGAACTATGTGAGACTTGTGGTTAGCTAGACCTGTGTTTTAAGAATATTTTTGTCTCTGAGTCAATTGTTACTTAACTACTCGACTATATGAAATCAAGTATATCAGCCAGGTGCAGTGGCTCATGCCTGTAATCCCAGCACTTTGGGAGGCCGAGGCAGGCAGATCACCTGAGGTCAGGAGTTCAAGACCAGCCTGGCCAACATGGTGAAACCCCGTCTCTACTAAAAATACAAAAAAATTAGCCTGGCGTAGTGGCGCATGCCTGTAGTGCCAGCTACTCAGGAGACTGAGGCAAAAGAATCACTTGAACCTGGGAAGTGAAGGTTGCAGTGAGCAGAGATCGTTCTCCAGTCTGGGTGACAAGAGTGAAACTCCATCTTAAACACACACACACACACACACACACACACACACACGAAAGAAATCAAGTATATCTGTAGTTTTTGCAGTAAATTGATGTCTACCATTATTTCTCTCCATTTTCTTGTGTTCATTGTACTATAAGGTGTTTATTGATTTTTTTTCTTTTTTTGCATTTGAATTACTCAGATCCCTTTAAACAGTTTGGATAGATTTTCACAAGGGAAAGGAAGGGAACTAATATTTATAGTGTGTCATGCATATCCGGCACTGTGCTAGGTGCTTTACTTTTGTTATTTGATGAAATTCTCAAAACAGCCTCATGTAATGGATGTTCTTATGCCCATTTTACATTGGAGGAGACCAAGGCTTGGAGATGTTACTTACAGTAGTCTCTTAGTCAGTTAATGGCAGAAACAGATCTCAAATCCACTGTACCACTCTGCCTCATTTGGGTGATATTTTCGACTGAAGATGCCAAGAAATACACGTAAAGAAACATTGTAGGCTGGGTTTGAAATGTGAACCATAAGCTGTGTTTCCTGATAATTATTTTCAAGGTCCCCAGTAGCACTCTCCCCTTCCTCTGAAGCCTAAGTTGGTCCCTTTCGATGCCTCAGTTTTTGTCTTTGATCCTCCAAATAATTTCTTGCAAAATGGGAACCTCACTCTGAAAAGCACCTCTAGTCTCTCTTGAGATGCCGGGGTTCATGCCAGCCCTTTTTCCAGTTCAAGTTGTGTCATGCCTTTCAAACATGTGCAAAAAGAAAGTGGCTCTGATGGCCAGAGCCAGGGTGGCTCATCCTCTTCCCAGAATTGAAAAAAACAAAACCAACAAAAAGGAATTAAATCTCTTCACATGAATAGAGGAGAAGCTAGCCTAACCCAAAAGAATTTTTGGTTTTAAAGAGGATTTGCCTTCTTTTTTGGGATGAGTGACATTTAATTCACTTGGCCCCATTAGAAAGAAGAGAAAGGAGGGCAGTGCAGCTTTAGCTTCGACATATTTCACATTTGGAGTGGCTTCGGAGCAGCCAAGCACTGGGTCAGTGTCCCATTTAAGAACAACTGGAAAAAACAACATGTTAAAAACGTGTTAGGCACAGAGAGCATGGAAAAACAATTGTCAAAGTATTTTAGCATTTAGAGTAGCTTAGTGGCTACTCTAAAATACTAACTTCTTTTTAAGACTTATTGTGAGATTGAAGCTGATTCCTAGATGTTAGATGCAGTTGATATGGGAAACATTTCTAACATACAGCTGTTGAGACAGAGTGTCAGGCTCTGGACCATTTATAATAACAAAAACAATAGAGTCTGTGCTGTTTACCACCATACTGCTCGTTGTTTCACTGCCACCTTCTCCCTGCTCATTTGACTGCCAGCTCCTTGAGGGCCTAGGTATTACAGGCACTCATCACCGTATGCATGTTGAAGTGTCGTGAATTCATCACTGAGTGCCTAGCAAATCCCGACATACATATTTGGGTACAGCATCACTTCATCTGGATCTTGGGTGTAGAAATAGCACCATATTCTAACCCTGGAAGAAACTGGCTGCATTGGGCTTACTGAAAGATAATATAATGTACACAAAGCCTAGTGGACTGTATATTCAAAAGTTTTTCAGTGGTAATTTTTACCACACTCCACATTTGCCAAAACTGATTTTGGGGAGCAGAGCAAGGTGGCACGCATGTGTAGACCCAGCCTCGGGAGGCTGAGGCAGGAGGATCACTTAAGCCCAACTGTTGGAGTCCAGCCTGGGCAGCATCTCTTTCAAACAAAAGAAAACTGAGTTTGGAACTGAATCCCTATGGAAGATGTACCCCACTGTAAATACTTGTCTAATGAAAAAATGGATGAATACATTCCACTTCCTATTAATTATTCTAGAATTCACTATTCATGTGGCTGGGCGTGGTGGCTCATGCCTGTCATCCTAGCACTTTGGGAGGCCGAAGCGGGTGGATAACATGAGGTCAAGAGTTCAGGACCAGCCTGGCCAACATGGTGAAACCCTGCCTCTACTAAAAATACAAAAATTCGTCAGGTGTGGTGGCACACGCCTATAATCCTAGCTACTCAGGAGGTTGAGGCAGGAGAATCGCTTGAACCTGAGGGGCGGAGGTTGCAGTGAACCAAGATTGTGCCACTTCACTCCAGCCTGGTTGAAAGAGTGAAACTCCATCTCAGAAAAAAATAAGAGTAATAATAATTCACCATTCATAAAGCGTCTCATCTTTTCTCTACTTCTGATTCTCATCCCATGTTTTTGTTTGTGAGAAAGGAGAAAAGTGAAATAAAGACTCTACCAAGTACATATTTTATACTTGACATCTGGAAATAATATCGTGAAATAGACTCTCACATTGTTGTGGAGTTCCAACACAATAAACTTAAGGTGATTTATACATCTTTTATTTATTTTATTTTATTATTATTTTTGAGACAGAGTTTTGCTCTGCCGCCCACACTGGGGTGCAGTGGTATGATCACGGCTCACTGCAGCCTCGACCTCCCAGGCTGAAGTAATCTTCCGCTTCAGCCTCCCAAGAAGCTGGGACCACAGGCATATACCACCACGCCCGACTCATATTTTGATTTTTTTTTTTTTAGAGATAAGATCTCCCTATGTTGCCCAGGCTGGCCTTGAACTCCTATGCTCAAGCAATCCTCCTGCCTCAGCCTCCCAAAGTGCTAGGATTACAGGCGTGAGCCACTGTGTCTGGACTATACATTTTTTAATAGCATTATTGATCCTGGCATGAGAGGAGAAAAAAAAATGCTGGTACTAATAATAAAATTGTTTGCAACGCAGCCAAAGTTCTTTAATATGGCTCTTGGCCCAAATCAAACAAGCAACAGAAACTCCCAGTCCTTTTTTTTTTTTCCTTCTTATGTTTTCACAAAATAGGAAAAATGAGGTTAAGCAAGAATTTTGCTCAGTTTGCAGAGGCAAAGTGAGGCTTGCCAGGGCCGGGTGCTGTTGGGGTGCGTGCAGCATATGACGGGGTGTCTCTAACACAGTGACTGAACTGTTCACCTTCTGAAGTGAGGCTCCTGAGTCACACCTGGGGCTGTCTTGATGAGTCACCAGCCTTCCAAAGTGGTTTTCTCTGGGAAGTGGCACTTCACAGTGCCACTTTTTTTTCCCACCCCAGGGACAAAACTCTGGTAAATGAATCCCTGCAGGAACCACGGGTATTACAGTCCTGATTTGGCTCATCTGCTCTTTGGGGCTGACAGCAGCTTTGCTTGACTCAGCTTCTGCCTGACTGAGTAGGTTCAGACAGAATGAGTCTGCAGAAAAGTCGGTGGTGCTCAGTGGGAAGGACGTGAGGGAGATGGATCACCACAGCTGGCCAGGGCAGAGGCACTAGGAGACCTTTCACATGGCTGCTGTGCCTACTGCTGCTAACTTAAACAAGTGGAAACTTCTTGGCAAGTCTGTGAGGGAAGTCGAGGATTAGAGCCTGGTAGTTAAAAATACAATCCCTGCCATTCATTCAGAATTCCAGAGAATGCTGAAATTTTTTGAATTGGCAAGTGAATGGTAGAGACCGGAACCATACACTGAAATAACTTCTCTGGTCTTGTATCATCTTTTATTAGAGGATCCTAAAAAAATCCCCTATTTATATATCAGTTATTATTTCTGTGTCATAGACTGCAGCTATGTTTGATGAGCTGCTTAAGTGAAAATCTGACCGGAAACTTTCAACTATAAATTCTTTGTGGTTTCAAAGAAGGATGAACTTTCTCATCTAACACATTTCTGCTGTGTGAAGAGTCACCTTTATTATATGGCATGAGTCTTTTTTTTTTTTTAATAGCTTTGGGGTTTAAACTCTGAATGCTTTGCTAATAGATGTGTCAGCTGTGCACATTGGCAGCTTGACTTTTACCTCTTTGTATCTTCTATTCTGATGCATTAAAAATAGCAGGAGATGGTGCCGTTTAGGATTTGGGCAGAATGGAAGAATCATTATAACCAATAATAGTGTTTTAAAAGCTGCCTTGGGACAAAGAATTATTAATTAGGGTGGTAGAAAGAATGACAACGTGGGAGGAAGATTGATTAGGGTTTCTAGAAATACAGTAAAACCTAAGCTATGTATCTCTTCAACCATGTGAAGAGCTATTACTTTATTTCTGATTGTCAACATATCGAAGTTCAAAAGCCGACTCCACATTATGCAAATAGACTGATAACGTTAAGCAGAGGAGATCAATGTACTGGATGGCTACTAATCTTAATATTGTCGCCAGGCGCGGTGGCTCACGCCTATAATCCCAGCACTTTGGGAGCCTGAGGCGGGTGGATGGCCTGAGGTCAAGAGTTTAGATCAGCCTGGCCAATATGGTGAAACCCCATCTCTACTAAAAATACAAAAGTTAGCCAGGTGTGGTGGCACACGCCTATAATCCCAGCTACTTGGGAGGCTAAAGGAGGAGAATTGCCTGAACCGGAAGGCAGAGGCTGCAGGGAGCTGAGATCGCACCATTGCACTCCAGCCTGGGTGACAAGAGCGAAACTCCGTCTCAAAAACAAACAAACAAACAAAAAACCTAATCTTAGTATTACAAACATGATCAGGTCGGGTTGCTAGTTTAGATGTGGGTGGTGAGCTGAGCATCCACTGCGATGGGGCTTCTACTGTCATGGGCTCCCTCTGTGATGTGGCCTCCCTTCTGTGATGAGCTCCCTGGGGTTTCTCCTGCAATGGGCTCCCACTGCAATGGGCTTCCACTGTGCTCAGCTCCCATTGCATTGTGGTTTTAGGTGACAGCAGAGGGACTACCTGGAGAAAGTGTGCATCTGGGCCTGGGAGAATTAGTAAGTGTGCATACCACCCCTGTCTTTGTTCTTGTGGTTAAGACTCATCTCTGGTGTTGGTTAGCAGAGCTAAGTACCGTTGGCAAAACAAAAGGTACTACTAAAAGAAATGTAAGATATGAGTAAGATATATGTCATTTCCTAGGTCTTGAAATCTAAATAAGATCACACTAATAGAATGTTTAATTTGATTTAAATGCAAACAGTATTTATCCCCAACATACAACGAGAAAGTAAACCACCTTTTGCATACTTGTATTCTAATTCCAGTTGAGGAAAATTTTAAAAGTTTAATATAAGTCTTCGGCAAGACTCCTTGCCATCTGGTACAGGATTAAAAATTGGCATAGCATTTGTTGTCTACTGACAGTGGGTCAGATTTACTTGGCAGGCCCTATCTGGGAATTTATCAACCTCATCCAAATCTGTTTCAGTTTCCATTTTTAACACTAGTGGGTCTAATTGGACTGAGTCACAAGAAGCAAGTTGCAAAGCTGTTTCATTTAGCAAATTTTAAGCTAATTGTCTTCAGTATGTACATTTGTTTTAACATTAAGAGGATGGTGAATTGGCCTAGTAAATCAAAAAAGTTTTAAAAATCTGATTTTCTGAAATAAGACAGTTTGCTTATACTTAAATGGGGATTGTAAATATCATAGGCTTGGCAGCTTTTTTTCTTTTTTGTTTTTTAAGAGCTAGGGTCTTTTTATGTTGCCCAAGCTGGTCTCCAACTCTGGGGCTCAAGCAGTCCTCCCGCCTCAGCCTCCCAGAGTGCTAAGATTACAGGTGTGAGCCACCACACCTGGCTAGCATTATCTGTGGAACATTTCTTCTGGAAGAGCTTGTATTCTACTGGAAGAGAAAAAAGGAGGTAGTAAGGACAGAGGCTACAGAGGAATTTCACTGAGGGGATGAAGACAGGGAGCAGTGAGTATGATTGAGTTTTAAACCAGTCTGCCTTGGTTTTATGACCCCAGGCTGTCTTTAAATTCTCATCTCATTGGTGTGGTTCTCTTTAACTGCTCAGCTAGGTTGTGGCAAAAGAAGAGGCAGTTTGGAGGCTGCTTCCAGGTCCCGTCCTAACCACTCTGCTGATGGAGGGGAGCCCTGATGTCTGACACTGTATGAAACTCTCATTTATTAAATAAATGGTGGGCAGAAAAAAGACAAAACACTTATGTTTGAAGACAAAATCTTTGCCCATAGAAATAAGCAACATGCTGCTAATAGTTTTAAATTCTTTCAAAATGAAGCACTTGTAATCATTCCTATTTTTATATCTTTGTATGCTTCCAGCAATACAAAATACATTACATGGGATTCTCTATTTCAGAAAGTCCTTGTTATACGGCTTCCTTCATCATAAAGTTAGTGTGGGTAAATTCATCCAAAAACACCAGGCCTTTTCCTGGGTGGTAAGAAGCTGGAGGATTCTATTTTATTTTATTTTTTTTGAGATGGAGTTTCACTCTTGTTGCCCAGGCTGGAGTGCAATAATGGCGCTCTCTCAGCTCACTGCAACCTCCGCCTCCCCGGTTCAAGTGTTTCTCTTGCCTCTGCCTCCCGAGTAGCACCACCATGCCTGTCTAATTTTGTATTTTTAGTAGAGACAGGGTTTCTCCATGTTCGCCAGGCTAGTCTCTAACTCCCGACCTCAGGTGATCCACCCGCCTCGGCCTCCCAAAGTGCTGGGATTACAGGCCACTGTGCCCGGCCTGATTATTCTATTTTTACAGATAAGATTTTTATCTTTGCCTTTACTATGTTTGCACAATGTTTTTGATTTTTACACCTAACCAGTACATCACCCATCATGCATAATAGGTATACGATCTATGGTTGTTGAAAAAACTTGAACCAAGTGTTGCCAACCTTGGAAGGCCAGAGCTGCCTTCTCTGCACTCACTGCTGAGTGAGTTTGGGAAGCCAGGAGAACTGGCCATGAAATCTGTAAGTGACTTTGGTGGTCATAATATTCCCAGAACAGACCTGCTTTATCCTCACAGTGAGGAACCAGTATATTGTTAGCTTTTTTACCCCTGTCTCATGCATATGGGTAGTGTGACTAGGATATCCAATTAGATCACACAGGGTCAGAGCTAATATTAAACCCGGGCACCCAGGTATATGTGACTCCACAACTGCGTGTGGTCTTTGCAGAGCCCACAGAGTCTGGCAGTAGGCTGCTGTGTCTGGGAGATGCCTATGTGAGTTGTGCTGTTATTTCATGGGCCATGGTGACCCAGGGGGACTTGGATACCAGGTGTCCTTGGGATATGTGCCTGGAGGTGAGATAGTGAATGGATTGTCAGGCAGAGAGGGTGGGGGGAGGGAAGGAGGAAGGGAGGAAAACCAGAAAGATTGGCAGAAGGGAAGCCCAGAGGCCATTGCCCTCATCAAGGTGAAAGGTCATGAAGGAGGTAGAAGGAGGTAGCAGTGGCTTGAGAGGAGGAAACTGGAGCAAAGTTAACACCCCCTCCGCAGGCTGATGGGGAGGCCAGTCTGAGGGGAGGGTGACTTGGAGGGTGGGAGTGCCACCCCACCAATTTCAAAACATTTTAACCCCAAACACACAATTTACCTGTTAAATAAAATGGCTTTCTACATTTGCGTCTTTCTGGAGGAAAATATTAATCCATGAGGGAAAACTGATTTCACACGACATGGTTTTTCATAACCTACCATTTCCAGCCAAATATCTTCTCAGAGACGTGGTGACCTTTCTTGCCCCTTAGCAAACTCCATGCTTTTGTCCAACCTGGGCAGTTCTCTAAGCAGAGACTCATAATGTAATTGGAGGCCAGGAATTGGTTGGTCTTTCTGGGACTGAGAGAAGGAGGCTGTCTGGGAAGTAGTGGTCCAAGGGGCTCTTGAAGGAAGGGGAAAAAGCCCACTCCCGCTTATATTTGTTACAGGTACCGTTAACCCCACATACCACCAGGGCTCTCCATGGGAAGCACTTGTAGAGGATTTTTCTTTTTTTTAAGTCGAGGAAAAAAATGTTTACTGTCAAGAAAAGCTTTTCTTCCCCGTAGGAACTGCTATTCTTTTTCTTTATAAACAGCATGGGATCAGGTGATTGATTCCATTTGTCCCCTGATTTGAGCCACACGAAGATAGGAGCCAAAAGTGTAGTTTATCTTCAGGAACTCTTTTTGTTTGTTTGTTTGTTTGTTCTTTGAGACTGAGTTTCTCTCTTGTTGCCCAGGCTGGAGTGCAATGGTGCGATCTCGGCTCACCACAATCTCCGCCTCCTGGGTTCAAGCAATTCTCCTGCCTCAGCCTCCTGAGTAGCTGGGATTACAGGCATGTGCCACCACAGCCGGCTAATTTTGTATTTTTAGTAGAGACAGGGCTTCTCCATGTTGGTCAGGCTGGTCTCGAACTCCCAACCTCAGGTGATCTGCCCACCTCGGCCTCCCAAAGTGCTGCTTATACCTTATGACCTGTGTATTCATGCATCAATTTTCTTTTTTGTCTTTTTGTACCTTCATTAGTATTTTTGTTTTTACTGGTTGTGAAAACAATACATAATCACTGCTAAAAATCTGGAAAGTACAAAGCAGTTTAGATAAGAAAAAAAAAATTACCAGTGAGCCTGTTATTTGCATATATCACCATAAATAGTTTGATATGTTTCTTTTTCCTTTTTTGTTCCATTTTCAAATATGAAACCTGTACAGTGTATGTATTTATACAATACACATATATAGGCAGGTTAAATATATTTGTATATGTGTGTGCATTTCCAAGGGAAGTTATACTTTTAAAACAGCAGAGAGTTTTTCTTGAAGTAGACTAAGCAAGGGAGTGAAGCCAGGAAGGAGGTGGGAGTAGCGGGGAAGTGGGGATTAATCTAGCTAAATTGTGGGTCCTGGCAAACACTGAGATTACACTGTGAAATACGAGAAAGGAAATGACTCAGTAACATTGAGAGAGGGAGCAGAGATGAGACAGCAGAGTGAAAGAGTGAATGGCGTATCCTGGGTTTGGGAAGTGGTGGGAAGTAGGGGGAGCTGGAGCCTGAGGCACTAAGTGATTAGAACAATAGGAGAATTTAGTTTTCAGATGAAATCATCAAGGCTGTATTAAGTGCCTCTTGTGAGCAATAGCTCACTCTTACTTGTTGCATTCAGCCTGGGAGCCACTCTTGACACCATGTTAGCGCAGCCTTACAGCTGATGTCAGGTCGACTGGTCTGCAGAGCCAGGAATTTGGGCTTTCTTCTCAGAGTTGTTTTGGAGCAATGAGAACTGCTCACTTAAGAAAGGCTCCCTCTTGTACTCCAGCCTTTGGGGAATGCTGTGAGTGACACTTTTAATTAACAAATCCACTGGGAACAAAACTCCTTTAAATGTGTTGGCTGGGTGTGGAGTTTGAAGGGTGGGCCGTGGAGGCTCCCACTGCACTGCAGGAGTGCTGGGACTTCAAGCCATGGGTAAGCTCGGTCAGAACTGTCAGGATGAGGTCCACCCAGAAGGCCCCACACTCTGTCCCAGGGGATTTAGGCTGGCAAGCTGTGCTGGCACTCCTGGGGCAAGATGAGCTCATCTGCCACTTCAGATGCTGGGCTTCCTATGCTAGATGTTCCTGCTCTTGCCGCATTCAGGAGCCACAGCCCACTTGTTCAGAACGGGAGGGGAGAGTGGGGGACGAGCATTTAGGAATGCATCATTCCAGCTCCTGTATTATTCCTAGAGCTGGTAGCTGAAATTCTGACCACGGAAGTGTCCTTGAACATCTTCCAGCAAATGATGTATATTTCCACATCTCACCGGGGCCTGTGCTGATGTTGGTTCTAGCACAGCATCAATATCCATGATGTCAGAGAGTCTAAGAAAGGTTTATGAAAGAGAGAAGGATTCTTTTCCTTCTGGTACCAGAGTGAAAACTATTTATGTAGCACATGTCTGCCTTGGAAAACATGCTGCTTTAATAGAATGAGTTCTGAAGGAATAATCAAAGCATTTCTTAGGTCTAATTATTTTGCTAAAGGGAGTTACTTAATTTTGACATCCTCATCAATTAGTTCCTCACTTGGAAGGCCTGTGACAAGCCTGAGGCTGGCTATGAGTTTCCACCTGCCCAGAAGTTGATGGATTTTATGAAAGCTTTAAACAGAACTACAATTGTGAAACTGAAAGTGTAAACTAAAACTATTGTTTTTATTATTATTTACTTTATACTTAGGGAAATGATTTTCATCTCTTTACTTCAGTATTTCCCCATCTTTTTTTTTTGGGGGGGATGGAGTCTCACTCTGCTGCCTAGGCTGGAGTGCAGTGGCATGATCCCAACTCACTGCAACCTCCACCTCCCGGGTTCAAGCGATTCTCCTGTCTCAGCCTCCCGAGTAGCTGGGGTTACACGCGTGCATCACCATGCCGGCTACTTTTTATATTTTTAATAGAGCTGGGGTTTCACCATGTTGGCCAGGCTGGTCTCGAACTCTTGACCTGTGGTGATCCACCCGCCTCGGCCTCCCAAAGTGCTGGGATTAGAGGCGTGAGCCACCGCCCCCGGCCTTTTTTTTTTTTTTTTTAATCACATTTATTCTAAAACCTTAGACCTTTAGACCCAAGTTTTCACGCAAGGCAATGGATGAGTTCCCCTTGGCAATACCTTCAAGTCTTGCATTAAGAAATCTGAATAACAATTTTAGCAGAGGAAGCATTTAAAAATGAGGAGACAGACTGAAAAGAAAACAAGACAAATACAACTTCAATGCAAGGAAGTTTCTAGACTGATTAAACATAACGAAAGTAAAAGTGGTTTCCTACCTTAAAGATTCAAAGGAGGCCATTGTTATTCAAAAGTGAGGTGTGTTTAACAGAAACAACAATCATGCTCCTTTTGTTGTATGTCTAAGGAAGGTCAATGGTGGGGGCCTGACTGGAAGAGACCCACCTGGTTGTGAGGCCCAAAACAAAGGGCTAACATTCAGTTTCTTCTATCATGTTTGTTGTCTTTGATGGATATGGAAAGATCTCTGATACTGGGCTGGGTGCGGTGGCTTGTGCCTGTAATCCCAGCACTTTGGGAGACTGAGGTGGGAGGATCACTTGAGCTCAGGAGTTCGAGACCAGCCTGGGCAACATAAGGAGACACCCACCTCTACAAAAAAAATTTTTTAAAAAAAATGAGCCAGGTGTGGTCGCAGGTGCCTGTGGTCCCAGGTACTCAGTAGGCCAAGGTGGGAAGATTGCTTCAGCCCAGGATGTCGGGGCTGCAATGGGCCATGATTATGCCACTGTACTCCAGCCTGGGTAACAGAGCAAGATCATGTCTCGAAAAAACAAAAAAGAAGGAGAAGGAGGAGAAGGAAGATTTCTGATACTGTTTATAAAACAAAGTAGAGGAACGGGATGAATCTACTCATCATATATATATATATATCACAAACTTTCACTAAAGGAAGAGTTTGATGGAGTGGGACAGAGTCTCTAAGGTACCAGGAGTGACCTGCAATGTGATTTGGAAGGTGGTAGGCAAAGCTGGAGGCCATGTCCACCTTTCTTAGAATGTACTGGAAACTCTGAGCAGAAGCTCATGTTTCATGTTGGGTTAGTTTCTCTGTGATTAAGTCACAGTAACAAACTGGAAGTTGTATGTGATCAAACATGTAATCATGTCTTCTCCCTTGTAAACCTTCATGCCTCAATATCTAAGTTTCTCCATAAGCTGGCACTAGTTGACTTTCCTACTATTATTTTCTAATACTCTGCCTTCCAGCTACCCTATTGTCACCTTGCTTGGTGACAGTGAGCTTCTTGAGGGTTTTATGTGTCACCTTTGGGGACCTTGAAATACCTTACACTCCTACTGTGAGAGCTCACTAATGTGGTGTTCAGAAGCTGGTTTCATGGGCCCATCTTTTGCTTGATGACAGCCAAAGGGATCCTCATTATGTCAATTCTATGAGTCAGGAGAGTATGGGGTACTGGCTGGGAAGGTGAGCATGGCTCCCCTTCCAGGAAGGAGCTCACACTATGGCACTCCAGTGATTGGATGGCTGAGAAGCAACTGAGGTGCTGGGGAATACAAGCTCCACGGGCCGAGGGGAAGTTCACTGGGGCTCACTGCATGCAAGGGCTGTCTGGACAGCGATGTCTTGGGCTTGTGTTTAGAGAGCTGCTTGCAGAATCCCCAGTGTGGCCTAACCAGGATGCAGGGAAAAATAGGCAAGTATGTCCTTGGATGAAACCAAGCACAATCTATCAACCACTCAAGCAGATCCTAAGGGAAGAATTAGTGTCATTAACTATTATGCTGTTGTTGGTGATGATGATAATGATGCTGACAATTAAAAAGATAATTAATTGTTTTCCTTCTTTTAGTCACATAGAAAAAATCACCACATGGCAAGACCCTAGGAAGGCGATGAATCAGCCTCTGAATCATATGAACCTCCACCCTGCCGTCAGTTCCACACCAGTGCCTCAGAGGTCCATGGCAGTATCCCAGCCAAATCTCGGTAAGCCTCAAGCTTTTTTAAAATTAAAAAAGATATTTTTTTTTTGTAGAGTTGGGGTCTCCCTTTGTTGCCCAGGCTGGTGTTGAACTCGTGGGCTCAAACAATCCTAACACCTCAGTCTCCCAAAGTGCTGCGATAACAGGCATGAACCACTGTGCCTGGTGGAGCCCCAAGCTTTGACTCCAAGCTGAAGAAATGGTGTTCAATCAAGGGGTGGCGGGGCTCATAAGTGGTTCTGGCTGTTTCTATGTCTCTTCATGCACCCAGACGGTGTTTGCTCCTTCTTCTTGGCTGCAATACCGTGTTACCCTTCTGCCGGCTTTTTCTTCTTTACTTGGTCTCTTTACCACCAACTCATGATACTGCTGCCTCAGTTTTAAACTACAGTTCTGACCTTCCCTCCAATGGCCTTAATTGGGGTAGAAAAATCAGTTAGGCCTCCTGTCTTCATCTAGCCTGAGGCAAGTAGGACACATACACGCTTTGGGTGACTTTGGCTCCTGGCGACTGCCTACAGGTACAATTCTAGTCTCAAATCCCTATCCTTATTTCCCTTTTTTCCTTTTTTTTTCATAATTGCTGCATAACATGTGTCAGATAGCATGCCAAGTGCTTCCATGCCTTACCTTATGAAAGCCTTCCAAAACCCCTGCAAAAAGTAGCAGGCTCTCCAGTTTATACATGAAGAAACTTTCCGAAAGTCTTGCAGCTTGTGGAGAGCAGAGCTGGAGAGCAGGCTAGTCTGATTTTAGAAGGGAGTTAACCATTACATAACCTGCAGGTGGCTTCTCCCCATACCTGCCGTGGGATAATATGGCTCACTTTTTACTTCATTTACAATACTTAATAAGTGCGATTTTAGACTTGAGAAGAGAATATTTTCTGCTAAAATTATCCCCACTAGAGATAATCACCAGTGAATTAATACACTGCAGCAACGGAACCAGTCAGCTTTTTTGGTAATCATTCCCTTCCTTCTCCCCCAGGGCTAAAAATAAAAAAGGGCCAATTTTAAAGTTTTAGAAAAGTTGGTGCCATTTTCAGATAACATTTCCATTTAAGATCAGATATCCAGATATGCTTTATACACAGAACAGTTAATTTTAGGGAGTGAAAAGAATCTCCTGTTGGATTTTCAGGAATGAACAAGATAAAAATGGAAGCGTTATTCCTGGACACCCTTCCCTCATACTGTGGCTTAGCCAAAGTGAGTATGAACTCAAGTAGACCCTAGTCAGCTTCAAGTGTCAGTTCTTCCAGGAAGTCTGAACCTACTGCTTTAAAGCTTGCAGATGTACAGTTTCCAAAAAGCAAATGACATGGAACAACCTCTGTGGAGTTCCTTATCTAAAGGGCAGATCAAAGAAAATGCAACCAGTTCTGGTACCAGCAGTGGTAAACCAAAGCCTCCAGTGAGTTATTTTGTCCCAAATATACAGGAGCTCGTGTAGAAATCAGATGCCACTGTAGTAAAGAGACCCCAAATTAGGTGGCATTAGACTGGTTTTTACAGTTTGTTTAACCATTTAATTTTCATCGAAAATTCTAAAAACTGATTATTAAAGTTTTAACTTTAACTTTGTAATCAATTATAATCGGAAAAAAATCTTTCATGAACCCAGTTTACAAAAAAAAAAAAAAAAAAAAAAGAAAAGAAAAAAAAATTCAAACACTTCCTCCAATCTCCCTTTCCTCAGTCCCCAAGTTTGTTTCCTGGAGCCAACCAGTGTTTCTAGTTGTGTGTGTGTGTATGTTTAATCATACTAAGGTTAGCATATCATAACCACTGTTCTGTATCTTGCTTTTTTCACCTGCCTGTCCATACATATAGAGCTGCTTCATTCTTTTAAAAATTTGCCTATTAGTCTACTATATTAATATGCTATAATTAGTTTATTTAACTAACTCCTATCTGGTAGATATTTAGGTTGTTACTAGTGTGTTGCTAGCATACAAATACTGGAGTGGATATCCTTTGTCATGTTCTTTTATGCATTCTCCTTAATTTTTAAAATTTGTGCGATATGTAGGAAGTGGACTAATTAAAAGAAGCTTGAATGCTTGGAACTAGATATTGAAGGCACATGTGAGTCTGCCTGTATGTGCATACATGCATGCATATGCACACACACACACAAAGTCCAATTGCACTAGTAAAGTATATCTAAAGAAGTTGTAATCTGAACATTCTGAAACAAATTTACCTGTAGCTCAGTAAAATACCTTAGTTTCCAGATTTCTATTTTTATTTAATTTTTGTTATTATTATTATTATTATTATTATTATTATTATTTTGAGAAAGAGGCTCACCCTGTCATCCGGGCTGGAGTGCAGTGGCACGATCTCAGCTCACTGCAACCTCTGCCTCCTGGTTCAAGCAATTCTCATGCCTCAGCTTCCCCAGTAGCTGGGACTATGTGCATGTATCATCACGCCCAGCTAATTTTTGTATTTTTAGTAGAGACGGGATTTCACCATGTTGGCCAAGTTGGTCCCGAACTCCTGACCCCTGGCGATCCGCTTGCCTCAGCCTCCCAAAGCGCTGGGACTACAGGCGTGAGACCCGGCACCCAGCAGTTTCCAGATTTCTAATAAGGCAGTGAATTTCTCAAGACGCACATTCTGGGGTTTTTCCAACAATATTTGTGTATTTGCCCATTGCAAAGTGTGTTTCTAGCTTATGGAGAATCACAGATGTGTCTGAAGGATGGAAATACAACTTGGAATGCCAAGTAAGTTCCAAAGACCAGGACTTAATTTAGAGAGTCTCAATACAGTCAGAATAATAAATGATTTACTCAGACTATTTCATTTCAAGCCATAACTCTGCCTGTGGTTCATAGTCTTTATTATATATCTTTAAACATATAAAAATAAAAAGAGCAGAGCTGGGTGTAGAGGTGCATCCCTGTAGTCCCAGCTACTTGGAAGGCTCTGAGGTGGGAGGATCTCTTGGGCATAGGAGTTTGAGGCCAGCCTGGGCAACATAGTGAGACCCCCAACTCTTAAAAACTAGAAAAAGAAAAGAGCAGATTCTTCTCCTCCCACTCTTCCTTCTTCTTAAATCTAGAACTTTGGTACTTTTCAATGGAATGTAGCTGTCAAATAAGTGAACTAAAGTGATAGGTCTTCTTTAATGCAAGGCATTTATATACATGTGAAAAGGATGTCAAAATACAGTTAATAGCATTACTATCAGATGATAGAATAGTACCTTTTATAACTAATTTTATTTATTTCTAGAGCCGTGATATAATCAGTGGCATAGTTAACTACATTCAGAAACAAATCTTGTATTTGGTCCCTGTATGTTTCTGTAGGTTAGGTACATGGACTTGGGTGTCTGACTGCCAGAATTTGAATCCTGGCTCTGTAGTTACTAGTTTGGTGACCCTTAAGTTATTTGTCTGTGCTTTGATTTCATCATATGTACAATGGGGATTATTAATATATGAGGAACTTACGAGTTTATATATGCAAAGTGCTTAGAACTATGATTGCCACATAGTAAGCTAAAATATATGTTTATTATCATTATTTTTATGGCAAAAAATATTTTATATTTTATTTAACTATAGCATGTTATATTTTAAGACAATTTAACTGTTCTTTATAAGTGCTTTCTAGAATAAAAATGATTTATTTTGGGCTGGTTAGATTGCAAAGTGTTTTAAATTAGGAACAATGTATTCATTACCTTCAGTGAGGATAGTGCCCTCTGGTGGAAATGTTTAAGTTACCTCTCCCAGGAGAAACTTCTTATCACTAGACACCTTATTTTTTATAAGAGCTTTAGATGCCGGGCGCGGTGGCTCACACCTGTAATCCCAGCACTTTGGGAGACCGAGGTGGGAGGATCACGAGGTCAGGAGATCGAGACCGTGATGGCTAACACGGTGAAACCCCGTCTCTACTAAAAATGCAAAAAATTAGCTGGGTGTGGTGGCGGGCGCCTGTAGTCCCAGCTGCTCGGGAGGCTGAGGCAGGAGAATGGCGTGAACCCGGGAGGCGGAGCTTGCAGTGAGCCGAGATTGCGCCACTGCACTCCAGCCTGGGCGACAGAGCGAGACTCCGTCTCAACAACAAAAACAACAACAAAAAGAGCTTTAGATGTATTCCTGTAATGCGACTTGTAAATCAAACCATATTTTTATTGCAAGAGGAAAGACCCATTACTTAGTCATCCTGGAGTGAGTGACTTTGTAAAAACAGAGGATTCTTTCTGCAGGTTGGCAGATTTGTTGAACACTGAGTCTAAGTAAAATGAAATAAGCTCTGAAGGGGAAAATTGCAAAAATATGGTTTTTTTTTTTTTTTTTTTTTTTTTTTTTTTTTTTTTGCACTTTAATTCAAATAGCCATCTCCAGTTTCGTCTAGCTTAAAACTAAAATTTTAGTTTTTGTATTTGCCAAATCAGGCTTTACCAATTTGGATTCTGTCTGAGCAGAGTAATGGCCTTTAAGCCTGAATTCCCAGACATATGCAATAAATGGAAGAAGAAAAGACGACCTTGGGGGACTTTAGACTTGGCTCACTGCAACCTCCACCTCCCAGGTTCAAGCAATTATCCTGCCTCAGCCTCTGGAGTAGCTGGGATTACAGGCGCCCGCCACCACACCCAGCTAATTTTTGTATTTTTAGTAGAGATGGGGTTTCACCATGTTGGCCAGGGTGGTCTCGAACTCCTGACCTCAGGCAATCCGCCCATCTCAGCCTCCCAAAGTGCTGGGATTACAGGCGTGAGCCACTGCACCCAGCCAGAAGTTTGTATGTTTTAAGTAGGTTGTGGGCCTTCCTTACTATTAATACTTACTAAAATTTTAAAAAAGAGAATAAGAGGGAAACAAAAGAGGGAAAAAAATAGACTGCCTACACAGGCTCTGTTATAATGTATAAAACAATGGGCTTGAGAAAATGAAGCCTGCTGCAGATCTTAGTCCTTGGTTAGAGTGGTGGCGAAGTGGGCATGGAAGTGGGATGGAGGGTGGGGACTGTTTTGGAAGAACTTGAAGTCAGAACTGAGTTTCTCTTAATTTAGACGTTTATGTATTGGGTTATTTAACCTCTGAGTCTCATTTTCCTTATCTGTAAAATGGTGATAATGATAGTACCTATCTGATAACGTTGTTTTGAGTATTTAGGTAGTCCATGTCTTGGTACCTGATGTATAGTAAGCTGCCAGCACTTGTATTGTTATAGCTATTATTGTTAGCCAGTTGCCTCATTTTTCCTCCCCTTTCTGGCTCCTGTGTAATCAGAGGAAGATCCTTTGATATGCTCTGTTAGAAAGCCATTCCATTCCTCCTTCAGGAAGACCCAACCATGGTTACTGCAACTTATATTTGTTTGGGCACTTTTGCTTACAAATTGTGAAACTAGCTGGTGTGGTACCAAAAAATAACATTTAACCTCGGACAGCAATTGTGAGAAGATGAAGAGGAGCAAGCTTGTGACTGTCAGGTCATTCACAGAGGGAGTTTGTGAAGAGCAGTCACACTTCTGAGTTCTAAGTGAAGAACATTTTCCCCTCTGCAAGTAGTGAAGTGTTAGATTTTCCCATTCCTCAGCAGACAAATACTGAAAACATGCAACAACTTAAAGTAGCTCCATATTTTAAAATGTTTTTACCAAAAGAAAGTGTCATGCTTTTTTCCTTTCTTTTTTTTTTTGCCTTTTTGGTGATAATCCTAGTGATCATAAACCATGGTGTGCTGAGCTGCTGTCACACACTAATGAGGCTTTTTGTTGGAATGAGACCCTGACCTGAGATGCTAGTATCCTTCCTGACAGTACAGGAAAAAATAAAGACTATAACAACTTCACCAGCCTGCGAACCCTAGCCAATTCAGAAACTTTTGGTAAAGTGCAACTAGAGTGTATTTTCAATACTATAGGAAATTTTTAAAGTTACATATACACACATGCACACACACGCACTTACTTACCCCTTTGAAGATGTGCCATCCACCAGCCCAGAGTCTAAGTCCTCCAGGTCTGTGTCTCGAGCTGTACTTCAAATTATAAACACATGTGTGTTTTTTTTTTTTTTTCTTTTCAGGGCATACTTTTCAAGACAAGATGGAAAATCTTGTCTGTGCTCAGTTTGCTAAGTTGGCTTGCTGTTCTCTCTAGGAAGTATACAAAGAGGCTTAGCATTGTATCAAGAGCAAATAAAATAGCTAAGGGATATCGAAGCCCTGGGTTGCTTAAAGCACTTGGAAAGACATGCTGAAAGTTCACTAGAAGTCAGATTTCTACTTAGGCATCTTATGTTTTCCTTTTTTTCCATTAGTTTTTTTCTTAATCAAATTTACATGGTGAGTTCACGGCAGACACATCTGGCTACTGTGATTTTTCCAGCTCTGATGTTCTCACTGCTTTTGGAACTTTGTGGTTTATGCAGCATAGATTAGCCTAAAGTGCACCGGCACATACACGCACAAACCCAGAGACAAACAAACAAAAAAATACCCATACACTTTTTGGGAGATGGTGGAAGTGAAGTGTTGGGTGTTGTGGGTGTTGTAGGTGTTGTAGGATTGTTGTGGTGGAAAGTTTGTGTTTATGGAAGAAAAGGAACACTGGTGGGCACAGGACAGGGGGAAAGGTTTCTATTTAAAAATGATTTTCTTGATTAAAAAAAAGAAGGAAAAGTTTTCTAAACACTGTAGAAAATCAATTTTCTTTTTATTTTGTAGAGATTGGGGCGTCTCACCATGTTGCTTAGGCTGGTCTCGAACTCTTAGTCTCAAGTGATCCTCCCACCTTGGCCTCCCAAAATGCTGGGATTACAGGTGTGAGCCACTGTGCCCTCAATTTTCTTAGATTTTGAGGAAGCTATCTATTGTCAAATACACTCTAGTTAATCAGCATTATTGAAGGCTACCTTCTTTGGGGTTTCGAAGAGGAGATTCTTTTTTTTTTTTTTTTTTTTGAGACAGAGTTTCGCTCTTGTTGCTCAGGCTGGAGTGCAATGGCACAATCTCAGCTCACCGCAACCTCCACCTCCCCACAACCTCCACCTCCCGGGTTCAAGCAATTCTCCTGCCTCAGCCTCCCAAGTAGCTGGGATTACAGGCATGTGCCACCATGCCTGGCTAATTTTGTATTTTTAGTAGAGACGGGGTTTCTCTGTGTTGGTCAGGCTGGTCTCAAACTCCTGACCTCAGGTGATCCGCCCACCTCAGCCTCCCAAAGTGCTGGGATTACAGGCACGAGCACCCGGCCTGAAAAGGACATTCTTTATAGTTCCTTTCTTTTACGGTTTTTAAGGAATATGTGAAATGAGACTGAAAAAAATTACCAAATCAACGGATTGAGTTCCTTTTATGTAATAAAGCAGGACATAATAGCATATAAAAAATAAATCTTATGTTTTCATGGCTATGTTCCACTTATCTTAATGTGGATGAGTCTTTATTAAGATTAGGTGATGGAGACTTATAGGTTTTATTATATGAAATTTAGAAATTTAGGTAGAAAATTTCTTCTTTGATAAGAAATAATAAAAGCCATGAAAAATGTCTGATGCCACAATTTTCCTTAAAAAAAAAAAGTAGTATGCTAGGTGAATATTTTGGGAACCATACACAAAGATGTGTTAGTTATAATAGCCAGTAAATAAACAAATGCCTGAAATATGAAAATAAATAAATTTATTTATTTATTTATTTTCTGAGATGCAATCTTGGTCCGTTGCCCTGGCTGGAGCGCAGTGGTGTGATCTCGGCTCACTGCAACCTCTGCCTCCCAGGTTCAAGCCATCCTCCCAGCTCAGCCCCCGAGTATCTGGGATTATAGGTGCCCACCACCACACCCAGCCAATTTTTGTACTTTTTAGTAGAGGTAGGTTTTCACCACGTTGGCCAGGTGAGTCTCAAACACCTAACCTCAAGTGACCCACCTGCCTCAGCTTCCCAAAGTAAGTGCTGGGATTACAGGCTTGAGCCACTGCGCCTAGCCACAAATATATTTATAAGCAGTGAAATAATGGATATAGACCATGTAGACACATGGAAAACTTTGTTGTAACATTCTAATTTTACACAGCATGACAAATTGTTTATGCTATAATTATACTTCTATTTTTTTGAAAAACACATTGCTTAGATTCTTTCCATTTTTTCACAAGACTAAGCTTCTTGAGGACAGGAACTTGATCTCCATCTGTGTATTTCTAGCCCCAAGCAAAGCTCATTAGGCATCATAGGTGTACTCTTCTGTAGAATAAATGTGTTGAGTAAGTCAGTTATGTATTTTTAAATGTTAATAGTGATTATAGTTAAGCCTTTGAGTTAAGGGTGATTCCCTCTATTTTCTCTGTAATGCGGTTATATTACTTTTGTAATAGCCAAAAGGAGAAAAAAAAAAAAAAAGAGTGAGAACAACAGGGGAGAACCTTGAGCTTTTTGTGGTGGAAGAGGAGAACAGTGTGTTGGAAAAAAGGCTCCAGGCCCCATGTGTATTAAAGACAAAACCAAGAATGCTCAGGCCTCTGCAGTTGAGCAAGTCTGCCTGTGGCAAATAGATTATTCACTAGTCTCTAAGATCAGTGTTTATCCAAGCGTGGTCCAGATCTACCACTAGCTGGATCACTTGGGGGCATTTGTTAAACATACATTTTTAGAATACAGTGGTTTGTTTGCTCCCAAAAGAATTATCCTGGGCTGCTGCTAGGAGGAATATGCCCTGGAAATTTCTGTGTCAGTAAATGTAGGGTGGAATCTGGAAAGGTATGCTGTTTTCGAGTGCTCAGATGACTCTGATCATCAGCCAGGTGTGGGAGCCACAATCAAATTGTGTATGTTAAGGCCAAGTGCAGTGTCTCACACCTGTAATCCCAGCGCTTTGGGAGGCCAAGGCGGGCAGATCACCTGAGGTCAGGAGTTTGAGACCAGCCTGGCCAACATGGCGAAACCCCGTCTCCACCAAAAACACAAAAAAATTAGCCAGGTGTGGTGGCACACACCTGTAGTCCCAGCTACTTGGGAGGCTCAGGAAGGAGAATCGCTTGAACCCAGGAGGTGGAGGTTGCAGTGAGCCAAGATGGAGCTGCTGCACTGCAGCCTGGGTGACAGAGCCAGACTCCGCCTCAAAGCAAAGCAAAACAAAACAAAACAAAAAAAGAATTGTGTACGTTAGCACAGTGATGGGAAAATGCCAGTATAATAAAAATACAAGAACCTACTCAATCGTTCAGTCTTTAATTTATCTGAAAAGGACTTGGAGTATGCCCACCAACTTTTTAACTGATTCTTTGTCTGAAATAGACATTTACTAGGGCATTGACTTTTGTCATTTTGGTGCTTGGTGTTAGTGCGCACATGAGCATTGGGTAAGTGAATGCTGAAGCGGCTTCCCAGAGCATCTTGACCCCAAATATTCCAAGTAAACTTCAAAAATGAGGAGGAAAATTATAGCTTGGGATCCAGATTCTTGAAATGTATTGTTTAATCCACTGGGTAAATGTACAAGTCTGCTTCAGTTTTGCTTGCAGAGAGTGGGCCTGAGAATCCATCAGGCCTTCGTAAGCCTAAACCGTGACGAATTCCAGAGAAGCACCCCCACACCTGGGGAAGAGGGAGGCCTTTTAGGAAGGTGAAGGCTAGGTCAAACTTGTTTTCTTTTTTAGTCCTTTCTTTGTTTGCACCACATTAATTAATTAGTTAATTAATTAATTTGTAATGGAGTCTAATTTCTTCACCGAGCTGTAGACCTCTGTTGAGAGTTTTAAAAATAATTTTGACAATTTTCATCCTGTTTGCTGGCTGACTTCCAAAAGTTTGCCCTCAGGAGCTTCCTTGCTATGGAGAATTTCACCCAGTTAAGGGTGAAAGGCAGGCAGTGGGATTCGAGGTGGTTTGTCATTCAGCCACTTGTTCCAAATTGATAAGTGCTGAGTGATATTTTGACACTTCTCTTTGATCTCCTCTTTGGCGTCCCTGGTAATATTGCTCCCGCCTGTGTGTGATCATCACCTCTCCCACCCAGGTACCAACTGATTGATTTCTTCTTCCTTTCTGGAAGTCTAAATTTATTCCCTGGGTGTTTTGCAGTTGCTGGTGGTCAAGAACAGCTGTTCTTCCATGCTTTATTCTGAATAGTTCTCCAGGATGAAGTCAGCAAAACAATATCATTTAAGTGAAGCCTCAGGAAAACAAAAGCCTTGATTGTCTTTCTCCTTAAGTGCTAAAAAGAAGATCACCCCTCCCCCTTTGTGTGTGTGTGTGTGTGTGTGTGTGTGTGTGTGTGTGTGTGTGTGTCTGTATTTTAAGGCAGAAAAAAAAAAGGTTCTAAACATTTTTGAAGCAGCAAGATTCAAGAATGTTATTTTTTTCCATATTACATAATTGCTATTTGGTCACTGTAGAAAATGCTGATTGGCAAAACATGAGAAAATAAAAAGCCATGGTACCATTCAAAATGACACTAGTGTGTTTTCATATATTTTCTTGACTTTCTTCAATGCAAACATAAAAATAGTTGGAAACTCCTCTATATTCTTTTTTGTAGCTTGTTTTTAATATACCATGAGCATCTTCCCATTTCAGTAATTTTTTTTTTTTTTTGAGACAGAATCTCGTTCTGTCGCCCAGGCTGGAGTGCAGTGGCAAGACCTCGGCTCACTGCAACCTCTGCCTCCCAGGTTCAAGCCATTCTCCTGCTTCAGCCTCCTGAGTAGCTGGGACTACAGGCACACGCCACCATGCCCGGCTAATTTTTGTATTTTTAGTAGAGACAGGGTTTCACCATGTTGGCGAGGCCGGTCTTGAACTCCTGACCTCAGGTGATCCGCCCGCCTCGGCCCCCAAAGTGTTGGGATTACAGGTGTAAGCAACTGCGCCTGGCCAGTAAATATTTTTCTATAATATTTTTTGATGAGTTGTTTTAATTAGAAAAGTAACACACGCATATGGCAAAAAATCCAAATAGTTCCAAAGGGTATTTATGAAAAATTAGGTCTCCTTCCCACCATGACCCCCAGCCCTTTTCTCCTTTCCAGGGAAACACTACTACCAGCTTCCTGAGCATTATTCTAGACATGCTCTACATACACATGCATGCTTGGGCATATACAGTATGTCTTTTTAAAACTTAACATATCTTAGAGAGCCTTCCAAATTAGTACTTACTGATTTGTTCATTGTTTGTCAGCAATATGTAATGTTCCACTCCGTTGAGATACTGTACTTGGTTTAACCAGTCCTGTGTGCTGGATATTTAGTTTATTTTCTGGTTGGTCACTATTACTAAACAATGCCACAGTGTGCAGCCTTGGACATAAATCCTTGTGCCATATGCTGTTTATGTATAGGATAATTTTGCAGAAGTGGAATTCCTGGATCAAAGAGTATGTACATTTAAAGTTTTTAAAACTGTTGTTCCATTTCTTTCCAAAAAGGTATACCAATTGACACCCCTACCAATAAAGTGTGTTTTCTTCCCCGTACCCTGGCCAATAATATCTATGATTAAACTTATAGCCTTTACTATTCTGATAGCTACAAACTAGATTCTCAGTATGTTCTTTTTTTTTAACTTATGAATAGACTTGGACATACTTCTTTTGTTCATAAACCATCACATCATGTTAATGGCTGCACAGTAGTCCTTTTGTGAATTTATTTAACCAATAATGCCATAATTTATTTAACCAATTCTTCTATTGAGAGACATATAGGTTGATTCTATTTTTTATCATTATAAATGATGTTTCAATACATTTTCTTGCACACACATACATTTTTGTGCCCACCTTTAATTTCCTCACTTTTCCAGTTTCTTTGGAATGTTTCTGAATAAAATATAAACATTTCTTAAAAAATACAATTTTGACATGGTTTGCTTTTATCAAACTAAGGAATTGTCTAAAGATCCTGGAGCAGGGGATTTTTTGCGGGGGGGGGTGTTACTTTCTTTTAAAAAATAATGTAACATTACCACAAAAAGTGTATTTTTAACCAGCCACCTAGCTTTCCCACTAACTCTGTTTTTCAGCTTGTATATCCATATGTTTTTGACTAAGCCATAAATGGAAGTTTCGTTGGAAGTTATTTTGCTTCCCAGTACATGTCATGCATTTCATTCCATATTATTTTCGTCCTTTTCCTTTTCAGTATTATATTTCTCAGATACCAGTGAAGAGTGAGTTGTGAGTTTTGAATTTTGCCAAGACTTAAATATTTGCAGCGCTGGAAAGAAAGAAAGTTAAAAAAAAATTAATGTGGCTGATTTAGTCTTGGTTCACAAGGCCTTCATTTAGCTGCTTCAAAGCTCACACTTCAAATGTCAAGAAAAATATTCTCTTAATTTCTGCCGTATCAACTGCTGTAATGCCTGAATTAATTAGAATGGAACTATAATTTCTCTCCAAATGGAATTGGATCATCCCATCCTAACAAAACAAATGCTCAGGGCGGCTCCATGCTGGAGGTTTCTGGACACCTTCCCTATATCATTTCTGCCTGGGTCACTGCAGCCTAGGGCTGCCCCTTGGGAGACTTCTCTTCTGGGATCCTCAGCATGTCTTCTTTGCTTGTGCTTTCTCCTCTCCTCTGTGTCTCCTCTAGTTTTAAGTACACATTATATTTTTCCTGCAATTTGAGGGAATCTCAGTGTCGAAACTACGATATATTAAAATCAGATGGCTTTCGCCTGAGGCATTCCCTATTTCATATGTTTGCATTCACTGGTGCCTTCTCCATCCTCCACTCTTAGCTTGCTCATTTTTCCTCCTATCAAGAAGACCTAAATGGAGCAATGTCTCAGCTCTGACCCTGGGATGTAAGGACCTTTCACAACAGATCTCAAGCTTGACAGTCAACTCTCTTGGTGTCCCAGGTCCTTCCCAAGAAAACCTGCAATTTCCTATTCTGGGTGTCTGGTCCTCAGGGGCAGCTATCCAGTGGCGTTTCTTCTGAAAGACCTCCAACCGGTCTGTTGGGGTAGCTCTTTGTCCTGTCTTCCTAGGCTGTCTATGTTTTAAAATTAGAATCATTTAACAGTTGGGGTTGGGGATAGAGGTGGGAGGCTGGAAGGAACTATGAGTATGAGGTATCAGAATTATGTAGCACAGATTGCAGCTGGGATTCTGTTCCATCCAAATTCCAATCAGTTATCAAAAGCATTGTTTAATAGGAGTTTCCTCAAAGTTCAACAGTGCCACAGAACAATGGCCCATACATAACACAGTTTCTCTGGTCCCTGCCGGACTGAGAATTCTGTCTCCAGGAGGTTTGAGGTATGTGTAGAGAGGTTTTATTTTTTTAAATGTCACTATTTATTTTGAAAGAATTGTAAACTTACAGAAGAGTTTCAAGTTTAGTCTAAGGAATTCCCATATACCTTTTCCCCAGATCTGCCTTTGTTAATTGTTTGCTTATAAACATAGCCACGGTTGCATCTATCCATCTATCCATCTATCTATCTATCTACATATTTTTTTTTCTGAACCATTTGAGACAAAGTTGGAGACATCATTCTCCTTTACCCAGAAATACTTATATTTTCTCAAAAGACTTTTTCTTTTTTTCTTTTTTCTTTTCTTTTCTTTTTTTTTTTTTTTTTTTTGAGATGGAGTCTTGCTCTGTTGCCCAGGCTGGAGTGCAGTGGCATGATCTCGTCTCATTGAAACCTCCATCTCCTGGGTTCAAGCAATTCCCCTGCTGCAGCCTCCCAAGTAGCTGGGACTACAGGTGTGTGCCACTACGCCTGGCAAATTTTTGTATTTTTAGTAGAGATGGGGTTTCCCCATGTTGGCCAGGCTGGTCTGGAACTCCTAACCTCAGGTGATCTGCCTGCCTTGGCCTCCCAAAGTGCTGGGAATACAGGCGTGAGCCACCGTGCCCAGCTGGACATTTTCTTATATAAGCACAGTGTAGGTATCAAAATCAGGAAATTTAACATTGATACAATACTCTTATCTAATAGCCCAGATTCGAAATGTCTTCAGTTGTCCCGGTGATGTCCTTTGTGGCTATTTTTGTTTCTGGCCCAGGATGTGATTGAGGATCTCACATTGCATTTAGTTGTCCTGTTTCCATAATCTCTTCTAATTTGGAACAAGTCTTCGGTCCTTGTGTTCTGGACCTTGACATTTTTGAGGAATATATAGGCCAGTTATTTTGTGAATCATTTTTAAATTTGGATTTGTCCGGCATTTCTTCGTGATTTTGGTTTAGGTTATAAATTTTTGGCAGGAATACCATGGAAGTGATGTTGTGTTCTTCTCATTGAATCCTATCAGGAGGCACACGATTTGTTCCACTATAGGTGACATTAGCTTTGATCACTTGATGAAGGTAGTGTCTATGGAAGGTGGGGTGGGGGCAGCAGAGCATGCTTGTGCCAAATGGCTCCTCTAATGAATATGTTCTGTAAAGCTAATGAAATATGTGGAAAGGCTTTTTGGTCTACCAGGTCTCTATAAGGTATGGCCTAAAATCATGTAAACTCTTCCCCTCGGGATGACTAACAAGTAAAATTTCCAACCTGCTCAGTTAAGCTTCACAGAACATTATTTATTTGACACATAATATATCTGTGCAGCTATATACACACAGGTAGGTTTTTTTTTTAATTTATTTACAAAAGGTAGGCTATGTTTATTAGAGTCACAAGCAGTTGACTGTCTCAGTGTGACTCAAGACCACAAAAAACCCATTTCTCCTTCACTTCATTCTGAGTCCTAGACTGGCAGGTGTACTGCTTGGGGCCCATTCACAGGTTTACAAGTTTCTCATTGAGGGCAATCTGTGACTGACACACGAGTAGTTTTAAAATGAAATTATGATGCTTCCATTCATTTGTTCCCTACTCTTGCATCTTAAAAAACATATAATTCTTTTTTTTTTTTTTTTTTGAGATGGAGCCTTGCTCTGTCACCCAGGTTGGAGTGCAATGGCGTGATCTCCGCTCACTGCAACATCCACCTCCCTGGTCCAAGTGATTCTCGTGCCTCAGCCTCCCCAGTAGCAGAGACTACAGGCACACACCGCCACGCTTGTCTAATTTTTGTATTTTTAGTAGAGATGGGGTTTCACCATGTTGGCCAGGCTGGTCTTGAACTCCTGACCTCAGGTGATCCTCCCGCCTCAGCCTCCCAAAGTGTTGGGATTACAGGGGTGAGCCACTGTGCCTGGCCAAAACATGTAATTCAAAAGGATAAAAATAAATAATTGAATTAAGTTGGGGTAAAGGACTGTGGCTGAGAAAAAAAGCCAGGGAAAAAATGCATACCATGGGGCCTTGTGTGGTTGCTAGAGGTACCTACAGATTTGGCTGTGAGATTCCTGGGGGATCTTGTAAAGAAGATAATATGCTCTGTTATAGGAGTCAGATCACTCAAGAGATAAAGGCTTTCATGGTGTTGAAGAGAAATGTAGTTTTTCTAGACACAGAGATGTAAGAGGGAGTTCTCCTGTACTTCCCCGTAAGTCATCTAGACTCTGTGATCTAGGGGACAATGTCCTTAAAAAAGAAATTACAGTAGTGGCCTGGCACAGTGGCTCACGCCTGTAATCCCAGCACTTTGGGAGGCCCAGGCGGGCGGATCAGCTGAGGTCAGGCGTTCGAGATCAGCCTGGCCAATATGGTGAAATCCCATCTCTATTAAAAAATACAAAAATTAGCTGGGCGTGGTGGTGGGCGCCTGTAATCTCAACTACTTGGGAGGCTGAGGTAAGAGAATCGCTTGAATCAGGGAGGCGGAGGTTGCAGTGAGCTGAGACCGTGCCATTGCACTCCAGCCTGGGTGACAGAGTGAAACTCTGTCTCAAAAAAAAAAAAAAAAAAAAAAAAAAAGAAGATTCCAGTAGGGAACACTAGGAGTTTTATGGGGAAGTTTTCTATAGTCTTTTTAAATACTGGGTAGTGGCATGATCTCAGAGCACCAGCCAGTGTTCACAGAAGACCAAAATGAGTGTATACTACATATGCATTTTGATTCAAGGATAACATTTAGAAAATCCAGAACTGTAGTTTTTTTGTTGTATGTTTTGTTTTCATTTTTAAGAAGGAAGCTCCTTTTGACACACCTTCTCAAATAAAATTTAGAGCTACAGGCTTTTATTTTGTTTTGCTTGGGATCAGAATCTCCTCTTTGTAAGTGTTTAAAAGCAGAGCTGCTTTGGTTTCTGTCTGTTCCCCCATCCTTGCCCCAAACCTTATTCCTTTCCTTCCCAAAGATCCTGAACCACTTTACAGGGCTGAGAGACAACAAACCGAGAGGCATTGATCCCAAGGAGTGGCCTCTTTCCTTCATGGTTTGTTTGTTTGTTTGTTTTTGAGACGGCATCTCACTCTGTCTCCCAGGCTGGAGTGCAGTGGCGCGATCTCGGCTCACTGCAACCTCCACCTTCCGGGTTCAAGCAATTCTCCCGCCTCAGCTTCCCAAGTAGCTGGGACTACAGGCGCGTGCCACCATACCCAGCTAATTTTTGTAATTTTAGTAGAGACGGGGTTTCACTATGTTGGCAAGGCTGGTCTGGAACTCCTGACCTTGTGATCTGCCCACCTCGGCCTCCCAAAGTGCTGGGATTACAGGCATGAGCCCCTGCACCCGGCCTGCTTCACACTTTTTGACTCACTTCACTGTGTGCCCCCAGAGTCTCTGGATTTCTTCAGAATTTTAAATTTTACCATAGAGTGTGAAATAATCTGGCAGTTTCCCATGCAGTCCAGGCAGTCAGCTGGAAGGAGATTTCTATCAGTCTGGAATAGAGGCCAACCACAGTGCTCACCACAGGCAAGAGGCCTCAAGGGACCTGGTCCCGGCCCCTCACCCTCTGCTCCTCAGCCACATGGGCTGCTCTGATTTTGCACAAGTACTCCAAGCTCACAGTTTCCACCTTAGGATCTTTGTACTTGTCCCCCACCCTGATTTCCATACTTCATTCAGATTTAGAGCACACATCACTGCTTCACAGAGGCCTTTCTTAACTTCCCTGCCTAAAATAGCTCCACATTTCTTTGTTCAAATCCCTTATCACTAAAATTATTCTGTACATTTGTTATAGCCTGTCTTTTCGTTAGACGATAATCTCCTACAGGGCAGGGACCTTGCTGTCTTGTTCATCATTGTATCTCTACTTCCTAGAAACAGGGGAAATGAATAGCTAGGTGAACCGTAGATCATTGGAAAGAAAAAAAATCATCTATAGTTCTATAAGCGAAACACCACCACTGTTAATATTCTAATACTTTTTCATTTCAAAGGTAATTAACTTTTTGGGGGTCACTAGAAATCCTATAAGATATATGGGTACAGTCCTCAATGAAATGCATATTTATACAGGTTTCCAAAATTTGGCATATACTTCTACCAGATTTCCTAATCCTGTTACCCCTGGTTACATTCTTCTTTCGTTTTTTTTTTTTTTCCTGAGTGGTCCTGGCCCAATGCAAAGCACCTAAACCACACTATTGTTTTTGCTTATTTGATTGCTGAAAAAGGCTGTTTCTTTAATTTGCATTAGTGTGATTCCTTACGAAGCTGATAATTTGCCATATTTTATTACTAATTGCATGTTCTCTTTTATGAATCGTTCAAGTCTTTTGACTACCTCTTGGAATCTTAGTATCTGTTACATGATCTCCATAATAAAGATGTTTACTAAAAGGGCATGCTATTAAAAAACACATGCACACATTAAAAACTAGCAACTCACGCTGGCAACTTTTCTTCCATTCCGTGTGGAACACAGCTGTAGATTCGTTTTCTCTTAGCTTGGGCAACTGCCATACTTCGCACCTGGAGTAGTTTTAAAATGATTCAGGAAAGCTAACCAATAAAAAGCTACAATAAACTCTCTACTGACTAAAGAAAAATAAATGCATGAATCAGAGTTTCCATTTCCTGCTGGATAAAAGTATACCTATTGTCTGAAGATAACAAAACAGTTGTAGTTGTACTGCTATTGCCCAACCATGGAATTATATTCAAAATCACAAGGACAACTTTGTGAAGCAGCAAAGTGAATAACTAAATTTCCTCTTTTTCACAGGCTAGATAATTGTTTTTCTAAATTCACTAACTCCATAGAGGTGCTTCCTGCCACGGGCCACTTGTGATAAATCTTGAGATATCCCTGCAATCAAATGGAGTCAGAGTAGCACATTCTGATGCTGCTTTAGGTGGAAGAAAGAGTTCTTTCTTTACAGGAAAAAGGATCCAGAAGAAATCAGCCTGCCAGAAAGATGTGATTTTTTTTTTTCCCTAGACTTCCCTGGATATATTATAATGATGAGAACTAATGTCTGAATCCTTTAAATGCCAATAAAATATACATTTGGGGTAATGCAGTTATTATGAAAATATAAAAGCCAGTGTTACAGGCATTTCTATTTTACACCTGAAAAAGGAGAGTTGCCTAGATACTTGCACACTGGTGTGTGGACTACATTATTGTTTGGATGGGCAGGCAGGATAGCAAGTAGGAAAATCATTTCCTGGTGCTAAAAATTCAGGGTTTCCTGTGAAGTAAACGAAGCTTGGGTTACAAGTCTAAAACTAGACAGGCTTGGGGCATCTGGAGGACCGGAGGCCCATCTGGCAAGCTTTGGGGCACCTGGAAGTGGTTTTAAGGCTTGAAACAGTGAAGCTGGGAAAGTGTGGCTGAATCAACATATATTCCAGAGCTCTGTGCCTTATCAACTGAGCCGGCTGAGAAATTTCCTTGCAGTTATTCTCACCCAGAATTGGAATAAAGGGCTCAGTGTGAAGTTGGGATAGTACAACTTCTCGGTTTAATACTTTACAGATTTTTGGAACCAAATGCACCCTGAAGTGAAAAGCTGCTTTTTTTTTGCTGACCTTGTTGGATGGCTAATACTGTTTCTGGGAAATAAGAGAAACAAGCGGCTCATTGTTGGCAGGAGCTGAGAGAGACACAAGGAGGGCGAGAGACGCGTCTGCAGCCCTTTTTTTCCCTTCATTGTATCGTGACTGAGTCAAGGCTGGATTGTGGCTGGGTTTTTCTTCCTACCTCTGTAGACATATGTTTTCCATCAGACAGGGCTGCGTGACACCTGACGTTGGCCAGTTCACATGAGTTAAGCCATGGACGGCGCATAAACAGAGGAAAAGACCCGCAGCTGCACCCAGACACTCTTGATGCTGAAATATTTTTCAAAGCTTGATGTGGCTGGGTCTGCACATAAGTCAGAAACGATTTACACCTGTATGTTTTGGCTTGCTTCTTTCAGTTGCATATCATTATTCCCACAAAGCCTCTATGGCCAGAAGGTCTACCATTGGCTGATGGCAGCACCTCTCCTTCCCATATATAAGCCTTTCTAAATTATGAAATGTGAGTTTTCAAAGTTTATTTGATTTTTGTCTTTTTTTTTTGGAGGATTGAAGAACAAAATGCTCTACCATTTCTATAAAGTGAGGTCACACAAATGGTGTCATCAAAACATGCGATTCACGTTGATCCCATCATTTTAAAGTAAATAAGTTAATTAAAATAGTCTGTTAGACTTTTTCATGAAATAGGGAAAAGGAAACACTACTTGGCCTCATCACCAAATTTAACTTATCACGTATATTTTGATGACTACGAAAAAGGATTGGGCAGTGATTGGTGATCCGTTGGTGATCATTGGGCAGTAATTGGTGATCCATGCAGCTGATGCCAGCTGTAGTATTCTAGCAGGCGTTCCGGGTTTCCTAGGTTTGTCGCAGCCTGTTCCTGAGATCTGGGCTGAGGCATTTAATCTTCCAATATTCTTCATCTCTAAAATAACTGAATTAGTCTAAATCATTGGTTTTAAAGTCTGTCCCAAAGTCCCATGCTAGAATCTCAGGGGGATGTGAGCAGAAGCTAACCTTAGTGTTCAGTTTCCAAAAGCTGGGCCCTGTTCAATGTGTTTTAAACATTTGTTTAAAGTTTCAGCATGACACTTGAGAAATGCCTGAAGGGAAAGCAGAGTGAAAGCAAGACCAAGATGATTTAGAGAAGACAGTCAAAGGTGCTGACTTTAAGTGCTAATTTCCTCAGCTGATGAAAGAACCCTGGGACATAAGGATAGCCTCTGCTTCAAGCCGTACACTTGGCTCTGGAGAAGGATTCTACTACTAAAGAAAAGTTTGAGAACCATTGCTCTAAATGGACTAAGACCCTTCTATCCTGAATTTCTATGGTGATAGCACAAACTCGGGTAAATACATGGCCCTCACCTATAATGAGTGCTGTGGGGAAAGTGATGAGTTTGTAAATCATGTGTGAAACTCAGAATGAAATGGGGCTAAGCAGGCAACTATGCTCTGGAAGTAAGAGGAAGCAGCAACTAGAATGTGGTACCCTTTGGATATTCCCCTATGAAACTCTAGAGGTAAGGGTTAAAATGCATCCTCTAGAGAAGATGAGTTATGGGTGAGGCGTTGCCAGTTTTTTTCTCAGTTCTCATCTTGATTATGTTTCTATTTGAAATTTAAAAAGCCTATGATGATCATCTTGCTATAAATGGAACTGATATTTTGTTACCAATTTCTAACCTCCCTTAACCTTACTTTGGGGAGAATGTATTTAGTGCCTACTCTGTGCCTTAATCAGATTTGAAATGCACTAAAATTATTTTTGTTCCATTTTTGTAAGAAAGGAAGATCCATATCATTGTGATTGGTCCTGAGGGGTAGGGGGAGACTTTGCTCTTTCCCAGGTCTTGTTTATAAAGAGCACAAGTCCAGGAACATGAGAGTTAGTTCAAATCACAGGAAGAGAATAGTTCAATGTTTCTTAAAAGAGCTTTACTTCAGATGTATGGCTCAACCAGGAGTCCAACAGGAAAGGTTTTCCTGACTTTTGCATTTAACCAAGTGCATGTTTATGGGTGATATAATGCAGTCATAAAATAAATGTCATAAATAGTGCTTGATTTCCTTCAAAAATTACAGACAAAATGAGTATGTAATATTCCCATTCCAATTATCACATAATATGGATACAAAAGGACAACCACCAATTTTTAATCCAAGGAGGACACACTGACAGCTAATCTGGATAGCCTGACAGTTCTGAATAATGAAAGGTCATTTTGTACTGGCTCCTGGTTCTCTTTTTAAGGGAAGGCATTAGGGTGGAAATAGGAAATTTGAGTTCTGCTGCCCTGAGTTAGCCCTAGGTCTATGGATGGCCATAGGCCTGGAGTGAAAAACCATCCCATTTGCCTGGGACTTTCCCAGATTTAGCACTGTGACCTGTGTTCTGGGAAACCCCTCAGTCCCAGGCAAACCAGGATAATTGGTCACCCTCTGTGACAGAGAAGAAGAGAATGAGGTGATTGTAAAGCTTTGCATTCTAACTTTTGGAAGCTTTTATGCTCCCCTCTCATGTTGGGTTTAGGTTCCTGGAAAGTGTTTCTGATGAAGTTTATATGAACTTACTGGCCCAAATATCAAACTGAATTAAACACTTGTTCCAAGGAGGAAGTTTCCCAGATGCCATATCAAGTGTATTACCCAGTGTATGCCTTTGAATGTTGCATATTTACCTATTTTGAAGAGACTGCATTCAAGTTTTAAAAACAATGTCAGCCTCTACCTGTTCTACTCTTTTTTTTTTGGAGACGAAGTTTCACTCTTGCTGCCCAGGCTGGAGAGCAATGGCGTGGTCTTGGCTCACCGCAACCTCCTGCCTCCTGGGTTCAAACGATTCTCCTGCCGCAGACTCCCGAGTAGCTGGGATTAAAGGCATGCACCACTATGCCCAGCTAATTTTGTATTTTTAATAGAGATGGGGTTTCTCCATGTTGGTCAGGCTGGTCTCAAACTCCCGACCTCAGGTGATTTGCCCGCCTCAGCCTCCCAAAGTGCTGGGATTACTGCCTGAGCCACCGTGCCGGCTTTACCTGTTCTACTCTTAAAGGATGATGTTAGAAGTGTTATTTGGAATAGTTGATGTGGTTTTATTATAGAAGCAAGCTTTTTAAAGAAAAAAAAAAACTAAAAGATAGATAATTTGGAATATATGTAACTGAAGTTAATTTAGCAAGGCTTTGCTAACTACCTGTGAAAACTGATACGGAAGTTAAGCCATCTTTGAAATTTTCTTTTTAAATCATCACGTGCTTATGGAAAATGTCAGCAGATATTCAAGCAGTCTTTTATAACCCTTGCTTTTCCTGTATTTTGTTTTGCTTTGTTTTTCTATTACTCTGTATCTTGAACAGCAGTCCCTCATTCTAGGCACATGAAACTGCTTTGTTCAACATTCCCTGTCCGCTTTTTTCCCTTCTCTGGCTCCGTGTCCTAAACAGCTTCTTTAATTAATTTTAAAGAGCTAAGCACACAGTAGGGACTTAATATAATATTCATTCATATTTAATTTATAATTCAGTACTCTGCCAAGACATCCACTGAGTTACAGTGGACCAGCATTTCCTAGTATTCCTATCCAGAAGAATATCAGCCTTGCAAGTTTGAGAAACGAGTTGTTGAATTCATATATCTCTTTCAGAAAGTCTTGGTACCCCCTATTACTCTAAAGACTGACAAATCTTCCAATAAAATAAATTATTTTAACTTTCTTTAGCCCAACATTTCCCAGTCTTATTAGACCAGGGAACACTTCTAGAAGCAATTTAAAAAGTTTTAGCTTAATATCTATTTATTCCCCTGGGACACATTATAGACCAGATTTTCTCTTAAAGATTGTGTCCATTTGTACATACCCCAACCATTGACTATTAAATTAATATTGACTATTAAAAAGAGAGTAGCCAGCAAAGTTCCTGGTATTCACTGGGCACGTTAAAATTTGCTGTTTTTCAAACCAGTTTTAGTTTTATATTAAAATTGAGAAGAGAGTTCCTATACACTCACTCACCCAGTTTCCCCTGTTGTTAGTGTATTACATTAATATGCTACATTTGTTATAATTAGTGAGCCAGTTATTATTAAATCCATACTTTATTCAGATTTCTTTAGTTTTTATCTAATATCTTTTTCTGTTCCAGAGTCCCATACAGAATACCAAATTACCTTTTTGTTTTGTTTTGTTTTGTTTTTTGTTTTTTGTTTTTTTGAGACAAGGTTTCACTCTGTTGCCCAGGCTGGAGTGCAATAGTATGATTATGGCTCATTGTAGTCTCTTCCTCCTGGGCTCAAGTGATCCTCCTGCCCCAGCCTCCCAAGTAGCTGGGACCACGAATGCATGCCACCATGCCCAGCTAATTTTTAAAATTTTTTGTAGAGACAGGGTCTCACTATGTTGCCTAGGTTGGTCTTGAACTCCTGGCTTCCAGTGATTCTCCTGCCTCGGCCTCCCAAAGTGCTGGCATTACAGGCGTGAGCCATGGCGCTCAGCCCCCATTACCTTTACTCATCATATCTCCTTAGGCTCCTTTTGGCTGTGACAGTTTCTTAAACTTTCCTTGTTTTTGATGACCTCAATAGTTTTAAGGAGTGTTGCTTTCGTATTTTGTAAGATGCCTTTCTATTGAAATTTGTCTGATATTTTTCTCTTAGGTAGACTGGAGTTATAGGTTTTTGGAGGAAGACTACAGATATAAAGTGTTATTCTAATTACATCACATCAAGGGTGCACACCATTATCATGACTTGTCACTGTTAATGTTGACCTTGATCACCTGGCCAAGGTAGTATCTTCCAAGTTTTTGCACAGTAATGTTGCCCCCCAACTCCCATCAGCCACCACTCATTCAATCCTGTGTTCTTTGGAATGAACTCACTATTTGCAGTTATGTTGCCTCCCATCCCCCCGGCCTTTGAGCATGGTGTGTCTACATAAATGATTTTGAATTCCTCTGTAAGGGAGATTTGTCTCTCCTTCATCCATTTATTTGTTTAATTATCTGTTCATATGAATATGGATTTGTGGAAATTACATTTTTAGTAAACTAATGAACCACAGTCTACAGCCTGTGAAAACTCCCTATTATTGTTGGAACCGAAGTACTGTTAGGAAATAGGTGCTGGGGATGGAAAAAGTCATGGAGGGCTTGGGGAGGCCTTACCCATTCACTTAAATGGAATTGTGCCTCTGACACATTAACAAAACCACATATTCTAAAAAATTCACCTCAAAGTGCCAAGAGTAGAGATACCTCCACTGAGAAGTTTGTTGTCGAAAGGAGAGAGGAGGGAGATACAACAAGAAACGCATACTAGCCGAAGATATTCTTCTTCACCTTCCAAGACTCACATGTGAACTGAGGAGAAGGATTTGAAGGGAGCCAAGTAATTTCTGTGTCTTCCTAGCACTTAGGTGTGACTTCTAGCCACTGGGCGCCAGCTGTTCTTTCCATGATCTACTCAGAGCCAGCCCCTTGCAGGCCTGTCCGCTATGGTTTTCGTAGTTGAGCCTACCCTTATGGTTTTGTTTTCTTCACTTGGCATTGTATATGTGTATGTGTGTAACTAAAACCTATTTTAAAAATGAGGGAAGCAAGCCCAGGACATAGAAGAGCAAGCCACTGAAACCTGCCGAGGCCAAAAAGACGTTTGTGAAACATTCCAGGAGGTGCTCTGGGCAGCCTCTGATTCACTGGCCTCCCTCATCGTCTGCAGCTCCTGGCTTAGGGAAGCTGCCAAAAGCACTTTCTCTACGAGCTGTGGCTCTCTGTTTCCTGGTGTTGCAAAAGGCAAAAGTTCAGGATTGAAGCCTTTACCTTTTCCATGTTTGCTTCTTATATAGCAAATCTTGTGCTGGCTTAGAATTGAGTCCGGGCGACTTTCTTGCCTTGAGCATACACTTAGAGCTTTGTAGAAATGACCAAGTGTATATTGCCCCAGGCAGCACTAACCAGAGGGTCATGTCCTACGTAAATAACCCCACCCCCCGCCCCATTCCCGTGTTGACTGTTTGCTTCACCAAGGACACAGTCATTGAATCAAAAGTGTGTTTGTATCTCAGATGCCTTGGCACTGGCGGTTTTGTGTGTGTGTGTGTGTGTGTGATTTTTTCCTTTATATTGAATAATGCCAATTAAATGTTTCTGGTCACACATCTGCAGAGCATGGTTTTATCAATTTCCAAACACAGAAGAGAAAGCCAATTATTAAAAAAAAAAAAAAGAAAAAGGGAAAAGGAGATGAAAACAATGAAAAAGAAAAAGATAAATGGGAATCTAAATTTAAATTCTGACTCTCTTGGAAGGAAAAACAAAAAAGATGTCCCTGCTTTAGCTTTGATGCATTCCTGCTTCTATGGAGAAATCTTCTGTTTGGGTTATTCCTTTCTGGGGGGACTGGCAACGGTCTAGAGCTGACGAGGTCTTTAGCCTTTTTGAGGCAGTTTGTGGCAGTCTGCCCTTAATCCGGCTTGGCCTCAGATACTGCATTTGGAATACTCTGCCTTTTCTTTTCTTTTTTTTTAAGCTGGAGTTTCGCTCTTGTTGCTCAGGCTGGAGTGCAATGGCGTGATCTCGGGTGACTGCAACCTCCACGTCCCGGGTTCAAGCCATTCTCCCTCCTCAGCCTCCCGAGTAGCTGGGATTATAGGCACCTGCCAACAAGCCCAGATAATTTTTTGTATTTTTAGTAGAGACGGGGTTTTACTGTGTTGGCCAGGCTGGTCTCGAACTCCTGACCTCAGGCAATCCATCTGCCTCGACCTCCCAAAGTGCTGGGATTACAGACGTAAGCCACCTCGCCTAGCTCTTTTTTTTTTTTTTTTAATGGAACTATTGTTCTCTCCCTAAAATGTTCTGGAATATTATCCCAAGGAGTATTTTGTTCATCACAAATTTAGATGTTTTGCCTTCCCATGCTCTGCT
The DNA here is from genome assembly GCF_000001405.40 of Homo sapiens. Lineage (NCBI taxonomy): Eukaryota > Metazoa > Chordata > Mammalia > Primates > Hominidae > Homo > Homo sapiens. The sequence continues at coordinate 149,547,125 of NC_000003.12, read as the reverse complement.
GAGGACTTTGTTTCTCTTTTTCTCTGCCTTAGGCCTCCTCTGCCCTCAGTGTCAAAAGCGGTGGTTTTAAGGAACCTCAACCACAAGTGAAGCTCATGAGCTCCAGTGTCAATGATGGTTCAGTATGGTTTGAAATTAAACAACTAGAGGGAGCATAGTGGCAAGGTGAATGGTGGGTTCCTGGGTTGAGACAAGTCACCTGGCTTCTAGGATACCGACCGGTTTTATGACCTTGATAAAATTCACTTTCTCTGAGTTTTGGTTTCCTCATCTCCATAAGGAGAGGTTGCACCAAGCAGACTCTCAGCTTTGACAGTCTTGATTATATCCTAAGCTGTATTTGTTGTTTTTCAGATAATTTGGGGCTTCTTTCTTTCACTCTACCAACAAAATATTGAGTTTGAAGCTTACATGGCCATGTTTTTGTTTTATGCTTTAAAATTTTTATTTTCACTTATGTTTTACATTAAATGATAAATTCATGTGGGAAAACTTAAAATAGTACAGAAAAGGAAAAGGAAGATCTCCCATCCCTGATACCCAGTTTCTTCTGCCGAGGTGCTCGCTGTTGCCGGTCTCAGGTGTGCCCTTCTGTGGAGATTTGCTGCACATGCATAACATGCCCCACCTTTTCTAACCACAACTAGTAACATGCTCATAATACAGTTCTGTCCTTTGGGTTTTTCCCCTTCTGGACGATCTCTAAGAAACATTGGAATCATCATACAGAATTTCTCTAAATGGGTGGACCATATCTCCCACTGATGGACATTAAGATCATTTTTAATCTTTTGCAATTATAAACAATACTGTTTTGAATATCCTTGTACAAACTGCTCTGTTGATATGTGCTTTACTTTGAAAACAAAGCTATCATCTAAGTTCCACCCTTTTCCAGACTCTACAGTTAATAATGAGAGATGTTTAGTCTGAAAGATCAAATCTAAATTAAATGGAAGAAACCAGTGTTTCCACCATTACCTCCTGTGAATGTCTCAAGTAGGGGCAAGTGTTTTAAAGACTCACATAGATGTGGCTTGGGAAGAGCTCCTCTCCAAGTCTGAAACTCCTCCAGATTAGGATTCAGGTATTAATAAAATCTGCTGAGCAATATCTGGTTGCTATGTGGCTTTCAGTAATACAGTACACTGCTTGAGAGTACGCCCAATGCAGCATTTTGTACACCGACAAGGGCAGTCTACCTAAGTGACTGATGATAGTCCTACTAGAATTTGTTATGTCAGTAAGTCACCTGAGTCAGTTATAAAATTTTCCAAAGTATCTAAGTTATAAAAATTAACATAGGGCTGGGCGCGGTGGCTCATGCCTGTAATCCCAGCACTTTGGGAGGCTGAGGCAGGTGGATCACTCGAGGCCAGGAGTTGGAGACCAGCCTGCCAACATGGCAAAATCCTGTCTCTACTAAAAATACAAAAATTAGCGGGGCAGGGTGGCACACGACTGTAATCCTAGCTACTCGGGAGGCTAAGACAGGAGAATCTCTTGAAACCGGGAGGCAGAGGTTGCAGTGAGCCAAGATGGCACCACTGCACTCCAGCCTGGGTGATAGAGTGACACTCTGTCTCAAAACAACAATAACAACAACAACATAGGGTTAACAACCTGTGCCTTTGAAGCCTTGTTTTCCTAACCTGGGTATTTCTGATATCAGAACTATTGGGCATCTTTTTTGTCTCTAGTAGTTGTGTCAGATACTACCATATTAAATATAACTACTAGTAAGAACATACTTTTATAGAAGGTTCAGAAATGCCTGTTCCTTGAAATAATTATCATTCTTCCATCTGCGCCTCTCTTCCCTGGCTTGAAATAGGTTTCATGAATTAAACCCTTCTGGATGTCTGGATTTTGTCTTACTTGAATCTGTACTTAAGGGAACTTTTCCCCTGCGACACCATCTGTGCAAAACCCTTTACCTCCCACCCCAGGCCTTCAAGTAGAAGTTGTAATTATACTATAACAAGCTCTAGAAGTGAAATACTCATCTCAGGTTTTTTGGCATCAATCATGACTGTGCTTTTTCTCTTGTTCTTAATCTAAGAGTGTAAGAAATGCCCAACTGATTTTATTCATTCATCAGATCGTTTCCTGAGCTTTCCCTGTGTACCTGGGATTGTGCCAGGAGGTGAGAGTCCTTGGTGGCAGGCTTAATTCTAAGGGGGAAACCTAAACTGTCTAGGCAATATACACTGATATCTTCCCTTTTACTAGCATGTTATTGGGCCCAGAGTTGTAAATCTATCCAGGCTTTCCTCGAGCCCTTCCTCTTAGTAACGCAAGCAACATTTGGGTCCCTATTTTGATGACCTGCTGTGTGTGTGGTACTTTCTTGCAAACAATTGAAGGCAGATTGTCTTTACAGGGTTGCTCTGAGGCTTCAGCAGTTGTTCCTCTTCTTCAGTCTAAGATGTGACAGAAGGTGGCTAGGGACAGTTGGACGGGGTACAAGAGGATCTCGATTTTGGTCTTGGCTCTACTTGCCACTAACCAGGGCACATCCCTTAACCTTTCTGGGTTACAGTCCCTATTCCATAAAATAAGGGGATGGACTAGATAATCTCCCAGGTTCCTTATGTAGCCTAACAGTTTCATGTTCCATAAGCCACTCATAAAAATCCATCTCATTTCTTCACACCTCTCTTCCACCAGTCCGTTAGTTCTCATGAAGGCAGGAGCTATTTTTCCAAGTTTAAGCCCAGTGCATGACACGCAGCAGGAATTGCAATAACAATTTCAGTGAGCGTATGGACAAAAAAGAACATTTTTATCCCACCCTCACCTCCATCCTGGAGAAATCTTTGCCATTGAATTCTTCCTCAAAGAAATCTATTCTTCTCTAGAAAAGCTTCAGTGTTGGTATTGTCTTTCAAATGTACATATATGTCGTTCAAATATACACATATATTATACATTTAATACATATATTTAATATATGGAGATTTGGGCTACTTAAATTCATTTAAGGAGATTTACTTGTAAATCATATTTCTACATAATATGCATAGCAAACTGAAGATGAAAAGTATTTAACTTAAGCCACCAGGCGTGGTGGCTTCCACCTGCAATCCCAGCACTTTGGGAGGCCAAGGTAAGAGGATTGCTTGAGCCCAGGAATTCAAGACCAGCCTAGGCAACATAGTGAAACCTCGTCTCTATGTTTAAAATATATACATATATATGAAATATTATAAAAAATATACATATATTATAAAATGTTTTAAAGTTAATGATACCAAATATAGCAAAAATTGAGAATTTTTTTCTCAGAAATGAAGTGAGTATATAAAATTATACCTTGTTTTCTTTGACCCTGACCTAGGAGGAAATAGACTGAAAAGCATGGTTTTCTTTATTACATGACATTGCCCAGCAGAAGTTAAGCAAATTTGACTGGTAAACAATTTTGAGAAAAACTAGCACTTTTATAAATGCATTTTTGCAGAAATACCAATTATAAAATTTATTTAAGGATTTTAAAATTATTTTTGTAAAGTGAAGTTCTTTTTTTTTTTTTTTTTTTTTTTGAGACAGAGTCTTTCTTTGTCACCAGGCTGGAGTGTAGTGGCGCGATCTCGGCTCACTGCAACCTCCGCCTCCCGGGTTCAAGCGAGTCCCTGACCTTTGCCTCCTGAGTAGCTGGGACTACACGCATGCACCATCATGCCCGGCTAATTATTTTGTATTTTAATAGAGATGGGGTTTCACCATGTTGGCCAGGATGGTCTCGATCTCCTGACCTCATGATCCGTTCGCCTTGGCCTTCCAAAGTGCTGGGATTACAGGCGTGAGCCACTGCTCCTGGCCGTAAAGTGAAGTTCTATATGCTGAAATTTCACTGGTTGTTAAATGCAGATAAATAGAGCATTTTAAAAAAATTGAAAATATTTCTCATGCGTTTATCCAGGCACAACATGTTTAGCATTTCTGCATAATTTCTTTCTCACTAATTTCTCCCTTTGAAGAAACAAACATTTTTTTCTCAGTCAGATATTTGTTCCTGAGTTTAGCTCATAGCTCAGGCTTCCTTGCAGCATGCTTTTCAAACAAAGGATTAATGGAGTCCTCCTTATATGTCGGCTCCTGATCTAGGTGCTTTGTGTTACATGTTGTTTGTCAATTCACTGGTTTGTGTACCAAAGATCACATGCCCTCCTTACCTCTGCCATAAACACACAAATTAACTGAGAAAGTATACACATGCACACACACACACACACACAAATGATCTGGTGAAATTATCTCATAACTTGTGATAACCTTTGTGGAATTTGCTTTAGACCACTATGTTCTATGTAAGGCTTAAAATGTACTCTAGACAGGGAGGTGTGAAATGAGATTTTAACAGAAACAAAAGCCGAGGCTAGATGAGTCAGGATTGGGGCCAGTATTCGAGCCTCCGTGAATTGAATTAAGGTAATAATTACTTAAACAGTAATGGTTAACAGGAAAGTACTTTGGAAGGAATCTCAGGAATCTATACTCCAAAGCAGAAAACATTCTGATGGTCTATTTTTGATAAGGTATTGTGGGCCCTGGTCATTAATCTGTATGTTCTTCCCTCTTGCAGTGATGAATCACCAACACCAGCAGCAGATGGCCCCCAGTACCCTGAGCCAGCAGAACCACCCCACTCAGAACCCACCCGCAGGGCTCATGAGTATGCCCAATGCGCTGACCACTCAGCAGCAGCAGCAGCAGAAACTGCGGCTTCAGAGAATCCAGATGGAGAGAGAAAGGATTCGAATGCGCCAAGAGGAGCTCATGAGGCAGGTATGGCTTTCCATGGTGTCTGGTGGAGGCTCCCTGGCCTTGGTGCCAAAGCTGATGGGTAGGTAGCTGCTTACCTTCAGGGTAATTCTTCTAGAGAAGAAGAGACAATAGGGCTCAAAGCCCTACTCCAAGCCTCTTGATTAAAATCCAGTTTCTTCTCTCAGTGTTCTGCCTGCCTTTTCAGAACGAAGCTTAAGGGTACAAGGACGAGCTGTATTAGCATGGCTGCCTTTGGCTTCCACTGCTAGTCTTTAGAAGGAGAGAAAGGAGAAAGTAGAGAGACAAGAGTCTGTTGTTGTGTAACAAATTATCCCAAAATGTAGTTGCTTAAATAGCCATTTCATTATATCGCACAATTTTGTGGGTCAGAATTTAGAAGGGGCTCACCTGGGATATTCTTCTGCTCTACATGGCATTGACTGAGGTCATTTAGTGGTATTCAACTGGTAGGTGGGTTGGTCTGGATAGTTCACAATGGCTTTACCTAAGTGGGTGGCATGATGGTGAGGATTGCTGGAAGACTGGGCTAAGCTGGAACAAAAGCCTGGGATCTATGGTGTGGCGATCTCAGAGTAGTGGTACTCATTCCATAGCAGCTGGGTTTTCAAGAAAAAGCATTCTAAGAGACAGGAAGTAGAAGTTGCCAATTTCTTGGGGCCTAGCTCTGGAAACGGTCGTGGAGTCGCTTTTGCCACACTCTCTTGGTCAAAGTAGTCACAGAGAACCCCCCGAGATTCAAGCAGATAGTGGAGTGGATGTTCCTCAGAAGAAATGACAAAGGATCTTGGTCCACCACAGAGCATGAAAAAGAGGGAAGCTGAAGGGAGAATGAGAAGGGAAAGTGGTTTGTATATGGACTCCAACAGAGTGCTCTGCAAAACTGCCTGGGCATCAATCAGGCACTTTTGTACCATACTCCATTCATTCAGTTTTCATTCCGTCAGTCAGGAGTGTGTTGCCGTGTGCCCTCTGTGGGTCAGGCTCAGTGCTGTACTTCAAAAACGAATACAAGAGAATTCCTAAAAGAACCCACAGTGCTCTCCCTGTTTCAGTGGCTTGGTCTATGGAAGAGCAGAATTCTTTCTTCTGTGTTGCTAAACTAATATAACCCATGTTTTCAGGTCTCATGCTTTTTTTCTGGCTACATTTTTGGGGAGAAAAGCTTCAGTTTATTGTTTTAACTTTTCAGACTTTGTTTTGTGACTCACATGAAGCAAGATACATGAATAACTTCCTTTTGCTACTTTAGAGAAATTAGAGAAATAAGTAGTTTTAACATTCCAGAGAACTTTCTTGGAGGAAAGGACCGAGCATGTTAGGGTAAATGCTGTTTTTTTAAAGCTACATTTGATACTTTCAAAAATACACATTGACTTCCATGAATGAATAATGTATTTCTCATCAAATACATTCCAGGATATAAGAAATCTATATTGTGTGAGGTTTAAAATGCATGGTAAATTAAAATCATTTCTCAGATATAGTCTTTGAAAATAAGGAAAATGAATATAAATTGTGCTTTGTTGCTCAGCTGAACTTTCCTCCAAATTTGAGGAATACAACTTAATAATTAGGTAACTACAGTTGTGTCTTTTACCCTGAGGATTTATGTTTGAACTTTCACGGTTATTTCAGGCTAACGGTTGTTTATACTGATTTTAGATATATAGTGTCATGTTTCTTGATGGGAAGTAATTGTATTGTTAATTGTTTTCTGTCTTTGAATAATAATTTTATTTGGAATAATTTTTCTGTTTTATAATGTAAGGTAAATTAAACAGTATCCCAACAGCATTTTATACATTCTCAGTTTTATACTTAAATGAGCTTTAGTGAGTTTTTTCTTTACACAAAGTTGTGACCATTCTGCAAAGAATGACTTGCTTCTCTGTTTTTGCGGGTGTGTTTCTCTTTCTCTTGCTTCTCCTCCTTCTTTCCCACAGAAAGTATTTCTGAAAAGGGGTGGGAAAAGTGCCCCAAATTGTTTCCTTTATTCCAGCTGTAGGTGCCTTTGAACCAGGATGTAGTACTGATGGTTCATATTACAGAAATGCCAACCAAGTTCCTTAAATGCTGATCCTTGGAGGCTGTGGAACGTGGGGCGTTGTGCTGCATCATAGTGAGCAATTGCATTGTTGCATTGTATATGAAGCAGGAGAAAAGATTGTCCAGATTTGCTCACAGGGACTCATGTAGTTCAGCCTTGACTCTGTGTGTGTGTGTGTGTGTGTGTGTGTGTGTGTGTGTGTGTGTGTAGTTAGGAGGAGATGGAATGGTGGAGTGGTTGGTTCTGGTGTTCTGATGCCTTTTTATTTTTGTTAGGGAGTACAGGAAAAGGTCTAAATAGACTTTTTAATCATGGCAGATTTTTTCCCCATGCAGAAGCAGCATGCTCCTGATTGTCAAAGATATGATTTAAGACCATATAATAAATGGCATTGGAGTGTTCTATAATAGTTTTCTGGGGCATTTGCCAGGACACCTGATTATTCAGTATTCAGGTGTGGGCTCTGTGTTTCATCTTGGTGGATTTTTTGAACTCTTTTGGTGATTTTCTGCTTCACTTTTTGAACCTAAGCCATGGCAGCAGCAGGGAAATGGACTGGAATTAAAAGTGATCTTTGGCTCACTTGTTTAGTTGCCTTCCAGCATCTGGTAGGAATTTGGAGAGATGGGGGAAGTGGTGGTTCTGGTGAAATTTAAAGATTATCTGTACACTTCTGTTTGTTCTCTCTGTCCTACCCCTATGTCCTGGGTAGTCAACAACTGCCTGAATATCCCTTGCTCAGTGGACAGTTTGTAATTACACTGGCTCTCCTCTTGCTTGTAGGCGGCCTTAATTGTACAGCCTGTCTTCTTGGGGCCCAGGCCCTGCAGGTAGGCCTAGACCTACCTGCCCTTCTACCAACTGAGCCTGTCTGGGAGCAAGGCCCCAGGCTATGCTCTCTTTCTGTAGTAGAAAGGGAGGTTGGCAAAATTTAATAAGTAGATGAATTTATCCCCTAATTACTAATAAATTATCACGCTGTCTATAGTTTTATCATTCTTGAATGATACGACGAATCTGAAAGATCCCTGTGGAGAATATGCTATATAAATATTGTTTCATTTTTCTTCCTGTTCCTTCTGCTATGCCGTTGTTCCACTAGGCATATAGTTTGATGATGTTGTGCCATGAAAAAAACAACTCCTTGGTCCTTGTTGCATGATTTGATGTATACCACAATGCCAAAGGGTCACCTATTAACTCATTGGCATTGAAATCATGCGAGAACATTAACAAAATGGATCTGAGGAAACTTTGATTACAAATCTAAAGTGAGCCTTCATTATTTCAGTATGGAAGCTCATATTTTTTTTCCTTCCTTCATTCCTTTATCTCTTCATTCATTCAATCAATATTTATTTAGTAGAAAATAACAGACAGGTAAATGGGATGTGACTGCCTTCAGATAACTTGTATTTTTGCAGAAAAGGAAAAATAATTAACTTTAATCCAAGTTAAAGACCAGAAGAGTAAATTAAAACCATTCCCTGCTTCACAGGGGCCCAGTGGCTACCATCTTTGACTTTCATTACTGGAACTGAGACCAGATGCACCTGAGCAGAGTTCTGTGAAAGTGAGCATCAGATACTCCTTTTTCTTTCCAGTGACCCCTCAGGTTACTGGCTACAGAATTAGGATCAAAAGAGCCAGTAAGGTTTGGTATCTCTGCTGATAAGGAATCTTCTGAAGCAGGAGAATTTCCTTAAATGCAGTCCCTCCAATCTAGCATTGGCTGGTGTAGCAACAGAGCTGAGCTACTTGTATCTGATAATTGATGAATTATCTTGGAATGCGGCAGACACTTCAAGTGGAGGGGTACCAGGAATCTAACATGGAAGACATAAAGAGTGCATTTCTGTGAAAGGAAGTCTTTTGTCTGTGATAGAGTTTTCTTTTATTTTTACTGAATTTCCCAAAGGCTGTGAGGCTACTTCAGGTTCACCAAAGAAATGGCAACTCTAGAAAAAAAAAGCAATTCTTATTGAAGTTTTGCTTTCTCTTCATTTTTTTAAGGAAATTAAAATTTGATTTGTTGAGTTTTTTTAAGTAGAAAAAAATTTTAATTTTTGACTAAGCGTGGTGGCTGACGCGTGTAATCCCAGCACTTCGGGAAGCCAAGGCGGGCAGATCACTTGAGGTCAGGAGTTCGAGACCAGCCTGGCCGACATGGTGAAACCCTGTCTCTAGTAAAAATACAAAAATTAGCCAGACATAATGGCGGGTGCCGGTAGTCTCAGCTACTCAGGAGGCTGAGGCAGGAGAATCTCTTGGACCTGGGAGGTGGAGGTTGCAGTGAGCTGAGATCGAGCCACTGCACTCCAGCCTGGGCAACAGAGTGAGACTCTGTCTCAAAAAAAAAAAATTAAAAATATAATTTACTGAGTTACTTTAGTGATTAGCATTTAAAAAAGTGTTTTTGCTAAGTGCAAGAAACCAGACTTCCCCCCAAAACTACATCCTGTATGATTCCATTTATGTGACGTTCTGGAAAAGCAAAACTATGGGGACAGAGAAGAGATGAGCACTTGCCAGGGTTGACAGTACAGAAAGAGTAGACTCCAAAGGGGCAGCACTGAGGAATTGTGGGGCAGATGGCACAGTTCCGTGTCTTGGTTGTGGTGGCTATTTCACAGCTCTACATTTGTCAAAACTCAGACATGTATACCACAAAGAGTGAATTTTACTGTATGTAAACAAAAAGAATAATAAAAGAAAACGAATTGCTACACACAAAAAGACAAAACGTATGTTTATGGTACGGAATGTATAAAATACTAAACAACAAAGAAGGAAATTATAATCACCTATACTCTTACCTAGAAAGAGTGGCTGTAAATATGCTGATGATTTCTTTCTAGTCTTTTTGTATGTATCATGTGTATCAATGTGTCTACTTTGTTTTTTAAAACACAAAAGTGGTAGCATACTTTAATACTGCTTTGTTGCCTCTTCTTAATATATTGGGAAGTCATTTTTTTATTCTGTGTCAGCCATGAAGTTGTGCTGTGACTTTGTATGTACCCATTCCAAAGCGCCTAGAATCCTTTCTACAACAGGCCGTACATAAATTTTTAAATGTCATGAGCCACACACACCCACAATGACTACAGAGTATTCTGTTGTTACAACTGAAAAATTCAACGCAATATTTGCTCAGTATCCTAAAAGGCACAATTGCAACTTTACCAAATGAAGTGGGAAATCGTAGTCACAGGTCAGACATTGAGAAACAGGCTTCTCAATGCCTGTTTATCTAAAAGAACAATTCCTTGACATGAAAACAGGCATATGGCTTTACCTGAAGAGAGTATTTCTTTTCATGTGTGTTATTCATTTAAATATAACGGTTTGGGGCCATCTTTCTGGAAGATTTTAACCTCGAGGACCAGGACCTGGAAGACGAGTAAGTGGCAAAGCCTTGGCTCCCCCTTGTCCCTTCACGGGGGCTGCCTTGTAGAGAAATCATTATTCCCAAAGCAAATTCAGCCCTGCTTTTACCCTCAACCTTTTCTTTCTTTTTTTTTTTTTTTTTAATTTGGGGGTTGGGGGACAGGAGAATGCAGTTTGTCAAACAAAAATGCTGACTAAGCCTGGCCTCGGGTCGCCGGGGCAACAGGGACGAGAAAAGAGGGAGGCCTCGGAATTCTTTTGGCAGGTCTGTGGGATTTCTGCCAGGCTTGACAGCCACCAGGCGCGGCGGGCCAGCTGGCTGACCTCGCACAGCCATCCTGACAGAGGGCTCCTGGAGGGGGACACACCTGGCTGTGAGCAGCACTGGCCTGGGGAAGGTTCTGAGGCCCCCCCCTTTTTTTTTTTGTCATGCAAAGAATAGCTATTTAGCGAGCTAGGAGAGTGTCGTATTGGAGCAGATCATGAAGCATAAATGTAGGCTATTTCATAGCCTTTGCTTCAGAACAGGGGACTATTTAACTTTTAGAAAAGCATTTCATAGCATTAGGTTTCAGAGTTGACTGGGTTAACAGAGGTCACGTAGTCTAATATTTTGTGAATCTATAAATCCCTCCATATAAGCTTGGCTATTTAAGTTCATTCGTTCATATATTTGTTTTACAAATGCTCTAGGCATTAAAAGTACAGCTGTGAACAACAGACCCCAGCCCCTTCCCTCACAGAGCTTCCATTCTAGCTTGTGTCAAGCGTTTTATTTGCTTACATGTCCCAGAAATAATCCATTTTCCAAAATGTCCCAGTGTGCCCTTGTTGTTGAACAATAGTATCAATTCAAGTCTTTTTTTTTCTTTTTCTTCTCTTTTTGAGACACAGTCTCACTTCATCACCTAGGCTGGAGTGCTGTGGCACAATCTTGGCTCACTGCAACCTTCACCTCCCAGGTTCAAGTGATTCTCATGCCTCAGCCTCCTGAGTAGCTGGGATTACAGGTGCGCATCATCACGCCTGGCTAATTTTTTGTGTTTTAGTAGAGACGGGGTTTTGCCATGTTGGCCAGGCTGGTCTCGAACTCCTGGCCTCAAGTGATCTGCCCACCCTGGCCTCCCAAAGTGCTGGGATTACAGGTGTGAGCCACTGCACCAGGCCTCAGCCTTTTTTTTTTTTTTTAAGTGAAGACAGACGAGTATCTAAATTATAATGTTTTCTTTAATGTGATTTGAAAGGACAACAGAAACCAGTTGTGGAATAATACAAATTTGCTTTATGCACTCTGAGTAAAAAGAGCAACAAATAGACCATAGATAATAATGACAAACTTAGTAAATGGCTTCCTAAAAGTATCGCAGTTTCGATTGTTCTTTTGTAGGGACAGTCTGGCAGCTGAGCATTAGTGATGAGTTGTTTCAAAAAGGCAGTCTCCGGGAAGTGTGACAGTGCATTTTAGAATCCCTTGGCACCGAATTAAAAAGAAATATACATCAGTAATTTTTTTTTGTTCCCCCCGCCGTCCCCCGTAAAGAAGGTAAATAATTCGGCATTCTCTCTCTGAAGTCCCTCAGGGTTTTGGCAGAGAAAGCAATTTCTCTGCATCCAGAATAACTATTTTAATGTTAGGATTTCAAAATACTGTCTTTTTTTTTTTCATTTTCTTTCTACTCACCCCACCCTTTATAATTAAAACAATCCAATCTTCCATGTTTGTAGAGTCCCTGGCCACACACACTTAAATCAAGCAGAGCAGCCTCTGAAGAGCTGATTGTCATTTGTTTCCCTTTTGAAGTGCATTCTGGTGAGGGCAGGAGCTGGCTGGCAGAGTGTTCCCTCAGCCAAGGCGGGACAGAGCTGCAGATGCTTTCAGCTGCCGTTTACTTTCTCACCTCCTCTGTTGGTTTATTCCACAGGCAAGCTGCAGGCCAAGGACCTAGAAGGAGAGGAGGTTTGAGGTTTGCTTCCTGGGACACCTTCAGCTCACAAATAATCATTTGTCTTTCACATCCTTACTTCTTCAGCTATTTTACACATCACCCGTCCTCCAGCTGCTAGGAAAGGGTATTTTTTAGCCCATAAATAATTACTCACTTCAGAGAGCTAGATAGTTGACCACAAACTCACCAAGAGATTCTTGAGCCCTTATTTTGCAAGTCTTTCCACCCCAAGCTTGGACATAGACAAAAATAAATTTGTTGGAGGAGGGTTGGGTCAGGGTCAGCAGGGAGAGCTTTCCTTCTGAAAAGTGCCCTTGAAATTGGAACTTGTAACTTTGCTTGATGGGTTGTGAATTCCTAGGACATGAGCTCCACTCATATACGTTGAAAACTATCATTGAATACATCCAGTTCATTCTGTTGCCCTGTTCAGGGAGGAAAACTATGTTCAGGAAAGTTAAATCGGCTGTTTCATTAAATTTCCTCTGAACTGTCTGAGGTAGAGGGGTTGGTCTTTCTATTTTATTGCTGGGAAAACAGGCTCGGAAAAGTGAAGTAACTTGCCCAGTTCTCACAGCCAGCAGGTGAAAGGGTTGACAATTTGAGGTCTGTCAACCTCAACCCTCAACTTTTCTTTCTCTGCCACACTGAGACTTTGCCACACTCTTAACTCTGAGCCTCAGTTTCCTCATCTGTAAAATGGAGACAATTGGGTTGTCACGAGGAAGAGATGAAATAACACGTTTTTCTTTTCTTTTCTTTTCTTTTTCTTTCTTTTTTTTTAGACAGAGTCTCATTCTGTTACCCACACTGGAGTGCAGTGGCACTATCTTGGCTCACTGCAACCTCCGCCTCCTGGGTTCAAGCAATTCTCCTGCCTCAGCCTCCCAAGTAGCTGGGACTACAGGCACATGCCACCATGCCCGGCTAATTTTTTTGTATCTTTAGTAGAAACAAGGTTTCACCATGTTAGCCAGGATGGGAAATAACATGTTAAAGGGCTTAGAACAGTGTTTCACACACAGTAAGCAATATGCAATTTTTAGCTAGTATCTCTGCCTCCCACACCATTTAACACTATCAGCAGCTTGTTCTGTTAACTGCGTCAATGTGCCAGGTCCATTATAAGTACGCTTTCTAATCTTTATAGCATCCCAGCAAGATCAGTCTTATAAACCACCTTTTTTTTTTCAGGTGAACAAACTGTCAAGAAAGGTTAAGAATTTAGTTCAAGATGCCACAACATGTAGTAACTGAACTGGGATTTGAACTCCAATCTTTCTGGTTCCAAAGACAGTTTTGCTCTTGTGCCATGCTGCCTTTTCGGTGCCAAGCTCTGGACCCCAACTTAAACCCCAACTACTGTTTCAGAAATCCGGTGGCTAATAGCCTGGAGAATTGAGAAGAAGGCAGTTCCTGCCCTGAACTGATAAGTAACTAGAAAGCCCTTCATCGTATCTGCCTCAAATCTAGGCTAGAAGAGATCTTCCTTCTTTCCTGTGACAGTTCATTAATAATTTGAGAGCCACTGTGTGCCCTTCTAGTCTTCCCCTGTGGTTAAATAGCCCCACTCTTCTTCATAGGATGTGATGCCCTGACCCCTCTCTATCCTGATTGGTCTCTGGTCACTCTTTGAAAAGATTTCAGTAAGATAAAGTGTTGGGTAGGGACCTGGATGCAGCCTTGCACTTGAAGGTTGATTGGAGGAAGAGGTCAGTTGGACTAGCTAGAGAAGCAATGATGACCTGCTTCTTGAGACAGAAAGCAGGTTTTGAGCTTGGTCTAGGAAACTGAAGGTTTGTTTGGAGGGCAGGGTGGACACAGAGGGGACCCTGGAAGGGATCTGTGAATATACATGTTTAACTGGAGCACAGTGGGAAATGAGTGACAAGCCAGCTTAGCGTTTGTTTTCCTGCCTCGACTAGAGGGAGCAGAGGAAGGAAGGGGTGCTGAGTGAAGGCAGCTGCACCACCGATGCTCAGCGGCAGAGGCCTTGAGTTATGCCCTCAGCCAGCCTTGACCAACTGTCACCCCTCTGTTTCCATGGAAGCTTACTTCATCCAGTGCCTGTCTTTGTCTTTGCTTCAGCTGCTTTAGTTTCATCCATTTTGACTGCTGCTGTTTGGTCTAAGTCAGACGTTTGCCTTTCATTTTTACCCACGCAAGGGTAGTGGATGTCATGTGGCAGTCCAAATCCTACTGGGTCTGGGCTTTAATTTTATACCTAAATTTAGTTTAAAACAAAACCCTCCCCTGTTTGGATGGCAACATGTTGGTGAGGTTAGCCCTTTTATTTTCAGACCTCGGGTTTTGTACAGTTTCTTTTTCTCTTTCAGTTCATGAGTTGGAATAGGGAAGTATTTTCATTCAAAAAAAGGCTAGAATTTTTAAAGTTCTAAATATAGAACTCGTATTATAAAATTTAAGTGAAGTAAAACATCTCACTACTTTCCATTTATATTCGAACAAATTTTATGTTATATAAAAATGGTTTATAAACCTCTCCTTGTTTAAAAAAAATTGTTTTCTTAGCCTTGGTGACCATTATGATGAATTTCACACTTTGGTTTAATCCCTCCAAGGTGAAAGTTGACCAGGAAGAAACCTCTCACCACTTAAAGTGGATCAGTTCCACATGACAGTGTGACTTTTAAAATTGTTTATTTTGTTTTTTTTGAGATTGGAATTCAGAAAATGAAATAATAATAATTCCTTCAGTATTTATTATGTGATCTTGAGTGCCTGGCACTGTTCTAAGCACCTTGTAGTGTTATCCCGTTTTATCATCACAGCAGCCTTCTTGGGTGGGTGCTCTTATTATCCCCACTTTACAAATGAAGAACAGAGGGTTAAATAACTTTCTGTTAGATAGCAGGACCAGGTTTCCAATTCAAGCATCTAGCTCCTGGCCACTCGGCCCTCCTGTTCATCCTATGTGAGGAGCAGGAAAGAGTGCAGCAGGACCATTTCTTGAGGATGGAGCCTGCACCTGGCTAGTTGGGTTGTATACAATAGGCTATTATTTCTCTCATATTTGTGGCTGAGGTGAGATTGCATGTTCTTAGTTTATATTTCCAAGTACCCACTGTATGCCTAGCACTGTTAAGGTAGTTGGGTACAGGAGTGAACATGACAAACAAGGCCCCTTCCCTCGTGGAGCTTACATTCTAGTAGGAAAGACAGAGAATGAAAACTTAAGTTGCACTGAAGAAAATTAATGCAGATTAAGAGACAGAAAATGACAGGGGTGAGGCCATTTTAGACAGGGGTGAGGTAGGAGCATCTCTGAAGAGATGGCGTCTGTAGGAGGCAGGCGTTAAGTGAGGGAATAAGCTTTAGGAAGACTCGAGGAACACCTTGCAAGCAGATAGAACAGTTGGCGCAGGTGCAGGAGGTGGGAGGAGCAGCAGAGAAACCAGGAGACTGGAAGGGGGTGAAGGAGGGGAGCACATCAGAGACATGGGAGGAAAGGGTGGCCAGGGCTGTTATGCAGGGTGTGGTGGTCTGCAGTGAGGACCTGCCTCTATTTACCATCCAGGTGGAACAAGAAGCAGGTCGCTTTAGAGCAGGGGGTCACGTGAGCTTCACTTTGGCTGCTATGTGGAATAACTTGTGACCTAAGAATGATTTTGGAATAATCTTAGACAAAGTGTCCTATTATAAATAATAACTTTCTAACTCAGACTGGCCTAATTTATATTTCAAAGCTATTATTCAGGCCGGGTGCAGTGGCTCACGCCTGTAATCCCAGCACTTTGGGAGGCCAAGGTGGGCAGATCATTTGAGGCCAGGAGTTCGAGACCAGCATGGGCAACATGGCGCAACCATATCTCCACTAAAAATACAAAAATTAGCTGGGCGTGGTGGCACATGCCTGTAGTCCCAGCTACTCGGGAGGCTGAGGCACAAGACTTGCTTGAACCCGGTAGGTGAAGGTTGCAGTGAGCTGAGATCACGCCACTGCACTCCAGCCTGGCTGAGAGAGTGAGACTCCATCTCAAAAAAAAAAAAAAGCAATCATTCCGGGTACATTCAACACCCTTTCTGATTTTTCTCTTATTTGTTAGTCAGTTGAAGGTAGAAAATGATACTGTGAGCCCCCTACAGACAGAAGGCGGCATTTGCCCTTAGGATGACTTGGTGATTAAGTCTTCAGGGTAGTTAGGGAAACATCAGTGCTGGAGACTAGAGCTTCTGTTCTCTTTGATTTAGAACAGATGGAACAAATGTGAAATGGCACAGTGAAACATTTCCTCCAATATAGTATAGGTTTTTCAGCTTTGGTTATCATAAATAATCCTTTAAATTTTATTTATATATTTTATTTATATATTTAGACACACACAAGCATTATTTTATGTTTTATTTACTGGAAATAGCTAGGAGTAATTTAAATTAATAGGAAAGTTTAGAACTATTTATTTTATATCTAATTTTTGATATTTGTTCTTATAATTTTATATATTATTACAGATAACAATTCATGTGTGTTATATATAGTGTATTTTTTTATCCCATGAAGTTCCAGAAATGATTCTTACCATATATAAATTTAGAACTCCTGGAAATTGCAGATTCAACTTGTATTTTTTTTTTCTTTTTTTGAGACAGAGTCTCGCTTTGTCGCCCAGGCTGGAGTATGGTGGTGCAATCTCGGCTCAATGCAACCTCCGCCTCCCCAAATTCAAGTGATTTTCCTGCCTCAGCCTCCTGAGTATCTGGGACCACAGGTGCATGCCACCACACCCGGCTAATATTTTGTATTTTTAGTAGAGACAGGGTTTCACCTTGTTAGCCAGGGTGGTCTTGATCTCCTGACCTCGTGATCCACCCGCCTCAGCCTCCCAAAGTGCTGGGATTACAGGTGTGAGCCACCGCCCGGCCTCAACTTGTATTCTTAAGACATATGTTGATAAAGTTTTTTCAATACAAAGGAATGCAGCCATCTCATCAACTTTTAAATTAAAAGTGTATTTGTTTAGAGGTAAACTCCCACATTTATTCAGAATGGTTGAAAAATGGAATATTCTAGTAAAGTTCATGTTTTTGGATAATGAGGGTTATGAGTCAAAAGATTCTTGCATTTATGGTTAATAAAGTATTAGAAATTTACCATTGATGAGATACATTTTTTCAAACTGTGGCTCAGGGTGTATGAGTGTGCTTGAGGGATGGGGACTGGTGGGACTCAGGCTTTTTATGCCAGATTCAATCCCTGTTGTTCCTTCTGAGGCTTTCAGGAAAACTTTGGTTGGATAATAAGGTTTCTAATGCACCCTGCCTGCCATGTTAAAAACAACTATCAGAAAATAATTTGATTTTTCTAGGTTTATTCAGAAGGCACTTCCAAGATTTAGATGATGAAAATCACTTTTTACCAAAAAAATCTCCAGTTTTTGGTTTGCTTTTTGTAGATTCCTGAATAAAATTTGTTAGTTAAGTATTTGATTATTTGCAATCTAGATGAACAGAAGTGAGCCAAAGACCCTTTCCAGCTAGATTTATTTCAGTATAAGTTAACAATACAGTTTTTTTTTAAATCAATCAGGTCTCTCATGGTTTGTAACAGTGCAACCAACTCTAGTAACTGAAAATTTTTATAGCCGATGACTTCACTAGGACTTGTCTAGACAGCAGCTACCCTCTAAAGTCACATCATGTTAGGGCTGGAAGAGATCTAACGAAGATACTGTAATTTAGAAGTCCTAAATGTTCTGTTTGCCATTGTAGCCATGGTTTTAGGGTTTGAGGGACAGTGAGACCAATGACTTCAGCATGGAAAGTGGGAAACTGATAGGCATAAATATGGGGAAAGGCCTAACCTTGGTTTGGGATGCAAATGTAAACATACAAAAGTATTCTCTGGAAACATCAGCAAATTTGAAAGGAATTTGATGTCTGGTTATGTTTGTCAAGATGGAGAGACTCCTGGAGATTATACCTAGAGAAAGTAGTTGCAGTCAGTAAATTTGTAGCCTTTTGGATAGACTCTTCTTAGCAATGTAATGCTAGCTTTTATAAAATAATGCTTGTATTATTTGTTTCTGCTAATGAAATCCATATGCTGTGAAACAGTTACTTGTCTGTGGGATTTGGATTGGATCTACATGGTTCCCCAACCTTCAGCATTTTAGTCAACAAAGTAGTCAAATAGATTGACTTTTTTGTTTTTTTGTTTTTTTTGAGACAGCGTCTCACTCTGTCACCCAGGCTGGAGTACAGTGTCGTGATCTCTGCTCACTTTAGTCTCAACCTCCCAGGCACAGGGCTCCTCCTGCCTCAGCCTCCCAAGTAGCACCACACCCAACTAATTTTTGTATTTTTTGTAGAGACAGGGTTTCACCATGTTGCAGGCTGGTCTCGAACTTGTGGGCTCCAGTGATCCGCCCACCTCGACCTCCCAAAGTGCTGGGATTATGGACGTGAGCCACCACCCCTGGCCACTGATTGACTTTTTAAAGTAAACTTTCAACTCATTGTTTTGCTTTCCTGTCTGTAAACATAAAACTGCCAGATGCAATTTAATGTAGAGCCTGGACTCTGTAATTCCACAGTTTTACTGGCCTGTAAGTGGCAAAGACCAGAATGTACTTTATAGTCCAGAGGAGTCTGATTGCTTTGATTGATGTAGATTTGGTTTGAGAACCTGAGATAGAAAAAGCCTTGTCTCTGACAAAGTGTTTTGAGAGGGCTTTCTATGATTTGGGTGTTTAAATAATTGCATGGGTGGGATGATTGCAACATTAAGTGCCCTTAGATCAAATAATAGCTGAGCTTCCCATTAACTTTGTGAATGTGAAGTGACTTATGTCTGTAAGACTTTCTTCGGAGAAAGAATACTAATGGTTGCCTGGTGATTTTGACTTGCTGGGAGTAAATACACAGTGCTTTGTATTTGGTGAAAAGTTTTGATGTGAAGTACACTTTGCTCCATGCCTTGTGACAATGAGTGCATGACTCTTGCTTCCCATTCTGACTGTAGGAAGCTGCCCTCTGTCGACAGCTCCCCATGGAAGCTGAGACTCTTGCCCCAGTTCAGGCTGCTGTCAACCCACCCACGATGACCCCAGACATGAGATCCATCACTAATAATAGCTCAGATCCTTTCCTCAATGGGTAAGTTAATATTTGGGGGCCACTTATTTTTATTCTCTTTATTATGTGATCTAGACTATAATAGGATCTTTGTTTACATTGGGAAGAGGTGGGGAGCTTGAGGGTTGAGGGTGAGAATAAAGGGAGGAAGTGGGAGGAGCTGGCAGAAAAAAGAAAAGCAGGGGAAATCATCTGCCTGTTAAAAAATTTCCAAATTAAAAAATTGGTGATAGGACGTAGAGTAAACCCCTAGTCAAGAATTTGAAAATGGGCATGAACTTATATTTTTAAACATGATGGTGTCGTCTAGTACTTATACTTGGAAGAATCTTCTGGTTTTATGTAACCAACAGGGGATAAAAGCATGCCATATGGCAAATTGAGAACAGAACAATTAAGAGATTATGTTCGGCCAGGCATGGTGGCTCATGCCTATAATCCCAGCACTTTGGGAGGCCGAGGTGGGCAGATCACCTGAGGTTGGGAGTTCGAGACCAGCCTGACCAACATGGAGAAACCCTGTCTCTTCTAAAAATACAAAATTAGCAGGGCATGGTGGTGCATGCCTGTAATCCCAGCTACTCGGGAGGCTGAGAATTGCTTGAACCTGGGAGGCGGAGGTTGCAGTGAGCCGAGATTGCACCATTGCACTCCAGCCTTGGCAACAAGAGTGAAACTCCATCTCAAAAAAAAAAAAAAGAAAGAAAAGAAAAGAGATGATGTTCAGGGTGAAATGTGAATAAGATCTATAGTTTAGTAAATAATATTCTACAGTGTCAGATTTCTGATTTTGGTAATTGCACTATGGTTATGTAAGATGTTATCACTGGGGAAGCTGGTGAAGGGTACATGGGAACGCTCTGTACTCTTGTTGCGTCTTCTATGTGAGTTTAAAATAATTTCACAATTTAAAAAGTAATTAAAACAAAGGAGCAAAAGGGAAAGAGAATTTAGCCAGAAATATCTTCATGAGCAGAAGTAGTTTTTAAATCAAATAAAAAGGGCAATTCTGTATTTCCTGTGCCTTTTATTCTGCCCTTGCAGAGACGTCTGGCAAACAAACAATACAATTATGAACATTATTAAAGATAGAGATAAAAACAAATAGTAGCTGAAATAATAATTAATGGAGGTTTTAAATTGTTGATTTTAAAGTATTTGAAACACAGAGAAGTACAAAGAATAACATGAATTACCCATGTACCCACTACCCAGATTTGCCATAGTTTTATTTAATCTTACTTTTTAACAAATAAAATATTACAATTAATATTTGAAGCCATCCCCCCACCACTGAAATCTCGTTTCTTTTCCCTTCTGTCCCCAGTGGTAGCCACTATTCAGAAACTGGCGTGTGTCCATCACACAGACTTTTATACCCCTTACTGCCCGTTAGTGTATGTATCCATAAGCAATATTCAACATAGTTTTTGTTTTTTTTTTTTAAAGTTTTACATAAATGGTGTCATACTCTGTATGTTGAAGAATGTTCAAATGGTTATTTTGAGGTGAAAAGGAAATCAATGTCAATTTACTGTGAATGGCCACACATGATTATTTTCATTTTCATGAGGGTATGTATTTCAAAATTAAAACTTTCCTTCCTCCCTAACCTGGAAAGTTGGGCAGCATGGCACAACTGCACTAGTTTAGAGCTTTTGTGACTGTGTTTTAATTTTGAGATTTATTTAGTGGGCTCATATTGAAGTTTCTTCATCTTTTGCTTTGCAGAGGGCCATATCATTCGAGGGAGCAGAGCACTGACAGTGGCCTGGGGTTAGGGTGCTACAGTGTCCCCACAACTCCGGAGGACTTCCTCAGCAATGTGGATGAGATGGATACAGGTAGGAGCAAAGCCTGCAAGCACTTACAATGGGTTTGTGTTTTTTAAATGATCTCTTCGGTTATCTCAATTTTATTTTTCTTTTATTTTATTTTTATAATTTCAACTTTTATTTTATATTTGGGGGTACATGTGCAGGTTTGCTACATGGTTATGTGATGCCGGGGTTTGGGATACGATTGCTCTCGTCACCCAGGTAGTGAGCATAGTACCCAATAGTTTGTTTTTCACCCCTTGTTCCTCCCCACTCCCAGTAGTCCCGAGTGTCTGTAAAAATGTTGAAAAAAAAAAAAATGGAATGCTTCATGAATTTACATGTCATTCTCATGCAGGGGCCATGCTAATCATTCCAGTTTTAGTATAGGTGCTGCCAGAGCGAGTACGGTCATCTCAATTTTAAAATCCAACCAGAAACACTCAATCTCAACGACAACATAAAATAACAGCTGAAAAGCCACTGAACCCCCAGGCACTATTAATAAACTGTAGCCCCTTCCTCATAGATTATACAAGTATAGTTTTACATCTGGGCGCAGGATTTTAAATTCTGTTGTTTTTTTTTTTTAATTCATCTTTGCTCCATATAGTCCCTTCCTCACAATTGCATCAAGACACCACTGTTTGTTTGCCATGTTTCCACATTGGGGTATTTATGCTGTTCTAGTTTTTAGTTGTAATATATGGGCCACCCTTTCTCCTGGAAAGTGACACTGGTTTATAGTTCTAGTATCCAATTTTTTTCATGTCATTCACTGCATTTGAAAAGCAATTGGCAGTGGGTATTTGGAATGCTGAGCAACTCAGAGGATTCAAAATTGTCACTTCCAAGTTCCAACATGGTAACGACATCCTCCCTCAGGAATTAAAGAGAAGAGAGTCAGGGTTACTCTTACCTTGTCCCCAGCCTGTGCATCCTTCAGGTCCAGCCTCACCAGGCTTCCCGATTACCTTTCTTTTTCTCCTTTTCTCAAGGAGTGAGACTTCCAATTGCAGAAACTGAAGTTAGTCTTATTAGCCTTACCTAGACTTAATTATGAAAGTCATAAACTCTAAGAAGATATTCTAGAACCAAAAATAAATGACAGCCAGGGTGTCCACTATTTGGAGTTATTCATGAAAGTTCCTTCTCCATTATCATTGACGAAAGTAATTGTTTTGTGTTGAAAATAAAAAATTCCTTCCCCCAAAGTGTTTGCCATAGTGCCTGTAGTTTTTTACACTCTACTCTTTGATGGCTTCTCTTTGTGTTGTGAGTCTAAATTGTTGGAAAGATCAAGAGTCAAACTCATAGCCAGGTGTCTTACAAATGCAGTACATTAAAGCTGCTCCCCTGGCGTCTTTCGTGTAGGTTGTCATCTTTGCATTGAGAAGATTGCAAAGACTATCTTGTGAGGAGTGACACAGGAATAGTTTGCACTGATTGTTTTACTGTTCTTCAGTTTATTACTTCAGTTCTTCCCCCACCACCACCCCCTGCCACCTTTATCTCTCTCTCTGCTTTTTGAGTGTGAGATTTATTTTGCTATCTTTGGAATAGCCTTAGGAAGTGGCTCCTTCCTATGTTTAATAATTCTTTACTTTCATCTTCTAAACACTGGGAAGCCAGTAAGGATAAAAAGCAAAGTTAAGGAAAAAAGCTCAGGAGATCTAAATCTAAGTTTGACATTCAAAAAAAAAAAAAAAAAACCATAAAAGAGGATGGATTCTACTCTATGTCTCTTTAAAATAACCTCAAGTGGGTAAGTAGGGAGTGTTTTATTTTGAAGCCGTAATGTGGAATTAAATGACGTCCTGAAAAGAACATAGTTTTAGCCAACAGGCAGCCTGATTTGAATCCTTGCTTCTCCATTCCTAGTAGCGCCTTTGGGTAAGTTGCATAACCTCCGTGAGCCTCAGATTTCTCACCCATAAAGTGGGAGTGATATGCTCACGGCAGAGTTGTGAGGAGTCATGAGATCACAGAGACCAGCTCAAAGTGCTCTTCTCCAGTAAGAAGACTGATGTCATACATACAATGGACTTGATAATGTCAGAGTGCCACGTTAACCTGGTTAAGTGAGAATCAGCTCATTGAGTGTGGGAATGTGAGTGCCAAGTTAACCTGGTTAAGTTAGAGTCAGCTCATTGAGTGTGGGGCCACCTCTGTGAAGTCTTTGTAGGAACTGGACATACATCTTCTCAAGGGGAGAAATGTTAATTATACAGTAGCAAAATGAGGGAAGCTGTGGGGGCAGGCAGAGCTCAAGTGTGGCTAGAAAAGATCTATCAGGCCTGTGGACCACGCGCTGGCCACATGCTGAAGGGAAACGAGCCAGCTGAGCACTCCATTTGCAAAACATACATGGCAGCAACAGCTGGGCTTGGTGCGAAGATCCAGTAAAGGGAATAACATGAGCAAAGGCTGGGAAATCATCCATCCTTCCAGAATATTCTGCAGTAATCACACCCTTTTAAGAATTGCCTTGTGGCTGGGCACGGTGGTTCACACCTGTAATCCCAGCACTTTGGTAGGCCGAGGTGGGTGGATCACCTGAGGTTGGGAGTTCAAGACCAGCCTGACCAACATGGAGAAATCTTGTGTCTACTAAGAATACAAAATTAGCTGGGCGTGGTGGCACATGCCTGTGATCCCAGCCACTCGGGAAGCTGAGGCAGGAGAATCACTTGAACCCAGGAGGCGGAGGTTGCAGTGAGCCGAGATTGTGCCATTGCACTCTAGCTTGGGCAGCAAGAGCGAAACTCCATCTCAAAAAAAAAAAAAAGAATTGCCTTGTGTTTGTCTCTTCCACTTTTTAAGTGGATAAACTGCAAAGACCAAAAAGATTACTATGAGATTGCAGAGCTGCTTCTATTTTAAGATTGTTAACTTTAATGAAGAAGCTTAGCCAGTATCCTCATGCCTTCCATCCTGAGAAGAAAGGATAAGAGTAATTTTTTTTTTTTTTTTTAATACGGGGTCTCATTCTGTCACCCAGGCTGGAGTGCAGTGGTGTGATCTCAGCTCATTGCAACCTCTACCTCCTGGATTCAAACGAGTCTCGGGCCTCAGCCTCCTGAGTAGCTGGGATTACAGGGGTGCGCCACCATGCCTGGCACTGTTTTTTTGGGGTTTTTTTGTTTGTTTGTTTGTTGTATTTTTAGTAGAGACAGGGTTTCACCATGTTGGCAAGGCTGTTCTTGAACTCCTGACCTCAGGTGATCCACCCACCTCGGCCTCCCAAAGTGCTGGGATTACAGGCATGAGCCACCACACCCGGCCTAGGAATTCTTTAAAACAGAGATTTTGCTTGGCTAAAAATTATATTCTTGAGTATCTGAAAGTTAAAATGGGAAATTAGTAAAAATGAATGATTCTAACTGGAGATGAAGAGAAAAAAAGGCATCCAGCACATTAGATCAGATTGTTTTTTAGACACTTTTTAAAGCCTCATTTTTATCTGTTACACTCTAGTAAGTAGAAGAAAGTTATTTTGGATTTTGTTTTTTCGTTTAACGTTATTTTTCAATATCAGTAACACTATATTGAGGTCATATTGTTGAATTTGATTTAATTTTTCAGTTTACTACCCTTTGCAATGAAAATACTGTAAAATGTTACCCAGGAGTCATTTATATTTTGTGACTTCTAGAAAAGCCATTGTGTTTTGCTATCACCAAAATCCAAATTGGATGATGGTTCCTTCATCATTTGGAAGGATATAATTTTTCTCCCTGGAAAACACAGATTGCTAAAGTGAACTTTCGGCAATTTTGCTTAAAATAGTGAAACTTCCCTACACACGTTTCAGGAAGGCTACTGCACTTGTAACACACAAAAGATAATTTAACAAGTTTTTAAAAAATGACGTTATGGTGGAAGCTGGCCTTAGTTATCAATGCTTCTCAATTTTTGAAGTAGATATTATCTCTTCAGAAAATTGTTTGGGACTTTTTGAATTAACCTGTTGTTTTGATATTGTGTAATTAATAGTGGCTGAAGACCTGGGTTTTTCTTTCTCTCAGGACAATGAACATTTATTATATTTTTGTATGTATATAACTTTGTATATATCAATGACACCCAGAGCCATGGATATGTGGCAGACACTATATGGCACTTTACTCTAACTTTTGTAAAAGGAGCATATGATCCCAATTTCTAGATGGGTAAACTGAGAATCAGGCAGGTTAAGTGTGTCTAAGCTTACACAGCCACAAAGCTCGATCTAATGACACCAAAGTCAGTAGTGCATTCTGTCCCATACTATGACACATAAAGAACCTATATTCTTCATGTCATATCCCAGACACCTACTTTTCCTCTAGTACAGCATTTTCTCACCTGTGTTCTGTAGAACTTCAGTTTTATTTGAATACACATACTGCCAAAATAGGTTTAGGTGATTAAATGGGTTTAGGAAATAGTGTCTTAAAGAAAACAAAAGATTTCTTTACTCTAAGACTTAAAGCCTTAACATGCTCATATGCACTGTGCTCATATGCTTGTGAGAAAGGCAGATAGTTGTAGGGTGTAGGTATTACAGAAAGAGGGAAAACGTCTGCAGAACTGCCTTTATAAATGATGCCTAAAGTCATCAATGAAGACAACTTTTTAATAGCCTGGTTAAAAGAAGCTTCACACCATTCTCTTTGAACATAAAGAAGGATGGTATGGGTAAACCTAAGCTTACAATGAAACCTGTAGATTATAGTTCTGTAATAAGCTGTTTATTACAGACAAGGCCTCTCTACTCTTTTGTAAAACAGTTCTTCACACCTTTGTCATGGGAAGGCACAGATCATAGATCAGATCCACAGTGCCTTTCACATGCTCCTTTCTTATCTCCTTGGCCTTTTCCATTCTGGACCACACCTATCCAGAAATAATTTTCGATTTCTTCCACATCTCTGTACCTCTTATGAGTAAGGGTCAATAATGTGGTAGTTGAAGACATGAAGGTGAGGGTTATGTAAATACTTGAACTGTTCCTCCTTCAAGAGCCTAAAAGAAGGAATTAAAATGGTTTCTTTTCATTTTGTTATAGGAGAAAACGCAGGACAAACACCCATGAACATCAATCCCCAACAGACCCGTTTCCCTGATTTCCTTGACTGTCTTCCAGGAACAAACGTTGACTTAGGAACTTTGGAATCTGAAGACCTGATCCCCCTCTTCAATGATGTAGAGTCTGCTCTGAACAAAAGTGAGCCCTTTCTAACCTGGCTGTAATCACTACCATTGTAACTTGGATGTAGCCATGACCTTACATTTCCTGGGCCTCTTGGAAAAAGTGATGGAGCAGAGCAAGTCTGCAGGTGCACCACTTCCCGCCTCCATGACTCGTGCTCCCTCCTTTTTATGTTGCCAGTTTAATCATTGCCTGGTTTTGATTGAGAGTAACTTAAGTTAAACATAAATAAATATTCTATTTTCATTTTCTGCAAGCCTGCGTTCTTGTGACAGATTATACAGAATTGTGTCTGCAGGATTGATTATGCAGAATACTTTTCTCTTTCTTCTCTGCTGCCCCATGGCTAAGCTTTATGGGTGTTAATTGAAATTTATACACCAATTGATTTTAAACCATAAAAAGCTGACCACAGGCAGTTACTTCTGAGGGCATCTTGGTCCAGGAAATGTGCACAAAATTCGACCTGATTTACAGTTTCAAAAACTGTATTGATGACAGTAGTACCAAATGCTTTAAAAACTATTTAACTTGAGCTTTAAAAATCATTGTATGGATAGTAAAATTCTACTGTATGGAATACAATGTAATTTTGAATCCATGCTGGCTCTGATGGCTCTTATTAGTCTGTATTTATAAAGGCACACAGTCCTATTGTAGCTTATCTTTCGTTATTTTACTGCAGAGCATCTAGACAACTTAGTCCCTCCAGCGGGAAAGTAGCAGCAGCAGCATTAGTCACAGGTCTTACACTACAGATCTTGTGAAAGAGACCAGTTTGGTACTAATTATGAGCATTTTATTCAAACAAAAGTTTTTGAAATATTACAACTGGGGATTTAAAAAATTGCAGCTTAGAATCTGATGGTTTTTTTTTTTCTTGATGTTGTTTGTTTGTTTTTGAGATCGAGTTTTGCTCTTGTTGTCCAGGCTGGAATGCAATGGCACAATCTCGGCTCACTGCAACCTCTGCCTTCTGGGTTCAAGCGATTCTCCTGCCTTAGCCTCCCGAGTAGCTGGGATTACAGGCACCTGCCACCACGTCCGGCTAATTTTTTGTATTTTGAGTAGAGACGGGGTTTCACCATAATGGTCAGGCTGTTCTCAAACTCCTGATCTCAGGTGATCCACCCATCTCGGCCTCCCAAAGTGCTGGGATTACTGGCGTGAGCCACCGCACCCGGCCTTGATGTTTATTTTATAAAGCACTGTAATTTTGTAGCTGATGACAAAAGGCAGCCAAATGTTTTTGATAAATCAGTGGCAACTGTATTTTTGTCTTTTGAAATAACTCTGAAAACATCAGGACAACATAGATTTCAACCTGATAGCACACCACACACAGTGAGCTGTTGCTTTTTAAATTCTGAAGCCTTGTCAGGTTTGCTTCCTAGATTTCAAGTGTTTAAAATAATTCTATCTATGAAACTGAAGGATGAAGCAGATCTCTGACTGACATGTAAAAAAAAATGCCCTTTGAGGGTGTATGGTGGAGATAAATGTTTCTGAATTCAGTAAAATTGATTCCTAAGTATATTATCCTAATCCTGTTTGCTACAGTTGGTATAAAAAGGCATGAAATATGTATTCAATACCTCTTATGTAACCAAAACCATTTTTAATTAGCTTTTAAGGACTGAGAGAGCATCATGTTCAACTGGCATGCAGTCTGCCTGCATTGCCAATGAAGTCCTCAACTGTTTAATATTTTGAACTAATATTATTTATAATCTATGAATTTAATCTTTTTTGAAAGACTTTAATAATTTGAGTCTCTGAGAGGATACTTTCAATTTCCATGGGGGACTTATTTGTTGGGGATCTTAAATAAGATTCCTTTTGATCTACCGGAATATACATGTACAGAGTACATTGGATCATGTTGGAAAGAAGGCAAGTGAAAAGGTCAGAGATGAAGTAGCAAAGTTATGGAATATCGTGGAAAGGATACTAGTTGTGAAATGGAAAGAGACAAGTTATAGTACCCCAAAAGCAAAACAAGCAGGAGATGCAAGAGATGCCCCAAAAGGACAAAGCAACAATTTTCTGTTGCCACCTTTATACCGGAAGACTCTGTTGTAGAAGAAAAGAAGGCTTTGGTGCACCTTATGTGGGAGGAGGAGGGGCAGGGCATGCTGATGCTGAGCGTACAGGCAGACAAGAGCGTAGCCTGCTGTTGCCTCCATCACTATGAAATGACTTATTTTACCTGAAGGACCCATGGTTTATGTTCCTCTAATTCCTTTCACTCTCCCTAAGCCCTCTGAGAGAGATGAAGATAGATGATTTTATTGCTACTAAATTGAAGGGAGCACTATTTCTTTTTGTCTTTTGTTAGCAAAAAATTGCAAAAAGAATTGTACATTCTTGCTAAAAATAAATAAATAAATAAAAAATTAAAAAAACAAGGGACCTAACAAAACTCA
Source organism: Homo sapiens (assembly GCF_000001405.40). NCBI lineage: Eukaryota > Metazoa > Chordata > Mammalia > Primates > Hominidae > Homo > Homo sapiens. Next base: position 149,518,419 of record NC_000003.12, on the reverse strand, counting down.
GCAGTGTTACTGTATTTTTAAAAAATATTTTTATAGACTCATTTTCAGGTTATTAAATGTAAGAGAAACAGATACCCCTCTTTTTTAAAGTAGGTAAATCATTGATGATTTATATTACCAATTTTTAGAAGTAATTTTCTAGTAAGCTTGTGGCATCAGAAAATACTAGAAGATTTTTTTAGTTAAATTAGTTAGAACATTTATGAATGAATATAATAAATATTTTTTCAGAATAAAATATGGACCCTTTGTGTTTACTAATAGATAAAGCCAGATATAATTTTTTGTTTTTAAGGCCACAAAATATGGCCTTTGTTAAAGAACACTAAAGTTAGAAATCTAAAGTTAGAGCAACTTTTTAATGGCTATTTCCTATTATTGTAAGTGTTAAAACCCCTGCAGAATTCTTGATAAGGTGCTATTTATACTATATTTCTTATTATAAGATAACTGTCTTTAGTCTTCTTAGTACTAGTCTTTTTAGTACTAAATCAATCAGTAAACATCATCATTTCACCCCAAAATTTTGTCACAGAAAAGGCGTATCAAATGAAAAATAATTTCAGAGATCTTTCTTTCAAGATATTTTTTCCTGATAAAATACATTGTCTTGAAGTAAATACATTGTCAAAACCTAATTGCAATTCTGTTAAATCTAAGTAATTTTTAGACAGTGTTTCACCGTATTATTTAGGATGTGAAATGCCATTTCTTTCACTGATTACACCATATACAGGAAACAGGTAAAACAGTGAAAACTTTATTGTGCTGGTTGATGCCAACTTGGTTGAAAAGCTCTCTGCAGAAGAAGTGATCTAGACTGACAGAAGTGTTGCTAATTACAAGTTGTGTTCTCATGACGTAATTAGAAAGTAACTTCTCAAAGTACAACTTTTATGAAAAAAATAAGCTGTTAAAAAAAGGAAATCGTAGGTTAATTTAATTGGGAAAATGGGCAATTGACAGAGACCATTTTCCTAACACATATATGTGCTAGTACTTTAACTTTTTAAAATTTTACTTCTACGTTTTGTAATATAAAAATTTCTATTTTAAGTTTAGAATGTTATACGTACCGAAAGTATGCAGCCAAATCGATCAGATCAAACCATTTTACCTGGAGTTTGGTACTGGTTTTTACTTCTCTGAATCTGTATAAGAAAAATAAAGACAATTGAACTTCCACTTGGAGCTTTTGACTTTTCATTATTTGTCTGTGTTCCTTTTACTAGGGGATTTGGGTGGTACTGAAGACAGGCTTATGTAACCCTCCTGGCAGACAATGAAAGAAAGAAAAATCTGCAGGCAAACAATTTCTTGGCTCACGTGCCTGGCCTTCAACATTCTAAATGTTCACAGAATTCTAGTTTCCACTTTATTTACAATGTCCACTGAGGTTTTTAAAGGTGTATATATACACCTTTAAAAATAAAAACATATACCTTTAAATATATATATATCACATCATTGTCCTCCCAACACCCTCACAGATTTGACAAGACCATCAAAAATACAGGATTCTTGCTGGGCACGATGGCTTATGCCTGTAATCCTGGCAATTTGGGAGGCTGAGGCGGGAGCATTGCTTGAGCCCAGCAGTTTGAGACCAGCCTGGGTAACATTGTGAGACCTTGTCTCTACAAAAATATATAAACATTAGCCAGGTATGGTGGTGTAGAATATACAACAAACTCTTATAAACCAATAGAAAAAACAAACAGCCCAATAGAAATATGGATCAATAATGTGAATGGAAAGTTTATAGAAGATGAAACTGGCTGGTGACTAATTTACCAACCTCATTCCAAATCAGAAATTTAGATAAATAATGACTGAATTCCCAGTGGCTCATAGGCTTGCTGGAACTCTTTCATTGACCTAGACTCTGCAACCTTTTCCTACTGGCTGTTTTTGAAATCGGTTTCTTGTAACTTAAAAGTTTGAGTTGATAAAACCTTGAACTGTAATTAGCAGAGAATTGTGTTTAGAAATATTTATTTATAGGGGTCACAGATAGAATATGCTGGGGAAGCTTACGTGTCCTAAATAACCTTTTCTGCTTGTAAGTCATTAGGTCAAAGTAATGCATGGCACATTGGTTTGCAGTTTGAGGACCAGAAGTAAGGTGACAACTCTCCTGGTTTGCCCAGGACTAAGGGCTTTTCCAGATTCAGGAATTTCAGTGTTAAAACTGTCCAATCGGCCAGGCGCATGGTGGCTCATGCCTGTAGTCCCAGCACTTTGGGAGGCAGAGGTGGGCGAATCATGAGGTCAGGAGATCAAGACCAACCTGGCCAACATGGTGAAACCCCGTCTCTACTAAAATACAAAAAATTAGCCGGGTGTAATGGCGGGCGCCTGTAGTCCCAGCTACTCTGGAGGCTGAGGCAGGGGAATCCCTTGAACCCGGGAGGCAGAGCTTGCAGTGAGCCGAGATCATGCCACTGCACTCCAGCTTGGTGACAGAGTGAGACTCTGTCAAAAAGAAAAAAGAAAAAAAAAAAACAAAACCCAAAACAACAACAACAACAACAACAAAAAAAAACTGTCAAATCAGGAAACGTTGGGAAGTATGTATCATGTAGTCATTGGCAGGATGGGCTACATAATTTGCGGGACCTAGTGAAAAATAAAAATACGGGGCCCCCTGCTCAAATTTAAAAGAACTTCAAGATGGTGGCAGCAGAGCATTACACCAAGCGTGGGGCTCTTCTGAGTGTGGGGCCCTGGGTGGGGGCAAAGGATTTATAAAAAAGAAATAATTATAAGCATTAATCTGGGAAATTATCAGCATTTTCTCCTAAAACAGCCTCTCACCAAAATTTCCAGGCAGCTAGTGGTGTTTCTCATAGTTGGAGAGAGTCAGGTGGGTCTGGGGGCCCTGGCCCTAAGTCAGATTTGGTTTCTCCTGAGGGAACTAAAGAATACAGAATTCTTAAGACCTTCTTTCATTGACATCCCCCAATATTCTGAGTCAGCAATACCAACCAACCAGGAGGGAGAGAGAGAGAGTCCATTAATTGAATCGTCAGTAAGTACTTGCTGAGTTTCTGGCATGTTGAAGGCACTAAATAGTCATAGGAAAAACAAGGATGAAGAAAACTCAACCCCATGGTTTAATCGGGGCCATACATTATGGGACAAAGAGTTATAGGAGCTCAAGGTAGAGAAGGAAAAGAGTTGTGAACAGTCGCAAATAGGTCCCGATGTCTGAGCCTTATTCACCAAGGAGTTTCCCAGGCATTTCAGGTAAAGGAGACAGCCTACCCGAAAGCACAGAATTTTAAAAGAGGAGTGACAAGAAGGTCTATGGCCCTGGAGAGCGAGAGTGTGAGGGCAATAAGGTGGGAGCTGAGACCGAACAAGGTTGATGGAGAGTAATCCGTGAAAAAGTTTGTATGCTTTGAGTCAGAGTTGGAGTTTATCCTATACAATAGAAGCCACAGGAAGATTTTTAATAGTAGAGTGACTTAAAGAAAACAAGTGAAAAAGTGAAGATGAACCAAAATGGAGAGGAGTTGGCGGCCCTCTCCTTGTACAAGGATCTATTTGGTACTATGAGCATAGGAAGGAATTGAAACCATGGCCTCTGCCTCCACAAAGCTTATATACTACTGTGTATTTAGCACAAAGTTAATGCTAATAAAGATTAGGAGAGAAAGATCATTTGGGGCTTGGTGGTGAGGTAACATCAGGGAAGCCAAGGCAGAGACTTCTGGGAATGGAAAACTGGTAAACAAAGGCACAGGAGGAGAAATGGAAGGGAAACAATATATGCTGACAACCTACTGTGTTCTGGAGCTAGGCGTCATTACTTCCTATATGTGTGTGTATTTTTATTGGAATAGGATTACACTTTAAGAGTCAGGTAGGCAGAATTGACATCTTTATAATTCTAAGTCTTTCGATTCCATCTCTTTTCTCAGCTTTCTCAGAAATGAGATCTGAAGATGAGTAGACAAACAAACGAAACCCTCAGTAACCTCAGTCTTGGAAGTCAGGCACTAATGCCAGCACTATCAGAAATAATAGATACAATTGTAATCTCCTGAGATCTGCTTAAGCTTTTTAGGTCTCATTCTTTATTCTCTTTACCTATAAAAGCCTCCCTTTGCTATGGTCTAAAACTCTCCCATTCTATCTTCTTCCTTAGTGTTTGAACGAATGTTCTACATTTGTTCATGTACACAAACACACACTCTTTTTTTTCTATTTTTTTTTTTTTTTTTTTTGGAGATGGAGTCTAGCTCTACGGCCCAGGCTGGAGTGCAGTGGCATTAGCTCAGCTCAGCTCACTGCAACCTCTGCCTCCTGGGTTCAAGTGATTCTCCTTCCTCAGCCTCCCAAGTAGCTGGGATTACAGGCACCTGCCACCACGTCCAGCTAATTCTTGTATTTTTAGTAGAGATGGCGTTTCACTGTGTTGGCCAGGCTGGTCTCAAACTCCTGACCTCGTGATCCGCCCGCCTTGGACTCCCAAAGTTCTGGGATTATAAGCGTGAGCCCCTGCACCCGGCCCACACTCCTTTTCTTAAAGCACTTCTGAGTCTGATAGCTATAACAGACAGGAGGTTGAGAAACTGATATTTTAACTCTGACTCTAACCTTTATAAATGGCATAACTTCAGCAAGCCAAATTACAAAGCATATTTCTCACTACCCAATCAGAAAAGCTGACACTTCTACCATTAGGATTAGAGTACTCTTTCCAGAAAAAGCCCCCCACCTCCACCAAATATCTTCCCTGGGGAATGATAATGTGATCAATTGGGCTACAAATGGAGAAAACTAATTTGTGGGCTTAGCAGAAGTTAACAGTCATTACTGTCTGCACTCTAGAATGAGAACCAATTTATGGGATTAGCATAGAGCAAAATAAGAGTTTCAGAGTACCAAAATAAGGGTGAAACATTAATTGGGGAAGAGGAGGCCCGGCACATTCCACGTAGCATATTGAGTCCTGGAGAAGGTGAGGTGTGTGAGCACTAGTAAAATGCATGTGTGGGCAGTCTCCTTTACAATTCGCGCTGGGCTTCATTATGACAACAAGTTAAGAAGTTCAGTACTGTGCAGGTATTCATTAATGCCGTGGCCTTAGCCAAGTTTCTTAAAGTCTCAGAACTTAAGTTTCTTTCTTTCTTTTTTTTTTTTTTTTTTGAGATGGAGTTTTGTTCTTGTTGCCCAGGCTGGAGTGCAATGGCCATGATCTTCTCTCACCGCAACCTCCGCCTCCTGGGTTCAAGTGATTCTCCTGCCTCAGCCTCTGGAGTAGCTGGGATTACAGGCATGTACCACCAGGCCCAGCTAATTTTATATTTTTAGTAGAGACAGGGTTTCACCATGTTGGTCAGGCTGGTCTCGAACTCCCGACCTCAGGTGATCCGCCCGCCTCGGTCTCCCAAAGTGATGGGATTACAGGTGTGAGCCACCGTGCCCGGTGGGAACTTCAGTTTCTTTACATGTAAAATTGGCATAATAAAAAAGGGAGGGGTACAATGAGAGAGTGGTGAAGATGAAGAGAAGTGACTTATGTGAAAACCAGTCGTTCATAGATGGTCAATAAATATTCATTCCCTTCTTTGAGCTTTTCCTTCTCTTGGCCCAGGCCATGTCTTTCTCCGCAGCGTTTACCACCATCTAACAGTGAGAGATAACTTACTTTTCGATTGTCCCCCATTAACTTGTCAGCTGCATGAGAGCAGGGATTTTGTTTGCTTTGTACCTAGCACCTTGAGCCATGCCTAACACGGAAACCTTTCCTTTGGACAGTGCAATCTTGGGCTTGTTTGCTGTCACTTCCATGACTTGCATTTATGAGGTTTTTGGAAAATGTTCCTTGATGAGAAAATATTCAAGAAAAATTGGATTATTTAGAAAGATGGGCAAACCTGCTCGCGGAGAAATTATCTGCTTAGTGACCTGTTATCTGCTGCCCTCTAATGGCTGAGCCGAGTCACCATTAGCAGGCGGCAGGTGGCTTTGTCATGGTGTAGTGAGTGACCAGAGCCTGGCTCAGGGGGTGCAGCCGACCAGGGCTGGGAATAGGATGGGGCATTGCTGAAGGGGGAAGGAGAAAGACATGCAGAATACAGACGTGTTTGTTTCCTTCTTTGCACTGACCTATGTGTCCTTTGGTGAGGAGTTCTATGGCTTTTGAGTCAGAATAAAGTTATTAAGTACAAAGAGAAAAAAAAACAAAAAAAACTAAAGTCATTTTCAGAGCAGGGTTCACAGTAGAGTCAATGGCTCACCTGCCTTAGAATTTCCCAAGTTGTTGGTGTAACTGTGAATTTCTCAGACCTCCTGAACCTGAAAGAGACTGAGGTCTGAGACTCTGCATTTGTTCGGTGAGCTTCCATGTGATTCTGGTGCAGTCAAGTTTGACACCTAAGGAGTAATCTCCAATTTTTTTTTTCATCATGGAGCCCCGATGTATGTATGTTTGCTTGTTTATTTTTTAATGTTATAAATTAAATACAAAATGACTGTTCTAGTGTATTGTGTACATTATAAAACATTCACAAAAATGGAAATTTTTAAAGAATAAAAAAATACATTAAAGTTTACATATGAACTTCCCATGCCACATTTTGGATGAGTATAATTTATGATTAAATGTTATGTAACTGATCCTTAGGGTGATTATGATGGCACAACATTCATTTTCCCAAGTTTGTGGCCCCAACATCAATAGGCAGCAGGATTATCTGCAGAGGTTTTATTTCTGCTTCAATAGCATCACGGGAATTCTCTTTCTTCCCCTCTCCCTGTTTTTCTACCTCTCCACAATATTCACATTTGATGCTGGGAAAAGTTGTCATGTTTACTCTCTTTACCAAGCTGATGCTCCTAGTATTGCAATTTCTTGGTAGGAAACTGAGTGTGGACTGGTAAGGGTGTTGGCATCATATAGCCTGCAATGCCCAGGTGCTTAAGCAAACACAAATATACACCCTTGGGACTACTCCAAGACTGAACCAGTTGCAAAATCATCTCCTGTGAAACCCTGCCTAGAAAAAGCTTTCAATGCATAATTAGACTCTAATCTGGCTCTTAATTTTTCTGGGGTCATGGATCTTTAAGAATGCGATGAAATCTTCAGGCTCTCCAAGGCTGGGAAAAAATAATTCATGTGACCGTAGGTACTATTTAAGAGAGTGTAAACACTTCTGCAGTTCTCAAAGTGTGGAATCTGGGCTGGCAGCATTAGCATCATTAAGGAACTTAATAGAAACGTCCAGCAGGGCATGGTGGGGTAGGTCTGTAATCCCAGCATTTAGGAGGCCAGTGTAGGAGGATAGCTTGAGGCCAAGATAGGAGACCAGCCTGGGCAACACAGCAAGGCCCCATCTCTACAAAAAGAAGGAGGCTGGGTGCAGTGGCTCACACCTGTAATCCCAACACTTTGGGAGGCCAAGGCAAGTGGATCACCTGAGGTCAGGAGTTCAAGACCAGCTGGCTAACACGGTGAAACCCTGTTTCTACTAAAAATACAAAAAATTAGCCGGGCGTGGTGGTGTGCACCTGTAATCCCGCTACTCGGGAGGCTGAGGCAGGAGAATCACTTGAACTCATGAGGCGGAGGTTGCAGTGAATGGAGATAGCACCATTGCATTCCAGCTTGGGCAACAAAAGAGAAACTGTCAAAAAAGAAAGAGGAAGAAAGAAAGAAAGAAAAGAAAGAAAGAAAGAGAGAGAGAGAGAAAGAAAGAGAGAGAGGAAGAGAGAAAGAAAGAAAAGAAAGAAGGAAAGGAAGGAAGGAAAGAAAGAAAGAAGGAAAGAAAGAAAGAGGGAGGGAAAAGAAGGAAGGAAGGAAAGAAGAGGAGGGAGGGAAAGAAAGAGAAAGACAGCTAAAGAAAAAGAAAAAGAAAGGAAAAGAAAGAAAAGAAAAGAAAGAAAAAAAAAGAAGCAATACTCGACCCCCAAGCCTACTGAATCAGCAACTCTGGGGTGGGAGCTGGCACTCTGTGTTTAGCAAACCCCCCAGGACTCGAGTTTGAAAACACTCCAGAACAGTTCTCCAACCTGCTTCCTTATTAGAATCACCTGGTGAGTTAAAAATAAAAAGGACTGATGTCTGATGCCTGGCCTCCAAACTCACTTAATTAAATTAATATACCTGGAAGTGGGGCGGGAATGGACACTGGGATTTTTAAAAGCTCTGCAAAGGAGCTAAGCTCTGTAGACCCAGGCTACTTTTCTCTCCTCCTCCTCCTCCTCCTTCTTCTTCTTCCTTTTAGAGACAGGATCTTGTTCTGTTGCTCAGGCTGTAGTACACTGGTGCAGTCATAGCTCACTGCAGCCTCGAACTCCTGGGCTCAAGTGATCCTCCTGCCTCAACCTCCCAAAGTGCTAGGATTACAGGCATGAGCCACTGCGCCTGGCCCCAGGCTACTTATGACAACTCCAAAACCAGAGCATGATAGCACTAAAGAGGAACTTAGCAACAGCCTGACTCAATTGCTCTCATTTACTGAGAAGGAAACTGAGGCCCAAAGAAATGGGGAGGTTTTCCAAGGCTACACCATTGCTGAGTATCACAGTTAGCACCCAGCTCTCCTTCTCTCCCTGCTCCAGGAAAGGCCACACAGGGAAATATTGAAATCAAAGCACTGTGGAAGAAGCCTGGAAAGTTAAGTTATGCAAGTTTAAAAGTAGCCTGGGAGGTTTAGCGGCTGATCATTGACATCAGCCTCCAGGGGATTTTCCCCTTTGGCCCCATCTCATCAGTACTTGCTGCTCCTTTTCATACAGCTTGGTTCCTTGAGCTTCTCCTTGCCTGACCAGTGGAGTGCAGGAGAGCTGTAGTTCCGCCATTGGACGTCTTTGTGTTGACACTTAGGGGGACAGGCAGGACAGCCAGGTGGTGGGGAGCTTGGACTTGAGGTACAGGTGTCCTAGGTTTAATGCCTGTTCTGCCATGACTAGCTCAGTGTCCTTGGCTTGTTGTGCAACCTCTTCAAGCCTCAGTTTCCTCAGCTTTCAAGTAGGGTGATAATAGCACAGCTATCCCTGAAGGACATGTTTGTACCAGAGTGAGAGCTCTTGGTGGGAAGGTGGGCAGGGGAGAAGGGACAGGATCAGCCCATCACAGAAGGCAGAGATCACAGGGAGTTGCCTTTTCTTTTCTTTTAACTCTGAGGATTATAGAAGCCTGTCTCTGCATTCTGGCCTCTTACACACAGACAAAGTAAAACCACTAAATAGAATGACTTGGGAAATAAAAAGCATAGGAATAAGTGCAGGCTGCTATGTGCAGTTCTCTTCATGAGAGGTGCTTTGAGTAATCATATAAAAATACTGATATTGATTATATTTTAGTTGATAGTTTTCCCTAATTCAGGTGAAATGAACAGTAAAAATTATGCCACTAAAAAGAGTAACACTTTGGCCGGGTGCGGTGGCTCACTTCTGTAATCCCAACATTTTGGGAGGCCGAAGCGAGTGGATCACTTGAGGCCAGGAGTTAGAGGCCAGCCTGGCCAACATGGTGAAAACTTCATCTCTACTAAAAATACAAAAATTAGCCGGGTGTGGTGGTGGGCACCTTGTAATCCCAGCCACTCGGGAGGCTGAGGCAGGATAATCACTTGAACCCGGGAGGTGGAGGTTGCAGTGAGCCGAGATCGTGCCACTGCACTCCAGCCTGGGCTACAGAACGAGACTCTGTCTCAAAAACAAAACAAAACAAAACAAACAACCCCAACAAGCAAAAACAAAAAACACTTTTTATTATTTTCAGTTCTATGTAGGAATCCAAGCATTCCTTCCTAGATGATTTTAGAATTGGTGAGATATCTAGCTCAGTGGTGGAGGGAGTGGACTCACCCTCAGTCAGACCATTTATTTGGCTTTGGATCCTGAATTTCCTATTTGCTGTTTATGGGACCCTGGGAAAGTTATTTATTTTTTCTAAGCCTCACTTTACTTTTATGCAAAATGGGGCTTATCGTTGTTTCTATATCATAGGCTTGTGTCAAATAAAAACAAACATGCACTTAGATAAGGAGAAACACTACTCAAAAGGACTATTGCAATAGGGAAAACACTCCAATCTCAGGAATTTGCAAATGTCTCAGAGACAAACAGAAAAAGATTTTCTTTTATTGGGAGAGGTAGGCAGAGCTTAGCAGAAACGGGAAGTTGGGCAAGCAAGGGGGCAGAGACTGACAGGAACAGTTCTCTGGCTAAGCTGATAATGGGGATTTTCATGCCAGCTCAGGCTTTGGGGCAAGCAGAGCTGGGGCCTGACTAAAGTGTGGTCATGACAAAGCAGAGGGTAAGAAACGGGCAACTGTGAACATGTGGTCAATCACTTGGTCAATCACATCACTTACCAAGGTCTGGGGTTATTTTTATTATGAACGGCCCGATTCCAAAATGCTTGAGCAGCCCTTTCATTTTCCCTTGAGCAGAATAACTTTGTCACACCATCATAACAATGATAACATCCCACTGAGTGAGCACCTACCATGTGCCAGGCCCAGCGCTTGAAAGAGATGCAAACGTTGATGAGATAGTCTCTGAGTTCTCAGTCCAGGGGGAAGAACAAGTTTGGTGACCTAATGTGACACAGGCAATCAGACACGTACAGCGTGTCATGGGAGAATGTGGCAGGTTTTCCGTAGTGTAGAGGTTGAGAAACCCTGACCTAGACTAAGAAACCACACACACACACAGACAAGAAAACTAAAAAGCCACTCTCTTCTCTACATCGGGTACAGCAGTTTGATAATGTGCCAGGCTAAACAGAACTACATTTCCCCAAATTCCCTTTCCTGTGTTTCCTGTTAGGGCGCGCCGCAGGAGGGATTCTTGAAAGTTTTGGAGGCAGAAGAGAAGGAGTATCTGCTTTTTAGCTTGCATGCACGGTTGCTATCCACTGCCTCCCCTCACTGACACAGGACTACTGGGCCTGCAACTGTTCATCTTCCCCAGGATTCTCCTTCAGTGCCTGGGTCTCCTGGGCCAGCCAGTGTGTCTTTAGCTCCGTGACAAAGGGCTCCAGCTTCTGCAGGCACCCATACCGTCAGAGGCAACAAGAATGAAAAGGGTTCCAGTCCACCCTCATGGCTCCAATTCGTGCTTATGGGTTACAGCTTGTTCTTCTCTCTCAGGCTTTACATCCAAATCTGACTGCCCTGTTGATTGCCTGCTCTGTGGACTTCAAGATCCAGCATCAGTCACAAAGACGACTCTCTGACAGAGACTGTTTAACTAGTTCCAACAATTATGTAAGGTCAAATCCCTGTAGCAAATTTGTGTGTGTGTGTGTGTGTGTGTGTGTGTGTGTGTAGACATAGGTATTTGATCTCTGATTGAACCCTGACTGATACATTGGGTTAAAGTCAAGGTCACACTATTAATGTTTCTAACACAGGAAAAGGTAATTTTGTAGAAAGGTGGATATTTGCCCCCCTGGGGCCAATATCAGTGGTCCTCCCTCATTAATTGTTCTAAACCCTGGATGTATTCTTTTCTTCTTTTCTTTTCTTTTCTTTCTTTTTTTTCCCTAAATCATCTTTGGATGCTTAGACTGGGAATAAATTATGGTGTGTCCTAGAATTCTCTTTCCTGCATTTTAAGAGTTGAGTGCCAAGGCAGTTATTCCATGTCGTGGTGACTAAATTGGAATGTACTGCAAGTGTTTTGATTTCTTTTTTATGAGATCAAACCAGAATCTTCAGCCATATCCTGTTGCCTCCTGGTTCTCTGTAGATTAAAGAATCATGTTTGTTTTGGAATGCTCTATTTAACCCTTTGTTTTTTTTACCCCCATCTGGAGATCCTCTAGAGCCTCTGTGTCTTCCTTAATCTGCTCAGAGCAGAGCTGTCCTCAGACACTACTGGGTTTGAACAGTGAGAGGAGAAGCTGGATGTCACTCACACTAACTTTGTTCAGCACCTTGTTATAATGGCTTTTTGCCGACAACTGTACATGTGGCTGATGTGTTTGAGTATGATCCACAAATTCGTTTCATCCCTTTTTTCCCATCATCACCAATAGCTCAGGTCCATCAGCATATTATGTATATGTAGCTGGGTGATATTTTGAGATAATAATTTAGGTTTTGTCTTGCTAGTATTTCTCTTTTTCCTTTCCTCTATTCAAGTGGATTGTTGGCCCTGTGCTCATCAGCCCAGTAGAATGCTAAGGCAGGGTGGAAAATCCCAAGAATGACCCAAGGTAAAGCCTGGTCAATGGCATTCAGAGCTAGAAAGCAAATGTGGTTATAGAAAATATAATTTTAGTTTTTATACTCATGGATCTGTGTACTGAGACCACTCCGGCCTCATGTTTAATTTTCACATAGACATCCACTTTCCTACTTGTTTTGTCAACTCTTTTTTAAAATTATTGTTATTATTATTTTTTTTTAGATGGAGTCTCATTCTGTCACCCAGGCTGGAGTGCAGTGGCATGATCTTAGCTCACTGCAACCTCCGCCTTCCAGGTTCAAGCAATTTTCCTGCCTCAGCCTCCTGAATAGCTGGGATTACAGACACCCACCACCACATCCGGCTAATTTTTGTATTTTTGGTATAGAAGGGATATCACCATGTTGGCCAGGCTGGTCTCGAACTCCTGACCTCAAGTGATCTGCCCACCTCGGCCTCCCAAAGCGTTGGGATTACAGGCATGAGCCACTGCGCCCAGCCTTAAATTACTTTTTTAGGTTTTTTTTTTTAGCCTGTCACTCAGGCTGGAGTGCAGTGGCATGATCACGGCCTCCACCTGCCATGCTCAGTGAATCCTCCTGCCTCAGCCTCCAAGTAGTTGGGACTAGAGTCATGTGTCACCACGCTTGGCTAATTTTTCTGTTTTTTTGTAGAGACAAGGTCTTACTATGTTGCTTAGGCTGGTCTTGAACTCTGGGCTCAAGTGATCCTCCTGCTTTGGCCTCCCAAAGTGCTGGGATTACAGGTGTGAGCCACTGCACCTGGCCTTGTCTATTCATTTTTGAAATCTTCTTCAGTTTATTTCAGGGCAAAGGACACTACTTCACTTAGAGAGTGCAGGAGAAAGAAAATTAAGAGCTCTGGGCACCTCCATTCACACAACAAATTTATGAATTGCCGAATATGTGCTAGGTTAGGTACTCCTAGTACCTAGACTTGAATCAGAATATGTGCTAGGTTAGGTACTCCTAGTACCTAGACTTGAATCAGATTCTTTTCTTGCTTCAAGTAACTTGTAATCCAAAGCATAGAAAAATAAAGAAATGTACTCCATTAAGCAAAATGAAGATGGCAACTCCCATAACAGAAGTCTCTGGACAGTCTGAAGACCATCCTTGAGGTGTGTGTGTGCATCTGGAGGTCTCTAAGGGAGAGGCGCATTCATCTTTACTCTTTGTTTCCTGTCTCTTCCTTTTAAGTCTTCTTATCCATGGTAAGCAATTTCCTGTAATTTTATGGTAACTGGTTTTGAAAAATGGCCTTTTGTGAAAACTCGTCAAAGGTTATTTCAGTTCTTCATCTATAAAATAATGAGAGCAGATTTCATGATGACTACAATTTCTTTTTATCTAAAATAATGAATCCCTGCAAACCCCTGGATAAAGAATTGATGCCTCTTAGCCACATTCAAATTCCCTCATCAAAGAACTCAGGCAAGTGAATCAGTCCTAATAGCCCGACATCTCTGATCTTCCGGGACACCATTATCCCGGAACATCATTACCTGGGTCACCGTTTAGTATTTAGCATGTACCACCTTGTATTAATCTGTGATATGTGAGCTCCTGGTGGGCAGTAATGGGATCTGACTCAGTCTTCATCCTTGTGCCTGCAGGTGATGTTCTAAGGCAATGGTTGCTCAGAGTAGCTGGTTTTCGACATCACCTGTTGTGCTTTAAAAAATGAAATGACTGGCAGGGTGCGGTGGCTCATGCCTGTAATCTCAGCACTTTGGGAGGCTGAGGCGGGCAGACCACCTGAGGTCTGGAGTTTGAGATCAGCCTGACCAATGTGATGAAACCCTGTCTCTACTAAAAATACAAAAATTAGCCAGGCGTGGTGGTGGGTGCCTGTAATCCCAGCTACTCAGGAGGCTGAGGCAGGAGAATCTCTTGAGCCCAGGAGGCGGAGGTCACAGTGAGCCAACATGGCTGCGCCACTGCACGCCAGCCTGGGTGACAGACAGCGAGACTCTGTCTCAAAACAAACAAACAATAACAACAAAAAAAAAAAAAAGAAAAGAAAAGACTGACAAAAAAAACAGACTTCCATGTCTCATGCCCCGATTTGCAAATGCAGTGAGTCTAGGCTGTAGCTCAGAAATCTGTAATTTCAGAACATTTCCTAGGTAATTTTGATGATCAGCCATGTTTGAAAACAAATGGTCTAAACTGAATCGAAACACCGTGTGTGTGTGTGTGAGTGTGTGTGTGTGTGTGTGTGTATAGTTCCCGCAACGAGATCTTCAGTGTATCTGCCTTTCTTGCCTCTGCCTATTAAGTTTCAGATGTCAGACACAATCCCTGATCTCATAGAGTTCTCATTGTAGTGAGGGCAAAACTACAGCGTGTAACTCTTTGTATCTTCAGTGCCTAGCCCCGCGGGGGCCAGCACACAGTAGGTGATCATTAATTACTTTATTGATGGCTTTGACAAACCCAGTTTTCAGTGTGCCTGACCTACGTGGTGCAGCCTATTAGCTTGGCAAGGGCAGAAGGGAGACTTTCTGGCTTGGACTTCCCTGAGACCCTTCTTATTGCACACAGTCACGTTGGCAGCACACAGGCCTTTGCTTCACCCTTGGCAACTTCAAAATTTCCAGTATGACTGGTTGTCTCTCAGGTGTCCTTTTACAGATGGGGAAACTGAGACTTTGAAAATAACTGTCCCGGGACCCCTAAGCTGGTTTGTGGTGAAGTTGGGGTTTGAACACAAATCAACAGAATGGATCTGATGCCCTGTTAGTGCCTGACTCATAAAGCCAGTTAGTCTTAATAAGACACATAGAATACTAATACTTATTACCTTAACCCTGGGCAATAGGCTGACAAAATTATTACTTAAATCAATTTTTTAAAAACTTTTTTTTGTTTGATCAAAGGAAGCATTTGTAGAAAAGATGAGTTGTTATTCATTCAACGTTTTGTCCCCCCTCCTAAAACACACACAATCTTTGTTACGTTACCTCTGAATTCAGGTTTTAATTTAACATACATAAAAGAACCCTAGCCATGATGACAGCCTCAAAAGATCAGTCACAAGCAACTCAAGCAAGGCAGCAAAAAAAGACAACAAATAACAATACTTAGGATACATCAATCATTCTTTTTCCTCTTAAAAACAGAAATTGGTCTTAGTTTCTCATTTTAAATGTGCTTTCTTCCTTTGATTTATGTAAAACTTCCAAAGATATAAACATCTTTATATACAAAGAAGTAGTATGGCAGTACATGTGACTTTATACATTTTACATTTGTAATAAAAAAATCATGAAAAGTATGCTTTGAACCTGTTGGTAAATTCTAAAAAGGAACTAATTTGAAAGATTTATAAATCAAATTTGTTAAGTGGCCAAACTATTTTTTATTTGAAAATAACAAAATTCTAACTCGAGCAAAGCTGGTTGGAAAGAAGGAATAACTGCCTTTTCTAAGCTTTATCAGCTAGGAAGCAGATAGGAATTAATAATTCCAAGAAGAGAAGAAGTTTTATGAAAAGAAATTGTAGTCGTCATGCTGTAGAGTCTGAGCAGCTCATCTCGGAGGTTTAAACGGGTCCATCTCCCTAGAAGGTAGAAAAGGTGAATTAACTATGATGTCATGATTTATGTAAATTTTTGCTTTTCCCCTCCTTCCCATCCCCATCACCTGCCTTCCTCCTGGCTCTTAATGGTTGCCTATTGAATGTTTCCTATACTTTTCTGGCTTTGTTTCAGGGCTTTACTCTGGCACCCACCTGTGTTGAGGTTATAGGAATGGAAGCTTCATTTTGTTTTGCATCATGTATTTATTTATTTAGTCCTCAAGGAAGTTACATTTTATTTATTTATTTTTGTTTTATTTTGTTTTTAATTTTTTTAAATTTCAATAGCTTTTGGGGTACAAGTGGTTGTTGGTTCTGTGGATGATGAATTAGGTACTGATGAATTCTGAAACTGCAGTGCACCCATCACCTGAGGAGAATACATTGTATACAATATGCATCATTTATTTAAAAAAATAATTTGGTAAGAGGTGCTGAGAGACCAAGTGCTATGTGGAAAGCCACCACTAACAAGTAGGAGAGCTGGGATTTGAACCAGGGAGGCAGAACCCAGAGATTGTGTTAAAGGAAACTTGAAGCTATGCTACCTCACTGACTTTCATAAGGTTAGTAAATAACATTCAATGCCATTTACTGAGCCTTCTAAGGATTCAAATGAATTCATGCTTGTCACCCTGTACTAGGCACTCCATTGACAACCGTAGGAGTAGGTATTAATAGCCACATTTTACAGACAAGGAGCAGTTGAGGGCTACTGACTGGGCCAAGACCACACAGCTGACATTCAAACCAGGTCTCATAGCATGTATTTTAAGGCACATTCCCAACTACCACTTCATTTAAGGACTGTGCCAGGCTCAGGAAGCTCTCAGTAAATACTTTCCGCCTGAATGGATAGATGTTGATCTTACACTCTCTCCATAAGTTAGGCAAGAGGCAGTTGGAATAACTGAGACTATGAGAAGTTAGTCAGCTTGCTGGAGTCACTCAGCTAGTAAGCTGTGGAACTAGGCTGAGAGCCCAAGTCTTTCCTCAGTGTCCTACTGGGGCAGGAATGCTGACCAGCCCCATGAGAGGCCAGCTGCCCAAGAGAAAGGAATCTTCAGCAGACTGACTTTAAAACTGCAGCTCTTGTGCACTGAAATATTTAGTAGTGAAACTTTGTGATGTCCAAAAATTACTTTCCAAGAGTCCAGAAACAGAGAGGGTGAGAAAATATTAAGAATTTTGTGAACATGGGTGAAAGTATACAGGTGTTCATTGCACCATTCCTTCAACTTTATGTAGATTTGAAGTTTTCAAAATAGAAAGTTGGAGGAGGAGTGGGGAGAGAGACAGAGAGGAGAGATGAAGGGAGGGAGGAAGAAAGGAAGGGAAAAAAATGGACAATTCTTGTGTGTACATTCACCCTCTGTGAGTCTCTGGTGCCCATGCACTGATAACCATGGAGTCCATCTACTGTCTTTCAACCTATCGAGTGACTCAGTTATTAAGTTCTCCAAAATATGGTATCCAAATAAATGAAACTCACTAAAAGGAACCAACGTGCTGACACCTATGAATGTGTTTTTAAATTGAGAGATAATTCTCAGATTTAGCAAAGTATTATCAACAATTCAAAGAGTAATCATATTTTCTTTCTTTCTTTCTCTCTCTCTCTTTTTTTTTTTTTTTTGGAAAGGTCTTGTTCTGTTATCCAGGGTGCAGTGCAGGGGCAAGATCTCAGCTCATGCAGCCTCAGCATCGTGGGCTCAGCTGATGCTCCCAGCTCAGCCTCCTGAGTAGCTGGGACTACAGGTGCATGCCACCACATCTGGTTAATTTTTTGTATTTTTAGTAGAGATGGGGTTTCACCATGTTGCCATGGTCAAGACCAGTTCAAAGCTGGTCTTGAACTTTTGGGTTCAAGTGATCTTCTTGCCTTGGCCTCCCAAAGTGCTGGGATTACAGACATGAGCCACCATGTCCAGCCAAAGTAATCATATTTTCAATAAATCTTGCAAAGAAAATTTACCACCCAGCTAAAATATGTAGAAACTGAAACTTCAATATATAATTTAGCAAACATTCATTCACTTTGGATGAATTACAAGATATAAATGCTCAATATTTTCAATCACTATCATAAAAATAATTTTGGTGGATTACTAGTTGGTAGTTGCTTTTCCTCTCTAGTATGTTTAAAGACCAAAACATTTGAATACAATACAGTAGAACTGAAAATTTGTAGAATAAAAATGCAATACACAGTGAAATTTATTTGTAATACACACATTTTACTGCTGATTTGGGGGACTTATTTATATTTTTCATTGAAAAAAGTAATATATAATTATTAAAATTTTTTAATACTATAGGCTAGATTAAAGGAAAAAAGTCAGTCTTCTTACCTAGAAATAATGATTATTTAACTTTTGGTTGGATTTCCTTTAGTTTTTTGTTTTATTTTTCTATTCACAGAATTTTGTTTTTTCCTCCTTGTATAATTGTATATTAAGTACAATTTTTGTATCCTGCTAATAACAGTATCTCATAAGGATTTTCAATATTACTGCAATTTTGGGGGAAACATTCTTTTAAGATAGGGAGAATAAAATAATAAAAAGAGATACTGTGACAAGCTATATAAGAAATTAGGTAACCTTACCTAGGTGAGGAGATTGGAGGGAACTGGCTGGATAGAAGACAAAGGCCGGAGGGAGACTTTCCAACTGAATACCTTTATATATTTCTCTGTGTGTGTATACATGTACATATTTAGTTTTTGAGTTATATACATGTAATGCTTATTTAAAATAAATGTATTTATTTATTTATTTATTGAGACAGGGTCTCACTCTGTCACACAGACTGGAGTGCGGTGGTGAGATCTCGGCTCACTGCAACCTCTGCCTCCCAGATTCAAGTGATTCTCGTGCCTCAGTCTCCTGAGTAGCTGGAGCTACAGGCATGTGCCACTATGCTTGACCTTCTTATTTAAAATTTAAATAAAATAATTTGAGTCTTTTAAAGTTTTACCATAATATTAAGTGAATAGACCTTTATTTACATATATTTACATAATCCCCCAGTTAGGGAACCCTCAAGTTTTATTTTTTTCTTCATACATCAATCTGTGCTTGTAATAACTTTGTGTATGTGTGTGAATAATTGCCTAATTTGATTTGGGTATTAGTTGAAATAATCAGACTGTCTTACTGTCTGCAAGTCTGTTTTTATTTTTAGTAATTTGTTGTTGGTATTTTACAATATTATTTAGAGACTAAAGCCTGAGTGATTTCCCTTTTTTCTTCCCATATAAGAACTACCTCTTTTTCTGTATCAGAAATCATATCAAATATAGGTTTTGCATTGGTATGTTCTGTTCATCTGAGGAAGTGAGAACATGCCAGCCCAGACCGTGATGTACTATCGCTGACACTGTACCCATATGACAAATGCTCACTTCAGGTGGATCTTCATATAAACATCATTGTAAATGTTTATATATAGACAGAGTCCTTTGTCTCTAGAACTACGGTCAACTGGATGTGAGGCTGAAAATTATGGCCAACTTCAGCCTGGGTGTTTTAACATGCTCTGGGTTCCAGTAATGCAATGTGTCTGTCTCCATGAGCTGACAGACAGGGCTGACTGGGCTTCCCAACCTGGGCTGGTTTTCTGCAGGTGGCCACACTTACCCCCTCATTCCTTCAGTGCTGGTGGCCTGACCTGGCCTCCCTTATGCTAGTGGCCTGACCTGGCCTCCCTCATGCTGAGAAGAAACAGCAAAAGCCTGAACTTACCCCACAGCAGCCACAACACTGGCAGTCCCCACAGAGGGTCCCCAGGAGGCCATTGACCACCTGGATGGCGCAGAGAACCATCTGGATTCCTCCTACGACCAGCAGGATGGAGAAGAGGGTCAGATTCCAGGGAACCACATTGAGAGGCTCTCGGCACTTGTTCCATAAGGCCTCATCATTGAGATAATCCCTGTTGGTGATATAGGGGACAAAGGAAACATTTGTAAAAAGTGTGCAATTCCCTCCACTAGAAAGTTACCATAACAATGTTTCTCATGCACTACTTTCCACCCAAAACTAGCTTCACGAGAAAATACTCTGTACTAACAATTTAAATACCACAAAATGTACAGTTTTTATTGAGTACACCCTGTGTGCCAGACCCTGTTCTAATCACTTCGCACATATTCACTCATTTATTCCCCAAAGAAACCTCTGGGTTCTCTTTTTCGGTTTCACAAATAAGGAAGCAGAGGCACAGAGAGGCTAAGTTACTTTCTCCCAGGTCACAGAACTGGCAGAACAATTTTCATTAGCTGTCCAAAAAGACAGGCAAATTCACCATCTATGATGGGGACAGGAAAATAGAGACACTCCAGCAGTAGAATTTCACAAATGTTCACAGCTTTATCCTAGCTATCATTGTTAGAGACCGTTTTGACTTTTGACAGATGACTTGTCAAGTGTAGTGGCCATCTGAAGCCATGTAAAGTACAAATGTGTCATATAGCTAAAGGGAAGAGCCTGATTTCAAGGCCTAATTTTAACCAAATTGTGAATTTGACTCACTATATTTTTGTTAACATGTAGGAATCTCTCACACACAAAGATGTAATTAATTTTCTTCAAAAGGAACAAATAGTCTGTTGCCTTAATACATGTTTTACATAAGCTGTGAATTAGGAGAAACTGCAATATATTTATATTTTATTATATAAAGAGTTTATTGCAATATAAAGGGCATTGTGGCCGGGCGCGGTGACTCACACCTGTAATCCCAGCACTTTGGGAGGCCAAAGTGGGCAGATCACCTGAAGTCAGGAGTTCGAGACCAGCCTGGCCAACATGGCAAAACCCTGTCTCTTCTAAAAATACAAAAATTAGCTGGGCATGCTGGTGGGCACCTGTAATCCCAGCTACTCAGGAGACTAAGGCTGGAGAATTGCTTGAACCCGGGAGGTGGAGGTTGCAGTGAGCCAAGATCATGCCATTGCACTCCAGCCTGGGCAACAAGAACGAAACTCCATCTCAAAAAATAAAAATAAAGGGCATTGTGCCTTGAAGGATAAATGTGAAGTGTACGATTTTGAGACAAAAATGAGTAAAGTGGTAAAATCTTGTGGAATATTATGACTCTTTACATTCTTAGAGCCCCAAATTGGTCTCTTTGTTTCCTCCATCCTTTCAGAGCCTTAATGAAAAACTCTTTATCTATCTACTGAATTAATGTTGATGTTATTGTTTTTAGATCTTTATGATAACCTTCACAGAAAAGGAAGGAATGAACATTTTGCTTTTGATTTCAAAATAAAACATTGTTTATAGCATTGATTCATCTTTCCATAAGAGTACAGGTACTAGCAGCTTGCTAGCTGTGTGCCTTGTGTACTTACCTATAAAATGGGAGTTACATTATCATATCTTAGGGTTATTGTCAGGACTATGTGAGTTAGTATGAGTAAAGTGCTTAGATCAGTGCTTAGCATATAGTAAGTCCTCAATAAAGGCTAGTATTGTCATTATTTTACTTAATCTAAGCAGTCTAGTCTAATGGAAAGAGCTGGTATTTTGGATTCAGATGTACCCGGGTTTGAACCCAAGCATTCCCCTTACTAGCTATGTATTCCTCATGCAAGTTACTCACTTCCTTTAACATCAGTTTCTTTTTCTCTTTTTTTAAAAAAATAGACACGGAGGTCTCACTATACTGCCCAGGCTGGTCTCAAACTCCTGAGGTCAGTCCTCCCACCTTGGCTTCCCAAAGTGCGGTGATTACAGGTGTGAGTCACCACGCCCAGCCAGCATCAGTTTTTTTTTTTTTTAATCTATATAACAGACTAAGAACCACATCACAATTGTGAGAATTCACTGAGATGACATACCTTCTGTATAGTTGTGTGAGATTGTCCTTTTTTATTTTTTTGAGACGGAGTTTCGCTCTTGTTGCCCAGGCTGGAGTGCAATGGCACAATCTCGGCTCACTGCAACCTGTGCCTCCCGGGTTCAAGCGGTTCTCCTGCTTCAGTTTCCCGAGTAGCTGGGATTACAGACACATGCCACCACATCCGGCTAATTTTGTATTTTTGGTAGAGGCGGGGTTTCTCCATGTTGGTCAGGCTGGTCTCGAACTCCCGACCTCGGGTGATCCGCCCAAAGTGTTGGGATTACAGTTGTGAGCCACGGCATCTGGCCGATTGTTCTTTTCAGTACTTTTTTTTTCTCATTAAACTTTGCTATAGAGGGTCTCAAAATTCTGTGGCAGATTTTTGGTCAAGTTGTTTCCATTAAAAAGTACCGATTTTAGAAACTAATAACCTAGCCAGGTGTGGGGACACGCACCTATAATCCCACCTACTTGGGAGGCTGAGGTGGGAGAATCGCTTGAGCCCATGAGGCAAAGTGTGCAGTAAGCTGAGGTTGTGCCACTGCACTCCAGCCTGGGTGACAGAGTGAGACCCCATCTCGAAAAACAAACAAACAACCTAGTAACTTAAAACTGCTGCATGAAAAAAAAAAATCCCAAATGGTCAACAAAACATTCTCCTTTCCTTCTGAAGGTTTTAATTGTTAACATTAACCAGTCTTTTACTATTAAACTTCAACGGCCAAATGAGACAAACAGTTCTGAGGTCATTCTTCTACCACTGATTAAGACTGTAGTGGCAGGTGTTAGGAACAATATTCACTTAGCCTTCTGAGCTTTCTGGGCAGACTTGGTGACCTTGCCAAGCCTTCTGGTCAGCAACCTTCTTGTTCCTGGCTTTGATGACACCCAGAGCGACTGTCTGTCTCATATCACAAACAGCAACATGACCCAGAGGAGGATAGTCAGAGGAGCTCTCAACACACATGGGCTTCCCAGGAACCACATTGATGATGGCAGCATCACCGGATTTCGAGAATTTAAGGCCTGCTTCTTACTAGAACGATGATCGATCTTTTCCTTCAGCTCAGCAAACTTGGAAGCAATGTGACCTGTGTGACTAGCAGCAGAGGGGTGTAGCTAGCACTGATTTGGCCTGGGTGGTGCAAGATAAACACTTCAGCAGTGAAGCCAGCTGCTCCCATTGGTGGGTCATTTTTGCTGTTACCAGCAATGTTGCCATTACAAAAATCTTTGACAGATGCGTTCTTAACACTGAAGCCCACATTTTCCCCAGGAAGAGCTTGCAACATGGTGCATTTCAACAGACTTTAGTTGTAACGTTGACTGGAGCAAAGGTGACCACCATGCTGGGTTTGAGAACACCAGTTTCCACTTAGCACATAGGGACCAATGCCACCAACTTTGTAGACATCTGGAGGGGCAGATGCAAGGGCTTGTCGGTTGGATGAGTTGGTGGTAGGACACAGTCCAGACCTTCAAGCAGCATGGTTCCATTGGCATTGCCATCTTCATGGGTGACTTTACATCCCTTGAACCAAGGCATGTTACTACTTGGCTCTAGCATATTGTCACCATTCCAACTGGAAATTGGTACAGCTGCTGCTGTGCTGGGGTTGTAGCCAATTTTCTTAATGTAAGAGCTGACTTTCTTAATGATTTTCTCATGTCTCTTCTGGCTGTAGAGGGGCTCTGTGGAATCCATTTTGTTAACACCAACAATTGGTTGTTTCATCCCCAGTGTGTAAGCACGAAGGGCATGTTCATGGGTCTGCCCATGGAGATATCGGCTTCAGATTCACCAACACCAACAGCAACAATCAGGATAGCACAGTCAGACTGAGATGTGCCTGTAATCATGTTTCTGATAAAGTCTCTGTCCTGAGCATCAATGACTCATGCAGTACTTGCTGGTCTCAAACTTCCACAGGGTGATGTGTCACACTCACACTCATCTTACCATTTATTCAAGACCCAAGCATACCTGAAAGAGCTCTTTCCCTTCTTAGCAGCCTCCTTCTCAAATTCATCGATGGTTCTTTGGTGATTTATATCATGTTTGTCGATCAGTTGGCAAGTAGCAGTGGACTTACCTGAATCTACGTGTCCAATAACGACGATATTGATATGAATCCTTTTCTTTCCCATTTTGGTTTTGATTTAGGGGTGGTTTTCATGACACCTGTGTTTTGGTGGCAAACCCGTTGTGAAAATGCCTTTTTTTTTCCAACATGAAACACCCATCTTTCTGTTCTGCATTTTTCCATTTAGTCCTTTCTATCTTTACAATTTTAAAACTTGGTAATTATAAAAGGTTATAAAGATGCAATATTTTCCAGGCACACTTTATGAAGAAAAGATCCTGAGGTGAAAGAATTGGCAATCCTGAGTTTCGGGCCTCTTTGGAGAGCCTGCACAGCAGTGGCATGACAGCACCTCCTGGTGGTAGGATTTGTGAAACGTTTACGGCGAACGTAGAAGCAAGGATTGAATTTGGTTGCCTGGAGAAATCATGAGTTCCACTCCTGCTGCAGCCTCACCCCTCACAAACCACCACATAGCCACACTCAGGCCCTTCTTCTCTCCCTTCAAACTCTCTGGTTCTGGCAGTCTTTGAGAGTCTGGCAAAAAAGCCTGTGTTCACGTTCAGTTTGATCACTGTGTCCAACTCCCCAAACCCAGGGAGAGAGGGGTCCTCAGTTTTTCATGGACCTGGCAGTGAAGCAAGGAGAGCAGAAGCAGTTTAGATGCACTTAACTGACATTTTAAAGCATCCAATTATTATGCAGGTATTTCCACCTGAGCTGTAGTAATCCCATCAAAGTGGGAGCAGAAAGGCACGAATTTCACAGAACTCTCTTCTCAGCTGAAGACAGAAACCAGGGGGCCTGAATACGAATGCTTTGCTGGCGCGCTCTGTCTGGTGAATTCAGATGCCACCTCCTCTGGGAGAAGCTCCACAATGCTTCTGCCCTCAGCCTGGGTTTGGTTTCCTTCTGTGCTCCCCAGCGCTCTGTGTTTCCGCCCCTGTTGTACAGAGCCCCTGGACCCTGCGCTGCCATCACCTGTCCATTTGTTTGTCCTCTCTTCAGGACGATAAACTTCCAAGGGCAAAGACCATGTGCCACTGTCTCTGTCCCCAGTTCCAGCACAGGCAGTGCTTCATAAATAGCAGCAGCTCTCATTTCCTGGGTCCTCTAGTGCCAGGCTCTGGGCTAGCTGCTTTCCATCATCTTTCCTAATGCTCCAAGGAGATGCTACTTTATTTGAACAGTGCTTGGCATAGAGTAACCTTCAGTAAACACTCACTGAATGAATGAACATATACCCATTTTACAGATTAAGAAGGTGAGGCTAGTAAATGGAAGTGCCTGGGTTTGAACTTAGGTCTGTCTGACTCCAAATCCAGTGCTCTGACCCATTACACAAATGCCCTTTGTTGGAGTAGTTATTTCCTTAGCATATTTGAAATGATTTATTTATGACATTTGATTTATACATCTATAATAGTATGTGAATCAAGGGTTACTTATATCACAATAAAGAGGTTTTTTTTGAGCCTTATTTATGCCTGGTTGAAATTAAGTCACAGAATCATTATAAAAGCATAACATTTTTAAAGTTTTAATGCATAAAAATAAATTCCATTTACCATAATACTTTATATTCATAAAAATGAATAATAAGGCTGAATCAAGCAAGTATGTGGTAGGAACTGTGCTGAGTGCTTTATGTACCTTGTGTTATTTACTCTTACCTGAACCTGTGAGGTGGATGTTGCTGTTACTCCCATTCATTTCACAGATGAAGCCTGAGAGATAAATGGTATATGGCAGAGGTGTGGCTAGACCCTAAGTCAGCCAAGGGCAAAACTGGCTCCTAACATTTGTGAACTGTTTCTGGTTCATGAAAGCTAAGATTACATGGTGCAAATCCAATCTCATCCTATTAAGGTGGCTTTCAGCTCTTGGGAATATGTTTACAAGCAGCTTATGATGTTCTTTGCTAATAAGTAATTTCTGAAGTGCAAATCCAGATGGTCTTAGCTGAATGTCAAGGCAGAACATTTAACTGTGTTCAGTTCAGTGTCTCGGTGTCTGAACCACAGATGTGAGGGTGCTCTCCTTGCCCTTGACTCTTTCTAAGGAGGTAAAGAGTTGCAGCCTGGCCCAGGAGTGCCATGCATAGCCCCGTCCCTCCCTGACTACTGACCACTCCTGGCTCATCCTCTGCTTCCCCTCCTATGGCTGTCCCCACACCCTGTGCAGGCTGCTTTCCTTTCAGCAGCTCAGGGTCAAGGGAGGGATGGCCAATTGTCTCAGGGAGGAAGACCTTGGATGGGAGGAGGTTCTACTTCAAAGGAAACCAAGAGGGTATATTTCAAAATGCCCAGGTTTCTTTTTCCTTCTAGGGTGTTCTTTAATATGGTTCTCAGGACAGAATGAGTTAACTACTTTTGCTCCCTCCCTTAATATTATCACCAAAAAACATTTCTGAGGAAAACAGTGCTAAATGCTATGGCATTGCAGAGCCCTGGATTTTGTGCACTAAGTTCGAAATCTCAGAGTCCACCTTGATTACCTTCCTCTTTTCTCCTCACACCTAAACCTGATGACTCCATCTCAAACATTCTCTGAAATTTGTCTTTTTTGAGCCCCAATTCTGCTGCCTGGGTGATGTTCATCATCTTATCTGGATTATGATGCCAGCTTTTATCTCTCTTTAGTTCCTGAATCCTCCTATTCACTTTCCACATCACTAGAACCATCATGCCTCTAAAAGTCCAAAGTAGCCATGCCATGTCTTGCTTGAAGTCCCCTGCTGTGCCCTGATGTCCTGAAGGTCTGGCTGCCTCTCAGTCTCACCACATCGTGTGGCGGCCCCTTCTGCAAATCTCTCCTCATTCACACTGAGCTTCTGCCACACAGTGCTCTGAGGTTCCCTGAGCATGTCAGCCTTTTCATGCCTGAAATGTGCTTCTCCTTCCTCACTGGAAGGCAAACTTCTGCTCATCCTCCAAAATCAGCCCATGTCACCTTCTCGAAGAAGTTTCCCCCCGCACTCCTTCTCCATCTCACACTTTCTGCATTATGAGGATCTGTTCCATGTGTTCACCCTAACCCATATGCTGATAGGAAAGGAACCATGTCTATTCGTTTTTTGTTCCATGTTTGAGATAGGCTTCAGCACAAAATAAGATACTGACTACATATATATATGTGTGTGTGTATATATATGTACACATATATAAAAGTAGATATGTGCATATGTAGATATATAAATGTGTGTGTGTGTATATATATATATTTTTGTTTTGTTTTGTTTTGTTTTGTTTTTTGTTTGAGACAGGGTCTGGCTCTGTTGCCCAGGCTAGAATGCAGTGGCATGATTATGGCTTACTGCAGCCTTGACCTCCTGGGCCCAAACGATCCTCCCACATCAGGCACCTGGAGTAGCTGGGACTGCAGGCATGCACAACCATGCCCAGCTAATTTTTTAATTTTTTTTTTTTGTAGAGGGGCGCTGGAGCAGGGAGTTCTCCCTATGTTGCCCAAGCTGGTCTTGAACTCCTGGGCTCAAGCAATCCTTCCACCTCAGCATCCCAAAGTGCTGAGATTACAGGCATGAGCCAACACTCCCAGCTAATTAAAAAAAAAAATCCTTTTACTAATTACTAGCCATGGAGCCCTGGGAAAATTAACCTTCTTGAGCTTCATTTTTCTCCTTCAGGGATAAAAATTCTTCTCAGATTTATGAGGAAGATTAGGTGAGATAATGCACATAAAAACACTTAGCACTTACTCACTGGGAAGAAAAAGAAGGAAAAGGAGGAAGAGGAGAGAAAGAAAAAAGAGAAGGAAAAGAAGAAAAAGAGGGGAGGGAAGAGGAAGAAGAACAAGAACAAGAAGAAGAAGCAGTTGCTACCATGGCTGCCCTTTGGTAATAAGGGACAAATGACAACTGTCTTGAGTTTTCTTGTTTTTGGCTCATACAAGTGACTGATCCTTTCTACTCTCTGAGCAGCTGTGTATGAGTGTTAGGTTTGCAGCTATAACAACAGTTACTATATGCTTATGTGGATAAGAAGAGTCCACACACCCTTTTTAACTATCAGATACCAGTATAGTACTGTATAGTAAAAGGAGTAGGAGGTAGAATCCCATGAGTTTTGCCAACAGGGAATCTAGGCAAAAAGCAGACAATATGAGTCAATATAAACTGTGTTCTAGAAAAAGCACTGTGACTTGGAGTGAGAAAACTTGGATTTGAGCTTCTGCCACTAAGAAACTGTATTCCTCTTGGCAAGCCACTTGTCCTCTCTGGGCCTTGGCTGTCCTGCCTCTGAAGGAGAGTTAAACAATCTCATAAACTTTTTGTGAGGATCAAATGAAACAATATAGGTGACAGCACTTTGTTAACTGAAAACACCAAGCAATAGAAGTTTCAATTATTGCCATAAGAAATTCAAGGTGAACTTCTGCAGTTAGAGGGAAGATTTGGAGCTGGCAGTAGTAGATAACATCAAAAAGGAATGTGAGCTCTTGTCTCAGAAGGGAGGAAACAGGATTTGAGGAGACAACAGAATGCTGCTGAAGGTTTGCCAGATGGCAAAGAGGGTGCAGTGAAACCTGGGCCCATCCCCTGAATGCCCTTCCTGTAACCATCATGGCATATTTTATACCTTGCACAAAGAGCAGTCTTACATCTTACAAGGGATTAAATTAAAACATAAGTAGTCAAAATCATTCTTAAATAGCCTATAAATCATCTGGAAACTGTGATATATACGGTTTTGTAATACATCCCTGTACAGTAATTTTTTATCACATTATAGTTTGAAGCAGCTGTACAGATGTCTCGGTGTTCAAATCATTCTCCCTTCAGGTAATTATCAAAGCTGTACAGTGAACAGGAGATAAATAGAGAATTCTGAAATGTTCCCGCTTGCCTGCAAGGTTTACCCTATTCTGTTTTTATTATCAAATCTTTATAATCTGGTACCTGTTCTTGATGCTGGTTAGTTGCTGTTGTGAGGGGTAGATAAAATAACATATTTGAAAGCATCTATTACAGAGCAATACACAATAAATGGCTGCAATGAGAATGAAAACTTGCTTCTCCAGAAGTACTAATATGAAGAACTTCCAAAAGTCGTTTCCTGTCCTTCCCTCAGTTTGGCATTTCGTGTGGTGACCCACAGGCCAGCTGTCACTCCTGATCTTGGGCATTGATCCCATCCCATCCCAAGTAGGGCGTGCGTGTGTGAGGGGAGGGTGTTAGTTCCTGCAGTCAGAACATGTGAGGCCATTGTATGGCTTTGGAGTGTTTTTTGGCATCTGTTTTGTTTTCTTTCTCCCTCCTTTGTTTTGGACATAGATTTATTTCAATTGACTTTAAATTCCTAGGGTAGTATTATTCACATAACAGAAAAAATAGAAAAATATGTTTACTGTGGCACTGATGTTGCTGGAATTAATAGAGGGCTCCTTGAAGAAAGACATAATCTGTAGCTTCACACACACACCCCTAGGTGGAGAGAGTGAGCTGTCAGGGGAAGAGCCTCAATGGGGGCGGGTTGTGGGGGCTCAGCCTGCTGGGATCTGAGTTTGATGCTCAAGCAAGCCAACCCCATGGTAGTGTAGCCCCAACAGTCCTCTCTGCATGATAAGAGGGCTTTTCACACAGTAAACTAAATGTATTTGGAAACCGCTGCACAAGGTATGAGGATGTTAGAGACCTTGTATTGCTTAACTATGAGAAAGATGGGGATATTTCATGTGGGACGTCTGTGAACAAACCAAGACCATGTATCACAGAGAACTAGGCCCCTTCACTTCCCCAGCCTGAAGCCTGTTCTTAAGATTCTTTAGGATCTCACAGTAAATGAATACGTAGAGGTTTGAGTTAATATATTGGTGTTCTACAGATTTTTTTTAGGCACAAATCCATTCTTCATGTGCAGAAAGACCCTATAGTTATATTTCCTGACTCTGTGGGATGTGCCAGTCACTGTCAGGCAGAGGGGCTGAGACGGTGAACAAAACAAAAATGCTCCAAGCCCCCTTGGAGGTTAAAGTCTAGTGCAGCTTTGCCTAACAGATCCATTTACCATGATGGAAATGTTCTAGATCTGTGCTATTCAATACAGTAGCTACAAACCCTATATGGCTACTGGGTACTTGAAATATGGCTAGTGTGATTAAGGAACTGAATTTTTAACTTTATTTCTATAAATGAATTTGAGTTTAAATAGCTCCATATGGCTGCTGGCTACTGGACTGAACAGTGCCGTCCTGGTCAGTGCAGGACAGGAGGATGTGTACTATGAAAGGCTAAGACTTGAAGTCAGAAGTCCTGAGTTTGAGCCCTGGCACTGTCCTCAACTAACAATGTGACTTTGAAGCTAGTTAAGCTTATTAAGCCTGCCTTGGCACAGAGTAATTACCTCTTGAGGTTACTATGAAGATTAAATTATAAATTTGTGGGATAAAGGTCTTTACAATCTACAAAGTACCATGAAAACATGAAATGTTATTTTAATGAGTCTATTAACATTAACATGAGAAACCTACAATGATTTCAATGTCATTTTCTGTACATTTGCACTTAAATGATTGTTTAATTATAGGCAATTTGGGGTATTAATGAAAGCCCTTGGGCCCAGTTAGTGGTTAATTATTCTTGTTTTCTATTATGAGATTTGTAATGAAAACTATTACTCTGTTTATTAATATTATTAGTTGCCTTGTGTTGCTGCTAATAAATATTTGGGTGCAAGTGATGACACAACAAATCTCTTCCTTCCCTCAGGCCAAAGGAGGCATCCGTCCTCTTTTAGTTATTTCTCCTGGGGTCTGTCAAAGGAGCAATTAGAGGTGAGAGCCTATGCAACTTTGCTGTATTCCACAACTCCATCTCTGCCTCAAAGGAGCACCGAGCCTGAGGCTTGCATAAGGATGAAGACATGGCATTGTGTGCAGTCTCCCCTTGGGCAATTTATCTGCCCATGCCCCTTGTGGTGACAGGTGGGCATTGCAGGGTGTGGCCTTACCCGTCGTGGAAGGGGTAGCCCCATGTACTATTGGCCATGAGGCATTTAGGACCCTTGTTGATTGAAATGGCTGAGATGATAAACGAGTATCCAGCTCCCAAGAATCCAACCACAGCAAATATCGTGGAGGTGAACATCTGAAAGAGAGGAAGAGAGACAGTCACATTCTCCAGGTGGTCCAGAGGATACACTCAACAAACCTAATCCACCTGCTGTTGAACATGGTGACTACAAGAAGTTATGGAGTAGGAGCTAGTCTTTATAGTAGATGGGGCCTGTGGGGTCTTCTAGAATGAATTTTGGTGTCTTCTTTTCCCTTCTTCACTCCCATTTCCATTTCTTTTTCACCTTTTCATTGATGACAGAGGTGTTGGTTCTGTTACCTTTGAGCCATGGCCTTTTAACCTTGTTAAAGATAAACTCTCCTCCCCAGGGCTGATATATAAAGCCAATCTATTATAGAATCAAAGAACCTTAGGATTGGCGTAATCTTTTTTTTTGAGACGGAGTTTCACCCTTGTCGCTCAGTCTGGAGTGCAATGGTGTGATCTCAGCTCACTGCAACCTTCACTTCCCAGGTTCAGGGGATTCTCCTGCCTCAGCCTCCTGAGTAGCTGGGGTTACAGGCGTGCGCCACCATGCCTGGCTACTTTTTTGTATTTTTAGTAGAGACAGGGTTTCACCATGTTGGCTAGGCTGGTCTTGAACTATTGACCTCAGTTGATTCGCCTGCCTTGGCCTCCCAAAGTGCTGGGATTACAGATGTGAGTCACCGCACCTGGCCTGGCAGTAATCTTAAGTTTTCTGGTCAAATTATCCTGCTAAGGCCAGTCACTGTGATGTCTCATGTGACAGGCAGGTTCTACTTATGAGAAAGAGTAAAAGTTTAGAACCCCTCCTCATTGGCCCTCATTATGTTCCTCGAGGCCAAAAAGATCAAGTCTAACCTGTCTTCCATTTGGCATCAGTCTTTAAAATATCTGAAGATTGCCTTGACATCTCTCACCCCTTCCACCCTCGGAGCATTTTCTCTTCTTTAAGTTAAACAATCAAAAAATTCCATTCTTTTAAATATTTTTCTATGATGGAGATTAATGAAAAACAGATTAGACTACCATATTTTGTTTTCAATTATAAAATCAAAATAGAATTATTGACTGCAAAAGGCAGAAGCAATCCTGGAACCCAGCTAGGTTAACTCCCTCTTACGGATGAAAAAATGTAGGCCCAGGATGTTAAGAACTTTTGCAATATCCATTCTAGACAGTAACTAGAAAGTAGAATGAAAACATTTAAAATTTTGGAAGAAGAGGCAGAAAACGATCACCTCTGTTGCTTTGATGACGAAGCACAGGGTTTAAAGTCAGCAGACCCAGACCCAGGCTCATATCTCAGCTTTGCTAGTCTTCTCTGTGTAATGACTTTGCATAATGAATGTGTCCTCAGAGCCTTAGTTTTATCATCTTAAAATGGGCATGATAGAGCCCACCTTAAATATCTGTTGTGAAAATTAGACGTGGCAGCTTAAGCTAAATGTCGGCTATTTTCCCTTTCCCCTTTCATGTTATTAACAATATTATCATAGTACATATCTGGGATGGGGTAAGGTTTGAAGGTGAAGAGGACCTGATCGTGCCTGGGTGATTGGAATCTATGTAATAATGGAGTTCTACTTTAGCTGGGATTCATTTTCATATCATATATCAATGTATTTTGGATGCAACTTTTAAAAAAAGTCTTTTTAATAGAAAATTTAACTCTTTTGCCAACTCATCTGATTGATGCAACGTTTTAATACCAAGCTCTATTCATGTGCTTTGTCTGACTCTCCTTGTAGAACTGACCCTTCATTCTTCATCTCTTCCAACCCCTGTACTCTAGATTGCACAAATTTCTATCACAGCACAATGCCTCTAATACAATAATGCATAGGTTTTTTTGTTTTTGTTTTTGTTTTTGTTTTTAGACAGGGTCTTGCCCTGTCACCCAGGCTGAGTGCAGTGGTGCAATCGTGGTTCACTGCAGCCTCAACTTCCTGGGCTCAAGTGATCCTCCCACCTCAGTCTCCTAAGGAGCTAGGACTACAGGCATGCACCACCATGCCCAACTAATGCTTAGCTTTTTATGGCTGTCTTCTCCAAATAGAGCACAAGTTCCTTGAAGTCACAGACAATAAGTTATTTGAAGATAGGGCATTTTTCCACACTTAGCATAGTTTTACAGTTTTCCTTCTTCCTAGCTTATCAAAGGCACTGGATAATGACTTGTTGCATGTTTTCAATGACTAAGGTTTCATATTACTAATTGTTTAGATTTTTCCCCTTATTGTTTATGTTTAGGGTATCTAAATCCACTCTCAGCATCCAGAACATTCATGACTTTAACCTAGGTCAGAAGTAAGTGAACATTTTGGTAAATTTCTCGTGTTAGAACAGGCAATCTCTTTTCCAAAGGATGTAAGGTTGAATAAGTTTGAGAATTGCTGGATTACATAACTAAGTTTCATTCCTGCTGCACTTCTAAAAATATAGTACTTATGAAACATGAATTTGTGTAAACTTCTGAGAAGGAAATCTACTACATATGCTGGAATATAAGGAAAATCATTCACTCTCACATTATTCCTCAGAAATGAAGGAATTACCTTAGAGTTGAGTCCTTATTTCATCTATCAGGTAATAATGTATTTCCTCAAACACTTTATTTTGAACAACCAAGTACTGCCTAGAGAAGACATCAGTCAGAAACAACTCAATCATTGTTAGATGACAGAATTGTGTTAAAAATTTTTTCTTAACACATATTTATTAATTATTATAAAAAGGTTGAACCCATAGTTCCTAGTTCTGGATATTATAGTTAACAAGGTATTCTAGGCCTTGTTATAGTTTAAAGGGTATTCTAGGCCTAGCGTGGTGGCTCACGACTGTAATCCCAGCACTTTGCGGGGCCGAGGCTGGTGGATCACGAGGTCAGGAGTTCCAGACCAGCCTGGCCAATATGGTGAAACCCCATCTCTATTAAAAATATATAAAAATTAGCCAGGCACAGTGGTGCATGCCTATTTTCCCAGTTACTCGGGAGGCCAAGGCAGAAGAATTGCTTGAACCCGGGAGGCGGAGGTGGCAGTGAGCTGAGATCACGCTACTGCACTCCAGCCTGGGCAACAGAACGAGACTCCGCCTCCAAAAAAAAAAAAAAAAAATTAGCGGGGTGTGGTGGCCCATGCCTGTAATCCCAGTTACTCAAGAGGCTGAGGCAGGAGAATCGCTTGAGCCCGAGAGGCAGAGGTTGCAGTGAGCCAAGATGGCACCACTACACTCCAGCCTGGGTGACAGAGCGAGAGTCCATCTCAAAAAAATAAAATAAATAAATAAATAAACAATTGCATTCTAAAATAAGCACACTTCTTGTTTATAATTGTGGAGATCATTAATATGTACCTGTAGGAGGAATGTTTGGACATTGTCTTTGTCTTATGAGAATTGATATTTGTGACTAAGGGTGAAATTTTCCCTGACAACATCATGCATAGACACATAAATGTTGTA
The DNA here is from genome assembly GCF_000001405.40 of Homo sapiens. Lineage (NCBI taxonomy): Eukaryota > Metazoa > Chordata > Mammalia > Primates > Hominidae > Homo > Homo sapiens. The sequence continues at coordinate 149,484,204 of NC_000003.12, read as the reverse complement.
TTCAGACTCAAACGGAAAAGAAGATGTGCTGTGGGAGTCTTTTGATGGCTCAAAGTGTGTCTTTAGTAGTAGCAAAGACATTGATTAAAAGAAACATGAATATTTATTTATTTTAAAATAAACGGGCCCGGCACAGTGGCTCAAGCCTGTAATCCCAGCACTGTGGGAGGCTGAGGTGGGCATATCACTTGCGCCCAGGAGTTCAAGCCCAGCCTGGGCAACATGGCAAAACCTCATCTCTACAAAAGCTACAAAAATTAGCCAGGCATGGTAGTGTGCACCTGTAGTCCCAGCTACTCAGGAGGCTGAGGTGGGAGAATTGCTTCAGCATGGGACGCACGGGTTGCAGCGAGCCGAGATCACACCGCTGCACTCCAGTATGGGCGACAGAGTGAGACTCTGTCTCAAAATAGTAATATATAAATAAATGGGAGAAATGTCAGTTCACAATCAATATATTAAAATTATTTCATATTTTATATAACATGATTTAAAATATGTTTATGTCACTGAAAGTTTATATATTATTGTTGGCTAAGGAGCTTTTTTGAAGTTTCTTTATGGGAAAATAAGACATGCTTTTATGTTCAGATTTGCCTTATACCTGCAGTTCAGTATACATGGTACTTGCAGTTTTCCATTCTTATTGGATCCTATAAGTTTTTGGTTTTTTTTTTTTTCCTGTGACTCCTTGTAAGAAAACACTTTGGAAAATACTGCTACAATTCTTTTTTTTGTTATAGTTGATTTTAAATAGAGATGGGGTCTCACTGTGTTGCCCAGGCTGGTCTCGAACTCCTGGTCTCAAGCCATCCTCCTTCCTTGGCCTCCCAAAATACTGGGATTACAGTACTGGGATTACTGAGCCATCATACCTGGCCTACAATTCTTACTGAGAGTTTATATGGCTGGTTTTCTGTTTCTTAGCCGCCTCCATGCTCCAACCAAATTTCTGTTCAGTTAGATACAGCTAGTATAACTCTAGGACGAGAGCAAGAGAAATCTTACACTTAGGGCAGTTTCTTCTAATGCTACCTACCACCCTTTCAGAAATAGGTTCTGAGTGGTCTGGAAACATTTGTTGACATATGGCAGATTGAGTTGTCTTCATGAAAGTCCAGGTTGTCACAGAGAAAAACAGATTCTATGAAGGAGGGGGGTCTTGGCACATTTTATGGATAAATCACAGGAAGAAAGATACATGCTGCGTCATGTTGCTTTAAGTTATTTCACATTGGGAAGTCTTAAAAATGATAAATTCTCTAGAATAAATTCTTAGAGATATGATCAGTCAAAAAGCCAGCATAGAATAACTTCAATTTATCATGGGTTTCATGACACAAAATGTTAAAAGAAAGAAAGGCCGGGCTTGGTGGCTCATGCCTGTAATCCCAGCACTTTGGGAGGCCAAAGCTGGCAGACCGCTTGAGCCCAGGAGTTCGAGACCAGCCTGGCCAAAATGGTGAAATTCCATCTCTACAAGAAATACAAAAATTAGTGAGGGGTGGTGGTGTGTGCTTGTAGTCCTAGCTACTCAGGAGGCTGAGGTGGGAGGATTGCTTGAGCCCAGGAGGCAGAGGTTGCAGTGAGCTGAGATTGCACCACTGCACTTCAGCCTGGGCAACAGAGCCAGACCCTGTCTAGAAAAAAAGAAAAGAAAGATTCTTGAGACCAAGTTGAGTACATTAGAGGGTAGACACTTCAAAATTGGTATTATTTACAGTAAATAGGCAAAAGTCCTGGGATATCTCTGGAAGGAGACAGTAATTGAGAATAGTGGGGACCTCTGAGGAGGGAAGTTGGCAGACTTTGGAATCAGATAAGGGAGTCTTCCTTTGCGGTTTTTGTGCTATGGGCATACTCTACCTGGTCTAAGTGAATAAATGGTGAAGAAGGACACTACTGTGTTGTTGTCAAAGGTATGGATTACAGGCAGATGGATCTGGATCTGAGTTCTGGTTCCTCCCTCATGATCTTGGGAAGTTAATCTTTTTTATTCCAGTTCTTCTTCTGTAAAATAAGGCTCATTAATAAGTACCTGCCTTACAGATAATATGTAAGATAGCCTAATTAGTAAAGGCACACACCTCTCGAAAATCAGATCATCCCCACGTGGGATAGGCTGCTAGTAATCCCCAGTGCCTCACTGATAGGACACCTAGAATTATTTTTCCTGTTCCCAAGGTTTGGATAATTTCCCATGACATTAACAAGCACTTGATCAATGTCATTATTATATTATAGTATTTTTGTTATCATATCCTCACACACACTTACTTTCCACAAATACAGAGAGCATAACTCTGGAGAGAAAAAATTCAACGGGCTAATTCCCTCGCAGCTGCTCAGTGCACATATTCTGCTCACATGGTTAAAGAAATGTATATAGCATACACTGCAAATGTTTCCCTTGAAAGAGTAGATAAGAAGGCCTGAGATCATATGTCCTCTAACTCACCAATTGCCAGCTTGAAGATCTCCCTTTCTGTTGGGCTCTGGAGACAGACAGGTACCATCAGATCCCAGCTGTCTCCACACATGGTGTGTCCTGGGGTCATGTAGGTGCTTATGTTGGCCAAAGCATGTCCTTAGGGCATGGACATTCCTCCTTAGTAAGGAGGAATAGAGATTACCTGAAGTGTTTTTTCTTCTTAAAAATTAATATCCTCTATTTTTTGCCTGTGCTAGGCTTGGGAAGGGAGTGGGGGAAGTGGCAGTCAGAAACTTAACTTGCAGTAGCCCCAGTTTCCTCATTTATAAAATGAGGAGTTTAATGCTGAATTCACAGGGTTATTGTGAGGATTGAGTGTGATAAATATGGAAGCCCGTTTCCTCTCCTAGGTGTTCACTTACTTCATCCATCCAGCAAGTACTTATTGAGGATCTATGTGTCCTCCATACCCTAGGCACTTAGTTGGTACTTCCCTTACACCAAATGCTTGCAAAATCTTCCCCTAGAACTTACAACATCCTTATGAGAGACAGTAACTGCCAGGATCCATTTTGTAGCAGAGGATTTTGAAGCATAGAAAATATTTACTGAAGATGCCGGCGTGGTGGCTCACTACTGTAATCCCAGCACTTTGGGAGGCTAAGGCAGGCAGATCAAGAGGTCAGAAGTTTGAGACCAGCCTGGCCAACATAGTGAAATGCAGTCTCTACTAAAAATACAAAAAATTAGCTGGGCGTGGTGGCCGGCGCCTGTAATCCCAGCTACCCGGGAGGCTGAGACAGGAGAATCGCGTGAATCCAGGAGGCGGAGGTTGCAGCGAGCCGAGATCGCGCCAACCTCTTGCACACCAGCCCGGGCAACAGTGCAAGACTCTGTCTCAAAATATAAATAAATAAAAATAAAATAAAATATGTAGAAGTAGAATAAAAATAGGAGCTTAGGGAGAAAACATCTGGAAAAAAGAAGAAATAAAATTCCATACTTTATTTTTTTTTCTTTCAATATATTCCATTTCTCTAAAGGAAATGTCTTTCTAAAATATTCCTCAAGTTGGCTGTCATTCCAAGGAATGAGGAGGTAGATTAGGGATGCTTTTGGCCTGCAGGACCTCTGCAAGAGGGAGTCCCCAGAAACGCTCACTCAGGAGGTGTCTCTAGGGGGCACTGATGAGCCAGGCACGGGAAGAAGTGCTGACCACAACACACAGACCGCATTAGGACCTGACCAAGACCTTTCTTCAAAACAGGGAGGTTGATCATCTGGCCCTGCCTGTGGGTGGGGCGGGCCTTGATCTATCTAATATGCTTTAAGGATGGTGAAATACATGCCTACCCAACACATATCCTCATCAGTCTACCTTTGGTCTCATTATTAAAGACACTCCTTTGAGTCAAATCCAAGATTTACAAAAGGCTCTTAATAAAATACGTACTTAACATAAACGAGTTGACAAAATTAATTTGCTCCCCCACTGCGCCCCAAGAGATCCATTTTTTAGAAGGATTAGAGGGCAAGAGATGCTGACCAGCCACCGACATGCTGCCAAGAAGCCACTGGGAATCTCGGGTTTGGGAGGAAGAAGCTGTGACCTGAAAACAAACCCAGGCCGGGGTTCTTACTATTTTTGCTCCAGGGCTCACTTTTCCCGGCTCTCCTTTAGCCTAATTTATTTGAAAGAGCGCAGGCCTTTGGAGCTCAGCTTCAGTCTTGCTCTGCCTCAGAGGAGAGCCATTTTCTCGGCTTTACCAAGAAACTATGAATCAGGTGATCCAAGATTCTTTCCAGCTTATTGTCTTGCTTTATCTCTGCAGCCACCACATCCTGCTTCTCCTATCTCCTACTTGGTTTTGCTACCCGAGGAAAGGGAAGAGAATGGTGCAGTTGGCCTCTGGGGAATGTTCCAGAAAGATATAATGCAGATGAGAGAAGAGAGAGAGGAACCGGGAAAATAAATGACAGAAAGCAGACTGTAGAGAGGACAGAGGATTCAGCCCAGCAGCTGGTGGCCCAGTCTGTGTCTGCCTCACAGGCCTTTCCACCTGCAGGGCTTCCTATGCAATGCTCCCTATTGCAGTGCTCCACAGAAGCCCCGTGTCCCCGAAGGAGCTGGGGCCTGGAGGGGAATGCGTGAGCCTTTGGAAAATAATTCAGAACTTCAGCAGTTTAGTTCTCCCCAAATTAGTCTGCAGTTTTTGCTTCTTGTCTGACAAAATGCAAATACCTCATTTTGGAGAAATGATTAGCCAGGTGAGGTGGTGAGCACCTGTAGCACCAGCTACTCAGGAGGCTGAGTGGGGAGGATTGCTTGAGTTCAGGAGTTCCAGAAGTTTGGGACCAACCTGGGCAACATAGTGAGACCCCCCAATAACCTCAAAAAAAAAAAAAAGAAAAGAAAAGAAAAAGAAATGATTATTGTTTGATGCTCCAAAGCCTTAGAACATAACATTAAGCAAACAAGAGTCTGAAGCAGGGGGCATGAGCTCAATGGTCTTAGGGGCAGGGAAGGGACCCTAACTGAGTAGAGCAGCCAGGGTGGGCCCTGTGGAGCTCAGCCAGGCCCAGTGAAGGGTGCTGTTGTGCCAAAATGCAGGCTAGGGGTGCCAGATTAATTTTTTATTTCTTGGGGAAAAAATGTTCTCTCTCTGAATTTTTAAAAATTGGGAGCTGATTAAAAAACAGAACAATCGGCCAGGCGCAGTGGCTCACGCCTGTAATCCCAGCACTTTGGGAGGTTAAGGCAGGCAGATCACCTGAGGTCAGGAGTTCGAGACCAGCCTGGCCAACATGGTGAAACCCCGTCTCTAACAAAAATACAAAAAAAATTAGCCGAGCATGGTGGCAAGCACTTGTAATCCCAGCTACTCGGGAGGCTAAGGCAGGAGAATTGCTTGTACCCAAGAGGTGGAGGTTGCAGTGAGCTGAGATTGCATCATCTCACTCCAGCCTGCTGGGGGACAAGAGCGAGACTTCGCCTCAAAAAAACAAAATAGAACAAAACAAAAAAATCAAAGACAAGAAATCCTTCTGCTGGCTACCCAGCATGTGGTCGACCCTGGCCCAGGGCAGCCGTGCTAGGTGCCTTGGTTTACAATCTGGCACAGCTGGTCCTTTGATGGACACTGCCTCATGATTTGGATGGTCAGTTGGTCATTTGGAGGAGTTATCCTCAATTCATGCCAAGGGCAGGTTCCACATGGAGGCTTAGACAGCCCCCACAGACAACCTATATTGGGAAGCCCAAATATTTCAGATCCTATTGACTCAAAATTTTTTTTAATGAAATGTGCTTATAAAAACATTTTTTTTCCGGCCAGGTGTAGTGGCTCATGACTGTAATGCCAGCACTTTGGGATGACGAGGTGGGTGGATCACCTGAGGCTGGGAGTTCCAGACCAGCCTGGCTAACATGGAGAAACAGCATCTCTACTAAAAATACAAAATTAGCTGGGCATGGTGGCACATGGCTGTAATCCCAGCTACTTGGGAGGCTGAGGCAGGAGAATCGCTTGAACCCAAGAGGCAGAGGTTGCAGTGAGCCGAGATCGCGCCATTGCGCTCCAGCCTGGGCAACAAGAGCTAAACTCCATCTCAAACAAACAACAACAACAAAAAGACAAACTTTTTTTGCCTTCATCTTGGATTTCATTTACATCTGATTTTAAAAACCAAGTTTTGTGTAATACTTAGAATGCTATCTCACTTCTCACTGTGGTTATATGTAAACCTAAAAACAAAAATCAAGCAAACAAAAGATCCCTTATTTTTATATTAGCCAGTCTTTAGCCTTTTACTCAGCACCAGGTGTGAAATTTTAGATTTCTAAAATAAATGACTCTTCTTTCTTTTCATCCTATTTTCTTAATAGCTAATTAAAAAAAAAATCCTCATCTCCAACTTCTATCCCCCAAAAGTTCACAACATATAATGGGATTATAATTCAAGGGGAAAATAAGTTATAAATACCTTCTTTTCCTTTATAATTACATAAAATATCCTTTGTTATATAAAACGTATATTACATGATTATATTAAATTGTGGGTTTTTTAAAAAGAACTCTTTGTAAATGATGATTTTAAATGTTAACATAACAATCATCAATACTTTTTTGGGACTCATGATGTTATATTTTCTTTGACCTTTGAACTCACATGGAAACTGTAATGTATGCACATTGGAGCAGCCTCAGCCTTTCACATGTGCTCAATATTTTTTGATTGAATAAATGAACAAATAATGCTAAGAAAGAAATGTTAAAAGGATCCTGTTTCAGAATGGATAGATGCACCTTTCCCTTTAGGAAGTTAAAGTAAATGTGGTTAATTCATTATTGTGGTTCATGAATCTTTTAGGTGGACATGTGAACCATGGGAGATTACAGGAGAAACTGATCTTCCTCATTTTTCAGACCAGTAATTCCAGTTCTACTATGCTTCATTTCTGCCTCATCAATATATCTAACTCTTAATATTTTTTGTCAGCTCTCATTGTGTTCATTTATATCACTATATGAATGAAAAATTAGAATCATTGGCAGATAGAAACACAATATAGTTGCATTTTAGTTAAACAACGTTGCATTCATTCCTGGAGCCTAAGACTTGTCCTCTCTTTGTTAGAAAGGGAGATTATAAAGGGTAAAAAATAGTAAAGACGACTGGGCACAGTGCCTCACACCTGTAATCCCAGCACTTTGGGAGGCTCAGGTGGGCGGATTGCTTGAGTCCGGGAGTTTGAGACCAGCCTAGGAAACATGCCCAAACTCTGTCTCTACTAAAAATACAAAAAATCAGCTGCGTGGGGTGGCACACTTGTACTCCCAGCTACTTGGAAGGCTGAGGTGGGAGAATCACTTGAGCCCAGAAGTTCAAGCCTGCTGTGAGCCAAGATCTAGCCTGGGCAAACAGAGTGAGACCCTGTCTCAAAAAAAAAAAAAAAAACAAAAACAAAAACAAAAAAAAACAGAAAAGAAAAAAGAAAGACTTATGTCTACCAAAATAAGATCTTTTTCTTGATAGATTGATAGATTCAAAAGGATTGAAGGAGAATTGAATGGGAATGACATTCTATGTTGTGGAAAGATATAGCACATCTGTGTAGCACCAGAGCTTGTCCCATACTTGAGAAATTCTGGTCTAGTCCAGCTTCCTGCTTTATACATGAGCAAAGGGAGGCAGAGCAGTAGAATGACTTGCTCAATTGCAGAATGGGTCCTGTCCCCATGTCCCAGCATTCTTTCCACTGCACTCTGGAACTTTGATGCCTAACGTCTCTAGTTCAAGATCGATGGCCGCATGAAACAAGAGAGGAAACAGAAGTCCTGAAGCAGAGCCTGGTGGAAGCCAGAGGCGCTGGGCCTCAGAAATAGAGAACATGGAAGTGGTGTGAGTGAGGAACCTAGAAGCCTACTGGGGAGGGGAGGATACCATCTTTTGTCCTGTCCCAAGTCCCCTTTGCAGATGAGGCAATTCAGGGCCAGAAAAGGGAAATGACTTGTCCAAGTTCTTATGGCCTCTCAGTGGCAGAGGAATGCTGCAGCTTCATCTCTGCCTTCCAGGCTTGCATTCTGTATATGGGACCCCTCTGAATCTCCAGTTCTGACATCCCTGTCGGTTTGTAAAATCTAATACAATATTCATACCCTATAAGTATGAGGGCTATGGTATTTTGGAAAATTATTATTATTTCACACTGGCAGGAAAAATCACAGTTTTATCCCTTCACCAGCTGCTCCCAGAGTCCTGGCTGGAGCTGATAACTTGTCTCCATCCCCATGCTGCCCAGCACAAAAGCACAGAGCACCCTGGAGTAATTCTAGTAGCTGCCCCCCATGGTAACTCACCGCAAATCGCTTCCCACAGCCCTCGTTGCCGCAGCACCCACAGCAGTCATTGTTCTTCAGGCCCAAGAACACCAGCGCAGGGAAGATCATCTACCAGGAGAAGAGGCACCTCAGAGAGAGTCCAGGAGTTGAAGGGAGGGCCCGAGCCTGCCTGACTGTATAAGGAGCCCCATCCACAATGAGGGATTTGGAGGCCCAAAGGGAATGGCAAAGTAACAGAGCATGGCTGGAGGGGTAATGGAGTGTTATGGAGTACTTAGATTCCATTTGGGCTGACTAACCAGCTTCAATGAGGCAAGATTTCAAAATCTGAGTTTCCATTTAGATGGTGTGTTAGAAAAAAGAATAACAAACTTTTCCTCAATTGTCATGAAGAGTGAGTCTCTCTCCCTTTCACTCTCTCAAACGGAGGTTCCCAATTCTATTGGAAACCAGAGGTAAAGAAATCATTAGGTCCTAAGTGGAAGACGACCACACTGACAACAGCTTCTCATGGTGGTTTTAAGTCAATTTGCTTTTCTAGTGGGTTTGCATCGTGGGTTTGTTGTTGTTATTGTTTTGGGCACTATCTTGTTGGAATCAAGAAACTATGCGACCTTCACTTCGGTTCATGGGACTCAAATGACCCATGAGAACTGTCAGCCCAAGCTTAGAGATTAATTACTTAGTAAATTTAGCTGACGTGTCCTTGTCAGATCCTAACAGAAACGAGAAAAAAATTAAGGCATTGACCTCTCACCATGCAATGCTTGAGCTTCTATTACCAACTAAATATCTCCCTGTTCAATAAGTACCTGATTTAAAAAGGATTGTGGGGAAGGGAAAATCTCCCTTAGGGGGATTTTAAGCTTCCCTACTCACCAAGACACCGCTTCCTAATATTCCTCCGAAAAACCAGATCTCTTGGGAAAGGTGGTCGTTGTCATCTATCACTTTTCCTCCAGGAAAAAATAACAGGATGTTAGCCAGGAAGCCAAAAAAAGCAAGGGGAATGAGGGTCCCCCCCAGGCATCTGGCACAGCCCCCAGTGCACATTCTGGGGTGGTACGACACAGGTCAGCAATCAAAAGCTCCTCACTGCCTCCTTCACGGGGCCTCTTCAAGGGTTTTTGGCCAGAGAGTCCTTGTAATTGTCTCCAATTCAATCAGTATTTTGGGGCTGAGAACCAAATTTCTGTGAACTGTGTCCTTGGAGTTGCTTCAGCTTCTCAAAAATAGCAGAACCTCGATGGCAATGGACATTTATACATTCTCCCTGACCTGAAGTGCTTTGTTTTTTGCACCCCCATAAATGAGATTACGTTCAGAGCAATCATTCAATCGTTTTGCCATGGAGACCAATAACCTCTGTTAATAATCCACCAGCACAGACAAGACACTCACATTGTTGCAATCGAAGACAGGGCTGGAACAAACAGCATTTAGAACCACTGCACCTTTAATCTGACAGTGCCCATGCCCAAATAAAGAAATATTTTCTCCAGACTCTTTATAAATCACTAATATAATTGAGTTACATCCTGGTTAAAATCATGTCTCCCAAGTACTTAATGGTGTACAGTGCGTGTCTTTGTCTTTTCCACTGAAAGCCTGGAATTCAGGGTTATCCAAAAGAGCTTCTGTTTTCCTCAATATCAAAATAATTTGATGGTCTAGTTGTGTATCATTGAGCTCAGACTTAAAAGAATTGTTTAAGGCAAAAAGCTACTGTTCATTTTATTGTCTGATTGCTGTGTTTCTCTACTTGTTACGCAATTAAGTAATTAAGTTCTATCTTTTCCCTACACGATGTGATGGAATTAGCAAAAACAGTTTTCCTAATCAACTTTCTCAGCTATGTCTTCCATATAGGAATAAAGAAACCATCATCCACTAAGGCTAAGGGGAAAGGAAGGTCAGCATTGGTAGAGAGGGAGAGAAAAGGTCCTGATGAGTTGACTGGGGAGAAGACACAGTTGGAAGAGCAGTTATAGAGTGCAGGAGGCAGTAAAACACACCCCTATTAGAAAGTTTGCCAACTGCCAGGGGCATGATTCATTCATTTGCTTTGTGTCACTTAAGAAGTTCTCTGCCACGCCTGGACCAAGCTCTACATTATGCGATGGCCCTGCCTGGTACTGGTATTACATAACAGCTGAAGGATTAAGAGGTGGAACTGGAAGTCTTACTAGTTCTTCATTGAGAATCTAGAGGTTAAAATAGGTCGAATATTTTAGGGAGTCAAATTTTAGCTAAATAAAAAGCAAGTGACATTATTACCATGGTAAGACCTGTCCTACCGTGGAATAGGCCACCTGCTCACAAGGAAGCCATGGACTGGGCTTTGCCAAGGCTCAGAGGCCCTTGGAAAGGGAAGCTGTGGGAAGGATTCCAGAAAAGTCAGACTGGAAAAATGTTGAGGCTCCTTCTAAAATTTCTAAGAAATGAGTACTGGTTGCTTTATAAAGATACTTAGAAATCTCAGGGTCAGGATGAGAAAGAAAGCAGAAAAACAGCAAATGTTTATTGAGCCATGCATAATACTCCAAGCACGAATGAGCACCTTAAATGTTCTTCACCCTTCTGTGAAGAAGGTGTCATGCCCCCTTCACAAGTGGGGATGCTTCTGCTCAAAGTGATTTTTGCAAGCTCATCTCAGCATAAGAAGAAGAGCTAAGATTTTATTTTTTATTTATACATACTATTTTACACATTTATGGGGTACGTGTGATATTTTACATGTGTAGAATATGTAGTGATTAAGCCAGGGTATTTGGGGGTATCCATCACTGAATATTGATCATTTCTATGTGCTGGGAACAATTTAAGTCCTCTCTTCTAGCTACTTTGCAATCTATAATACATTATCACTAACCATGGTCACTTTACTGTAATGTCAAACAACAGAGGTTATCCCTTTGGCTAACTGTATGTTCATACCCATTAGCCTACCTCCTCTCCAGCTCTGTGTTGCCAAAACCCAGGCTATGTTCTCTCTCATAGATTTTCCTTTTTGAAAACAAACAAACAACAAAACATCATCTTTTAAATATAAACAATAGAATGACACTGTGTGTGAGGTATATGCACACAGTAGGAGACCCTTCTGAACACAACAACAAACTGTGATTTTATTCCTTATTACAAAATAATGTGACTTTTTTTGGTAGAAAAATTGGATATACAGACAAGCAAAAGGAAGAAAAAGAAAACCAGCTGTGTTTCCACCAGAAGCAAACAAGGGCTGTCATCACTGTGCTGACAGCTGTTTTCCAACACTCCAGGCAGGTGCAAATGAACTTTATTTATAACCCACTGGCTTCTGACAGGGAGTCTTGAGCATATGAACTCTAAAGGCAACAGTCCTGGGGGTGAGTGGATTGGGTTAATCAAATGCATATGCTACTTAGAGCTAGGCAGCTTCTCTCTGGGGACTGGGCAGCTTTCTCCTTTCTCCCTGGACTACACCGTTTGCTTCTAGAAGTTACCATCATGGCATTTGACCAACACTAGCCCTGTTGTCCTAGATTTTTCAGATGCACAACTGGAGTTACCCATGTATACTGTCTGAGTGACTAGATGAAAGTAAGAAATATTGTGGACCACACTTCAGTTTTCTTTCAAGCCTGAGGTAACTTATTTCCTGGGTAGAGGAAGAGAAACACTGAAAAACAGTCACTTTCCTGGAATGCCCTGACCACTTCAGACTTCAAACACTTGGATAGTGACTAACTCATTAATTGTTCAATTATTAATTGTGCCTTCAGACCTCCAGGCAAGAAGTAGAATATCTAATCTGGAGAGAGGGAATCGTGGGGGGGATGGGAACCTTGGTGAAATTCACTCTCTGGAAGTGTAGCAGGGAGGTCACCAACAGACTGCTTTGGGGGCAAGGGAAAATTGTGTGAGATTCTGGGAATCATTTTTGTGATACTCCTACTTGATAGTTTATTGCTTATTCTGTTCCTCTGGGTGTTTAGCAGTGAAGGCTTTAAACCAAAAAGGCTAACTCCCTTGTTTTCAGAAACAGCAAGAAGGAAGTGGCTGAGGACACTAAGCCCCATTCTGTCACTAGCCTTCTATGGAGACTTCAGAAGTGAGAGCAAATAGTAGCCCTGGAAGGGATAGAAAGACAGGAGGGATCCTTGGGGGAAGAAAAGGAGAAGAATGTGAATATGGGCACTATCTCCATGGACCTCACCGGATGTGAGGTTTGACCATACGGGACTAAGCAGCAGGAAGTCTAGGGGTTCCTTCCAGTGATGCAGGAAGTCAATTCCTCAGCTAACAAGCACAGGAGCAGAAGACATTCACCCTGAAATGGGTGAAGAGCTGTCAATTCAGTGCAATCGATAAGTGTATTGTTACATGCATGGTATGTCCACCAATGTGCCAAATACTGTCCTTGTGAATAAAATAAATCTAAGACTTGCTTTCTGCCCTCAATGATGTTACAACCTTCTACTTGTGACAAGAGACAAGAGAAGCCATACACAGAGGTTAAATGAGTAACTGCCCCTTAGCAGAAGAACAAGACATGGCTTCTTCTGCTTGTCTTAAAGCAGAGCATTCTCATCTATTCACACAGAATATCAGGAAGAAGACAGGGGTCTCCACACATTTGCATTCAAATAAAATTCAGGTCTTCATCTTTGCTTACCTGGATGATGAAAATAGATTGTTAAAAGTGATTTTCCAAAGGAGGAAAAAAATAATAGAAAATATTAGTGGGCATTGCATGTAATAAGAGCCATTTTATGAAATTTTTGTTATGTGTGCATAGATGTTAGGTAATAATGCAACATGTTTTGCTTACTATAGGTCTTCAATCAAAAAATAAAGATCAAATCAGGTAGTGAAAGTTAGTGATCTTTATAAAGTGAGAACTAGTGATCTCTATAAATGCTAAACTGATATTACATTTTTGCTGAAAGCCTTCAGGAGGCTTCCATGGCCCTCAGATCTTAAACTTAGTCCTCCCTGATTTGTCTTCCAGCCAGATCAGCCCTCCTGTCTTCCTGCTTCCTGCTCTGCCCGCTTCTCCTGCTTTCCTGCTACACCCCTCCAGGACTCAGCTCAGTGGTCACTTTTTCTAAGAAGTCTTGTTTTATAAGAAAACTGTTTTACTGTCAAGATATGTTTGGGAAATCTGAATAACACAGAGCAAAATAGGGCTCTGAATGAGAACTTTTTAGGGCCTTTAATTTGCAAGTGCATGTGTAATTATTGGAGAGCTGAGAAATATAGTACCCAGCGTTTTCCAAGCTTCAATGCCTGCAGAACCCATCTTTTGTATCCTGTAGCTGGCAGGACCAGGATTTTCCAGAACATCCTTTGGAAAACTTGGAGCTTACTCATTTCCCAAGTGCTTGTGATGGAATCTGTGTTGGCAGAGAGAAAGTGAGGGGTGATTTGAGACAAGGAAGTATAACAAGAGCAAAGATGGAAGATGGGATGAAGCACGATTTGGGGAGATTGTGAGGTGCCAAGTTGGTGAGCTGGGAGCAGGGTTGAGAGCCAACTTGGCCTCCACGAACAAAGAAATGTGAAATATTTTGTCTAAGGGAAGACAGTCACTATTCTCTAAGAGCTCTGACGCTTCATGACTGACTCCTCCATGCCTGGGCCACTTCAACATGAGTGTTCCCTAAAGCACCGGGGTCCTGGGAGAGGCTGAACTACTAAAGGGCCACATGGTCTGGAGAACTAGAAGAAACAGACCTCCCTCTCAGATGTCTCTATCTCACTATCTAGAGTTGTCATCGAGCTCTATAGAAGCAAGCAATTACATGACATTATTGTCCCTATTTTAGAGATGAGGAAACAAAAACAAGTGGTAAACACTGTTCTGGTTATCTTTTTTTTTTTTTGGAACCGGGTATCACTCTGTCACCCAGACTGGAGTGCAGTGGCACAATCTCAGCTCACCAAAGCCTTCACTGCCTGAGCTCAAGCGATCCTCCTGCCTTATCCTCCTGAGGGACCACAGGCACATGCCACCATACCAGGCTAATTTTCTTTTTTTTGAGACAGAGTCTCACTCTGTTGCCCAGGCTGGAGTGCAGTGGCACAATCTCAGCTCACTGCAGCCTCTGCTTCCCAGGTTCAAGCAATTCTTCTGCCTCAGCCTCCCGAGTAGCTGAGAACACAGGCATGTGCCACCATGCCCAGCTAATTTTTGTATTTCTAGTAGAGACGGGGTTTCACCATTTTGGCCAGGCTGGTCTCAAACTCCTGGGCTCAAGCAATCCTCCTGCCTCTGCCTCTCAAATTGTTGGGATACAGGTGTAAGCCACCACATCAGGCCACTGGTTATCTTTTGATGTATAATAAACCAACTCAAAACTGTGTATTTAAAACAATAATCATTTTACTTTATCTCAGGATTTTGTGGGTCAGGAAGATGGGTTGAGACAAACTGGGTGATTATTCTGCTCCAAGTAGTATTGATTGCGGTTATTTGCTGTTGTTCAGTTGTGGCCACATTGGTGTGCAGAATCCAAGGTGGTTTCACTTATATATCAAGGTGGCTTGATGGGAACAGCTATAACACTGGGCTCATATAAAGCTGGGCCCCTCTTTTTCTTCCTTTAGTCTCAGGGCTCTCCATGTGGTTTCTGCAACACTGTAGTTAGACTTTTACATGGTAACATAAGGCTCTGAGATATAAGTAGAAGCTGCCATTGTCTTAAGGCCTGGGCCAGAAAATGGGACAGGGTCACTTTGGCCAATTTTATTGGTCAGTGTAGTCAGAATGATCTCAAATTCAAGGGGAGGGAACATAGACCTCACCTCTTTATGAAAGAAATGTCAGAGAATTTCTGGCCAGCTTTAATTCACCACAGAGATAAAGGTAGATTTAAACCAAAGGAGTCTGATTATAGAGACCATCCTCTTAATCACCACAATATCCTGCTTCAGAAACCAAAGACTGGTACCTATTGTTTGCTCAACACAGAGAGGACAGCCTGCATGCATTTAGGTTTAAATCAAGGGCCTTTCTCTGCTACAGGGTAAATTATCTGGATAATTCCCACAATTGTGTATGGGTAGACACAGCCTGAGTTAGGATTTGCACTTGAGGAGCTAGCAGGCACCATCTACACCTTAAAAGTATCTCCAGTTGTTTTCAAAATTAGAATGAGAAATGCAAATCTCTTCCTGCCTCATGACTCAAAGGGGTGCTATATAGTCCTCTCTAATGCAGGTCTCAGTACAAAAGGGCACAGCTGTGACCTCTCAGAGAGGCATGAGCTCTGGCTGGTAAATCTGTCCCAGATGACCTGCCCAAATATTGATTTGTTTTAGCATTCTTTGATATCATCATGGTTATAGGTGAGAAGTTAACTTTCAACAGGAACTCACCCCTCACCCACTCTCCGTAAGGTAAAACATCACTAACTGCGGTTCCTCATCTTCTTTTTAAAATTAAACATGGGTTCAAAAAGAAACCAAGTTTAAAAATTCATGTTATGGCTTTAAAATGCAGAGAAATTTTAACACTGCATGTGTTTTTAATTTCTATAAATCTGACTTTATATAATTATGTATTATTCTTTTTGTCTGTGCCTTTGTACAAGTGTTTCCCCATTAGTTTTTAAAAATTATTTTTCCAAATAATTTTTGCTTATAAAAATTTACAAACATATTGGGAAATGATAACAACACCAAGACAGCAAGCACAATTTGGAAAAAAAAAAAAACATCAAAAACAACTGTCTTAAAATTTCATGTCAGTGAACTTTCATGGGGGTCAATTTTAGCTTTTGTATATTTATTCTTTTAGCACATTTTTTGAGCACTGATGTGTCAGGTACTGGAGACGTGTTAAATGGACAGAGCTTATAAGAAAAGGAAGATAGATATTAATAATGCTAATAACAGAAAACAGAGCAATTGTATGAAGTTGGTTCTATTTTAATCTGAATTTTACTCATAAGGAAACTGTATCCCAGAGAGATTAAGTAACTTTCCCAAGATCTCATCACTAGTAGCAGGAGACAGGATTTGATCTCAAGCAATCTAGTTTAAAAAAAAAAAGTCTGTGCTCTTAACCTCTACGCATGTTGCCTTTCATTAATCAAACCGTCTCAAAAACATATAATAACAAACTATAATTTGTTCCATGGACTAGAGAGAGCTATGAAAGCATATAGGGTAACAGGGGGATTCCAGTCAGGATAGGGAAGGCTCCCCTGAATAGGCTCCTTTGAAACTATTCATTGCCAAGAATAGAATTTTGATAAAATTACATTATGTAGTAATATTTACTGTAAGCTTGTTACATGCTAGGTATAACTTTAATGCTTTTCAATATTAACTCACAATGTCCCTCTGAGATGGGTGATAGTAACCCAGTAACCTCCCTCTTTGCTATATGGAAGGAAGTTGAGGCTCAGGGGGTAAAGAGTTTGCTCAAAACCACACAGCTAGAAAGCAAGTCAGCACTTGAACCCAAGCCCACACTCTTTAGACTGAGTGCGTGTCTTATGAAAGAAAAGAGCAATGCCAACGAGTTGGAAGGGACATGTTGTCCCACTGCTCAAAGATGCTCTCACTGACTCTAACTATGGATTTCTAGTTGCCAAAGGACTGAGCAAAGAGAGCAAAAATTATGGATAAGACCAAATTCTAAGGCGGTAAAAACATTAAAACTAAGTTTTAAAAGGAAGTAACTCAGTGTAGTAATTGGTAGGATGTGTGACTGCTCTAAGTGCACCTGAGCTACCCTGCCACTGACAGTGGTGGAGAGTCCAGAAGCAAGGTCAAATGATAAACTCCCTTGCTTAAAATTGAATAATCAGTTCCAATTCACAGAATGTCAAAGTTAGATAAACCTTTTCCCTTTTATAGGTTTTCAAGACTGAACTGCAATTGCAAAAATAATTCCTACTTGCAATAACTACTGTGATTAAACCTAAAGGGTAGAGAAATGCATCCAGGTCTTTGGTGGTCTTCACAGTGTGAGGCACAATGTAGAGGCCCAATTTATTTTTAAATTGACATTAGCTTTTCTGTGATTACCCATATGTATATCAAAGCTTCTAGCAAAGTTACAGACCAAGGCTTCTCAAATTTTAATGTGCATGTAAATCATCTGCAATCTTGTTAAAATACAGATTCTGATTTAGAAAGTCTGGGACAGGGCCTTAGATTTTGAATTTCTAACAAGCTTCAGGTGATTCTGGCAGTCGGAGGGCCATACATTGAGGCTGGACACATTTATTACTCTGCTTACTTTGGGGCAAATGGATGCCCTTCCTTAGACTTCCCACTGGAGCAGCTCATTGTGGGGTGTTTCAAGTAGTTGCTACTTGCTCTAACAAACTTTTGTTCTTGGGACAGTCACTTGCCAGCTTAGGGATTTCAGAAGGCTCTAGGGTCGGAAGAGACCCCACATCACTCTAGCTTGCTGTTTTCTGCATGCTTTATGGTGGTGGTTGTCAAAGTATGAATCGGTTAAAAGCTTGGGCTGCCTTTCTTTAGATGGGCCTGCTTCTCAACAGTCATCTTCCCCTCTTACTCACTCCCTACTGCATTCCGCAACTGTTATTCCAACCCTTTTCCACATTCCTCAAACCCTCCCTCCTCCCTCGCCCCAACTCCTTTGAGAGTTATAACCTCTCCTCCCACTTGCAGAAATGAAGGCCCAAGTTCCTTCATCCATCTTCCTTTCAGCCTTATAATATTTTTATATGAACACTTTCCTCTTTCATCCACATTTTATTCTTATCTTCATCCATTTTTATTATCTTTCCCCTGTCAGCAGATTAATTCCCTCACTGGTGCTTTTGTTCCCATCTCTAAACCTTCCCTGAGACTGTACCACCAATTATCATTATTCTGTCTTAAAGATTTAGTATCCTCTCTTACCTATCTCTTCATTCTCTTCACACAGTCTCAGTTCTCACTTTGCCTTTCCTAAATTTTTATTAAAGAAGTTAAAAAATACCCACTAGGTATAGAGAATTGTATAATGAACTCCCATTTACCCATCAAACAACCAGAAATAATCAAATTTTTCCATTTTTGAATTCTGTCTTGGAAACATCTTCCCTTGACCCTGCTCCTTTCTCCTCTTGACCAAGCCTGTCT
Organism: Homo sapiens; assembly: GCF_000001405.40. NCBI lineage: Eukaryota > Metazoa > Chordata > Mammalia > Primates > Hominidae > Homo > Homo sapiens. The sequence goes on along the minus strand of NC_000003.12, from coordinate 149,465,838 downwards.
CTCCAGTTCCCAGCCCCCTCTGATTTGTTAACCTCTTGCCATCTGGTTCCTGTCCCAGTCTCACTATGGCAAGTTCATCAGTGCCATTACCCGTTACTGAACCCCGTGGCCATGTCTCAGGCTTCATTCTCCTTTGACCTCCTTGCAGCGTTCCACTATTTCTGAGTCTCTTCCCACTGAGCAGCTGGAAGCACACTGGCTATCTGCGGAAGGACTTTGGAAGCCAGCACTCTGAAGCTTGTTCCCTCTCCTCCTCCCTTCTTCCCGGGACTTTCAGGGCTGTATCTGTTTTTCAAACTTATCACCATGTCAGAACCTCTAATCTTACCTCTGGGCCAGAAATGGAGATGGGACACTCCTTAAAAACGGTGACAGTATCTTATAGAAAGGTAAAGTCCTTAACTGTACCTAGCACGGTGCCTCCACTTAATCAAGGCACCATAAAATACGCGCTGATAATAGTGATGATGACGATAATGACTGCCACCGACATACAACTGTTAAACCAGACTATGGAAAATACAAGACAGGGGAGTGAGCTGGAAGTCACCCTGCCTGCCCACTTCCACACTGCACGGGCGGACCCTCAAGCACTGGAAGAGAAGTTCCGGGGCTGGGCTGGCCTGGCAGTAGGCGGCGGAATGGAGACACGGACCCAGGACCGGGCCTGACTCCGGCCCCACGCTGTCCTCTTCCTGGGATGCCGCAGGGCGGGGCCCTGACCCACAGCCTCCTTCTCACTCGGGCAGTCTCAGAGCCCGCGACTTCGAAAGTGAGGAGCTGCTGGCGCCGCGTGCTGCAGGCCAGGATCTGGTGAGTTTGAAGAGAGGCCCGGACAACCAACATGAAAACCCCTGCTTCCTTTTCCTGAAGTGTAACCCTGACGGAGGTGAAGAAATAGCTTCTATTGGCATTTTAAGTTCAGCAAGAAATACGGAAGTGTACCCAGGAGAGGAGTACTGTGGAACCAGCAGGGGCAAGAATGTTTATACTGTCCTGGATTACAGGACTGTGAGGACGTGGGAAATTGAAAACCCAAAGAAACAAAAAAAGTGTGTTTAAACCACGGACGATGCAGAACAAAAAAATGTCATTCCCACAACGTGCACATATAGTAGAGATGGAAATCTCATAGCAGCCGCCTGCCAGAATGGAAGCATGCAGATCTGGGACCGATATCTGACGGTTCATCCTAAGTTCAACTATAAACAGCCTCATTACTTGGGCACAGACACTTCTTGGCGTGACTTTTTCCTATGATGGTAATGTCCTTGCCTCTCGTGGAGGTGATGATTCGTTAAAATTATGGGACATCCGACAATTTAATAAGCACTTTTTTCAGCCTCGGGTCTTCCCACCATGTTCCCAATGATTGACTGCTGTTTCAGTCCAGATGATAAGCTCATAGTCACTGGTACGTCTGTTCAAAGGGGATGTGGCAGCGGCAAACTTGTTTGCCTTGAGCGTAGGACTTTCCAAAGGGTGTATGAAACAGACATCACAGACGCTGCCTGCGGCATCCAAGGCTGAACCAGATCATGGTTGGAACTGGAAATGATTGTCTAAAGTCTATTACAACCCCAACAAGAGTCAGAGAGGAGCAAAATTATATGTGGTTAAAACCCGGCGAAAGGGGACTAGGCAGAGCCATGGAACCGCTGCCAGGTCGCTGTGAGTCCACGCCGCCCCTCGCGCTGCCTGCCCACCCAGCGTCCGCAGCCGCCATGGGAGTGCAGGTGGAAACCATCGCCCCAGGAGACGCGCACACCCTCCTGAAGCGCGGCCAGACCTGCGTGATGCACTACACCGGGATGCTTGAAGATGGAAAGAAATTTGATTCCTCCTGGGACAGAAAAAGCCCTTTAAGCTTATGCTTGGCAAGCAGGAGGTGATCCCAGCCTGGGAAGAAAGGGTTGTCCAGATGAGTGCGGTGACCCGCCAATTTAGTGACAGCCAAACTGACTGTATCTCCAGATTATGCCTACGGTGCCACTGGGCACCCAGGCATCATCCCACCACACGCCACTCTCGTCTTCGATGTGGAGCTTCTAAAACTAGAATGACAGGAATGGCCTCCTCCTGTCATTCCAGTTTTAGAATGATCCAAGATCCAGATCCCTGTTCTTGGATCTGCCAAGGAGGGATCTGGTGCCTCCAGACGCGTGCACATGAATCCATATGGAGCTTTTCCTGATGTTCCACTCCACTCTGTATAGACATCAACCCTGACTGAATGTGTTCTGTCACTCAGCTTTGCTTCCAACACCTCCATCTCCTCTTCCCCTTTCTCCTCGTACGTGTGTTTACCTAAACTGTACGCCATAAACCTCAAGTTATTCATTTTATTTTGTTTTCATTTTGGGGTGAAGATTCAGTTTCAGTCTTTTGGATCTAGGTTTCCAATAAGTATATGGTCAAGTATTAACAGCACAAGTGATAGGTTAACTTTAGAATAGGAATTGGTGTGGGGCGGGGGTGGGGGTTGCAAGAATATTTTATTTTAATTTTTTTGGATGAAATTTTAATCTATTATATATTAAACATTCTTTCTGCTGCGCTGCAAAGCCATAGCAGATTTGAGGCACTGTTGAGGGCTCAATTATTCTCCACGTTGAGAGATGTCCTTAGGTTAAATTAAAAGCCCTACCTCAAACTGAGGTGGGGATGGGGAGAGCCTTTGCTTCCACTGGTCTCACCCCACCGTCCCCTTAAACCCTATGCCTTTGAAAGCAGATCATGTTCACTGCCATGCTGGACACTACAGGTCTGTCCCTAGGCCAGTGGGGACCTCTGAAGTCTTCTTTGTGGCCTGGCTTATGTATTTATTTATTTTTCCATCCTGTGGTTTTTCTAGTGGACTTTCAGGAATTTTGTAATCTCATAACTTTCCAAGCTCCACCACTTCCTAAATTTTAAAAACTTTAATTGACAGTTTAAATTGTAGGTGCTGTTTGTGACTTAACACCCAATGAAAGCCCAGGCATCATGACAAATCCTTGAATGTTCTCTTAAGAAAATAATGCTGGTCATCGCAGCTTCAGCATCTCCTGTTTTTTCATGCTTGGCTCTCACTGCTGATTTCAGTTTCCTAGCTTTTCCTCCCTCAGGCCCTTCTCACCCCCTTTGCTGTCCTGTGTAGTGGTTGGGTGAGAGAAATCATTGCTGCCTCACCCACCCCGGCACCATATATGGGTTTCAAGTTTTGTTATTGCAATAAAAGTGCTTTATGCTGGCTTTTCTAACAAACAAATAACCAGTGGGAGGCAAAACAAGCTGAGACACTAACCCAGGACTACATCATCGCCCCTCATGTCTTGCCTATGTTCTGTGAGCCCCACGAACGGAGTACAAGGAAACAGCTAGAGAAGGACAGACTGGATCCCCTGAAGTTGCATAAACCTGAACCTCCTGTAGCAGACCCAGGTTGTGGTGGGACCCACAAGGGCACTCTTTCTTTCTATATTGTGAAGAACATTGCTTTGGACAAGACTGACGACCGTAATCCTTGGGAAGCCATTTTGCATCATGCCAAAGCGCAGAAGACAACCCATATTGGGTTTCTCCAACACATTCCAAGACTCAGCCCAGAATCATGTTTGGCCAAGTTGAATCTGATGATGAGGAAGCAAAGAATGAGCCAGAATGGAAAAAATGTAAAATTTGAAGAATCTCTTTTGAAAACTGTTTGTATGAGTAGGAGGGAAATGTGACAGGTTTGGGTTTTCTTTTTAATACTCATGAAATTAAAAATTCATTTTTATGAAAAAAAAGAAAAAATACAAGACAGGATCATTTATCTACTTCTTGTACCTTTAGTTTTGGTCCCTTTTGGATTAACCATCTATCTAATTACCTAAGCTGCTGAGGCTAAAATGTATATGCTCTTGTGATTCTTATGTATTAATAATTTTGAATGCATTTTAAAATTCAACTTAACACTTAAAGTATTATCACTTGTTGATAATTGAATTGAGAGCTACTCAAGTTCACAAATGCAACTGGCAAGGTGGGGTGAGTTGGGGGAGGAAGGGCTTGAAGAGAGGACTAAGAAGGAGAGACGTGATTCTATTTGGTTCAAGCATAATATTTCTCTCCACCACCACCACAAAAACATAAACACCTGAAAAATACCATCATACAGAACACTTTCTTACAGTCTGGACAGTTATGTTTCAGACAGGGATGTGACACACAAGAAGCTTCAGCCATGTTCCTCTGCTATGTGCATGTGCTGGCTGGGAGGCCCCAAATCAGTACAATCTCATCCACCACCATCCGTGGGGTCTCCCTCTGCCCAGACCCAAGATACCTCTAGTATTCATTCACTGTGAAGTCAATGGTGCCTTCAAGTACTGCCTGCCAACCCCATGGTTTATTCACCAGCTCTTTAGTGCAGGCAAAGAAGAGAAACAAAAAGATCTCCAAAACTCCCTGGCTGAAGGGATTTGCTTCCTGCTTTGTTCTTGTGAAGATGCCTGGGCGTCATCCCACATAAAGCTACCTTCTCAGAGTCAGTGATGTAAGTGTGCCTTTGAGGCCAACTTGCCTTCAATCTTTTTGAGAAACCTTGCTGGGATATAATGGAAAGGGTCCCTGGGTATAAGTTCTGGCTCTACTGCTTAGTAACTGTTGCCCTTGAGAAGTTACTTAATCTCTCAGAGTCTCAGTCACTTCACCTATGAAGCAGAGTAATTGGTTATCCAGGGTTAGCCAATTATTAATCCGTTTATAGCATTGATTACATATACTATCATACACAAAACTTTATTTATTTTGTAAAATGAAGTCCAGGATTTGGCATCATATACTAAACACTGACTTTTTTTTAACAGAAAATATTATCAGATATTTTGAATAGTCCAGGCAAAACTATAGTGTATTCAGTTGAGATCCTACATCACATCCTCACGTCATCTCATGAGTGTGTATGTGTATGACTATCTTTCAGTATTCACTGTGTGTTCCTATCATCATCTTACTCGATCCCGCCAATGAAGTGGGCAGGCCAGCCAGGTAGGGATTATTATAGCCAGTATTTTTTATGAATGAGGAAACTGAGGCCAGAGAGGTCTAGAGAGTAGCCAAAGTTCACACAACCAGCAAGTGGCAGAGACAGAATTAGAGTAAACATCCTCTGACTTCTGGGCTAGGACTCTAGCTGCTGCCATGCAGGGAAAAACAGAATGTCCATAGCAGAAAGCTTGGCAGCCACGTAACCCCAACTACCAGCTCTAACCATATATGGCCAAGTCTCCTGCTCACTCAGCCTCCTTCTTCACCACCCACTCAGGTAAAAGTGACCTGAAGAAATACATATAGGGGATTTAATTATTACATTATTATTAATAATAAGTGGTCATTTTGTTGACAGAATATTGTCTAATATCAGGATTGGAGATTTTGCATTTTCTTCTGTGTTGGTTAGTGATTGTTGTGTAACAAATCAGCCCAAAGCTCAAGAGCTGAAAGCAACATTGGCAAGGCCAGAAATGACCTTGCAGTCTCAGGCACACAGCTGTCCAAAAGCTGAGGCCCAAGCAGAAAAGCAGATTGTGGCCAACTGCTGCTAGAATGGAACTTGCTTTCTGCCTGTGGCTCACACATTCTCTCTTTGATTCCCCAGCTCATTCATAAGAATTTCTTCACTTTGAGCTGCCAAAAGGCCGCAGAGAACTATTTTTAAATGTGAAGAATACTCTGAGAAAAATCATGTTTTTACTTTTTACTGTTTCTTTACTATGAAGCTGGTTATCATGCCTCTTAAAATTACTCCTGTTTTCTAAAACTGTTGTCCATTTGCAATTACACCATTAAACGAAAACTCTTTCTCCTCACATTTCTATAGAGGAGCAAATGTGACATTGTGGTGCACCAAGTTAAAACACTTTTTCTTTCTTCATTTCTTCTGGTAAGGAAAAGCAGATGAAATGATATGTCTGGGGATTTGCGACACTAGTGTGGGTGGGTGCGGAGACACAGCAACAATTGGCCAAGGAAGCTGGTGATTGCTACGGTGAAGGAGATAGATGGATTCATAACACAGCTAAGACTATTTTACTCCCTAGAATCAGAGACTGACAGAGCTAGAAAGTTATCTAGCCCAAACTAGTTATATTGTAGATAAGATAATGGGGGCCTGGTGAGATAGTGCCCAAGGCTACGCAAATGTGGGTCTTGAACTCCAGCCCTTCCCACATCCACGCCAGTGTTGCACAGGGTCACTTTATACTGTATTCCTTAATCTTTCCTGACTCATATGTCATAATTTTACTGTCATCAAAAGTTTGAGAACTGTCTTTAAGCAACTATGTTGACTTGGATCTCAATAAGAATGCAGACAAAGAGAAGACTATTTCATTTATTTAGGTCATAATATAATTTTGTAAGCAAAAAGTACAAAATGCACAATAGATATGTGCTTTATATATAATGTAAGTGTTCAGTATATATATTTAAAATATAATTACTTGGAACTTTCTCAAATTAATTCTCCCTTTGTACACACACACACACACACACTTCAGGTTCTTGATTCTAAACTCAAACAGCATATATTTTTCTTTTTTCTGGCACTTATTACCTCCTACTTTGTATTTAATTTACAAATTATGATATGATATGTCATATCATATCATATCATATCATATCATATGTCAATTTTTATACTTTTAGTAGAAATGGGGTTTCCCCATGTTGGCCAGGCTGGTCTCAAACTCCTGACCTCAGGTAATCCACTCGCCTCGGACTCCCAAACTGCTGGGATTACAGGCGTGAGCCACCGCACCCAGCCTGGACCCACACTCTTTTAAAAAATTGTAGCAATATATATATTACATAAAATTTACCATTATAATCATTTTAAAGTATACAATTCAGTGGCATTAAGTGGCATCCTTGTGCAACTATCATCAGTACTCATCTCTAAAACTTTTTAATCTTTCCAAGCTGAAATTCTATACCCATTAAACACCAGCTCCCCATTCTAGCCTCCTCCCAGTCCCTAGTAACCACTATTTTACTTTCTCTGTCTGTGAATTTGACTATTCTAGGTACCTCATGTAAATAGAAGCATACAATATTTGTCCTTTTGTAATGGATTTATTTCACTTATCATAATGTTTCAAGGTTTATCCATGTTATAGCATGTGTCAGAATTTTATTCCTTTTAAAGAGACTCGTGCTTTTTTTTTCAGCAGCTAGAACAACTAAGCTTGCAAAAATGATTAGTTAAAATTGAATTGCTCTCCTCAGGTGATTTGGCAATGGGCAATCCAGGGTATTGGGTCCACAGTCTGTCACCGTGCTCACCCTAGCAGGGATGGGCAGTACCCTGATGCTACTCCACTCTCAACGAGTTGTCCTGTCTAGTCAGGTTTCCTCAGTGATATGGTTTGGCTTTGTGTCTCCATCCAAATCTCATCTCGAATTGTAATCCCCATGTGTGGAGGAAGGGAAGTGATTGGATCATGGGGGCAGTTTCCCCCGTGTTATTCTCATGACAGTGAACAAGTTTTCACAAGGTCTGACAGTTTTATAAGGGGATCTTCCGCCTTCATTTTCTCTTCTCTCTTTCCTGCTGCCTTGTGAAGAAGGTACTTGCTTCTCCTTTGCCTTCCACCATGATTGTAAGTTTTCTGAGGCTTCCCCAGTCATGTGGACCTGTGAGTCAATTAAACTTCTTTCCTTTAAAAATTACCCAGCCTCAGGTATGTCTTTATAGCAGTGTGAAAATGGACTAATACACCTGGCATGGCTCCCCTAGCCTCCAGAGTAATAATGCCCCTTCCTTATTAATCTCAATTACCAACACCCCCCTTCCTTTGTTAATTTACATTACCAACCCTACCACAATCCCACCTGCCCACACACCAGGCTGTCCATCCTGAAGTATTCAACTTGGTCCTGCTACTGTGTTCTTCTTTGATCTCTAACCTGTTATTGATAAATAAACTTCTTGGTCTCTTCTGCTCTTGATATTCAATACCAAGTTTAAGTCTACTTTTGATGGTGAGTTTAAAAACTTCATTCAGAATATCATTTACTCTGTCAGGGTAAATTTAGATCATAAAGAATAATGTTGACAGTAATAAGGGTAGAAATGGGGAGTCAGCAAAGAAAGACTTAGGTTTAATATACATTCCAAATATCATCCTTTCACGGTCATGTCTTTTTTCTTTTCCTTCTTTCTTTTTTTTTTTTTTTTTTTTTTTTTGAGACAAAGTCTCCCTCTGTCACCCAGGCTGGAGTGCAGTGGCGTGATCTTGGCTCAGCGGAGCCTCCACCTCCCAGGTTCAAGGGATTCTCCTGTCTCAGCCTCCTGAGTACCTGGAATTACAGGTGCACACCACCACGCCCGGCTTACTTTTGTATTTTTGGTAGAGATCAGGTTTCTCCATGTTGGCCAGGCTGCTCTTGAACTCCTGGGCTCAAGCCATCCACCCACCTCCGCCTCCCAAAGTGCTGGGATTACAAGAGTGAGCCACTGTCCCTGTCCCTTTCACAGTCATTTCTGACAGCTAAGCTTTTGGGAAGGGAGAAGAGAGGTCATTCTTCTTGACAAGTATTGGAATTCAGTTATTCTGTGCTAATAATTAAAGTCTGAATCTGGTTTAAAATCCAGTTATGAGAATCTTGGTGCATAATGAAGACACACGCCCAACATAGGTCATCTCTGCTTGGTGATGGCCAAGCCAGTAATAAGAGGCAAGGCTAAGATTTCTCTCTCCAAATAATTTGTTGTATTTTATATGATTCAACATAATTTGCCATCATTTAGCCAAGAAAGATTTTTAGGTGATTATTACAAAACACCCACCATGGTTTTAAAAAACAGCAGCAGCGTCAAAATTAATTCAATGAAATATCCACAAATATTTTGTTTTGTGAAAAGTAATGTCCTAGTGCCCAGTAAGTTTTTTCAAATGCAGATTGAGATCCAGTAGGGAGTCATGAGCTCAACTTAGAAGGTCAGTATTTAATTTTAAAAATGAAATAAAAATAGAAGGAAATAGAGAATACTGGAGTACATCACAATTAGTAAGAATAAATATTGTTTTGTTAAATTTTTAATCTGGTAAGGTATGAGTATGTGTGTGTGTGTGTGTGTGTGTGTGTGTGTGTGTTATATTTTGTGGTATAGTTTATACTGAGTATAATGTGCTTCTTACTGAGGGTTCCAGCAGAGGAGAGTAGTTTGAGAAATTTTCCTTGTTAACTGAATGAACAGATTGCAAAGCAGTCCAGCTTACTGCCCTCTACAAGTAAAATGTTGCCAGATATCTACTCAAAATGCATTTGATTATAGAGTGGGCAATAATAAATACGTAGCAAGAATATCTTACATTTTCAGATACTCTTTGTTTTTCTTCATTCAAACATGATTTTTTTTCTTCTCTAGAAAAGGATTTTAAAAAGCTTATAAACACTTGAATATAATATAACATAACATACACACTGTAAATAATGAGTGGTAAAAATAATCCAAACAGAAAAATAGGTTGAGAAGGTGGTATGGAACCAGGACTGAAGGTAGCAGTATTCAGTAAACTCACACACCCTGGAAAGTGGTAAAACAATGAAAAAGGATAGGAGTACCCTCTGACATTTAGGACTGACTTGACATTCACACCTAGACCTCAATGCTATTACAAGTTGGTCTGACACACACAGCCAGGCCATGTTATTTTCCTCTTGAATATAAACAATCTCACAGAATATCTATATCTAACGAGGTCACTCTTAGGCCATGATAAAGTGAGACAAAAATAAGGTCACTGTGCAACACAAAATAACAGATATTTTCTTCTCTTGCTGAATGAGTGACAGTGACTTCTTTACCAATGACAGCTTTAATGTCTCCCTAGGCTGTGTGTTCCCCACAGATAAGACCTATCGAGATTCCCAAAAGTAGGATTGCCTCCACTTACTGATAATACCCAATCTGGAGAGAACCCTGTTTTCTTAGACTCTCCCTAAAATTACTCAACCAAACCCCAAATTCTATACCGGGTTGTTTTTGACAACCCTTTTCTGAGATACTCCATGACACTTTCATGGAGTTTTCAAGGTATTTTCCCTTACTGCAGTTTGTGAAAAACCCAACTTGTTCAACTACAGGTGTCTCTGGCAGTCTTTGTCTGAGAGTATAGATAACAGCAAAGCTGATTGTCGGCACCATGTCTTGCATGGGACAACAAAAAATCTCATTAGAAGCGCCTTTCCATCCTTCAGAGAGTGTGTAGGTGTGTTCATATGTGGGGTATGTGTAGGAGGACAGCAGTCGTAAAGAGCTAGCTTCATGGAGCTTTATCACCTCAATATCTTTTGGACTGAAAATTATCAGTTGCTGAAACTTAAAGAGTACCCAGAGTATTTTCAGGTGTGGTAATGTTTTTAGTTGTGTTTTTAAAAAGTACTTATCTTTTAAAGATAGATACCAGAATAGTTATGGATAAAGCACTGTGATATCTAGCTAAGGCTTGCTTCGAAATCATTTAGGGCAGCAGGGAAGTGGATTAGGGTGTGGAAGAAATAAGACTGGTCATGAGCTAATAATAATTGAAACTGGGTGATGGTCCTATTAAAGTTTATCACTATATTTTCTTTAACGTTAAAAATTTCCATAGTAAAAAGTAAAAATAAAAAGATCTCTGAAGTCCAATTGCTCATTTGTGTTTCCAGTTTGGGGAACACCAAAGCTAAATGAGGCTATGTCTGAATATGCTGAGAAGCAGGGTGTTGGAATTTAGTAGCAGATTCCAGAGTTTTGTGTGGGTGTGGAGGTGAGGCAGGACAGGCTTTGGAAAGATGTTATTCAAGGGGAGCAGAGAGTTCAGGCAGATTTCAAGCCAAATGTATACTCCAACTGCAACATCCATCTGAAGGGTTTGGGCAATCAGGTATGAGGCAACAAGGAAGGAATCTGAGATGCAGGAACAGAGCAAGGAGGTCTGAAATAGTGAGTGGAGATTGAAAGCTAGATATACTCCTTCAGTAGAGCCTGGCATGCCTGAGATCATGTCTGCTGCTGTGGAGGGAATTCTTAAAGAGAACTACTTAGTTGGTATTGCTTGAGTCACAGAATCAAATAATTTTGCTTTTTAAAAATCGGATATCATGATTTTTCTAAGGTTCGACACTTAAAAATCAAACACCATGCTTGTGAAAATAAATTCCTAAAATTGCTTTCCATTTTAATGGGGCTGACTTTTTTATTTCATCATTAAATATTTCTGGAGAGAAGGAACAATTCATTCATTCAAAGAATATTATTGAGCATCTAGTATATGCAAGCCTCAGACCTATGTGCTGGAGATAAATAATATCTGACTATATAGAGCTTAGGCTCTGGTGAGGAAGATAGAGGGTAATCCAACAATCATACAAATATTAAATTACAAACTAAGGTAAGTGCCCTGAAGAAGTACAAGGAGCTATTAAAGCATGTACCTTATTCTTTTTAGAAGAATTACCTGAATAACTCATTGGAATCTATAATTACTGGAAACATAGAAGGAAATAGGGCAGTATCAGGAGATGGGAGCAAGAGCAGGCATTTGGTTTGAATGATCAGAATTCTTGGTTTTTACTCTAGAGACAGAGCAATGAGTTACACAGTGACAGGCTCACATGGAGGATAAAATTTGCTGGCTAAAAAAAAAAAGCCCAAGGTGACAAAATCATCTTAGTCGTGAGGAAAACATAATCCGATACAAAAATTTGCCCTTTTTTTGGGAATAGTTTTAATTGGTAGGAACTCAGAAGCCTGAGGCATGTGGTAGATGATGTCTATCTTGCACTTGGTTGAAGAACTTCCAACTAAAAAATAACACAAGTAAACATCTTGTGTTTCTACGCACATGAAACTCATATATCTTATCCATCAGTGGTAGCTTGTCTCCAAAGACATTCACCATTAATCCCTTCCCTTTGTGCACATACATGCCATTCCCCTATGGAGAGGTGGAAACTACCCCTCCTCCTTCTTGAATCTTGGCTGGTCTGTACTTGCCTTTCGCTATCAGAATATGGCATAAGAGACCTGGGCCATTTCTGGGCTAAGGTTCTAAGATTATTGGTAGTTTCTGCTTCCTGTTTCTTCCTTTTCTTAGAGCATTAAGTCACCATACAGTACATCTAGACTACTCTTCTGGAGAAAGACACCATGTGGAGGAGCATGGAGGCAATAAAATAGAGGGTGAAGAAGCTGTCTTGGAAGCCCAGCCCAGACAAGCCTCCAGATGACTCAACTGCTGACTGCCATTGCATGAGAACCAACCAGCCAGGTTTAGTAAATCTTCAGAACCATGAGAGTCAACAATACATTGTTGTTTTAAGACCCTACTGATATGGTTTGGATCTGTGTCCTCATCCAAATCTCATGTTCAATTGTAACCCCCAGTGTTGGAGGTAAGGTCTGGTAGGAGGTGATTGGATCATGGAGGCAGTTTCTCATGAATAGTTTAAAGCACCATGACCTCAGTGCTGTTGTCATGATAGCGAGTGAGTGAATTATTGTGAAATCTGATTGTTTAAAAGTGGTAGCACCTCTTCCCCCACTCTTGGTCCTGGCTGATAACCAATTGAAACCCTTTTCTTTATAAATTACCCAGTCTCAGGTATTTCTTTGTAGCAATGTGAGAACAGACTAATACAGAAAATTGGTACCAAGTAGTGGGGCATTGCTATACAGATATCTGAAAATGTAGAAGCAGCTTTGAAATTGGGTAATGGGCAAAGGTTGGAACAGTTTGGAGGGCTCAGAAGAAGACAGGAAGATGAGAGAAAGTTTGGAACTTCCTAGAAACTTGTTGAATGGTTGTGACCAAAATGCTGAGAGTGATATGGACAGTAAGTCCATGCTGAGGAGGTGTCAGATGGAGATGAGGAACTTATTGGGAACTGGAGCAAAGGTCACTTTTGTTATGCATTAGCAAAACACTTGGAGCCATTGTGCCCCTGCTCTAGTGATTTGTGGAACTTTGAACTTGAGAATGATAATTTAGGGTATCTGGCAGAATACATTTCTGAGTGGCAAAGTGTTCAAGACGTGACCTGTCTGCTTCTAACACCCAATGTTCATATGCATGAGCAAAGAAATGATGTAAAACTGGAACTTACATTTAAAGGGGAAGCAGAGCATAAAAGTTTGAAAAATTTGCAGCCCAGCCATGTGTTAGAAAAGAAAAGCCCGTTTTTCAGAGGAGAAACTCAAGTGGGCTGCAGAAATTCACATAAGTAAAAAGGAGATAAGTGCTAATATCCAAGACAATGGGAAAGGCCTCAATGGCATTTCAGAAACCTTTCCAGCAGTACTGCCCATCACAGGCCCAAAGGACTAGGAGACAAGAATGGTTTCATGGGCCAGGCCCAGGGTCTCACTGCACTGTGCAGCATCAGGGTCCTGGATACTCCAGCTCCATCCGTGGCTCAAAGGGGCCCAGGTAGAGCTTGGGCCACTGATTCAGAGGGTGCCATCAATAAGCATTGGCAGCTTCCACGTGGTGTTAAGACTGCAGGTGCACAGAGTGTAAGAGTTAAGGCTTGGGAGCCTCCACCTAAATTTCAGAGGACGTACTGAAAAGCCTGGATGTCCAGACAGAAGCCTACTGCAGAGGTGGAGCCCTTACAGAGAACCTCTACTAGGGCAGTGCAGAGGGGAAATGTGAGGTTGGACCCCCAACCCAGAGTCCCCATTGGGGCTCTGCCTATGCCTAGTGGAGCTGTGAGAAGGGGGCCACTGCCCTCCAGACCCCAGAATGGTAGATCCACTGGCAGCTTGTACCCTGAACCTGGAAAAGCCACACTCAGCACCAACCCATGAAAGCAGCCACAGGGGCTGACTCCTGCAAAGCCACAGGGGTGGAGATGCCCAAGGCCTTGGGAGCCCACCATTTGCATGAGAGTGCCCTGAATGTGGGACATGGTGTCAAAAGAGATTATTTTGGAGCTTTAAGGTTCAATGGCTGCCCGGATAGGTTTTGAACTTGCATGGGGCCCGTAGTCCCTTTCTTTTGGCCAGTTTCTCCTTTTTGGAATGGGAGTGTTTTACCCAATGCTGGTACCCCCATTGTATCTTTCTTTCTTTCTTTTTCTTTCTTTTTTTTTTTTTTTTGAGACAGGGTCACACTCTGTTGTCTAGGCTGGAGTGCAGTGGTGTGATCTCAGTTCACTGCAACATTTGCCTCCTGGGCTCAGCCAATCCTCCCACCTCAGCCTCCTGAGTAGCTGGGACCACAGGCACACACCACCATGCCCAGCTAATGTTTGTATTTTTTTGTAGAGATGGGGTTTCACCATGTTGACCAGGCTGACTTCAAACTCCTAGTATCAAGCAATATGCCTGCCTCAGCCTCCAAAAGTGCTGGGATTACAGGCATGAGCCACCATTCCAAGCTCCCCCATTGTATCTTGAAAGTAACTAACTTGTTTTTGATTTTGCAGGCTCATAGGTAGAAGGGGCTTGCCTTGTCTCAGATGAGACTTTGGACTTTGGACTTTTGAGTTAATGCTGAAATGAGTTAAGACTTTGTGGGACTGTTGGGAAGGCATTATTGTATTTTGCAATTCAAGAAGGACATGAGAATTGGGAGGGCTCAGGGGAAGAATAGTATGGTTTGGATCTGTATCTGCACCCAAATCTTATGTTGAATTGTAATCCCCAGTGTTGGAGGTGGAGCCTAGTGGGAGATGATTGGATCATGTGGGTGGTTTCTCATAAACAGTTTGGTACCACCCCCTCGGTGCTGTTCTTGTGACAGTGAGTGAGTTATCATGAGATCTAGTTGTTTAAAGGAGTATAGCACCTCCACCATCTCTCTTTCTTGGTTCTGCTCCTGCCATGTAAGAGATCTGTCCCCACTTTGTTTCCCACTATGAGTACAATCTCCCTGAGGCTTCCCCGGAAGCAGATGCTGCCATATTCCTCTATAGCCCATGGAACCATGAGCCAATTAAACCTCTTTTCTTTATAAATTACCCTGTCTCAGATATTCCTTTATAGGAATGCAAGAACAGACTAATAAAATTACGTTTTGGGGTGATTTTGGCCATAGGTAACCAGAAATTATCTTTAACTGCAAGTACCTACAAAGAGCATAGCTTGTGCTCCACAAATGCTTATTTTTAAAGTTAAATTTGGGTTGAGCTATCTTTCTTTGTAGAACATTCCAGATCTCTCCAAATTTTACTGTGGCTTTTAGTAAGGGGCCATGATGAGAATGTAGCAGGATTGGGTAAGTTGTCTAGCACATTCCAATTGGACCTGTGTGAAATGGCACTGGACAAGGGAAGACTAATATTTATTGATGCTCTATTATGAGCCAGGAATAGTACCATGTGCTTGACATGTGCTATCTCATTTCATTCTCAAAACAACCACACAAAGGAGATGATGTAATCATCTCTATTTTAGAGATGGAAAAACCGGGGCCACAAAGTTGCTGAATGGCAGAGCTGAGTTGGTAGATCTGTTTGATTTCGATGCCAGTTACCTTGCTTGAATGTGTCCCTCATCTGGAGGAAATTCCACAGAAGTATCCTATGGAAGTTACTGAAAAGTTTATGTTAAGCAGATACAGATTCCTTGGAGCCTGACCTGATGCTCTGATGTTTACTTTTCTTTGTGTGAGTGTGAGGAGAGGTGTACTTGAAGGAGGAGTAGGTATGATAATGGATATATTAGAATTCATTCGTGTTCCCTGGGATAAGATCTTGGTTCTGTCTCCTCCTTGCTCTCCACAGAAACACCCCCTGCCATATCAGCCAGGTCAGAGCTGCAGCAGGCTCCAGCAACTGTTTGAAAGTCTTGAGCATTGTCAGATCTCGGAGGAGATCAAAAGAAACAGTCAAGCCGTATGGAGAGGGGAGGAGGCCAGAGAGAACTGACCTGCCACATTCTTTCAGACCTCCAAGCTGGCAGGAGACTGCATTCCCTGAACACCACTCCTAAACCTCCTGGATACAGCAGTCTCCACCCTGGGCCCAGAGGCTTCTCTGGGGGAAAGAGGCAAAGACACGCCAGGTGAAAAGCTCTGATTTGGATCAATCTTCCTCCCAGCTTGAGATGCTAAGATGTCACTTTGCAACACAGTGACTTCAACTTCTGAAACCTCAGCATTATTTAATATAGAATTACATATATCACCCTGGTTTAGGGCTTGCAGAGGAAATACATATTCATTATGTTTAAGACATTCTTAAGATTATCTTCCTTCCCCTTCAGAAAGTTTTATGGTTTTTTTTTTCTTTTTAAGGACTTAGCCTCTTGCTTCCAGCTTTAGTTTTATTTTTGCTTTTCTTTCCACAATTAGGTTCAGGAAAGAAAAATACATCAAGGCTCTGTCCCATCCTGTGGAGCTGGAAAATTTCCTTAGAAAGAGTCTCGAAAGGAGGAAAACAATGTTTTTTTACTGAATTAAATAACCTTACGTTGGCCATCTGGAAAGATACTTAAAACTATCATCAAAAGGACAGAGTCACTACCACAAAGGCGGAAAGACTTGTCCAGTAAGGGGCCATGATGAGAATTTACAGGGCTGAGAATTAACATGTGGTTACAGGGCTTTTTTCCATAACTTAGTTTTATATCCCTGAGGGCATCCCCCTCAATTGCTAGAGTATGTAGCAGAAGAAGGTCTCAGTCTAAAGCAAGTGGAAGCTACCTTTAGGCTGCTAGTCCAGCCAGAAGCCAGGTCTTGCAGGCCTTTCGCCAGCTCTACTGCTAAATCACAGGCTTCTTTTAAGAAAAATTGCTTCTATGTCACAGTTTACTTTTCTATAAACAGCATAGGCCAGGCGTGGTGGCTCACACCTGTAATTCCAGAACTTTGGGAGGCTGAGGTGGGAGGATCACTTGAAGTCAGGAGTTCAAAAGCAGCCTGGCCAACATGGTGAAACCTCATCTCTACTAAAAATACAGGCATGGTGGCACACAACTGTAATCTCAGCTACTCAGGAGGCTGAGGCAGGAGACTTGCTTGAACCCAGGGGGTGAAAGTTGCAGTGAGCCGAGATAGCACCACTGCACTCCAGCCTGGGTGACAGAGGGAGACTCTGTCTCAAAAACAAAACCAAAACCCAGCATAAACCTCCTATATAAAACAGTATCAAGCCCAGGGGTCTGAGGCATGATTAACACGTTTGAAATCATTGAGCAAGCTAATTCTCATGAAGATTAAAAGATAGCTATGCATTTTCAGCTTTGTTTTTCTTTTGTGCTTAGTCATCATTAAACCACAGGGCATTTTGCATTTTTACAAAATGATTTTATGCATTTTAGTCATTCTTCATAAAACACCATTAGGTAGAATAATATGAGAAGGGAAGGAAGAAGAGGAAGGAGAAAGGGGGAAGGAAGAAGCAGGGAGGGGTCCTCAAGGAGCTATGTGAGTTAGGTAAGTCATAGGGGAAGTCAGAACTGAAGGGGAAGTCACACTGTGACCTGGAGGCTTTAGTCTCTTCGGCAGGAATATTTCACTTGTCTTCTTGAAGACTTGATGGCATCATTGTACAGTAGCTGATTGGGAAGTTCTGCTCTTCAAGTCAGTTGCTTCCTCGGGATGGGGAGATGGGTAGGTCTGGAAGCCCTTCCATTTTCTATGTCATACTCCTGAAGCTTGATACCCGTGGTTGCATTGCTTTAAACAACCATTAAATCAAGTACTAATTTTGATCACCATAGTTTTTGCTCCCCAAATGTCTCTGCTTGTTCTAAACCCTATAAAATTGTCCTCCACCCACAGGCCTTCTCAAACAGCCTCCTCCTGGGCTCCTGCTTTCCTAGACAGAACCATAATAACATCTGATTAATACCTATTCTACTACAATTATCGGCCTACTGCAGGTGGCAGAGTTATTTATGCATTCAAATAGGTATTCGTGTAGCTATGGTCACCACAAATCTTTGTCCCTCCAAATATTAACCAGGATTTATTTGGTTCTTACTAAGTCCCAGTCATTGTTCTAAGTGTTTGATAAGAATTACATCACTTAGTTCTCATAACAACTTTATGGAGTAGGTAATATTATTATACCCTATATACAGATGGGGAAATGTAAGCACAGTAAGCTACCCAAGGTAATGCTTTTAGAAAGTGGTGGGCTGGGATTCAAGCCTAGGTAGTCTGTTTCCAGAGTGGTTAGCCTACTGTAATACCCTGCCTTCCCAATAAAGAGCAAGCCTCTGTGTCATAATCACTGAGTTTAATAAATATGTGTGGAATTGAATTAAATGAAAATATTTTTGGCAAAGAGTCTTGCAACCTCTGTATGTTTTCAACACACAGTGGGCCTTGATTTCAGGAAAATGTCTGAAAATGAAACATGCAGGAAAATGACTGGAGGTGAGAAGAACCACATGTAGTATTAGGTTGGCGCAAAAGTAATTGTGTTTTTTGCCATTGCTTTGGCAAAAAAACGCAATTACCTTTGCTCCAACCTAATAGAAAGAACTCTGGGTTTAGAATCTAAAACCTGGCTTAAGTCCTACCCATGACACTTAGCAGCTTAGAACCCTTGGATAAAGAAATTAGGTTCATTGAGTCTCAGTTTTTTCATCTGTCAAAGAGGACTAACATTTTTTATCTGTCAAAGAGGACTAATCTGCTTCAAATGGTTGTTGTGAAGGTTAAATAAGGCAATATGGCCAGGCACGGTGGCTCAACGCCTGTAATCCCAGCCCTTTGGGAGGCTGAGGCAGGCAAATCACTTGAGGCTAGGAGTTCAAGGCCAGCTGGGCACAGTGGCTCACACCTGTAATCTCGCTACTAGGGAGGCTGAGGTGGGAGAATCGCTTGAACCCGGGAGGCAAGGTTGCAGTGAACTGAGATCATGCCACTGGACTCTAGCCTGGGTGACAGAGCAAGACTGTCTCAAATATGTAATATGTTTGTGTGTGTGTGTGTGTGTGTGTGTGTGTGTGTGTGTGTGTGTGTGTGTGTGTTTCTTTCCTTTTTTTTTGAGCTGGAGTTTCACTCTTGTTGCCCAGGCTGGAGTGCAATGGCACAATCTCAGCTCACTGCATCCTCCGCCTCCCGGGTTCAAGTGATTCTCCTGCCTCAGCCACCCAAGTAGTTGGGATTACAGACACGTGCTATCACTCCAGGCTAATTTTGTATTTTTAGTAGTGACAGGGTTTCTCCATGTTGGTCAGGATGGTCTCAAACTCCTGACCTCAGGTTATCTGCCCGCCTTGGCCTCTCAAAGTGCTGGGATTACAGGCATGAGCCACCACGCCTGGCCCATGTGTTTTATGTATTACAAAGCATCATACAAATACTTGCTTAATTTAAAATAAAATTATAGAAACTATATATTTTTAAAAATTACTAGAAAAAAATGGAATGGAAAAAGAAAAATGTCTTATTTTCCTTGATTGAAAATATAATTTCAGTTCCAAGGATAATGACTTTGTGGGTCTTCAGCAGACTTTGTATTTTATACATCAGATCTGGCAGTTTCCAACTTGGCAGTTAGACACAGGGTTCAGATTTCAACAGCAGTTTTATTCCAGTGGGGGCATCTGAAGAGGGTGAAGTAGAGGTAGTTTTTCTAACTCTTCTCTAAAACTGAACATTTTAATTTTGATTTATTTAATCATGTTCATGTTTAGACAAAACCTTGCTCCTATAGAAAAGTCTGACTTTCTCTGTTTGCCCCATAGCGGTAATAAAGTCACCCTGAAAATACTTCGTTTGGCTGTGGATCTCAAGTTTAAAAGTTTCCCCTCTTACAGAAGGAATAGAGTAGAAAAATTGTAACTTTAAAACAGAAATATCTCTATCCAAAGATTGCTGGGACCAAAATGGCATCCTTTATACAATAGACTAATTTTTTTCTTTTTTGATTTGTTTCTCTTTTAGGAAAATGATCATTTCAGGAACTGTGAAGTGTTAAAGAGAAAGTATATTAGAACTATTATGAAGTCACAGGAGAAGCCATATGAGTTGTCAGTGGTTGCTGTCTTTGCTACCCTTTCTTAATGATGCTGGCTCCCATATCTCAGCTTCAACTAGAGTCCTTTCATAGAATTGTCCCTCTCCCTCTCCCTCCCCCTCCCTCCCCCTCCCCCTCCCCCTCTCCCCACGGTCTCCCTCTCCCTCTCTTTCCACGGTCTCCCTCTGATGCCAAGATGAAGCTGGACTGTACTGCTGCCTTCTCGGCTCACTGCAACCTCCCTGCCTGATTCTCCTGCCTCAGCCTGCCCAGTGCCTGGGATTGCAGGCGCGTGCCGCCACACCTGACTGGTTTTCGTATTTTTTTGGTGGAGACGGGGTTTCGCTGTGTTGGCCTGCCTGGTCTCCAGCTCCTAACCGCGAGTGATCTGCCAGCCTCGGCCTCCTGAGGTGCTGGGATTGCAGACGGAGTCTCTCATTCACTCAGTGCTCAATGTTGCCCAGGCTGGAGTGCAGTGGCGTGATCTCGGCTCGCTACAACCTCCACCTCTCAGCTGCCTGCCTTGGCCTCCCAAAGTGCCGAGATTGCAGCCTCTGCCCGGCCGCCACCCCGTCTGGGAAGTGGGGAGCGTCTCCCTGGCCGCCCATCTTCTGGGATGTGAGGAGCCCCTCTGCCCGGCTGCCCAGTCTGGGAAGTGAGGAGTGCCTCTTCCCGGCCGCCATCCCGTCTAGGAAGTGAGGAATGTCTCTGCCCGGCCACCCATCATCTGGGATGTGAGGAGCGCCTCTGCCCGGCCACGACCCTGTCTGGGAGGTGAGGAGCATCTCTGCCCGGCAGCCGCCCCGTCTGGGAAGTCAGGAGTGTCTCCGCCCGGCAGCGCCCAGTCTGGGAGGTGGGGGGCAGCCCCCACCTGGCCAGCCGCCCCGTCCGGGAGGGAGGTGGGGGCACCTCCGCCTGGCCGCCGCCCCGTCCGGGAGGTGGGGGGCGCCTCTGCCCGGCCGCCCCTTCTGGGAAGTGAGGAGCCCCTTTGCCCGGCTGCCACCCCGTCTGGGAGGTGTACCCAACAGCTCATTGAGAACGGGCCATGATGACGATGGCGGTTTTGTCGAATAGAAAAGGGGGAAATGTGGGGAAAAGATAGAGAAATCAGATTGTTGCTGTGTCTGTGTAGAAAGAAGTAGACATAGGAGACTCCATTTTGTTCTGTACTAAGAAAAATTCTTCTGCCTTGGGATGCTGTTAATCTATGACCTTACCCCCAACCCTGTGCTCTCTGAAACATGTGCTGTGTCCACTCAGGGTTGGATGGATTAAGGGCGGTGCAAGATGTGCTTTGTTAAACAGATGCTTGAAGGCAGCATGCTCGTTAAGAGTCATCACCACTCCCTAATCTCAAGCACCCAGGGACACAAACACTGCGGAAGGCCGCAGGGTCCTCTGCCTAGGAAAACCAGAGACCTTTGTTCACTTGTTTATCTGCTGACCTTCCCTCCACTATTGTCCTATGACCCTGCCAAATCCCCCTCTGCGAGAAACACCCAAGAATGATCAATAAATACTAAAAAAATTAAAAAAAAAAAAAAACGAATTGATGGTGTGTGTGTGTGTGTGTGTGTGTGTGTGTGTGTGTGTGGCTTCTCAAAGTAGGAATCATATTCATATTTACCTTACTCTGCATTGTTCATATAAACACTCTGGGATCCACACTGGTAGCCCCATAGCCAGCCTCTAGGAGCATCTGGCCAAAACTCCTCCAGGTCCACTAGAGTCCAGTGGGATTCTGGGTGGATCCTTTGGGCGTTCCATAGGAAATTATTTCTGTTTCTCCTATGGCTGATGCAGAGCTTTCTGTCTCTCTCCCCTAAGTGCCTTCCCTACCTGCTACAGAAACTCCATCTTTTCTGAGGCTTCCTGGAACCAAAGTTCTGGCTTGAATGACACTGACTTGGGATTATGTTTGAGTGACTTCCCCACTGTAGAGCATCAGCTATCCCATTACTCTTCTCTACCTCAGTGTCTAGGTCCCATCGAGAGTCCCTACACTCTTTGAACCTATAGGCAGTGTCCCTCCTTAGGAGCTAAGAACTGGAGAAACAGGACCCTTGCCATATCAGTGTTAAACAAGAGGGCTGCCATACTAGGAGTAGCCTCTTATAATAAATAACAGGGGGATCTACTATGCCTGGAGGAGGGAGATGACACCACCTGTTAGTCACCGCCACTCAGTCGTATCTGGGGGCTGGCATGGTAATTAAGTGCTCCATATCATACCATGTTTCCTGTAACCTTTGTTCAGTTCTTAATAATTATATCATGCTTTTTTTTTCAACTTAGATAAGAACATATCACAGGTGTATTTGTAAGCAAAGTTCTTTTTTGAAAAAAGATAGGTAATCAATTCATGGGAAACCAATGTTATGAACTCAAAAAAGGAGTTAATATAGGCAATGTTTTCTACTTGTGTTTATATTTTGAAGTTAGAGATTAGTGACCTTAACTGGAAGCTTGGGATCATTGCCTTCACAGAGTTCGGAGCACAGTGAGGATATTTTTGTAAGCACCATGCAGGCAAGAGAGACTAAAACGCCAGTTTGTGCTTATAATTTGCATGGTAAGGTTTGGATCCAGACAGAACCAGAAAAGACAGTTGGGGAAGGTGACTTCATCAAAATCTACATTTCATATTCCTGCACACAGCCATTTGGAAAGAAAAAAAACATACATGAACAAACAAATGAACAGACCCGTTTTCCCATATGTCCTAAGAACCTCCCACTGCATTGTTGTTCTTTGCCCACGCAAATCTCTGTGTGGATAATATTTTAGGTAGTAGTCAGGCCTATGAATACAAGACAGTGGCAATGCAGGAAAAGAAGTATGTTTTACTGCTGCTAAAAATAACTAGAGCAAGCCACACTTCAAGATGACTAATCAGCTCAGTGTTCTCTAATACAAGCTAATTACTTCCTTCTTTTTAATTGCCTATTTATATTTGTAGCCTTCACTTATTACTGAGGGTTGATGTAAAAATGTCATGGGGGTTGGCTGGTAGAATGTGTCACATGAAATAATGTGGTTTGAATGGAAGAATCTTTCTAATTAAAAGATTAATTAGAGAAAAGTGATACATGGGAAGGCAAACTGGCAGCTTTCAGATCCTGAAGAGTCACATATGCACACTTTAGCTTATTATTGAACGGCTTGAATACAGTTATAAAAGCTAAAGTCTTTATTTTTCTGGGGGTGGTACTGCTTTTAATAAAACTTCAAATTATCTGTGATTCTCTTATTCCTGGCGGAGAAATTTGAATGTGCTTCTTAATAGAATCGAAATACACATAGTAAAATGTTAAGATCAAGTACTTCTAAATAACTTTTTGTTTTTCAGTTGTAGAATCTTCTTTATTAAATTCGTTTGTTAAATTTACATTTATTCTGTGTTGCTTCCAAAGAAATATCCATGGAAAGTTAAAAATGCAAGGAAACCATGGTTACACTCATCAGAACAGGGTTACAGAATTACTACCATATATCTTCACTATCTTCAGAAGATTTATTCTGCATGATTGATTGCAATTATATGTAGCATAAGGCTACTGTGAGCTAATCACATACCTATATACAAAGTAACATTAAGTCATAATTTCTAGAGCTGAAAATCTGGTGCACCAGAGGCTGAACGTTTGTGACTGCTGGAGATTGTTATTTTGGAAAGTACCATGATTTGCTCTGTAATGATGGGACTATACACAGACTGAAAGTAGCTGGCATTCCTGTCCAATGTGGAACTCTACAGTACACATATTTGAGACTAGAGAGGAACAAAAGGAAAATAAATGAGTAGACAATATGTATAAGAAAAGATAAAAGGAATTAAGATGGTTTGGTTCAGAGATGAGAAGGCTAAATGGAAGTTCAATTTTATGAAGCCTCTACTATTGTATTGTCAATATTGGGAGGTGGCCACTTTATCTTTTCAGAACTGTGTCTCCTGAAAGCCATGGCTCCGAAGCCATCTTTAAGGCAGATTGTGATGGCTAAACTACATTGTGACATGAAATGCCAAGAATGATGGGCTCTTAACATGCAAGAGTAGATACAAAGCAAGCTACTGGCTTGAATAATGATTTTTGTAGTGACTTAAAGGATTTCATGTCCAAATTTGGATTGTTTCATGTTTATTATTGTTAGCATTACTGGGTGCCTACTAAGTGCATGACATTTGGGGAATATGACAGTGTCATTTAGCTATTTATGTAATGAATGTATTCAGGGAATATACAAAATGCCAACACTTACTGAGTATTTTTTGTTAATGTTTTGCTTTTTGTGTATATTAACCCATTCACTCAATATAATTGCCCTGTGAAATAGGTACAATTGTATTTCTCATTTTACAGATAAGGAAATTGTAAAGGCTACATAACCAAAATAACCAAATTACTGACAAAGAATAAATTACTTCTATAAAGTCTCATAAATAGTAAACGGCATAATTTGGATTCAAACCCAGGCATTCTGGCTCTCTAACACTTGTGCTCTTAATCTCTCAACTATATTGATTAGATACATATATATATGATTATATACACATACACACATATGCATATATATGGATAAAGAGTAATTTAAAATTTCACATGCAGAATTTGATCAAATGTAGATGGCCTACAGATGCCTATTCTGAAAGCTGATATTAGTTAATAATTACTATGAGGATAGAATACTGTGAATTACCTCCTTAATAAAGAACAATTATCCCTCCATCCCTCCTTCCCTCCTTCTCTCCCTTCCTTCCTTCCTTTCTTTCTTTCTTTATTTCAGAAGGTTTGTGATTCTTGTTTTGCTTGTGAAACATAGTCTTTATATTTTGAAATAAAAAATCCTACCCTCTTTCCTAGTTATTTTAAAGGGTGGTAATTATTGTGATTGTACCTGTCATTGAACTTTGAAGTGTTACTGATTTGGTGGCTCTGGTTCTAATTATAACATAAAACCAAAGAAGGTTTATGACTTCCAAGGGTGATAAGGTCTAGAGATAAGGCCTCAGAAGAATATCCTTACTGACAGAAATTCAAACTAGTTAGGATAAATTGTGAGATCACTCAGTATCATCTACTTTTAGAGATTCTTTGTGACTTGCTACTGTCATTCTGTGAACTTTAGCCATACTGAATTCCTTGGGCTATTAAAGCCAAAGTAAGGAAAAAAATTCAAACCATATAAAATATAGCAAAAAATATGACTGTATAAGCAAATATTTAGCCAAAAAAATACATGTCTAAGTTGTTTGTTTGTTTTGGGAATGAAATAACACTTTATGGTTAAAATTGCAATTCTCTTTTTATCTTTTCCCAGCCCTAATTCCATTCATCCCTTCCCAGGGTTAATGCTGTCACAAATCTGCTGTGCATCTTTTAAGTCTACATTTTCATATATTTTTCTATTTTTGTATGTAAAAACAAACTCTCTCTATATATCTGTATATATATAGAGAGAGAGTATAATATATAGAGAGAGTATATGTATATAGAGAGAGTTTGTTTATATATATAATAGAGAGATAGAGAGAGAGAGTGTGTGTGTGTGTGTGTATATATATATATATATATATATAGAGAGAGAGAGAGAGAGAGAGAGAGAGAGAGAGAGACAGAGAGAGTATTCATGGAGGGTTAGTTTCAGGAACCCCCAATCCCATGGATACCAAAATCCACAGATGCTCAAGTCCCTGATTTAAAATGGCGTAGTATTAATGTTTGCATTAATCTACATGTAATCTACACATATCCTCCCATATACTTTAAATCATCTCTAGATTACTTATAATACCTAATACAATGTAAATGCTGTGTAAATAGTTGTTTCACTTTATTATTTAGAGAATAATGATGAAAAAAGAAAAAGTCTGTACATGTTTATCCACGTTTTTCCCTGAATATTTTTGATTCCAGTTGGTTGAATTAATGAATGTGGAACTCACAGATACTGAGGGCTGACTATGTATAATATATTTTGTGATTTTTGTTACACTTTTGCATAAATATTATGTTATACATGTCATTTTGGACCTTACTTTTTTATTTAGTAATATTTTATAATATCTAACCCTGATGGTATGCAGTTCACATGAATAAAATAAATTTTATTAATGCATCTTCCTAATGGTAGACATATAGAATCTTTCTAGTTCTTTAGTTCCTATATAGTTTTAAAAATTGTGTTTATAAACATCTTTGTCCTAATTTTTTATCCTTATGCACATGTGAGAAAATTTTTCTGGAACATTTACATAGAAATGGACATGATGGGGAATAAGTGTGTTTTTAATTTTACTAGAAATTGGAAAATTGTTTTCTAATGTAGCTGATCTAATTTACACTACACTCCCATCATGAGTGTATGAAAATTCTGGTTTCTTTACCAATACTCAGATTTTTAAGATTTTGTAAATCTGATAGATGCAAAATGGTATCTCAGAAACTGACTTCCTTTTAAAGTGAATATAAACATACTACACAATTATCACTAGAATAACTACAAAGTTTTACAAGGTAGGAAATTAAACACTCTTATATAACATGTTCTGCATACTTCTCCATTTGATAAAGGTAACATATCTTATGTAATGAATCTCCTAGTGTTGAACATTTCTTCTTTTCCTTTAGGATAAATTCCTAGAAGTAGCATTCCAGGGTTAAAGGGTATGAATGATTTAAAAAGGGCCAGATAGTAAATATTTTAGGCTTTGTGAGACAGATGGTCTCTATTGTAACTATTGTAATGTGAAAGCAGCTATTATACTATGTAAATGAATGAGCCTGACTGTGTTCCAATAATACTTTATTATGGACACTGAATTTGAATTTTGTGTAATTCTCACATATCACAAAAAGTTACTATTCTTTTGATTTTTTTCCACTATTTAAAATGCAAAAACCATCCTTATCTCATGGGCTACACAGAGACAGTGGTGGCCATAGGTTTGTCAGAGATCTTAATTGCAGATTCTGATAGAATATCAGAACTGGATGAAACCTTAGGAATAAATTAGAGCAACTTCTTCCTTTTAAATATTAAAAAAAATAAGGACTAGAGAGTGTAAAATGTTGACCAAGTTTTCTGCATTATTCATGGAGACATGGAATATCAATAGTACTGAGTCAGAAGAAAATAATTTCATCACCTAAAGATGAAAAGAACAACCCCAAAACACTTAAAAAGGTATGTTTAAAGTAGGTAAAAGGTATGCAAAATTTCTGCATTCTTTCTTTTTTGTTTTAATTTTATTTATTTTGAGAAGGAGTCTCACTCTGTCACCCAGGCTGGAGTAAAATGACATGGTCTCGGCTCACTGCAACCTCCGCCCCCCGAGTTCAAGTGGTTCTCCTGCATCAGCCTCCCACGTAGCTGGGATTACAGGTGCCTGCCACAATGCCTGGCTAATTTTTGCATTTTTGGTAGAAATGGGATTTTACCATGTTGGCCAGGCTGGTCTCGAACTCCTGATCTCGTGATCCGCCCTCCTCGGCCTCCCGAAGTGCTGAGATTACAGGAGTGAGCCACTGCACCTGGCCCACTTTCTGCATTATTTCTTACAACTGCATATGAATCTATAATTATCTCAAGAAACATTTCAATTAAAAATAAAGATATGTTTAAGCTAACAAAAATCAAATTTTCTAGAAATCACATCCTGCCCTAGGAAGAAATCAGGAAACAATCTTTCATTCTAAATAGCATTTAAAATGTCTCATTAGCAATCATTTAATTTCTTGATGTAGAAATCAATGCTATAGCCTGTAACAGTTAACCTCATAGATGCCAAATACCGAGACAGCACCAAATTTACATCCCCTTAGAAATAAGCATGCCAGGGAACTCAATGACTCAAGTCACTGCCCTTTATAAAGCCTGTTAAGGGAAGTTTTATAGCTAACTCTTGTTAAGAATAAACCTGGTCAATGAAGGCCACTCCTAGGACTCTTGAAGCCAACAGGGAAACCTCTGTGCTGCATTCCCTGTTGGCAGTCATGACAGTACTTTGCACTGCAGTAGAACACCCTGTGACCATCTTTATGTGACAAAGGCAAAGATAGAGAAAACTTCAGTCTCTGTGGAAATGCAGTCATGCCTACTACAGTGGGGAAAAGCCCAATTCCAAACCATCTGCAATGGAAATAAAATACCAGATGTCTCTTTGCTATTGGTAGGTCTCCTGTAGAAGACAGGCCTATATGGGATCTCCAAATAGGCCCACATATTTTGGAATTTTTAAATTATATACCAAAGAAGCAAGTACAAAAGGAGGATTTCTTCATACATTGGTTAGAGAGTCTCACAGTTTCCTGCAATCTAAAAATTGATTTAAGAATTGTTTGATTGATCGATGTATTTATCTATTGACTAGTTCATTTATCACACAACATCGTTAGGCAGGAGCCATGAACCTTGCCCTGAGCTAAGCACTACTTGAAGTTACAAAACTTCATTTCAGGAAGACATAGAAGTATCTGACGTTCTGGGTCTAAATGTGGCTAGGACACATCCACCTGCAGCAACCAAATTTCCATTCACTAGTTCAACAGTGATAAGGTAGAATAAAGTAACTCAAATATGTTTTAAGGTTCTCTAAAGCCTTCCAAAACTGTGTGCATAGTCTTTTCTGTTAGGATTCTCTGCATGGATAGATGGATATTTTGTGTCTCTACAGCAATGCAGACTCCCAAATAAACTTTCACAAGTTACCTCATTTAAACCTTTCAAACTTTTCTTAAGTAGTCTTGCAGAGTGAATATTGTTTATCATATTTGAATTTAAGGAACTTACTGATGTTTACCCAGTTCTTGAAGCAACCAGTCATTGAGGCAAGCAGTATAACAGAAATAAAACATGTACTTTGGGCTCAAACTGTCCTGAATTTGAATTCTGTGTTTGCATTTATAACTTAAGGCAGCTTGGACAAATTACTCAGCCTCCTTGAGTCTCAGCCTTCTTGTTTGCTAAATAAGAATAATGTCCATTGCAATGAGTTGTTATGAGGATTAAATGAGACAGGTTCTCAGTTTTCCCACTATAGGCTCAGTGTTAGAGGTTAAATTGTGTCACCTTCAAAATTCATATATAGAAGTTCTAACTCATGTACCACAGAATGTGGGCTTCTTTGGAAATAAGGTTATTACAGATGTAATTAGTTAAGATGAGGTCATTAGAGTGGGCCTTAATCCAATAAGACTGGTGTCCTTAAAGGGGAAATGTAGACACAGAGGCATACATACAGGGAGAACACCATGTGAAGATGATGATGCAGGGCAGGCTAAGCCCCTTGGGGATGCAGGGCAGGCTCTGCCCAGGAAAGAATTCAAGGGTGAGCTCTGGTGGTGGTAGACAGCAACTTTTATTGAAGCGGCAGTAGAGAGTATCAGCAGAGGTACTGCTCCCTGCAGAGCAGGGCTACCCCATAGGCAGTGTGCCCAGAGTAGCTCAGAGGCAGTTCTTCAGGCATGTTTATATCTACTTTTAATTATATGCAAAATAAGAGGAAGATTATGCAGAAATTTCTAGAAAAAGGGTGGTAGCTTCTGAGTCATCAGGTCGTTGTCATGGAAAAGGATGGTAACTTCCAGGTGCTGCCATGGCAATGGTAAACTGACATGTCACACTGGTGGGTGTGTCTTACAGAAAGCTGCTTCCACTCCATCCCTGTTTTCAAAGCTAGTCTTCAATTTGGTCCAGTGTCCGAGCCCTGCCTCCAGAGTCAGATCTTTCCTCCTGAGTTGTTCCTACCTCCTGCCTCAAAGGCAAAGATTGAGGTGATGTTTCATAAGCCAAGGAATGCCAAGGATTGCCGGCAAACCACCGGAAGCTAGGCGAGAGGACTAGAACAGATTTTCCCACAGCCCTCAGAATAAACCAACCCCTGACCAAGCTTTGATCTTGGACTTCTGGCCTCCAGAATTGTGAGAATACATTTCTATTACTGGAGCCATCTAGTTTGTAGTACTTTGTTGCAACAGCCCTAGCAAAAGAATACACTCCGGATTCAGTTTTCTCTCTTCAGAGTCAGTTGCTATCTGTCTTGCTTCTGAGCTTTCGTACTTTTGTTACTGTTGTTCTCTCCCATGTTCTCCACAGCCTTATGGGCTTATGCTTGAATACAAAACAAAACCCAAACCCTTAGGTGTTATTTAAGTGAAGACTTGGAAAGGGATGCATCTAGCTCTTTGCACTCCATTTGCCATTTTCCCTGGAAGTGTGGTTTTTAAAAATTATTATTTGCAAACATGGATCCTTCCTTTTCTCTCCAGTATTTTCTTAGAGAAACAAAATGCCATTGTTAAAAAAAAAATTAAAATTTCTCCCAAGGGGCTAGGTTCTGCTTGGAGGAAGAAAGCAAATCATTTTTAATGGGGAGATATCTCACTAACATCTTTCTTCTGTTTAAAATAGATGAAGACAGTTAAAACTCTAGACAGGTAGGGGTGACAGGGAAGTGAGAGAGAGTTGGAATGTCCATATTTTTGCCTGTAGAAGATACTTCTATCTCCCAGGAAGGAGATTCGAACCTGTAAATCTGATTAATGATTGCTGCAATGTCTATTTAGCCAGCAAGTACTCAAAGTCGCAAGTCAGAAAAAAAGCAAAGATATGACAAGGCATATTTAAAACCCATTTGATAAGGACATGATTACAGGTTTAATAAGATATAAATGATTGAGTGGGTCAGATTTCATTTTGGGTATGTCAACAATTATTGCAGTAAGGATTTCCCAGACTGGAATTAATTGAAGTTGTTATTTTGACAACTTAAAAATGGAAAGTTCTTATGTTACATCTTAAAAATTCCTGAAGGCTTAATGAGAATTTTCTTCATCTGAATAAATACCATTATTTATTTATTTGTTTATTTTTGAGACAGCTTCTCACACTGTTGCCCAGGCTGGAGTGCAGTCATGTGATCTTGGCTGACTGCAGGCTCTGCCTTCTGGGCTCAAGTGATTCTCCTGCCTCAGCCTCCCGAGTAGCTGGGATTACAGGCGTGCACTGCAATACCTGGCTAATTATTGTATTTTTAGTAGAAATAGGGTGTCACCATATTGACCAGGCTGGTCTTGAACTACTGATATCAAGTGATCCACACGCGTCAGACTCCCGAAGTGCTGAGATTACAGGTGTGGACCACTGTGCCCACCCCCCATTATTGTTATATGGCCTTCTGAATGATAGTAACAGAAATAATAAAACACTCTACTTACTGAGCATTAATATGTGACTATGTTTGTTATCTATTGCTGAATAAAAAACCATCCCAAAGTATAGTTACTTAAAACAACAACAAATTATTTCTCACAATCCCAAATGTTGTAGGGGCAGTTCTGTTGGTTTCACCTGAAATTACTCATGCGGCTGCATTCAGCTGGCAGATTGACTGAGGACCAGAATCAGCTGAGGCTGTGGTCAGGGTACCTCAGTTCTCCTCCATGTGGCTAACTTGGGCTTCCTTACAGCATGGCAGTCACAAGCATTCCAAGAGGGATTATTTTAAAGGAGAAGAAACAGCCTTCTTAAGGACCAGGCTTAGAAGTCCCAGAATCATTTTCACTGATTCTGGCCATCAAAACTAGGTCACACTTAAAATTTCCTCAATTGATCTCAATACTTGTTGAATATTATCTCTGGGAATAAATTTCACTAGATTCGCCTTCTATACATTCATATATCTATATTTGTCTTTTTCTTTTTTAAGACAGTTTTGCTCTGTCACCCATGCTGGAGTGCAATGGCACAATCTCGGCTCACTGCAACCTCCACCTCCTGGATTCAAGTGATTCTCCTGCCTCAGCCTCACGGGTAGCTGAGATTACAGGTGCCTACCACCACGCCCGTCTAATTTTGTAGTTTGTAGTAGAGACGGGGTTTCACCTCGTTGCCCAGGCTGATCTCGAACTCCTGACCTCAAGTAATCCGCCCGCCTTGGCCTCCCAAAGTGCTGGGATTACAGGCGTGAGCCACTGCACCCAGCCTATTTGTCTTATTTTTAAAAGGGGCAAAAACCATTTTGAGTTCTGTAATCATGAAAGTCATTTAGAAGTACATGTAGTAAGTGTGTTGTAAGTACTGCCGAATTATTAATTTCCACAGCAATAACTAAACATGCCACTTGCATCTTGACCCAAATTTTGTAAATGTCCCCATGCAAATTTTAGAAACTAGAAGAAAAAGAAATTATCAGGCTGCCCAGATTCAAGGTGGAAGGCAATAGACTCTACCAGTTGGTGTGAGGAGTTGTATGTGTGTACCGGGTGGGAGGGATTATTTGGAGGCCATACTGGAGACTATCTACCACAGACAGGCACTGCGCTTACTGCCTTATATGCAACTTCTTATTTAATCCTCACAATAACACTGTCAAATGATTACAATTGATCTTTGAACAACGTGGGTTTGCGCTCTCTTCCTTGGCGCTGCCTATGCAGTTGGCAGCCATCTCCCACTTAGCATCAGGGCCACACTCGGGCTCCTCACGAAGCCCATGATCATCAAAACCAGGACCAAGACGTTCATCTGGCATCAGTCTGACTGATATGTCAAAATTAAGCAGAAACCCCGTGGTATTGACAACAGTGTTCGTAGAAGATTTAAGGGCCAGATCTTGATGCCCAACATTGGTTATGGGAGTAACAACAACAATAACAAAAAAGCACATGCTGCTCAGCGGCTTCTGAAAGTTCCTGATCCACAGTGTCAAGGAACTGGAAGTGCTGTTGCCGTGCAAGAAATCTTACCGTGCTGAGATCACTCGGTGTTTCCTCCAAGAACAGCACAGCTATGGTGGAAAGAGCAGCCCAGCTGGCCCTCAGAGTCACCAGTCCTAATGCCAGGCTGTGCGGCGGGGAAAATGAACAAACAGCTCATGTCTACGTTTTATTTGTGTTTAAATACAACCATAGGAACTGGAAACAAACAAACAAACACGGGTTTGAACTTTGTGGGTCCACTTATGTGTGGATTTTCTTCTGCCTCTGCCACCCCTGAGACAGCCAGATCAAGCCCTCCTTTGTTTCTTCCTCCTCAGCCTACTAGGCATGGAGATGAGGAGGTTGAAGACCTTTATGATGACCCACTTTCAATTAATGAATAGTAAATATATTTTCTCTTTCTTATGATTTTCTTAATAACTTTTCTCTAGCTTACCTTAGTGTAAGAATATAGCATATAAAACATATAACACACAAAATATTGAGTGTTTATTTTACCGGGAAGCCTTCTGCTAAACAGCAGAACTATTGGTAGTTAAGTTTTGGGGAAGTCAAAAGTGATACATGAAGTTTTGACTGCACAGGGGTTGGCGCCTCTAACTCTCACGTTGTTCAAGGGTCAACTGTATGGTTTTTGCCATTTATCAGTAGAGATAGACTTGATGGGCCCTAATGTTGCTTCTAATTCCTAATGTTCAACTATAGCCAGGGCTTCTCTTAGAACAAATGAAGGTCTTGCCTTTTTGCCAATTTTGAAAGTAGAAGGAACTGCAGATTTAAAGTTAGTGAGCTGTGGGTCTGAATCTGGCCCCATTACCTGCTAGGAGTGTTTCTTATCTTTCGGTCTAGAGTACTTCATCTGTGAAGTGAGAATGCCAGTATCTTTCTTAAAGGGTTCTGACAAGGATTGAAATACAACATATAAACTAAATATATAGGGTTGGGAAAGAGGGTCAATGGTTTTAAACATTAGCATTAGGGAACCAAATATATTTACACACGGTTCACTAGCATTCTGTTAATGATTCCTATTCATTTAGAAACAGTTTATAAAAAAAGACAAATAAGAATTGGGGGTGACTTAACCTGTTCCAGTGACCTATTTCTATGTAATAAACCACTCAGATTTTCATAGCTTAAACCAACAGCTTATTATTTCTTGTAGATCTGTAGATTTAACGGTGATAAAAACTTCTTAAAGATTTATTGTTGTGGCTTTCTTTGGAAAAGACAATCTACAGTAAAATCCTGTCTAGATTCCTCATGATTAATATCTAAAAGTGGTGTTTTCTATGAGCCCCTCCCTGTTGTCTCACTATAGTTATTTTGGCAGATTCTATCACCTGTTATATCTTTAACTAGGAAAACCTTTTGAGAATCCAAAGGGGTCCTGTGTCCCTGTATCACGGTGACCAATCTCTTTCAGAAGCTGAAGAACATCTACAGTAAAGATTGACCAATGGACTTCTGCTTCAAAAATCTGCCCTGACTCTGTGTGTGTGTCCTTAGTAACAGCTCTTAGCCTCCCTGAACTTCAGCTTGTTTCTCTGGAAAACTGGGGTAGGAGAGTGGACTGGAAGGGTCTGTAAAGTGCTTTCCTTAGCTGATATTCTATGATTTAAAAAAAATAATTTGGCACTACATAAGGCAGAAATATTTCATAATCTAATTATTGCAGAATCCTTAAAGGTTAAGAAAATGTATACTGGAAGCGGTACTGTAACGCAGAAACCTGCTGTCAGTGTAAAATGGTGTCTTGGGTTTGTATAGCACTCGAATAACTGCAATTGGCACTAGTTTATTTTTAAAATTTTTAAAAATCACCTTTCTCAGGTTGAATATACTATTTCAGTTTGATAAAAATATCCCAGTAGTATTTATTAAATAAAATCATTTACAATGGTTTCTTTCTAATTCTAAAAGCTTAATTCTATGTTAAAGTTTGACTTACATCTTGAGACCTTAAAAGATACAGAAGTGTACTCAGTTTTACAGAATAGAGGGTAAGAATTAGAGAATTATCTCTTTTGCATTACAAGCCATTTTGTAGAAAGAAAAATACAGAGCCAGAGAAAGACATTTTATTAGGAACATTAGGCCAGGTGCAGTGGCTCATGCCTGTAATCCTAGCACTTTAGGTGACTGAGGCAGGTGGATCACTTGAGCCCAGGAGTTTGAGACCAGTCTGGGCAACATGGTGAGCCCCATCTCTACTAAAAATACAAAAATTAGCTGGTTGTGGTGGTGGTGCGCATCTGTAGTCCCAGCTACTCAGGAGGCTGAGGTGGATCACCTGAGCCTGGAAAGTCGAGGCTGCAATGAGCCATGAATACACCACTGTATTCCAGCCGGGGTGACAGTGAGACCCTGTATCAAAAAAAAAAAAAAAAAAGAAAGAAAGAAAGAAACATTTTCGCATTAAGTGTTTCTCAACACAATTCTCTTGAGTGTTTCTAGGAGAGAATGACCACAATAACGAGGAGTTTAGAAATTACAGTAAATGAATAGTTAAAGGAACTAGAATGTTAGGTTGGAGAATTTGGGGGACTATACTAATTGTCATCAAACATTTAGAAGATGTCATCTGCTGAGAAAGGCATTTTGGGAAGCTCCACTTGATAGAACTAAGAAGTTACTAAACTTAATAAAAAGACTTCAGTTCAATATAAGGCATTTTCTAACAATTATAGCCCCTTTTTCAGGACTACTGCCCTTGAAATGGAAATGGTAGTGTTTTTGTCACCAGATATGTTTAAACAGAAGCCAGATGGTCCCTTGGTAGCCATGTAAAGGCCAGGAACGGATAGTGCACAAAAGAGGAAATATAAATAATTCATAAGCTTATGGAAAAATGTTCAACCACACTGGTAATTAGAGAAATGCAAATTCAAACTTTGATAAGATACCACTTTTTATTTATGAAACTGGTGAAGGTAAGAAAAATAATATTCAAGTTTGATGGAGATTTGATGAGCCTCAGCCTCCAATGTGGTGGGTGAGAATATAAATTTGTTCAGAATTTCCAAAAAGCAGTTTAACAACGTGTGTCCAAAACTTAAAAAATGTTTAAACCACACTATATGGATATTTGGCCATATTAAAGAATAATTATTAATTATTAGATGTAATTAGGGTATCATAAAGAAAAAAATGAAAAGCATTTTCATATTTTAGAGCTATGTATTAAAGTATTTACAGATAAAATAACGATGTCTAGAATTTGCTTCAAAATTATCCATTGGAGATTGGATGGGCCTGCATGGAGAGTAGATGGAAAGTGACTGCTTGTACTGTATGCTGATCACTTTTGATGCTGGGAAATAGGTACATTCTCTCCATTTTTTATGTGTGTAAAAATTTCCATAAAATGCAAAGATAGCAATAACAAAATGCCACTTCACATCCTCTGACCTAAATAATATTCCATTTAGGAGTATATCCTGATGAAGTAATCTGAATGGCATACAAAGCTTTATGCACAAAGGTAATTTCTGAGTGTCCCCAGCCTCACTATTCTGCAGTGTCACTCACCTGTGTAAACCATTCAGTGGCATCCCATTGCTGTCAGGGTTAAATCCAGAAACTTAAATCTACTTGCAAGCCCCTCTGACCTCTGCTAACCTCAAGTTGCCAGGTGTCCCCAAGCACTCTATGACCCAAAACTTTGGCCTTCTTTTAAGAAATACCTTTCATGCCCTCCACCCTCCTTTTGGTCAACTCCTACTCCTACTCAGAATCCAGGTTAATGCTGCTGCTTTAGGGAGGCATTTCTGTATCCCCAGATAGAATAGATCCTCCTACTACGTGCTCTCAAGGTATCATATACATCCCTCTTGCAGCCCTTTTCTTAATTCTATTTAAGTAGCGAAATAGATAATTATATAATTAGTTGTCCATTGACTGCCCATTCCTATCAGTGACCTCCACTCTCTTACTCACAGCTGTATCTTCCATAATTCCCATATATATCAGGAATTTAATAAATATGGGTTGGACTAATTAACTAATAAAAGTAATCTAAACACAATTCACCCAGCCAAACCTTGTGATTACTGAACTGTCCTCCTTGGTCATATTTCTGAGTGTTAAAATGGTATGGCAGATTTTTAGCTTTCCAAAGGCAATGGTACAATGCAATGCTTTAAGGAGGGGTGCCTCTTGTTCTTTTCTCCACCTCAGACTTTTGGTAGTAAATACATTTTAGAACTAGGGGGTGCTTCCTTTGCTTTATGAGAAACCACATCTCAAACTGTTATTGAATGGAAACCACCTTTATTCTATGGCTAGGACCACTTTGCACAGTGGAGCTGAACAGAGAGAATAGAGAAAAACTCCAAGATGCCAATATCTTGTCAGGCAGTAAGTGCCTGAGAGGGTGACATGGATTGGCTCTGTGTCCCCAGCTAAATCTCAGGCTGAATTGTAATCTCCAGTGTTGGGAGACAGACCGGGTGGGAGGTGATTGGATCATGGTGGCGGATTTTCCCCCTTGCTGTTCTCATGAGAGTGAATGAGTTCTCCTGAGAACTGGTTGTTTGAAAGTGGGCAGCACCTCCTCCCTCACTCTCTTTCTCCTGCCATCATGTGAAGACCAGGCTTTCTTCCCCTTTGCCTTCCACCGTGATTGTAAGTTTCCTGAGGCCTCCCCAGCCATGCCTCCTGTACAGCCTGCAGAACTGTGAGTCAGTTGAACCTCTTTCTTCATAAATTACCTAGTCTCAGATAGTTCTTTATAGCAGTGTGAGAACGGACTAACACAGAGGGTCCGGTGATTAGGAGTAAAAAAGGGAGAACTCCAAGATGCACAGTGTGAATCTGGCTTTAATTCTATTAGCTCAGGAATATACATTCTAGGGACAGCTGCATTCTCTTGGCTTCTGGTCTAAGGTAATGATGTCAACAAACTGTAATCAAGGAGAAATGTTCTTGTTAATTAGGTAATGAATGGGACTTTGCCATGCTCTGTATTAAATTACTTTAATATCCAGAGCAAAAGAGGCTTATTTCTGGCAAGCTCACTTTCAGAATCTAGACAATGGAAATAAGAGCCAATAGAAAAAATGCCCTCTAAACTTTACTGCAGTTCTTGGTGGTTCACATGGGATGCTGGCTCATTTTTTAAGGAGCCCAGCCCCTCGATCCAGGTTTGTCTGATTGTTTCTCACAGTTAGATTCAGATTAAATATTTTTTTTGGTAGGAATTCTATATAGAAGATGGCAGGAAACACGTGATGCCACTTTGTAATCTACTCCCATCCCTCACCCCACTCCATGCACACTTTAAAATAAAGGACACTCAAGCAACCTAGTAAGACTAAGCCTTTGAGAATCCACACACCCTTCTTTATTTTCAGCTGAAGATTGTATTTAAGTCTGAATTCAGAGCCACTTCCTTGTGTTACTTATTCTCTGAGTTTCTCATATATATAGAGAGAGATAGATAGATGATAGATGATAGATAGATAGATAGATAGATATGAATGTACATAAATGTCCATATTTCTCTTTTGTTAGTCTGTATTTTTTTACAAGGGACTCAGTTGAGAACCTAGAAGGGTAGAAGAGTAGAAGATTTTTCCTTCCCTACAAACCAAAAGGCGGCTTTTTAGTCTTTTATATTCTGACCAGGCCAGACACTCAAAGGTTTTGTTTATTTCTGAATAAACAAAAATCTGGGCTCACCATTGAGTTGGCTTTTTCAATTAACTTCCATAAACTTTGGATTTAGACCTTGGACATGCTCACCATAAAGACCCCAAGGTACTTTTAAAGACCTTCCTGAAGAGAGAGATTATCATTTATTATGAAGAATTGCCCAAGTGTTGCACATAGGGAAACATGATGCAAGGAAAGAAAAATACATAAACAAGTAGACATTCTCAATATTGAGCAGCTTTCTTGTTTAACAGAGTGATGTTATTGCTTTCATTCATTCATTCATTCAAACAAGTGGTTATTGAGCCAGGCACTGTTCTAAGTGCTGGGTTATACCTGTGAACTAAACTAACAAACCATCATTTTCTTCCTACTGTAACAAAAAGATTTGTCTCTTTTTTTTTTAAAGTAAATGTTTGTGGCAGATTAAAAGACATTTCCTCCTGAAAATGCATCCTTGCTATTTCTGTGCTTATGGACATAAATAAGCACTTAGAAAATTACTCTTGAGAGGATATGCCAGGAAGTTGATGCTGGTTATCTATTTTCCATGGGAAGGCAGTGCTTTCAGTGTTTCTACTTGTGTGACTGGCATTTTTCTCTGTTTTCCATGTGTTACCATGTTTTTATGTAACCACAAACTTGTATTCATTTTGCTACCTGAAAAATGAAAATCTTGTCTCTTAAGAGCTCTGCTGTAGGTGAGGTTTCCCAGGGCCCAGGTGCACTCATCCTGAGTAGTGTGGAGGAAAGGAAAACTCCGTCATTCACAGGGGCGGGAGAACAAGAGTCGGCTTGTTTTTTTATTTTTATTTTTTTAAAATATCTTTAGCCTTATCTGTATAGAACAACTGAAGTCATGAAGATACCCTAGTTTAGTTACAAATTTACTTATTTTCTGAGCAAATTCTAGCATGCAGTAAGGAGAGAGGGTGTAACCACATTACTCCCTGGAGTTCCATTTAGCCTCCCTGGGACCCCATGGGAAAGAGTCAATAGAGACAAAAGGAGAGTTATAAGGGGCTCAGCTGAGCATGTCTGGAGAAATTTCAAGTATGTGTCCCCATCAGATACAAAGGGGAGTCAGCATGAAAAGAGAAGAGTCAGCTTGGAGATCATTTATTTAAACTGTTATCTGATCTTTGAAGGTCTCCCATTCAACAAGTGTGCACGGAGGAGCCACATCGAGCCCCTGCACTGTGCCTGCCCCTGTGTACCGTGCTGAAACACATGTCCTGCTCTAACTGAAACTTGCATTCCAGTAAAGGAGAGCCAGCCAGGGAGCAGTCTCTTTTTGTCTGAAAATTTCAAAAGTTGAAAAGTGGGAGAATAAATATTGTTCTAACCTCCAACTACTCTTTTTTTTTTTTGGCAGGATCTCACTCTGTCACCCAGAGTGGAGTGCAGCGGCACAATCAAAGCAATCCTCCCGCCTCAGCCTCCAAAGTAGTTGGAGGGTGCACTACAGGTGCAGCCACCACACCCGGCTAATGTTTTTTGTTTTTTATAGAGATGGAGTCTCCCTATGTCACCAGGCTGGTCTTGAAGTCCTAGGCTCAGGCAATCATCCCCCCTTGGCCTCCCACAGTGCTGGGATTAAGGCGTGAGCCACTTCACCCAGCTGAATTATTAAATAGTACCATTTTAACTCATTGACAGAATTTAAACCAAACCACTAATCAAAAGCTGGCTACTATTTTATTTTTATTTTTTTTTTTTTTGCATTTTAGGCAACTACAATTTGCCATGAGACTTCTAATGTTGGGTTCCTACATAAGAACAAATGCTTCCCCATCCATCAGCAATAGCTATGAGAATCTCAGACTTATTTCTTCTCTTTTTATGGGCAGATGAAGCAGCTCTCCTGTTTTATTTTTACTTTTCCATACTCACCAACACCTAAGTTCTCTTGGTATCTTTGAATATTTGGAAGTTTCTTATGCATGTACTAACTTATTTAATCACATAGTATTTTCTTTTTATGTTGTTAAGTGGTAACTAATCCGTTTATCCAGGTCCCTTATCAGAAAAACTATCACTGAGCTGATGACCAGGAAATAATAGTTAGGTTCTACATGTATTATTTTATCATAATACCATAAAAGAATCAAAGTTAGATCTATGTGTAGAATGGAACTTAAGAGGGCTGGTGGTTGTTCGGATTTTTAAAAGATGCTTGAAAAGCAGAATCACATTAAAAACAGCATGTCATAGCATGAGGGGTTCCTCTCTGCAGTGGCATGGCATCAAATCAAACCAAGAATGGCACCACTTACAGGGCACTTGTCATGTGTCAGGCCTAGAACTAAACACTGTCTATGCATCCTTTCTTTGAACTCTCACAAAAATTCTGCTTAGCATTCCCATTTTACACAGGAAGAAACTGAAACTCAGAGAGGAAGCACAGCCCACGGATACATTGTTGTTAGTAAATGCGGAGTAAGGGCTTTCTGGCTCCAAAGCCTGTAGCCACTCCTAGTCACTATGAAATGTTGAGGTTATTTTCATTTTCATTCATGGAAGGAATTAGATCTTT
The DNA here is from genome assembly GCF_000001405.40 of Homo sapiens. Taxonomy (NCBI): domain Eukaryota; kingdom Metazoa; phylum Chordata; class Mammalia; order Primates; family Hominidae; genus Homo; species Homo sapiens. The sequence continues at coordinate 149,424,996 of NC_000003.12, read as the reverse complement.
TACAGAAAAGCAGTACAGCTCATCCATTGCCCACTTCTCAACCCTGGGTATTCCATGAAGAAACTCACTTTTTATTGGCATTAGTGAAATGCCACACAGCAATAATAGTTGAAAATCTTTAGTTCAAGTAAAAATTAAATAAAAGAATACCTGAAGTAAATGAAGCATGATAATGATGATGATGATAATAATGCCTACTGGTACTTAAAACATATAGTCAGCAAAGAAAAACATATACAGGTATTTGCAAATATTGTCATTCATCACACTACAATAGCTACAATATGATATTTAGAGTTTGACTGTGCCTGGAAAATTTTTTTATTAAAAACATGTGATCAAGATGGCAAATATTAATGTTTTTGCTATTAAAAAGTTATTTCAAATTAATAAAAGCAAAATTATCTTAATAGAAGGGCAAAGGACATGAACATTTTAAAGCAGAAATAATACGTAACTAATAAAGCCATGAAAATGGCTAAAGTTGAAGATAATCAAATAAATGCAGATTAAAATCTACATCTCCACACCCTATTTTCCCTGTCAAATTGGCAGTGATGGAGAAAAATGATAACACAACAGCTTGTGAGAGTGTGGTGAAGTGAGACTGATATATTTCTGGTGGGAAAGAAATGGTTATGCTTTTTCTAGAGAGTAATCTGAAAATATGTTTTGCTAGCCCTAAAAATGTAGCATCTACATAAGGGATCATTAGACACTGAAATATGATTTTAAAATAATATTTAACAACATGATAAAACATAATATTAAGTAAAAAAATTACATTGCAAAATGATGATCAGTTGTGTAATGAAAACACTTTACATAAATATGTGGAAAACAGATTAGAAGTAGAGACCAAAAATGTTAGAGGGATTGTCCACAGGTGATGGGATGATAATTCCTAAGGTCTGGCTTCCTCTCTCTCCCAGGCTCCAGTTTTCCCAGCTTGATTGCTCCTTTGACATCCTGATCTAAGGAAACCTTGCTTTTCCACCCTCTTTTCCCTCCATCTGTCAGTAGGCATAAGTAGTCCCAGCTTGAAAAACTTCACTACAAAGCCCCTCTGGGCATAGTTTTACGTCCTTTTTGCCCTTGAATCTCAAACTTGTTCTTAAATAAATTTCCTATTAAAAAACTTTATAATCAACACGTGGTTACTTTTTAAAGTTGAAATTACATGTTTTAAAAAAGATATTGCATGTTCTTTTTAGTTTCCTTAGCTTGTCTGCCCCCAGGTGAAGGTAGGACCACAGTTTATCTGCTCACATCCACCACAGGCTACATAAGGGAAACCTTGCTTTCCACAAATTGCCCCTTCTCCAGCCCTGCCCCTTCTCAGTCAAAACAATGGTTCCTAAGGCTCAAGGCATCCTTCAGCCTCAAGGAGAAAAAAAGAAGCCAGGAAATTAAGTAATAATCATATTACTTAGAGATGAGTGCCGTTAACAAATATATAACTTTCCGGGATTATTCTGTTATAGCTGAGCCCCTTGGAAAGCTGGTATTCAGTCACTATCTCCTGAAGAGTCTTTGCTTAACCAAACCTTAATCAAGCTCCTGAAGCTTCTCCTAGGCCCATCTGTGTATTTCCATGTAAAACCCAGTTTTAGCAAAGAGCCCTGCTAAGTCAGTTTAGCAAGGCCTGCCCCTGCCCCCCTACTCCCCTGCACCACCCAATATCTGATCACCCTTGATATCTGATGGGTCCCTCATCCTCCACCATCCCCCAGGTGATGCCTGGTCACTCTGATCTGACTTCAGCAAGAATCCTTTTAAGTTCGTTTAGTCAGAATCCCCCTGAAGTTTCTTCTTAGTAATTTCCCGTCCACTGACCCCCACCTTGCTCCTTGGCTATAAATTCCCACTTGCCCATGCTGTACTTGGAGTTGAGACCAATGTCTCTCCCTTCCTGCAAGACCCCATTGTAGAGGTGCCTGAATAAAGTCTATCACAATGGTCCTGAATAAAGTCTTCCCTACCATCTTTAATAAGTATCATTGAGTAACTTTTTAGTTAACAATCCCTTTCCTCATCTTTTCACTCCTTAATCTTCAGAGACTGGGCTTCTCCCCACACCTTCCTGGCGAAGATCAAAAATTACACCCTGGACCTGGCACGGTGGCTCATGCCTGTAATCCCAGCACTTTGGGAGACTGAGGTGGGTGAATCATATGAGGCCAGGAGTTCAAGACCAGCCTGGCCAACATGGCCAACCCCACCTCTACTAAAAATACAAAAATTAGCCAGAGATGGTGGCTCACGCCTGTAACCCCAGCTACTTGGAAGGCTAAGGCATGAGGATACCTTGAGCCCAAAAAGTGGAGGTTGCAGTGAGCCAAGATCATGCCACTGCACTCTAGTCTGGGTGACAGAACAAGACTCTGTCTAAAAAAAAAAAATTATACTCCGTCACCAAAGTCAATGGATAATTTATTTTACTGGAACTCTCTGATGAGTTTAAATTCACTCTTACTGGCAATTCAGAATTGAATTGCTTAGTTTATAAGACACTTGTCTCCTGGTTCTCCTTGAATCTCCAAGAACCTCAAGGCCTTTCATCCTCTGCCCGTTCCGTTTCCAACAGGAACAAAGCTCCATCATTGGCCCAATACTCTCCTCTCTCTGCAAGCTCCCTTGGGCAATCTGAAACAAATTTTTGCTTTCAAACATTATCTTCAGCCCTAATCTGTAATTTGACTCAGGTAATACTACCTAAAAGTACACCCAATAAAGCATAGTTAAAAAGGCTAAAGACTTTGGGATAAGATGTGCCTAGGTTTAAAACCCAAGTCTGCCCTTTAATAGCTATCTAAATAATGAAAAATAATTTAATGTCTCTAGAGCTCAGTTTCTTCGCTTGCAAAGTGAGTACATCATAGTACTGTAATTTCCTCAGAAGAATGGTACATAAATTAAATTAAATAGTGCATTTAAGGTAAATGCTCAACAGATTTAGTCACCATGATTTTGATGCTCCAAAGGCATTTTAAACTTATTATCTCTAAAACTGAAGTCAGTTAATTATGTTGCTGCTATCCAGTTACCTAAGCCAGAGGCCCGGAAGTCATTCTTCCCACAATAAGAATGACACACAGATTCCTGGGCCCTGCCTCAGACTTATTAAATTAGAATATCCAGGGAAGGCATTGGGAATTCTGTAGGTCTACAAGCCTTCCAGATGATTCTTGGCAGAGAAGGTTGGGAAACTTCTTTGTACTTCTCCCTTTCCTTCCCCACCAGTCACCATGTTAGACCAATTTTATCTACAGATTATTTCTGGAATCCACCGCATCCTCTCCATCCCTACCACTACTTTCCTAATCCAGCCTAGACTAAGTCTAGGCTTAACCTTAATCGGGGTGGATGTTGATGGATGTGACTGGAAGGGGTATCCAGGAGTTTCTTTGTTTATGTCTCTCTGTCTCTGCCACTCTATATTTCATCTCTCTCTTTTGCTCCTTCTTTCTCCTTATTTCTTTTCTCACAACCACCTTACTCATAAATAAGCACTCTTAGGGCCTGGGACTGGTACCCCTACCTAGCTGCTGCCACTCTTCCTTCCTGAATTTGGACCCAGCCCCTGAACTCTACAGCTCACCAACAAGGATCCTGCAAAGTGAGAATGGATGTGCCGGTATCAGGCCAAATCCTCGCCGACTTCCAAGTGTGTAACGGCCCTAGATTCAGAACAGCTTGCTCAGAGCTGCCTGACTATTTTGGACAACTGCAGATCCAGCCCAGACCCTGGGTCACCTTCAAGACCCATCTCCAAAGCTTTGTGACCTCCTCTCCTCCCCACCAACTGGTGGATCCAACTTCCTCCCCATCGTGGGGAAAATGCTTTAGATATACTTTAGTGAAAGAATACACATACAAAATTATATAAGGTAGGATCACTGTTGAGAAAAGAAAATATTGAATCTTTGCATATAAAAATATTAAATAAAATTTTAAAATGTCCCATTGCCTTCAGTGATATATCAATGTGTTAAGTAGTTATCTATGAGTGGTGAGGTTTCACAAGTTTGATATATTATAAATTCATATGTTTTATAGTTTCAAGTAGTAAATGAATAATACATGAGCTGGGATGACCAATTGAAATGTCATCTGAGTTTTCTCCCTTCATTTGTCCCTTGTCTTCCATCCTTCATCCTCATTTCTAGCTCAGAACCAGGCTTTGTAATTTCTGCCTCGGGAATTTTGGACAAAGATGTCCACCTTTCACAACTGATACAACCCAGAAGGATACAATTATGTAAGGTCAGGGTATTAGTCTGCATGCGCTGTCATAACAGAATACTGCAGATTGGGTGGCTTAAACAATAGGAACTTATTTTCTCACAGTTCTGGAGGCTGGAAATGCAAGATCAAGGTGCCAGGGGAGGGTTGGTTTCTCTTGAGGCCTTTCTTCCTGGTTTGTAGACATCACCTTCTCACTGTGTCCTCACATGGCTTTCCCTAATGTGGAAAGAGAGAAATCTCTGGTATCTCTTCCTCTTTTTTTTTTGCAGCCAAGGCTGGAGTGCAGTGGTGCAATCTTGGCTCACTGCAACCTCCGCTCCCCAGGTTCAAGTGATTCTCCTGCCTCAGCCTCCCGAGTAGCTGGGATTACAAGCATGCACCACCACGTCTGGCTAATTTTGTATTTAGTAGAGACAGGGTTTCTCCATGTTGGTCAGGCTGGTCTTGAACTCCCGACCTCAGGTGATCCACCCAGCTTGGTCTCCCAAAGTGCTGAGATTACAGGCATGAGCCACCACGCCCTGCCCCTCTTCTTCTTTTATTTTAGTTTTTATTTTTTGTAGAAAGAGTCTCTCTATGTTGCCCAGGTTGACCTCAAACTCCTGGCCTCAAGCCATTCTCCCACCTCAGCGTCCCAAGTGCTGGAATTACAGACATGAGCCACCTCACCTGGCCTCTTCTTTCTTCTTAAGGACACTAGTCCTATGGGATTAGGGCCCCACCTTATGACATCATTTAACCTTAATACCTCTGTAATAACCCGTATCTCCAATTACAGTCACAGTGGGGGTTAGGGCTTCAACGCAGAATTTGGTGGGGGACATAATTCAGTCTATAAACGTCAGTGGTTCTCAAACTTCAGTGTGCACCAGGATTACATGGAAGGCTTGTTAAAACAGAGATTGCTGGGGTTTTTGTTTGTTTGTTTGTTTGTTTTGTTTTTTAATGGGGAAGGAGAAGAATATACGAATGCATAATTCCATGTATATCTAGAAAGGTAGTAAAAACCTCTTAACATTGGTCACCATTAGGGAATGGCCAGAAATGGCAGGGGTGTATGACTCAGGTTTTTCCCACATACTGTTTTGTATTTAAATATGTACCATGTTTATATATCACTTCAAGAACATAAAATTATCTCATCTATCTATCTACCTATCTCTACTGAACCTTTAATAGAAACACTGACTACAGCCAGTTTTGTCATTTAAGCTAGTCATATATATTTTTTTTACCTTCTCCCAGAAACTAGGTCTGTATTTTGGCAAATAACAGTTTGCAAAACTGCTAAACTTGTATAAAGGTGGACATCTCTGTGAAAAGAGAAGAGATCATAGCATGTAGTCACGAATTGAAACAATGAACACACACTACACCTTCATGTAAGTCTTTGAGTGTCTGAAACATGATAGCTTATGATCCTTTGCCTGTGAATTGGTCTCATGGGACATGATAAGAGCACAAACCATTTGAAAACTTTACATTCCCTTCATAGTGAAAAAGGATTGCCAAAGAAAACAAATTCATAACTCTTAGTGACTTCTTAAATGACAAGATTCACTAGGAACTCAAAATTATGGAGTAAAAATCTGCTTTTTGGTTTCTCCTACCTTTTATAGCTTATTGAAGTATAACTGACATACAATAACCTGCACTATTTAAAGAATACAATTTGATAAATTTTGATACATGGAACCAACAACACAATCAAAATAACAAACATTTCATTACCTCCCAAAGTCTCCTTGTATTCCTTTGTCATCCTTCTTTCCCATTCCTCCCCACAGGCAACTATATATTTGCTTTCTGTTACCATACATTTGTTTGCATTTTCTAGAATTTTATAGAAATGATTCACACAGTATGTACAGTTTTTTGGCCTCTTCCTCTTCCTCTTCCTCTTCTTCTTCTTCTTCTTCTTCTTTTCTTCTTTTTTTTTTTTTTTTTGGGATGGAGTCTTGCCCTGTCGCCCAGGCTGGAGTGCAGTGGCGTGATCTTGGCACACTGCAACCTCCACCTCCCGGGTTCAAGCATTCTCCTGCCTCAGCCTCCCAAGTAGCTGGGATTACAGGCACACACCACCATGCCCAGCTAATTTTTGTATTTTTAGTAGAGACGGGGTTTCACCATGTTGGTAAGGCTGGTCTTAAACTCCTGACCTCGTGATCCACCCACCTTGGCCTCCCAAAGTGCCGGGATTACAGGTGTGAGCCACCACGCCTGGCCTGGGTCTGGCTTCTTTAACTCACTCAAGTTAAAGGAGTGTGATATTTATCCATGTGGTGTGTATCCAGAGTCCATTCGTCTTTGTTGCTGGATAGTAGTCCATCATATGGTTAATCACAATTTGTTTATTCATTCACCTGCTGATGGTCATTGGTTTGTTTCTGATGAACCACCAATATCATTTTTTTTCTCACAATCATATCTCCCCATTTTACAGATGAAGAAATGAAAAGACTCTCAGAGGCCAAGTAACTTGTCTGAGGTACAAAGACAGTACTTGGAATATAAAGCCTTAAATTATTACAATGTTTGAGCTGAAAGGAATACTAAGGCATCTCTCTCTCTCTCTTGTCTTTCTTTCTTTCTTGCCCTCTTGCTCTTTCAACTGCTTGGTGTTGAGATTTGATTTGTGATCAACATGAATTATTAAGTATTTCTCTTTATTCAGGGTAAAGTCAGAAGGTTCTTCTTTGTCAGCTAAATGCTGGTACCCTTTTATTTAAATTCATTCCTAATATGCTCCTACCGTAGGAAAATATTCTGGAATGTTCTATCAGCCAAAGGTGGCCTTCTCTCCCACAGGAGCAGGAGTGTGTTGGAGCTTACTTGTGCAGGCTCATAAGAGCTGCTTGTTAGGTTTTTAAAAGCTAAACACGGTTGTTATACAAATTAAATAATATACACTTTCAATTAAATATATGATATTAAAAACAAAGTTGAAAACATTGTAAAAATTCATTGCTTACTAATTATTTTACTACATTTTACTAACACCTAGGCTTTTAAAGTTATTTTGTTTCTTCTTAATTCTACTTCCAGTGATGTAACATTGGTAGCTCAAAATCAGCCTTGGTGGGACTATTTACATGATGGAAATTGGCAAAAGACAAAACTCAAGGTGGAATTTATTATTTTGTTGATTGACTAGACTTAAGAACATGATAGAGAAAATGGTAATAATTTAAAATCTCTATTACATTGTGACTAGCACAAAAACCAATAAATTTTTTTTGGTATTTGAAAACCATTACACAATTTAGCAAAGAAATTGCTCACATCATTGATGAATGAGGTTCTGATAGATATCTTCCTCATTTTACTTTCATCTTATTCATTAACATAAACAAAAATACCAACCAATATTCAAAGCGAAACTACTTACGGAGCCAGGTGTTAAACATTTACCAGCAAACCACCGCCTTTGAAATTAAACCCTATGCAAAAAACAAAACAAAACAAAACCTAGCCTACAAGACTAGTTTCTGTTTAGATCTCATAGGAAATCAAAATCTCTAAGAAAAAAAAAAAACAAGAAAACAGTGAAATCAGAGCTGCCAATAGAAAATATTTAAAATTTGTTATAATTTAAAAATGGATAATACAATAAAATGGCTCAAAAAGGTATACAATAAAATTCTCTCTTACCAGTATCCCTCCGCCATGCAGTTCCCCTCCTCAGGGCAATATCTATTACCAGTTGTTGAGTTTTCTTTAAGAGATGGTCTATATATAAACAAGTAATATAGTCTATTCTTCTTCTGCCACCCAATTTGGTATACATATGAACCCATAAAATACTAAAATACACTATTTTGTACTTTGCTCTCCCCCCTTTAATATATCATAAAGCTCTATCCACATCAGTGTCATGGCTGCATAATAGCGTATGGATGTAGCATCATTTATGTACCTATTATTTAGCTACAATGCAGAGACACTGTAACGGTTTCCAACAGGACTTAATTTTAACCCATGTATTTTAGAATCTGTATATCTGCTGTACCTGGTTATGATTTGTTGTGTCTCTTCTCATTAAGTTATAGAAAGTGAGTCAATTCATGCAAACATCAGCACACATTTACTGAACACCTACTAGGTGACTTGCACTGTGAGGGATGCAAAAATAAAATTTTAAAACATGATTGGTCTTAATACTCCTGTCACCTAGCTTGAAATCAAGAAAATAAGAGTTTAATAATGATCCAGATAGCAGCCTAGGAACTGTCACAAGACTTCACCTTTAATTAGCTTTTGAGCTTGGACTAGTCATTCAATCCTTGTGAACTTTTGTTTGCTCATCTTTAAAATGAAGATGACTATTCCTGCCTTGACCCCCTCTTTGGGTTGTTTTGAGGATTAGAGTGGACCATGTTTGCAAACACTAAAAGACCACACATATCTATGGGTACATGACCTCTCCTGCCTCATCTTGTCCACATTGTGTTCCAGCTATGTTGAACTTACATATGTCCGGACCCTCCACATGTAGGCCTCTGCATGTGCAGTGTGACTCTCCTAGAATGCACAACCACAATCGCCCCCGTTTCCAGTCACACCAATCCCTACCCTTCTTCAGCTCCCAGATTTCCTGACCTCCCAAGTTTAGATCACGTGCCTTTCCTATATACTTCCTGAGAGTCCCCATCAGGACACTGCCATTGCTATGTCATGGAAGGGGAAACTGTTTATGTCTTGTTCACAGTTGTATCCTAAGCTCTCAATAAATGTTCAGGAAATGAGTAAATGAATCAATTGCCTTTAAGGAAATGGGCAGGGGGACAACACTGAGTGTGCTAAGGCCAGGAAGACCTTTATCTACATTCTCTTCTTTGGTCTTCACCATACTCTATGTGATAAAAATTATTATTTGCATTTTATAAACTCAGGGGGTTAAGTGATGTTGGAACCCAATGCTGGCAGACCCAAAGGATTTTCTCCATAATTTCACTCTGTCCCTCCATATTATAATATCACTCTATCCCCAAACGCAATGGCAAACAGTGATTGATAATTACTATGGCCAACCACAGGGCTATTTGTGTCATTCATTCAGTCCTCCCAAACTGCATGAAGTGGATGATGTCACCATTTGCAGATAAGGAAATGAGAATGCCCAAAGGTGAAGTGACTTGTTAAAAAGTGCTGTAAATTCTCCAAAATGAAAAATCGTGGTGAACTGGAGTGGACTGAGAAGACTCCATGGCAGAAGAGAGATTGGAGTTGATACTTGAAGAAAGGGTAGTGTTTAGATTCTAGAAGCAAAGTTGTTGGAGGGGTTTCTAGTTGGGGACAGAGAGAAGGGCATGAGTATTTGAGAAACAGTGAGAGGGCCAGGTGACAAGAGAGAAAGATCATGTCTAAGAGTAAAGGAAACATAAGATGCAGAGGTTGATTGGTTTATATTATGAAAAGCCTAGAAAAAGTGTATCTCAGAAGTTGTTTTTAAGGGAAATTGGAATAATTTTATGGAAATGACATGGTGAAGACTGTATTTTAGTTTTCCTTTCCTTTAAAATAGGAATTATATGTGATTTATATAATTTTCTTGTGGATTTAGCTTTAGCTAAAATGTTTTTTTTTCCTTAATAGGAATTATAACCCATCTTATCCCAGAGTTTCCACTTCTGAGAGCCAGAAACCATGAGAAATGGAAAGTGCTAAGAGCCCTTGAACTCTGCTATTTCAGGGTGGAGCAGGACATACCATTCCATTCAGTGAAAGACCTTCTGACTTTTTGTAGTTGAGAAAGCATTGGAGTCATATGTGATTTGTGTAGCAAGACCTTTGAAGTCAAATGGCTTCTGAGCAAAACTGTGAATTTCCCCTTCCCCTCCTCAATCACTTTCAAACTAAACTCAAAAACCATCAGCAAAGATCAAGTTCCCATGGTTTTTTTTTCCCTTCTATTTGGCCCTCATGCTCTTTCTTTTTGGCCCAAGTTTTCAAGGCAGGGTTTTCAAGGGACTCTTGCCTGTTTTTCATTGGCCTACTTCCTCCCATTCTCCTTGCCTTCCACAGAAGCACCCACACAGGAAGGGCAGACCTGTCCAACACCTGCTCTTCAATTGATGAGGCGCTCAGGGTTGTGTGACCTACACAAACTGTAGATTGAGAATCAAGTCTGAGGGAGCATGAGATGAGTATTTATCCACCTCTTCTCATGATAGAGCTGTGCACCAAGGAAATCTTTAGTCAGCAAATGTTTTAAATGCAGACAACCTCAGTACAGGTAGGAGCTGAGCATTTGTACTTCTGAGGCTTAACTTCTTCAGAGGGGCTCCCAGCTGGCTTGGGCACCCAGAAATTTCAGGCCCTGTGCCTTAGATTCGCTTCTTCAAGGTGACACTGCCCTAACAAAGGTGACTATATAATTTATCATACAGACCAGGACACTTCTAAAAATAAAAGGGATTGTGAAAAATAATTAAAACTATATAGTTTTAAAAATATTTGTTGAATGAAAAATTAGTTTCATTATTATTGAACTTATAAGATATAATAGTTCTATTCAAAAACTATTTTTATAAATAAAATTGCTTCCAAAAATAAAAATAACATATTCATATTTACTAAGGCAAAATGTAAAAAGACTTACTCATATCGATCCTTTGAAAATTAATCACATAAGAATAATTATTCTTGGTATGCAGTAACATACTTCACTGTATTTCCTAGATATACCTTGTCTCTAATACCATATCACAGTGTATGTTTTTTCTGAAGACTGTATATATTCTTTTTCAATAAGTTCTTTTTATTTTTAATTTTTCATAAAATTATCTGAAATAGCCTTCAAATTTGTATCTTATAATTAATTAATTTGAAACCATTAGCACCTTTTTTCTGTAGTTATATATCAAATTTTTAAAATTTACAGCTGGGAGCAGTGGTTCATGCCTGTAATCCCAGCACTTTGGAAGGCTAAGGCAGGAGGATCCTTGAGGTCAGGAGTTCAAGACCAGCCTGGCCAACATGATGAAACCCCGTCTCTACTAAAAATACAAAAAATTAGCTGGGTATGGTAGGGGGTGCCTGTAATCCCAGCTACTCAGGAGGCTGAGGCAGAATTGCTTGAACTTGGGAGACAGAGGTTGCAGTGAGCCGAGATGGTGCCATTGCACTCCAGCCTGGGTGACAGAGTGAAACTCCATCTCAATAATAATAATAATAATAATAGTAATAATAATTAAATGTAAGGTCTACATAATACTTGCTAAGTACAGAGAAAATTATAAACAGAAGAGTTTTAACCCTAATTTTATTTTTTGTATTGAAATATATATAAATATTTCAGTCCAAATATTTTTATAAATACTGTCATTTTTGCCTCTTTTGACTATCAGCTTGGTACCTTTGACAAACATTTTTAAAAAGGGAAAAATTATTTAAAAGTTCTCTATAATATGATTATTTGAGTGTTTGAACAAATATAGATACTGCAAAAATACAGGTCCTTTCCATTTCATTTTATTCTAGTACAGAATAGAAACTTATGCAACTAAAAATGAGAGGTCTACCAAACATTTTTTATATAACTTAAAATAGCCCAGAGCACAATCATGAAGCTTTAAAACTAAATCTTATAAACCATTTAAACTGTCATTTATTGTTTTGTTCAGTTCCTCCCATGCTTTTGTATTGCTTAATTTTAATATCTTCTTGTTCATAAGCTTTGCCTTCGATAATTGCAGTTTGCCAAAATTTAAAAGCTGAAGTTTTGGGGTGCTCTACTCATTTGATACCTTGATTGAAGATTTCCAGCTGATTTTGAATGAAATGCAACCAAAATTTAAAGGACACATTTACCAAAAAATGTCAATGCCAATATAAGATACTTATGTTGTGTTACAAATTTGTTTTTCAAGGACTCAAATGTTTCTAAAATCTAATTAATGATGAACAGCAAAGAGTGGGTTCACATGTTGCTATACCCAAGTATTTTCTTTCTTCAATATCAGTATCACCATGAAAACTATGTAGTTCAGTTATTTTATCTGCGTATATGTAAAAATGTTTGTGAGTTTTGGCAATACAGCTTCTATGTCAATTGGTAGAATATCATAGCTTGTTTAACCCAATTATGAGTCATGTGCATGGCAATCAATTCCAAGTACATTTTTGCTCTACAAGTTTAATTTAGTAAGAGCATTATTTTTTCCACAATGGTGTACATCGCCAGAATTTGTAAGCATATTATGGATGCAAAAACAAATCATTTAATCCTCAATGCTGTACTCTGTAACAGAATTTACAATAGCATTCGCAATAATCTCAGATGTTTCACTTTCAACAAAAGAAAATCCTAAAAGTTTTACTTTGATTCCCTGAATTGGATGAGAGCCTTCAACTGTCATCAGAGTTAACTAGATTTTTACTTGAATCACCAGATGACATTGATACAAAATTGAGGCCATTTTGGCAAGTTCTTCTTATGCTAATTATCCGCTATCATTTTTCACTAACACTTTACAAGTGTATGTACATGAGGAAACGGGATTTTAAAAGAACAAAATTAAAATAGATAAACGATCATTTAACCTAAATGAAAAGTTATGCTTTAAAAGAGGTTGTATAAATGCACCTTCTGAAGCTGCACCTGCTCAACTGTTGTCACATTCAACATGCGTCTTCTTAAATTTACCATTAACTTTCGAAGTAGACCCTGATGATTTTTCAGCAGATTTGTATTTCCTTGTTTTCAAGTGGTCAGTGATATCACAATGGGTCCCACGGTGGATGGCAAATGTCTACATTTTGTGCAAGTTTCACTTTAATCATTTACTTTCTTGAGAAATGGCAATTCTGTACTTGATTTTGTACTAAACTCATGTTTTCATTTCCTTGAGGTCACTGCTATTGAAAGGGTTTATTGTAAAATAAAAAAGCATTGCAGAACAACAAAATAGTCATGGATTTATTTGGATTTATGCCATTCAATTCAATAAATGGCAAAACAATTGCAGCATTCAGACTACACAGTAAGTTCTATGGCAGGACTTCTTGTCTTCTGTCTTCTGTACATACTTTATATGTACCTAACCCATAATTTCCCACGTTTTCCACCAACTTAGTGACTTGCTGACTTTGTGCATTTATAGAGAGTGGCACAAGCTGATAGACTGTCTGGCAGGGCCAGCAGCATAGAATATCTCTTTTACCACTACCTGAGACCAGGAGTTATCTGTCCCTAACTGCTCATGACTGAGTACAGGCATACCTTGTTTTGTTGTGCTTTACTTTATTGAGCTGTGTGTTATGGTTTTTACAAATTGAAGGTTTGTGGCAACCCTGCATTGGTCTATTGGTGCCATTTTTCCAACAGCATGTGCTCACATCATGTCTCTGTGCCACGTTTTAGTAATTCTAACTTTTTCCTTATTATTAGTATTTCAAACTTTTTCCTTATTATTATATCTGTCATGGTGATCTATGGTCAGTGATCTTTGATGTTACTATTATAATTGTTTTGAGGTGCCACAAACCATGCCCATATAAGACATTGAACTTAATCAATAAATGCTATGTGTGTTCTGACAGCTCCACCAACAAGCCTTTCCCCATCTCTCTCCCTCTCCTTGGGCCACCCTATTTTCTGGGACACAAGAATATTGAAATTGGGCCAATTAATAACCCTACAATGGTTTCTAAGTGTTCAGGTGAAAGGAAGAGTCTCACATCGCACTTTAAAGCAAAAGCTAGAAATTATTAAGCTTAGTGACGAAGGCATATGGAAAGCCAAGACAGGCCAGAAGCTAGGCCTCTTGAGCCAAAAACTTAGCCACATTGTGAACGCAAAGGAAAAGTTCTTGAAGAAAATTACTTCCAGGGAACACATGAATGATAAGAAAGTGAAACACCCTTCTCGTTGATATGGAGAAAGTTGGAGTGGTATGGATAGAAGATCAAACCAGCCACAACATTCCCTTAAGCCGAAGCTTAATCAAGAGAAAGGCCCCAGCTCTCTTCAATTCTATGAAAGCAGAAAGACGTGATGAAGCTCCATGAGAAAAGTTTGAAGCTAGCAGAGGTTGATTCATGAGGTTTAAGGAAAGAAGTTGTATCTCCATAACATAAAAGTACAGGGTGAAGCAGCAAGTGCTGATGTAGAAGCTGCAGTCAGTTAGCCAGAAGATCTAGCTATGATCATTGATGATGGTGGCTACAATGAACAACAGATTTTCAATGTAAGTAAAACAGATCTTCTTCCATTGGAAGAAGATATCTTCTAAGGCTTTTGTAGCTAGAGAGGAAGAGAAGTCTATGCCTGGCTTTAAAGCTTCAAAGGACAGGCTGACTCCCTTGTTAGGGGCTAATGCAACTGGTGACTTTAAGATGAAGCCAATTCTCATTTGCCCTCTGAAAGTCTAGCATTTATTCTGCAGCATATGGATCAAGTAATAATTTTTTGGCTTTCAAGTCTTATTATACAAAAACACATTTCATAAACTGTCATATATAGTGATTCCCCTGATGGATCTGGGCAAAGTAAATTGAAAACCTTCTGGGAAAAATTCATTATTCTAGATGTCATCAAGAAAATTTGTGATCCATGGGAGGATGTAGAAATATCAACATTAACAGGAGTTTGGAAGAAGTTAATTCCAACCTTCGTGGATGAATTTAAGGGGTTCAAGACTTCAGGCAGGAAGTAACTGCAGAGGTGGTGGAAATAGCAAGAAAACTAGAACTAGAAGTAGAGCCTGAAGATGAGACTAAGTGGCTCAATCTCATGATCAAACTTGAACAGATGAGGATTTGCTTCTTACAGGTAGGAAGACCCTCCCCCAGCAAAAGGATTATGACTCGATGAAGGCTCAGATGACTGGTATTTTATTATTGGAGACAGGGTCTCATTATGTCATCCAGGCTGGAGTGCAGTGGCATGATCATGGCTCACTGTAGCCTTGACCTCCTGGGCCCAGAAATCCTCCCATCTCAGCCTATAGCTGAGACTACCGGAATGCATCACCATGCCTGGCAAATAATTTTTTAAATTTTTTGTAGAGACAGGGTCTCACTATGTTGCCAAGGCTGGTCTCAAACTCCTGGGCTCAAGTGATACCCCCAATTTAGCCTCCCAAGTAGCTGGTGCATGCCACCATGCCTGGCATGTAACATAACTTTTACATACACTAGGAAGCCAGAAAATTTATGTGACTTGCTTATCACAATATTCAATTTATTGTGGTGGTCTGGAACTGAACCTGCGATATCTCCAAGGAATGACTGCCAACTTCATTTTATCAGCAACAGTCCTGTATGGTTCTCCTGAAAAGAAAATATTAGCTACATTGCTGCTGGAAAGAGCTGAAAAAAGAGAAATGGGTTATTGTTAGCGTCTGTCAGATTTTACCATATGTTAAAGTGAAAAGTCAACATTATATATACATCTCACACACTATTCCATAACACCATGAAAGGAGAGAAGCTGGAAGTATAAAGTAGCTGTCTGCCCAATCCATTCTGGCTTGTTTTAATGCAACTACTAACAAGCACACTCCATTAAAAAGTGAAGTATTTGGGACAAATGGTACACACCAAGAGGATGCTGGAAACACAGGTGTGAACTGGGACTCTTCTGAGCAAACTGGGATATATGATCACCCTAGCCCCAACCCACTTTGACTGGTTGAATTTAGCTGCATGATGCTGTAAGTCTCCTGAGTTCTCATTAAAAGAACTCTTACGTCTTTATTCTTAAAATAGAACAATTCATTGACTTTGAGTTTGTTTAACTTCTTGAGTAGGACCTTTAGGAAAGCATCGTTACAAACGTGATGATGGACTTAGCATTCTGAAAAAAAACCGGGTTCCTATTCAGCCTACAAGGCCTTGTTTAACAGGGTCCTAACCATCTCTTCAGCCTCATCTTGTCCCACTCCTCCATCACCACACTCTGCCATGCTTGTCTTCTTTCAGTTCTTCAGATATGCCAGGTCTGATCTATCGTCAGAGGCCTGGGAGGCTGTTCCCTCTACTTGGAATGTCCCTCCTCCCACGCTCCCAAGCTTAGATCTCTCTCTTCATGGAGATACATCTCAGGTTAAACTTCATCTCCTTTAAGAGTTCCTCCCTGGCTGCCTACCTAAAGAACATCTCGCTTCATTTTTCTCAACTCAGCCCATGTTTATTTTCTTCATAGCACTTATTGATAGTCATTGCAATTATTTTATTAATTTGTTGGCTTATTTATTTTATGGACAGCCCCTAACATGAGAATGTAAGATTCATGACAGAAGGGCTTTTTCTGCTCTTTTCTTGGGAAGGGTGTCTGGCAACAAGCACCAAATAAATATTTATTGCATGAATGAATAGCATATATTAACATTATGTTTAAGGTATAAGACATATATCAAAAGATTTTCAAACAGTTGGGTCAAATTTAATATACATAACAATGTTGATTGTAACATCAAGTTTTCTAAAAATAAGTATTATTTTCATAATGATTTTAATCACGTATTTAGCCAGTTAGCTCCAAAGGTCACTACTCTGCTATGGAAGCACTTCTCAGAGCCTTCAAGTCTTCAAACCACAGGGCAGGGTCTGAGCTGCTCAAGTCCCACTTTCTGAGACGGTGCAGTAGACAGCAGCATCCCTCCAAGCCCCTAGGGTACAGACATTGTGGGAAACTGAGAATTTAAGCCTGTAAAATTCCTTTCAGCTTTGTACCTTTAGAAGCCTGACCTTGTATGGAATCGTGGTTTTTGAACAGATGGTTGAAATGACTTTGTTAAATGCAAGAGTCTGTTGTTTTCAGAAGCTATCAAACCACTGATAACTTTATTTACATTATTTGATAAACATGCTCCATTTTCTCTCTGCATTTCTGCTCTGCAAATGTTCTGGTTCCTGGGCAAGTTTGCTCAAACCCTGTGATACTTTCTATAAAATAAAATGAGCACCTCCTTGTATCTTGACATTTAAAAGATAATTCCACAGTTTCCAATTAGTGTCATAATCATGAGTGAATGATTTGTGAAATATTTTTAATGTACTGGGTTTTTTTCAGTTTCCCAGTATTAACGAAAGGCTTCTTTATAAATAAAACACTCTACATATGATTTTGGCTAAGTGGGGGGTGCCTCAGTTGTGAGAAAGTAGAGAGAGCTGTGCTGACTTTACATGAATGAGGTGACACTATCAGGGAAAAAACTAGTACCTCAAGTCACACACAAAAACCAGTCTCATAACTATAGTCTTTATGTTTTCATCTCTCAACAATAACTCTGCATGCCTAAACATCTAACCTTAAAGGATTAGTTGAATAGATTACAGTATGTTATGCTCTGGAGTACAATACAGCATTAAACATCATGTGGAAGACTAATGATGTGAAAACCTGTGCTATATTAAATGAACAAAGCAGGAGATGTAAACATATAGACAACATAATATCATGTTTTATTTTCTTTAAAAAAAGTTTATTTGTGTAGAGAAAAAAGGACTGGAAGGTTATGTAATACCAAGCATTGTGCGACTGGAATATATTTGACTATTATTATCAGACTGCAAGGTAATACCAATATACCAAAATATTAACTCAAAATATTAATGATGAATTTCCCTGAATGGTGGATATAGGAGTGGTCCTTTCTCCTTTTCTTTGTGTCTCCCTCCCTTCTTCCCTTTCTTCCTTCTTTCCTGTCTCTTTTCTTCCTTTTTAAACCTCTGTTCTTTAAACCTAAAGTGGGCATCGATTTATTCCTTTTATGATTATAAGACTTTTTAATTTTTTTCATTGAGGTGAAATTAACGTAACATAAAATTAACCATTTAAAGTGAACAATTTACTGGCATTTAGTACATTCACAGTATTTTGCAACCACCACCTGTAAGTCTAAAACATTTTCATCATCCCCAAATGAAACTTTATATCTATTAAGCAGTTATTCCTCATTCTCCCCTAACCGCTGTCCCTAGGAACCACAAATCTGCTTTTGATCTCCGTGGATACCTCTTCTGGATATTTTTTATAAATGGAATCATAAGATATGTGAATTTTGTGTCTGATGTCTTCTACTTAGCATATTTTTGAGGTTCATCCACATTGTACTGTGTGTCAGTACTCCATTTCTTTTTATGGCCGAATAATATTCCCTCATATAGATCATGACTTGTTTATTCATACATCCATTGATGGACATTTGGGTTGTTTCCCATATAGAACTTTCCTTCCTTCCTTCCTTCCTCCCTCCCTCCCTCTCTCTCTCCTCTCTCTTTCCTTCTTTCTTTCTTTCCTTCTTTCTTCCTTCCTTCTTTTCTCTTTCTTTTTTCTTTCTTTCTTCCTTTCTTTCCTTCTTTCTTTCTTCCTTTCTTCCTTCTTTTCTCTTTCTTTCTTTCTTTTTTCTTTCTTTCTTCCTTCCTTCCTTTCTCTTTCTTTTTTCTTTCTTTCTTTCTTTTTTTCTTTCTTTCTTTCTCTCTCTCTCTTTCTTTCTTCCTTTCCTTTTTTTTTCTTCAAATAGAGACGGGTCTTACTATGTTGCCCAGGTTGGTCTCAAACTCCTAGCTTCAAGCAAGTCTGCCTCAGCCTTCCGAGTGACTGGGATTACGGGATGCAAGCCACTCAGCCCAGCTTCACATTTAAAACTTTTAGAAGTTATTCTATAACACTGAGTTTGTCAGGTAATGAACCTGAAGATTAATGAAGAAAAGGGAGTGGGCTAGGGAAAAATCAGTATTAGCAAACTTTGTCAATTTTCTTAATTTAAAAGTATACATAAGCACGGAAAATTTGATGTACGGGAGGTGATATGAGCAAATTTAAGTATGCCTCTTACTCATGTTTCCCTGTCCTCCAATTTTCTTCCTCAGAGGCAACCTCTCTAACACATTTTTGTGTTTAAATATATTTTTTGCATGAACAAATATACATGTGTATTTGTATATATGCATATATATTTTCTGACTTTTTTCCTTCTTTCAAAGAATTATTAGTGATATTCTAAGCTCCAGTAACACACAGGGAAAGGTGGCTTGCTAATAGTTTTTTTGTGTAATTTTTTGAGACTGGGGCTTGCTCTGTTGCCCAGGCTGGAGTGCAGTGGCACGATCACAGCTCACTGCAGCCTCTATCTTACGGGCTACAGTCAGCCTCCCACCTTGGCCTCCCGAGAAGCTGGGACTACAGGCATGTACCACAACACCCAGCTAATTTTTTTATTATCTTTTTTCGTAGAGACAAGTTTACACTATGTTGCCCAGGCTCGGCTAATGCTCCTTTGAAGAGCTCCTTCCTTTCCTTTATCTGAGCTCCCACTCCTCTTTGAGTGTTCCCTTAACCTTCCAAATAAACTACTTGCACTCAAGTCCTAGTTTCAGGTCTCTTCTGGGAACCCAAGCTGAGACACAAACTTTATTTTATTAAATTTTTATAGTGCTCTGGGAGGTAGGTGTTTTAAAAAACTCCATCCTGCAGGTGAG
The DNA here is from genome assembly GCF_000001405.40 of Homo sapiens. NCBI lineage: Eukaryota > Metazoa > Chordata > Mammalia > Primates > Hominidae > Homo > Homo sapiens. The sequence goes on along the minus strand of NC_000003.12, from coordinate 149,405,319 downwards.
GAAACAGAGTCAGCCAAGTAACCGAGTCAAGTTAGAGAATGGCAGCTAAGATTCTAACTCAGGTGGATGGGTGCTTTTCTTTTCTTCCTTTTTCTTTTCTTTTTTCTTTTTTGTTTATATCCCTTGCTTTGCTCTGGGGAATAACCAGCGTCTAACTTCAGAGAGTATAAACCTGCAGTAGCGCTAGCTGGAAAGCAAGGCCTGGTGCTGGCTGTTGGGGGAGCAACACACAAAGGTGTCATTCTTTGTAATGTCAGGCTCCTACTTTTACACGGTTTTCTGTTTTGTCTTTTCATCATAGCCTTCACAATTGTCATATCAAAGTCGTTTCCTAAAAACATTAAGCCTTATAAGATGCACCACATTTGTTTGTAAAATGTACAACTTTTGGAAACTCCATTCAGGGGGTAGACACCAGACCTCCCCCTGGCTCCTGTGCGCATGTTTAATCTCTCTTCAAATGCCCACACCATTTCCTGCAAAAATTGATTGGCTATGGTTCATCACCTCCTCTGGGTGATCTGCTATCTTCCTTCTCTTATGACTCAGGTTATTGACAGCTGGGAAAAGGCACACACCTCTGACTGATGGTGACCCAAAAAGAAATCATAGAGAAGCAAATTTGGCTCCACTGGTTTGATTTTTCCTTCCTTCCTCCTTACACATCCAAGGAGGTTTTGCTCTGGAAATCTCTTGCTATGGGTAAGTGAATGGGTTTGTGGGGTAGGTTCTCATGGAGACGCCTCACCAGGGCCTCTCCCGCTATTTCCTCAGAACCCCACCTAACAGCCACATTACCCTTAGCATTAACTCTTTCAGACACAGACAATAGATATTATAAAAGTATTTTATTAATTCTCTTCACTGTGGTAAGTTTTATGACTTTTATAATCTTTCTAAGAACAATCACAACATTGGATGCCTCTGAATATGGAGATAACAAGACTTGTTTCACAGCATTTCCTCACAATCAAAGTACACTGGAATCAATACTCTTGGGAAAAGTTCCCGAAACACTGGGAAATTAAAAAATTTCCTAAGTGCTAAATGATTCAAATAGTTCAGGATGATAAATTAATTTGGGGATAATTATTTACTATTATTAAATTATTTTAAATAATCTAAACATACATTGTATTTCCACTTAGGTCTTTGTTATCCAATATTATTTCACTATGTCTCAAAATACTATATTTATATATATGCTGGCAATCCTATATATGCATATATGTATTTGTGTGTGTACATACATATACATACATATATACATATATATAAAATCATTTCTCAGCATTTTGGCTGAAATCAAGTGTAGTATATGTTACCAGTTTTATAAATATACATCTATAATCTTAGAGGAACTCCTGTACCTGTGACAGATCAAAGAATTACAGACATGACTGTATGCTACCCTACATAGAAATTGCCAGTTTTGTAGGTAGCCCAAGAGAGTAATATTAGCTCAGATGTAGGAAATGGTGTTTTGTGTACTATACTAGAGATAGATCTTCAACATGTTCTTAAATTTTAACTTTCATGGAAAAATCAAAGGAAAAAGACAAAATTATTATTACATTGAAAAAAATCAAAGGGAGAACAGCCATCAGGTAAGCCATTCAGTCTCCAGAGGACTTGCACTTGTCAGTGGAGCCTCAGCGTGAGTCCACTTAGGAACAAAGTATTTCTCAACAGTTTGTTTGCATCTTCAAAATATCCAGTAGTTATTTTCATGTTACCCAGGAGAAAGACTCTGATGGAAGTGGCTTACGCTGACTAAATTCACAAGAGCCTTATTGAAAAATCAAACCTCCAATTAACTAATTTGGAATGGAAAAAAAAAAAGAGTGCTATTAAAGAGTCTGAAATATCCATATTGTCAGGTCAGAAGTTTCTCTCACTTGTGGAAAAGTCTGCCTAGGAAGTCAATTTACTTTTGAAAAGTTCCTTGTTAAAAACCGAGTGAGCCTAAAGGGAGCTGGATCAGAATAATGGGAGAAATGGCATTATAAAGCATTAACTGAAGTTGAAATGATTTAGGTAACATGTCTATGTCTTTTTCAGAGGCTCAGACTATATATTTTCGGTGGAATTTTAAAATTTTGTTTTTAAATTCATTCTGGTAATAATGCTCAAGTCCCCATAGAAAAACTCACCTCTAACCAAACACTGCATGTTCTCACTCATAAGTGGGAGTTGAACAATGAGAACACATGGACACAGAGAGAAGAACATCACACACTAGGGCGTGTTGGGCGGTGGGGGGTGGAGGGTGGGGGGTGAAGGGAGGGAACTTACAGGACGGATCAATAGGTGCAGCAAACCACCATGGCACACGTATACCTAGGTAACAAACCTGCACATTCTACACATGTATCCCTTTTGTTTTGTTTTAGGAAAAAAAGAAAAACGCACCTCTAAATTGTATTCTAAAGGCATTTGTAACTCATGCATTTGCTAGAGTCGGGTGTTTTGCTCTGAATTTTGGTGTGGCTTAATTCTAATTTCTTTTATAGCAAAGTCCTATCAGTACAATTAAGAAAGGTTTCCTTGATAATATTTTTCTATAGGCTTTCACTTTTTTCTTATCTACTTCCCCTGCCAGTGACCTTTGCCTTTATGTCATCTTGATCATTATGCCACAGACTGAAAACTTTGGAAAGTGCGGAGATATTGCACTCTAATGTAATTGTAATGCGTTAGTTCCATTTTGCCAACACATAGTACTTCAACACTTCACTGGCAAACAAGCTGGTGATGAAAAGGCAGGCTTTCTGCCTTGTGAATACTTCACCAATTTTCTTGATTAGAAGAATTTAAAGAGGGTTACTAAACAAACTGAACTTCCTACATTTTCTATGGACAGAACTTGAGAGTTTAATGTCAGTTGAATTTATTAGCACTATTATATTTATCAAGAATTAGGTAGCATGTTCTTTCTTTCTATCTTCGTATGTTTAGCATCTATTACAATGTCTGGTAGAGAGTAAGTGTCTGGAGACAATTCTCCTTGGATTTCTCACATTTCTACATGTCTCATGAGTAAAGGGATTGACTGACTTTGTTCTGGACTATTTTTCAAGGGTGTTTGTGTAGCAAACCACCTTGGAAGAGTGAAAAAGTGTCTCAAGAGTAATGAGTAGGCATGCTTCCTGTTCGGTGTAAAAGGCCTGATTTCCCTAAGCTCAGAGTTCCTCTCAAATGCTGAAACTGGCTACTGCTACTGCTGTAACAAAGTCACTTGTCTCTGACCCAAGAATCTCATGACTTCTACCAGTTCCTTTGAAACTGGCAAGCTAACAAATAGCTTCAAAATAGGATAAAATAAGCTAAAATCTCAGATCCTTCAAATTCTTAAGAGTAAGTGCTCGAAAAAGGGGGGAGGTTGTTGAATTAATTAATTTAAAAAATATAGGTGGCTTAACATTCTGTTGAATAGTCCACAGTTATCCAAAGAAGGAGCGCAAGAACTTCTATTGGCAAGGAGCTATTTCACAATATATTTTCATTAAAGTACCAGTGTGTGTTAGTCAGCCTATGTTTATTTTAGATATCGTTGTTGACTTTAAAATGTTGGCAGCAGTATGTTTGGACTCAGCTAAACATTGAGTTGCATGATGAGAACTGATTATTTATTTAAGCATTACCTAGTCAGGTAGGAACTGCAGACTTTGGATAGTTTCTACTTGCTTCTACATCAGTGTCCCTAATGGATGAGGCTATAGTTTTGGTATACAGAGCTGAAATTTTATTCTTTCTTTCTAAAAATAACAGCTGATTCTCTTTAGAGTGACATTTTCATTTGGAACACAAAAACATTGACTTTGGTGTTTATTTTTCCATGTACTTTAGAGGTGCATTTGTTTTTCTCTCCATTTTAGAATGCCTAACAAACCTGAACCAGGAAACCCTTTACCAACAGGAAGTGACCCAGTCTTTCTGCATGGCAGGTGGCCACGCTGCCACCTGCTCCCTTCCTGTTAGTCATGACTCCAAGGGTCTTGACAGAGGGTAGTGACAGGCAACTGGAGATCTGGAAAGAAAATCTCTCTTCAAAGGTAAACAAGTGATTTCAAGTCAATCACCTTTCATAATTATCTTAGAAACTGTATGATATATTAGGAGAGAAAAGGTACTAGGATTGGAAACATAGGTTTACTTCCAGTCTTGCTACTTTTTCTGGATTCTGGGCAAGTCATCTGAACTCTCTTAGTTTTTCCAGTTGTAAAATAATAATAATAACGATGAAGTAATAAAACACCTTCTCTACCTATATCAAACATTGTTTTGAGCATCAAACAAAATAGCTCAATTCTGGTCAGTAAATGTAACAACCATATAGCCTTTTCTCAACATTTTGGTTATACATTTAGAAGGGCTTTGAAGACCACAGAAGTTTATATAAATAGAAGTATTGTTAGTATTATTAGTAAGGAGTATACCCAGCACATTGCTTTTAACTTCTTGCATCACTCTTTTGCACTGAACAAAATGTCATTCTAAGGATTAAGCAAATATGCCCTTGAGTGCTATGTATACATGATTGAATTTTTATTTTTTACTTTTCTTTTTATTTTTAGTTGACATGTAATAATTGTATATATTATGGGATACAGTCATATTTCAATACCCATGTATACAATGGATAATGATCATATGAGAGTAATCAGCACATCCATCATCTCAAATATGTATCATTTCTTTGTATTGTGAACATTCAAAATCCTCTCTTTTAGCTTTTTAAAAATATGCAATAAATTATCTTTAACCATATTCCCCTTGCAGTGCTGTAGAGCACCAGAATTCCTTCCTTCTATCTAGCTGTAATTTTGTATCTGTTAACCAACCTCTCCCCAACCTCCCCAGCCCCCTACCGTTCCCAGCCTGTAATAGTCAAAATTCTACTCTCTACTTCTATTAGCACAGAATTTTTTTAGCCCCCACACATGAGTAAGAACATGCAGTACTTATCTTTCTGTGCCTGGGTTATTTTGCTTAACATAATGTCTTCCTGGCTCATCCATATTGCCATGAATGACAGAATTTTATTCTTTTTTATGGCCAAGTAGTATTCCATTGTGTATCTCACATTTTCTTTCTATTCTTCTGTTGATGGACATTTTGGTTGATTCCATACATTGGCTATTGGGAATAGTACTGCTATAAACATGGGAATGCAGATATCCCTTTGATATACTGACTTCTTTCCTTTGGATAACTACCTAATAGAATTAGGTAGATCCAGTAGAATTGCTGGATCATATGGTAGTTCTATTTTTAGTTTTTTGAGAAACCTCCACACTATTTTCCACAATGGGTTTACTAATTCACACTCCCACCAACAGTGTATAAGGGTTCCCCCTTTTCTGCATCCTTGTCAGCATTTGTTATTTTTTGTTGTTTTCACAATAGCCGTTCTAACAGGGGTGAGGTGATATTTCATTGTGGTTTTGATTTGCATCTCTCTGATGATTAATGATGTTGAGAATTTTTTCATATATATATTTGTGGTCATTTGTCTGTCTTTGGAGATATTAATATGTCTATTTGGATCATTTGCCCATGTAATTCCAATTGGTTGGCACCTGCAAAGCCATTTCTAAGATCCTCTCATGACTGTGGGTGGATGGAAGGATGAACACTTGGGTGGCTAAAGCAAACGTGGACTTTTGTTGTTCTTGTGAGGGCTGGTGGGGCAGAATGCTTTTATACAGCCATGAAGTAGCAGGGAAAAAAGCTCTGAGATCCTCCAGTGTGTAGGGAATATTCTCTGCTTTTCTCATGCTCTGTACCAATCAAACCTGGGCTCTTGTTCCTTAATGTACTGTCATTAGCTTTGCCTTTCTCTTATCCCATAGTCCTGTACTATAGTGAGAAAAAGACATAGAAAAGACTGCACAGCTCTTCGTAGCTTACAAATCATTTTCATAATTGTCATCATGTTTAAACATCACTATGACACTGCTACGTAGGCATAATTGCACCTGTTTTATGGTGAATAAACTGACAATCAAGGTTAAGGGACATACCAAGGTCACGCAGGAGATGAAGCTGGGGCTTAAGAGGCCTCTGTCAAGCTCATGGTTGTTTCATTCTTCTGGGCTGCCTCTGGGTTAAAACTTTTTAAAAAGTAAATTCTGAAATAGTTAGAATGGATTATGGTAGGAGAGAGTGCAGAATGAGTTTGCAGTGAAGCATCTTAGAGGGACAACACAATAGTAAACCTCCTCTTCCTTCTCATATCTTATAATCAAGGATTAAGAAGCTCCTTGCCTTCTTGTTAAGAAATTGATCGCATTAGGGTCATCTCTATATTAATGGCAGAAATTGAGTCAATATGTTGATCTTGGGCCCCTGAAAACAAGGGTTCTTTGGGTCCAGGGATAGAATTCAGGCAGTCCATGGGCCTGGATGAAGAAAAAAATTCCTGTTTTTGATTTCTTGAACTTCTAGCATTTCTCTCAGTTATGAATTTAGACTCCAAACCATGGCAATTATTAGCTCTTCCTATAAGTATGTCACCAATATAAATACAATATATTTTCCTATCACATAATTTTAAATATAGTAATGCACTGCATAAAAATTCCAGTTAACTACAGACTGCTTATGCAACAGTGGTCCCATAAGATTATATATGTTTACTGTACATTTTCTATGTCTGGATACACAAATGCCTTCTGTTGTGTGACAATTTCTTACAGTATTCAGTACAGTAACTTGCTGCAGCCTAGGAACAATAGTCTAAACTATACATCCAGTTGTGTAGTAGGCTATATCATCATAGGTTTGTGTAAGTACACTTTGTGGATATTTGCACAGTGACAAAATTGCCTAATGACACATTTCTCAGGATGTACCCTGATGTACTCAGGATGGTGCTTCACCATCAAGCAATGCACAACTGTACCTTGAAACTATCCTTTGCACTCATCACAACTTCAAAATACGGTAGCTGGATCTTATTATTTAATATGTTAAGAAACACACATATGTTATTTTATAATGAAGTTTTAAGAGTCATTTTGATAATTGTATTTCCATATAATTATTTTTCTATTTCAATTGTCTATTTCAAATAGAATCTTATGTATTCTATTTTATGCCTTTAAAAACATTACTCTGAGAGGGGTACAGGTGTCACTCTGCTACCACATGGGTCCACAGTGCAAATAAAAGTTTTAAAAACTTGCTCTAAAAAGACATTCACTGAAAATCTTAAATTATTCCCTAGGAACAAAATTTTCAAAACTTTTTTTTTTTTAAGGAAGAGAGATGTTAGGGCAACAATTCCTTAATTTCATCATCTCTTCCATTTATTTACTTGATTGAATGAATTCTTGACAGATAGCACATGTGCAATAAACATTCATAGAAATGATGTCCCTTTTTATTCTTGGCAAAATTAGCGTTGTGCTGAAAACAAAATGAGTTTGGTTCATGGGACATTTCCTGAAAGGAATGACAGTTTAAGACAGAATAAAGTGGAAAGGGAAGGAATATCTATGTGGAGGAATTAGCCAACGATAAGATCTTACCTTGAAGAAGACCTTCTGCATTGAGTCTGAAAACAACATTTGTGTTTATGTGAAAATCCATGCCCTGACCTAACTCTCTGTGTCCTGTCAGCCTAGGTAATCAAATTATGCATGAAATAATTTCATAATTTTATTTTCAACTGACAAGCACTACATTATACATTCAATCTGTTCACATGAGATAATATATTTCTTGCAGTAACATCTGTTAATATATGCTTGTTCTCAAAAAACGATTATATTACAAATCTTAATCTAGGTACAGAAATGAAAGGGTCCAGGCATTTGATTAATATATATTGATTAATCCTATATAGCAGGAGAAGCTCAGGAATTGTCTGATAAAACTCTCCCAACAGTCTAGTTGAGTCTTTCATTTTGCTGCTAGAAATCATTTTGCTTGGTTTGCTGCTGCTTCTTACATGGATCCACACTGGGCAGACTCTTGAGAGGTGGAAAAATAAGTTAGATGACTATTAAGGGCAGTTTGCAGAGCATGTTTAGAAACCGCACAAGAATGGGGAGAAAGAGTGTTTGGTTGCTCCCCCTGGAGCTTATATTTTTACAATGCTAAACTCTGAGGTTCAGGAAGCAGACCATATTTTTCATGTCCCCATGAATTTTCCTGACTAATCTATCTCCCTAGAATGCTCTTCTTGTCCCTATTTACTCTCTGCAACTTAAGATCTGCTAATACTAAGTCATCAGTTTCTTGTAAAATTTTCACCTGACCCCTACTCTTGTTCCAGATTGGGTTACCTACTCCTCTGTACTGCTAAAATCCCCTGTCCTCCTTCCATGGGCAGGCACTGCTCTCATGTCCTCCCACCATACCCTTCTACCCTCGACTCAACATCAAACTCTAGACCGTGACCATTTTGAGACCGAAATTATGCCCTTGAGTTACAGGCAAATATTAGGTTCTTTAGATTTTCTGCAGAATTAATTGAATGAAAAATGAACGAGGCCAACAAGTAAAAGGAGACAAATGAGACAGGCAACATGAAGACTGAAGGGTATGTAAAGAAGGGTAGGGAGGTTAGCCAGCCCCAGCCGATCTTACTTCTAAGATGTTGACAGAAGTGTGTGCGTGCATGTGTGTTTGCATGGGAGCAGTAGTAGCCCAGGGAAGGTGAACTTTAAACTTGACTGCATAGAAATACTTCCAATATAGCAGGTACGAATGTCACTGTGCCACTTTCTGGTGTGTAAATGTGACAGAAAAATTAGTTCTGTACTTTCACTCATGTGACGGTAGAAAATTCAATCTCAGTAATATTTGGCGGCTTTGGTGTTCATCCAAAAATCTCCTAGTGTTTGGAGTGACAGAAGCTTGCAGGTTCCTTGTCAGAGTCTTCGGTGGCTCACCAGTGTTTGAAAGCATTGGACAGGCCATATGTTCCAGCCAGACCAGAGATGCACCTCAGGGTGGTCCACTCCTTGACCACACACAGGTTCACAGAGACCTTCAGGATCTCAATGTCTCCTGTGAGCTTGGCGTTAAGTGTTGAGCTTCTAAAGCACATCCCAAAATAATTCCTGGCTAGCACACGTGTATGAAGAAGCCAAGGCCCTTCCAGAAACCTGCCTGATTCCTGTGCACACTCCCCACTCCTAGCCTGAGGAAAATCAAATGTTTCCTTAAATTGGGTAGCTTCTGTGTCTTCAACTCCGAAGACTTAACCTCCATGCCCCTCCTTTGTGAACGCAATCTGGGAAAACTTTTGTACTAGGTGTCATGGATGAGAAAAGAAGCTGGAAATACCAGTTATTCCTTTCTTAATAACTGACCTTGTTATTCAGCTCTTCAGAAGCCACAGGAAATTTTATCCCTCTCCTCTCTAAATCCCACCCCCACCACATCCACTGGCTGCCCTGTTCTGTTCTGCAGCATGGAGATACCCAAAGCCCAGTCTTGGCAGTTGTCCCAGTTTTCTTCATCCTGTTCATGACTCCAAAGAAAACACATCTCTCACTCAACAACAAACTGGCAGTTTCTGTTGAGAACTCAGATATTTTCCCAGAGTCCGCCGTAAAAATAATAAGGTTATATTTTAATTTTAAATTATTTGTTCATGCAGATTCTTTTGGAAAGACCTTGCTATAGTTTTGTTGATCATACAAAGAACCTTTTAAACAAAATATTTTCCAAAAATATAGCAGGCTTCCTTCTGCTGACACAAATCTCAAGAAGAGTCAGCATTTGTTATAAGGCTCTAAACAAATATTTATAAACCCTGCTTAAATTTGTTTTGAAACTTGCATAATTTTGGCAATCATTACTCATGCTAGTATCATCACTCAGGGCTTGGCATTAACGTTTTCTTCAAAATATTTTACTTTTATAGTATAAATTTACCCTATATTGCCAAAGATGTATTGGACAAGGGTGGTCATCACTGTACTGTGCTGAAACTTGGCTTCATTTTTGAAAGAGTGGAAAATTTATCAGAGGAGTTTTGGGAAGATGAAATATTTCAGTGATCTAATCCCATAATATTTATGACCTCTTACAACTAGTAGTGATTAGGCCCCACTTGTGACCAACAAACTAAAAATTTACCCTCATTCTATGAATAGGATTTTATTTTAAAATAATTATATTATGAAAACATAAAAAATATTTGAAACAAAAAACTTGTGAATATTCACATACTTCATTGCCCATTAAGAACAGTTCCACCAATGCCTAGTTGACTTGTAACAATTTGTGTGCAGCAAAAATAGAGAGACAGGGCTGGAGTGCGCTTGTTCTGCATTAGACTAGGCTAATGAGAAAATGCTAAAGGTGTTGGAAAAGGCAAGAGCCAAAGAAGCCTTAGAGAGAAAGTTATGATTGGGGGTTCAGAATAGGAGATTGAGGGCATAGAAGCTACAAGGCTTGCTGCAGAGCAGGCTGAGGCTCCACAGAGGAGGAGAGACAGGACTCGACCAGGTGTTGCCTTGGGGCTATGTATGAATCTCCTGTACAGACTCCAGTAAGGAGTTCTTAAGTGTTCCCTTTTTTAAATTTAATTTTTGAATAGATTATACTTTTGCAAGGTTCAAAATTTTTAAAGGTCCTGTAGGTTTTATCAGGAAAAAGTCTCCATAACACTCCAGCCCCAAACCACCCAGTTCTCATCCCCAGAAGCCACCAATATTATCAGTTTACTGTGTGTCCTCCAGAGCTATTTTATGCACATACAAGCAAACAGACATTTGTATATATTCACTCTCTCTTTCATTTTTTTTAAACAAGTAGCAGCTTGCTACATAAATTATTTTGTATCCTGCTTTACTCTCTGTAAAATATCTTGGATATTGTTTCATTTTATTAGGCAGATTCTTCATTCCTTTTTTTTTTCAGCTGCAGAGTATTCACTATAGCAAGGTACAAATGGTTTTTGGTCAGTTTCCACTTTTGGTTGCTTTGATCATTTGCTATTATATACACGATGCTGTAAATTTTTAATTTATTTTGTGTCATGAACCCCTTTGGCAGTCTGGTGAAGCCTATTAATTTCTTCTTAATAAAATATTTTCAAGTGCATGCAAAATTCTCAGGATTAAAAGGAAACCAATTATGCTGATATATAGGTATCAAAATATTCTTTATATAAACATTTATTTAGAAATATATGTACTTATTTATTAAAACTTAATAAGATCTAGCAGTGGATCAAATTCTTGTAATTTCAAAATATGAGTGAGCATAAATGCTGTTTCAAAATATCTGCAACAATTGTAATGTGATGTAAAATATCTGTGATTTTATTGGTAACAAAGGCATAGGCTGATACTATCATGGTTTCCTGCTTGCTTTCATAATTAAAGGAAATGACAAATTTTACTTAGAGTTAAGAAACCCTGCCTTATACATACATCATTTCCCAAACACTCAAGTGTATGTGTAGGGTATATTTTTAGAAGTGTTTTAAATTAGCAACTGCAAATAAATTTATAATTGAATACATATTGCCAAACTGCTGAAAATGCAGTCGTTCTACCAACACTGAATAAGGGTATGTTAACAAGCATTTTAATCCTTGCCAATCCGAGAGATGAAAAATAATATTTTGGTGGTTTTATTTTGCACTCTCTTGTCAAAAGCAAATTTGAACATCTTTTCATATATTTATGAACCATCTTCTTTTCTGTGTGTTCATACCCCTTGCTCATTGTACTATTGGTTTGTTAGCAGGTTTGCTGTGTTGCAAACGCCAGGGGACATCAGTCACAGAGACCTGAATGTACACAGCACCCCCTGGAGTTGGCAATGCGGAGGCTCTGGCTGTTGATCCCAAAGAAGATTTAAATTGCAGTCCATTATATTTTTCTCTCAGACTTCTGTTTCTTTGAATATTCCAAATAGATTAAAATATAATCTGGAATCTTAAGTGCCTTAGTCTTATTTAGGTAACAATACTATCTAAGAAAAACTCTAGAAGAATTCACAACAAATTGCTAACTATAGTTATCTCTGGCAGAGGAAGTAGCATGGGAAAGGCGTGGGAAAATTTTTTACTTTGACTTTTTTTTCACCTGTGTACTTATGTATAATTTGTGTGGAATAAATAAAATAATAAATATACATGATAAAATTTCAAATAAAAGTTAAAAAAATTACGGGGCACTCCTCCTTGAGCCTATATGATGGTTTTGAAATACTATTCAAAAAGAACCAGGACTTCTTAGAGAAATGACTGAGTGCAGGTCTCGGGCAGGAAATGTACAAGATGAGCCTGGCACCTCTTATTAATACCACATAGCAAGAAAGGTACGAAGATGACTAGGGCCATGGCAAAAGGACTCATGAACTAACTTGAAGAGGCTTCTACTGACCAAAGACAGAGCAACTTAAGCATCAATAAAGATAATAACTGCAATGGCTATGATGAAATACATTATGAATGCATAAAGTTCATACTAATGTTAAACAAAATGAAAATTAATTGGTCATACTGGGTAGATGATGGGGAACTAACAAATTATTTTAAAAATTGGTAAATCCAGGCAAAGAATCTAGCATTTATTGTAACTTTTTTTTTTTTTTTTGAGACAGAGTTTTGCTCTTGTTGCCTAGGCTGGAGTGCAATGGTGCGATCTCGGCTCACTGCAACCTCCTCCTCCCGGGTTAAAGCAATTCTCCTGCCTCAGCCTCCCAAGTAGCTGGGATTACAGGCATGCACCACCACTCCCGGCTAATTTTGTATTTTTAGTAGACACAAGGTTTCTCCATGTTGGTCAGGCTGGTCTCAAACTCCCGACCTCAGGTGATCTGCCCACCTTGGCCTCCCAAAGTGCTGGGATTACAGGGCACCCGGCCCTATTCTAACTTTTTAATGCAAACTGAGTCTCCAGGTCATCAAATAATAGACAAGGAGAAGTTTCCTTTCATAAAAAGTAATCCAGCTAATAAATTAAAACAGAATGAGAAAATTCATAATTCCTAATGAATGATTATACCCAGGCATTGGCCACCCACAGCTGTGAGCTTTACCAAAAGGAAAACAACTTGGCCTTAGGTGCATCCTAATGAAAAAGCGCAATCCCACATAAAAAGTGGTTTTGCCAAATACAGGAAAAAAAAAAAAGAACCAAAAAACTTTGAATCTGATGAAGTGTCCAGGTCCAACGGCCAATTGGCGTGTTAAGCAATAGAAGAGGTTTCCAGTCTGTGGACTGCGGGAAACTCTACAGCTTTCTTCAACAAAGCAACTGAAAGGGAGAGAAAAAGAGGTAGGTGGAGGGGAAACTTCAGAGACTATCAACCAATCATGATACGCAGACCTTATTTGGATTTTGATTCAGATATACAAACTGTATAAACAAAGCAACTTTTATAATATTTACGAAACAACTGGAAATTTCAACACTGAAAGGATATTTGATGATATTAAAGAACTTGTTTTACTAATTTGTAATATTTTACATAATGCTATGAGGATTATGTTTTTTCAAAGTGTTCATTCTCTTCTAAAGATACTAAAAAACAGATGAAATAATACTATATCTGGAATATGCTTCAAATAATGTGGGAATAGTTGAGGTATCAAAGCAGATAGATTGGTCACGGATAATTGTTGGAGCCAGGTGAGGGAAATCGATGGGGCTTTATATTATTCTAATTTTGTATATGTTAAATTTTTTTTAAGTAAACAAAATCATTAAACATCAATTTGTCCTGAAAAGGGACATTGTATCACAAGAGGGTCTGAGAAATACCCTTTTGTTTTGTTGGTTTTTTTTTTTTTTTTTTTTTGCCAAATTTGGCAGTAGGGAGTTGAACTAACTCATTTCTTTTAGGCCCTATACATGTGTTGGGATTTTTTTTAATCGGAATTTAAAAATTCATGTTCCTTATGGATCAGAAATGTTCCTGTCTGCATTCCATAGGAAGCAGCAGCAATGTCGTCGGGCAGCCTGGGGTTCGGGAGGTGAGTTGATGGGTTTGGAGAAGGCATGTGCTGACTACGGGCTTCCCTGGGAAACAGATTGTGGGTGGAGATGAGCTTGCAGGTTGTCTCTCAGGGAGTGCCCTCAGGATCATCCCTATGAGGGGAGAGGAGTGAGAGAAGCAGGGCTGGGCAGCAGATGAACTCTGATGCAGTTCAACGGAGGCCTCGGCCAACCCCACAGACAGCTGTGGAGCTAGGATGGCCCTACCGAGTTTGTCACTTGAGGCAAGGAAGCCAGGTATAGTCCGCCTCCTCAGTGGTTAGAGATGGCTTCTCCTCAGGGAGGGGCCATGGCTTGGGTGACGCAGCTTCCTTAGGCAGAGGGCAGTCCCTGAGAGAGTCTGGGCTGTGGATGGCTAACACTCATAGCACGCTGTCAGCAGGAGGAGGAACAAGGGCCTCAGGCCAGAAAGAGAGCTGGACTGTGTCTCATCAGGGTCTACCAATGACAACATTGTTGTCACACCAAATTTACTGCACACCAATCCAAGGATTATTGCTTCTAGGTGAATGACACATAAGAATTAGTCATAAAGGGAAGCCTTGACATCAAATTCCTGACAACACACAAAACCTATATAATGTGATAAAAGGTTATGTATCATTCATGCTCTTTATACCTATGTGACACTGGTAGGTGAGTATCTTATATGTTAGTGCTCCCCAAGTCCCTAAAGTTCCCACAGAGGCAAAAGAGCTATTTGAATGATTTCCAATACTATTCTAAAAATAAAATCTAACAATATAAATTTTTTTTATTTTTTATTTTTTCACTCTGTCACCCAGGCTTAAGTGGTGCAATCACAACTCACTGCAGCCCTGACTTCCTGGGCTTAAGCAATCCTCCCACCTAAGCCTCCTGAGTAGCTGGGACTACAGGTGTATGCCACAATGCCTGACTAATTTTTTGATATTTTTGTAGACCTGATGTCTCACTGTGTTGCCCAGGCTATTCTCGAACTCCTGGGCTGAAGAGATCCTCCTGCCTCGGCCTCCCAAAGTCTTGGGATTACAGGTATGAATAAACATGGCTGGACTATTCTTTTTATGTTGAAATAACTTCAAACTTACTACCAAGTTGCACGAATAGTACGAATACCTCCCATATACCCTTTACTACATTCACAAATTAACATCTTGTCATATTCACTTTATAATTTTCTACATAACCACCATACTATAATAATGAAAATGAGGAAATTAAACATTTATAAAATGCTGTTATCTAACCCACAGTCCATATTTAAATTTTACCAATTTTAAATTTTACCAATTGTCAGAGTAATGTCCTTAATAGCAATAGTTTTCCCTCCGGTCCAGTATCCAATTCAAAATAGTATCTTGCATTGTGTGGTTATATGTCCTCAGTCTCCTTCAACCTAGCATGTTTCCTCAGTCTTTCCTTACTTTTGTTATCTTGATGCAAGTGAAGATTGCAGGCATCTTTGGCAAGAATAAAATAGAAACAACTATATTGGTTTTCTGTATTGCGGTCAATCAATTTTCACATAGCAGCTAAAAGCAACACATAATTATTATCTCACAGTTCCTGTGGATCAAGACTGGGCAGTTTAGCTGGGTATTCTATGAGGCTATAATCAAGATTTTTAAGAAATCAAAACATTATAATATACAGAAAATAAAAAATATAAATAATACATCCAGAAAGTAAGGAAGTGGCCAAAGAATAATGTCCTGTGAAAAGGACACAGGAGCCAGCTTTAAAGGGCTTTCACAGGCCAAATCTGGGACAATTTGAGCACTAGTAATGGATTATAATTCATTGAACAAAATAGGACTTCATGAGTTCATAGAGATATTAACTAAAAGTTTGATGAAAAAGCAATATTGACATTGTCTGAATGCATCTCCCCACAAAATACTATTTACAAAGGGGGAAAAGAGTAAGTGCACTGGAGAAGCCTGGTGGACACCACCTTCATCAAGTGATTCAAGTAAACATCGCTTGTAGTAGACTAAGGGGTATGGTAAACCACCTCATAGGATGCAATGAGAACACAGCATCACCATGGCCAACTTTATCATGTCCCCGCCAAATCCCTGACTCCTAGTATTCACATCCTCATATAATCCCCTCCTCTTGAGTGTGGGTGGGACCTGTGACTTGCTTCTAATCAATAAGATAAGGCAAAGGTGATGGGATGTCACTCCTGTGATTGTGTTACATTATGTAAGGATCTGTCTTGCTGGTAGACTCACTCTAGAGTCTTGCTCTCCTGCTGACTTCGAAAAATCATGAGTCCTACAAATACTAGGAAATAAATTCTGCCAACAACCTGAGTAAGCTTCAAAGTGAATCCTTTCCCAGTAGAGCTGGGGACAGAGACCAACACCCCTCTCAGCCAGGAGCATGTCTCTAATATGTAAACTAACCAGACCAGATCCTTATCTCTTCTATTTGGCTATACACACAAGAGGTAACCCTTCTCTGCTTTAGTCATTCCAAGGCCAGGTACCAGGCAACTAGGGGACACCTCTATGGCTTAGAGCCTATGGAAAGTATTCAAACCTAAACAGTTCATCTTGCCCTGCTTTTCACATGACCATGGGCCTGGATCTCCTCTCACTCCTGCCCCTCTGCCTCCTGGCCACCCCAGAGCTTTCCCCCAAGGCCCTTTGTGGTGTCCTGTGCCTCTTGTCTTTAGGATCTGTGAGTACAGTAAACTGTGTTTTCCTGAGCCTCCTTATATGTCCTCTTGTGACCTCACCTGAATGATCATCTCATGAAAGAACACAGAACACCAGCACAAAATATTCCATAATCATCTCATATTGTTGTTTCAGCCCTGATATCAGCCACCACTTCTCCGAAGTCCAAAGTGCCTTCATTCCTTTCATTGGAGAACCATATTTAGAAACCAATATCTAGGCACTACGTGTATTTTACCTATAATGGTATTAACACTCGTGGTAATACTTGTTCTCTTCAGACCAGTTCCTCCAGGTTGGAGGCAACACCGTACAGTGATTAAGAGGCTCTGGATCTAGACTGCCTGAATTAAAATTCTGGCCACGCTGGACAATCTGTGAAGCCTTGGGAAAGGCACTTAAGCTCTTACAGTTTTATACCCTGTGTGATAGTGTTTACGATAGCACCTACCTCAGAAGGTTGCTGTGGAACGTAGTAAGATATGAGTGTGACGCTCTTAGACTCATGCCTGACATTCAGGGATTACTCAGTAAATATTTGTTGGGTGAATGATCCTTATGTTGATCAGAAGCTCTAACTGAAGAATGAAAATGAGGGGGAAATCTTGCTCCACGTCCTTTTCAGACAATAATTAACGTATTGATTTGTCAGAGATCTCATCCTCCTGTGAGACTATCTTCCTTTAAGACTTTAAGAATTCCCTGTAATAATCTTTTTAGTTGTCTTTAATGTATTGACAACCTAGAAGAAATCCCTGTAAAATGTCACATATGTGATCTAGAAGGAAAAAAAATGCTTTCCACTTACACTTGTTTATGTTCTTCCTTCTTCTTCATTAAAAAAATAGAAAAGAACTCACACAAGCCTGGTGCCAAACCTGGATGTGTCTCTGTGTCCAGGACTCTGATTCCTAAAAACATCGAGTCATTATAGAAGACATCAGGACCACTGAGAAGACAGTCAGGAAATCAGAGGGGGAGAAGGTCAAGAAGGACGAGGCCCTGCAATCCTTTTTATTCCCCTGGTGTCCTCAGGATGGTGAATAAGAACTCTAGGAACCTGCACCTGCAAAAGAAGATCCAGGGCAATGTAGAGATTCCACATCCTGAGCTTTCTTTGATGTCTTCTTGCCAGCTATCCCCAATTCCTGATTTAGTTCCTCTTAGGGACAGCTATTCTGAAGGGTCTCATCAGAGAAGCTTATTTGGTTTCTATTGGACAAGGAATACATGCATTATAAACATTCCAGATAATGTTTATGTTTCAAATTGGTTTTTCAGTTCCTTTGCAATTCTTGCTCAAGTTTTCCTCACCTTCTAAGTCTGAAAAAGTAATTTCCAAATCATGGTGAAGGCATTATTGAAAAATCAGGACCTTGTAGAATCTTACAGTCATTTGGCCAGGCTAACGGTTTAACCTGAAAGTGGAATGGATTTCCCATCCGGGTTCCCATAGTGAACAACTATGTTTTTGTAACATAACACAATGAAGGGAGTTGTCACTAGATGACTCAGCTAGTTAGAATCTCAACTCCCTTTCTGGGGAGGAAATCTGAAGCACGGTGTTTGTATTAGAGGCTAGGGTCATGCTTATTTGGACTTCAGTTCTCCCGCATCAAAGCCAGTCAGAGACTATGAACAGGTAGGGGGAAGGAAGGTCAACTGTCCACCTGGGCCAGAAGAGCAAGAAGTGTAGCCAAACCAAATCTGACATTTTTTTGGGTGTCTGTCTTTCTAACACATATGCTCACTCGTTCTGTCTCTCTCTCTCTCTCTCTCTCACACACACACACACACACACACGTTTCAACTCTCCACTGCTGTAAAGCTGTTCTTGGTAAAATTCCCTAGGGCAAAATCAACTGTAACTTGAGTTTTCAACTCACTTAGTATCAGTGGGAAATTTGCCATGTTGGACTTTGACAACCACAAAAACCAGTTTGACTGAGAGTGGCGAGGCCATGAGGTCTAGGTGGAGTATGAACTCACCAACTTGGAATGATTACTTGGAGAATGCTCACACTGCCTCTTATTTATGCTTCTGTCCAAGTCTTTGAGAGTGCTGAAGTCATAGAAATGACCAAACAAATATATAGTACGACACTTTTTAATTCAGAACTCAACCACAAAAAAAATGCTCCTCTGTCACCAGGGATCCCTGGAAAATGGTGTCTAAAAATCAGCTCTGAGCAAACCATCCTCAGTTCTTGTCCTTGTGGCATCTTCAACTCCCAACTGATGGAAATCTCACTGGTCTGAACTTCAAATGGTATGAAAGCAGGAGTGGAGAGTTTCACCCCAACCTTTCTGCAAAAAAGCAAGCATATTTTATATAAGGTCAAAAGGCCATGTGAGGCAGGAGAATAGAGACTGGAGGCAGGGAACCTAAGGCTTTTCACACTGACTTCCTAGAACTAAATTGAAAGGAAAACCCTAACTTTCCATGCCTCAGTAACAGAAGGACCAGAGGCTACTCCCTTTGACCTTTTCTGCGTGGCAGTTGGGAAGTTGTCTGTAAGCGACAAATCAGACTTATTGCTGGTAGAGACTTTGTTTGCAATTTAGTAACTTCACTCCAGACTCTGAATGGTCTGACTGTGGCTCTGATCAGACTGATTGTGGACGGAGTCTTCAGTTTGCATAGAAGTATAACTTTGTAACTTCACCCTACCCTCTGATTGGTTGCTTTTTGCAACCAATCAGATGTTTGCACAGGAGTGTGACCTTTGTAACTTCACTTCATCCTCTGGTTGGCTGCTTTCTGCAAGCAATCAGACTGATTGCGGGCTACCACTTCATTTACATGAGGTAAGCATGAAGTGGCCAATGAGAAACTTCCAGGGGTATTTGGACCCAAGAAGATTCTGTATTTGGGCCCTTGAGCTGGTGCTCGGGCCCACTTCCACACTGTGGAGTGTACTTTCATTTTCAATAAATCCCTGCTTTTGTTCTTTTGTTGCTCCATTCTTTGCTTTGCTGGGCGTTTTGTCCAATTCTTTGTTCAAAACGCCAAGAACCTGGACAACTTGCAATCATGACCAGTGACACAGGTAGGGAAATCCTTTTACAAGTTAGACCAGGGTAAAGGAAATGAAAATAGGCCCTATTATTTCTCTCCTCTACTGAATCTAGACAATTCTTTTAAAAACTTTTCATTGCACACATCTCTTGTTTGTTGATAGTTCTATTTTGCTACAGTAAAACCAAGTTTGTAGAACAGGAGCTGTAGCTTTAATTTTGAGACATCAGGTTAACCTTGAAATCATTCATCGAATTAAAGTAGAATCCAAGTGATTAATGTCTCAAAATTGTGTTATTTAGAAGTGCCAAAGAAACAGTCCCCGAATCTGATCAACATTGTAGTAAAATCAGCCCAGTGTGTGAAGGAAAGAGCATGGGTATGTGAGTCAGGGAGACTTGCGTAGGAGGAATCCAGGCCTAATTACTCGCCAGCCTTGTGACTTTGGCCTGCATGCTTAACCCAGATGAGCTTCAGTTTCCTCACCTGTAAACAGCTTTGCACAACGGAGCTGTAAAGTTAAATGACGGCATCAGAGTGACTTGCATGTGCCCACTCTCCTTCTGCTCCACGCTCCTCTTCCCCTGAATGCACAGAAACTGGATACGTATTACCCAGGAACCCTGAACAGTTTTTGTCATTCTCCCCAAAGGCAGCTGTGATCTGTGGAAGGAGGCCAGCAGGAGAGAACTTGCTACTTTTCCCAGGGAGGACCTGGTCTCCCATCAGACAGAGAGAGGAGCTGCAAGTGGCCTGCTACTTCTCCTGCCTCACAAAGAGAACCACTTGGTGAACCGGGTTCAAAAGGTGCAAACACATGAATTCATCAGTTTAAAGTTTTTAGGGTTTTTTTTTTTTATTTTAATCAATGGTTTTTCTTCTCAACTGAAATGAACCTTGCTGGACTTGCGTAGCCTCATGTATAAAACTAGAAAGTTGGGCCACCTACATCAGTGGACTTCAACTCTGCTTGGGCACTGGAGTCATTTGGAGGACTTACTTAAAATGCAGATTCCTGGCCTCACCCACAGACATTCTGTTTCCCTTGGGCTGAATCAGGGTGTGTCGTTTTAGAAAACCATAGACCGTTTTCTGTTGAAAATCAAATGGTCTTTGAAGCCCTCCACATCTCACATGCCAGGCTCTAATTATTCAACCCAAGGAAATGATACTCAAATCAGAACATGAGAGTCCTTTCCCCTTCAAGTATTTATGCACTAGTTGCCCTAGGTGCCCTGGATGCCTTCAGCTCACCCATTCAAGAGGAAGTCACACCAGCCCTTCTGGGTAGCTAGCCCTCAGGAAGGGAGACCCAGAGCCACATCTTGAGCTTCAGACCACAGGGCAGGCACCCCAGGAGGTGTCTTGTCTGAAAATGGTAACTGAGACCTGGGAGAGTTCTTGGCTTAATGAGCCATCAGCTGAGCAATGTTGAACTAAAATTACCAGATAAAGATGGGGAATTGGTGATTAATTCTGGTTTAATTGGGCCAACAGAGCTTATTTTTTAGCCCAAGAATAACTTGAGCTACAACCTAAAGTGAAGGGAAAGCCAGGAAGCTGTGTGTAAGGTGGTTTTACACTACTCCCTGCCTCTGCATCTCTTTACTGTGGTTGTCTGCCTTGATTATGGTTCCAAATAAAGGACAGAAACTGGCTTCCCTGCCTGGTCCCACACTCACCTTTTCCTGAGAATGACTTCTCCTGCATGTACCTGGTTGCAGGGATGGCTCCCAGCAGCCATGTTTATGCAGGCCCCACAGGCATGGGCACCTGACCCCACAGGCATGGGCACCTGGCCTGGTCTTGTCCAATGCATGTCCCTTCTCTCACAATCTGGACTTGGGATGAATCTCTTGAACTGAAAAAACTATAAACTTCAGAACTGTCAGTAGCCATATTTTTTGTGTGTGAACTGAGAACCAGAGACAATGAGACTGCACTAAGAAGAATAAAGTATATGGATAGAAAGAGTCAAAAATGCAAAATGTGGAGTATGACATTCCGAATTTCCAGACCTTTGTTCCCCTGTCCGTGAGTTCCATCATCCTATCTGCATCTCCACCTTTGAAGTTTATAATTAATGCCCCTTTGTTTTAGGTAACTCAACTGGCTTCTGTTACTATAATCAGAATGCTCTAATGAGCATTGTTACTATATAGGAATCATTACATTTGTCATGTTCAAATGAGTAAGAAACTACAAGGAAGGAGAAATGCATGTGGAAAAACACAACTGGGGTGCAGGAGATCTGAGTTCAAATCTTCCTTCTAGAATCTCACAACCACATAGAATCATAGACTGTTTATGTTAATTCTTAAAGGTAACCCAGTTCCACTGCCAACTAGCTAGATGACCTTGGGAAGAGTTTTTAACCCCTGTGGGATTAACTATAAAATGGCCATAATGATTCCATTCACTCTATGAGGCTTCTTTCAGCATGAAAATCTATGCTTATATAGCACTTGATATAAGCAAAAGGAGTTTCCCCTGGAATTATTCTTGAAGCCACATTCTGTGCATGAAAAGGTTGAAAGAGCTAACCCTAAGAAGCATATACCAGCTGCTTATGTTAATGATAGGTAAAATTGAACATTTTCTAATTTAAATATAGTAAATGTCAATTTTCCCTAACTTTTCATAAGATGTTTTGACTTTGCTTAAACACTAATCTTAGAACTGAACATATTCAACTTCCCTCTTCATCCAAAAAAAATTTGGCGAATATTGAGAGCCAACTAAATGCCTGACACTATGCTAGCTGCTGTGCCCTCAAAGAAGAAAATAGAAGGTCCCTGCTCTCTGAGACTTCAGTGAAGGTGGGGAAGCTAAGGAGGATACACACTCATGCCTCGTGGTCGGATCGGAGCTGCCATGCAGGTGTGGTGTGTGTAAGAACAAAGCGGGAGTCATGAGCAGGCTGAGGGTGGGGTGGTGGGGGAAGCAGGCAGGGGTGTGACGAAAGGCATCATGGATGAAGTAACAAGTTCAGTCAGGGTAACAAGGCAGGGGTAGGGTAGGCTGGGCAAGAATAGCAGGGCCTTTCTGGCAGTTTTGGCATATCCAAAACATGGGGCTGAGAACCAGCAGCTCATGCTCTGGAACCTGCAGTTCTGTGATGCAGTAAAAACCACCGCTTCCAAGGGTATCATGGATTAAGGGTGATTCCAGAAGGGATGAGGGAGCTAGAAATGAGTTTTACTATAACCGGGGGAAGTCCAGTATTTTAAACTTTATCACGAAAGATAACAAAGGAATCCAACATATATTGGAGTGATAGAATCCCAGAAAAGTAAATATAATGAATCACAGATAGAGACATCTCCTCTGAGAGAGCGGGCTGATAAAAATAGTAAATAATCATAAGTAACTTTTTTTGAGTGACTGCTAAATGCCAGATGCTTCAAGCTTTACGCACATTGACTCATTTCTGCATACCACAACCCTATGAGGCAGATTCTATTATTTGTCTCAGAGAGGTCCTCTCAGTAAGGCCTTCTCCTTCTCCCACCTATTCCCCTTTTCTGCTCTTATCACCATCTAATACCCTCTGTGTTTTACTTACTATTTTTTATTTGCCTCTCTCTTTTTGATAGAGTGGATACTCCTTAAAGGCAGGAATTTTGTTGTTTGCTTTGCTTACTGCTATATCCTCAGCACTTATAACACATAGTAGGAATCAATAGATGTTGGTGAATGAATGAATTATAGAAATAGAGGTACACGGTACACAATGGTTAGTAGCTTGCCCCAAATCGAACAACCAGGCAGTGGTAGGCCCTGGGAGCAATGGTGTGAGTGGCTGGTAGATCTTGGGCTCACAGAGAGGCATAATGAAATTGAGGGTGGGGAGACTGGAGCATCAGCCGGGTTAAAAAGAGGCTTAAAAACTCATAGATTCACTTATTTTAGTCATCCAACTATTCAATACTATTTACTGAGCACCTATTATGCACCAGACATGCTCCAGGTACTGGGGAAACAATGGTGGACAAGGCAGAAGGTGTCTGCGCTCAGTGGGGAGGGGAGGGAAGATGACAACAGAAAAGGAAACAAGCAAATACACAGAATAACTTCAGAGGCTGATAAATTCTGTGATGATAATACAGCAGAGTAATGTGATGGAGCATAACTAGAGATAGGGGGAATATCTTCACTAAATAGGTCTTCAGAAAGGACTTCTTTGACAAAATTATGTATGAGCAGCATCCTGCAGCATGTATGTTTCTTTTTTCTGGGGAGAGGGTTTTTTTTTTTTTTTATTGATCATTCTTGGGTGTTTCTCACAGAGGGGGATTTGGCAGGGTCATAGGACAATAGTGGAGGGAAGGTCAGCAGATAAACAAGTGAACAAAGGTCTCTGGTTTTCCTAGGCAGAGGACCCTGCCCTTCCGTAGTGTTTGTGTCCCTGGGTACTTGAGATTAGGGAGTGGTGACGACTCTTAACCAGCATGCTGCCTTCAAGCATCTGTTTAACAAAGCACATCTTGCACCGCCCTTAATCCATTTAACCCTGAGTGGACACAGCACATGTTTCAGAGAGCACAGGGTTGGGGGTAAGGTCACAGATCAACAGGATCCCAAGGCAGAAGAATTTTTCTTAGTACAGAACAAAATGAAAAGTCTCCCATGTCTACTTCTTTCTACACAGACACGGCAACCATCCGATTTCTCAATCTTTTCCCCACCTTTCCCCCCTTTCTATTCCACAAAGCCGCGATTGTCATCCTGGCCCGTTCTCAATGAGCTGTTGGGCACACCTCCCAGACGGGGTGGTGGCCGGGCAGAGGGGCTCCTCACTTCCCAGTAAGGGCGGCCGGGCAGAGACGCCCCT
Source organism: Homo sapiens (assembly GCF_000001405.40). NCBI lineage: Eukaryota > Metazoa > Chordata > Mammalia > Primates > Hominidae > Homo > Homo sapiens. Next base: position 149,380,821 of record NC_000003.12, on the reverse strand, counting down.
CACCTCCCGGACGGGGCGGCTGGCCGGGCGGGGGGCTGACCCCCCCACCTCCCTCCCGGACAGGGTGGCTGGCCGGGCAGAGGGGCTCCTCACTTCCCAGTAGGGGCGGCCGGGCAGAGGCGCCCCTCACCTCCCGGACAAGGCGGCTGGCCGGGCGGGGGGCTGACTCCCCCACCTCCCTCCCGGACGGGGCGGCTGGCCGGGCAGAGGGGCTCCTCACTTCCCAGTAGGGGCGGCCGGGCAGAGGCGCCCCTCACCTCCCGGACAAGGCGGCTGGCCGGGCGGGGGGCTGACCCCCACACCTCCCTCCCGGACGGGGCGGCTGGCCGGGCAGAGGGGCTCCTCACTTCCCAGTAGGGGCGGCCGGGCAGAGGCGCCCCTCACCTCCCGGACAAGGCGGCTGGCCGGGCGGGGGGCTGACTCCCCCACCTCCCTCCCGGACGGGGCGGCTGGTCGGGCGGGGGGCTGACCCCCAAACCTCCCTCCCAGACGGGGCGGCTGGCCGGGCAGAGGGCCCCTCACTTCCCAGTAGGGCGGCCGGGAGAGCCCCCTCACTCCCGGCAGGGCGCTGCGGGGCGGGGGGCTGCTCCCCCACCTCCCTCCGCACGGGGCGGCTGGTCGGGCGGGGGGCTGTCCCCCCACCTCCCTCCGAGACGGGGCGGCTGGCCGGGCGGGGGGCTGACCCCCCACCTCCCTCCTGGACGGGGTGGCTGGCCGGGCAGAGGGGCTCCTCACTTCCCAGTATAAAGGAAAGAAGTTTAATTGACTCACAGTTCTGCATGGTTGGGGAAGCCTTGGGAAACTTTCCATTATAGAGGAAGGTGAAGGAGAAGCAAGACACCTTCTTTTTGTTTTGTTCTTTTTTTGAAACTGAGTCTCGCTCTGTCACCCAGGCTGGAGTGTAGTGGTGCTATCTCGGCTCACTGCAAACTCCGCCTGCCGGGTTCACACCATTCTCCTGCCTCAGCCTCCCCAGTAGCTGGGATTACAGGTGCTCGCCACCACGCCCAGCTAATTTTTGCATTTTTAGTAGAGACAGGGTTTCACCATGTTGGCCAGGATGGTCTCGATCTCCTGACCTTGTGATCCACCCGCCTCGGCCTCCCAAAGTGCTGGGATTACAGGCGTGAGCCACTGCGCCTGGCCGCAAGACACCTTCTTTACAAGGCAACAGGAAAGACAATCATCAAGAGAAGGGGGAAGAGCTCCGTATAAAACTGTCAGATCTCATGAGAACTCACTCACTATCACAAGAACAGCATGGGGGAAACTGCTGCCATGATTCAGTTCCCTCCCCCCAGTCTCTCACTTGACACGTGAGGATTATGGGGATTACAATTCAAGATGAGATTTGGGTGGGGACACAAAGCCTAACCATATCAGTAGTTTAAGCATCACTTTCCCCCATTTTGGCCCCAGGTGGGATAGATCAGCAGACAGGAGGGTTGCAATGATTATGCTTCAACAAAGGATGCCGTCATTCACCCATAGGCTCTGTCACCAGTGGAATCCTGTCTCTAAGCCATCGGGCCAAACACACGTTCCCTGTTGTTGGACACATAGTGGTGACCCAATGACACTCTTATGAGGATTTGCCTGCCTCCGCCTGAGCAGGTGGGTGGTTCCACGCTTCCCAACTCCACTGATTTATTTCCTCAGGCCATCCTGGATTCTGGCTTCACCCCTGTTAGTGTGCTGAGGCCACACTTCTTGGGCCCTCCTCCGGTCCCATGCCACATCACTAACCACAGCTGGTCTCCTCAAATTTGGTATGTGTCCCGCCCTCTAGTTCCGGGCCAAATCCTTCAGACTCTAGATTCGTGAACCTCATTCACCTTCTTCTTCTAAGCTAATGCCTCCCTACCTTGGTCCTTTTCTATTTTCTGTACTCTCTATCTTGTCCTGGTGACAAGGCCCTCCAGGCCTGGCCCCACCCGGCCACCCTGTCCACCTCCCACCACCATCCACTGGCTGGTGCAATCTGCTGTTCAAGGCATAAATTTATTCAGTGCCCAGCCCCTCCTTCTGCAAGGTAACCACCTAGAAAGTTAGTCTAACACCCTTTCTCTGCCCTGTGTGGGGAGCCTGTGGAAGCTGGTCTCAGGATCTGGCTGGGTAAACCATCTGTTTACCTCTGTGTGGGTTCTGACACTCCTAGCCAGTTCTGTTTCTCTGAACCTTGTTTCTCCACTCTGCTTGCCAAGTCCCTTTGTCTTATTTTTTTCTCCCTCTCCCTCCTTCCTTCCCTCCCCCCATCCTTCCTTCCTTTTTTCCTTCCTTCCTTCCTCCCTCCCTCCCTTCCTCCCTTTTTCCCTCTCTCCTTCTCTCCCTCCTTCTCTTCTTTCCTTCCTCTCTTCCTTCCTCCTTTCCTCTTTCCTTCTCTCCCATTCTCTTCCTCCCCCTCTCTTCTTCCTCTTTTTATTTTTGTCCCATGCTTTAGGCCTTCCTTGGCCCTTCCTGGCATTGCTTTTCCTGACAGCAACACTCAATAATTTTTAAAAAGCACCTGAGCCCTTTGTGTTGACTGATGCCACCTCTGTTGTGGTGCAGATTTGTTTTAGAGGCAGATGTCCAGGGACGCTGAACACTGAAATCCATCCTGCAGAGCTTGCTGTAGGCAGAGTAAAGAAGTTTGCTCTGTAGTTTTCCCAACAGCCTTCTCAAATCCATGGGAGACGTCTCAGACACCTTGTATTTAATAGACAAGGAAATGAGCTCAGGAGATTTGCCCCAGGTTGTAAATTAAATCAGCACAAAGGTAGAAATGAACACAGAGCTCTCAGATTGGAAGCTGTCCAGACAGCTGCATGGAGCAGGGGCACAGCTCACTGTCTTTCAAAGCCTCAACCAGGGCTGTTGCATCTCGGACACTTGGCAGTTACTGGAAAGTCATGTTAGGCTTTCCTGTTGATTCTTTATCTTGTGGAGGAGTTGCACAGTCAATGCCTTGTTCAAGATTAATCATTTTCCCTGTTGCCTATGACTGAGGCTGTTTCTCACATCCTGCCCCTGGTTTTGCCTGTCCCAAGGATTTCGTCTGAAGGGCGGGACATTCCCCCTGCCTCTTCGCACCACAGCCAGAGCCTGCCATTAGGACCAATGAAAGCAAAGTACCTCATCCCCTCAGTGACTAAGAATCGCAGTATTTAAGAGGTAGCAGGAATGGGCTGAGAGTGGTGTTTGCTTTCTCCACCAGAAGGGCACACTTTCATCTAATTTGGGGTATCACTGAGCTGAAGACAAAGAGAAGGGGGAGAAAACCTAGCAGACCACCATGTGCTATGGGAAGTGTGCACGATGCATCGGACATTCTCTGGTGGGGCTCGCCCTCCTGTGCATCGCGGCTAATATTTTGCTTTACTTTCCCAATGGGGAAACAAAGTATGCCTCCGAAAACCACCTCAGCCGCTTCGTGTGGTTCTTTTCTGGCATCGTAGGAGGTGGCCTGCTGGTAAGTCATTCAGGATTATTACTGAATTCTCTCCTGTTTCCTAGATGTTTTCATTATGTATTTTCATGGAAAGTTTTTTGTAATGCATATTTCTAAATCAAGTGACTTTTTTGTTGCTGTTCATTCCTTTGAAAGCAGATTATACAAAAGCGAGATTGGTACAGTATAGCGTAGTAATTTTATGAGATGTTGTTTTACAAAATGCTCTTTCAACTAAAAGTGAACTGCCTTTTTGCTAAACTCTATAGGTAGGAAACAGATATTCGCTTTTAAATCAGATTTGAGAGACTATAGAGTTTCTACTAGAACGGGCAGTCATTTAACATTTGCTCTGGGGAGCCGGAAGGGGTTGGCTGGTTCTCTGCCTAAATCAACAGTTTTGAATCCAAATTCTCTGCTGTTTATTTTCAGCCATCTGTGATAGGGAAAAATAATGAATTGTGAGTGCATTGCTATTTTAAAAGAACTCTAAGCTTTCTCCTTTATGTAAGGCTGGGGTGTGGCGTCTAGGAAAAACCCTACAGTTAGCAGCAGGTCGGTGTCTGAAGCTAATAGTGGAATGTGTTATTTTTTCCAAGAATTGTTTTTGATTGAAGTGAGAGGAATTTCCCTGCCAACCTGGGAGCTGAAAGCATTAGCTTCAACCACAGCATGGAAAGAATGTGAGCAAACTTAAGTTTGCTACTTTAAAGTGCTGGGATTAAAAATTTTAAGGAGAAATTTTATGGAATGGTACCATACGTGATAAATTTTCTTAATCAAGTAAAAGATAGTAAAACATTTAAACCTAATACACTGATTATGGCATGGCAAATCTGCCCTAAATTATTTATTTAATGAGATTTTATTTAATTTTATTTTATTTAATGAGACGGGGTTTCGCCATGTTGCCCAGGCTGGTCTTGAACTCATGGGCCCAAGTGACCCTCCTACCTTGGCCTCCCAAAGTGCTGGGATTACAGGCATGAGCCACAGTGCCCGTCTGCCTCAAATTTAAGCATTATTATCATGTTAACATGATTATTTGTCTTAAACATAACATCACACTTAAGTTTCTTTCGATCTTGAACCTGAAGTATTTCATATTTACTATATTTTAAGAGCTTAATATTGTTAAGTTAAAACTATGCATTTGTATAATCAAGGAAGCAGTTAATATTTATTATATATAGCTTTCATGTCTCCCATTTACAAAAAAGTTTCAGTTATTCTATTAAAGATTTGTTGGTATATTCTGCATTTTACAAGTGGAAAAAATCAGATTTAAAGAAAGGGTTTAATATTTCCAAAACAGAGTTTGTTATCTGGGGTCGTGTGATAAACTCTTGTGGAATAAACACGTTTACAGTTTATTATTTTACTCCTCCCATGTTACATCCTCACCCTAAAAAATGCTTTGACAGATTACATGAAAACAAGCAGATATGACATTTAAATGGTCTTTTTCTCCTCAGAGGTTTACATTCTTTGAGATATCTGGTCAACCTAATCAAAGCCAGTTAATGTCATTGGAAATAAATATATTTTACCAAGAGATGCCTAACCTGACCCATATGAGCCTGAGCAAGACAATGACCTGACTTTGTTTGTTTCCTAACCAGATGCTCCTGCCAGCATTTGTCTTCATTGGGCTGGAACAGGATGACTGCTGTGGCTGCTGTGGCCATGAAAACTGTGGCAAACGATGTGCGGTAGGTCCTCCTGCCCTGGTGGTGAAAATGACTCCTAAGATGTAGCTGTGGCACTCTGTGGCTCACTTCCTGTGTGTCTGCTTTTCCCTAGATGCTTTCTTCTGTATTGGCTGCTCTCATTGGAATTGCAGGATCTGGCTACTGTGTCATTGTGGCAGCCCTTGGCTTAGCAGAAGGACCACTATGTCTTGATTCCCTCGGCCAGTGGAACTACACCTTTGCCAGCACTGAGGGCCAGTATGTAATTACTCTCTACATGGCTACACATTTTTATCCACCACATGTATATAGTGGCAGCTCTATCAAACCAGATAGGCATCCACTTATCCATCCATCCACCCACCTAGCCAGTGTTTATTCTCACTGACTCAGGCATGGTTTAGGCAATAGGTATCCAAGGATGGATCCCCAGTCCCCGACCTAAACAAATTCTAAATGCTTCTTTTCTTTTCTTTCTTTCTTTTTTTTTCCCCCAGAGACAGGGTCTTGATCTGTCACCCAGGCTAGAATGCAGTGGCACAATCATAGCTTACTGCAGCCTCTAACTCCTGAGCTCAAGCAATACCCCTTCCTCAGCTTCCCAAATACAGAGTGCTTTTGAATAGATTCAATAATTCAGTCCTTATAATAACCCTATGAAGTGACTTCCTATTTTAAAGATGAGGAAACAAAATCACAGAGAGATGGAGTAATTCATCCAAGGTCACGTTGCCAGAAAGTGGCAGTTAGCATTTGAACCCAGGCAGTCTAGATGTAGAGTTTGTGTTCATATAGTGCATCTCAATTACTTCATACATTATACCAGAACAATTGCCTGATTAAGTGTAATACATTTTACTACTTTATAAGAAAGTATTATAGAATCCATATATAATAAGAATGGCAACTATATGAATTTAACCCAAGCCCAGGGCAAACCATGCCCTTACCCCTGTGTATACATGCACTCATATAAAACATACACATACATACACTCATATAAAACATACAAACTATGTACAATGCCCCCTTTTTTAGTTATTAAGCTATATAAGTAAGGCCTATTCACAATCATAATATCAGGATAATTTGTGCTGTTCTACCATTCTATGTTGATACTTATTTTTTTTATCAGTTATCCAGAAAAGAACAGAAACAGCACAGCTGATAGAAACGGATGTATGTGGTGATGAATGGATGACATGTTTCTTTGAGCAGGAGTTGATTCTGAGTTTCCCTTTTCCCTACTCAACTTTCTGAAGTTGAATTTTGAAAGGTTTAGTTTTGAGATTCATGATTAAAAATAATATTAATAACAAATTATATTATCAAGAATGTTTGACCCCATGAATTTAAAGCATGTAGTGAGGATATATGAATCTCACAAATTTAGCACAGTTATGAGATCATGAATTTGAATTAGCTGGGTTCAATCACAGCTCTGCACCTATCTGTAGGAAAAGGTGAAATGAGCTCTCTGCATCTCAGTTACTCCACTGGTAAAATAAAATCAATGGCAATTGTCATGAGAATTAATGAAATAATATGTAAAATGTTCCCCACAGAGGCTGCCACATTGTGTGCAACTGCCACTGTTAGCTGTTAATATTAGCTACTACCTTACAATAAACATAACCCAATGGTAGCCTTTGAAGGAAAATTGATACTTACAGAAGTTTGAAATTTTGGTGTTCAAAACTGTGATCAATCATGACTCAGCTTTTATCAGAACATACTGGATGTACTAGTAGAAAATGGCTATTCACATATGTACAAACATACAAAACTATTGCACAAACAGACTTCTAAGAAAAGTCATGACTTATGCAACCAGAATGCAGGGAGAGGTGGTAGTATTGCTAAATGGTTTTTATAGCTATTTGACTGTTTGCCCCTCCCATTATCCACTCTGGATTCTACAAGAAACCTTCCTCCTCTTCTATGTCATTCTTCATTTAAAACTGTCCAAGGATTTCAATATGGGAAATAACTAACAGTCACAAGCCACAGGTTAGTTGCCTGGGAGCCAGGTGGAGCCAAAAATTTTTTTTTACATTGAGACCTGAAAATATAGATTTTTGTTCTGCTGACATGCAGAAAGACAGGGCCACAAAAACAGAACTTTTTTTGAAATGAACAACTATAATCTCTGATTGGCTCAATGAACTATTCTAAAGTTAGGTCTCAAATTCCAAGCCCCTTTGTTCTGTTGTGGAAGGAAGTCGTGATAAGAAAAGAATTATACCAGGCCTCTTTGTGGAATTAAGTCAAACCTTGATTTTCCCACATGATTGTATTATATTTTGTTAAGAATCCAAATACTCTGTAGCAAAGGCTGAAATTCTAGGAGAGCTATCAGAAGTAGAATTTTTCAGACTGGAAGAATATCCAGGTATTTATAAAATCGACTAAATCCTAGAATCTATAGTCAGATATCACCTCAGTATGGTTTGCTGACATTTCACAAAGCAACTTCATATTGTTATTTATCATTCAACTGCTTTTAAAATGTGCTGAGTGGCTATTGTGTGTCAGATACTGTTCTAGCGGCTGGATATACAATGATGAATAGGTCTGGCTCCTACCTTCATGGAGCTCAGCCTTATTGAATAGATACATAAGCAGCTGTTCTCCCTGGACTAGGTTAGATGCCCTTCCTCTGTGGCTCTTCCATATTTTGTTTACCGATCAGCATATCTGTTGCATTGAGATTACTTGTGACTTGTCTCTTCCTTTAGAAGCTATGCTCTTTCAGGACAGAGCCCGTGCCCTGTGCTCCATTATATCCCCAGCTCTGGCTCAGTGTCAGACTCACACTGACTGCTCAATAATCTTTGTTGAATGAGCAAATGCAGTGTGCTACATGCTATTATCAACTCTTGGGCACAGCATCATGAAAGTGAAGAGCTATCAGCCGGGCGTGGTGGTTCACGCCTGTAATCCCAGCACTTTGGGAGGCTGAGGCAGGAGAATGGCTTGAACCTGGGACGTAGAGGTTGCAATGAGCCAAGATTGCGCCATTGCACTCCAGCCTGGGCAACAGAGTCAGACTCCGTCTCAGAAAAAAGTAAAGAGCTATCAAATTAGTTGGGTTTAATCCCATGAATTTGCTTCCTGTTGCAAATTAATTTATTCCTTAAAAACAAAAAATAGCTTTGTTCCAAAGGTCTCAGTTGAAAAATTCCAGCATATTAAATATCCAAACTTGCCAGAATTTGGATAATTTTCAGCAGTAACAAATTGAGATGTAATAAAATGATCTAAATTAATATTTTAAAGTTCAAAAAAAAAACTAGCCTAAAGAGATTGTATTTTCTAAATATTCACTCAATATTGAATACAAATACCCATCTTTTATACCAATAACAACAATAAAATTGGAAAACAGTTTTAAAAAACACCTACACATACTCTACTTTAGCACATGAATTATTTTCATTTTTCCGCATTTGCTCGTAGTTTACTTCCTACACATACATGAATCTTACCTAGCTTTAAACACAGCACAAATACAGTTCTGCATTTTTATTTTTGTTTATAAGAATTCAGATGCCTGTTAGGGAATATAAATATCATTATAAGGTGAGAATTTCTGACCATGTAATCCTAGATTGGGGTCAAAAATTATAAATTATAATTTTATGTTTATCATTACAGTAGGATCTGGGCTAAATTCCTCCATTTTGTGGAATGACATGCAGTGGAAGAAACTTACACAGGATATTGAATAATTCATTCCTTTTTTCTGAATGAAAAACCACCAAACAAAAGTAGTTTATGAAGTATCCCCTCAAGTATGACCGTGTGTCAGAAGTTTCTCTTTTTACCCACAGGTACCTTCTGGATACCTCCACATGGTCCGAGTGCACTGAACCCAAGCACATTGTGGAATGGAATGTATCTCTGTTTTCTATCCTCTTGGCTCTTGGTGGAATTGAATTCATCTTGTGTCTTATTCAAGTAATAAATGGAGTGCTTGGAGGCATATGTGGCTTTTGCTGCTCTCACCAACAGGTAAGAACCTGCATGAAAATGTCGTAGTCTGGCCCTGGTGTTAATATACCATTGTTTTCATCATAAAGAAAAAGGCAAAACCAAACATGCTCGACCTACCAGCATTTATTCTGATATCATCTTTGTAGCAACACAATTATAGCATTCACTTTAGCTGTCAGTAACAAGCTTCCTCGAGTCTCACAGTCACAGGATTGTCTTAGTTCTTTGCAGTTGGCTCTATGTACACAAGAACATGCTGCCCATAGACACAGCGCTCCCTTCAGGATCTAATTCACTGCCTCTGCTCTCGCTGCAGAGACAGAAAAAAAAGTGATGTCTGCTCTTTGTTTGCTGTTATATTCCCAACTAGTATACATAAGTAATAGCCAACCATTCAATGCATCAGGCACTATGCTAAACCCATATGACTCAAATATTAAGCAATAGGCTTAAGATCACCTACTCAGGAAATAACAGGCTTCAAACCTTGAGTCGCTCTGTGCAAAAGCTCCTACTTTTAACCTGTATTCCACACTTGCTGTTTGGTTGGATTTTCTGCAATTCCTTCCTAATAAGGAGTCATAAAAATGCCTAAGCAGTAAGTATGGAGAATCACTAGCAATCTTTGAACAGCAGCTCATGAAAAGCCTTTCGTTGTGAAAGAAAACCAGGAAGCACTTGTTTCCTGGGGATATGATTTAGGAGAAAAAAATGCATTTGTTTGTAGCAGTGAAAGTTCTTGTTTCTATATCCTCCTAAAATATATATATTATTGAATTAATGAAAGTCCAGCTTTGATCCTATCTTTGAGAGGGTTATTTTATGTCTTATATTTTTCAAACCATTTACTCCTCTGGTGCCAGATCTGTTAACTTTCTTTTAAAAATAAGACAAAAACCTAATGAAAACTGAAAGCCCATTGCTACCATGAAAAACTTTGCTGAAAATAAAAGGAAACTTTCTGTAATTTTGGGGGAAGGTTAAAATGAAAATCTAGTTTTCCTTATCAGGCAAGTATAGCAAGATTAATAATTTCTTTGGCAAATTTCCAAGAAAATAAGGGAATGGGAAACCTTCAATATGGAGCTTCTTTCAAGCAGTACGGTTGGGGAAGGGCAGAGAAGTATCCTCTAGGGATTGCTGTCATGCAGCTTACCTTTAGCCTTGAATTTCATACAAGGCAGAGTTCAAAGTAAGTGATTACTTGTACTAAATGTACTCACTTAGTACGTTTTGGGGACAGGCATAAAGAGCCAATGACCAAAATGGCTGAAGTGATTTGGCAGGGAATGATACTCTCCTCTGATTTGGGGTAGTAAATACACCAGGTTTCCCAGCTGAGTCACTGTAGGGATGGCTTCTTCCCAGATACTACAGGGAAGATCTGTTACCTTTGTTTATAAGACAAAAGACACTTTCAAAGGGCAGGTCTTTTCATGTAGAAGAGTCAGGTCCATAACTCGGTAGCATTTAATTTGAAAGGTTACCCACATTGAGCTCATACCAGTGTGAAACTTCCATGGCATTATCTTTTAAATCCCTAAGATTAAAACCCCACACAAATGCACTCAAAGCAACCCAATATCAGTATCCTGCAGTTTCTATGGGCCCTTTCTGCAGCCTTTACTCATGGAAGACAAGGGATCTGGGTTTGTTTAGGAAACATTTTGTGAGCATTGTCCAAGCCCTAAGTATGGTTGGCCTAAGCTTTGCTGAAGCTAAGATCAGTCTGTTTATGTTTGCTTAAAATAGGAACTTAAAGGACTAAAATGTCATCATTATTTATCCTGATTATAGCCTAATGGTATTTTATTTTCTCTACAGCAATATGACTGCTAAAAGAACCAACCCAGGACAGAGCCACAATCTTCCTCTATTTCATTGTAATTTATATATTTCACTTGTATTCATTTGTAAAACTTTGTATTAGTGTAACATACTCCCCACAGTCTACTTTTACAAACGCCTGTAAAGACTGGCATCTTCACAGGATGTCAGTGTTTAAATTTAGTAAACTTCTTTTTTGTTTGTTTATTTGTTTTTGTTTTTTTTTAAGGAATGAGGAAACAAACCACCCTCTGGGGGTAATTTACAGACTGAGTGACAGTACTCAGTATATCTGAGATAAACTCTATAATGTTTTGGATAAAAATAACATTCCAATCACTATTGTATATATGTGCATGTATTTTTTAAATTAAAGATGTCTAGTTGCTTTTTATAAGACCAAGAAGGAGAAAATCCGACAACCTGGAAAGATTTTTGTTTTCACTGCTTGTATGATGTTTCCCATTCATACACCTATAAATCTCTAACAAGAGGCCCTTTGAACTGCCTTGTGTTCTGTGAGAAACAAATATTTACTTAGAGTGGAAGGACTGATTGAGAATGTTCCAATCCAAATGAATGCATCACAACTTACAATGCTGCTCATTGTTGTGAGTACTATGAGATTCAAATTTTTCTAACATATGGAAAGCCTTTTGTCCTCCAAAGATGAGTACTAGGGATCATGTGTTTAAAAAAAGAAAGGCTACGATGACTGGGCAAGAAGAAAGATGGGAAACTGAATAAAGCAGTTGATCAGCATCATTGGAACATGGGGACGAGTGACGGCAGGAGGACCACGAGGAAATACCCTCAAAACTAACTTGTTTACAACAAAATAAAGTATTCACTACCATGTTGTTGTTGTTTAGTTTCATTATCCTTAAAAGTTCTCTTTTTTCTCCCCCCCCCCCTTTTTTTTTTCCAGTTTGCAAGTTATGTGGCCCCTATTGCTAACGGCTTCCTGTCTTTTTGTTTCTTTATCCTACTCTCTCATCCTCTTTCTCCTCTTCTTTCTCTGCTGTCTGTAAATTGCCATTGCTGTACCTGTGGGATCATCACCCCAGTTAGGCACTGGTCCTTTCTACCAGGTGCTGCAAGTATCAGCCTCCCTGGAAGGGTAACAGGCATTTTTCTCCTTACTGTACAGGGTTAGGCTCTTTCAAGTGACAGGATTCCTGGACTTATTGGGAATTTTCTATAGAAATGTTCCGTTTTTGGTGTTCATTGGTCTGGACAACAGATAAGCAAATTTATAAAGAAGCATAACCAGCTATTAGACAGCAGAGCTCCTCCTATGGGCAAGCTGCCCTGCAGTGGGCGGCTCCTGACTGAAGGTTTCAGCCTATTCTGTACCATAGTCCCTCTGGCAGGCTGGTGAAACCTACAGACACCTTCGAAGAATAATGTTCATAAATTCATAAAATGCATAGAATTATGAAGAAAACCAATACACTAGAATATTTTATGAAAATGTTTTTTTAAACATATAGTGTAGTTGTCTTGACAGCCAGCTCTGTCACGTCAACACCTGTGGATAGCAATAACGTGTGTCCTAACAGCCTTCTAAGGAGTCGGTCTAAGAACTATCCTACTTTTTTTTTTTTCACTGAGCAGAGTTAGCCAATATGCTAAGCACATTTATTATTTATTTATTTTTATTTTTATTATTTTTTATTTTCTTTAAGTTCTGGGACGGAACGTGCAGGTTTGTTACATAGGTATACACGTGCCATGGAGGTTTGCTGCACCCATCAACCCATCATCAACCACATGCATTAGGTATTTGCCCTCCCTCCCCTTGCCCCCCAGCCCCCTAACTGTCATACTTTTGAAATACAATTTCAATTAAAATGATATTTCGAGATACCTGCAGCAAATTTAATGTGATATGAAAACATATGCAAATTTTTATTGTAGATCAAAGTATGATCAGTATTACTGATGCTACTTTGGTTTGTTGCATAGTCATAATTAAAGGAAATATTAAATTTTTGTTATAAGTTAGTAAAAAATGACACTTTTTTCCCATCTAAGTTTAACACCCCACTCCCCCAGTTATTTATCCATGGGGTCTTTTGGGAATTCTTGGACACCAGATTAAAAACCCCTGCAATACAGGATCCAAGATAAAAGGCATAATAATCAGTCATAAGCATCATTTTTTCCTAAATCTATCCTCAAAGGACATAGCAATAATAATTATCAACCATTATCATAATAACAGCAACAATTTCTTGAGTCCCTTCAGTATGTCACTTATTGTAATTAGTTTTACACATACTATTCCACTGAAATCTCTCAGCAGCCCTAGAAGGTATTACTTCTCTCTATTTTATAGACTCAAAGCTCAGTGAGGTTAAGTAATCTGTCCAAGGCCACATCTTTAGCAAATGAAAAACACTGTAGCAAAAAAAAAAACAACACTGATTTAACTCCAAGTTGGTGTAACATGAACACGGTGTTTTCCCTGCTCCTCTCCTCTGCCTCATCTACCTGCTCTGCCACCAGGGCCCAGGGGCTAGAGTCTTCCTCCTATCCTACACTGGCACTCAGATACTCCACCCACCTAATGGGGACTTTGACAGGCCCCTGAGAGCCTTAGTCATCCCTATCCTAGAGCCTAAGTTTGAGTGACTCAACATTTCCCCTTGTTTGTGAATCTTTTAATAGTAGACATTGTCATCACCTGAAGGAAATAGCTTACACAAATTACCTTACACCCTCCTTAAGTTCTGTTTATAGCCTACGCTCCTGGTTTGTAATATTCTAGGCCTTTCAATTTGGCTGGAAACTCCCTCAGGGGTTGTACTAAAACAGCTCATTCTTACCTGACAACATTAAAACAATAAAAATTACTGTAGAATCTGAATCACTTGAATAGTACACGTGGCCTCTGAGTGTCAATTTACCATAGTGACCAAATTTACAAATACATTCCTACATAAAGGAAATCTCATGCACTGAAATCTCAGACAATTGATAGAATGCTACCTTTACCACAGTATGAGTTTCTTGTATGTGTGTGAGATCTTTTTCATTGTTTTCTCTGATGCTTACCCATGGTGAGAACAGGTATGGGATTTGATGCAACTTTTCAGAAAAGCCATTTGGTGATCTGTGTCTACAATATATAAAGCCTACACATCCTTTAGCCAAGTATTTTTACTTGTAGAAATTTATTTTAAGAAAATCATCAAGGATGTTCACAATAGTTCAGTTTCCAGTAATAATTATGGGAGTATTGTTTGTAACACCAGGAAAAATGGCAAGAGCCTAAATCTCTGATAACAAGGAATTGGTTTGATAAATGTAGTCAGTGGCTGTTAAATCAGGGTAAATGTATGAACCGCACAACATTACATGAAAGAGAAAGTTTCGAAAATATAGAAAAGAAGGGTTCTATGTCTTTCTCTACTAGGTATATGTATATTATAAATACCCTTTAAATATATTACTGAAAAGGAATTTCAATCAGATTCAATGTGATTTTTGTCTTGATTCATTTCGCTTATCTATACTTTCTGAAATTTCTACCATAAGCACATATTACTTTTAGAAATAAAACAAAAATGAGATGAGAAGAAAGATTCAGTCCTAAAATAATTCAGGGAGGAGCCCGCAGTCTTTAAGGGAAACTCCCCAGGTATGTAAGAAAACCATTGTTCTTGTGCTTGGACAGAGGAGTCATCCTACAGTAAATACAGGGGAATAATTATGCCTGCAATTAGGTGAAGGGATGGGCCAGGTGAGGCTGGCAGTAACCATAGGCTAAAAATATAATGGGGAGCCTATAATTTCAATTGCATGTTTGGGAAATGTTAAGTGCACAGTTTCTTCTTAGACAAGCCACCAAGTAAGATTTTTACAAATATCAACCATGTATCTGTTTTCTGTATTTTAAAACGAAATGGCATACCTTTACTTTGAACATTGGCTTTTTATCAGGGCTTTGTGTACTACAGCTTGGATTTTCCTTATTTTAATTTTCTCTGCTCACTGCAACCTCTGCCTCCTGAGTTCAAGCGAGTCTCCTGTCTCAGCCTCCCAAGTGGCTGGGATTACAGGCTTATGCCACCATGCCTGGCTAATTTTTGTATTTTTAGTAGAGACAGGGTTTCACCATGTTGGCCAGGCTGGTTTCGAACTCCTGACGTCGTGATCCTCCCACCTCAGCCTCCCAACGTGCTGGGATTACAGGTGTGAGCCACCCTACCTGGCCCTCCTTCTCTTAACATTAAATAGTTTGTGTATGCAAGTCCTGGCAAATTTAGACACATATTTTAATTATTGTAGTTAAATAAGTCTACTAGGTTTTTCTGGAGCTAGATTTCATGTTACTTCCTAGAATCAATTATTTGCTCTCATTTCTCTCTCTCTCTTTTTCTCTCTTTCTCTCTCTCTCTTTCTCACACACACACACACACACACAAACACACACACACACACACTTTCCTAATATACAGCAATTAAAAAGAACAAACTACTGCTGCATGAGACAACGTGGATGAATCTTGTAAATAATGAGAATCAAGGCCAGGCGCTGTGGCTCAGGCCTGTAATCCCAGCACTTCGGGAGGCCAAGACAGGCGGATCACCTGAAGTCAGGAGTTCAAGACAAGCCTGGCCAACATAGCGAAACCCTATCTCAACTAAAAATACAAAAATTAGCTGGGCATGGTGGTGCATGTCTATAATCTCAGCTACTGGGAAGGCTGAAACAGGAGAATCGCTTGTACCCAGGAGGTCGAGGTTATAGTGAGCCAAGATGGCACCACTGCAGTCCAGCCTGGGTAACAGAGCGAGAATCTGTCTTAAATAAATAAATAAATAGAATTAAAACAATCTCTCCTCCCTCCCTGCCCCCCAATTCTGGATGTAATCTCAGCTAATGTAGCTAACTCCTTGAGACAGAGACAGTAGATCTCTTATGAACATTTCACACACAGATTTTCGTATAGGAGCAATAATAGTTTCCCAAGAGGTGCCATTTCAAGTACCTGTGATCAGTCATTGCAGCCTGCAACTAGAAAGCTCTGTGTCAAGCATTACACTAGCTACTAATCCTCACCACACCCCTCTTTGTTACATGTGTACAGATATCCTTGATTCGTGTGCAAGACTAAGGGCCAATTGAAATGGCCACTACTGTCTCAGATGATAGATGATATCCATATAATAAACTGTCATATATTCAATACATGAAAGAATCCCACAAATATTAAGAACCCAAACCATCTACTCCCTCCTCCACCAAGACTCACATAACTTGGGCAAGGAGAATCAAAACCATAAACTGCTCCACAGCTTACTGTTAACATTCTCATGATTTTATTATTCCATACTCTTCTTGAGCACAGTTTTACTATTCCAGGAGACTCTTTCCTAAGCAAATAACTTTATTATTTATTATTGGGATCTCTGAAAGATCCACCATCTCCTCAATAGAAAACATCAACAGTTTATATCTCAAGAGCCTTTGAACCACCAACTCAAAGTCCTGCCTTGCTGTTTCCCCCAGTCTTAAACAATCGTATCATAATCTTTACTGAAGGCTTCCTGTCTTTGGGTTTCTTTTTTTTTTTTTTTTTTAACACCATGACCAAATAGTATTTATTTCAGGTATCAAAGTCTGGTGCAACATTTGAAAATTGAGTAATGTAATCCATCACACCAACAGGGTATAGAGGAAAAATCACAGGATTATATCACTAGATATAGAAAAAGTATTTGACAAAATTCAACACTCATTAATGATAAAAACTCCCAGCAAGCTGGAAATAGAGGAGAACTTCCTCAACTTGATGAAGAACATCTATGAAAAAGTAGCTAACGTAATACTTAAAGGTGAGGAACTAGAAACTTTCCCACTAAGACTGTGTACAAAGCAAAGTTATCTCCTCTCACCATTCCTTTTCTTTTTGTTTTCGTTTCTTCTTTTTTAAGTTTTTTCATTATTTTTTTTATTTTTTATTTTTTATTTTTTTTTTATACTTTTAAGTTCTGGGGTACATGTGGGGTACAATGTTCTGGGAACAAAGAGGGGTATGGTAGGAATTAGTAGCAAGTGGAATGTTTGACACAGAGCCTTCTAGTTGTAGGCTACAACTAGTGAACATAGATATCTTGAAAAAGCACCTCTTACAGAAATGTAGTGCTGTTTCTATACAAAAACCTATGTGTGATTCCTTTGAATTCATTGACATGAAAAATAAATAAATAAATAAATAAAAATAAAACACAAAACTTGTGTGTGAAATGTTTCAATGGGGTAGAATAATATCCATCATTCTATTGATGGACATTTGAGTTGCTTTCAGGGATCTTAGCTGTTTTCAGGGATCTTAGGAAATATGCTGCTGTGGTCATTTTTGTACATGTCTTTTGGTGCATTCGGTGCGTATGAGAACACATTGATTTTTGTTTGTTTGTTTGTTTGTTTGTTGTCAAGGAATCAAACTGCTAGTGGAGCTTCTTTTGTTTTGTGTTAGTTAGCATCCCAAGGTTCCCAGAGTTTTCCTCTAGCCTAGCACTCTCAAGGTTTGGCTCATCTCTTCCTGCCTGGGGGACTTCCAGTCACTCACTGATTCAGTATTTATGGATTGTTCATTGCATGTCATGCACTGCACAAGGTGCTGAGGACACAGCTGTGAACAAGATTTTCCAGGCTCTGTGAGAGCAGAGACCTTGACTGTGTTGCTCACTATTGCATTGCCAACTTCTAAAATAGTGCCTGGCATATAGTAGGTGCTCAGTAATCCGGGGTCAGCAAACTATGGCCCACGGGACAAATCTGGTCTGCTGCCTGCTTTGTCAATGGAATTTTATGGGAATACAGCAACACTGTTTTGTTTACATGTTGTGTATGGTTGCTTTTCCCCTATAATGGCAGAGCTGAACAGTTGACAGAGACTACATGTCACACAAAGCCTGAAATATTTATTCTGTGGTCTTTTGCGGGAAAAGTTTGTTTCTAATGTAGCTGGCTATTTGCCTAGATAAAAATGGATACTTCTATTACAATGGAAAAGGAGATAAATTTTTGTTAATTTTATACTTATGATAGAAGTTTTCCAATATATTTTTTAAAATAAAGAAGTAAAGAGGGGAGAAACTGAGCCTGATTTACCCACCACCCAGCTAGAAGAACATATGAGTTTCCTAGGGCTGCCAAAACAAAGTCCGACAAACTGGTAGGTAGCTTAGAAAAACAGAAATATATTGTCTCATGTTTCTGGAGGCCAGAAGTCTGAAATCGTGTCAGCAGGCTCATGCTCCCTCTGAAGGCACTGGGAAAGGATCAGTTACAGACCTCTCTCCTAGCTCCGGGAAACGTCAGACATTCCTTGGCTTGTAGATGGTCATCTTCTCCCTGTGTCTCCTCACATTGTCATCCCTCATGTCTGCCTCTCTGTCCAAATTTCTTCCTTTTTATAAGGACACCAGTCATGTTGGATTAAGGCTCACTCTAATGACTTCGTTTTAACTTGATTACCTCTGTGAAGCCTGTATTTCCAAAAAAGGTCGCACTCTAAAGTGTATGGACCTCAACATGTCTTTTTTAAGAAGACACAACTCAACTCATAACAGAGAAAGAGATAGCAGTCTCTGAGACCTCAGTAGCATCTTCTGAACTAAACATGTCTTATGAGACGCCCTTGAAAAAATCTGGGAAATAATATATACCAAATAAATCTTCCCAAAGATTCACTACACACATGGACCTTCCACTAGCTCTGAAAAGTCTTGTTGTAAAAACCTATTTAACTCAAAACATCTGAATTATTTAACTATGAGACCGTGGGGCTACAGCTTTGGAAAGAGAATGAATAGCAGATGTAAAAAAAAGCACAGAGCTGGAAACATAGCAAACACTCATTAAATGATAATAGGTGGAGTTCAGAAGAGTACTTCAACGACAACCAAAAGCTTAGGATGACAGAAGAGAATTCATTACATTATTAGCTGCTGCCTGTTCAGTGGATGGGAACACGGATATGCTTTGTCCGTGTCTTCTGCACTCAAACAGGTCTGCAGGGCTTCTACCCTGTTGTTCTTGCTCCAATTCTCTAGGAAAATACTATGTGTCCTTTAAACAAATCAGCTACCTGGGTTTGTAAGGGGAGTCCTGATTTCCAATGTCACAACTTTGGAGAAAAAAAGTCCTATCGTAGCTGACTTGTAATAGTCTTCTCTAAGTGGGAGAGACAATAGAATTTCAGAGATAGAAATACCGCTCAATATTTCTTAATCCCAGTAATGCTTATCATAGGGTATCCTTGTACATAAGTGTGGGCAATAGTATATTTCACCTACAATCCCCTGCAGAGGTTGAAAAGAGACTTCCATGTACATTTGCCTACGCCTCCTTTTATGCATGGGAGTAGAGGCATGGGCGGCAAGGACATGCTGTGGATGAGGGGCACATAAAGCTTAAGGTTGGAAAAAGACAGAAATGAAATGACATATTAGTAAATAGTTTCTGCAAAGGCAAGCTAGGTGATTCAGTCTTCAGTGTCCCTGGCCAGAGCATCAAGGTGCCCTGTGAGTCAGGCAACCTGAAAGCAATTGGGTGGTTTTTTGTGTTTTTTTTTTTTTTTTTTTTTTTTTTGGCCCAAAGAAGCATCACATTGCAGGTCATCGTGAGTCTCATTTTGCAGAGTGAGAGAAATATCCACATCCACTTTGTCAGGGCTTCTTATGCATGTGAGGGCATCAGGGTTTCATGGTTGTAGAGCCATGCCAGGTGGGAGAACTGGGCTCAGGTACAGAGAAAAAGAATAAGGAGGGCTGCAGAGGCTCCCTGGGCCCTCCTTAACCACCACCCTTTCCATGTTTCCCCATCTTCCACTCTTCCATTGGCAACACTCAGAAACAGGTTTGAAGGTACAGCAAACTAAGCAGTTCCCATAGACCAGAAGTAGGCATTTTTTTCTCCCATTTGGCTTTGTGAATATTAATTTTTTTTCTTTGGAAATTAGTCTCTCTTTAATGTCACAGAGAATTAAATGACAACTGTGTTCTTAATGTCACAGGGAATTAAATAACAACTGTGAAGTACATAGAAAGTAGCTTTAAGTAGCTGAGCAACCATATGATTTGAATAACTGAAGAAACAGGGTGCTGGGCTTCACTCAAGAATCTTTTGTTTGGGTCGTGGTTGCTCATCTTGGACAAGTCACTTTTTCTCTCTGAGCCTCAGTTTCCTAATCTGTAAAATAGAGATTATAATATTATCTCTACCTGAATACCAAGATTGGGATGGTTCAATTAGATCCCATATGAAAATTCATCATAAACTATAAAGTTATGTGTCAGATATGATTACTTTGGCCACAAAAAATTAGAACTGTAGTTCTATTATACAATTGCCTCCTTAGTTCTTGCCCCATTTTCCCCTTCCTCACAGGACTTTGGGATTCTTCTTCCCAGCTTTATTGAAGTATAACTGAATAAATAAAAATTTTATATATTCAAGATGTAGAATGTGATGATTTGATATACATATACATTGTGAATTGATTACCACAATTAAGTTAACACATCCATCACTCCGCATAGTTACCATTTCTGTGTGTGTGTGTGTGTGTGTGTATGCGTGCAGTGAGAACACTTACAATCTACCCTCTTAGCAAATTTCAAGTATACAATACAGTATTATAAACTATAAGCACCATGCTGTACATTAAATCCTCAGAATTTACTTATCTTATATCAGAAAGTCTGTATCTTTTGCCAACATCTCCTGATTTTCCCCACCATCAGACCCCTGACAACCATCATTCTATCCTCTGCTTCTATAAGTTCAACTTCTTAAGATTTTACATATAAGTGAGATCCTGCAGTATTTTTTTCTTTCTATATCTGGCTTATTTCACTTAGCACAATGTCCTGCAAGTTCACCCATGTTGTTGAAAGTTGAAGAATTTACTTATTTTTTTATGACTTAAATATTTCACATATATATTTTCTTTATTCATCTGTCAATGGACACTTAATACTGAAATTAACATGGAAGTATAGATATCTCATCAAGGTACTGATTTCATTTCCTTTGAATGTATTAAACCCAGAATTGAGATTGCTAGATTATATATTAGTTCTAGTTTTATTTTTTTGAGGAAGCTTCATACTGTTTTCTATAATGGCTGTACTCATGTTAAAGGCATTCCCACCAACAGTGCGCAAGGGTTCCCTTTTCTCCACACCCTTGACAATGTTTGTTATCTCTTGTCTTTTTCATAATAGTCATCCTAACAGGTGTGAGGTGATATGGCATTGTGGTCTTGATTTGCATTTTCCTGATGATTAGTGATGCTGAGCACCTTTTCATAAACCTGTTGGCCACTTGTTTGTCTTCTTTGGAAAAATGTCTATTTGGGTTTGTTTGTTTGTTTGTTTGTTTGTTGCTATTAAGTTCCCTATATATTGTGGACATTAACCACTTATCAGATATATGATTTGCAAATATTTTCTCCCATTTCATAGGTTGCCTTCTCATTTTGTCAATTGTTTCCTTTGCTGTGCAGAAGCTTTTTAGTTTGATGCAATCCCAGCAAGTCATTTTATGGGTGTCAAGACTGATTTTAAAGTTTATATGGAAAGGCAAAAGATCCACAGTAGCCAACATGATGTTGCAGGAGAAGAGCAGCATTACAGCACTGACACTGTCTGATCTGACTTCAAGACTTACTATAAAAGCTACAGTCATCAAGACAATATAGTATTGGTGAAAGAATAGAACAATAGATCAATGAAACAGAATAGAGCCCAGAAATCGACCCACATAAATATAGGCAAGTGATCTTTGACAAAGGAGCAAAGTCAATATAATAGAGAAAAGACAGTTTTTTTCAATAAATGGTGTTGAAACAACTGAACGTCACATGCCAAAAAAGAAATCCAGACACAGAACTTATACCTTTCACAAAAATTAACTCAAAATGGATCATTGACCTAAATGTGAAATGTAAAATTATAAAACTCCCAGAAGATAACATTGTAGAAAGCATAGATGACCTATGGAGATGACTTTCTAAGATATAACACCCAAGGCACAATCTATAAAAGAAATAATTGACAAGTTGGACTTCACTAAAATTAAAATCTTCTGCTCCACGAAAGACTCTATCAAAAGGAATCAGAAGACAAATAACAGATTGGAAGAGAATATTTGCAAAATACTTATCTGTTAAAGGACTGTTACACAAAATATACAAAGAACTCTCAAAACTCAACATAAGAAAACAAACAACCTGATTAAAAAATGGATGAAAGACCCGACCAGACACATCATCAAAAAATACACACAGAAGACAAATAGGCATATTAAAAGATGCTCAACATCAGATATCAGTAGAGATTTCTAATTAAAACAAGATACCATAATAATCCTATTAGAATGGTCAAGGTCCTTAACATTGACAACACCAAATACAGGTGAGGATGTGGAGTAAGAAGAGCTCTCATCCGTTGCTGATGGGAATGCAGTTTTAGAAGACAGTTTGACAGTTTTTTACAAAACTAAATATACTCTTACCATACAATCCAATAATTACACTCTTTGGTATTTACCCAAATAAGTAGAAATTTTATATTCACACAAAAATCTATGCAAGCAGCTTTATTTATAGTTGCCAAAACGCTTGGAAGCAACCAAGATGTCCTTCAGTAGATGAATGAATAAATAAACTGTGATACATCTGGACTTCTGCACTGTGGGATATTATCTAGCACTAAAAAGAAATGATCTATAAAATGATGAAAAGACATGGAGAAACCTTAAATGTATATTATGAAGTGAAAGAAGCCAATCTGAAAATACTACATATGGTATGATTCCAACTATAAATGCCACGGAAAAGGCAACACTATGGAGACAGTAACTAGATCAGTGGTTGCCAAGTGTTAGTGAGGAGGGAGGGAGGAATAGGTGGAGCATAAAGGAATTTTAAGAGAGTGAAACTACTCTGTATGACATCATAATGGTGGATATATGTCATTACTCATTTGTCCAAGTCGATAGAATATACAACAGCAAGTGAACTCTAATGTACATTATGGACTTTTAGTGATAATGATGTGTCAGTGGAAGTTCATCAATCACAACTAATTTACTGCTCTGATGCAGGATGTTGGAAGTGAGGGAGATTTTGTGTGTATGGAGGTGGCTGCAGGGTTGGGGGTGGGGAAAGAAGGTATATGTGAGCTGACCCCTCTTTGCTTTCAGTTCAATGTTGCTGTGAACTTAAAAGTGATCTTAAAACTAAATAGCTTTTTGTCTGACATCTTAGCGAGGTTAAAGTGGTTGCTGCTGTCCCCTGGGCATCGCGATGCTGCCCAAGGACGACAGGAAGAAGAAAGACACTGGAAAGTCAGACAAGAAAGACAGAGACCCAATGAACAAATCTGGTGGCAAGGACAGAAAGAAGAAGTGGTCCAAAGGCAAAGTTTGGGACAAGCTCAATAACCTAGTCTTGTTTGACAAAGCTACATATGACATACTCAGTAAGAAAGTCCCAACAGTAAGCTTATAACCCCAACTGAGGTCTCTGAGAGACTGAAAATTAAAAGTTGTCTGTCCAGGGCAGCCTTTCAGGAGCTGTTTAGTAACAGACTTATCAAACTAGTTTCAGTGCACAGAGCTCAAATAATTTACACCAGAAACACCTAGTGCGGAGGTGCTCCAGCTTCTGGTGAAGATGCAGGAACAGGCCCAACAAATTGTATATTTGGAAAAATAAAACCAAATAAAATAAAATAAGGTCTGCATTAAAAATATCACCCAACAGCTTTCAAAATTCCCAAAGCCTAGGCCAAACCCCAAATCAATTACCTCAGGATATATGAGGTGCGACCTAGACATCAGTAAGTTTTTAATAGAGCCCATGAATCTCAAAGTACTGCCAAGGCTGAGAACTACTGCCCTAGAGAATGCTACTCAATTAGAGTTAGGTTAGACTCACCACTTGAATCTCACTTAGAGTTAGATTAGAACTGCCAGTTAGAATTACCCAGGCACTTTAAAAAATATATATAGATGACCAAGCCCCACTTGCTGAAATTCTGACTCATTTGATCTGGAGCAACGCCTGGGTATTAGTATTTTTAAAAGCTCTTCGGATGATTCTAGTATAAAGCCATGATTGAGAATCACTGATCTCAAGAATGGTAAATTCCTAGAACATATGCTTCCAACACTCAGTTCTACCCCCATGGCAAACATCGCTACTCATTCTGCTTGCCAGTGAGCCTAGGCTTTGAAATCCACCTCTCCTCAGCCTGTCAAGCAGGATCAATAATTGATCTGAGTTGCCAGTGGAATTCCCTTTGGCATCTCTGAATTATACATCTATTCCATCCCCCAACCAGAGATGGCTTCGTTGGACCTGACCAGCTCCATTCCTGCCTCCATCTCCATGACTTGAAAAATCTGACATTTTCATAGGAAAGCTCTCCAAGGCTGTGACCCTTTGACAGCTGTTCAGGCTTTAGGACAATGCTGTACATTCATACTGTGCCTACAATCTTCATATCTCAAGGACTTTCTGCAAACATTAACTCGTTTGTTTGAAAATGTCTGGCGTTGTGAGGTCTAATGAGATAATGTTTATGAAACACTCTGTGTTCCCAAGATGAGAGACAGCATGTTATTCACGTAAAAGGCACATTGAGAGGTCTCTGAAAACTCTCGCCCAACTTGGCTGCCTTTTTTGCTTTGCGGTGAAAATCCTTTAAGGCCAAGGGATGGGCCACACCACCATTCTTTAGAGAAGGTGCAGTGACATGGGAAGGGGAGCAGTGAGAACAGCCTGGTAGAACTCCAGCTTCTATCATTTTTTAGTTTTGTGATCTTAAGCAAGTTTCATAGCATCCTTCAGCTTCTCTTCCCTCATATGTCCGACGGGAATGATAATGTCTGGCTCAGGTAACGTAAGTGAGAATGCTGGCATGGAGTAGACATTCAGTGTCAGTTATTCTAAGGAGCTGGGAACTGCCTTAGGCTGATTTTTAAAGGGTCCCATAGGCAGTACATTCTCAATTAAGCAGAATAAAATGTAGAGGACAGTGCTGATTAAGAATCTGGAAAAGAGCCTTCCTTTGATTAACATGAGAATGAGAAGAATTTATGTCTTCAAAACACTTCCCATGCGGATTAATAGTTAAGAACAAGATCTGTGTTCACTCTGAGAGGCCGAGGCGGGCGGATCACGAGGTCAGGAGATTGAGACCATCCTCTGCTTTTTGTATTTTTAGTAGACCGTCTCTACTAAAAATACAAAAAGTTAGCTGGGTGTGGTGGCGGGCGCCTGTAGTCCCAGCTACTCGGGAGGCTGAGGCAGGAGAATGGCGTGAACCCGGGAGGCGGAGCTTACAGTGAGCCAAGATCACGCCACTACACTCCAGCCTGGGCGACAGAGCAAGACTCCATCTCAAAAACAAACAAACAAACAAACAAAAAACTCTCTTCTGAGTCCTGCTTTATCCTAGAAGTCATGTTATATCCATCTCTATTAAGAACAAAACCTTTCAACAAACATATACTGACTGGCTACTCCTCATCAAGCCGAATAATGAGGATGAAAAGAAAGCTTTTATTTTCCCAGTGTATGAGAAGAAATCCCTGTTACAAAATGCAGATAATATGTTTCATCAATTATAAGATGCACATTTTTGTCACCCGATAACATACCTGAAATTTGCGTGTATCTTACAATTGAGGGCAGGTCATAGATTCATTAGCAGCATTTTTTGCCCTTTTAACTATTTCATAGACTAGCTCATGGACAGAAGGGCTCATAGATGGGTCATCTTCAAATTGAGGCATCTCAGATTAAGTTAAATATGACAGTAACTATCTCTCAGGATTGTTCAGGGGGTAACCTTGGAAAAGCACTTATTCATTATTTACTGCTACATAGCAGATTACTTCAAAACATAAGAGTTTAAAACAACAGTTTTTTTCTCACAGTTTCTGCGGGCCAGGAATCCAGGAGCAGATTAGCTCAGGTTCTGCCTCAGGGTCTCTGAAGAGGTTACAGTCAAGGTGTCAGCTGGGTCTGCTGTCATCTACGGCTTGCTAGTGGAGGATCCACTTCCAAAATCACCCACACAGCTGTTGGTAGAAGGCTTCAGTTCTCCACACTGTGAGCCTCTCCACAGAGCTTCTTACAATAAGGCAACTGGCTTCTTCTACAGTGAGTGATGAGAAAGAGAGCCCAAGATGGAAGCTGCAGTCTTTTATACCTAATCTTGGAAGTTACCTATTATTCCTTCTTTCATATCCTATTGGTCACACTGGGCAACAATAGTACAAGATGGGAAGGGACTACACAGGAGGCAGGGATCACTGGGAACCACCTTGGAGACTGGCCATCGTAGAACTCAACACACTGAATGATGAAAATAAAATAAGAAATAAGTGTTAGTTTCTTTCCTTTTTACCTCATGTGGATGCTGTTGAAAGAGATTGAGTCTACACTTGAATTTGTATTATCATCAAACTCAATAACTTCAGTCTATGTCAACTCCAGTTGTATATCTGGAGTGGCAACTGGAATGAGAGAAAGATGCTGAAGAGTGTATTTTGTGTCTGACTAGTTGGTATTGTTGGTGACAGATGAAGAGCTTTCACCTATCTTGTATCAAGTTGGAAAATCTTAGAATTTTACTGATATCTGTTTGGAAAGAAATGCTGAAAAAAGCTAACTTAGGCCCTTTTATGTCCTTCTGGCTTCTGTCATATGAGGACACAACAAAAAGGCCCTCATCAGACACCAAATTCCACTGTTTTGACCTTGGACAGCTCAGCTTCCAGGCACTGTGAGAAATAAATTTCTATTGTTTATAAATGACCCAGAGCATAGTATTTTGTTATAGCAGTACAAAAGGTTTAAGATAGGTCACAAGGACAACTCACTGTGGCCCCGGAGTTGAGATATTTTGACAGTCCATGCAAAGTCTATCTACCTAATTCAGTGGGTAGCTGGAACAGACCACTGTGATTGGCCAACTGAACAGGATCACATGAATGCTAGAGGGTAGTTCTCAAAAGGCAAGAAAAAGGAGATTCCAGGTGGTCAAAACAATAATACATGGTTGCTATGAGTGGACATGGTGGGAACCTCACAAGTACCTGGGGTGGAGAGAGGGACATGGAAAATAGAGAGCAGAGTGAGGTGGCTCCAATGACCAGTTGCAATTGGAACTCAGTGGCCCCTGGTCAAATGCTTGTGTATTCAGTGCTGGAAAGTAGAAAACCAGTGCAGATGCTGACAGACCTAACTTAACCACCCACCTCGACTCACTTCCAGCTTCCATCCAGTCTGTACGTAATTCTTCAGCCTTCCAAACCTAATAATACCTCCAGAAATGGAGACACAGGATCATGCTGTGGAAAGAGCAAGTACTAGTAGTCAGGGCCCTCAGTCTCACATTTGCCCCTGACTTGATCAAGTTCACTTCCTTCTCAATAAACATGGCATTAGGCCAGACAATATTTAAGCAGAGTATGGTGGAAATGTGGGCAGGTCTGAGGGTGGGGAAAATAAAAGGATAAAATACCCCTGAGGGATTAGATATATTTAAAATCACAAAGGTATTATATCACAGATCTATAACTTTACTAAAATATAAAAATGAATGAAAATATATTTGGTATTATTTTATCTTAGCCCTGTAAGAGAAGCTAATTTTCTCTTGTGGCTCTTCAGTTTTTAGTAAGAGAAGTGCAAGCAACTTTTTCTTATGGGCCAGGATGAAAAATAGCCTTATGAACTCCCAGGAGGAGTTTTTTCTTAAGGGGATACATATCATTTAAACCACAGAAGAGAGGTAAGTAAAGGGTGAGTAACCTAGATTGTCTAGAAAAAGGTGGTATTAGAGAGACCCTTTATGTTTTCTGAGTTGCAGAGTTGTGTTGGAAATAACACTGCCACCTATCCCTTGGCCATGATTAGAAAGAAACAATGGGAGGCAGTTCTGTAAACAGTGGAATCCATTTGACTCAAAGCTTCTGGGGCCAGCTCCGGTGTACGTAAACTGATTTTATGAATTTAAAGGGCTGCCACACTGGGGCCCCGGGCAGAGCTACATGTTGTGGGAGGCCATTGTCCTCCAAAAAGGGCCATGTGGCCCCAGCAGGGACTGGCACCACCGCCCCACCCCCGGCTCCTCACAGCAGAGATGTTTGGTGAACCAACTGGTCTTCAACAGTGACACCGTGTGGTCTAGAGCAGTAAAGACAGCCCTGACCAATGATCTCTCCCCTTGGGTTGAAGATGCCTGGCTAGCCTAAACCCAAACTTGGGCCGTTGAGAGGTACACTTCAGGAGGGAGGCACTGACCTTCTAAATACTAGGGTAGGCAGGGGATACAGTAATTTGTTTTCAGAGTTGATACATTGAGTTGTTGGAGCAGTTCCTATTGGTTAAATCAAACGTTACAAGTTGACTTTACTTATATTTCTGAAAATTCATAACTACATAATATTGACTTTTGCAAGTTCTTGGGAGCCCTTGAGCATCACACTCCAGGCCACTGAACACAGCTTCATTTCATTTCTTGTTTCACTTCATGGTATGCAAACTTGTTTTTTTGTTATTGTTGTTGTTGTTTTTAAAAAGGAAGAGGGAAGAGTGGGATGACCCAATTTTTGAATTTCAAATAACACTACACTGAATTATTAGGTTTTTCTCTAACGTATCTTTCAGTTGAAATGTCTACAATTTTATATGGAACTGTTTAATTTTTAAAGAATCTCCTGGGAAAGTTATTCATGCCACTCACTATGGTCTTATAGTTGGAATGTTTGATTTTATTTCTAGTTGAACACCGCAGTCTGTTTCTTATGGCATTTTTTAATATATAGGAATATGACTGTGTGAATTAGTCAATGTCTATAGTTCATGTGGTTTAGAGTGTTAGCCCCAGTAAGTGTCAGGCATTGTTCTGGGCATGGAACAGACAGCAGTATAGACCAGAACACAACCTCTCCACTCAAGGAATCTACTTGGCTGGAGAGAAGCACAGGACAGTTTTAGGAGCAGAGAGGAGGAAGATCCGAGCTAATTTCAGTTGCTGCCACTAACTTTGAGAGACATAAAGGCATGTACAAATACCGAAAACCAAAAGTAGAACCAGTTCATGAAATCAATAATTTACATGGGAGGGAATGCTGCTCAGAAATTGTCAGGTGTTGGAGTCAAGGATACTTGGTTTTGAATCCCAGTTCCACATTTACTAAATGTGTGATCTGAGCACATCACCCTATGTGCCTCAGCCTTCTCATCTGTGATTTAGAAAGAATATACATCTACCTTAAAAGAGGTTTAAATTAGATAATACTGGCAAAGTGAAATACTGAGCAGGATTGCTTTATAAATTGAGCTTTATTATACTCATGAAATTGAAACAAAAATTTGTAGATCAATCAGATCATCGATGCATTTTTCTTATGTTCAAATCAAGAGTTGAATCCATTTAATAAAGAGCTACAGGTTTAGACCAGATGAGATTCACCATTGTTAAAAGAAAAACTTTCTAGCTGGGCACAGTGGCTTATGCCTTTAGTCCCATCAACCCAGGAGGCTGAGGTGGGAGGACCACTTAAGGCCAAGAGTTTGAGACAAGCTTGGTCAACATATCAAGACCCCATCTTTAAAAAATAAAAAAAAAATAGCCAAGTATAGTGGCCCACACCTGTAGTCCCAGATACTTAGGAGGCTGAGGCAGGAGGCTTGAGCCCAGAAGTTTGAGGCTGCAGTGACCTATGATCATGCCACTGTACTTCACCCTGGGTGATAGAGTGAGACCCTATCTCTTTACAAAAATTTAGACAATTTAAATTTAACAGAGTTTAATTGAGCAAAAAAGGATTCACGAATTGGGCAGCCTCCTGAACCAAAATAGGTTCAGAGAGACTCTGGCACTGTCGTGTGATGGAAGAAAATTTATGGACAGAAAAAGGAAAGTGGCATACAGAAAACAGAAGTGATGAACAGAAATAGTTGGCTTGGTTACAGCTTGGCATTTGCATTATTTGAACATGGTTTGAATAGTTGGCCACCTTTAGTGGCCAAAACTCAGTGACTGGTAAAAGAGTAAAAGAGTAGGTAACAGCCTGTTTAGACATCCAGTTAGGTAATAGTTCATTATGTATGGAGAAAACTTTAGGCCAGATTTAAAATATGTAAGCAGGCAGCTTTAGGCTGAACTTAACTGAACACCATATTTCTCTAATTCTATGAATCTTGACCTCAGCTACACATTAAAATCACCTGGGGAGTTTTAAAAATACTATCACCTGGGGAGTTTTACAAATACTATCACCTGGGGAGTTTTAAAAATACTGTCGCCCAGACCTCAACCCCAAATAGTGTGATACAATTGGTCTGCAGTACGCTTTGGGGTTTAGGATTTTTAATCAGGAGTTAATGTGCAGCCAGGGTTGGGACCCACTGGTTTAACTGACTATGGAGGTTGAGCAGATCTACGCTTGGGTCACAGGCAACCAGAGCAGTTGCTGATGAGAACTTTCCCCTTATACACCCACATTCTGAGCTAGAAGTGATCTTGGAAACACCATTGGGAAAGGGAGTCACCTCTACCAACTGGTGCTCAAAATTAACTGTATCTCCCATCCTGTTAACCCCTTGAGGCTTTTGTGACCCTATCAGTACCAGGGCAGGTTCCTCAACCAGCAACTGTGGAATGCCTAGAAAGGTGGATTCCAGGGGCAGCTCCATCCTAGCACAGCCAAGAGACTGCCTCTCCCACCTCTCCCATCTTGGCTTTCTTATCTCTTTGCGTGTTAATGGAGATGACAGTGTCCTTCCTACAACCTAGCAGAGTAGTTATTAGGTCCATGAGACTGTGTCAGTAAAGTACATTGTAAACCATGATATATGAATGGAATTAAGTACCCAGTGGAGATTAGACATTATACTTTCTGAAACTGTAAAAACTGCTGTTTCATAAGTCATAGCTTTTGCTGTCCAGTGCTAACTTTTCTACCACCTTGTAGCAGAGCTGTGTTAATTCAGGCATATAAAATCTTGTATACAGAATTACCTTGTTTAGGGAATTGTTATATATAAAACAGAAAATCTGTATACAGGGTTTCACAAAAACAATACTGCAGTGCGCTCTATTTTCTATCCTAATCAATGACCTATCATGACAAATCTAAAATTCATCTAAAAACACCCATTTACCCAGCAGGCTCTGCCTAATGATTCCTTTGTTATGGAAAAATAATTACTATATTTTTTGTTATGCAAATATAGAGCACCAAAATTCATGAAATTTTATAGAGAAAGATAAAAAGTAACCAGAATTCGAATTAAGGATTTTAATTAGTCATGTCAATTTGGGGGTGGAAGGATGCTTTTTAAGCAGAAAGATGCCTTCTGTGTTGTGGTGACTTTGGAAAATGGCTTCTTGTTCTCTGATTTGGACTGCCTAGTGTGTGTGTGTACATGATTGTGTGTTCTTACAGAGTTGTGTGTGTTGTGAGCAGCTGGATGCAGGTGTGGTGCTTGTAGATGGGGATCACAGGAGAAACATGCAGGCTGATCTCTTCAACCCACATCGCAGAAAAAGGCAACTGCCAACCTAACAAAACGTTAAAGGCACTTTCTCAAGAGACAGCCTAGAGCATAGACTCCGTGCAAAGCCACATTACTCAGTTTGAATCTCAGCTTAACTCTTACCAGCAGTATGAATGCAGGCAAGTAATTTCACCTCGCTGTGCCTTAATTTCCTGAAGATAGTAATGGTACCCACTTCATTGGATTGTTGTGAGGATTAAATGAGCTAGTATTGGTAGAACACTTAAAACAGTAGCTGGAAAATAGTAAGCACCATATAAGTGCTAAATAAAATATACTTTTTAACTCAGTTTTATATCATCTGTAATTTACTCCAAGATGCATCAGTATAAACAGACCATATGGGACTTTAAATTAATCTACATCTTAGTGGTGAGAAATTAACACTAAAATACCCAATTTGAGAGTCCTCACTCCAGGAGTCCAGGAGTGGTTAGAGAAGAGTTTCAAATATTGCTATATAAATCTGTATGAGAGGTTACCAGGTAAATTAATTTACTGTTAAGAGGAAAAAAAAGGAAATTATGACAACAACAAAAAAGCAATTTATAGAATAATATGCTTTGTATTGTCATTTACTTTAAAATACATTCATTAGTTCATTCATTCAGCAAACAGTTATAAAGAATCTACTCTGTGCAAAGTGCAGAGATGAAGTGTTGCTGCTTAACTAAGGAACATCAAGGATTGCTGGCAACCACCAAAGCTAGGACATGGGCATGGAACAGATTGTCTCTCAGAACTTCCAGAAGAAACCAACCCTGCCAGCAGCTTAATTTCAGACCTTTAGTCACCTGAACTGGGAGACAATACAATACAGACAATTCTTTTGTTTTAAGCCACCTAGTTTGTGGTAATTTGTTATGCCAGCTATAAGAGGCTGCGACAGATCTGAAATGAACTCACTGCCTACTTGCCCTGTGACAACCAAGGACCTCTACTGCAAGCTGTTGGGGGCAAGCATGGACCAGACCCCAACCAGACCATCCAGACCTTGCACTATAAATCTTGCTCAAGGTGCTATACCCACTGATTGCAGGACCTTAAGGAAGCTGAAATAAGCAGCTCCCACCACAAATCTTACTCAAGGAAGTTAACCCTATCTCCCGCATGCGTACAAGGCCGGGAGAGTGACCAATCCTTAACGTTAGCTTCATTAGAATACTAAAAATCACATCCAGAGGTAGAGAGTTAATATGCTAATAAGACGTGTGATATTTGAAGGAGCAAGAAATCAAACTGTGCAGGTGCTAAAAGTTCCCTGCCTCTGCATGCCTAAACCTCACTCCTTTAAAACTACCTTTCTATCACCTACCGAGGAGGCCAGCCAGAGAATCTCTTTCTTGTGCTACCTCCCTTACGCTTGAACCTTGTCTGAGAAAACTCTTTTGATCTCATGTCAATTTCTTTTTCTTTTTCTTTAAGAGACAGAGTCTCACTATCCTGTCCAGGCTGGTTTCAAACTCTTGGCCTCGAGGGATCCTCCTGCCTCAGCCTCCCAAAGTGCTAGGACTACAAGCATGAGCCACCAAACTTGGCCTCAATTTTTATTGCATTGAGAGCCCAAGACCCCCATGGTAGGTAACAAAACGAATACACATCTCTTTAACTCTTTGTTCTCAGTCCTCTTTCTGGTTTCCTCTTCACAGGCATACTCCTAGTGCAATACAAAGTTTCCATCCTTTGTTAATACTCTCCCCTTATACTGTCTCCATGCCATATCTTGGCCAACAGCCTTACTTTCCAACCCAGTCATCTGGGAAAGAAGTATGGGGGTTAGCCTGGACACTTTCCTCTATTCCAAACTCCACATTCAATTAGTCACCAAGTCCCATGGGCACAGCACTTTTTCCTTATAATTATGTTTCAAGAGAAATAGGAGAGTAACACTTGCATATGATTAAAAAGTATACAGCATGAATAGAGAGACAGAAAAATGGAACAGACTAGACATTTCCAAATAGACCCAAGTATTTACGTGTTAAAGAAAAATACAAATGGAGGCTACAGTTTAGATATACCCCAAGGCTAACCATCTTTAACCATATAACCAAAACTTTATTCATCTCGATTTTCTGAAATGCTAATTTCTAATCATAAATAAAACACAAAACATAACTTTATGTCCTTGCCAGTATAATTCAGTGAAATTAAGCCAATCAGCTATAGATAAATTAGCTTGAATAGCACTATTTGTCCTAAAAAGAATGTTAATGTATAATAGCCAATCACGAAAAAGGTCCAAATAATTTCTCTTTTATGCTTTATACACTGTGCTATAACTGCTGTAAGGTGAGCTTCTTACCATTATTACCTTCTTACATTTATTCAAAGTCTCCTGGTTGGAAAACTGTTCTTTTGTAAGTACAATACATTCTTTAAAATTTTCTAACTTGATCTGATTTTGTTTTTGACATATAAAAATTAGTAAATAACAACAATGATCACTAAAGAAAATAATAACTTTTAAAAATGGTGTAGTGATAACTACAATAGACATTTCAAAAAGATAAATTCAGATCCCTATCTCACAGCATATACCAGAATAAATTTCAGTGGATCAGCAATCTAAATGTAAAAAAAAAAAGGTAAAGCAAAAAAGTACTAGAAGAAAGCATGAATAAATTTTTATAACTGGATTTGGAGATAATTATTTTCAAAGCTATAAAATGAGATCCCAAAGCAATAATAGAAAATCTTGATAAATTTGACTACATGAAAATAAAGGGTTTTTTTTTTTTTTTGGCAAGGCATAAGACATCATAAGCAAAGTCAAAGACAAATAAATACTAGTAAAAATACTTGTAACATATTGCAAAGGACTAATCTCTTTAATATATAAAGAGTGGCTAAAAATCAAAAAGAATAAAATTTAAAAACCTGATGGAAAAATTGACACAATCGTAAACAGTTCATAGAAAGAGATAAATAAATGGCCCTTAACCATATAAAAAGATGTTCAACTTTACTGATAATAAGAAAAATGTAAATTAAAAGTACATAGAGATATAATTTCTTATTTATTAGACTGGCAATAATTCAAACACTTGAGAACACACTTCGTTGGTTGAGGCTGGGGGGATCCAAGCACTGTCATACAATGCTGGTGGAAATGCAGAATGATACAACCCCTGATGGAGGAAACTGGGAAATACCTAACAATTATGATTATGTTATTTACCTTTCCACCCAGAAAATGCACTTCTGGGAAACTACCTTGAAGGTACATCTCCACAAATATGAAAGAACACGCATACAAAGTTTTTCATCACAATATCATTTATAACAGTAAAATACTGGAAACAACCCAAGCTGCCACTAATAAATTAAACTGTGGCACACCTACATGAGGGAGTACTATGCAGACATAATAACAATAACAACAATTTTTTTTTTTTTTTTTTGAGACAGAGTTTCACTCTATTGCCCAGGCTGGAGTGCAGTGGCGCAATCTCGGCTCACTGCAACCTCCGCCTCCAGGGTTCAAGCCATTCTCCTGCCTCAGCCTCCCAAGCAGCTGGGATTACAGGCGCATGCCACCACATCCGGCTAATTTTTGTATTTTAGAAGAGACGGGATTTCACCATGTTGGCCAGGCTGGTCTTGAACTCCTGACCTCAAGTAATCCACCTGCCTTGGCCTCCCAAAGTGCTGGGATTACAGGCATGAGCCACCACACCTGGCCAACAACAAGATTTCTATAAACTAATATGCAGTGACTTCTAGGAAATGGTATTAAGTGAAAAAAAAAGAGAACATATATAGGACACTACCGTGTGGAAAATAAGGAGAAATGTGTGTGTGTGTTGTGTGTGTGTGTGTGTGTGTGTGTGATTTTGCAAAAAAAAAAAAAAAAAAAAAAAGAAACAAACAAAAGGGATAAAACAGAGACTAATGAAAATATCTACTTATGGAGGAGGGTGGGAACAGAATGGAAGCAAAGGATGGGAGTGGCACTTCTTTAAATACACCTTTTTATATTGTTCTGACTGTCGAACCAAGTAAAAGAGATTCATCTAATTAAAAGATTTTAAAAAGCAAACCCTAAAGGAGAATATAAAAGAAAACAAATTAATGCCTATATCAAATTATTATCAAGATTTCTTTGCAAGACCCTTTTGTCCTTAGAACACATCTTACTAAGAACACACAGAGTACGGTTTTCAAAGTTACTTGAGAGCTGGACATGGTGGCTCATGCCTGTAGTCCCAGCTACTCAGGAGGCTGAGAAGGGAGGATTACTCGAGACCAGGAATTTGAGACCAGCCTGGGCAACATAATGAGATTCCATTTTTAATATCTGAAAAGTAAAACTAAACCCAAAGGTTACTTGAATTACTCTTTTCCATACCAAACACAATACCCTGATGATACATGCTTAGTGTCTTTATAGTCTAAAGAAAAAAAAAAAGGGACCACAAGAAATCTAAACTTTACTTCATAGATGTATAATTTATAGTTATATGGGTATTCTAAAGCTATTTTATGTATATTGTAGAATTTTAAAATATGCTAATTCAATAAGGAATCAACATTTTCCATTTTCAATGTGGTCAAGCAGAAGAATGTTCTTGGTCTTAGAAGGTGCTTATGAAGTTTTTTTCAGTGAAGTTTCATGATGTCTCCAACTTTCAAATGGTTCAGAAAGAAATTATGTGAGAAAGATAAAGAGGATAAAAAATGAGCAATTGATGAATCTAGTTGAAAGATAAACAGTGATCATTGTATTCCTTCAGTTTTTCTAAGTTCAAAATTTTTAGGAGAAACATTTTAGAATAAAGTACTATATTTACTCTTTTGGAATTTTTAAAAACATGTGTTTTTCTCTTTAACTCTAATCAGGAACACATCATTTATATCGGTAAAATGAGCTAGATTATGCTTCAGTAAGCAGCAGCATCAAAATAGCAAGGGCTTAGAAAATCAGAGGTTTACTTCTTTCTCATGTGATATGCCCATTACAGTCAATATAGAAAGTCTGTTCATCATACTACAATTGTAGAGTCATCTCTAACATTGCCATTCTCCATGCAAGACAAAAAAACCAGCCATGGAGAGTCTCTCGCAATTAAAATGCTTGACTGGAAATGACAACATACAGCTCATTAATCACATGACCCAATTCACCCCTAGGGGGAGTCAATGATTTGGAGATATCTGATGAATAGTGTTAATGACTATCACTCCATTCATTTGTTGTGTTTTATGTCGCAGTAAACCCTGATAGATACAGTAAATTAGTACAGTGTAGTGGTCAAGAGCACAGATTCTGCAGCCAGATTATCATAGTTATAGCTCAGCCGCTTGCTAGCGAAGCTTTGGCAAGTTATTTCACCTCTTTGTGCCTCGATTTCTTCCTGCGTAAAAATTAGGTCTAATAGTCGTAACTCACAAAGAAGATTTGGTAAGTTAATATAGCAAAAGCATTTAACAATGGCTGTCATTTACTATCAGCAGCATCATTATTATTCTGAAGTATGAAACTCATACTTGATGCAGTAAGGAAATTTCTCAATGTTTTTCCCACAAATCAAGCAGTACAAAGATTTACAGTGAAAAGTAAGTTTCTGTCTCACATCTGAGCCTCCTCATCCAGTTTTTCTCCCTAGATACGACTGTTACCAGCTGTGGCATTTATGAACCTATTGCCTTTCTGTGCCAAATGCACCCTTCCTTTCTCTGCTTGAGATACTGAAACATCTTTCCTTTGCCAGCTGACACAGTGTTAAGTTTTGCCAGTAGAAGACCTGGAGGGACTCTGGAAGAAAAAGGGGATTATCTTCCTTCCTGATTCTTGTAGACTTTCTGCTCTTGCTTCTGTGGTGCTGGGCTGGTATGTGAGCGACGCAGTGATGGAGCTCACGCCAACAAGTTTCATGGGTGCCCCAGCTGGTTTCCCTGTGGCCAGTTCCTCAATGGTCCTGCAGCAGCATCCTGGAAGCTTTCCAGTGTGTCCCCACCATGGCCCAACCAGTTTCCCACAAGTTCAACAGCACTCCCCATGGGCAGTTTCCCCATGAATTTTGTCAGCACCCCTCAGCCATTGATTTCTTGCCTGCCAGCCTCAGCCTGCTGGTTTCCCACTGGGGGAATTTCCACCTTGCCAGCCCTGGCTTATGACTCCCAACCTGTCAACTGTGGATCAGCTCTGACCTGGAGCAATCCAGCAAAATGCACACCCAGAGGGCTGCACCCTCTCCCAGGAAGTCTGGATCCAACCTTGAGGGGCACCCCTTCCAAGCTCATTTCTTCCTCGGGTACTCTTTGTCAGCCCAAAGGTATTCTTCAGAGTTCTCTTAGTGTTCCTCTTTAGTAATTCCCTGTAAATAATCATTCTTCATATTAAACCTTCTGTATTCAAATTACTTGTGGTTTCTGTCCCCTGAATGGCTCCTGACTAATGCAGCAGCTTCCTGTTGTAGTCTTCCAGAGATCTTTTATGCTTATGCAAGTGTATGTGTGTATACACATGCTTTTGTTATGTAATGGGAACACTTTATATACAGTCTTTTTCTTTTTTTTGAAAATAGAGTCTCTTTTTGTCATTATAACCTCGAACTCCTGGGCTCAAGCCATCCTCTTGCCTCAGTCTTCTGAGTAGCTGGGACTACAGGTGTGTGCCACCATGGACAGCTAATTTTTAAATCTTTTGTAGAGTCAGGGTCTGGTTATGTTGCCCAGGCTGGTCTCAAACTTTTGGACTCAAGTGATCCTCCCGCTTTGGTCTCCCAAAGTGCTAGGATTACAGGTGTCAGCCACTGTGCCCAGTCACATGTTTGTTTGTTTGTTTTTAAACTTAGCCATCATTGCATATCAGCAAAAATATATTTATCTCATTTTTAACAATCGTATAGTAATTCATTGCATAAATAATTCCATAATCTATTTCACCAGTTTTCTATGGATGGAGAGATAGATTTCCAGTCCTTTCTTTCCACAGTAGAATTCTTATTTGATAGGTTTGTATGCCCATGTGCAAACATATCTTATCTGAAAAATTATTCCTGGAAAAGATTCTACTCTTAAATTATCTCCGCGTTCAGTGCCACCACCATATTATAGGTGTTCCTCATTTATAAAAGATGGATGTCTAGTATTTTTTATTGATTAGAATTAAGAAATCATTTTTATACATTTTAATTGTTTAAAGAACATATAAAATCAATGAAAAATATATCCCAAGGAAGTGCTTCGAGACAGGCATGCCCATGCCTATATAGACACAGAGAAACTTAACTCTGTGTGATCCTAGAACACAAATTTTTTATTGAGAATCCTTTACAGTTTTTAAAGTTATACACATTTAAAGTTAATAATATTTGTGCCAAATTAGCCTCTGCCTCCATTCAAGTTGCTATAATGAAATATTTTAAACCCACTAATTTACAAACAACAAAAATTTATTTCTCACAATTCTAGAGTCTGAGCATGTAACTGAGTGTCTACTAGGGTATTCTTTTGCAACTACTTTTTACAAAAATTTCAGGAAAGTGGAAAAACTAGTACAATGAACATTCAGATTTAAGTCCAACAATTGTTAATATTTTGTCACATTTGCTTCATTTATCTATCTACCATTCTTCTCCTCCTCTTCCTCCTCCTTCTCCTTATTCTTTTGCTAAACCATTTCAGGGAGGAAGACATATGCATCTCCAAAAATTTAGAGCAACTCCTTCATAACACCATCATTACATCCAAGTTAATAACAACCTTCTAATATTGTCTAATACGGTCTACATTCATACATTCGTATTTTTCCAATCATCCCCAAAATGTGTCTCACCATGTTTTGCCAAACCAATATCCAATCAAGCTTCACACTGCATTTATCTACCAGTGAATATCTAGCTTTTTTTTTTTTGTAACAGGATCTCACTCTGTCACCCTGGTTGAAATACAGTGGCACAATCACGGCTCACTGCAGCCTCATTCTCCCAGGCTCAAGCGATCTTCTCACCTCAGCCTCCCAAATAGTTGGGACTACAGACATGTGCCACCATGCCTGGCTAATTTTTAAAAAATTTTATGCAGAGACGAGGTCTTGCTATGTTGTTCAGGCTGGTCTCTAACTCCTGGGCTCAAGTGATCCTCCTGCCTCAGTCTCCTGAAGTGTTGAGATTACAGGAATGAGCCACCACACCTGGCAACATTTAGCTTTGATTGAGGCTCAGTTTACCTAGATACTTGCATCTTAACCTTGAAGACTCAGTTTTGTCCTCCAGACTTCCAAGAAATCTCACTTGAACTCCAGCTCCATTCAAGGTTCCTGTGTCTTTCAAAAAGCCTATGGTTAAATCTACTGGATATTCAACATTTTGTATTACGAATTTGTTGTTTAACTTTTTTATTTCCTCAACTAGACTCTGAGCATTTTGAAGGAATGGGTGTTCTTTGCCTCAGTCATCATGTGTCATCATGTAAATGTTCAATACACGTTTTAAGAATAAATGACTGAATACAGTTCCTTCCTCCCCTACTATGAAGAGCTTGAATAAATAAATTAATTCTAGGAGGCTGGGAGCCAGTCAGAAGGGAGTAAAGGGAGGTTCAACAATGGTCTGAGAGGACATTTCAAATACAGAAAGCTGCTTTGGGGAACTTTGAATAGAAACAGGAATACTCTTCTCCCTGTCTCAGTAGGGAAAGAGCTTAATGTTTATCATTAGTTAGAGATAAACCTGGAATTTATTGGCACTATGGACATTTTGGCCAGATAATTCTAGAGAAAGGATTATAAACACAACAGTCAGGAAAACTGCATCAAAACAGCACACTTCTGTTTACACAGCTGCCCTGCTGCTGCTTGTCTAATGTGTTTTTAAGCAAACATTCATTCCCAGTGGGTCCCTAAATTGGACCCAGACCAGTGCTTTATGCCCATGCTCCATGGAAGAAATCACAGTTTATCTACTTTAAACTCTCAAGGTGAAATTTCTCCCTGAATATTAGCCTTTTCTGCTGTTAAAAAGTCATATTCATGGACAATTTCTCTTTTGGATAAACTTTTTTTCAGATATTTCCTTCTTCCCCACTTCCCGTCACCTGTGGGGCTAATTCCAGGATCTTATATTAACTGATTTCAAAGTGAAGTGACTCAGAGACTGCATACCACGACTATTTTAGGTGGAGTCTTTCCTCCTGAGTCACCCTGTCCCCTGGTAGCAGGCATCCTGCGGATTTCCTCCCCTCTGCTGTGGAGAACAGGAAGCCAAGGCCAGAAGCAGCCAACAAGCACGGCATCCCAGTGGCTCCTCCCAGTTACTGGAGGACCAGCAAGAAAATCCTGATTTAGTAAGAATTCTTTGGCAAAAAAATTTGAGAGTTTACCGGAGGCAAATGGCTTCAAGAATGTTATTTATGAGCAAACATATTTTTTTCCAGAGGCAGGTTAAAAGTGTTTTCTTAGAGATGAAATTAAGTAAAATGTTGAGTTATCTGGGGAGACTTCATTAGCTGTTTTCACTAATAGGGTAACCAAAGACAAATAAATTACTCAACTCCCTTTTCAACAATTTTATCAAGTTTTCCAGCCAGGAATATCCTCTTCATTCACTTCTGTCATTCTTCTGGAACCATCTTCCAAATAACAATTGATCATGTACTTCCTCACCAAGTCTTCATAACAACCTGTGACATGATACCGTCAGTAGAGACATCATCGTTTGAGGCTGGACAAAGACTAGGGAATACTAGCCATGCATGTTGTTCTTCTCTGACCCCATCTCCACTGCAGACATCACTAATCTATCTAGCTAATCTGTATATCTCTCCCACCGAAACCAGTGTGCCTTCAAAATAGCACTGTAGGAAGCTACTACCAAGGAATTAGAACCTCCAAATTTGAAACCAATTTACA
This sequence comes from Homo sapiens, assembly GCF_000001405.40. Taxonomy (NCBI): domain Eukaryota; kingdom Metazoa; phylum Chordata; class Mammalia; order Primates; family Hominidae; genus Homo; species Homo sapiens. The sequence goes on along the minus strand of NC_000003.12, from coordinate 149,339,412 downwards.
ATGAAGAAGAGAGGGGTAATGCACAACAATGTTATCAGGCAAGGGTGAACATGGTGGAATAGCATAAAGAATGTGAAAGTCAGACTTAACTTCTAGTTTCTGAGCAAGTTTTTAAATTTCTTTTGTAGAAAAATCCATGTTCTACCCAAAAGACACACGTATGCTTATCACAGCACCATTCACAATAGCAAAGACATACAATCAACCTAGGTGCCCATCAGTGGTAGATAGGATAAAGAAAGTGTGGTAGATATACACCATGGAATACTAGGCAGCCATAAAAAGGAATGAAATCATGTTGTTTGTGGCAACATGGATGCATCTGGAGGCCATTATTCTAAGTGAATTAATGCAGGAACAGAAAACCAAATGCCTCATGTTCTCACTTATAAGTGGAAACTAAGTATTAGGCACTCATGGACATAAAGATAGCAATAATAGACACTGGGGACCACCAGAGTGAAGAAGGAGGAAAGGATGGACTTTAAAACTACCTATTGAGTACTATACTCACTACCTGGGTGATGGGTTTGGGGCCTAATGGTCCAAAACTTCAGCATCCTGCAACATACCCATGTAAAAAACCTGCACATGTACCTTCTGAATCTAAAATAAAAGTCAAAATTGTTTTTTAAATAACAATAAAGTAAAAAGGACGGTTTTCTTCTTACATCCATTTTTTTTATACATGCAAAATAGGGTTAATAATGCCTTTACCTTAGTGTTATTGTAAGAATTCATTTTTCGGCTTTTTGTTTTTAATGCATGTGAAAACTTCTAGCACAGCGCCTCCACATAGAAGATACTCAATAGATGTCAATTTATCGTAGTTAATTGGAAGGAGACCCTGACTGAGAGTGACAGCTCACTTCACTGACACTGAAGATTCCTGGGAGCCACAGCACTTTTACAAAGCAGACAATGCTCAATGATTCTGCTCCCCACAAACATTAACAAAATGTAATCTTAGTCACTGCTCTCCAAAGAGCAAAATATTGACAATAAAAAGTTTTTTTTAAAGTCAAATCTCAATTAAGTTAAACCTCCTTAGAACCTTGCAAGTATGTCTAGTAGAACACAGCTACTTCTGGGTTTCCTGGTAGCCAATGACCCCCTTCAGCGATTATTCTGCTCCCACCCTTTCTTAATTCTCGTTTCAGTGCCTGTTAGAACCTCTATGAGAGAAGGTTTCACATCGAGGAAAACGAAGAGCCAAATCAAACATTTTCATTTTTTTTTAAATTCTGCTTAAAAATCACTGGGAAGGGGAGTGGTGACTATTGGATTAAGAAACTGTAAATTTCAATGCTAGATGATATTTCCATCTCCCACCTGCAGTTCAGTCCCCCTCAAGGTTACTTTCTTTTTTTAAAAATTTATTAAGTAATTAGTTTATTTTTTATTATTATACTTTCAGTTCTAGGGTACATGTGCACAACGTGCAGGTTTGTTACATATGTATACATGTGCCATGTTGGTGTGCCGCACCCATTAACTCGTCATTTACATTAGGTATATCTCCTAATGCTATCCCTCCCCCTGTCCCCCACCCCACGACAGGCCCTGGTGTGTGATGTTCCCCTTCCTGTGTCCAAGTGTTCTCATTGTTCAGTTCCCACCTATGAGTGAGAACATGCAGTGTTTGGTTTTCTGTCCTTGCTATAGTTTGCTGAGAATTATGGTTTCCAGCTTCATCCATGTCCTCACAAAGGACATGAACTCATCCTTTTTTATGGCTGCATAGTATTCCATGGTGTATATGTGCCACATTTTCTTAATCCAGTCTACCATTGATGGGCATTTGGGTTGGTTCCAAGTCTGCTATTGTGAATAGTGCCACAATAAACATACATGTGCATGTGTCTTTATAGCAGCATGATTTATAATCCTTTGGGCATATACTCAGTAATGGGATGGATGGGTCAAATGGTATTTCTAGTTCTAAATCCTCCCTCAAGCTTATTTTCTTTCATTCCTTGAAGAGTCTAGCACCTGGCTTTCTAAATGTAGTCATTCTCTCCCAAACTGACATTGTCTAATTTTTTATTTTAGTATTCATTATAAATGATAATTCCAATACACTTCCCTTTCCATTCCTTTTCACCAGTCATCTTGTCCTCCACCTCCCTACACTACTCACTCCTAGGATCACAACTTGTGTCAGTCTGCTAGGACTGACATAACAAAACACCACAGACTGGGTGACTTGAACAAAAGACATTTATTTTCTCACAGTTCTGGAGGCCAGAATTCCAAGGTCAAAGCAGATTTGTAAGTTATGTGCCAAATCTCAAAGCAGATTTGTAAATTATGTGCCAAATCTGTGTTGGCAGATTGGTTTCTCCTGGGGCCTTTCTCTCTTTGGCTAGCAGATAGCCACTTCTCACTGTGTCCTCACACAGTCTTTTCTCTTTGCACCCCTGGAATCTCTTTGTGTGTCCAAATTCCCTCTTTTTATAATCTGATTGGATTATCCCCACCATGCTGTCCTCATTTTAACTTCATCATCACTTTAAAGGCCCTATCCAAATACAGTCACGTTTGAGATTATGGGGGGTTAGAACTTCAACATGTGCATTTAGGAGAGACATGATCAGCCCATAACACACCTCCAGACTTTTTCTTCGCCTATTCCTGAAACATCTCTAAAATCTCAAATTCCAGCATCACACTTCTCAATCACTACTTCCTCTCTTTCTAGCTCACTCTGTGTGTTACCTAAAACCAGTAATTTTTCAGCCACACTGGGACACACAATTTACAAATCCAGTGCCTCTTTTACTATTTCTCACACTCCCTCACGTCCTTACTTCCCTCCTTACTCAGCTTAAGTTCCACAGTCCATCATTATAACCATTCACTTGCATACATTCTTGAATCCTTTGCCCATCCCTCTCTTCATGGTATCTGCCTGGCAAAGTCCCAATCCTGGTTGACTCCAGCTTTCTTCCTACTTGCTGGCTACACCTCTGCCACTGAACCTTACTAGGAAAAATACCCAAGTCTCCTGTCCAGTCTCACTATCCATTCACGGTCACAGACTCAAGTGGTCCCTCAGCACCTGCCACATTTCTCTAGTCTGTTCATTCTCCCACTTTCCAAGCCAACTGTTTGAACTTCTCCTCTCTTCCTTTAAACCTTTAACACCCTCTCCCCATCCTCATTCTCAGCTGATAAAATTGCCTCCTGTTTCCCTGAGAAAACAGAAGTATAATAATCAGAAGTTCCCGCTAACCACCTCCAAGCCCATTGCTATGTTCTCCTTCTGTTCTGTTGCTGACACTGACCTGCCCTGCTGCTATCTAAGGTAAGCTCCTCCATCTGTTCACACACTCCCACCCTTTCTCACCTACTCAAGGAGCCTGTGCCAGCAATCCTCTCCTTTATCTCCTTTATGGTAAATACCTACCTACCCTCCCTCATACCCCTTCCCACAACAGTATACAAATATGCTACCATTTTTTCCATTAATTTTTGTCCCTTGACTTCTACTTTTCCTCTAGCTGCTGCCCCATTTCTCTGCCCTCCTTTACAGCAAAACTCTCCAAAAGAGTTACCTCATCTATTTCCAATTTCTCTCCTCCCATTCTCTCATGAATCCACTGCAGATGGACTCTCATCTCATCTCTAACTCACCAAGAAAGCTCCTCTTATGAAGGCCACCAGTGACCTCCACGTTGCTCAACCCAATAGCCGATTCTCAGTTCTTTCGTATGATGTGCCCTTTGGCAGCATTTAACTTTGTTGATCACGCCTTCTTCTTCTTAGAAAGTCACCTTTGAGAATAAGCTCCTGATCTTCATTTCTGGCTCACTGGCCATTTCTCAGTATCCTTTCTGCCTTCCTCTCATGTCCCTAAACTCAGTCCTGGGCTGCCCAGGATTTAGTCCTTGGGTCTCTTTTCTATCAACATGCATTTCCTTAGTGTCTCATGGGTTTAAATACCATTTATATGCTGACAACTGTCACATTTATATGTCACCCAGACCTCTTCCTTGAACTTCATATTTGTATATCCAGCTGCCTAGTTGACATCTCCACTTGGATTTCTAAAAGGTATTTCAAAACTTAGCACATTCGAAACTGACCATATCATTCCTCTTCTCCCAACCCTGCTCATTCAGCTGACTTGCTCATTTCTGTTAATGACAATTTTATTCTCCCAGTTTCTCGGGCCCAAATGATGTCGTCTTTGACTTCTCTCTTTCTCTTATACCCACATCCAATCTGCCACCAATCCTGTTGGCACAAGCTTCAAAATATATCCCAAATCCAGCTTCCTTTTTTTTTTCTTTTATTATTATACTTTAAGTTTTAGGGTACATGTGCACATTGTGCAGGTTAGTTACATATGTATACATGCGCCACGCTGGTGCTCTGCACCCACTAACTCGTCATCTAGCATTAGGTGTATCTCCCAATGCTATCCCTCCCCGCTCCCCCCACCCCACAACAGTCCCCAGAGTGTGATGTTCCCCTTCCTGTGTCCATGTGATCTCATTGTTCAATTCCCACCTATGAGTGAGAATATGCGGTGTTTGGTATCCAGCTTCCTTTTACCACCTCTGCTGCTACTACCATCATGATCCGAGTCATCATTATCTCTTACCTGGATGGTGGAAATGGCTTCAGAACTCATCTCTATCTCCTCCACACCCTTTACCACCTATTTACAACACAGCAGCCAGAGTGAACCTTTTAAAACATCAAGCACAGTGCCTGCCACATAAGAGATGCTCAATGAATGCTCAACCAACAATGTTATTCTCTTCCCAATCATCCCAGGAACTCTAGTAAATATGATTTTATGCTGCTTCTATGTGACTGGAAAAAACGTCTAATGCCCAGATTTTTTGATGCACTTAGATCAAAAGCACTAGAGGGAAAAAAAACCATATCCACAAGGGGGTGCCAAGAAACCTCTTTGGAACCTGGACTGCTAGTTTCTTTCTTTCTTTCTTTCTTTCTTTCTTTCTTTCTTTTTTTTTTTGAAACAGAGTCTTACTTTGTCACCCAGGCTGGAGTGCAGTGGAACGATCTCGGCTCACTGCAACCTCCGTCTCCCAGGTTCAAGTGATTTTCCTTCCTCAGCCTCCAGAGTAGCTGGGATTACAGGTGCCCAGCACTATGCCAGCTAATTTTTGTATTTTTAGTACAGATGGGGTTTCACCATGTTGGCCAGGCTGGTCTTGAACTCCTGACCTCAGATGATCCACCCGCCTCAGCCTCTCAAAGTGTTGAGATTACAGGCTTGAGCCATTGCGCCAGCCCTACCTTTGTTTTCTTAATAGTAGGAAAAATATGCCTTTATTTCTGTTATGATTTTTCAGAGAGGTAGAGATAATAGATGCAAACTCTTGGAAGGAAAGCTGTACTGATCTAACCAAGATATTTTGTTTTTCTCATCCACCAGTCACTTTCTCAGTCCTTTCTTATCCCTTGCAATTTGAACAAAGCTTGGTGAATAGTGTGCACACAAAAAGCACACTAGGTGAAAGACAGATACATAAAAAGGGTAAAGTCAGGATATTTTAACAAACCTATCAAGCTCTAAATATAAGCCTCCTTGGTAGTTTTCTCTTTAACCCTCTCTCCACTGTTGGATGAAATTTGCTGCATTCAATTCCAGTTCCCACCCCAACTTCCTTCTTAACACAAGGTCAGGGTTAAGCCTTCGGTGCTTTAATCCAGAGGAAAATTACTTATTTTAAAAAGCAGTGAAAAACACCGCATTCCTTTGGCACAGGATGAAGACCAGCTCAGCTCTTCAGTTGTTGATCATTGTCTATTGTTCTCCAAACAGTAAACCAGTATTTCACACTGAGATTGTCGGCTGCGGGTATATTCCAATTCCCCGTCTCCTCATGAATATGAAGTGAAGGGCTCTGACCCTGGAAGTGGTAGGTAATCTCAAAAAAAAAAAAAAAAAAGAGAGAGAGAGAGAAAAAAAAGGTCAGGTAGGAAGAAGAAAAATAGACTTTCTGTGACTGTATACTCTTGAAATCTCCCGCAGGTTCTAAGCAGGGCAAAATGGGGTCTCGGAAGTGTGGAGGCTGCCTAAGTTGTTTGCTGATTCCGCTTGCACTTTGGAGTATAATCGTGAACATATTATTGTATTTCCCGAATGGGCAAACTTCCTATGCATCCAGCAATAAACTCACCAACTACGTGTGGTATTTTGAAGGAATCTGTTTCTCAGGCATCATGGTAAGTATGAATTTGGAGACTTGGGAGAGAAGGGGGAGTTGTAATTGAGACTTACCTTGTAACTAGTAGAAGTAATGAATAATGGAAAAATCATTCTGCTAATCTTGGGTGTAGGATTTGAAAGAGGGATGGGGGTGAAGGGGCAGGTAATCTGCTGGCATTTGGGACATAGCTCTGTTTTCAATAAGCTGCTCAGCAATGCAGCCTCAGTAATGCAGGAAATTAGTCCTAATGAAAGTCTGTGGGACACTGGCCTGTAAAAACAGTATGTTCTCATGAACCCTGCATATCAATTTAAGCTATTTGATCTTCAGTGGCATTACTGTTTTCTAGAACAGATTTTCTGTCTGCACTCATGTTTTTCTAGCTTGAAGGGGCATTAGGACAGCATGAAAAAAAAGCAGAGACTTGGCTATTCAGACAAACCTGCATGTAAATCTAAGCTCTGTCATTTGTTCCATGAGACCTTCAGCAAGTTACTCAGTATCTTTGAGCCTCAGTGTTCTAATGTGAAAAATGTGAATAATGGCATTTACTTTTAAAGATAAAATATATATAAAGTGCCCAGGAGAGAGACTGACATGTAGTAGATAGCCAGTGACTGTTGTAATTATGATTATTAAAGAATGAGCTGTGTCATCATTAAAATAGTCCTACATTAGACCCTAATAATGGAGGGAGTTTTTGAAAAGTAAATTGAATTATCAATGGCAAGAATCCATGAACGTTTTCCTGATGACTTTGTGTTCTTTAAAAATAAACAAACTGAGAGTAAATCATGTTGGCAACTCAGAGGAAAAGACAATTTCCTGGTCAAGTCATTTCTAAAAATAGTGCATTATGGACTGTAAGCTAATCAGACCACCAATAATGTAGAAGAAAATTCATTATAATCTATTTCTACATCTTTTAGGGGTTTTTAATTATTATATTTGAATAGCTGTGTTGTAAAGCAATTTTCATTTAGTTATTCATTTTGCACATTAAATTAATAAACTTTAAAATATTAATATCCAATGCTATTGATGTTGCTATGAAATAAGTACATAACTAATATTGGCTGCACTACAAATAAATGTCAGTCTTTTCGGGAAGAGTTTGGTATAATATATCAAGATCCATGAAAATGCTTATGTCGTTTGACTCAGTAATCCTACATCTCATCATTTTTTCTGAGGAAATCATCCAAAATAAGGGAAGAGCTATGTGTGCAGATGTTTGTGGCTGCATTGGTATAATAGTAAATAACTAGAAGAAGCATCTTACAGAGAAGTAGCAAAATAAATTATGGTACATTCACTTCATACAGTGGTGAAAATTATAATTATGAAGATGTAACAACGTGGAAAATGCACATTATTTCATGTTAAGTGAAAAGAGACACAATAACATTGTGGGTAAATTACTATTGCAGCTGTGTCAAATAGACATATGTGGGAAAACACCAGAAATAAATGCATGAAGACTCACGAGGGTGGTGGAATTATGTGTACTTTACCTCCATTATTCTTGACTCCTCTGTATTGCAGTTATATTTTAAAACAAAAAAAGAAGGCAGTGTCTCTTTCAACAGTTGATGCCTGAGCAATAAGACTACAGGCTCTAGGTCAAATTATCTCTATCAATATTGTAATGAAGCTGGTTACTATGCTTTGGCCTTGTCTCATCATTGTTTCCCTCAATATGCAATTGCAATAGATGGAAGAGTTGCAAGACATAACTAAGATTAGACCAGAATTTCTTTCAATCTGTCATAACTAACGATGTGGAAAGGAGGGGAATATAGGACTCTTTTGCTTATATTCCATGTAAAAATTAAAACTAGGAAAAGAAACCTGTTCTCTATTTTTTTCATCTTCCAGGAATTATTAAAATATATTACTATAACTGCATCAAATCCTTTTAGGAGAAAGGAGAAGAATATAGGTAAATAATTAAATGAACAAAAAAATTAATGAAAGCTGAAGAAATTTGGAAACTAGAAACATTGGCTACGAAGAGTAAAATAACAGTGAACTCAGCTGTGGGATTCAGTCCTAAATAGTGAGAGTAAAAAAATGGGTGGAGAATTTCCCATAAGCAATTCATGATCTGTATCTAGTCTAACCAGAAATTATAATGAAATTATAATGGTAAAGAAATACATGTTCTTTCCAGAGCTCTGGCCTTTTGCCTAAAATAAAATTTAAAAAAAGGAAATAAGATGCATTGATTCTCCCACTTTGTTGGCTTGATACAGACAAAACACATTGAAACAATTTAAACCTGAGATGGTTTGAATGCATGGGGAAATTGAAGTCACTTTAAAGAGATATGGTTTCAGATTAACTGAGCCTCTCACCTCCATTCCCAGAGGACAGTAAATGAAGAGAGGCTGGCAAACTACCAAGCCTGCTGAATGATTTTCCTTGGTTCTCCACAACTGAGTCATTGAGAAAGGCAGGTTTTGCTGCCCAGGGTGGTATTCTCCTGTCCATCCATTTACTTCTCCTTAATCATTAGCTTTTGATGGTTGCTAACCATGATAATAATAGCTAACATTTATCAGTCACTATGAATCAACCACTATACTCAAAATGTCACATATATTACCTCGTGACGATCTCTTGATACCATTTTATACAGAAGGTGTCTCAAATTCACACAGCTAGAAAGTGACAGAGCTTGGATTCAAATCCATATCTACCTGACCCCAGACTCTATGCTTGAAGACGCTGTCCTCTGATTATAAGCACAAATGTAAACTAGCATTTCATTGCTAACATTTTATGTCTTCCCTCCTATAGATGCTTATAGTAACAACAGTTCTTCTGGTACTGGAGAATAATAACAACTATAAATGTTGCCAGAGTGAAAACTGCAGCAAAAAATATGTGGTAAGAGCAACAGTTTTTTTGAGGATGGTTGAGTGGGCTCCAGCTTTCTTTCCTCTCACTCAGAAACACAAAAATATTGACAGTATTATACCCTCACTACTGTTGAGTACAGTACAGAGATCAAGAGTTTACTGCCAAGATCATCTTCCATTTTGCTTAGTCTTTCCTCCACTTTTGTTCTACTGATGCACTTTCAGAAAATCAGCATTTAAAGATACCTAAAATTAGGAAATAATACTTTTTTTTCCTAACTAAGTTTCCATTAGTCTATTTTTTCTTTACAAACTTTATTGAGGGCTAAATTACATATAATAAGTGGCATCCATTAAAATTATGCAATATCATGAGTTTTAACAGTTGACTACACTCATGAAACCACCATTGCAGTCAAGATAACAGAATATTTCTGCCAACCCCCAAAGATTAACCTTTGATTTACTTTTTGTCATTATAGATTAGTTTGTATTTTATATATGTGGAATCATACAATATTTGTCTTTTTTATCTGGGTTTTTTCATCCAGGATAATAATTTTTAGATTCATCCATATTGTTGGGTGTATGTGATGTGCATTTTCTAAGTTGGCACTTGAAAAATAATTAAAATAGTATCAGGGTGAATAATACAACCGCATTTTCTAAGCCAGTGCTCCTGCATTTCTACCATTCTCCTTCTCATCCTCTTCCTCCTCTTCATCGTTTATTCACACTTGCATAGCACTTTATAGTTCTTTCACATTTACTCAGTGAATTAAGTCATTATTGCTCCTATTTTATAGATGAAGCACTTGTGGCTCAAAGAGAACAAGTGATTATTAGCTAGGAGGAGTTTTATGATGATATCTGGTAGGCATTTTTTGCAGCAGTGCTTCTACCTGTTAGCTTCATATTGCAATCACCTGGGAGCTTGGAACAACACTAATGCCTAAATCCCATCCCCAGAGTCCCTGATTTAGTTAGTCTGAGGTACAACCTGGGCATGGATATGTTTTAAATCTCCCCAGGATATTTCAATGCGTAGTCAAGATTGTATGGCAAATTTTCTTTGACCAATGTCTTTTAAAAATTAAATTCGTTGCTTTATTTAGTACTGTGTCCCTTATGGAGAAGAATTGAAAATTTAAAATACACTCGTGTGTGTGTGTGTGTGTGTGTGTGTGTGTGTGTGTGTGTGACCAGTTGACTCAGTCATCCTCCAGTAGCTACTTGTAATATACTTATGGAAGAGATTTCAAAATTGCCTAGGGGAAATAATAAATTCAGGTATAGATTCAAGTTATGATACTCAGAGAATTTCTAGAAAACAAATATATGTGATATTAAGTGTAAAATAAAAATTCACATGTTCAATTTGCCTTAACTCACTATTAGCACTTCTAGCACAAATAGATGCTAGAAATAGTCTGAAAAGGGTCTTATAATCAGCATTAAATTAGATGACTAACATCTCATTGGGAACAGCAGGAGAAAGAAAGAGAGGATTCTCCGGGTTCCCTTTTTGGCCTTTTCAAGGTAAGTTCTAGAAGAGAAGTCCCAATTCAAATGCCCCCAGAAGCCACGTGTGTGACATAAATGAATTAAATGAGCCTGGTAGGCATCAGAGCACAATTTCCATCTAAGGAGGAGAAGGAGCTGCTACTGAAGTCCAGCCAGTTGTTGCCATGATCAAGTAGGGCAATAATTCTCAGTTTTCAGTAGAAAGTAAAAATATGGATTTTTATGTAAAACTTTTCAATTGTAAAATATTGGCAATTAATCTTCATTTAAACCAAACAAAGTACATATTGTGGGAAAAACTGAATCTGCATCAGTTTGTAACTTCCAAAATGTAATAAAAATTGATTCATTTCTTGGTTGTTATCTGCTATGGCCTGAATGTGTTCCTCCAAAATTCACATGGAAACCTAATTCTCACTGTGGCGATATTAAGAGGTGGGATGTTTTTGGAAGTGACTAAGTTATGATGGCTCTTCCCTCATGAATGAGAGTGGTGCCCTTATAAAAGGGGTTGAGGGGAGTACTCTTACCTCCCTTGCACCATGCGAGGACACATAGAAGGTGCCATTTATGAGGAATGAGCCCTCACCAGACACTGAATCTGCCAGTGATCTTGGACTTTCCAGCCTCCAGAAGTGTGAATAATAAAATTCTGTTATTAATTACTCAGTCTAAGGTATTTTTATTATAGCAGCAGGAACTAAGGCACTCTCCATTCCTGCATGGAGTCTGGTTTTCTGCCAAAATTCTTGGACAATTATTCCTGGAAAGCAAATATTGGCCAAATAAGGGCACTTGAAATAATAGCTAATATTTTATTATATTTTATTTTTGAAATTGCCCTGTCACATAGGTACCATTCCTGTCTACATCATCTACAGTTTACAGAAAAGAAAACTATGATTCAAATTCTTATTCCCACTTTATTTTGAGGCTTACCTTGATAGTGCAATGGTATCCACTCATTAGATTGTAGTGTGTGCGTGTGCATGTGTGTGTATGCTATGGCTGCCAGTTTCCCCCAATGAAGAAATTCTTCACTGATCTTCCCAGTGAATATTTTTTCCAGTTTTCCATAAAGAGGATATATTAATGTCATACTCAGTGAAATAATTTTAAACAAAGAAATGTTATTGAGATGATTTTTATTCCTAAAATCACAGGTTTGTTGGTCTTACTTTTTCTGGTCTCAGCTTTTGAATTTATTATCAATTGGTTACTGCATGTTACTATTCTGCTGCCTACTCTCACCCTGCAATCAACATTTCTAAAGCTAATTTTTCCCCCAAACCAAATAACCTTTCTTGGTATCCTTATTTCTGTCTCCTTTTTATCCAAGCCCCAGCTCTGGATTTTTTTTTTTTTTTCATCTCCAGCTACTCATTTCCTCCTTAATGTGTTTTCCTCCAATGTGTGTCTTTGTCACCTCAACTTGCATCTGTCTCCAAGCTGGATCCTTATCTTTGAGGTCTCTTACTTCCAGCTTGTGTGACCACTGCCAGAGCAATCTTCCAAAAGCACATTTTGGGCATATCACTTCCTGCTCAAAAACCAATTACAAGACTTGTTTAAAAAATAGTTTCTGGCCGGACACAGCGGCTCATGCCTGTAATCCCAGCACTTTGGGAGGCCAAGGCAGGTGGATCCCCTGAGGTCAGGAGTTTGAGAGCAGCCTGGCCAACATGGTGAAACCCCATATCTACTAAAAATACAAAAATGAGCTAGGCGTGGCGGCACGTGCCTGTAGTCCCAGCTACTCAGGAGGCTGAGGCAGGAGAATCGTTTGAACCCAGGAGGTGGAGGTTGCAGTGAGCCATGATCAGGCCCTGCACTCCCGCCTGGGTGACAGAGTGAGACTACAACTCAAAAACAACAACAAAACAACAACAACAACAAAACCCCAGCTTCTTCCAGGTCTATGGCAGGGTAAGCTCAAAATGAACCTGGAACATCTTGTGCCAGAAAGCAAGAAAATGTTCAAAGAATGACATGAGTATGTCAAAGGGCATAGGAGTTGACCTACAGGGATGTTCACATTGGCCGAATTTGGACCATCTGTGCATCTAAAAGAATAATCGCATTTATGGATTATAGCACAATGAATTAGAAGATCTGTGAGTCCAGAAAATATAGACAGAGGCAAAGGAGAGAGGAATGGGAAATGGAAGTTGTTCTGTGCAGAAAAATGATAACATAAATGCAGATAAATTATAGCATTATGAAAGCAGCACATTGGAACCACAGTGATTGCTGGTAATCAATGAATATGAGGATCATCAGTGGATGCTAAATCCATCAGTTGAAATGTTATTAAGAAACAGAATATGACACTGTCTCAAAGCATCACCTTGGCAGTTATTTACTAATTGCCAAGAGGAAAATGTACCTATCCAGGGAAGAGATCTGAAGGATACTCTTAACCAAGAGATCAAACTTAGCACCACCCTTAGCATGAAAGGCCCACAATGTACACCACACCCATTAAGTATTCTCGCTAAAATGTTTGAATTCAATTGTGAGAAAATAATCAGAAAAGCCCAGAATGTGAGACATCTACAAGACAACTGTCAGGGATTCTTAAAAACAGTTTAACACCCCAAAAAACAAAAAGGCAGAAAGACTAGTGTAAATTAAAGGAAACTAAAGAGATGTAGTCTTGTACATAAACCTTTATTGGATCCTGTACAAAAAAAATTTAAAAGTTACAAAATAATAGAATGTTTTTATTCTTAGGAGGTGTATGCTGAAATATTTAGGGGTGAAATATCATAATGTCTGCAACCTAATGGCTCAGTAACAAAAACACATAATAAATACATATTTGTATATATGTACAGGTGTACATATATACTTTGCATGAATATATACACACATACACACAGAGAAAGAGAGAAAGCACAAACAAATATGGTAAAATATTCATGTAGGTGATTCTAGATAAAGGATATGTAGGGGTTTATTGTGCTATACTTTCAACTTTTTTGTAGATTTGACATTTTTTAAGGTTGGGAGGAGGGAAGTCCCTTGCCCTGAAGGATAAAGTCCAGATTTCTTAACCTGGCATTCAAGGCCAGCTCTGGCCTGGATCTACCAAGCTGTACTCACTTTTTAAGCTACTCAAGGGCTGAATTGTGCCCTATCAACCTTGTTTTCCCAGCATTAGTACCATGTCAATCTGTCTTCAGAGCCTTTCTCCTCACTCATCTGAATAAACCCCTCTTAGATTAAACCTACTTTCTCACAACTCTGGTTGCACTGATCTGCCTGTGAATAACACCCATTCTCTCTACTCAAATGAAAACACCCCCCTCTCCATCAATCCTATCGTCACTTGAATATGAATATAAATTTCAATACTATACCTGACATTTTCCTTTATATTGTTGTAAAGATATTTTAATATCTTTATAAGAGGAAAGCAGAGGTCATAGCTTATAATTCTTAGAGAACCCACTCTACCTAGAAAATAACAGGTCTTCAATAGATAGTTATGGGTTGATTGATCACATCCTTCACTGCATTTTCATAAGAGGAGATCATTATTTTGATATCAAAATTCCACAAGGAAAGAATAAATTTAGTAAATTACCTAGTTACCTCTATGTGATGCCAAACTAAACGTTATTTAAAAGCTTATTTTTAAGATCAAATAGGTTTGGATTACTTTTTTTTTTATTTCTATGTGGGCATTTAGTATTGTATAGACTGCATGAGCTTGGGTGAATAGGGGAATGTAGCTATCTGATAATTTATCCACAATATCCCCTTGTCGCATTCTATGGTACTAACCTGCTTCTATGTTTTAATTTAGACACTGCTGTCAATTATCTTTTCTTCCCTCGGAATTGCTTTTTCTGGATACTGCCTGGTCATCTCTGCCTTGGGTCTTGTCCAAGGGCCATATTGCCGCACCCTTGATGGCTGGGAGTATGCTTTTGAAGGCACTGCTGGACGGTAAGGAATAATTCCCCAAACCAAGGAGGTCGGAAAATCAGAAACACCTTGCCTCATGCTCAAGCTCACGCTCATTTTCCATGATCACTTTGGGGTTCCATGTGGCTGTTTTAGTGCAGAATTTCCCTGTTAGTTTACTAATATCCAGACCAATTTGTTCTTGCACAGATCTTTGTTTAGATTTTTTTCTTCAGTCTTTTAATGCCATTTTCATTCAATGTCTTGAGGTTGTCATGGAGCTATCCAAATGAAAGGTGTGTTTCTCCCATACCTCAGATTAAAGTTGTGTGGTTACTATGGTCTGGTCTGGTAACAGCTGGAGCTTATGGACTGGGTGGATCCAGGAACTCAGTTTTGTTTTATGGCCAGGTTGGACATGTGGTCTGTTACAAGTGTAAAAGGGCTTGAGGAGGAGAGAAACCATGGTGCTCTTGGATGGTGCCACTCAGGGCTATAGTAGGAGGGATGATAAAGAGATAGAACAAGGCAGGATGAGCAGGAAAGTACAGTCTGAGGTCCAGGAACATGATTAGGTGCAGGAGTTTGTGGAATGAGCCAGAGCTTATGCAGCTTATACTGGAGAAGGGTCTAAAGAGGTAGCCTTGCTCAGAAGGCTAGTAATTCAGTCAGGAGTCTCACAACCCAATCCCGGATCTCAGAATGCCTCACACTGGCATTGTGCTGGGCTTATTGGGTTCCCAGCACCAGATGCAGATTAGGAGGTAGCAGGGCCCAGAAAGAAATACAGAAGAGGTCCAGAATTCTAATGGAGTAAAATGAGGGAATGTCTGTACCATTCACTGGGGGAAGTTAAATTTTCTTCTCAACTCTCCATGATTAGCTTTATTGTTCAAGGCCCATGTCCATCTGAGGTCTTACATGTGCATCTAGGCCTACATGGCAGAGCTGCTTCTGTGACTGTAGCTGCCTTCATTCTGAAGATTTTTACATGGTGCCATATACCATGACCTTTCTTAGCAAACATGACTCTCCCTCAGGTCTCTCCTACTTGCATATCCATTTATAGGCTCTCTGCAAGAAGAAAAATATGGCTCTTTTTGCCCAACCCCACAGGCAGTCAGACCTTATGGTTGTCTTCCCTTGTTCCCTAAAAATCTCTGTTATTCTGCTCTTTTTCAATGTGCACTGATTTCATATTGTTCAAACCACATGTTTTACAATCAATTTGTACAGTTAACACAATTATCACAGTGGTCCTGAGGTGGTGTACATCCTCAACTTATGAAGATAACAGGATTAAGAGATTAGAGTAAAAACAGGCATAAGAAATTATAAAAGTATTATTTGGGAACTGATAAATGTCCATGAAATCTTCACAATTCATGTTTCTCTGCCGCGGCTCCAGCCAGTCCCACCATTTGGGGTCCCCGACTTCCTGCAACATTGCAAGTCATCTTGTTTTAAATTGCTAGATGATCTGTGCAGAGCATGTACTAGGAACAGTCTAGAGGAGGGATCTGGAGGGACTCATTTCCCTGGCAGCTGAGATGGAGATAGGGGTAAATGGGGGTATGAGATAGGTTTAGGGAAATTTAACAGAAAGCCACATCTGTATTGTACTTTACAGGTTCCAAACTGTTTGTATACACATTCTTACCAAATATTCACAATAACTCTGGGGTTAGATATTTTAACCCCATTATCAAGATAAGAGTCTGGAGGGCCAGGCGCGGTGGCTCATGCCTGTAATCCCAGCACTTTGGGAGGGTGAGGCAGGCAGATCATGAGGTCAGGAGATCGAGACCATCCTGGCTCACACGGTGAAACCCCGTCTCTACTAAAAAAATACAAAAAATTAGCCGGGCGTGGTGGCGGGTGCCTGTAGCTACTTGGGAGGCTGAGGCAGGAGAATGGCGTGAACCAGGGAGGCGGAGCTTGCAGTGAGCGAAGATGCGCCACTGCACTCCAGCCTGGGCGACAGAGCAAGACTCCGTCTCAAAAAAAAAAAAAAAAGTCTGGAGGCCAGAGGGGTAAAGTTCTTTGCTCAACATCCTGCAGACCCAAATCCAGGAATTCTGATTTCATATTCTGTGCTCTTTCCCATTGGAGACAAGAGCCATTAACAATATAAAGAAATTCTCAGAGTGCCTCTATTTCCTGGAGCATTAGAAAGTAGAAAATAAATAAAGGTGGGGAAAGAGTAAAAAAGAAGGAAGTAGGAAAGAAATGGAAGAGGGAGAAAGAAAAACAAAGAGGCCATGGGGGTGATAAGGCAAGCACAACATTTATAACACACTAAGTATCTAGCTCAGTGCTATGCATAAGATATGTCCAATATGTGTATCTGAATGGTTTTTAAAATGTATTAATTCATATCTAATAACTATATATTTTAGTTATACAGTAATTTCTCAAACATACAAATGCTTGTAGCTTTCTTCCTTGGACCCAGTATGTAGATTTGGCCATGGGTCTCTCTCAGTTTCCTTACAGATTCTAGCATATGGATTCAGTGCCTGGAACCTGCACATGTTGTGGAGTGGAACATCATTTTATTTTCCATTCTCATAACCCTCAGTGGGCTTCAAGTGATCATCTGCCTCATCAGAGTAGTCATGCAACTATCCAAGATACTGTGTGGAAGCTATTCAGTGATCTTCCAGGTAACAGATTCTCATGGGCACCTGTAGCTCATCCATATTTCCCCCACTTCCCAGGATTCAATGAGGCTTTTTGAAAAGACTCTAGAATTCCATCACTTTCCCCCCATTTCTATTGCCCTCATCTTTATTCAAGCTCTAATATCTCAATTTTTTCTGATATCCCAATGTGTCTTGGCTTATCTATAAGGGTTGAATCAACTCAGTAATTGTAAAATCTGCATTTCTTGTTGTATGGTAAGGCTTCATAAGTGTTTTGAATGAGCAAAGTTTTAGTGTTCTACATAGAGATAACTCAAAGCATGATGAAATTTTACCATTTATCAAGAATTTCCCTGTTCATAAGTTAAGCAAAGGCTCAGAACCTTATCTCATTGAAATAACTTCTCTTCTGAATGCTGCTACATTCAACTAATGAACCTTTATCTCGAGTGCATAGGAGTGCTTTTGAAGAAGAAGGGAAATATGTATTTATCCCATTGAAACTACTTCTACTTCGTCTGCTAAAATACTAATGTTAATTTAGTTATGGTTGAAACTGCTATCAAGAAGTCCAGAGTGAAGAAAAATTATGAATTTAGATGGCTTGTATTTTGTTTAACAACAGAATGTGTAATACCTTTCCTAGCAATTTCTAAGAGATGTTTTTTCTGTTCTATCATATTTTGAATATGAAATATAAGTTTAAGTTGCTATCTGGATTACGGATTACTAATCAAGCCAAGTTTATAACTTTAATCACTTTGTTTTTCCTTTTTTCCTATAGCCTGGAATCATTTGAATAAGGACAAAATGTTTTCCATTATCAAGACATGGCCATCTATCTAAATATTATATCAACTGTGTAGACTTGAGGGCAATATTGAAATGATGGTGCTTTCTGCATTTGGTGTTTATTTGTAAAAAATTTGCAGTCCTCACTGCACATGCAAGTATACCACCCTTCCATTTAGTATGTTTTTTAAGTAATATGCATCAGAAACTTCAGAAATACTTCTGCCCTTTGATCAAACAAATCCATTTCCAAGAATCTGTACTAGGGAAGTAAATAAGAATATGAGAGAAACCTTTATGCAAATATGTATATTGCAACATTATTTAATATTCTGGAAAATTGGAAACACCCCAAAATTCTAAACTCAGAGGAAGGATTAAGTAAAGAGTGGTACATACTGTAAATGTTTTCTGATATTAAAAAAAAAATTAAATAAAAAATAAAGAGTACTACATGGTTGTAAAATTACAGTCATTACAAATGATGTTTTTAAAATTATGAATAATGCTACATCAAAAAGCAGGTTACAAATTCATGTTTACTATATAACTATTTAAAGCAAATGAAACACTAATAGTCAAAGTTTAGGATGAAAACTAAATCTAAAAGGAAATATAACAAAATGCCAATTATGCTTGGTTTGGGGCATTGATGACCCTTCTTCCCACTTTTCTATATTTTCCAAGATTTCTTTATTGAATATGTTTTACTATAAATATTTTCTAAACTCATATTTTCACTATTAAAATTTTTTTATTTTTCCAAACTTTAAGGCATATGCTCTTTCCACATTCCTCAACATTATTTGCAAACATCATGAAATGACACTTCCATCAACATTCAATGAGGAAAGTAGTGATATAGATGAGCCAAAAAGAGTTTTATATAAACTTATACAATCTAAACTCTTGCTCTTCCTTTCTGACTCCTGAGGGTGAGTGTGATGGACTAGAAGAGGTAGCCTTAAAATAAGTGAGCAGCTAGGGAACATGCTCAATGGGCAAGAGAAAATGACCACTGACCAGTCAATACCTGTGTCAGGGGGAGTTACCAGTACCTATATTTATTTTTAAAGTAATTAAAAAGTAGAACACTTACAAATTTTCCACCTATACATGCCATGTCTTCCTCGGGGACAGTAGCCACATCTTATATATTTCCCACCATGCATAGGACCCAGCACACAGTGAAGCCAGTAGGCACTCAGTGTTGAATGCTCATACCAGGTTTTCTGCTTCCTGTAGTTACCCTGCTGAGCACTGCTTCCATCACAGGTGCACTGGGCCTCAACACTTCTGCCATTTCCCCATTTGTCTCCTCCATGGACACTGTCAACAATGGTCTGTCAACACCTGCTCTGTGCCAAAGCCAGGGAGTAGGCTGGGGGGATACGGAAGAGAATATCTTTCTCCTTGATGCCTGCTGTGCCAACAGCCCCCTTTAAGCCTTGTTCACAGCCTTTGCTGAAACAAGCATCTTGAAAGCAAGCCATGTTATACACCGCATGACCTTCATGCTCTGGGCCCAGCTGACTGAACTGGGGCAGGCCCCAGAGTCATGGGCAGCCTATTGTCTTGCTAATGGCCTCTGACTTAGCCTGGAGTAAAACACTGTCCAAACAAGACTGGTGGTTATTCAAGCATAAGAATTTGAACTAGGAAGCCAAGAATGAAGCAACCGGACCATTACCATCAAAAAATGATTAAAGGATGAAGAAGGAAGCCAACATTCAGAGAGTATCTGGTTCATGTTAATAATGGTATCATATTAAAAGGAAGATACATGAACTTCTACTCCAAAAGCTCCTAAAACTGCCTTTGCCCACAATGAACAGTGTACCCTAGGCCTGGTTTCTGTTCTTGGATTCCTAGATAGTCTTTCTTCTTTGTCACTGTGCTGATCATTTCAGTAAACCCCCGACTAAATCAGTGCAGCTCTGTTTATTGCAACTAAAACGATCCAAATGAAGTCTCCCTTTTCTAGATGTTGGGTTGGAGGGATGCTAAGACAAAGATGCTTAGGCTCCAGAGTTTTACAGAGCTTCATTCAATAACACTCTACTTTCCAAAGAACTTAAATATGAGGTCTGAAGGACTTGGACCAAGAGGCAAACCCAAGCTACAGACACCATGTTGTACTCAGAGTGACCTCTCCCCTCTGACAGCCCAGGATTTCTCTATCAAGTCCATAAGCTAGTCATATCTAGGACCATCTTGTTAAAAATTCTCTCAAAGTCTCCTCAGCCCTCTTGTAAACAGACTTCTGGAAGGTCCACTTCATCAGTTTGTTATATACTTTCAGACTGTCTATCTCTTGTTTAGATTCAGCATGGCACCGTACGTTGAATGGACTGTTAATAGATGTTTGCTGAATGACTCCACCACAGCATTGGACACATCAGGGGTACAGCCAAATGCAGCATGATACCTCTATCAGGAAAATTAAATTTTAACACAGCCACCAAATATTCTATATTTGAAGAGTATATGCTAATCATGCAATTTTAAGTAAAAAAAAGCTGAATACAAAAAAAGCTGAATATGTGTTTTATATCCTCGTGAATTCAAAGTAAAAAGGAAAAAAAACTCAAAAACCAAATATATGTATGCAGTTTGAGCCCAAATTTTTAATTAAGTAACCATATAATTACATGTAGACATGTATAAACCTTGAGATATGTAAAGACCAGAAAAATATTTAAAAGTTAATAGTTACATCATCTGTGGTCACAACACCCTGAAAATGCCTAATATTGGAAACTTAAGCAGGATTGATCCAGGTTATTACTTGGATGGGAGACCAGATGCTATAGGCTGAAAAAAGAAAGCATAAGTACGCACAAGTTAATACTTAATAATTATCTCCTAATGATAGGACTATAAGTTCTATCTCTTTTCTTTACATTGTTCAGTATTTTCAAATTTCCCTTTGAAAATGTGTTATGTACTTGAATTATTAGAAAAAATAAATGTCATTTAAAAAGCAATGGTCCTCTAATTCTTTCTGTAAAATTCATTTAAGGAGTTAAAATAGAAAATATATATAGGTATGTATATGACTGGCCTTCTCTTACCCTTTCCAGAAATAATCTTTCCACTTTTTAATTCTGAGAGTATTATGAGCTAATCCTGATTGAGAATGATTTATGTTTTATGCATTTCTGCACTTATTATTTATCTACTGTTCTCCTTGCTTCTATCTCATTGTTATTTTCCTAACTTCTTAAATAGAATACCTAGCTTATTGATTTTCTAACTTTCTTTTTTTCTTAAAATAAGCACTTAAGACTAGACATTCTTTAATTACCACTTTGGCTGAATCTCACAAGTTTTAAAATGTTGCATTTTCCTTGTTTGGTTATAAATATTTTCTAGTTTTCTTTATGATTTATTTTTTGATCCATGAGATTTTTAATGTGCTTTAAAATTTCCAAGTATATGGCTGGGCGCAGTGGCTCATGCCTGTAATCCTAGCACTTTGGGAAGCCGAGGAGGGCAGATCACAAGGTCAGGAGTTCGAGACCAGCCTGGCCAACATAGTGAAACCTTGTCTCTACCAAAAATACAAAAAAATTAGCCGGGCATGGTAGTGGGTGCCTGTAATCCCAGCTACTCGGGAGGCTGAGGCGGGAGAATCGCTTGAACCCTGGAGGCGGAGGTTGCAGTGAGCCAAGATTGTGCCACTGCACTCCAGCCCGGATGACAGTGTGAGACTCCATCTCAAAACAAACAAACAAACAAACAAACAAACAAACAAACAAAAACTTTCCAAGCATATGAGTTTATGTTATATTTTTATGATTTGAACTCAATTGTATTATGATCGTAGAAAGTGGTCTGTGTGATTCCGATAATTTGAAAGTTTTTAAGATTTCTTTTATGATTACTTTTTGTAAATGTTCTATGTGCTGTAAAAGTATATGTTTTCTCCAAATATTGAGGGCGGAATTCTATATGCATACTAAAATTAGGTCAAGTTGTTAATTTTGTTCAGGTCTTCAATATTCTGTTTGGTTGTTTGCTTGATTTAGGGTTGCCGTGAGGATTAAATGAATATATAGAGAGAGTAATTTTATACTTTTATTGATATACATATCAGAAAACAGTATTTGGCCATGGATATGATTTATAAGTGGCCTATAGCACAGTGGAATAAAGATGTACTTTGGAGTCAAGTTGCTTGGGTTCAAATCTGGGCTCTGCCTTATTAGGTGTGTGACTTTGGTCAAGTTTACTTAACCTCTGTGTGCAACAGTTTCTGAGTCTGTAAAACAGGAATAATAATAGGGTTGTTGTGAAGATTAATTGAGTTCAAACATGTAAAGTTCTTAGTGCCTGGTTGACTTAAATCAGAACCCAGGTGCAGTTGGAGCAGATTTGGGATGGTGGGGACATGGAAATGCCACAAAAACAACAGAAAGGGAAGGGGATGGAGAAAGGTCATAGGGTTACAGGGACAGCAAAGGGTCAGCCATTTTGGGAGAGAAAGAAGGTGAAGGTAGGTAGGCATTGTTAGGCTAGACAAAGTGCACAAGAAGCCAGCACTGCCTTACCTTTTGTCACATGCTTGGAGACTGTGAGCTTAACAGACATCATATTCAGATTCCTAAAACCCCTGCCTCTGGCCTATACATTTCCATCCCTTTGGAAAGCTATAAGGAATAGGGGCAATCCATGGTTACTACTGTGAAAATCATAACTATTTGTATTCAGAAACAATCCTGCTAGCTCTCCTTCCTGCTTTGTGAGATGAAGCTGAAAATTAAGGACAAGATTCCAGTTCTAGAAGAACCGAGATATATGGCAGGAAATTAAGTTAACGAGTCATGCTTGAGTGTGTGCAACTGGACAGGCAGGGCAAGATACACAAACCTGGCCACTGAAATCTTTTTACTTTAGAAAGAGCACTGGGTGTGGTGCCTGGCTACCCAGGTCAGAGATCACCCCATGCCTAGTCAGTCCAAGGAACTTAATCAATTCAGATAAAATGCTTTATCTGGGTTAAGATGAAAACACACACACACACACACACACAAATTTCACTGCTGCCTAAAATCACACTAAATTTACAATAAAAGTTTTTTTTAAGACATAAAACCACAAATATGGGGAGATTAGGAGAGGTGGCAAAAGCAATAAAATTTTGGAAGCTACAAAACATATTGATGACAGGTAACTGATCAAACCAACCCAAGAAACATGAGAATCCTGAGCTGTCAGTGGGGGAAGCTGAAGACTAACCTGATTTATACTTCAGAATTTTCCAGAGACTCCCAAATTGATAGTATCAGAGCCCTCTGGACCTGGAAGTGAAGGAAGACCATTAAAACAGGAATTCTGTGAGTCCCTGCATCTTTTCTCCTCTCCATGCCACTGGGAAGTGACTGGCATCTGAAAATTCTCTGGGCAGGGTAAAATAGACGGTCTTCTCTGAGTTGAAGGAAACTAGATTCACTAAAGATATGAATATAAACCCCAAAATCAGAAGAATTAAGTAACTGGTATATCCTGAAGGATGAATGCTGAGGCACTCCTCCCACAAAGCCCTCTTAACCCACTCAGATCTCAGAACGCTGGTGGCCAGTCAGAGTTTGACCTTCCCAGCTGGAGACTCTCTAGCAAGTCTGGCCAGTATGAGGGAAAATTTTAGATATTAGCTGTAGTAGGCTAAATAACAGCCCCGACAAAATGCCATATCCTAATCCATGGGACCTGTGAATATGTTACACAGGAAAGGATGGAAATGGATTTTGCAGTTGTGATTAAGTTAAGGATCTTAAAATGGGGGGGTGGGAGGGTTCCTGGATTTTCCAGGGGAGCCCAGTGTAATCATACAGTCCATATAGAGGGAGGTAACAGTATTAGATTCAGAGAGAAAAGATGTAAAGATGGAAGTAGGAATCAGAGAAGACAGAAGTTACTACACTGCTGGCATTGAACATGAAGGAAGGGGCACTAACCAAGGAGTGCGTGGCCTCTAGTAACTGGAAAAGACAAGGAAACAGATTCTCACCCTAGAGCTGCCAGAAGAACACAAGCCTGCCAACACCTTTTTTTTAGTCCAGTGAAACTGATTCTGGATTTTTGCTCTTTAGAACTGCAGATACTGCAGATAATAAAGTTGTGTTGTTTGGTCACTAAGTCTGTGGTTATTTTTCACAGAAGCAGAAAGAAACGAATATCTTGGCATTTGAAATTCCTCAGTCAATGATTCACCCAATTCGCACACAGTGAAATTCAGAGGAAATAAGCTCAAAGCTCACTCTGAGTTTCCAAGCAGCACTTTTCTTGACTCATTAAT
This sequence comes from Homo sapiens, assembly GCF_000001405.40. Lineage (NCBI taxonomy): Eukaryota > Metazoa > Chordata > Mammalia > Primates > Hominidae > Homo > Homo sapiens. The sequence continues at coordinate 149,315,183 of NC_000003.12, read as the reverse complement.
ACAAGTAAATAGTCAAGTGTCCTAGACATCTGATGAAAGTCTCTTACATGAAAGATAGAGAGCAAATACGTTTTTATTTTTTAAATTTATTTTCCATTTGAGTTTTAGATCGGGGGTATATGTGCAGGTTTGTTATAATGGTATATTGCATGATGCTGAGGGTGAGGCTGCTATTGATTCCATTACCCAGTTAGTGAACATAGTACCCAACAGGAAGTTTTGCAGCCCTTGCCCCACTCCCTTCCTCCCTCCTTCTGGAGTCCTCAGTGTCTGTTTCCATCTTTATGTCCGAGTGAACCAAAGATTTAGCTCTCACTTATAAGTGAGAACATGCAATATTTGTTTTTCTGTTTCTGCATTAATTCGCTTAGGATAATGGCCTCCAGTTGCATTCATCTTGCTGCAAATGACATGAAATCATTTTTTTAATGGCTGCATAGTATTTCATGGTATATATGTGCAACAGTTTCTTTATCCACTCTCCCATTGATGAATTTTTAGGATAATTCCATGTCTTTGTTATTGTAAATAGTGCTGCAATGAATATACATGTGCACATGTCTTTTTTGTAGAACAATTTATTTTCCTTTGGGTATATACTCAGTAACGGGATTGCTGGGTCAAATGGTAGTTCTATTCTTAGTTTTTTGAGAAATCTCCTAACTGCTTTCCACAAGGGCTGAACTAATTTGCATTCCCACCAACAATGTATAAGCATTCCCTTTTCTCTGTAACCTCACCAACATCCATTATTTTTTGACTTTTTAATAATAGCCATTCTGACTAGTGTGAGATGATATCTCATTGTGGTTTTGATTTGCATCTCTCTGATGATTAGTGATGTTGAGCATTTTTTCATATGTTTGTTGGCCACTTGTATGTCTTATTTTGAGAAGTGTCTGATCATGTTCTTTGACCACTTTTAAATGAGGTTTTTGGTTTTTTCTTGTTGATTCATTTAAGTTTCTAATAGATTCTGGATATTAGATCTTTGCCAGATGCGTAGTTTGAAAATATTTTCTCCCATTCTGTAGGTTGTCTGTTTACACTGTTGATAGTTTCTTTTGCTGTGCAGAAGCTCTTCGTTTAATTAAGTCCCATTTGTCTATTTTTTATTTTGTTGCACTTGCTTTAAGGGTCTTCATCATAAATTATTTGCGTAGGCCAATGTCTAAAAGAGCATTTCCTAGGTTTAATTTTATAATTTTTATAGTTTCAGGTCTTACATTTAAGTCTTTAATCCATTTTGAGTTAATTTTTGTATGTAGTGACAGATAAGGGTCCAGTTTTATTCTTCTGCACATGGTTAGCCAGTTATCCCAGCAGCATTTATTGAATAGGGTGTCCCTTCTGGATTGTTTATTTTTGTCAACTTTGTCAAAGATCAGTTGGTTGTAGGGGTGTGGCTTTATTTCAGGGGTCGCTATTCTGGTCCATTGGTCTATGTGTCTATTTTTGTACCAGTACCATGATGTTTTATTAATAGTTACTGTAGCCTTGTATTACAGTTTGAACTGGCTTTGTTATTTTTGTCTAGGATTGCTTTGACTATTTGGGCTCTTTTTGGGTTACATACAAATTTTAAAATAGTTTTTCTAATTTTGTGAAAAATGACACTGGTTATTTGATAGGAAAAGTGTTGAATCTGTAGATTGCTTTGGGCAGTATGGAAATTTTAACAATATTGATTCTCTCAACCCATGAGCATGGAATGATTTTCCATTTCTTTGTGTCATCTATTATTTCTTTCATCAGTGTTTTCTAGTTTTCCTCATAGACGTAGTTCACCTCTTTGGTTAGATGTATTTCCAGGTTATTTTGTGTGTGTGTGTGGCTATTGTAAATGGAATTGCATTCTTGATTTTGTTCTCAGCTTGAATGTTATCAGTGTACAGAAATGCTACTGATTTTTGTACATTGATTTTTGTGTCCACAGACTTTCCTGGATTTGTTTACCAGGCCTAGGAGCCGTTTGGTGGAATCTTTTGGATTTTCTAGGTATAGATCATATCTCAGCAAAGAGGGGGGTCATTTAATTTCCTCATTTTCTATTTGGATGCCTTTTATTTATTTTGCCTGATTGTTCTGGTTAGGACTTCCATTACTATGTTGAACAGGAGTAGTGAGAGTCGGTACCTTGTTCCAGTTCTTAGGGGGAAGGCTTCCAGCTTTTTCCCATTCAGTATGATGTCGGCTGTGTGTTTGTCATAGATGGCTCTTATTACTTTAAGGCATGTTTTTTTTTTTGTTTTGTTTTGTTTTGTTTTTTTTTTTTGAGACGGAGTCTCGCTCTGTCGCCCAGGCTGGAGTTAAGGCATGCTCTTTTGATACCTAGTTTGTTGAGGGTTTTTATCATGAAGGGATGTTGGACTTTATTGAATGTTTTTCTGCATCATTGAGATGATCATATGGTTTTTGTTTTTAATTCTGTGTATGTGGTAAATTACATTTATTGATTTGTATATGTTGAATCTTACACCCCAGGAATAAAGCCCACTTGAAATAACTTTTTGATGTGCTGCTGGATTTGGTTTGCTAGTATTTTGTTGAAGATTTTTGCATCTATGTTCATCAGGGATATTGGTCTGTCATTTTCTTTTTTTATTGTTCTTTGCTAAATTTTTAGTATCAGGATGATACAGGTTTTATAGAATGAGTTAAGGAGGAGTCCCTCTTTCTCATTTCAGGGCTTATTTGACTGGTAGGTTTTTAATTACTGCTTCAATTTCATTACTTGCTTCTGTTCTATTCAATATTTCTGTTCCTTCCTTGTTCAACTTTGTTCAGTCTTCCTTGTTCAATTCCTTGTGTTTCCATTAATTTATTCATTTCCTCTAGTTTGTGTAAATAGATATGCTTATAGTAGCTTCTGAGGATCTTTCGTATTTCTGTGGGATCTATTGTGATGTCACCTTTATTAATTTCTAATTGTGCTTGTTTGGATCTTCTTTCTTTTTTCTTTGTTAATCTAGCTAGTGGTCTATCAATCTTGTTTATCCTTTCAAAAAACCAACTTTTTATTTTATTTACCCTTCATATGTTGTTTTTTTAAAGAACAAACAATTTTTTTAAAAGATCAATTTGGATGAAACAATCTTGGAGAGAAGAAAACTTTTTAAAAAACTGTTATCAATATTCTTAGAGGGGTAAAAAATGATTATCTGTTCAGGAAGCAATATGAGAATGCTATTAATAAAAACCCATTCACAGAGTAACACAAAAATAATTCTTGAGATTTAAAAATAAGATAGCATAAATGAGAAACTCAATCAAAAATTTGTAAAATGAAGTCAAGGAATCATCCAGAGACTAAAGCAAAAAGAATAAGAGGTCTTTTTTAATGGAGAAAAAAGCTAAGAAAATTAGAAAGCCAGTCAAGTCTATGTAGTCCCATCCCAAGTAACAGGAATTTCTTGAAAGAAAGAACATAGGATTGGAAGGCACAATTCACTATTTTAAAACCCTGAGGTAATATGGATAGTTATAAGCCTCCAAGAGAAATAGCAAAGGTCACAAAGAAAGTATAGGGAATTATATGAGCTTTAGACTTCTGAATAGCTAAATTGGATTAAGACTGTGGAGCAATGCCTTTAAGATTCTGAAGAAAATTATTTCCATGATTTCCACATTTTCAAATGAGCAAATTCTCAAAAACTCTCCCTCGCAAGAAGCCACTGGAGAACGCACTCCACCAAAATGAGAGATTTCCTCTTCTTCCAAGAACGGGAAGAAATGGGATTCAGGAAACAGAAGATAGGGCAGAGGAGACAGGCGAGAGGAATGCCCAGTAAAGAGTGTCCCAGAATGACAGCTGTTCAGCAGGTGTAAAGCAACCAGTCCATGGGAGCTGTGTGACCTGAGAGTTAGCTATGCCAAGGATGCTCATCAGCAAGATCCCTGCTGCCAATGTACAGTTCTTTTAACTTCAGGAAAGCATGCCTGGGTGAGAGTCTCATCTTTACTTGGCTTGACTTAACTTCGTGCTGAAGATGTTCCGGCTTTCCCTTCCACTTTCTTCTGTTTGGATCAGCTAAGAACACTCATTTTCCTACATAGAAGTGCTTCTCTTGGCCTACTCCTGAGAGTTGGAGTTAGGCCATGGGAGCTTTAAAGGGGAATAGACAGTAGCTCATTACACCTGGCATACTCTTGTCAAATATTTAGTACCTGGTCCAAACCACAGGCTTGCTAGCTTCTCTGACTCTGGAAAGCCCCGTGTTTAGCAGAAGTCACTCCTGACTTTCCAAGACTCTTAAAACTTCAGGTAGCTGAAACCAAACTGTGACTAAAAAACATCTCAGCTGATCTTCTCCCAGGAACCTTCATCTAACAGTAGCACAGTTGCCCTTTTCTCACAAATAGTTTTGTGGAATGAAAATAAAAACTTGGGAACCTAATTCACTATGCCAAAAGGAAAATTTAAGCTGAAAGCTGAGTCATGCAAGAAGCTGCCTTTCCTTTTGTTCCTAAATAAACAGCTACAGATAAAAGGTTAAATATCTTCACAGGTAGCTGTTCCGTGTTCACCTTATCTTATGTAAAATCCCAATTTACTGAGTATGAGATGAATACACAATTGACTATTCCCCTATCTGCTTATTTTCTCTTGCAACATGTGGATTCAGTATTGTGACTATATCCTTCCTTTTTTGCCTCCAGCCTGCTTTTCCCCTTTAAATACTGAACCCTTCAAAATCATCTTTGGAGAAAAACACAGACTGATTTCCCAGGCATACCTCAACCTTGGCAAAATAAACTTCTAAATTGATTGAGACTAGGTTATACTTGCTGTATTAGTACATTCTCACATTGCTATAAAGAAATACCTGAGACTGGGTAATTTATAAAGAAAAGTGGTTTAATTGTCTCATGTTTCTGCAGGTTGTACAGGAAGCGTGATGCCAACATCTGCTCAGCTTCTGGGGAGGCCTCAGGAAACTTACAATCATGACAGAATGCAGAGGGGGAGCAGTCATTTCACATGGCAAGACCAGGAGCAAAAGAGAGAGAAGGGAGGTGCCGCACACTTTTAAATGACAAGATATTGCAAGAACTCACTCACTATCACAAGGACAGTACCAAGGAGATGGTACTAAACCATTCATGAGAAATCTGCCCCCACAGTCCAATCACCTCCCACCAGGCCCCACCTCTAACATTGGAGATTACATTTCAATATGAGATTTGGGTCGGGACATAGATCCAAACCATATTACTTGGTATTCCTTTTTCTTCAAAAATAAACAATATATTGTTTAGGGTTAGAAATACAGGTGATACATGATACAGGAGAGGCAGAGTATTTTCCAGGAAATGAGCTGTGTTCACCAAGGTAGATTCCAGTGTCACTCTGGCTATTGCTAGGTCTTTAACAATAAGTTCTGGATTTTATACAGAAAGTCTTATTGGAGGAATCTTGAGGAATTCAAGTTTACAAAAAGCCTCAAGCACAGCAGTCCAAGAACTGATATTAATACTGAGGTCTTGGGCCTTTATCATATTCTCCAAAATTTCTAAGTAACCTCTGTATAACCCAGATCTGGTCCTGCTCCATCTGCCCTCAGACGTTTAAGTACCTTTGAGAACCCTGGTTGTGGTAGAGCTCATAACCTACCACTCTAGGCACAAAGACTCCTATACTGAGTGATTCTAAACATGTTGAGAGGAACTCACTTGGGTCTACAGACAAACTTTGGAGGCTGAAATCCTTACAGAGAAACTCGATACAGTTTCTGGGCTCCCCCATCCCCCTTTTTTCTTCAGTGTGGTTCTGTTTCTCCACTTCCAGAAGCCCTATACCTAGTAGGGATATAACAAAAGGCACTCATTGGTAGTTGGAGCTTGTTTAGGTTTGCTTGGGCTGGGAGCTGGAATTTCCTCTGCAGACAAAGGACACAAAACCCTGCTAAATGGGAACTGAGAGTTTTCTTGGCCTGAGGGCATCCACATGAAGCTATTCCTGAGGGATCTAGGGGAAAAAGGACCCTAGAAATGAGAAGCCTGGGAAATGAATAGGACATGGGAGCTTCTACCTCAGAAGGCAGGCTAGAGTATGTTGGCTGAGTCCTGCTGCTCTAGGGAATCCATCAAGTCTACCATGATGGGAACTGTAGTAAGTACAAACACTGCCTGCCATGGAGGAGTCCTTCATCTTCTCTTGAGCTGAAAAATGAGGTTCCTAAGAGTCTCTTAGTGTTCTTGAATATGAGAGGGTAAGTCTCTTTGTTCTGCCTCTGAGCTCTAGGCCTTTCCTTTTTATCTAGTTTGGCAAAGTGCAGATGGACCCAGCTGTAGGCATAGGGACAGAGAGATTGAAAGAAAAACATGTGCAAGAATCCTGGAGGCAGTTCCTGGCATCTTGGGTCAGATTCTATAACACTAGAAAAACTCTAGGGATGAGTTCTTTTGAACTGCAAGACCTAAGAAGATAGCCAGAGGGGAAGATTCAAAGGCATCAGGAGCTCAGGTGAGGTTAAACTTCATTAATTACACATTTTTGGAGCTCAGAGATCAGAACTAGGATCTGATCCATTGTGTTAAGGAGTTATGAATGCATAATACTAAGATTAAGTGAGAATGTACTTGGGTATTAATATATCCATTTGATCTCAAAATCTTACCTTTGATATTACTTATAAATTACAAAAAGGTAAAGATACCTTTATAATGAAGAGCTCTGGCAGACACCACCTACTTCAAGTGACCAAGTTGAGTGCCACCATGGGCTAAAGTGCTCTGGGATCCCAAATAAATGAAAGGCAGTCTAGGCCACAAGCATTGCAACTCCTAGGCAAGTACTAGTGCTGTGCTGAGCTGGGAGCCAGTGAACTTGGGCAGCACATAACCTAGTGAGACACCAGTAACGGTGGCTAAGAGAATGATGGTACCACCTCTCCCCCAAACCAGGCAGCACAGCTTGTAGCAATGAAAATGACTCTTTCCTTCTACTTGAGGAGAAGAGAGAGGAGTAAAGAGGACTTTGTCTTGCATCTTGGATACCAGCTCAGCCACAGTAGGATAGGGCACTGGGCAGAGTCATGATGCTCCCATTCCAGGCCCCGGCTCCAGGATGATGTCTCTTGACACACCTTGGGCAAAAAGGGAACCCATTGCCTTAAAGGTAAGGACCCAGTCCTGCCAGGATTCATCACCTGCTGACTAAAGAGCCCTCAGGCCCTGAATAACCATCAGCAAGACACCATGGGCCTTGGGTGAGATTCTGAGATGTGCTGGCTTCAGGTGAGACCCAGCACATTCCCAGCTATGGTGGCTTAGAGGAAAGATCCATTCTGCTTGAGAAAAGCAGAAAGAAAACTAAAGGGAACTTTGTCTTGCATCTTAGGTACCAGCTCAATGACAGTAATGTAGAGCACCAAGCAGGCTCTTGGGGTCCCCAATTCTAGGCATTTCTGGACCTGCCCTGGGCCAGAGGGGAGCCCACTGTGTTGAAAGGTGAGAGCCAGGCCTGGCAGTGTTCACTATAAGTTGACAGAGGAGCCCTTGGGCTTTAAGTGAACATCATTAGTACCCTGGCAGTAGTCCCCAAGGGCTTGTGATGGTGGCGGCCATGGGGAGAAGCTCCTCTGCCTGTAGAAAGAGGAAGGAAGTGTGGAAAGGACTTTGTCTCAGTGTTTGAGTTCCAGCTTAGGTGCAACAGAAAAAGCACCAGGTAGATTTTTAAGGTTTTTAACTTGAGTTCCTGCCTCTCAGACAGGATCTCTGGACCAACCAAGGGCCTGGGGGAACTTGCTACTCTGAAGGGAAGGACACAAGCCTGGCTGGCTTCACCACCTGCTGACTGTAGAGCCCTAAGGGTCTTAAGTGAACACAGGCAGTAGCCCTAAAGGTCTTAAGTGGGCCTGGGGAGAGACCCAGTGCTGTGCTGGTTTCAGGTCTGACTCAGCACAGTCCCAGTATTGGTGGCCACAGGGGTCCTTGTGTCACCCCACCCCTAGCTCTAGGAAGCTCAGTACAGGGAGACATTCCATATGTTTGCGAGAAAGTAAGGGAAGAGACCAAGAGTCTCTGCTTTGTAATCAAGAGAATTTTTCCACATCTTATTCAAGACCACCAAGGCAGTTCCTCTACAAGTTTGCAAGAATTACAGCATTACGAAGCTTGGGGTGCTCCCTAATGCTGATACAGTTTAGATCACAACACCCAATACCTTCAAATACTTGAAAAGCTTTCCTAAGGACAGGTACAAACAAGCCCAGACTGCAAAAGACTACAATAAATATCTAACTCTGTAGAGCCCAGACACTGAAAAACATCCACAAACATCAAGTCTATTCAGGAAAACATGACCTAACCACATGATCTAAATAAGGCACCAGGGACCATTTCTGGAGAGACAGAGATATGTGAGCTTTCAGACAGAGAATTCAAAATATCTGTGTTGGGGAAACTCAAAAAAATTCAAGATAACACAGAGAATAAATTCAGAATTATATCAGATAAATTTAATAAAGAAATTGAAATAAATTTTTTGAGACAGGGTCTTACTCTGTCACCCAGGTTGAAGTGCAGTGGCATGATCTCAGTTCCCTGAAGCCTTGGCCTCCAGGGTTCAAGCAATTCTTGTGCCTCAGCTTCCCAAGTAGCTGAGACTACAGGAATGCATCACCATGTCCAGCTAATTTTTGTATTTTTTTGGTAGAGACCGAGTTTCATCATGTTGACCAGGCTGGTCTTGAACTCCTGACCTCAAGTGATCTGCCCGCCTTGGCCTCCCAAAGTGCTGGGATTACAGGCACGAGCCACTGCACCTGGCCAACAAAGAGATTGAAACAATTTAAAAGAATCAAGCGGAAATTCTGGAGTTGAAAAATGAAATTGACATACTGAAGGATGCATCAGAGTCTCTCACCAGCAGAATTCATCAAGCAGAAGAGAGAATTAGTCAGCTTGATGGTGGGCTATTTGAAAATACATGGTCAGGGGAGACAAACGAAAAAAGAATAAAAAAGAATAAAGCACATCTACAAGATCTAGGATATAGCCTCAAAAGAACAAATCTGAGAGTTACTGGCCTGAAAGGCCAATAAAGAGAAAGAGATAGGGGTAGAAAATTTATCTGAAAGGATAGTAACAGAGACCCTCCCATGCCTAGAGAAAGATATCAATATTTAAGTACAAGAAGGTTATAGAACACTAAGCAGATTTAATCTATAGAAGACTATCTCAGTGCATTCAATAATCAAACTCCGAAAGGTCAAGGATAAAGAAAGTATCCTAAAAGCAGCAAGAGAAAAGAAACAAATAACATACAATGGAGCTCCAATACATCTGGCAGCAGACTTTTCAGTGGAAATCTTATCAGAGAGAGTGGCATGACATATTTAAAGTACTGAAGAAAAACTTTTACCCTAGAATAGCATATCTGGTGAAAATATCCTTCAAACATGAATTAGAAATAGACTTTCCCAGACAAACAAAACTTGAGTGATTTCATCAACACTAGACCCTTTCCTATAAGAAATACTAAAGGGAGTTCTTCAATCTGAAAGAAAGGAACATTAATAGCAATAAGCAATAGTCTTAAGGTACAAAACTCTTAGGTAATATTAAGTACACAGAAAGACACAGAATATTACAACACTGTAATTGTAGCGCGTAAACTACTCTTAAGTAGAATGACTAAAAGATGAACCACTCAAAAATAATAATGACTACAACCTTTCAAGACATAAACAGCACAATAAGACATAAAGATAAACAACAAAAAGTGAAAAAGTGGGGAGATGAAGTTAAAGCAATAGGGTTTTTATTATTTTTCTTTTTGTTTGTTTGTTTATGCAATCAGTGTTAAGTTGTTGTCAGTTTAAAATAATGGGTTATAAGATAGCATTTGCAGGCCTTGTGGTAACCTCAAATCAAAAAAATACATGACAGATACACACAAAATAAAAAGCAAAAAATCAAATCACACCATCAGAGAAAATCACCTTCACAGAAGACAGGAAGCAAGGAAGGAAGGAAAGAAATGAAAGAATACCACAAAACAACCAGAAAACAAATAATAAAATGACAGGAGTAAGTCCTTACTTATCAAATAAAATTGAATATTAATGGACTAAACTCTCCAATCAAAAGACAGAGTGGCTGAATGGATACAAAAACAAGACCCCATGATCTGTTTTCTATAAGAAACACACTTCACCTATAAAGACACACATAGATTGAAAATAAAGAGATGGAAAGAGGTATTCCATGCCAATGAAACGAAAAAAGAGGAGGAGCAGCTATACTTATATTGGACAAAGTACATTTCAAGTCAAAAACTATAAGAGACAAAGAAGGTCATTATATAATAATAAAAAGGTCAATTAAACAAGATGATATAACAACTGTAAATATATAGACACCCAACTTTGGAGTATTTATATACCCAGATATATTTATACACCCAGATATATAAAGCAACATATAAAGCTAAAGAGAGAGAGATAGGCCCCAATAAAATAATAGCTAGGGATTTCAGCACCCCACTTTCAGCTTTGGACAGGTCTTCTAGGGAAAAAAATCAACCAAGAAACATTGGGCTTAATCTGCACTATAGACCAAATGGATCCAACAGACATTTATAGAACATTTCATCCAACAGCTACAGAATATACATTCTTCTCAGCAAATGGATCATTCTCAGGGATAGACCATATATTAGGCCGCAAAACAAGTTGTAAAACATTCAAAAAATTGGAATAATATAAGGCATCTTCTCTGACCACAGTGGAATAAAACTAGAAATCAACAACAAGAAGAATCTTGGAAACTATACAAATACATAGAAATTAAATAATATGCTCCTGAATGACCAGTGAGTCAATAAAGAAATTAAGAAGGAAATTAAAAAGTTTCTTGAAACAAATGATAAAGGAAACAGAACATACCAAAACCTATTGGATATAGCAAAAGCAGTACTAAGAAGGAAGTTCATAGCCATAAGAGTCTACATCAAAAACAAGAAAAGCTTCGAGTAAATAACATAATGATGCCTCTTAACTAGAAAAACAAGAGCAAACCAAATCCAAAATTAGTAGAATCAAAGAAATAAGATCAGAGCAGAAATAAAAGAAATTGAAATGAAGAAAACAGTACAAAAAATCAACAAAACAAAAACTTGGTTTTTTGAAAAGATAAACAAAATTGACAAACGTTTAGCCAAACTAACTAAGAAAAAAGAGAGAAGCCCCAAATAAATAAAATCAGGGATGAAAAAGGGAGACATTACAACCAATACCACAGAAACTCAAAAGACCATTAGTGGCTACTATGAGCAACTATAAGCCAATAAATTGGAAAATCTAGAAGAAATGGATAAATTTCTAGACACACACAATTGCCCCCAAGATTGAATCATGAAGAAATCCAAAACCTGAACAGACCAATAACAAATAATAAGACCAAAGCCATAATAAAATGTTTCCCAGCAGAGAAGCCTGGGACCTGATGACTTCACTGCTGAATTCTATCAAACATTTAAAGAAAAATTAATACCAATCCTACTCAAACTATTCCAAAAAAATAGAGGAGGAGAGAACACTTCCAAACTCATTTTACAAGGCTCTGATACCCAAACTAGACAAAGGCATCATAAAAATAAAACTACAGGCCAATATCCCTGAAGAATACTGATGCAAAAATCCCCAACAAAATGCTAGCAAACCGAATTCAACAGCACATTATTATAACAAGATCATTCATCATGACCAAGTGGATATCCTGGGATGGAAGGATGGTTCAACACATGCAAATCAATCAATGTAATACACAATATCAACAGAAAGAAGGACAAAAACCAAATGATCATTTTAATTGACAATGAAAAAGCATTTGATAAAATTCAACATCCCTTCATGATATTAGGTTGGTGCAAAAGTAATTGCAGTTTTTGCCATTACTTTTAATTGTGAAACCTCAATTATTTTTGCACCAACCCAACATAAAAAAAATGGGTATAGCAGGAACATACCTCAACATAATAAAAGCCATATACAACAGACCTACAGCTAGTATTATACTGAATGGGGAAAAACTGAAAGCCTTTCCTCTAAGACCTGAAACACAAGTATGCCCACTTTCACCACTGTTATTCAGCATAGTACTGAAAATCCTAGCTAGAGCCATCAGGCAAGAGAAAGAAATAAAAGAAATAAAACATATATGAATTGGAAAGGAAGAAGTCAAATTATTCTGTTTTCAGATGATATAATTTTATATTTGTAAAAACCTAAAAACTCTACAAAAAAACTATTAGAACTGATAAGCAAATTCAGTAAAGTTACATTTCTATATGCCAACAATGAACAATCTAAAAAAGAAATCAAGCCATTTACAATAGCTACAAATAAAATAAAATACCTAGAAATTAATTTAACCAAAGATATGAAAGAGCTATACAATGAGAACTATAAAACATGTATGTAAGAAATTAAAGAGAACACCAAAAAATGGAAAGATATTCCACATTCACGGACTGGAAAACTAATATTGTTAAAATGTTCATACTGCCCAAAGCAATCTACAGATTCAGTGTAATCCCTATCAAAATACCAATGACATTCTTCACAGACATAGAAAAAAAAAAACAAACTTAAAATTTATAAATCACTAAAGACTCAGAATAGCCAGAACTATCCTGAGCACAAAAGAACAAAACTGGAGGAATCACATTACCTGACTTCAAATTATACTACAGAGCTGTAGTAACTAAAATAGCATGGTACAAGCATAAAAACAGACACATAGACCAATGGAACAGAACAGAGAACCCAGAAACAAAATGATACATCTACAGTGAACTCAGTTTCAACAAAAGTACCAAGAACATACATTGGGGAAAGGACAGTCTCTTCAATAAATGATGCTGGGAAAACTGGATATGCATATGCAGAAGAGTGAAACTAGAATGATATCTCTCACCATATACAAAAATAAAATAAAAGTGGATTAAAGATTTAAATCTAAGAACTAAAATTATGAAACTACTAAAAAATATTGGGGGAAACTCTCCCCCCAGAATATTGGACTGGGCAAAGATTTCTTGTGTAATATTCCACAAGCACAGGCAACCAAAGCAAAAATGGGCAAGTGGGATCACATCAAGTTAAAAACCTGCTGCATAACAAAGGAAACAATCAACAAGGTGAAAAGACAACCCACAGCATGGGAGAAAACATTTGAAAAGTACCCATTTGACAGAGATTAATAACCAGAATATATAAGGAGTTCAAACAACTCTATAGGAAAAAATCTAATAATCTAATGTTTTAAATGGCCAAAAGGTCTGAACAGACATTTCTCAAAAGAAGAGATACAAATTGCAAACAGGTATATAAAAAGATGCTCAACATCATTGATCATCAGAGAAACATAAATCAAAACTACAGTGAGATATCATCTCATTCCAGTTAAAATGGTTTTTATTCAAAAGACAGGCAATAACAGATGATGGCAAGGATGTGGAGTAAAGGGAATCCTCATACACGGTTGGTGGGAATGTAAATTAGTACAAGCACTATGGAGAACCGTTTGGAGGGTCCTCAAAAACTAAAATAGAGTCACCATATGATCCAGCAAACCCACTTCTAGGTATATACCCAAAAGAAAGGAAATCAGTATATCGAAGAGATACCTACAGCATTGTTCACAATAGCCAGGACTTGGAACCAACCTAAGTGTCCATAAACAAACAAATGGATAAAGAAAATGTTACATATATTTTTAAAAAGAATGAGATCCTGTCATTTGCAACAACATGGATGGAACTGGAGGCCATCATGTTAAGTGAATTAAGCCAGGCACAGAAAGACAAACTGTACATGTTCTCACTTATCTGTGGGAGCTAAAAAGTGAAACAATTGAATTCACAGGGATAGAGGGCAGACGGATGGTTACCAGAAGCTGGGAAAGGTATTGGGGCAGGGGTAGTGGAGAGCAAGTGGGGATTGTTAATAGGTACAAAAAATGGTTAGAAAGAATGAATAAGACCTACTATTTGATAGCACAACAGGGTGACTATAGTCAGTAATAATTTAATTGTACATGTTAAAATAATGAAAAGAGTACAACTGGATTGTTTATAACACAAAAGATAAATGCTTGAGGTAATGGATACCTCATTTACCCTAATGTGATTATTATGCATTGCATACTTGTGTCAAAATATCTCATGTACCCCACAAATATATACACCTACTATGTACCCACAAAAACTAAAAATAAATTTTTAAAAATTCCTTCTGTAAAAGTACAAAACAGCTCTTATTACAGTATGACATGTTTTTAGCATCATGATATTGGAAGTCCACTTCCAAGAAGAAAAACTACGTTTTTCAGATGAATTACCCTGTCAGCTGAAGAATCACAAGGTTCATACATTTGGAAAGGACAGCTTTATTTCTCACAAAAGGCTGCAACCTGCAGGGTGGCCATTCTGACACGCTGGGAAGTGTAACCTCTGGCCAGAAGCCAGAAACAGGCACTTCAAGGTAGTGCTGAAAGAAACGGGAATTTATGCTGAGCAGAGTGGCTGAAAATACCTTTTTATTAGGCTGTAGGAGGAGTCATGAATATTTATTAAAGGAGAAACATGTGCTTCACAATTGAGCTTTATGCCTCTTCATGAATTCCCTGTACAAAAAATTGTGGCATTAGCATGATCTGAGAGTGGAGTTTTCAGCCCCCTAATGTCAAAAGATGAAGGGGAGGACACAAATGCCCTGGCTGTGCACCCTGCATAGATTGGCCAGAACCACTTCATGGTTGTTGGTCTCTTATCAGGAAGGGATTTATGGTTTAACTGGTGAGCTGTCATGTTGAAACTGCAATGTGGGAAAGGGAGTCCTGTGGCAGCCTCAGAGGACTGGCTAAAGTTGACAAAGTAATGAGTCATCCATTTCTCATTTTCCAGAGCTGGTTTCTGCTTACTTACGCCTTAGGAAAGAATTCTGGTTAAAGGTTAGAAGGAATGGGGCATACTGAGGCATGTTCGACCTGCTAGCCCATCATGGCCAGGAACTCAGTTTCTAAGGTTTCTCTGGAGTCCCCTGGGCCAAGAGATGGTGTGTTCAGTCAGTTGGAGAAGCTTAGGACTTTATTTTTATTTCTCAACCCATATTAAAGAATTGATTCTATTAACCTCAAAAGTCAAATACTCATACATAAAGTCCTTGAAAAGGCTCATTCAGAATCACATGCTTATGCGTAAATTTCTCTGATTAAGGCTTCTTTGTTTAAAGAGCCAACATTCAAGGAAAAAGTTTTAAAACTATTCCATAATTTTTACAATTTTCTTAGTTGTCAGATTTGTATCTGCATTGTCTTCTATGATTTTTACTATAAATATAATTACATGAGAATGGAGTGTTTCTTAGAAGTGACCACTTATGATATTAGTCTCCATTTAAACATTTCTTCCCATGTGATACAAATATATTTCCATATTTATTGTGTCAGTATATTTGTTACTCTCATGAAGCAAACAGAATGCCAATTAAATGCAAATAGCAGGATTTAAGTGATTAGATGTGATGAGGAACTACTTAAATCACACATAAAGATTTGACAAATAAGAATCTAGTAAATGTTTGAAGAAAAGCAAAGGGGGTAATGATAGGTTATGTGTCTCAAAAGAATGGTTTGAATAGCATAGATTAAGAGATGCCCTTCGAAAAAGTGAAGTGCCCTCTAATATTTAGGCAAAATAACCCTATTTGTGAAGGTACTGCAAAAATCAACAGTGAAATAAAGGACTTGATATTGTGCCCCTCTTACAGCTTTGTCAACAAAAATCGTAACATTCAAATCCAAACACTTGATTTATTCCTGGTTCATTCTAAGATTTGGTAAAGACTTACAAATGTAATCAAATTTGTTTTAAATATTGGTTTGAGCCACAATAAGTGCCATTTTTAATAAATTTTACACAGTAGGGTTTAACATAATATAAGATAAAATAAGCTTATTTTCTTGATTGGTTTCATTTCTCATGATAAAATCCTAATACAATATTTTGGTTTGTTTCCAGTTTCCAATGGATTCATTTTAAATGGATATTTTTTAGTAGCAATTATCCTTGGCTATTTTGTCTACATTTGGGTTTACAAAGGCATTGGGAAGGCAAAAATGAAATCTACCAACCACTTGCAACATTGCTTCAATGGAGAAAAGTTATTGTGAGGTCCAAACGATGAATTGCAAGTAAATTTTTGCAGTCAGCCTATATTTTATTTTTTAGCTAACAGTATGCTAAAAAGTTGTGATTATGACATACTGTAAATGTTTTCAGTAGAAGCACACTCAGCACTTTGAGAGGCCAAGGCAGGAGGTTCACTTGAGGTGAGGAGTTCTCGACCAGCCTGGGCGACACAGCAAGACCTTGTCTCTATAAAAAAAATTTGAAAAGTTAACCGGGTGTGGTGGTGCATGTTTGTATTCTCAGCTACTTGGGAGGCTGAGGTGGGAGGATTGCTTGAACCCAGGAGTTCAAGGCTGCAATGAGTCATGATCGCACCACTGCACTCTCGCCTAAGTGACAGAGTAAAACTAACACTGTCTCAAAGAAAGAAAGAAACACACCAGAATGTGAATTTTCAAGTCAGTGTAGGTGTTCTCAAAGTCATCAGCCTCAGAGGTTATATAGACATTTTAACAATAGGGGCATAGTCCCTAACAGTTGTTGGGTCTCCTCTGGAATTGCCCTGGAAAATTCTGTGGCTATAATTCCTTCTACTCTTTTTTTTTTTTTTTTTTTTGGCAGAGTCATACTCTGTCACCCAGGCTGGAGTGCAGTGGTGCAATCTCAGCTCATTGCAACCTCTGCCTCCTGGGTTTAAGCAATTCTCGTGCCTCAGCCTTCCGAGGTAGCTGGGATTACAGGCATGTGGCACCATGCCCGGCTACTTTTTGTAATTTCAGTAGAGACTGGTTTTCACCATGTTGGCCAGGCTGGTCGCAAACTCCTGGCCTTAAGCCATCTGCCTGTCTCAGCCTCCCAAAGTGCTGGGATTACAGGCGTGAGCCACTGCACCGTTTTTTACTGTCATTTGAGTTGGCAAATATTCATCCACTGAAGGTGGGGGTTGGTTTTAATAAGTAAACAGGTAAATAAGTAAATAAGCTGGGCAATACATATGAGAGTGTAGAAAAGCATAAATACTACTCATATTTTACTTGTGGCTGCACCATGATTGCAGACCCTCTGTACTCATTATACTGGCCCCCTTTTTAATATATATTGGCCATATATATAGCCAATAGCAATTGGCCAAAAGGCTAGGGGCACAGGAAGTCTCAAATATTTGCTGAATGTTGAATACATGAATGATCTGATTCCCTCTTTAGAACCATCATTCACATATATAGTGAAGTAGGAATAGCTCATAGTTAGGGAACAAAGAAAGTAAAACATAGTTTTTTTTCCCAATACAATTTCTTTTATCCATCCTGCCACTTTATTCCATCCCAGTATTTTTTGCTTGTTGAATATCTCTAAGCTGTGCCAGATTCCCCTGGTCTCTTTCCCACAGAAGTCCTGATCTACTCCTAACTGCAGGAGTTGGGGCTTTGTCTAGTTTTGATTAACCAGTCTGTTTAAAATTGTTCTGTTTTCTTTGAAGAATAAAATGACTGTTTGCTTATCCTTAAGAATACTAGGACCATGGATAGGCGGAAATGGTTGTAATTTTATCATCATGCCAAAGGGAAAAAAAAAGTTTTCTCATACATACTTGTGTCATTTGCATTTGGAAAAAGGAGTGGAACATTGTGAAGGATCTACAATGTGAGGTCCACAGAACAACTAGTTCCTAGTTCAATCAGGTCATTATCTGGTAATTTTGTCTGCAATTTATTGGTGAAGTGGGTAAAATGGTGAAACAGAGTGATATATTATGTGTGGATCTGAAAGGATCTCTAAAAATAATCTGGCACAACAACTTGTAATAAAGGAGAAAATGCCTGCGGTGCAGAAAGGATAATCCTCTTTACCACACAGCACGTTAGTTAAGGACATGGCTTTGGAACCAAAGCATGGCTCTTCCTCTAACCAGCTATGTGACCCTGGATAGGAATCTTACATTTCTTCTGCTTTAGTTGCCTTGCACTTGGGGTTGTAAGAATTGAATTGTCAACTAATGAATGATGAGGTTCAAAAATTTGGAAAGGAGAGCTTTATTTCTCATAAAGAGTTGCAGCTGGCAGGGTGGCCATTCTGATAGGCCAGAAGCCAGCAACCAACACTTTGAGGGTCAGAAGAATAAGACAGGGATTGATGCTGAATGGGGTGGCCAAGCATAAGTATTCAATAAACTATAGGAGAAGTCATGAGTATTTATGAAAGGAGAAACATATACTTGAGCTTCTTGTTTCTCCATGGGACCGATGTTCAAAAACTGGTGGCATTAGCATGATCTGAGGGTAAAGTTTTCAGCTCTGTGACATCAAAAGGTGAAGCAGAGAACACAAAAACCCTCAGTGCATCATCCCTAGATGGGCAAGAACCACTCCATAGTTGGTTGTCTCTTATCAGGAAGGAAGGCTGGTCGGTTGTGTCAAAACCACTAAACGGAGGGACAGCGTCAGGCAGTTGGTTGAAAGCAGTGATGGTCTTTGGAAAAGGCTGGTGTCTGCTTATCCTTTAGGAAAGAAAACTTAATGGCAGTGAGCCAGGGAGGGATTATAATGAGGCATTACAGACCTCACATCCTATCATTGCCCAGAACTCAGCTTCCAAGGTTTCTCTGGGGTCCCCTTGGCCAAGGTGGGGGTCAGTTCTGTTGGTTGGGGGGCTGAGAATTTTACTTTCATTTCTCAAAATGAATTAAGCTCAATAAGCACTTAACATATAGAAAGTGCCTTCAAAATGGTATCATTTATTATTAGTATCATTATTGTTGCTGCTCTTATTTTCCTAGGTCACATAGCCAGTTTCAAGGTATCTCACAATACTTATATTCAACAAATATTTATTAGGCACCTACTTGTTCCAAACACTGTTCTGTGCACTGGGGATATATTAACAAACAAAAACAACAGATTCCTGCCCTTGGAGAGCTTCCATTTTAGTAAGGAGAGACAGATCAATTATAAACCTGATAACTAAGAGAAATTTTCAGTAAATCAGAAGATGACTATCACAATGGAGAAAAGGATAACTATGAGGGTGGAGAGACAGGAAACTAAACACTGGGGACCCTGAGTGAGGGGTAGGGCAGAGAATACAAAATAGAGTAGACTTCATTGAGAGGGTGACATTTGAGTTAAATGTAGACCTGAAGAAGGGGAAGTAGGTAGTCATGAAGATATTTGAGGGAAGAGGATTCTAGGCAAGAGAAAGAGTTAGTGCAAGGGCCTTAAGGTGTAAACATGACTGGTATGCACAAGGAGCAGCAGGAAGGAAAGACTAGCTGGAGTAATGTGAGCAAGAGAGAGGAGTAGGAGATAAGAGAAAACACATAATGGGAGGTGAGATCCCTAAGGAGCTTTGAAAGCTGTAGAAAGAACTATAGCTTTTATTCTGTATGAAATAGAAATAGAGTTTCCTGATCCCCCTCGCAGATGTGTGACAGGAGTGTGGCTCACCTGTTCAGTCGCCACTGCTGCTCAAACCCTTGAGGGGAGGCAGAGCACACAGACAGACAAGTGCAGGAGGCCAAGTGGGCATGTGTTACAGTGTGCCCTTTTAGCACTGCCATCTGCAGATGGTTTCAGTGTTAGCTGGCTCAATGGACCCTTTGCCTTTTTGCAAGGGCAGAGGGCCAGCATGACAGCTTTCTGTTTCCCAAGTTCTTGCCCAGCGTCCTGGAACTATCAGGTCACATATGGGCTTGAAGGATGAATGTGGGGTTTTATTCAGTGGTGGAGGTGGCTCTCACCAGGATGGCTGGGGAGCTGGAAAGGGGATGGAGTGGGAAATTATCTTCCCCTGAAGTTTGGCCGCCCAGCAGCTGAACTCCTCTCTGACTGCCCCCAGCCGAACTCCTCCTGGCATTCAAACGTTCCTCTTCTCTCTTTTTCTGCTGCATCATTCTGCCATTCATCTGCTTGTCTCGTCTCCTTGTCTACTCATCTGCTTCTGGAGCCTGGGGTTCAGGGTTTATATGGGTACAGAATAGGGAGCCATGGCGGGCCAAAAGGCAACTTTTTGGGCACAAAAACAGAAATGCCTGTTCCCACTTAGGGCCACAGGTCTCCAGGCTTGAGGGTGAGGCCTTTGCCAGGGAACTGCCCTCTTCCTGTCTCCTGTCCATATCATCCCCACTCTGAAGAGGCACATCTAACTGCCATTAGAATATGGACCATGACCAATCTTAGCTACTTCCTGCTGACAGGGGGTGTTGTTTGGGGAAAAAGGCAGTCAGATTTCTCCCAGAGGTCTAAGGGTCCCCAGCAAAAGGGAGCCATTGTCTGATGCTCCAGTTGCCTGACCATTTGGAGTTTGATGACCTCTAGATGAGAGAGAGAAAAAAACAAGTTTTATAAGGTTAAGTGTGCATGGATTAAACATGTGTATTATACAAGGAAAGAATCTAGTGCCAAAGATTACAGAAATAAGAAGTAAGATATACTATTTATTCTGAAAACACTATTGTGCCCCATAGTATGGAACAGAACAAGGGTAAGAACAGCAGGCATAGACAAGACTGTAAGGAGGATATCCATGGAAGGTTAGTTATTGCCATTTATCTTTTGTGATTTTTAGCTTGAGGCCCCCGATCTCTTCACATTGGTACTTTGAGTGCCCTCCTGGGTCAACAGAGGTGACTCCACTGGCTTCCCAGGCCTTTACTCGGGTGCAATGAATCCAAGAGTCTATTCCAGTGACCTTCACTGCCGTAGGAGTAGAAAGAAGTACAATGTAGAGTCCCTCCTAACCTGGGCCTATAGAAGGAGAAAGGGACGGAAGTACCTTTACTAGCACTAGGTCCCCTGGGTTGCATAGAGGTGGCCCTGGTACACAGAACTGGGCCTCCGACAGTTGTTTCAGTTCCTATTGGAAATGGACCAAATATATTATGTGCCTAATTAAATCAGAGGTTACTTGGTCTAACAAGAAATCATTGGTGAGAAAAGACCAACCATACATCATTTCAAAGGGACTGAAACTTAGCTTTGAAGGAGTATTTCTAATACTTAACAGGGGCTATGGGGAAAAGGGTAGGCCAGGGGAGATGAGTCTCCTGAGACAGTTTCCCGAGGTACCTTTTGATAATATCATTTGTCTTTTCTATCTTTCCTGAGGATTGTGGTCTCCAGGCACAATGAAGATGGTACTGTATACCTAGTGCTTTTGAGACCCCCCTGAGTGACAGCTGCCTTGAATGAGGGGCTATCATTGCTCTGGAGGTATTTAGGAAGTCCAAAACAAGGAATTATCTCACTGATCAGTAATTTTATTACCTCAGAGGCTTTCTTTGTCTGACATGGAAATGTTTCTACCCAGTTAGTGAAAGTATCTATTCATAATAGGAGGTACTGCATGTACCTTTCCTTTGGCATATGGGTGAATCCATTTGCCAGTTTTCCCCTGGGTAGCCTCCTATCCTTTGGGTTCCTGGGAGAATAAGCTGTCAATTAAGGGGATTGTTTTCAAGGCAGGTCTTGCAAGTATTAATGACCTGTTGAACCATTTGTATCAGGTTTTTACCTGAGAATAATCTCTGGGCCAGTTGATAGGTTTTATCCTTACCTAGGTGGAAGGCCTGGTGAAGGCTTTTAAGAACTTTCCATGGGTTGGCAGCTGGTGGATGAAGCTTACTATCCTCTGATTATAGCCATCCTGAGGACTGCAGGATGTATCCCTAAGAGGTGGCCCATTCTATTTCCACAAGAGAATATTGAGGTTTTATTTCTATCACGGGGCACTCCCAGATCAGTGGGACTTCAAATGGGTCAGAGACCTGGGGCCCACTTGCTGCTGATTAAACTGCTTGGTCTGCCAGCCTATTTCCCTCAACTATTTCATCTGTCCCTCTTTGGCAGTCTTTACAATGTATTATTGCCACTTCCTGTGGGAGGAAAACTGAGGATAATAGTCTATTAATTTTCTGATTATATTTAATAGGAGACCCATTAGCTATGAGGAAGTTCCTCTTTCCAGATAGTGGTATGGGCATCGAGGACCAGGAAAGCATACTTAGAATCAATATAAAAGTTAACGTTTTTCCTTTGCTTAATTCGAGCACCCTCGTGAGGGTGATTAGTTCAACTAGCTGACCATTTGTGCCCAAGGAGAGAGGTGCACTCTCAACAACATCATTCAGAGTAACTATTGCATACCCTGCTCTGTGAGTTCCTTTTTCTACAAAAAAAACTTCCGTCCATAAACGGAATCCAGTCTGGGTTATCTAAGGGGGTTTCCTTGAGGTTCTCTCTGGCTGCATAGGTTTGTACTACTATTTGCTAGCAGTCATGTTCAAGTTCCCTGGATTCCTCTTGGAGGAAGGTGGCTGGATTTAGGGACAGGTTCTTAATTAGAAGGACTGCAGAACTTTCTAATAACAGAGCTTGGTATCTGAGGAGGTGGTTTTCTGTTAGCCAGAGACTCCCCTTAGAAGACAGTAGTCCTGCCACATTATGTGGGATATAAACGGTTAAGTTATTCCCCGTGGTTAACTTATTAGCCTCTGGTACCAGCAAGGCTATTGCTGTGAATGCCCAGAGTCAGGCTAGCCATCATGTGGCTACCAAATCAAGCTCCTTACTCAGGTAGCCTACATGCTGCTGGGCTGAACTCCAGGTCTGTGTTAGAACTCCCAGTGCCATTACTTTTCTCTGATACATAAAGCTTAAATGTTTTCCCTATGGGGAGACTTAGGGCTGGTGCCTTAAGCAAGGCTTGTTTTAGTTGGTCAAAGGCCTTTTTAGCCTCTGGTTCCCAAATTAGACAGTGAGATTTAGCTGTCTGAGTCTCCTTTATTAGGTGAAATAGGGACAAGCTATTTCACTGTACCCAGGTATCCATGGTCTGCAGAATCCTGTAATGTGTAAGAATTCCCTCAGTTTCTTGAGGGTTTTAGGGAAGGGAAAGGAGGAGATGGGCTTAATCCTCTCTTTGTCCAATGCCCTGGCCCTCTCTGACAAAGCCAGACCTAGGTATTTCACTGAAGTCTGAGATACCTGAGCATTAGATTTTGAAACCTTATATCCTCTGTTAGTCAGAAAGTTAAGAAGGGCCTTACTGCCCTCCTAAGAGATTTCCTCAGTTGGAGCGCAGAGAAGGTCATCCATGTATTGTAAAACTTTAACCTGAGGATAAAGGAATTCAGAGAGGTCTCTCAATAATGCCTGGCCAAACAAGGTGGGGCTGTCTCGGAACCCCTGAGGTAACAGTGTTCTGGGTGGTTTGGTTAGAGGGATCCTTAAATGCAAACAAACACTAGGAGTCAGTGTGTAAAGGTGTGCAGAAGAAGGTATCCTTTAGTTCCAGAACTGTGAACCATTTAGTCCCCTCAGGTATTTGAATTAGTGGGGTATATGGATTGGTAACCACTGGATGTATTGGAACCACAGCCTCATTAACAAGGTGGAGGTCCTGAACTAGTCTTCATCCTTGTTGGGTTTTTGTACCCCCAATATTGGGGTATTACAAGAGCTGTTGCAGGGTTTGAGGAGGCTCTACATCTTCAAGTCATCAATGATGGCTTCTAGTCCTTTCCTAACTTCTGGTTTCAGGGAATATTGTTTCTGGTTAGGAAAGGAGGTGGGATCTTTAAGATGAACCCAGACCAATATGTCAGGTGTGGCTCAGCCAATCTTCCTTCAAGTTGCCCAAACTTCTGAGTTAATATCAGTCTCCACTAGGGGGAGACAACGAGTTTGCCCAGGGGCCATCAGGATGGTGGTCCCTATACAGGCCAGAATATCCCTGCCCAACAGAGGAGTTTGGCTTTCAGGCATAATTAGAAAAGCATGGGTGAACAAAATGTCTCCCCAGCTACAACTAAGGGGTTGGGGATAATATCGGGTTAAAGTCCTCCCTGAGACACACTTCATGATTGTGCTAAGAGAGCAGAAGGGCCCAGGACTGGAGGGGAGAACTCAAGAGACCAGCCCTGGTGTCCAAAAATTTCCTCCCTTCAATTTCCAGAATTACCTGGGGCTCCTGGATGGTAATGATGGTCTGGACCACTGGAGCCAGGGAAAGGAGACCCAGGACCCATCAGTCCTGCTGCTGGATCATGTAGATTGGTTCTGAACCTGGTGACCAGCATCCCCAGGGACAGTCCACCCTCCAATGGTCCCCATTGCAGATTGGACAGGGTTGAGGTGGCTTCCTCGTGCTGCCTGGGTAATCCTTCTTGAAATGCCCTGGCTTGCCACATCTGTAGCAGTTAACAGGTGCACCCTGGGAATTCTGGGGTTTGTGGGCTTGCATGGTGGCTATTGAAGCCTCTGTATCTTTCCAGTAATTCCTCTGTCTCTCCTGGGCCTCCATATCTCTATCATAAGAGACCAGGGTGGCTACTAAAGTACTATCTACCAAGGGTCTCCAAAGTACTATCTGGTCCCAGGGCCCATTTCTGCAACTTCTTCCTGATATCAGGAGCTGCCTGGATAATAAATTTATCCCTTAGGATTAGTTGTCCCTCAACAGAATCAGGAGATAGAGAGGTGTGCTTTACCAAGGCCTCTCTTAGCCTTTCCAGGAAGGCAGTGGGATTTTCATCAAATCTCTGGTCAATCATGGATTACTTAGTATAATTGAGAGGCTTGCTCCTAGTCTTACAAGCCCTCCATTATACACACCTGAAAGTGCCTCTTCTTCTAGTCTCCCATTTCATCATTGGGATCCCATCCAGTGTCATCCATTGGTACTGCTTCTCTTCCAGTTGGATAATGTTCATCCCCTTTCTGACACTATATATGATACAAAGCTCATCCCCAGATCTCTCTGCTGCTTGCAGAGTGGCCTGCTTCTCAGTGTCCATTAGGGCCTGATTCAAAAGTAAAGTAACGTCTCTCCAGGAGAATTCAAATACTTGGGTGAAATTCTGGAAAGCCTCTATATATCTGCCAGGGTTATCTGAAAACTTGCCAAGATCCCCCCTTAATTTGCTTTAAGTCCAGTAGAGAGAAGGGGACCTGAACCTTACTGAGGTCAGATTCAACAGGCATCTGTTGGAGGGGCAAGATTGAGACTGGGGCTTGTCTAGGGTGAGGATTTCTAGGAGGGAGCAAGTGAGAAGCTGAAGCTGGATAGGGAGGTTGGGTGGACCCAGAGGAGCAGGGCTGGAGGGAGCTGGCTCCCCTGCTCTAGGATTTGTATCTTTAGTTCTCTCGGCTTGCCCCTTGCAGCCTTTCCTGAGATGGCAAACAGCAGGCCTGGACCAATCTTACACTGTCAGCAAAAGTCTGGATTGCCTTGCAAGGTGTAGAAAGCCTGCATATATGAGGTCTCAGACCATCAGTACTCATGTCTACGGAAATGGTCCAACTGCCAGATGGTATCAAAATGAATGGTTCATTCCTGAGGCCATCATAGTCCTTCATAATTTGGACAAACCTTTGTGCACAGGGCTATGAGGCATTTTTCCTCCGAATTCTGAGGGTCAAAGCAGTCCCAGTGGTTCAGGATACACCCCAGAGGAGTATAGGCTGGCAGTGGTGAAGAGAACTGGTTGCCCATTATGAAAGACAGGGAATAGAGGTGTCCCTCATTTCCCTTCCTTACTGCAGCGAAAACTTGGGGTGTGATGGAGAGAGGAAGCAAGTGTCCTTTCTTTTTCTTCCATCTTTTTGTCCCTGAGTCTCGGCAACCTTGGCAGTCGCCACCCATGGTTACTGATCCGGCATGCACCCATGAAGCAGGGAAGGCCTAGAGAATAGGAATTATTTGCCCTTAACTTTGCCTCCATTTTTCCTACTGCCAGCAACCCTTGGGTTCCCTGGGCTTCATTTATTCCATGGAGCATGGCCTCCTTCCATGAGGTGGGGGGTTTAGTCAGCAGGAATTGGTCCTGCCCATTTACATTGTGCCTGTTGCCTGGCTTTGGACCCCTCAGATTTGGTTTTTCTTTCTATGGCCTCAGCCTCAAGCTTGGAGTCAAGTTTGAGACTAAAAAGTATTTTAGAGGGTTGCATGTATCTGTTTAGATTAAACCTCAAATGAGCCCTGATGAATTTGCAGTTATCAGGGGGATAGGAACCCTCTAATCTAGAAAAGGAGAAAAGAGAAAACAGTTAAAGGGTCAAAACGGGGAGGTCCTGAGGGAAGAAGCCCTTGCTCACTGCTAATGGGTCCTTCCCCCAGTTTGAACTGAGCTGAACTCCTTGGCCAGGAGAAGAAAAGTTCCACTGATGCTGCAGGCGGGAAGCACCAGCCAGCCGGCTGCGCAGGGTCCTGGTGGCAGCTGCAGTTTTCTCCTGCCCCTTGTGGCCATTGGGTGTGGCTTTTGCATGCTGTGGATATGCCCAGGTGCCCGAGCTAGGAGTTGGGGGGTAAGAAAAGGAGGTGCCATGTGCACCTGAGACTGTTGGGGTGGGGGTGGTGATGATACTTCTAAGAATAAACAGAAATCACATTGTTCTGAATTGCACTTTTTTTTTCTTTTTTCCTTTTTCTTTTTTTTTTGAGATGGAGTTTCACTGTGTCACCAGGCTGGAGTGCAGTGGTGAAATCTCGGTTCACTGCAACCTCCACCTCCCAGGTTCAAGCGATTCTCCTGCCTCAGCCTCCTGAGTAGCTGGGACTACAGGTACGTGCCACCACACCCACCTAATTTTTGTACTTTTAGAAGAGACAGGGTTTCACCATGGTGGCCAGGCTGGTCTCGATGTCTTGACCTCGTGATCTGCCTGCCTCGGCCTCCCAAAGTGCTGGGATTACAGGTGTGAGCCACCACACCCGGCCTGAATTGCACTTTTGATGGCTGAGCCAAATGCTCATTCTATTTAATATTGCACAGCCTGAACCAAAACCCGTAACATCATAAAGGAAGAGATGAGAGCCATTTCAAACTGTGAGAGAAGAGAAGACATCAAGCAAAATCTGGGGGTTTTAGCCAACAGACTTCAGTCCTGGGGCCTTGCAGCAAAAAAACACCTTCAGTTGCCCCAGGGCTTTACAGGGTGTGGCTCGCCTGTTCTGTTGCTACACGCTCAAACCCCTGAGGGGAGGGGAGCATGCAGATGGACAGGTGCAGGAGCCTAAGTGGGGGTGTGTTACAGTGTGCCCTTTTAGCCCTGCTGTCCATGGATGGCTTGAATTTAATCAGCTCAATGGACACTCTGCCTTTTCACAAGGGCAGAGGGCCAATGTGACCACTTTTTGTATCCCAAGCTCTTGCCCAGCATCCTGGAAGAATCAGGCCACACATGGGCTTGAAGGTTGAATGCAGGGTTTTATTGAGTGGTGGAGGTGGTTCTCTGAAGGATGGATGCAGAGCTGGAAGCGGGGATGGCACGGGAAGATAATCTTCCTGCTGGGTGGCCAAACCTCTCCGACCACCCTCGGCTGAACTCCTCTCGGCGTTCAAATGTTCCTCTTCTCTCTTTCTCTGCTGTATCGTTTCACCATTCATCTGCTTGTCTGGGATGGTGAAGACAACTGTTTGCTCATTCTAAACGACACGGAATAGAGGCGTCTCCTCATCTGCTCATCTGCTTCTGGAGCCCGAGGTTTGGGGTTTATATGGGTACAGGATAGGGGAGCATGGCAGGATAAAAGGCAACTTTTGGGGTGCGAAAACAGAAATGGCTGTTCCCATTTAAGGCCATGGGTCTCCAAGCTTGAGGGTGGGGCCTTTGCCAGGGAACTGCCCTCTTCTATCCAGTATTTCCCTGTCTCCTGTCCATATCAAAATATGGCCCATTGTAAGGCAATGAGCAGAGGAATTACCTGATTGGATTTATATTTTTAAAGGGCCACTCAGGCTGCTTTGTTAAGAATAAACTGAAGGGAGATAGAAGCAAGAAAGCTACTTAGGAGACTATTGGAGTACTCTAGGGAGGTATACTGGTGGTTTGGACCTGAGGTGTATTAGTAAGAGATGGTGAGAAATTGCTCGATTTGGGGGATACTTTGAATAGGTGACAGATTGGATGTGAAGTGTAAGACAGAGAGGAGCTAAGGTTTTGCAGCCTAAACTGCTGGAAGATTGGAGTTGCTATTAACCGAAATGAGAAAGGCAGTGGTTGAAGTGGCTTTGGAGGGTGAGAAATATTAGTGAAGTTTAATTCTTACCCTTGTTTCCCTTGTGAACTCCCAAAATTTAAGACATGTCTCAGTTAATTCAGAAAGTTTATTTTGCCAACGTTGAGGACACGCCCATGACACAGCCTCAGGAAGTCCTGACAGGTGCCCAAGGTTTATATATATATATATATTTCTAAGCAAACCAAAACAATAATAATATGACAACCTGATGATATAAAAGATATGTATATATGTGTGTGTGTATATATATATATATATCTCCTCTTATTGTGACTTATACTGACCGCTCATGACATGGTCAGACTTTCTAATTTGTTCTCAACATTCTTTTTAAACAACCAGTTATTTTATTTTAGGACTATATTTACCATGCAGGATTCTTTCTTACCTAAAATTACTTTTCTTTCAGCTTCTTTACCTAAAAAAACTCTTTTATTTTTATAACTTTCTATGCATCTTTTTTTGTTTCCTGGTTCCTTTTACCTTGTTTTACACATAACCTTTAAGCTTTGAATTAGACGAAACTTGTTCACCTTTTTTTTAAAGACACACTTTTTTTTAGCAAGAATGTTTTCCTACAATATATATTTATTGGAAAATGCCCAAATAGTAAAATATCTATTATTTAATTTAACTTTATATTCTAAATTATGACCAGTTTGTCTACAAGTATTTATCCCATTACATTTACCTAATTATTTTATTTTAATTGTTTACCTAGATTATTTATGAAAACTATGATAGTCATGATTTAAAGTTGTGAAACCACCATTGCAAAATTATAACTAAGACACTGAAAAAAGATTTGCCCTAACTGGCTCCATCTTGCTCATAACCTCTAAGCTGTCCTTGTTCATTCCTGGGCGTAGGCCGAGCTAACTTTGGGAAGGAATTCAGCTCAAGGTTTGACTCTGAAACAAAATTGGTAACAGCCCTTTCCCAAAAAGACCCCACTTCTTACCTGGGGTCCAGTCTGCCTTTCTAGGACTAACCAATTAGCTACGAGATTGGAAATAACA
Organism: Homo sapiens; assembly: GCF_000001405.40. Taxonomy (NCBI): domain Eukaryota; kingdom Metazoa; phylum Chordata; class Mammalia; order Primates; family Hominidae; genus Homo; species Homo sapiens. The sequence continues at coordinate 149,286,005 of NC_000003.12, read as the reverse complement.
GTTTAGGGATAATGCAGCCTCCCTCTCCAAGAGTCTAAACCTCACCAAATTGCTCCTGGGGATAACATCACTATTGTAAAACCTAAGATCAGTGCACTTGATGGATCAGTGGACACCACTCAGATCGGTAATCTGGCCCAACCAGTTGTGCCATCGCACACAGTAACAGAAGACATTAAGAAAACCTAACTTTGACCCACTATGATTTCATTGTGTCCGGAATTGGTGGGTTCTTGGTCTCACTGACTTCAAGAATGAAGCCGCGGACCCTCGTGGTGAGTGTTACAGTTCTTAAAGGCAGTGTGTCCGGAGTCTATACTAGAAATCATTCTTATAGGAGAAACTAGAAAAGCACCAGAGACAGGTAGCAATTTTTAGAAGCGGGACTAAACTCAGAGAAGAGAGGAGAGAGGAAGTTTGTCTGGCAGGCATTAGGAACCAGGGGGCAAGGCTCAGGATAGATAGGATAGATGGGCGAGTCTCGCTTGGGCGACATGCCTTTGAGAGTTCCGCTCATGGTCGCAGGGTCAACCAACTTGTTGTCGGGACCCCGGAGGTGCATGGCTTTCCTCTCTGTTGACCCTCGGCTCAGCCCAGAAGTACAGGAAAAGCAAAAGCTGGTTCTAGGCAAACCAATGGTCTCAACACCGAAGAGTCGGGAGTTGTTAGAAAGCCCTTTCCCAGAAAGCCTGACACCCTTGTCTTTAGTCCGGCAGCCGCGCTAGTCACTTTTAACTGGCCGACAGGTGCCCAGTATTTAGCCCCCGAACTCTAAGCAAAGACAGGACAGAATAGCAAGCGAAAGGGGTCCGATGGTACTCACTGCTTGGCGATAGGTGATTGTCTCGCCGCTCAGCTATAGGCGATGGTCTCACCACTCGGTGATAGGCGATTGTCCCATCTAGGTCGCCAAAATGTGTCTGGAATTGGTGGGTTCTTCGTCTCACTGACTTCAAGAATGAAGCCGCGGACACTCGCAGTGAGTGTTGCAGTTCTTAAAGGCGGCATGTCTAGAGTTTGTTCCTTCTGATGTTCGGATGTGTTCACAGATTCTTCCTTCTGGTGGGGTTCGTGGTCTCGCTGGCTCAGGAGTGAAGCTGTGGACCTTCGCGGTGTTACAGCTCATAAAGGCAGTGTGGACCCAAAGAGTGAGCAGCAGCAAGATTTATTGCAAAGAGCAAAAGAACAAAGCTTCCGCGGTGTGGAAAGGGACCCAAGCAGGTTGCCACTGCTGGCTCAGGCAGCCTGCTTTTATTTTCTTATCTGGCCCCACCCACATCCTGCTGATTGGTCCATTTTACAGAGAGCCGAGTGGTCTGTTTTGACAGGGCGCTGATTGGTGAGTTTACAATCCCTGAGCTAGACATAAAGGTTCTCCAAGTCCCCACCAGAGTAGCTAGATACAGAGTGTCGATTGGTGCATTCACAAACCCTGAGTTAGACACAGGGTGCTGATTGGTGTGTTTACAAACCTTGAGCTAGATACAGAGTGCTGATTGGTGTATTTACAATCCCCTAGCTAGACATAAAGGTTCTCCAAGTCCCCACCAGACTCAGGAGCCCAGCTGGCTTCACCCGGTGGATCCCGCACCAGGGCCGCAGGTGGAGCTGCCTGCCAGTCCTGTGCCCTGCGCCCACACTCCTCAGCCCTTGGGTGGTCGATGGGACTGGGTGCTGTGGAGCAGGGGGTGGCGCTCGTCGGGAGGCTCGGGCCGCACAGGAGCCCACGGGGCGCAGGGGGGTGGGGGGAGCTCAGGCATGGCGGGCTGCAGGTCCAGAGCCCTGCCCCGAGGGAAGGCAGCTAAGGCCCGGTGAGAAATTGAGCGCAGCAGCTGCTGGCCCAGGTGTTAAGACCCCTCACTGCCCGGGACCGGTGGGGCCTGCCGGCTGCTCCCAGTGTGGGGCCCACCGAGCCCACACCCACCGGAAACTCGTGCTGGCCCACAAGCACCACGCACAGCCAGGGTTCCCACCCGCGCCTCTCCCTCCACACCTCCCTGCAAGCTGAGGGAGCCGGCTCTGGCCTTGGCCAGCCCAGAAAGGGGCTACCACAGTGCAGCGGCGGGCTGAATGGCTCCTCAAGTGCTGCCAAAGTGGGAACCCAGGCAGAGGAGGCGCCAAGAGCGAGTGAGGGCTGCGAGGACTGCCAGCACGCTGTCACCTCTCACCATCTCCAACTTGACCAATCAACACTCCCTACTTTCCAAGCCCCTACCTGCCAAATTATATTTAAAAACTCTGATCCCCAAAGGCTCAGGGAGATCGATTTGAGTAATAATAAAACTCCAGTCTCCCGCACAATGGCTCTGGGTGAATTACTCTTTCTCCATTGCAATTCTCCTATCTTGATAAATCAGTCTGTCTTGGCAAAGTGAACCCATTGGTTGTTTACAGTACATTTTATAGATTTACAAAGACTCCCTCCTTTTTTTTCCTATCTTAGACTTTCGGTTTCTCGATAACCTGTTTCATAGCCCTAGGCAGTTGTCAGCTAAATAGTCTAAAATTTTCACATTAAAGGAAACAACTCAGGTGAAAATCAAATAGCAAAATTTACGTTATAAAATAGAAAGAGAAAAAAATCTGGCAGTGCTAGAAGGAGACACTTTTATTTTTCTTTGAGCCAAATTAAACATAAAATTAAACTACACTCTTCCTTAAAATCCCTAGAGTAGATTCTGTTGCAATAACTAGTTTAGTAAAAAAAAAAAAAAAAAAATCAGGTGAAAACAGAATTCAGTTAACTGAGAAAAAAAAAGAAAAAAAATAAACTTTTGCTCCAAAAGACAAGGTCTTAGGAGAGAAAAACAAACCAACAAACAAAACCAAAAACATGAAGGCCTTTCAAACATGCACACATGCACACATACACACACACACACACATCTTGGATGTTAGCCTTTTAATTAAGCTGACTTTTATCCAGTCCAAACTCAGCCTCCAGCAATTGTTAAAATTACCAGTTTATTGTGCCAGTGGCTTCTGCTCTAGGTAAGCATATTTCTTCTGTGACTCTAGATTGTCTGTCTCTTCAGATATGGGGATTTGCCCTACAAACTCCATTATCTGATGGGTTTAAGAAAAGCTGTTGATTTTCTTTGTCCAGTTTCTCTTGTTGTAAGGATTATGACTTCCATGCTCTTTACATGCTGGAGCTGAAACTGGAAGTCTTAGGGGTTGGTATTTGGGCATGTTGAATTTGACGAGTTCATTAGACTCTTGCTTCTCAAAGTGTGGTTCATGGACCTGCAGCACTGGCATCATCTGCGAGCCAGTGAGGAAATGCAGAATTTCAGACCCACCCAGACTTATAGAATACAGATTTTTCCTTTTAAAAAAATCTCCAGATGATTTTTCTGTGCATAAACATTTAAGAAGTTGCTATATTAACCATCTAAGTGGAAATGTGGCATAGATTATTGTATATACTGTTAGGCAGAGAGGTTCAAGCCAGAGACACACATTTCTGAGTTTTTGTCATGTTGGCACTATTTTAAGCCATGAAACAGATTCCCTGACCTACATCATGGACTTTAGTATCAGTGCACTCCAACTAAACCACAGGAACACATCTGTAGATGAACAAGTTGTGTTTGTTGCTTAACGCATTGAGAGAGAACATACATGATACAGAACCTTGGGGTATCTCAGAAAAAAAAAGCAGTGTTAAAAAGAACTTATTGTATGATTGGGGTTTGTGTTAGGTGATTTGTGGGGGATGTTTAAGGAAGCAGGGCTTTGCTCTGGATCAAAGGCAGTGAGAAAGTGGGGGAAATTTATGATTGGGTATCTTAATAAATGTAATCTATAAGAAAAGAAGAATGAAATAAAGCTAAAGCTATAATTGGTAAAGAGTAAAACAAAGCTAGAGCCATAAAATATAGTCAGGGAATGTGTGGTTATTTTTGAGATTTGGAGAATGTTCATGTTTCTCATGTATACTGTAAACCAAAAATAAAATTCTAAGGTCCCCCAACCATCTGAAAGGACTTCCTCCTCAGCCAAGGCTCTTTTAAAATTTTACCTGGAGACTGTTTCAGGCCTTGAAGGGCAGCGGGGGTTGGACATGCCTCATTACACCTCTCAACATTAACACCAACACAGACTTTAAGTCTGATAAGAAACATTTTTACAACCTATTGTTTCTGAAGCCTACTACCTAAAAGCTTCCTCTGTAAATAACTTGGGTCTCCACAATTCTTTATCTTAACCCAGACCTGCCTTTCTGTTGATCCAAGGTCTTTATACAAATTCAACCAATTGTCAACCAGAAAATGTTTAAATTTACTTATAGCCTGGAAGCCCCCACTCGGCATTGTCCCGCCTTTCTGACCAAACCAATGTATTTCTTAAATGTATTTGATTGATGTCTCATGCCTCCGTAAAATGGTATAAAACCAAGCTGCACCCCAACCACCTTGGGCACATGTTCTCAGGTCCTCCTAAGGGTTGTGTCACAGGCCATGGTTACTCATATTTGGTTCAGAATAAATGTCTTCAAATATTTTACGGAGTTTGACTCTTTTCATCAACAATATTCAGACATTTTCTGGAGTGGTATTGTTTTTCTTCTGGCTCCATTAGGGTCACAGAGTGGTGCTGTCTGATGTTGGTGTTCTGGGAGATTGTTTATGCCAAGGAGGAGGACACCAGGGCCTAGCTGTGAGTGCCAGGCCAGCTCCTAGTTGGGCAAAGCTTAGCCACTAGTACCAGGACAGCTCCTGGATGTTGGGGGGCTGCTTTTCTCTTTCTTACTGTTCAGTGTCTTCCCACTATTCCCTTCTGTGCCTTGCTTTGTAGGCCTCCAGTGTCTTATGTAGTCTACCCCATACTGCGAAAGCTTGTAATTTGCATAGCCTTAAACTGCGAAGGACTCAGAGCTCCAGCCCAAGTGGAACTCTCTCTGCCCCAGCTGCTAGCTGCTCTACTTATTCAAATTTTTCTAATCTAGTATATAGTTTCCCATAGAATAACCTTGATTATAAGGCAAGGAGTTTAATGGTAGGGCATCCACCAGGCTTTAAGTCCTGGATTTAAATTCTGGCAATAACATTTAGTTGTTTTGGTTAGTTGTTTAAAATCTCCAAGTTCCAGTTTCCTTATCTATAAAAGAGAACTTAATAAGCTTCCCTTTCAGAGTTGGTGGCACAATTAGAGCTAATATTTACAAAAGGGCTAAGGAAGAGCTGACTTTCAACAAATGGTGGTTATTGGTAGAAGTAATACAAAGAATAGAAATGGATCTAACAGTGACTGACATCCTCCATGGTGTCTTTAAACTCCCCATCTTGCCCCAACATCATTTATATCTAATTTATCAGCTTTGTTGGAAGATATAATTAGAGCCATATACTCTGAGAAAAACTGAGCATTTGTAGGTAATATAGAAGTCTACACACTTAAACTATTAAAGCCACTGCTATTACAGGTAGTATGAAAAGAACAGAAAATTTTATTTGGAATCCAGTAATCTATAGCTGACTACTGGCACTACAATTTGGAAATGTGCATTCTACAGCAAGTTACTTGACCTTTTGAGTTTTTGGTCTCTTATCTACAAATCAGATGTAAGGAAGGGGCAGGGGTAAGGGAGAGACTGTTGGGAAAATTACATAGGGTAATAATTTTCATTTATAAAATATTTTCTATATAGCAGAGTTTTTTACAAACAGATGTTATTATCACTAGTCCCTTATGCACATTTTTATTTGCTGTATTTATTTCTTAAACTTATTTACAGTTCTGGAATGGAAAAACCAGGAAGGAATCTAAATTTCCTCCAAGGTATTTAGCCTCACACCTTCAGGCTAAATTCAACAAAGTTTGGCTAAGTAAACTTAAATAAAGTGAGTTATGTTCTTGAGCTGTAACCAAGAATATAATCAAATGATAGTGACCAACTTTAAACACTGCTGTACCAAAAGGCTGATCTACTGAGGGCTATTCAGGGAGGAACAGAAAGGACTGGAACAATTATTTTCATCCTGACAAACAATAGTATGTAACATGACCTAGGAAAAAGTGCTTGACCCTTCACCCTTCAACAAGAAAAAAAAAATAGAAGCCAATTTTCCTAGTCACCTGTTGAGAAGAACCAAAACAACAAATATTTACCAATACCATGCTCTACCATTTTCGTTGTAGCTCTCAGTGGGCTGAGAGCTAACTTTTTCCATGTGCCTGCTCTGTGTCAAAGTAGAGGCCAGGTCCTCGCAGGAGCCATGAACTTTAATTATTATTACCCTTATATTACAAATAACAGGACTCTGGGTCAGAATGATTATGCAGCTCGTCCCACATGACACAGGTAGTAAATGGTGGAGTTGAACTGGAGGTAGATCTGCTTGAATTGAATATAGGAGATTTTTTTGCACTTTTTGGGGTACCTTGTGTAGAAAAAAAAATGCCAGCTGAATCGCTCCTTTGCTATCCATATTCCAGGGTAAAATTAATGTTCCTATGAGAATGAGGTAGAAGTCATAGAATGTTGGGAAGAAGGGACCTTTGAAAGCTCATTTAAAGAATCCCATTCCCACCTGGTGGGTGGGTCCTTTTACAGCTGCTGGTCCAGGCCACAGTGACAGGATAGGCTTTAAAGTTCTTCCATATACAGAGCTAAATTTATGGGCCTATAGCTTCCAACTATTTGAATCCAGTTGAGTTTCTTCCTTGAGGCAGAGAGCCCATGTATAATCCTTTTCTCTTGTGACACATTGTGTTTGACTGGGGTCTTCTTGCCAGCCCTTTCAATTGTTTCCCAAAAGGTGTGGGATGTGAATCTCTTCTCTTGGTTCTCCTGTGGGTGGTTTCTCCCATTGCCAAGGTCCCTCCAGGAGACCCAGCTTTTCTGAATTCCTTCCAAGATCTGCTGGTGACTTTAAATCTGCCAAAGCACTCGGTGGCTCAGGCAAGGATTGTGTAAACAATCCTAAGTCATGGAACGTGATCTACTCCTTAAGAGCTAAAGTAACCTTAAAGTGAGGCTAGAAACATATAGATGGTTCAGCCCAAAGAATTTGGTATGTCTTTTAAACCAAAATGCCACATATATTACTTGCTACATTTATATTTGATCTCTTCATCCAAAACTCCAACACTTTTTGGAGTATTGACATTTGGAGTATGTGGCATTTTCTTAAATAGGTATTGATATCTATATGTACACATGGGAAAAATACACTTTGATTTTGTGTGTTTTGAAAAATAGGCTGGGTGTCGTGGCTGATGCCAGTAATCCTGCCACTTTGGAAGGCCTAGGTAGGCAGATCACTTGAGGCCAGGAGTTTGAGACCAGCCTAGCCAACATGGTGAAACCCCATCTCTACTAAAAACACAAAAATTAGCCTGGTGTGGTTGCACACACCTGTAATCCCAGCTACTCAGAGTCTGAGGCCCAAGAATCACTTGAACCCAGGAGGCAGAGGTTGCAGTGAGCTGAGATTGGGCCACTGCACTCCAGCCTGAGCGACAGAGTGAAACTCTGTCTCAAAAAAAATAAGAAAGGAAAAAAAAGAAAAAAGAAATTATAGTATGTTTGTATATTAATAGAATATCCAAAATAGGTAGGAAAAGCTATGCTGAGGTTAAAATGAAAGAACTAGACTTCTAGGTACTGACATAAAAGACATCTAAGATATATAGTTGAGGAATAAAAGCAAGCTACAAAATTATACACACCATGTTCTTTTAATTTTTTAAAAATTTTGGTGGGTATATAGTAGGTGTCTATATTTATGGGGTACATGAGATGTTTTGATACAGGCACGCAATGTGAAATAAGCATATCATGAAGAATGGGATATCCATCCCCTCCAAGCATTTATCCATTGAGTTTCAAACAATCCAATTACATTCTTTGTTATTTTATGTATATTTGTTATTATTGACTATAGTCACCCTGTTGTGTTATCAAATACTAGGTCTTACTCATATATCATATGATTGTGTTGTCTTAATATTTCTAACCATGGGTTTCTAAACCTAAATTAGAGTCTAACTTTTGAAACACACTGTGGCTTTCCAATTCTAAAATCTCAAACAATACCTAATAGTAATAGATATTACAATACATGATGATACCCAGATCAGATCAATGGCTTATAAACATTCCTTCTCCTTTCCTTACTTATTGTATTCTCAGCCAAGGCACTCTATTTGTTCAATAAATTTGACATTTAAATCTAACATTTCTTGGTATCTCCAGGAAACAGAAAGAATAAATGCTTCCTATCTAATCTTCCTATCCTAATCTGTAGGAGTTATAACCTACTGGAGTAAAGTAAATACCACATGGAAATTTAAGCAACAGTCTGAAGCAGGATGTGGTTTGTTGACAGTCTGTGTCACAGCTGGTAAATTCAGAGAGGGGCATGTTTCTAAGCTGAAATGGTCAGGGAAGTCTTCACTGAGAAGGTGAAGTTTCAGTTGAGCCTTGAAGAATGGGAAAAATTTGGATTAGCCGAGAAAAAGAGAGGCTGAGGGAGGCAAAATCAGACTGGGAAATGGGCACAAATAAGATGAGATAAATTCAGAAAGCACATTATAACAACGAAGGAACAGGAAGTACTGTAAATAACACTTGTTAAATGTTGACTATGCATCAGCTTCCTTGTGTGTCCGCAAGCTCCTCTGTAAGATGGCTGTCATTGAATTTACACAACTTCCTAACTGGTAGGTAATATTATCATTTTATAAATGAAGAAATGAAGTTACATAATTACACATTGCTGATAACTGACAGTGCTAAGAGTCAAACACAGGCTGTCTGATTCCAGGTTTTCTGCATTCTCTCCCACCTCACACTGTGTTCCTAGTAAGAAAACTCCCCAAAGGGAAGGGATCCTATAAGTGAATTTTGGGGACAAATCTGGAATATCAGAGATACCAGATTGGGGCCTAGATTACATGGATAGTCTTAAATGCTAAGAAATTTGAGAATAACTTAATGAAAGTCTTAAATGACAAGAAATTTTAAATTATCATCTAGTAGAAAAACTTGATAAAGGTAGCATTTCAAGAATTTTCCGGGAATGGTACGTAGAATGGACTAAATAGTAAGAAAGTGGAGGCTGGAGACTAGACAGAAGAATATTCCTATATTTTAGGAATAGATAATCATTATCAAGGGACAGTGGATGATGGGCAACCTAACGATCCAGTGTGTTGTGCAACATTTCACCTCACCTGACAATGAAATCCAAAACCACTTGGAATGGAAATGACATATATGTTAATGAAGACAGATAATGTATGTCAGTAGACACAAATGAAAGAAGAAAGCCTGGATTATAAAAGGTAGGCAAGCCCTACTCAGTTAACTTCTCCAGGCTCAGAATTTGAAAATGAAGGCACTTTTACCATTGACCTTTCTGTTTTTTATTAGTTCTCCAGGTTGGGCAATAGATAGGCACTGCTACATAGGCATTGAAGAAAGCATTTGGAACTATGCTCCTTCTGGTAAAAATATGCTCAATGAAAAGCCTTTTTCTGAAGACCTGTAAGTAATCCTTTGCATTTAACAAGTTATTATCTGAAGCAAAAGTTGGTAATTGTTGATCATTGATGAAATGCTGATGAAAACTTTCTCATGATTGACACTTGCAGGACACATATGCCATTAGAACCACTTCGTTTGTTTAGTTCCAACATGGTATGGAAAAGAGGTAGTAATACAAATCCAAAATTGCTCTTTCCTGGAATGATCGCCACTCTTGTCTTCCTGACACGTTATTTTGCAGATCACAGCTAATTCTGTTTATCATTAATTTTGTTCACGTGATAAGGTATAAAACAACACTTTCCTTTTGATATGTGTGTAGCTGTTTTCTCGATTTTTCTCTTCAGATAATTGAGAGAGGGAAATATAGAGGACATGAGTGGGGTTCTGATTTACCACGGTTTAAGAGCAAAACACCTTAATGCTACCAACAAATCCACAAATCCATTTAAATGTGTAAACAGTCCTAAATCATGGGAACTGATCGACTACTTGAATGCTAAAGTAACCTTAAAGTGGGGTTAGAAACATAGACACAGTTCAGTTTAAAGAATTTGGCATGTCTTTTAAACCAAAATGCCACATGTTTTACTTACTACATTTGTATTTGATTTCTTCATTCAGTATTTCAACACTCTTCTCACCAATTATACCTGTTTTTGACTCCCATCACATTTTCTCCAGCCTCTGGGTTTTATCTGCCAAAATTAGGCTGTTGAGCTTCTGACTTTTCATTTAGCTTATTTAACACTTTGTTTCTTTCCAGTCAACATTTGTTAAAGTTCTGTCTTTTTTGTTTGTTTATAGAGAATTTCTACAAGGAGGTCAAGCGAGGAAGAGCTTTGTTTTTAAAAAGGCTTTGTATTTTCAATATTGATACTGATAATACATTTCAAAGGATCATTGAAAAACCATCCTGGTTGGGATTTTTAGGTCCAATGATTAAAGCAGAGACTGGAGACTTCATTTATGTACATGTAAAAAATAATGCTTCAAGAGCTTATAGTTATCATCCTCATGGGCTCACCTACTCCAAAGAAAATGAAGGTAAGCAGATCCTCTTTCCTGAGTTTTGCTTATGGAGAGTATGAGCACATTGCATTAGAAAAAGCCAGGTAATCATGGACTGGTCAGCATTCTGAGCTACGTGGAGTTTAGAGTGGATGCAGACTCTACTTCTGATGTATTTAAAGTTTATACCCAAGACAGTCCTTTTTTAGTTTCTCATCTTAATTGAGTGACAGCCCTTATGCAATTCCTAGGAAATAAAACACTTTTCCCTTACTCACCAGAAAAGAAAAAAAAGGTGTTTTTTTGTTTCGTTTTGTAGGAAACACTCATGAGCTAAATGTTAGGTTGGCAGAAATCCTGTTCTGCCCCCACCTCATTTCCATTTCCTAGTAGATGAGGATCACCCTCTGGGAAGATATCAGTATCAAGAGAAATCACTACTTTCCAGGCAGACTCTTCTCTCCTACACAGCTACAGTCACAGATACATCATGATTTTGGAAAAAAAAAAAAAGGAAGGGAAGAGAAAGCCAACAAATAGGATTTTGTGAGTTTTTGGGAGACAACAAGGAAAGCTAGGAAAACAGAGTTTGGAATTGTCTTTAGTAGAACACAGATATTTTTTCCCAGTGTTTGAAATATGGTTTTTAAAAGGCCTGGCATAAATCTTTAGAAAACTGGAATTTTAGGCCAACTTGATAAGAGTACCACCTATAGCATACGTGCTCCTTCCAACAGAGGCTCTATGATAATACAGGGCAGCGGAAATCCCATATGCCATTCCTTTCATCTGTCATCATTATTTTGCCATGTTACATGACCATCTTGCAATGATTATTGCCCTTTAAATATAGTCTATAAAAAAAAAGAAAAATAGTCTATATTATAGACATATAATGTGAAAAATGTTAACAAGAGTTTGCTTTATTTTTTTACTTTTTAATCAACTCTCAAAACTTGAACTGAGGTTTGATGATTCCGTCAGGGAAGCATGAAGAAGAACTAGAAAACAGGCCTTGAATTAATCCTCTGGACTGAAACAGACTCAGGAAACTGGACCATGACTGGAGCCAGTTCCAGCTGGGCCGCTGGGCAGGAAGAAAGTACAAAACAGTCAGTCATAATTTCTTCATGTTCAGTGTGGAACAGGAGGGTCCCAAAAGAAGAATAGAGAATCAGAGGCTGCTCATGTTTCAAAGTCTTTTATTGAATAAAGGAATTTTATTCATAGTTAGCAGGATCCAGCCACGAGGGGTAAGGATCTGAGGCAACACTTTAGCCAGAGAAGAAGAAAGAAAGGAGAGCAACGGTCCAAAGTCAGAACTGAGGTAATAGTTCAGAGTAACGGCATGGGCCACCTTCGGACTGCAGTGGGCTACTTGGAAGTAACAGGGACACCCTTGGATGCCCTGGGTCCCAAGTCTGACTGGCAATGAAGAAAATATGGAGGGCAACTCGGGAGTCCAGAGGTTACCTCTGCATCTGAGATCTAGGCACATGGTAGGTGCAAAATAAATATTTGTTGAATCCATCAGTAAGAGTGATGATAGCCTATTATATACTGCCTGCCTCATTCCAATTTAGTCTAAAAACTGCAGCCAAGCTGAGCATTCAGGTAGAAGCCAACTAAAGGGGATTTAGGGAGGTAGGAATCTGGGAAATGGTGGGGAGAAATGCACACTTTTTGAGAAATACAAAGTAGCATAATGGAGGAAGCCCGAGTCACATTCAAAATAGTGTTATCCAATATTTACTGTAACCACAGTGCAGAATATGTTTTCTAGGTGCTATCTATCCTGATAATACGACAGGCCTGCAAAAGGAAGATGAATATCTGGAGCCAGGGAAACAATATACCTACAAGTGGTATGTAGAAGAACATCAGGGACCTGGCCCCAATGACAGTAATTGTGTGACAAGAATTTACCATTCCCATATAGACACTGCAAGAGATGTAGCTTCGGGACTTATTGGACCAATACTGACTTGTAAAAGAGGTAACTTTAAAAAAAAATCTCATTGCAGTAAAAGAGTAAACCAGAATGGGTAGGCTGTCCTCTGCTCTCCTAGAGGAATTTTACTATCCAAGGCACTCCATTTTCCTGCCTTAACCTTGGTTTTCCAGTCAAGAATGGAAACTTGCCATCTTGGACTCTGAGCACTAGATGGCGATCTCAAATCCAACCCTCAGTTCAACCAATAATTCAGGTTGGTCACTAGATGGTAGTCAAACCCAATAAACTTCACTTCGGCCATCTTCCTTCAAAATTACTGCCACCTTTTTGTGTTTATGTTTTAAGGTGAATCAGTTAGAATCATCAGTTTATTAATAATTCTTGCAAGGAGGAAGTTTTGCTGATATGTTTCTAACTTGCAAGGGAATATAGAGTTTTGAAAATTCTGATTTGGTTCATTAAAACAAGATCAACAAAGCAACAGCACTAGATTAATTATGAAGTTAATGAGCAAATTTAACTTCCTATGACAATCAAAGTTTAAATTTTAGGTGAACAAACATCTCTCCACAATAAATATTTTAATAATTGCAGTTTCCTATGCCAAACACACATAGTCTCATGATTACAAATTACATTCCTTGGGAGATAACTTTTTTTTTTTTTTGTATTTTTAGTAGAGGCTGGGTTTCACCATATTAGCCAGGCTGGTCTTGAACTCCTGACCTTGTGATCCGCCCGTCTCGGTCTCCCAAACTGCTGGGATTAAAGGTGTGAGCCACCGTGCCCAGCCGGGAGATAACTTTTTAAACCAACTTTGGAAGAGCTTTTTGCCCTTCTCAAAATTGCAAGGAACTCAACTGCATAATGGCAAGATAAAGAATATGTGTTTATTATATTTAACTTAAACATTAGCTATCTAGTCTGAACATTTCCAAACTTTCTCCCTTTTCTTTTTAAACAGTAAGATAACTTAATGCTTTGCATTCTCAAAGGCAAGTATGTGAACTGCCATCAAGCCTTCCTTGGTTGGGTACAGTGGCTCATGCCTGTAATCCCAGCACTTTGGGAGGCCAGGTTGGGAGGATCACTTAAGGCCAGGAGTTTGAGACCAGCCTGGGCAACATAGTGAAACTGTGTCTCTACAAAAAAAAGAAAGAAAAAGAAAAAGACTTTCTCACTTACAGTTATGTTGATTTATGCCCTATGGTTTTAAATATAAGGCTGTTATAAAATATTTGGGACTGATAATAATTTTATAGAATATTATATTTTTATATACTTTTTAAATATTATAACTATTTTATTCCCACTGTCCTAAGCACTTTTCTCTTTTGTTCAATCTAAGCGCACAGAGGGATCTTATCCATTTTGAGTCATTTGTTTCCATCTGTGGGTTAATGAGTCTGAAATCTGTAACTTTGGTTCAAACTCCTTTACTGATAGTCAGGCCTGGCAACTTGGCGTCTCTACTTGGGTGTTTCATCCGTACCTAAATACGTCATATTCCAAAACCCGTCATTTGTTCCTGCCCTGAATCTCTCCCTTCCTTCTGTGTTCCCTGCCTTGGGGAATGGCCCCAGTATGCTCCAATTAGTCACTGGAGACAAAACCTTGGGTAACATTCTTGATACTGCCCTCTCCCTCATCACTTGCTAAATACATCAGTCAAGTCCCGCCAGCTCTACTTCGTACACATCACAAGGTCAGCTCACTTCTCTTCAGCTCCACGAACTCTAACCTAGTTCAGGCCACTGCCATCTTTTTGCTAGGATACCCACAACAGCCTCTTAGCTGCCCCACCAGTCTCTAGTGCTTCCCCTTTCAATTCATCTCCACTTGGCTTTCTGTCTGGGGGGTGAAGGTGGGAGGATGATTCTGAGTCTGTCACTCCTTTGCTTAAAATCCTTCAAGGACTGCTGATTGTTCTGACGATAAAGTCCAAATTCCTTTTATCTTAATTGCTGCCTGGAATCTTCTCTACAGGTACACCCCAGCAAACTCCTCATCCTTTAAATATCAACTGAGGTGTCACTGCCTTCAGAAAAGATTTCCATACCCAAAATTAAATTAACCAGCTCCCAAACACTGAACTCTTCCCTACTATAGAACTTTACACACTATAGTATCTTATTAATTGATGGCGTCCACCCTTGATTGTATGCCCTGCAAGGGTAGATAACTGTCTTGTTCACTTTTATAAACCCAACACTTGTCATAGTACCTAACACATTACAAATATTCAATAAATATTTGTTGAATATAAGCATAGAAGAATAAATAAATTGGTATGAACTAAAGTTATCCTTCGTTTGAGGAAACACAAATTTTTAGACTTTGAACAATCTCACGCGATAATGGTCATCAGATGCAGACACTGCAGAAAGTTACTGATTTGATGTAAAGATGAGTATGGATTCTTTAAATATGGCTTCATATAGGTAATATGCTTTTTTAAGTTTGTTGTAAACTTTACAAAAACCGACATCCCACATCGCAAACATTTACCTTTTTCACGTGCCCTAACAATTAACAAAACTGTAGATCGTAAAAGTAGTTGTATCTGTAACAATGGTTCTAATTAATGTCTACATGAAAAGTAAGAAATGTGTTTTTTGTTTCAGGGACACTGAATGGAGACACTGAAAAAGATATTGACAGGTCTTCTTTTCTGATGTTTTCTACAACTGATGAAAGCAGAAGCTGGTATAGTGATGAAAATATTCGTGCATTTACTGAATCTGGCAAGATTAATACTAGTGATCCCCGTTTTGAGGAGAGCATGAGCATGCAATGTACGATTAAAAGAACTTTCTCATACATAATATCTTATAATTCTAACTTCTATGATCGTATTCAGTCATTTCCCTTTGTTCAAGTTTATTTAGTTGAGTTTATGTTTTTCAGCGTTTCAATCAGAGTATACTGGGTTGACATGCAAATGCAAATCACTAGTAAAGCCTGCTCATTCCCTAAGTCCAATAGCAAGTAAAGTTTGGTCAATATTTGTTTTCTGAAGTCTCATACTGATTTAAAATAGACAGTAAAAACCTAAGAAAGACGTAACTTTAAGTAATAAAATATGGAATAACAAAGACATAATTGACCAAATATTTTATGAATATGTGTTTTTATCCAACATAGAATTTTTCAGAAATGATGTCATCATAATCCGTCACCCTTATCCTTGGTTTCTTCTCTCATGAACTTAGTTTCTATTTTTTTCCCCTTTTCACTGCTTCCTGCCTTTCAGGAACTTTTTCTCCTCTTGCCTTTAAACCTTTGTGTTCCCCTCACTTCTCATCATACACAATGCATATGGACTCCTTTCCCATGAAACACAAATCAGATGTTATAGATTATGTGTGAGAACAATGTTGACATTGTGAGGTTTATATTAATATGATGAGGAAATACACAGAATTTTTACCAGGTGGCACTGATCTATCATGCCTGATTGATTAATATACATTTGTTTTCAGCAATAAATGGATACATCTATGGAAATCTGCCCAATCTCACCATGTGTGCTGAAGATAGGGTCCAGTGGTATTTTGTTGGCATGGGTGGCGTGGCTGACATACACCCCGTCTACCTCCGCGGACAAACTCTGATCTCTCGGAATCACAGAAAGGACACCATTATGCTCTTCCCCTCCTCACTGGAAGATGCCTTCATGGTGGCCAAGGCCCCTGGAGTGTGGATGCTGGGATGCCAGATACATGGTAGTGATCTATTACTTTTGCGTGATACAGAGTCAGAGAACTTCCAAGGTCATAGCCCATTACAAATGCCTTACCTTACAAATGAAGAAACCGATATCCAAGAAGGTGATATGATTCCTTTTGGAAACAGTCAGTGATGGAGCCCAGGTCCCTGACAGCTTTAAATCCTTTTAAGTATATAGGATTGGGTTGCTGTTTTTACAAAAACTTTTATATTCATTGTGAGAATATAAACCCTGAGTGAGAACCCTGAGTGTCAGACAGAGCAGATATTATTACAGCTTTTTCTTTAACTGAGGAAACAAGAATCAAAATCCTATGGGAAGCAGAGCAAGAAATTATGCAGAACCCAATAATTCTAATTGATTACTCAAGTAAACCTCCTTATTTTTGTTTATTTCCCTCTCCACATTTGCCATTTAATAACAGAATGGTCAGTTATGTTGTTGTTTATCTTTTTTATTCTTGAATATGACAAAACTCTATATATGATCACGTAAATGTTCTGTGTTATTTTTCAATCAGAAAAAAACATAATTTTCATTAGAATTACAGAATTTAACTTTATTTTTTTGTGTGAGAAAAAGAAAACCACTCACGGCTATTATAACTCAAGGACTGAATTTAGTGATAAAAAGTTGTCACTTAGAAAAGATGATCATTTTCAGATTAAAATATACTCAGCTCCACCAATACCTCCTATCTACCTTATTCTCAGATCATACCCTCAAGACAGTCTTTCTACCTCAACCCTGCAGAAAGACTAGTGTCAGCCCTAGACCAAGTGAAAAAACGCCTCAAAGCCTAGTTGGCTGATGGGATCCCATCACTTTCTCCTGTGTGTCTCCTCTTTCTGTGTCCTTCTGAAGATTTTCTGCGCTTTAATTTACTCCATTTTTTTTAAGTAATTACAAGAATATATGAATAGACCTTTGTTGGAAAGAAAGGTAGGAAGGAAAGAAAGGAGGAAAAAAAGTGGGAGAAATGGAAGAAGAGAAGGAGGAAAAGAGGCAGAAAAATAGGTGGAGGAAAGCAGGCAGAAAAAGTGAAAGAAGTCTAATGCAGTATACATTAGCCTCCAGCTCAAAAGAGCTGAGAGTTAAATAATCCAGCAGTTAAATTATTGGTAGCTTCAAATTGGTTGCAATGGGAAGTGCTTACACTACAAAAAAATTAGCACATAAATCAGAGTTTGTGTTTAGTTTTGGAGAGCTGCTTTAAGGACACACCATCAGTCCAATTCCACCCCACCACCATCTTAGCCACTGTAATCAATTTGTGCAAGTATTTGAAAACCTGTTCGCTATGCACTTTCACACAACATAAACATGAACACGTAGAAATAAAAATACATAGCTATGTTTTGTGCTTTGTTTTATGTAAGTAGATCACACTGCATATAATATTCTGTTGTTTTCATCACTCATATCAAAGTCTTGAAGTCTCTTTCCATGCATTCTCTATACATTTAACTTTTTTTTTTTAACTGTTGCATAGTTTTCCATATTTTGGTTGTACTGTAATTTATTTAACCTTTTGCCTACAAACAGATGTTTAAGTTGCTACTGCCTTTTTGGTTTATTAACAATGTTATAGTTAACACCTTTTTTTTTTTTTTTTGAGATGGAGTTTCCCTCTTGTTGCCCAGGCTGGAGTGCAGTGGCGCGATCTCAGCTCACCGCAATCTCTGCCTCCCAAGTTCAAGCGATTCTCCTGCCTCAGTCTCCTGAGTAGCTGGGATTACAGGCATGCACCACCATGCCCAGATAATTTTGTATTTTTAGTAGAGACAGGGTTTCTCCATATTGGTCAGGCTGGTCTTGAACTCCCGACCTCAGGTGATCCGCCCGCCTCGGCCTCCCAGAGTGCTGGGATTACAGTCATGAGCCACCGTGCCTGACCTTATTTAATACCTTTTTATATGTCTCTTCATGTATGTGAAAATATTTCTCATGACTCTCAAGAAGTGAAACTATATAATGGCAGAGAGGTTTTTTTTTGTTTTTTTTTTTGAGTCATGCTCTGTTGCTCAGGCTGGAGTTCAGTGGTGCAGTCATGGCTCACTGCAACCTCGATCTTCTGGGCTCAAGCAGTCTTCCCACCTTAGCCTCCGGAGTAGTTGGCGTTACAGGCATACACCATCACACCCAGCTGATTTTTTTTTTTTTTTTTTTGTAGAGATGGGGTTTTGTCATGTTGCCCAGGCCGGTCTCAAACTGCTGGGCTCAAGTGAGGCCGCCTGCCTTGGCCTCCAAAAGTGCTGAGATTACACGTGTGACCCACTGCCTGCCAGGGCTTTTAATTTTAACAAATTTTGCCAAATTGTCTTCCATAAAGTCTATATTAATTTACATTCCCACCAACGGTGCTCTGAAATTAAAACACAGGACTGATCTTCTCATGCCTTGAGTTTCTTTCTTCCAGCCAACTAGTTAATTGAATAAACCAACTAACTCATTAATGACTAGTAGTAGTAATTTCATATTCATGAGGGAAGATGTTCTTGGACTCTCAAATTCTTCTCAGTATGTAGGTACCATCTTCACTTCAGAGTTGGTCCAAAGCTGGTTATTATTCTCTAATAATATATATGCCTTTAATATTCATTTTTGCATCCTGACTTTTGTACTTATTTCATACATCTTAAATTTTTCCATTGATTTCATACATCACATTTCTCAAAGAAATAGAAAGTCTCAATATTGTTGGCTAAAATTGAAAATATGTATTGACCAAGAAAATTGTCTTAATGTTTTAATAACATTCTCTATCTGTTTTTCAGAGAGTATGCAGGCATTTTTCAAAGTAAGTAATTGCCAGAAACCTTCAACAGAAGCCTTTGTTACTGGGACACATGTTATACATTACTATATTGCTGCTAAAGAAATTCTTTGGAACTATGCTCCATCTGGTATAGATTTCTTCACTAAAAAAAATTTAACAGCAGCTGGAAGGTAATGAGTCACTGGTTAAAATATTTATAGTTAAATAATTAAGATAATTGAAAAATTTCATAATCTAGTTACTTCTGAAAAAGATTTAGGCATCTAATTAAAATATACTGATAAAATAAATATAAGAAAGTAATTGGAAAATTTTGAAGCCAAGGAGCATTGCTAGACAAAATTCTTCTCTAAATGCGCTGGCCGACAATGTAAAGGAAAATATATTATTCATCTTTTTCCTAGCACAAAACTTTAAAATGGATTTACTCTATACTTATGAAACATTTAACAATATAGCAGACAATGTCATCAATAACATTTTATTAAAATTTTAAAACATTCTTTGTGTGCAACTTATACACTCCTGCTAAGATCTGAAGGCACAGTTAAATCATTGAATGTGATATCCTTAAACTATATTCTATAAATATTATGTACTCAGTAACACCTAAGACTATATTACCAATTGTTGTCTTAATAACCAAAAACTAACACTAAAATGCATTACTCTGGCATTCATTAGCATTTAAAAGTGGGCAAAAAGTTTTTCTGATAGTCCAACTGCCAAGTATATTTACCATATTGAGGACAACAGGAGATTTAATTCTTCTGGCCTACTGAGTGAAGACACATGTTAGAACAGACAAAGTCCTAAAACCACCAGAAAATAACGTTCTTTATGATACTTATTTTTCTCTAATGCACTCACAGGAATTTGAGAAAGCAAAGAATATTATGTCAAGTGACATTTTCCCGTCTTTATTTTTAATTATTTTTTAATGATACATGATATTTGTACAGATTTAGGGGGTACATATGATATTTTGATATGCGCATACAATATGTGATAACTAAATCAGAGCATTTAGGATATCCATTGCCTCAAACATCTATCATTTCTTTGTGGTGGAAACTTTTCAATTTTTTTCTTGTGGCTATTTTGAAATATACGATATAGTGTTATTAACCATAGTCACCCCACTGAGCTATTGAACCCTGGGGCATATTTCTTCTATCTAATTGTATGTTTGTACCCATTAACCAACCTCTCTTCATCATCCATTACTCCCCCACCACCACCCCCACACATTCTTCCAAGCCTCTGGTAACCATCATTCTATTTTCTACCTCCATAAAATCGACTTTTCTAGCTCCCATGTATGAGGGCATATGACATTTGTCTTTCTGCGCCTGGTTTATTTTGCTTAATATAATGCACCCCAGCATCCATGTTGCTGCAAATAACATGGTCTCAGTCTTTTTTATGGCTGAATAGCATTCCATTGTGTATATATAGTACATTTTCTTTACTATTCACTTGTTAATGCACACTTGGGTTGGATTCCATATCTTGGCTTTTGGGGATAATGCTGCAATAAACATGGAGGTGTAGTATCAAAGGTGTATCCCTTTGATACACTGGTTTCTTTTCCTTTGGATAAATACCCAGTAGTGGATTGTATGATAGTTCTAATTTTAGTTTTTTGATGAAACTCCATACTGCGTTCCATAATGGCTGTACTAATTTACATTCTCACCAACAGTGTGTAAGAGTTCCTTCTCTGCAACCTCAGCCGCTTTTGCTGCTTTTTGTATTTTTGATAATAGCCATCTTAACTGGGGTGAGATGAGATCTCATTGTGATTTTGATTTGCATTTCCCTGATGAAGAGTAATGCTGAGCATTTTTTCATATATCTGTTTGTTGGCCACTTGTGTATCTTCTGTAGAGAAATGTCTCTTCATTTGACCCTTTGCCTGCTTTTTAATGGGAATATTATTATTGTTATTATTATTATTACTGTTAAGCTGTTTGAATTCCTTGTATATTCTGGATATTCATCCTTCGTCACATGAATAGTTTGCAAATATTTTCTCTCATTCAACAGGTTTTCTTTCCACTCTGTTGATTGTTTCCTTTGCTGTGCAGAAGTATTTTAGTTTAACATAATCGAAATTGTCTATTTTTGTTTTTGTTGTCTGTGCTTTTGAGGTATTAGCTATAAAATAGTTAGATCAATGTCCTGGAGTGTTTCCCCCATGTTTTTTTCTAGTCAGTTTTTATATTTGGGTCTTACATGTAAGCATTTAATCCACTTTGAGTTGATTTTTGCATATGATGAGATATGGCCTCTAATTTCATTCCTCTGCATATGGATGTCCTGTTTTCCCAGCACCATTTATTGAAGAAGGTGTCCTTTCCCGAGTGTATATTCTATGTTCTTGTCACTTTTTTTTGTTTGGAAGGTTAGTTGGCTGTAAATATATGGACTTATTTCTTTCTGGGTTCTCTATTCTTTTTCATTGGCCTGTATGTCATTGGGTTCTCTATTCTTTTTCGTTGGCCTATATGTCATTGGCCTATAGGATTTTTTTTTCTATTTTTGTGAAGAATGTTATTGGTATTTTATAGGGTTGCCTTAAATCTGTAGATTGCTTTTGGTAGAATGGTCATTTTAACAATATTAATTTTGATCCATGAGCATGGGGTGTCTTTCCACTTTTTGTATCCTCTTCAATTTCTTTCATCAGTGTTTTGTGGCTTTCCTTGTAAACATCTTTCATCTCTTTGGTTAAATTTATTCTTAGGTTTTTTGTTTGGTTTGGTTTTTGTTTTGTAGCTATTGTGAATGGGATTGTTCTCTTGATTTCTTCTTCAGCTACTGTGTTATTGGTATATAGAAACACTACTGATTTTTGTATGTTGATTTGTATCCTGCAACTTTATTGAATTCATTTATTGTAAGAGTTATTTCGTAGTGTCTTTAAATTTTTCTATATATAAGATCATGTCATCTGCAAAAAGGAAAAATTTGACTTCCCCTTTTCTAATTTGAATGCCTTTTATTTCTTTCTCTTGCTTGACTGCTCTGGCTAGGACTTCCAATACTATGTCAAATAGGAATGGTGAAAGTGGGCATCCTTGTCTTGTTCCAGTTCTTGGAGGAAAGGCTTTCTGGTTTTCTTCACTCAGTATGTTAGCTGTGGGATTGTCATATATAGCCTTTATTATGTTAAGAGTGTAACTCCTATGCCTGATTTGTTGAGAGTTTTTGTCACAAAAGGATGTTGAACTTTATCAAACACTTTTTCTGTACCTACTGATATGATCATATGGTTTTTGTCCTTTATTCTGTTAATGTAATATATCACATTGATTGGTTTGCTATGTTGAAACATCCTTGCATCCCTGGGAAAAAAACCCACTTGATCATGGTGTATTATCTTTTTGATATTTGTTGGATTTGGTTTGCAAGTATCTTGTTGAGGATGTTTTCATCTATGTTCATCAGAGATATGTAGTTTTCTTTTTATGTTGTGTCCTTGTCTAGTTTTCGTATTAAGGTAATGGTGACCTTGCAGAATGAGTTAGGAAGAATTCCCTGTTCTTCAATTTTCTGGAATAGTTTGAGAAGAATTGGTATTAATTCTTCTTTGTAAGTTCGGTGGAATTTGTCAGTAAAGCCATCCAGTCCTGGGCTTTTCTTTCTTGGGGGATGTTTTTTTACTGATTCAATCTCATCACTCAATATTGGAGTGTTCAGGTTTTCTGTTTCTTCCTGGTTCAATCTTAGTAGGTTATCTGTGTCCAGGAACTTATCCATTTCCTCTAGGTTTTTCTGTTTGTTATTGTACAGTTGTTCATAATAATCTCTAATGATCCTCTGTATTTCTATGGTATCAGTTGTAATGTCTCCTTTTGTATTTCTAATTCTGTTTATTTGTGTCTTCTCTTTTCTCTTGGTTAGTCTAGCTAGTGGTTTATCTATTTTGTTTATTTTTTTTTTAAACTGACTTTTCATTTAGTTGAGCCTTCGTATGTCTTTTTAGTCTCTTTTTAACTGAGTTCTGATCTGACCTTTATTATTTCTTTCCTTCTACTAATTTGGGGTTTGGTTTATCTTGCTTTTCTAGTTCCTTGAGGTGCATCATTAGGATATTTACTTGAAATCTTTCTACTTTTTTTTGTTTTGTTTTTTGAGACAGAGTCTCGTACTATCATTCAGGCTACAGTGCAGTGGCATGATCTCAGCTCACTCTAACCTTCACCTCCCTGGTTCAAGTGATTCTCCTGCCTCAGCCTCCCAAGCATCTGGGATTACAGGCACACACCACCACACCCGGCTAATTTTTGTATTTTTAGTAGAGACAGGGTTTCACCATGTTGGCCAGGCTGGTCTCGAGCTCCTGACCTCAAGCGATCCTCCTGCCTTGGTCTCGCAAAGTACTGGGATTACAGGTGTGAGCCACCACACCTGGCCTTTTTCAGCTTTTTTAATGTAGGCATTTATTGCTATAAAATACTCTCTCGCACTGCTTTTGCTGAATCTTAAAGGATTTGTTGGGTTTCCATTTTCATTTGTTTCAATAAATTTTTAAATTTCTTACTTAATTTCTTCATTGACCCAGTGGTCACTCAGGATCATGTTGTTTAATTTTAATGTATTCGTACAGTTTCTAAAGTTCCTCTTGAATTCTAGCTTTATTCCATTATACAATGATATGATTTCAATGTTTTAAAATTTGTCGAAATATTTTGTGGCCTCACATATGGTCTATCCTGGAGAATTTTCCATGTGCTGATGAAAAGAATGTGTGTTCTGCAGCTAGTGGTTAAAATGTTTTGTAAATATCTGTTAGGTCCATTTGGTCTAAAGTATAGTTTAAATCCAATGTTTCTTTGTTGATTTTCTGTCTAGATGATTGGTCCAATGCTGAGAGTGGGGTGTTGAAGTTCTCAACTATTATTGTGTTAGAGTCTATCTCTCCCTTTAGCTCAATAATATTTACTTTATGTATCTGGGTGCTTTGGTGTTGGGCATATATATTTAGAATTGTTACATTCCCTCACTGAATTGATCCCGTTATCATTACAAAACGACCTTGTCTCTTTTTACATTTTTGACTTAAAGTCTGTTTTATCTGATATAAGGATAGCTATTCCTACTAACTTTTGGTTTTTGTTTCTGCAGAATATCTTTTTTCATCCCTTCATGTTTAGTCTTTATGTGTCTTTACAGGTGAAGTGAGTTTCTTGTAGGTAGCATATATTTGGGTCATTTTAAAAAATTCATTCAGCCAGTCTATATCTTTTAATTGGGGACTCTAATTTATTTATATTCAGGGTTATTATTGATAGGTAAGAACTTATTCCTGTCATTTTGGTAATTGTTTTCTGGTTATTTCATATATCCTTTTCCCTTCTGTTTCTCTCTTATTGGTTATAATTGCAGTTTGGTGGTTTTCTGTAGTCCTTGAGTCCTTTGTCTTTCTCATTTGTGTGTCTGCCATGCCAATGAGTTTTATGTTTTCATGTGTTTTCAGGATGGTAGATATTATCCTATTGCTTCCAGATATAGGACTCCCTTAAGCATTTTTTATAGGGCCTATCTAATGGTGATGAATTTCCTAAGTTTTTGCTTGTCTGGGAAAGATTTTATTTCTCCTTCATTTTTGAAAAATAGCTTTGCTGAGTGTAGTACTCTTGGTTGACTCTTTTTTTTTATTTTCAGTGTTTTGAGTGTATCATCTCATGCTGTTTTGGCCTGTAAGAGTTCTGCTGAGAAATCTGCTGTTAGTCTGATGGGGATTTCTTTATACGAGACTAGATGCTTTTCTCTTGCTGTTTTTAGAATTCTCTTTTTTCTTTCTTTGTTTTTGACTCTTGACTCTAATGTGTCTTAGAGAAGGCCTTTTCAGGTTGATCTATTTGGGGATCCTTGAGTTTCCTGTATCTGAATGTCTATATCTCTTGTAAGACATTTGAACTTTTCAGTTTATTATTATTATTCTTTTGCATTAACAGTGTTTGTTTTTTTAACAAGGAATGAAAACAAACTTTTTTTTTTTTAGGCAGAGTCCTGCTTTGTCACCCAAGTTGGAAGGCAATTGCATGATCACAGCTCACTGTTCCCTCAAACTCTTTGGCTCAAGCGATCCTTCCACCTCAGTCTCCCAAGTAGCTAGGTCTATAGGCACGTGCCACCACACCCAGCTAATTTTTTAAATGTTCTGTAGAAATAGAGTCTTACTACGTTGCCTTGCCTAGTCTCAAACTCCTGGCCTCAATCAATTTTCCCAGCCTCCCAAAGTGCTGGGATTATAGACATGAGCTACTATGCCCAGCCCTCAGCTATTATTTTGTTGAATAGGTTTTCTATGTCTTTGTCCATTTCTTCTCCTTCTGGAATACCCAACATTTGAATATTTGGTAGCTTTATGTCACTCATATGTCACATATGCTTTTTTCATTCTTTTTAATTCTTCATTTCTTTCTCTCTCTTTTTTTTTTTTCTGACTGGGTTGTTTCAAAATACCAGACCTCAAGTTCAAAAATTATTTTTTCAAGTCTGTTGTTGAAGCTCTAGATCATATTTTTAATTTTTAAAAAGCTCTTCAGTTCTAGGATGTCTTTTTGGGGTTTATTGTATATCTGTTGAATTTCTTGTTCAGATCATGAATTTTTTTCTGATTTCTTTGTGTTGCTTATCTGTGTTTTGTTGTATCTCACTGAGCTTCAATATTGTTATTTTGACTTTTTTTGGCATGTCATACGTTTCTTTTTCATTGGAATCTGTCACTGGGGAATCATTGTGTTGTTTTGGAAGTGTCATGTTTCCTTGCTTTTTCATGCTTCTTGTGTTTTACATTGATATCTGCACTTCTTCCCATTTTTTGTGGGGCGGTGGCTTTGGTAGGAAAAGAGACATTTTCTATAGATGTATTTATAGTGTGGATTGGGTAGGATGCTTTAACTTTGATTCTTGCTGCGTGCAGTCATGTGGTTTCTGTACAATTTCCTCAGCTGTAATCAGCATCAGTGGTGCCTGTGAGTTCCTTGGTGGCTTATCCTGTGGTTGTTAGTGGAGGTTTTGCTGGGGATGGGGATGCCAGATGGGACAGTCCTTGGGCCCCAGTGGTGGTGGCAGCAGGTTGAGTCTTCCCATCCTTGGGGCCCAGCAGCATACATGGGCACTGGTGTTAGAGGATCCAGACAGGCTAATTATTGGGCCTCCAAGTGGCTTTCTCAGGTGTCAGCAGTGGCAATGGTGAGTTGGGCGTATTTTTGGGTCCCTGGGTGGCATGTATGGTTGTGAAGGCAGGAGTGGTAGCAGGCCAACCCTCAGGCCCCCAAGTGACATGCATAAGTGCCAGTGGTGGAAGCAACAGTCTGAGCAGGCCATTCCCTAGACCCCCAGGTGGTACATGCAGGTGGGTGCCAGCAGAGGTGATGGCAGCAGGTTGGGCAGACCTGTCCTCATACCCTGGAAGTAGTGTACAAATTCAGCGGTGGTTGGTGGAGAAGGTTGATCCTCAGGCTTCGATAACACTTGTGGGCTCTGGCAGGTCAGGCACGCCCCCTGAGACTCCTGGGGAGGAGGAGTGCATAGACGCTGGTGATGGCAGGCAGGGCAGATTGATCCCCAGGTCCCTGGACAGCACATGTGGGCATTGGCAGAGGTGGCATCAGGCAGAGTGGACCTGTTCTCAGGCCCTCGATGGTGTGCATGAGTGCAGACTGTGGTGGATACGGTGGGTCAGTCCCTAGGTTCCCAGTTAATGTGTGTGGGCACCAGCAGAGTGGGCAGACTCACCCTCAGGCCCCTAGATGGCATGCCTGGGTGCCAACAGCAGGTGGGGCAAGACTGTCTTCAGGTTCCCTGATAGTGCACATGAGGAACAGCTGTGGCAGGCAGGGCAAGTCGATCCCCAGTACCCAAGATGGCACACTGGAGTGGAAGCAGCAGTGGGCAGGTGTGCCTGTCCTCAGACTCCAGGACAGCATCTAGATGGGCTGGTCTCATGTCCACCAAAGGTGCCTTCTGGTGTGTGGTAGCCCTGCTGCTGAAAGGGCAGTGTTTGCTATCAGTGGCAGTCACTCCAGGCAGATGGCTCTCAGGCTCTGGAGAGGGCATGCACAGCTCCCTTTGTTCTGGGGTAGCCTCCCTGGTGCACGGCACAGCCCATCCCCCACAGTGTAGAACATGGTATGGGCTAGAGTGGTGGGGACCCGGCCAATCTACTGGATACGGCTTCAGTGTCACAGTGCTCAGCCCTCTGAGTGGACACAGGAGAATGTCGTTGGGGTTCTAGGGATGTGGAGATACAAGGGCTGTTGGGCCCTGGGGCAGGATACAGTCTGGTTGGGGCTGGGCTCCCAAAATGGTGCCATGCTACAGCTACTTGGGTCTTGGGGGTTTTATGGGACCCAGCATGAACTCCCTCCCTGGAATGATGCCATTGTATCAACTCCAAGCCACTCTCTCTACTAGTCTCAGGGCCTGCAAGGGCTAAGGGGCTCTCTTGTGGCTAGGATTAGCGGGAATCCATGGTAGAAGTATGGACTGCTGAAGCTCTCTCACTTATCTTTTTCCCACACTGGGGAGCCTCTCCTGGCTCCCAGCCAGTCTGAGCAGTGACAGCTGCCTTGCTTCCCTTTCCTTCTGTGTCTCAGATGTTCTTTGACACTTTCCTGCCGAATTCCAGTGTTCTCTCTTAGATGCTGTATCCAACTTGTGATTATCTACTCAGTGTTTTGGTCCTTCTTTGTGAATGTGAGTGCCGGGTGCCTTTACTCCTTTTCTTACATTTTAAGCTCATCAGTAAATTACTCAATCTGTGTAATGGAAATTTTGTATTAAATGTCAGAAAGATAACTGGGCTTAGAGCAAAAAACTAGATTTAGATTTAGGGCTTACTCTCATTTTATATCGACTAAAATAAGTATGAATTAATAGATTCATTTTGCTTGATCCCCCTGGCTGTAAAATTCTATGATGTTTTGGCATAGCAAGTCACCACTTTATTGTTAGGAAATATTCTTCTCATTGTTAGGAAACTTCTTCTCAGAGGCTCCTTTTTATTATAACAATTTAAAAAAATAATAACATCTATCTTTTTAATATTATAGCATCTCTGCAAATAGTTGTTTTAATAGCAATATTTGTTATTACCCACCTGAAAAAGTCAGGTATAATATCTTTTAATTTTTATTCCAAAAGTAAGTTAGCAGACAACTAGGTAGATACATATAGATAATTATATATATGTGCATAGATAAAAGACTGAAAGGATATTTACAGAAAATACTGACTATGGTAATATATAGATGGTGGGATTATGGAGATTTCCATTTTCTTTGTTGTATTTTTCTTTCTTTTCAAAATTTTAGATTTATAATCAGAAATAAATTACAAATATTTTAAACAGATGTGTTTGGATTCTTTCTTTTCACGTGATAACTGTGAATATAAAAGTTCTTTGTGTATCTACCTTCTCTGCATAGTAAATCCCAGTTATTTTTTGAACGAAGTCCAACCAGAATTGGAGGAACTTAACAAAAAACTGATTTACCGTGAATACACAGATGCTTCCTTCCAAACACAGAAGGCAAGAGAAGAACACCTTGGAATCCTTGGTAAAATTCTATTCAGAGCTTGTAGGGTTATAAACATTATTTATAAATATTCTGCAATAAAAACAGTATTCATCAACTCAGTTAGAGATTTTAGCTGTAGTATTATAGCCTTATGAAAATAATACATCAATTCACCCAATGACTTTATTTTATTTTACTTATTTTATTTTATTTTATTTTACTTTATTATTTGAGACAGTCTTGCTCTGTTGCCCAGGCTGGAGTGCAGTGGTGTGACCTCTGTTTACTGCAACCTTCGCCTCTCAGGCTCAAGTGATCCTCTTATCTCAGCCTCTGGAATAGCTGGGACTACAGGAATGCACCATCATACTCAGCTAATTTTTGTGACGTTTTTGTTTTGTTTGTTTTGTTTTGTTTTGTTTGAGACAGGGTCTCACTCTTTTGCCCAGGCTGGAGTGCAATGGCATGATCTCAGCTCACTGCAACCTCCGCCTCTCAGATTCAAGCAATTCTCATGCCTCATCCTCCCAAGTAGCTGGGACCACAGACACACACCACCACACCTGGCTAATTTTTGTAATTTTTGTAGATACCGGGTTTCACCATGTTGCCCAGGCTGGTCTTGAACTCCTGGGCTCAAGCCATCCGCCCATCTCGGCCTCCCAAAGTGCTGGGATTACAGGCATGAGCCACTGAGCCCAGCCCACCCAGTGATTTTTAACTACATTCTTTATTCCTATAAATCCAAAGAGACTAATCTTCATCTAATATCTAATATCTTTGATCCAAAGTGACTTTATAAGACCTCGAATCATCTAGACTTCTTGCAGTTGCACCCCTTTCTGGGTTCATGGCATCATCCCTTTAATTTCTTCCTAAAAGAACTTTACTCAAGTAACACAACCTGACAATTACCTTTATGAAAACCAAGGATAACTACTAACTCTGTTGGTTTCTAGGCCCCGTTATTAAGGCAGAGGTGAGACAGACCATCAAAATCACTTTCTATAACAATGCTTCCCTGCCACTCAGCATTCAGCCTCCTGGACTGCATTACAACAAGAGCTAAGAGGGCTTATTCTACGAAACACCTGGAGGAAGTAAGTAGAGCTCAAGGGAGGTCCAAGTGAGCCATACCTCCATATAATGCCAGCAAGAAATATAACTCCTTTTGTGCAGCCTACCTGTCACAGTGTAACAGCTCTGTATACTTATTGTGGCAGAGTTATTACTTTAGTTCCTATTCAACTGTCACCCAAAGAGAAAGATCTGTTCTTGATCTGAGAGATCTCCCAGTCTAGACTAGTGTACTTACGGTCTTAGGTTCTATTCTATAAATGTTTATTTCTTGCTAGGTACCCCTCCACCCTCTTCACATGTAAGTCCTGGCACAACATTTGTCTATACATGGGAAGTTCCAAAAGATGTGGGTCCCACCTCCACAGATCCCAACTGCTTGACCTGGTTCTATTACTCTTCAGTAAATGGGAAAAAAGACATCAACAGTGGCCTTCTGGGGCCTCTCCTTATATGTAGAAATGGAAGTCTTGGAGACGATGGCAAACAGGTGAGTCCTGAAGCGTATCACCAGGTAACCCTTGGTGAGAGGTGCTTGAGACAGAACTGCAGAGGAATGACAATGTCTCAGGGCCAGAGGAATCA
Organism: Homo sapiens; assembly: GCF_000001405.40. Taxonomy (NCBI): domain Eukaryota; kingdom Metazoa; phylum Chordata; class Mammalia; order Primates; family Hominidae; genus Homo; species Homo sapiens. Next base: position 149,255,834 of record NC_000003.12, on the reverse strand, counting down.
GCAGCTTCAACTTCTGTGTACTGAAGTCTCCCAATTCTATTCTTACCTCAACTAAACACCTGTATCAGCCCATTAAACATGCACCCTGGCATGTCCCACAGACATCTCATCCTTTTGGACAGACCTTTACCATCCCTCCCTTTCCTCAATCAGCCTTTTCTTCCTCCGTTCTATCCCTTAGTTAATAATATCACCAAACCTTGGACTTTCATCAACAACTCCTTCTGTCTCACCTACACATTTATCACTTAAGTCTCCAATACCTCTGCATTATTTTAGGCACTATCATCTCTTTCTGAATTCCTTTCATTCTTAGCTTCTGTCTCCACTCTTATCTTGCTTTAATACAGCTAGTCCACATCCCTCCCTAAAGAATCTGGTTATAGCACTACCTGCAATAAAGATCTCCCCGCAATTTGTTGGCTCAGAAGCCAACACATCAGATCTTGACAGTTCCTTCAGATTTATGTCCCCTCCCACCTCTACACTGCAGAATTAGCTTCTTCTAAATGGCAAAGTAGAATTCTGCATTATGGTGGAATTAGCTCATTAGGCCCTGAGTAAGGAAAGCTATTTGACATCTCTGATTTTCCCCTCTTCTCTCCATCTGGAATGGCCTTTCCTCAGTGTTTGATCTGCCAAAAGTGGGAGACATTTTTGAAACTCAGACTGAGAGCACCTTCCTTTGGACAATGTTCACTAACTAAAGTTAGTTGAAGCTCCTGCAGGTTACCGTAGTCCCTTAGGTATGTTTCTGTTAGAATATTTATCCATGCAATTGTTTTCATTGGCCTGCTTCTTCCACTAGACTGCTTCTAGTGGAAGTATACACAAGATTTTCTAGAAAGTTTCTAGAAAGTGTACACAGGATTTTATTAATTTTTTATAATAACCACAGCTCCTCTTGGGCATATAATAGGTGCTCAATAAATGTTAGTTAAATGAGTTTCTCTTTTTTCTCACTCAGAAGTGAATATCTAGTTCTTTTCGACATTTATATAAAAAAGTATAGGTAACAAAGCTTTATAAATCCATACATGTATAACAATGTATATCTTATTCAAAATTATAAATATATATTTATATTTATCTATATAATGAGTTATATTTATAGTGTCATAATTCTTATAATACATATAATTTTTACATTTAATCTAGTGATGTGTTTATATTAAATTTGCTCAAAAGCCCTAAAAATTCAGACTTTCTAGAATTGAAAACTATTTATTTAACTTACTTTCCATAGAGTACATTATGTTAAAAGCCACTATAAACATCTTATGGTTTAGTTTATGAAGTTTAGATATAGGAATCCCTGGAGGAAACACTTTATATGAAAAAAGCCATAGAGATTTCTCCCAACTTCTTAGGTCTGTGATAATTCATTCACTGGGACTTGTGCCTTTCTACGGACTATCCAAAATCAGGAAGTCAATTGATCAAATTTTTCACAAGTACACAATCTCCTTATGTGGAAAACACTGTATGCAGATCAACCATTTGGCTAGATTTGAATATGGACCGTCTATACTTCATGTCTATTCCTTTTTCTGTTCTCATCCACAGAAAGGAGTAGACAAAGAGTTTTACCTACTTGCCACAATATTTGATGAAAATGAAAGTAATCTCTTGGATGAAAATATCAGAACATTTATCACAGAGCCTGAAAACATAGATAAAGAGGATACAGACTGCCAAGCCTCAAATAAGATGTACTGTAAGAAACAATTTAACTTATAAGATAAATGCATTAAACACTTAATTTTATTTTGCCTAAAGAATTATGGATTAAAAGAGACTTAGGTTTTCCCCACAACGGTTGGCTAATACGTTTATGTTTCCTTTAAATATCATTTCCTGGCCACATGCGATGGCTCACGCCTGTAATCCCAGCACTTTGGGAGGCCGAGGTAGGTGAATCATCCGAGGTCAGGAGTTTGAGACAAGCCTGGCCAATATGGTGAAGCCCCATCTCTACTAAAAATACAAAAATTAGCTGGGAGTGGTGGCAGGTGCCTGTAATCTCAGCTACTTGGGAGGCTGAGGCAGGAGAATCGCTTGAACCTGGGAAGTGGAGGTTGCAGTGAGCTGAGATCGCGCCATTGCCCTCCAGCCTGAGTAACAAGAGCAGAACTCCATACCAAAAAATAAGTAAATATATAAATAATAAATAAATATCATTTCCCAAGAAGAATATTGTCTACTAGGGTGATTATTTTGAATTTAACTTACCAAATATTTACCAACACCTTCTTGGTGCAATATATTTTATCTATAGCTAAATGTGAAAAGTCACGTACTTCTCTACTGCCAAATTCGTAGAGTGGGTGGAGTAGGGTGTTTGTTGAGCTGGTTGGGTGGGTTGGTGGGTGGCTGGTTGGTTGGTTGTTGGTTTTTGAAGACTGTACAGTGCATTGGGAAAAGGGTTGATCCAGAATCTGGAGACTTGGACTTTGGTCTTAACATTGTCATTTGTTAGCCGTATGACATTGGACAAGAAACTATTTCTCTGGCCTTAGTTTCCTCAACTCTAAAAGGAAGAGCTTGACTGGAATAACCCAATGAGGGTATCATGGAATTCTGTCATTCTCTAATTCTATAATGTCATTTTTAGCCCCCATGAAGTGATTAAATAACAATAGAGGAAAGGAAAGTTGAAAAAATTGCTTTTTTTTACGTGAATGAGCTGCTTCATGATTAATGCTTTGTTGGGTTTCAAAAGATATCAAGTACCAGTGAATTAAATACTCTTTCCTTTGTTACAAATACCTTGCAGCCATAAATGGATACATGTATGGAAATCTGCCTGGATTGGACACGTGCTTAGGAGACAACGTTTTGTGGCACGTTTTTAGTGTAGGATCAGTGGAAGATTTACACGGGATATATTTTTCAGGAAATACCTTCACTTCTTTAGGAGCAAGAAGGGACACAATACCTATGTTTCCTTATACTTCTCAGACGCTTTTGATGACACCTGATTCTATAGGTGAGCAGTGGGTCTTCTCATTCAGCCTGAAACATTAAAGTATGCAGAAGCACTATCTTTATACGCACTGAATATTCTGTACAGGAAAAAAAAATTGAACTGATACAAACAATGCTTGAGAAATCTTTGCCCTGCTCCACTTCATTTATAAGAGCCTTAGTATTTCATTTTCCTATACACATAAATCACCTCAGTTTTTTCAGGTCCTCTTCCTAGTCCTTCAGGCTTTAAACCATCCCAATGCTCTTCAAAAATGATGAAGATGTTTTAAACCCTTTAAACTCATTTTCATTCTGTTGTCTTCTGCATTTCTTACTCTTCTGTCCATTTGTTTCCCAGGCCTTCCTGCTGCTTCGACCTTACCCTACTGCCTTGTGACTTCCTCTTTCTATCCTCCTTACTAGCTTTGCTCTCTGGATAAATGTTTTAGCTTCAGTGAGGTTGATCCTTGCTGGCAACATTTTTTTTTTTTAAAGAAGGCACCCCATATCAAAGAACTGTGTGGGGATCAAAGGAAACCAGCCTTCCTTCTGAACCTCGTTTCCTCATTTGTAAAATAGGAATTGTAAAAACTTGTAATTTGCAAAAAGGAATAGACAGTGATCAATGAGATAGGTAAAGTATAGTAAACTGCCTGGCATATGTTAGACTTTCAATAAATGCTAGTTCCTTCTTTAATCCAGTAGATCCACCCTTGTCCCATATACCTGCCCCCCCGCCCCAAAATACATCTATCTTGGTCAAAAATGACTGATATCAACCAAAATCTGGCTATATGATAAACAAACTACTCTGTAAATACTATGAATTGGTATCTTGACTCTTTGTGATGCCAAATATTCATTTGACTACATTTTCTTCATTTCAAAATTTAAAATTTTACTTTTCAAACAAACAAAAGTTGTGATTCAGAGTAATTGGAGGGGAAAAGAAAGCGATCTTTGGCCCAGCGCGGTGGCTCACACCTGTAATCCCAGCACTTTGGGAGGCTGAGACGGGCGGATCATGAAGTCAGGAGATTGAGACCATCCTGGCTAACATGGTGAAACCTTGTGTCTACTAAAAATACAAAAAAATTAGCTGGGCATGGTGGCAGGCGCCTGTAGTCCCAGCTAGTCGGGAGGCTGAGGCTGGAGAATGGCATGAACTCAGGAGGCGGAGCTTGCAGTGAGCCGAGATCGTGCCACTGCACTCCAGCCTGGGCGACAGAGCAAGACTCGGTCTCACACACAAAAAAAAAAAAAAAAAAAAAAAAAGAGAGAGAGATCTTTCTCTGGTGCTTTTTTTTTTCCTCCTCTTTTTTAGAGGATGTACCTGCATGCTCATTCAGGGACAAGTTATTTCTTTTTCCTGCCCCAGTCCTTCCTCTCCTTTCCCCTGCAGGTGTTTTTCTGGATTTAAAAACTACCTTGTCTCATTCTCTTTTCCAAAGCATATCAACTGTAGCAAACAAGTGGAGACAGGTACACTATGTGTTAAACACGGTGCTAGAGCTTATACAGGGATTATGTCATTTTCAACAAATTCTTTTTCTCAAACCCTCTGAGTCTGAAGGTTTTGCTTCCTTGTACATCTTCCTAAACCTTACCCTCCACAAAAGTCACAGCAACAACAGAAATACGTAGAGTTGAAAGAGAGCTTTCGTCAAGAAGCAGTGTCAGCACGTGGTGGGCCTAAAATTACCAAGGTAAAAGAAAGAAAACTGGAATTCAGGTGGAATGTTCTGGTCAGAATCAGGCTAGAGTTTTTTTGTTATGGTGGTTTGTTTTTGTTTTTGTCATTGTTTTGGATTTTTAATGTATTTTTAATGTATTGAACTTTTTTTCACTCCCTCCTCTGCTACCTACCACTCTGATCAAAGCCATCATCTCTCATCGATTATTTTTAATAGCCTCTCAACAGATCCCGTTTCTTTCACCATTGTACACGCCAGCCTATTCTCAGCACAGCTGCTAGAGTGTCCTTATACCCTTCATTGACTTAAAATCCCACAGTGGCTCTCCATTTCACTTAGTGAATGCTATCATGTATTCAGTGGCCCACAAGGGCTCCATCACCTAGCCCTCTGCTCCCTAGTACTTTCACCCTTGCTCCCTCCCTCCAGACACACAGGCCTCTTGGGTGCTCTTCACACACACCAAACAGGCTCCTGGCCTGGGGCCTTTGCCACCTGTTTATTCTGCCTAGAGAGAACACACTTTTCCTCCAGACCCATATCATCTCTTATAAATTTTTGCCCAGGTATCACCCTCTCATCGAGGCCTACCCTGCTTACCCTATGATATTGCTCACTGCTCTCTTGAGCCCTTCCCAACACACACCCAGAATCCTCAGTCCTCCTTACACTGTTTTACTTTTTTTCTTTAATCATAGCTCTTATCACCTTCCAGCATACATACAAGTTGCTTAACATGTTTATTGTTTGTCTCCACAACACCTTGCAATATGAACTCTGAGAGCAAGAATTTTTAACTATTTTGTTCTCTGATGTTTCCCGAATGCCTAGAAATATGTCTGACACAAAGAAGGTCATCAATAAATATTTGTTGAATTAATGAAAGAATGAACAAATGATTTTACTATATTTCTTTTGAGGGTTGCAGCTTATTAATAATTTTACAGAGGAAAGAAATCTGAAGGCAAGGCTTTAACCATTCCTTTCTTATTCGTCTGTAGGAACTTTTGATTTGGTTTGCATGACAATAAAGCACAATCTAGGAGGCATGAAACATAAATATCACGTGAGGCAATGTGGGAAGCCAAACCCTGATCAAACACAATACCAGGAGGAGAAAATAATTATTACCATTGCAGCCGAGGAAATGGAATGGGATTATTCTCCTAGTAGAAAGTGGGAGAATGAACTCCACCACTTACGAAGAGAGAAGTACCATGATAGCTCCAGTCTCTAAATGGGAAGGGTTCTAAGGGTTCTTTCTGAGTCTTCCTCTCTTTCCTTTCAGTCTCTCTGTGTGTGTCTGTGTCTGTGTGTGTGTTGTATTTATTTGTGTTTGGTATGGTGGGTGTGTGTGGTATATTTATTTGTGTTTGTTATGGTGTACGTGTGCATAATGGATATGTGGATGTGGTATTTGTGTGTTTAGGATATTCTCCATTATAAATCACTTCAAAATTTGTGTGTGTGTGTGTGTGTGACATATTCAATTGCAAAGGGCTTCAAATCTTTCTAAATATCTATATAACTTACTTATGGGCTTTATTTCTTCCTGCCTGAGTTTTCACTTCTTGCATCCTTCCTGGACATATGTTACTGTCTGATCTCACCACAGGAATAGTGACATAACTTCAGCTACATTCAGTATCTACAGTCAGGTGTTTCTTTTGTCTTCATTTTCTTCTACCTCTATTCTTCTGAGAACTTCAAATTAAAGACACCTGTTTTTCTCTTTTTGTACAATTTGATTTCTCTCTCTGGTTTTCTCTCTTACTGTATATTTATTTATAAAAACTAAATTTTATCCTGAAAATAAGCTTTGAAATGTAGAATGAATATCTACCTATCTTGCTAGAATTAATATATATTTTTAAAAAGATGACTTACATTTTTAGGTAAAACAGCTTCTAGATATAAGAAGTTCTTCCATATGAGTTCTTTGTCTAAATTAATGGTTAAATTAACTAACTTTGTGGGGTTTTTTTGTTTTTGTTTTTATTTTCTTAAAGCCAAACGAGCATGTATGTGGACAGAAGTGGAACACTTCTTGGGTCCAAATACAAGAAAGTCTTATATCGTCAATATGATGATAACACGTTCACAAATCAAACAAAAAGGAATGAAGGTGAAAAACATCTCGATATACTAGGTATTGGTATGCCATAAGATTGGTTTTCGAGTTTTTCTTGTCCTCAGCCATTAGAGATTGTTGTACACATGGAGGCCATTGTCAACCTCTACTTCAACAGAGGAAAGTACCTGTAATTCTGGTTTGTTTGCTGATAGGCATTTTCATTGGGGGAAAAAATGATTCAAGTGTTGTTTCCTAAAAAATAAGGAGAATGTAGAAAAGTAATGTGCTCAGTTTCAGATTACCTGGATTCTTGCTCTCAGAATTAAAAAATTCTAGAAAGGAGTTTAGAAGTAGCGTGCAGGGATCATTTCAATACAATTAAAACAAAGCCCAGGGGACCCTAGTATAGTGAGGAAAGGAACTTCTTTATGTAAATTTAAGTGTCTTCTGTCTGAGTGAGGAAAAGTACAACTCTTTCTTCCACCCTTGATAGATCAAGTAGGAAACCTCTGAGTCATCCCAGGTGCCCACATGCGACATTTCCACACGCCCAACTCCTGTTTCAGTCTTAATATCTATGTGTATATTAGAGGTTATTTTATGATGTGGGATCCTGAGGAGATGGATTTACATGCTGATGAAGAGGAATTTTTGCTCTTTTTTGCTCTCCGTCAGCCTCTAGAGCTTGTCTCTTTGTGAGCCCTGGAGGGAAGCCTGTGCTATCCTGTTGCTGCTGCTTTTGAGTGGGCCCCTATCTTTAGTAACCACAGGATGTTTGTTTTCTCTAGGATTGTGGCTGAATGCATGAAGATAAATAACGCAATCTGACCCTCAAGGTTCTATTATTATTTACGCAAAAAGGAAAACACTTTATTAAAAAGAAAAACCATGCATATTGTTTGGGGAGGTGAAATGGTCACAGGGAGCAAAGAGGCCCTGTCTTTAGCTAGCATTTAGCCTCCAGCAGGCATCTTCAGGGCTCTAATTTTAGTAATTGTAGCACAAGTTTGCAGAAAGTTCTTGCTGCTTATCTCATCTCAAAACCACCTGTGTTTCAGAATTTTTCAGAGCCACTAATTCAACCTGCTTCCAAATAGAAAGAAGATTTAAAATGAATTTTATACCTGTAGTTTCTGGCTTAGGATGAAAGGGAGAGAGAGTAAAATGAAGGTTTTTAGTCTGTAAGAGAGAAAATCACTTTGGGTCAATAAACAGGCCTTGCAGCTCCTTGCAATCCTCCAGTAGAATAAGGAGCAAGGGAATAAAAGGCTTGAAAGTTGAGATTGGTCAAGAAAGAAAAGAAAGGGTTTCATTTTTAAATTGTATGTTTTCCTAGGCATAAACCGTTGTTCATTAAAATAAGTTTTCTGGCAAAAAAAAAAAAAAAAAAACTCATAAAATTCTAAATGATTTAAAAATTTCAGGCAAAAATCATGTTTCATAAATCAGCAATGATCTACTTGTTAAATGTTTTTATTTCATTTGGCTGCATGTTAAGTAAAAGGATAAGAATAAGTCACTGTGTAAATAAGAAGAGAGATGACTCATAATTTAAAATAAATAACAATTACTCAGACATATTTCTTTTTATATTCCCTAGGTCCATTAATATTGCTCAACCCTGGTCAAATAATTCAAATTATCTTTAAAAATAAAGCCGCAAGACCGTATTCTATTCATGCTCATGGAGTGAAAACAAATAATTCCACTGTTGTTCCAACTCAGCCAGGTAACTACTTTGGGAGAAAAATAATCCCCAAAGCTTTTATGCAGGACTACGAGGCTAATGTTCTTTTAAATATATGGGTGCAGTTCCAGATGAGAGAGACGAGTGGACTAGTAAGATGAGCCTGAAGAAAGCATTTGGCGGGGGAGTTCCTTCTGCAAGTCAAGTTTACTTCCAGGCTGGGGCACCATGAGCAAAACTGTGAAGTGAAGGTTTGGTCTTCAGGGCCTACCTCCCCAGTGTATGAATTTCTCCTCTAGGTCCACCCTCCCTCCCACCGCTGTACCTGTCCAGCTGCCAGGTATTCTTATACTATATACAATCTCTCCAACTAAAGTGCTAAAGTAGGAGTTGAGTACAAGATGCAATATGTGAGAAAGTGGGGGAGGATTGAGCCAATAAGAGGAAATGATGGACCCCATGTATTAACATTTCCGTGGAATGGAATCACTGCTATACAGCATGCCATTCAACATAATTAACTCAGAAGAACATTAATATATTTTACTTAAAAATGCCCAGTAAGCAGACTGTGATATGAGGATTTGTGTGTAGATAGTGCTCTTGGAATCAACTAATATGGAAAGAATGAGAAATGAGTAGGATTGGACAGGGAGTGAGGTTAAGCAGAGATGCAGCCTCAACAGAAGTCACAGCCAACACAGTTCTGAAGATAGGGTGACCTTCAGCTTTCCTAAGCTGGAGTGAGAGAGCTGGGCTGTTATGTCCCTGAAGCAGTCATTAGATGCAATCTTGAGCAAGGTAGCTTTCTTCAGCCAAGGCTCTCTCTAAAGGAGGCTGACGCCTGCTGGAGTGAAATGTTCTTCATTCTTGATTGGGAATCTAGGGGTGGCATCAGAATGTCCACTATAGTTGCTCACCAAAACAAGTAGTTTTGGAAATTAAGAGTATCAATGAAAGCCAAATTCAGAAAGAAAAGATTTGTAAAGCAGAGGGACTGACAATAGACTTTGATGGTGGGCGAAATGTTTCTTTTTGTTTTTAAAAGCAGTCCTGTGGTCTGTTAAGTCTCATATCAAGGGAGTTTGCAAGTCAGTCCACTGCTCTGATTAGTTAAGAAAGGATCTACTACATGCATTCCACAAACACTTCTGAGTACTCTACCTGCTGTATGCCAGGCATTGTGTGATGTACTGGAAGGCAAGGGTTAGTGCTAAGTAGATTGTTACAGATTTGGGAGCTGGAGGTGGGGTTGGTTAATGTCATAGGACTATAACTCCCATGGATCTGTGGAAGTGGGAGATACAGAATTACGGTGGGGAGGGAGCAAAAGAACTTCACTGCAATATAGAATATAGAATTAAGATCCAATAGGACTAATATGCACAGCCTTGAGGGCAGGGAGGAGGTACATGTGATCCACACATTGGAATGTTCAGAGCAGGGATTCAAGGCTTTGTCACATTGAGTAATTGCCACATTGACTAAGATCACAAAGCAAGAAGTGAAACCAGAAGTGAAAGCTAGGACTATGCTGCCTACTATTTTTATAGCTTTAGTGTTTGCTCATTGTCTGGTTCTCCGTAAAGAAGTCTGATTTTAAAAGCTCTATTTAAATACACTTCATTTGTCTATTTCAGGAGAGATTCAAATATATACTTGGCAGATACCTGATAGAACTGGTCCTACCTCACTGGACTTTGAATGCATACCTTGGTTTTACTATTCAACTGTATCTGTGGCTAAGGTAAATTTTAAATCAAATAACAGTTCTTATCCTATCTCCTCCCAGAAATTATAACGGAAGGAAGAAGGTATTTATCATTGCTCTTAAGAACCTTAGTTCCATGTAAACTTTCTATTAAGTAACTTAATTACTGTTCAGCTTTTATTCCTACATTGGTCTGCATTTTTCAAGAGCAAAATAAACTATTACCTCATGATTACTTAGGCTTATAATTCTTTGCATAATCTCACTGTGAATTGAAAAATATATCTAATTATACAATAATAGACTATACTTTGTTCCACTGAATAGTATTCGAATTACAGAAAACAACATACACTAAAGAATTTTAAAATTCAGTTGGATGTGGTGGCTGATGTCTATACAAAAAATTTTAAAATTAGCCAGGCGCAGTGGCACATGCCTGTAGTCCTAGCTACGGGAGGCTGAGGTAGGAGGATTGCTTGAGTCCAGGAGTTCAAGATTATGCTGAGCTATGGTCACTCCATTGCCTAGGTGACACAGCAAAACTTGGTCTCTAAATAATAATAATAGTAACAATAGTAATCATAAATAAAGAATGGTATAATTCTATGATTAATAAGAAATATATATATACATATTGTGTGTGTAGGGGGGTGTATGTGTGTGTGTGTTTATATTTAAAACCCTCAACTATAGGGTTCAAGTTTATTTGCACTAAAAAAAAAAAAAAACAGTGCAAGTATTCTATTTGAACTCTTATCTTGGCCCACTCTGCCTGGAACAAGAATCTACACAGAGATTTAATTCAAAAACAAAATGAAGACAAACAAACCAAGACTCTCAACTAAAAGCTGCTGCAGGGGCAAAAGCACAAAGGTGAAGGGACTAACTCCTTTAGACTTCCTGCCAACCAACTTCAATGCCAGGAATTCTAATTAAAACCAAAATTCTTTTTTTATTAAAATGTCAAAAATAGAGCTAAATCCACTGAAAAATGTATCTAAAATCCCTTTCAGAGGTTTGGTGTTCTCTTTAGACTTCAACTCTAATGAATGAGGTTACAATTTTTCTTCAATCAAACATTGAGCATGTCAAATATTTTGTTCTTCACTCTCAGAATCCTGATAATTAAAAACTCAGGATTTGACCTCATTAAAAACTAAAACCGGATTCTACCTCTTTTATTTTGTGGGGGAAAATGTTAGTTGTGGCCACAGTGAACGATCTTGCTTTGCCTCCTCAGGACCTTCACAGTGGACTGGTAGGCCCTCTCTCTGTATGCCGCAAAGACATCAACCCCAACATAGTTCACCGTGTTCTCCACTTCATGATATTTGATGAGAATGAATCCTGGTACTTCGAAGACAGTATCAACACCTATGCTTCAAAACCAAACAAAGTGGACAAGGAAAATGATAATTTTCAACTCAGCAACCAAATGCACGGTAACATTCACTCACTGACTCACCAATGGTAACCCACAGGTTGCTCTGCACAAATGAAACAGATGAAAGGGCCTCGCTCCACACTGTTTATAGAATTCAACTACATATAACTGGTATGGATCATGTAGACCAGGGGTCAGCAAATTTTTTCTGCAAAGGGCCAGATAGTAAAGAAGTTAGGCTTGCAGGCCACATGGTCTCTATCATAAGCCATACTCTACTCTGCCACTGTAGAATGAAAGTGGTCACAGACAATAGGAAAACAAATGAAAGTGGCTGAGAGCCAAAAACTTCATTTATGGATGCTGAAATTTGTATCTCATAAAACATGTCAAGAAATAATATTATTAAATTTTTTTTCAACTATTTAGAAATTTTAAAACCATTCTTAGCTCATGGGCTGCAGTAACAGAGGCAGTGTGCTGGACCTTGCCCATATGCCACAGACTACTGATTTAGCAAGCACAGCAAATTCTCATGCTTTCTAGAGCTATGTAGACAATGTAAAAATAGGAACATCAGCTGTCATTTCAGGAGGAACTTACTACCATAATTTTCTAAGTATTTTGCTTGGATGAACACAGACAGAGGTGGGGCTTGGGGCAAACCAAAGTGAACATGGCCCCACCCACACTTCCCCATCACATTACCTTCACAGGCAGAACTTTTGAAAACTTCATGCTCATCAACCAAAATTATTTTATAGGTTGACTGTGACTAGGTGCATCTATTTACATCTAGATGACCTCCCCCACTCTAGAATCACAGTAACAAGACAATTATTCCAATAGAAAGCACATAAACAATCTCACTTACTTTCTTAGCCAGGGAAACTTCTCATCTTAAGCTGCTCAGCTGAGAGGGGTCAGAGATATGACTGGGTAAAAGATCCTTAACTAAGGCAAATTCAAATATAGTAATCTCCCACTTCTAAGGTTGTTTTTTCTCTTTTTTAGAAATATATGTAAATTTAAAGTTAATTCAAGGGTGACATCCATTTTACCAATAGTCTTTTTAATAAGTGTCATAGAGGGCACAAAGCACCTTGCGAGGCCCTAAAGAGATACAAAGGCCCATAATATGGGTCATCTGCCCTCATGTTGTTTACAGTCTAAGGGACGCCAGACTTGCGCATTGCTGCAATCCAAGGAGGATGACGCGGGGTGGGATGCTGTCACGGAAATTTAAACACAGCGCAGTGCTTTAAATTCCTATTTGGAAGATTTGGAAAGGCTTCATGATAGGGAAGAGACATTCAAGTTGATTTTTTAAGGTTTCATAGGAGTCTGTCCAGTTAGAAAAGGAGGGAAATGACACTCCAAGTAGATGGAAGAATGTGATCTAAGTCACATAGCACTTGGGAAGAAAGAGCCAACAGAATTGTGGAAGACCTCAAACACCTTGTTAAGAATTTAGACTTGATCTAAACCAGGGTTTCTTAACTTCCTGACCTTTTAGGTTAGATAACTCTTTGTTGTATGGAGCTATCCAGTGCATTGTAGATGTTTGTCGACATCTATATCCTCCACCTACTAGATGCCAGTAGCATCTCCCCACAAGTTATGACAACCAAAAATATTTCTAGGCATTGCCAAATGACCCCTGGGGAACAAAATCACCTCCTGTAGAGAACCACTGTACTAAAGCACCAAGTACACTGAGCTAGGGCGTGGGGGGATAGATTTTAGGAATAACTCTGGCACTCATCTGGGCACTTGTACTCCAAGTATGGCCCAAGGACCAGCAGCATCAGCATCACTTGGGAGCTTGTTAGAAATGCAGAATTTCAGGCTTCAAAGACCTAAGTCAGAATCTGAATTCTAACAAAATCCCCAGGCCATATTCACATTAAAGTGTGAGAAGCACTAGTCTAGAGCAGTGTCTTCTAGTTTCTTCTATTACATCCCTCCATCAGCTGAAAGCATTAGAACTCAGCCTCCATAGATATATAGTTATATAGTTATAGATTATATACTTGCACCACTGTACCAATGCATTTTATACATTTTAAAGATGCACAAAAACGGCAAAGTAAAAAGAGGATATGTGTGTGTGTGTATGTGTGTGTGTGTATGTATGTGTGTGTATATATATATATATATATATATAAAATCTTCATATTTTATTTACATTACCCTTTGGAAACCACACCTGTAGAGGACAAGAGGGGGCCTGGACCTCACAAATGGCCATTCCAGACATACAAGTGGCAGATCACAAAGGTTTGACTTAGGGCAGTTAAATAAGAATGCACATTCCTAATATTCTTCTTTGTCTTTTATGGAGACAGGGTCTCACTATGTTGCCCAGGCTGTTCTCGAACTCCTGAACTCAAGTGATCCTCCCGCCTCAGCCTCCCAATGTGCTAAGATTACAATCATGAACCACCATGCCTGGCCATTCCTAATATTCTAAGTCTCTTGTGATAATTTTAAATACACAATTCACCAATATAAGTATGCTTAGTTGTGAAATAGTCAAATCCAACCTGATTGTGTTAACACAAAGTCAGTGCCTCATTTCCTTGGGCAAGAAAAACTCCTTAGAATTAGACACATCCATGAATGGATGGCTTGGTCACATTTAACAACTTCCTTAGTCTGGCTTTAAAATCCCCACTGCTTCTGAAAACATCCATGATATTTTCTATAGGGATGATAATACTTTTTTAAAGTGGTGATTTTTTAAAAGCCCACATTATTTTAAATCCTTGTTGAATATAATAAACTGTGCCTTTCCCTGACTCCCACAGCAATTAACGGAAGACTGTTTGGAAATAACCAAGGTATAACATTCCATGTTGGGGATGTAGTGAATTGGTATCTGATTGGCATAGGGAATGAAGCTGACCTGCACACAGTTCACTTTCATGGCCATAGCTTTGAATACAAGGTAAGAGCCTTCTACAGTCCATATCCTGTGATGTCTTGTAAACCAGTTATCAGGTAGCATGGCAAGATAACAGGGCTGGAAAGAAAATGACCAAGTCAGAAATTTGATCCATATCATCTATAATATATCAGGTGCAAGTAAATAATTATAATTTAGCTCTTTATATCCCGTGGACATTTGATAAATGCCGACCAAAGAATGAAGTGCATTTCTCACTCTAATTTATTGTTAGTTAATAGGTAAATAAGACATTTATAGTCATTTCTAGTTTTGTACTTTCTATCTCAACTTAAAAAAATTTTTTCATGCCCTCAGTAACATAAAGAAAAATACTCTGAATGCTCATATGCATTTTGCCACATTAGCTTTCTCTTCCATGTTTTTTTCTGAATGCAATTCAAAGTGCATTGCAAACATTATGACTCTTTACCCCTAAATACGGAAACATCCCTAAGAATACGGACAGTCTCCACCCCAACTACAATAAAATTATCACGCCCCCAAATTAACATTAATTCAATAATATAGTCTAATGTACAATCCATTCAAATATCCCAAGTTGTCCTAAAAATGCTCCCTATAGCTGTTTTTTTTTTTAAATCTAGGATCTGATCAAGATGCATACATAGCATGTGGTTGCCATTGCCATAGCTTTCCTAAAATCTGAAGAGATCCCTTTGCCTTTAAAAAAAATTCCTCCCTCATAACATTTCATTTTTGAAGGGTCCAGGCCAGTTGTTTTGTAGAATGTTCCATATTCTGCATTGGCCTGATAGTTTCCTCATGATTGGATCCATGTTTAACAAATTTGCCAAGAACACCACAAAGGTGATGTTGTATGCTCCCCACACATTGCATCAAGAGGTACATGATGGCAATAGGTCCTCATATTGCTGAGGCTAAGTTTGAGAACTTGATTAAGGTGATTCTGAGAATATAGGAATAAAAACCATATCAAAGTGATTTTCCGGTTCTCTCACTCACAATCAGTTACACAGAAGACTTCTTTGATCTCTGGTCACAAATAAATGTGTGGAGATTTCCCTCTATCCACAACCAATCAATCAATTCTGCATTGGACACCAGCTAGGTGTCCTCCAATTCAATTTTGACACTATCTACCTGGATACAGTGTCAGATCCCACAGGTTGAGAGCTCAGTTCTAAAAGGCTGCCCCCCACTTCCAATGCCAATCACAAACTCCAGGTTGTTTTCATATGCTTCTGTGCAGCAGGCTATAAATTGGGATTCCTATGACCCCCTCCTTGAATTCAATTAATTCCCTAGAATGACTTATAGAATGAAGGGAAACACTGGCTTACATTCACTGGTTTATCAAAAAGGATATTAGAAAGTGTATTAATGAATACCAGATGAAGAGATGCTAGGGTAAGGTATGGGAGAATCACATGGAGCTTCCATCCCCTCTCCAGGTGAGCTACCCTCCAGGAACCACATTTGGCTATCTGGAGCATCTCTGAATCCTGTCCATTTGGGTTTTTATGGAGGGTTCATTACATAGGCATGATTGATTGGATGATTGGCCATTGGTGATCAACTTAGCCTTCGGCCTCTCTTTCCTCCCCAGAGGTTAGGGGATGGGGCTGAAAGTCCCAATCCTCTAATCCTGCCCTGGTCTTTCTGGTGACCAATCCTCATTGTAAACCAAAAATAAAATTCTAAGCTCCCCAAACAATTGAAAAATTGAATAAAATTCTAAGTCCCCTCTAGACCAAGTGCATTCCTAAGTTAACCTGAAAAACTAATTCAGGCCATGATGGGAAGTGAGGGTTGGATATGCCTCATTATACTCTCCACCCTTTGGAATTCAGGCACAGCTGACCAGCATTAACATTAAAATGAAGACCTTAGGACTGATAGAACAGACTGTTTGTAGTAATAAGATACCAGCATGGCAGATAGCAGGCCCTAAAGGAAATCAAAGTATTTTATCCCAAAATATATTTATTTGACATTTTTTGAAATGGCCCTGCAAATCTAAATCTTATGGGGAAAATCTGCATTCTGTAGAGAATCCTCTTCCCTTTCCAGGTCTTTTTCCTGATCCAGGAGAGAATGAACTTAAAAGAGTCTAGCACTTTTTTTTTTTTCTTTTTTTGAAACAGAGCCTCGCTCTGTCACCCAGGCTGGAGTGCAGTGGCACGATCTCGGCTCACTGCAAGCTCTGCCTCCAGGGTTCATGCCATTCTCCTGCCTCAGCCTCCCAAGTAGCTGGGACTACAGGTGCCTGCCACCACACCTGGGTAATTTTTTGTATTTTTAGTAGAGACGGGGTTTCACCATGTTAGCCAGGATGTTCTTAATCTCCTGACCTCATAATCTGCCCACCTCAGCCTCCCAAAGTGCTAGGATTACAGGTGTGAGCCACCACTCCCAGCCTGACACTTTTTAAATCTGATAAGAAACATTTACAATCTATTCTCTCTGAAGCCTGCTAGGTGGAGGCTTCATCTGCACTATGCAAACCTTGGTCTCCACAACCCCTTATCTTAACCCAGACATTCCCTTCTATTGATTACAGGTCTTTAAATAAACTCTTTCAATCAATTGCCAATCAGGAAATCTTTGAATCTACCTATGACCTGGAAGCCTCACCTCCTCCAGTTGTCCCACCTTTCCAGACTGAACCAGTGTACATCTTATGTGTATGAATTGATGTCCTATTTCTCCCTAAAACATACAAAAACCAAGCTGTAGCCCAACCACCTTAGGAACAAGTTTTCAGGACTTCCTGAGACTGTATCATGGGCATGTCCTTAAGCTTGGCAAAATAAACTTCTACATTGACTGGGACCTTTCTGTATATCCCAGATATTCTGGTACACTGTCTCTTTGTTCTCATTAGTTTCAAAGAATTTATTGATTTCTGCCTTCATTTCATTATTTACCTAGGAGTCATTCAGGAGCAGGTTGTTCAATTTCCATGTAGTTGTGTGGTTTTGAGTGAATTTCATTTTTTTTTTTTGAGACAGAGTCTCATTCTGTCACCCAGGGTAGAGTGCAATGGTGCGATCTTGGCTCACTGCAAGCTCTGCCTCCTGGGTTCATGCCATTCTCCTGCCTCAGCCTCTCGAGTAGCTGGGACTACAGGCGCCCGCCACCATGCCCAGCTAAATTTTTGTATTTTTAGTAGAGACGGGATTTCACTGTGTTAGCCAGGATGGTGTCGATCTCCTGACCTCGTGATCTGCCTGCCTCAGCCTCCCAAAGTGCTGGGATTACAGGCGTGAGCCACTGCACCCGGCCGGTTTTGAATGAATTTCTTAAAATGTATTTCTAATTTGATTGTGCTGTGGTCTGAGTGACTGTTTATTGTGGTTTTAATTATTTTTGCCTTTGCTAAGGAGTGTTTTACTTCTGATTATGTGATCAATTTTAGAGTAAGTATCATGTGGCGATGAGAAGAATGAATATTCTTTTCTTGTTGGGTGGAGAGTTCTGCAGATATCTATCAGGTCCACTTGATCCAGAGCTGAGTTCAGGTCCTGAATATCTTTGTTAAGTTTCTGTCTTGATGGTCTGTCTAACATTGTCAGGAGGGGTTGTTAAAGTCTCCCACTATTATTGTGTGGAAGTCTAAGTCTTTTTGTAGGTCTCTGAGAACTTGCATGATGAATCTGGGTGCTCTGTATTGGGTGCAAATGTATTTAGGATAGTTAGTGCTTCTTGTTGAATTGAACCTTTTACTATTATGTAATCCCCTTCTTTGTCTTTTTTTATCTTTGCTGGTTTAAAATCTGTTTTGTCAGAAACTAGGATTGCTTTTTTATGTTTTCCATTTGCTTGGTAAATTTTCCTCCATCCTTTTATCTCAAGCCTATGGGTGTCACTGCATGTGAGATGGGTCTCTTGAAGACAACATACGGATGGGTAGCGGTTCTTTATTGAGCTTGCTATTCTGTGTCTCTTAACTGGGCCATTTAGCCCATCTACATTTAAGATTAGTATTGTTATGTGTGAATTTGATCCTGTCATCATAATGCTAGCTGGTTATTTTGCAGACTTGTTTATGTGGCTGCTTCATAAGCCACTATATGGTTGCTTCATAGTGTCACTGGTCCCTGTACTTCACTGTGTTTTTATAGTAGCTGGTAATGTTTTTGTCTTTCCATATTTAGTGCTTCCTTCAGGAGCTCTTGCAAAGCAGGATGATGGTGACAAATTCCTTCTGCATTTGCTTGTCCGAAAATAATCTTATTTTTCCTTCACTTACGAAGAAGCTTAGTTTGGCCAGATATGAAATTCTGGGTTGGAAATTCTTTTCTTTAAGAATGTTGAATATTGGCCCCCAATCTCTTCTGGCTTGTAGGGTTTCCACTGAGAAGTCCACTGTTAGTCTGACGGGCTTCCCTTTGTAGGTGACCTGGCCTTTGTCCCTAGCTGCCCTTAACATTTTTTCTTTCATTTCAATCTTGGAGAATTTGATGATTATGTGCCTTGGGGTTGATCTTCTCATGGAGTATCTTACTGGGGTTCTCTGCATTTCCAGAATTTGAATGTTGGCATGTCTTGCTAGGTTGGGGAACTTCTCCTGGATGATATCCTGAAGTATGTTTTCCAATTTGTTTCCATTCTCCCCATCTCTTTCAGGTACCCCAATCAGTCATAGGTTCAGTCTTTTTACATAATCCCATATTTCTCAAAAGTTTTGTTCATTCCTTTTTATTCTTTTTTCTGTCTTCTTGTCTGCCTGTCTTATTTCAGAAAGATAGTCTTCAAGCTCTGAGATTCTTTCCTCCACTCGGTCTATTCTGCTATTGTTACTTGTGATTGCATTGTGAAGTTCTCGTGTTGTTTTTCAGCTCCATCAGGTCAGTTATGTTCCTCTCTAAACTGGCTATTCTGGTTATCAGCTCCTGTATTTTATCATGATTCTTATCATGATTCTTAGCTTCTTTGCATTGGGTTACAACATGCACCTTTAGCTCAGTGAAGTTTGTTATTACCCACCTTCTGAAGCCTACTTTTGTCAATTCAGCCATCTCAGCCTCAGCCCAGTTCTGTGCCCTTTCTGGAGAGGTGTTGTTGTCATTTGGAGTAGAAGAGGCACTCTGGCTTTTTGAGTGTTCAGCATTTTCATATTGATTTTTTTCTTATCTTTGTGGGCTTATTTACCTTTGATCTTTGAGGTTGCTGACCTTTGAATGGGGCTTTCAAGGGGTCTCTTGTTGTTGTTGTTTTCTGTTTGTTTATTTTTAACAGTCGGGCCACTTTTCCATAGGGCTGCTGTGGTTTGCTGGGGGTCTGCTCCAGACCCTAGTTGCCTTAGTTTTTCCTGTACCTGGAGGTATCAGCCGTGAAGGCTGCAAAACAGCAAAGATGGCAACCTGATACTTCCTTTGGAAGCTCCATCTCAGAGGGGTACTACACCTGTTGCTGGCCCGAATGCTCCTGTAGGAGGTGTCTGGAGACCCCTGTTGGGAGGTCTTGCCCAGCCAGGAGGAACAGGATCAGGGACCTCATAAAAGCAGTAGTCTGGCTCCTTTTTGGTAGGGCAGGAGTGCTGCATTGCAGGGGACCCTTCCTGAACTCTTCAGAGCCAGCAGGGTGGAATAGCTGAGTCGACTGAACTGCAGAGATGGCAGCTGCCCCTTTTCCTGGGAGTTCTGCCTCAGGGAGAGATCAGAGTTCTGTCTGTATAACCCCAGCTAGAGTTGCTGAAACCCCAGCAGGGAGGCCTTGCCCAGCAGGAGGAATGGATCAGGGTTCCACTTAAAGAAGCAGTCTGGCCATACATGATCTGGCACAGCAACTGTGCTGTGTTGTAGGGGACCCCTCCTCATCTGGACTGCCTGTGCTTTCCAGAGCTGGCAGGCTGAAACAGCTGAGTTGACTGAACCACAGAGATGGTGGCTGTCCTTCCCCCCAGGAATTTTGTGCTGTCTCAGGCAGTTTCCAACCTGTTGCCATTGGCTGGCTGGAATTCCAAGCCAGTGGGTCTTAACTTGTGAGGTGTCGTGGAAGTGGGGCTTGCAGAACAATGCTGCTTGGCTCCTTGGATTCAGCCCCCTTTCTAGGGGAATGCATGGATGGATCTCCTGACTTGCCAGGATTCCTGGGGCCGGAGTATGTAAAACTTCTGGGTCTCAGTGTGTGACTCCACGGCTGCTCTGCTGAGTCCATACAGCTTTGTGTATGGTGCCCAAGGCCCTGGTGGCATGGGCTCATGAGGGGATCTCCTAATCCTCAGGTTGCAAAGATCCATGGGAGAAGCATGGTTTCCTGGGTGGGGTCACACAATCACTCACCGCTTTCTTTAGCTGGGGTTGGGAGTTCCTTTGGCTCCATGCCACTCCCACATGGGCTGTAGCCACACCCTGCTTTTCTTCATTTTCCACGGATCCTAGTGGTTTGCCTAGTCAGTCCCAATGTGAGAACCTGGATATTTCAGTTGAAGTTGCTGAATTCACGTGTTTCTTTCATTCCTCTCCATGAGTGCTGCAGACTACAGCTGCTTCTAATCGGCCATCTTGGCCCCTCCCCCATACTTCTTTACAATTGTTATCATGACCACTTTTGACTCATTTCTTTATGATAAGTATTTTAAATTTTATCCTTCCTCTTTCAGTTTCCAAGTTTGTATCATTCATTAATGTTTATTTAAAGAGCTTTTTGTTTCTTCATCCTAATTCCTTATATAAACATTAATGTATAATTTAGGATCAATTATATTCTCTGTGTTTCACACCTTAGACATTTAATCCAACCACTAGGCATTAGTACAGTTCACCTTTTCCACATGGATAAAAGTTTCAGATAAAGCTTTCCTGAATTCCAGATGTATTATGTTAATACCTTCTTTAATGCAGTGTCCATTGTAGAAATAAATTATATAAGCATGCACCTCTTGGTTTTCACAGAGCCTTATTGGTGTGCTGCTTTATTTCCCACCATTTAATGAACAAATTTATTCCTGTTAAATTTATTTTTTGGCATAAAAACTCTTTATTATTGAGAATTTTATATAATAAACAGAATAATGTAACAAACCCCTATTACCCAAATCTAACCACTGTGACCCCACTACACTTTCATCTACACTCCCCATTTTTTTTAAAGCAAAAGCCTACATATTAGGGTTATTCACTTCATAACTGTTTGTATTAAAGACTTTTAAAATTGAGCCAAAAGAGGGCCAGGCGCGGTGGCTCACTCCTGTGATCCCAGCACTTTGGGAGGCCAAGGCAGGCAGATCACAAGGTCAGGATATCAAGACCATCCTGGCTAACACAGTGAAACCCCATCTCTACTAAAAATACAAAAAATTAGCCAGGCATGGTGGCAGGTACCTGTAGTCCCAACTACTTGGGAGGCTGAGGCAGGAAAATCGCTTAAACCCAGGAGGTGGAAGTTGCAGTGAGCCAAGATCACGCCACTGCACTCTAGCCTGGGTGATAGAGCGAGATTCTGTCAAAAAAAAAAAAAAATGGGCCAAAATCTGGTCATCATGTTTTACAGTTTATCTGATGTTGTCAAATATAACAGTTCAGTCCAGCAAATGCCTCTAACATGCCTAGAACCATGCTAAGTGTTGCATGGAGCTGAAAGGAAATCAGAGCTGTTTTTCAGGGATAATTGCAGGGAAATTATATGAAGCATTAACAAAATAAGGAACTTTCCTACAGGCAGGAAGTGATAGAAGTTGGATTTAAACCCTGGCTCTCACTCTAGAGTCTGAACTCTTTAGTGCTTCACAAAACCGCCTCCCTTAAGTATAATCCTATTTATACCACAGAGCCTAGTATCACCGGCTCTCAGCTTTAACCACTCACTCTAAACGCATTGCAGGAGATATCTAGCCTCCCACCTTGAGGCAGAATGTTATCCCACCAGCATCTATGCAGACACTGGGCTTCACTCCCTGAAACTCCTGGGGGCAGTGAAGCAGCCCTCTGTGGTTACTAACCTAGTTCTGGGACAAGCCAGCCAGTCACAGCTTGTTCCCTAAAGCTACAGTCTTCCTGGGTGCCAGGGCTCTAGGTATATTTTCCACATTTACTGGTGCTTTGGACATCGTCAATTTGTGGTTAAATTTTTTTCATGCTGTTCTCTACGTTTTTCTGACGTCCAAAAACTGTATCCTATGTCATCTGTATTATTTTCACTTTAGTTGTAAAATTAATGTTCCTAAATAACAATGGCTTGAGCTCCAACTCTGTCTCTAGTAAGAAACAGCTCAGTCTTCCTCCTGTCTGCCTTCCGATATCTGCAGGGAGTCTTGAGAGCTTAAATGTCTTCTATTCACCCCAACTCTAACTTCCTGCTTCTGCTCATCTCCCTTGCCTCTCAACTCCTATAGCTGGTGTTTTTTCATAACTGTGTGCAATTCCAAACATGGAGCACATCCCATTTCCTTTGGTACTCTTAAGCAACCACAAAATCAAGGCCATTGTGAGTTACAGACTTTTAGTGAAAGAGTGGGGATAAACGAAGTTTTTTTTTCAGTACTACATAATGAAAGCACTTACCATTGTTGGGCATTTGGGTTGGTTCCAAGTCTTTGCTATTGTGAATAATGCCTCAATAAACATACGTGTGCATGTGTCTTTATAGCAGCATGATTTAGAGTTCTTTGGGTATATACCCAGTAATGGGATGGCTGGGTCAAATGGTATTTCTAGTTCTAGATCCCTGAGGAATCGCCACACTGACTTCCACAATGGTTGAACTAGTTTACAACCCAAATGCCCAACAATGATAGACTGGATTAAGAAAATGTGGCACATATACACCATGGAATACTATGCAGCCATAAAAAATGATGAGTTCATGTCCTTTGTAGGGACATGGATGAAATTGGAAAGCATCATTCTCAGTAAACTATCGCAAGAACAAAAAACCAAACACCGCATATTCTCACTGATAGGTGGGAATTGAACAATGAGATCACATGGACACAGGAAGGGGAATATCACACTCTGGGGACTGTGGTGGGGTGGGAGGAGGGGGGAGGGATAACATTGGGAGATATACCTAATGCTAGATGACGAGTTAGTGGGTGCAGCGCACCAGCAAGGCACATGTATACATATGTAACTAACCTGAACAATGTGCACATGTACCCTAAAACTTAAAGTATAATAATAATAATAATAAAAAAAGAAAGCACTTACCATTTGACATTAGATGTCCCACCCCCAATTACCCTTTCACCATGCATCACTGAGAGCCTCTAGCTCGTTTGCCTTTTACTCTCACCCTCAGGACTTGTTTCTCCACATTTTTCCTCTCTAGACTCTCTGACATCCCTTCTCTCCTGAAATTATTCAGAACTCTTGAGCTGCAGTTCCCCAATCCACCCCCACCACCATCCTGCAAATACTTCCTATTTTATTTTGTAGAGCAATTCACCTTCCTTTTAGTCTCTTCCAATCCACCCGGACTAGGCCCTAGGACTTCATATCTAAAATTCTAAGCAGCCTACAGAGGTAGTTTCCTAAACATTGGGTTCTCTGCTTAGGAGAGAAATTAGCTAAAAAGTGCCCTCAGCCCTCAGCCCTCAGGCCCAATCTCCAGAAGGCAAACTTGGCTGCAGATGCCAAGGGAGCTCCTCCTCCCTTCTCCTCCCTCTCCCCTTCTCTTTCCTGTAACAATGAGTTTTTCTGATTAGCTGTATCTCAAGAAATGACAATCCTTCACATCAACATGTTATGTCACATCAACGTAACATCCCAAGTTAGAAATATGTCACTTAGAACCTTTGGGATTTGAGACTAGAAGTTCTCTGAAATCTAGAGCGCTCGGTCGTGTGAGACATTGGCAAGTTTCTAACACCAATACGAAACTACAGGTACCCTTGTAGAGTGAAACATTTTCTTTGCATTCTATCTAACACCAGAATGTCCTGGGTCTTAGTTCTCCTCCAAAGCCTCAAGTGCACTCAGAGAAGAGAACAAAATAGCTTTAATAGCTTAATGATTTCCTTTCCTTTCCCTCTTCCCTTCCCTTTTCTTCTCCCTCCTCTCCCCTCCCCTCCCCTCCCCTCCTTTCTCTTGCCATCCACTCCCTTCCCCTCCCCTTCCCTTTCCTTTCCCTTTTCAGATGGGATCTTGCTCTGTCACCCAGGCTGGAATACTGGAGTGCAGTGGCATGATCACAGTTTACTGCAGCCTTGAACTGGGCTCAAGCAATCCTTCCACCTCAGCCTCCCAGGTAGCTGGGACTACTGGCACACACTACTGCCTGGCTAATTTTTAAAATATATTTTTTTTTAGAGATGAGGAGCTCAGGCTGGTCTTGAACTCCTGAGCTCAAGTCATCCTCCCCTGCCACCCCAGCCTCCCAAGTAGCAGATTACAGACATAAGCCACCGTGCCCAGCCCAGCACCTAATGCTTTCTAATTGTCACCTAATTAGGTATATTAGAATTTGGGAATTATAGCAAGTGGTAAGTGATATCTTTTATAAGCGATGTAATGATGTTTAATCTCCTTGTTAAGAATTAGGGAGTGTATCAATCTGATGTTTATGACCTTCCTCCTGGGGTCTATCGAACTGTAAAAATGTATCGAAGAGATGTTGGAACCTGGTTATTTTATTGCCATGTTTTTGAGCACATTGGTGCTGGAATGGAAAGCACTTACACTGTACTTGAAAGAAAAGGTAAGATCCATTGGCTAAATTAATTAGAAGTGATATTTAAACAAATGCAGTGTTTATGTAAGGATATTTAATGCATTGAACATTCATATAATGTGATGTGCCATTCATTCATTCAAAGATTACTATTTTGAGATGACTGAGATACTCTAGTTTTATTTTCTTTGTAAAACTCAGATAACTTTTCATGATCTGATAAAATATACTCTAGAGTTAAATGTAATTTCCAGATTCACATAAGATATACATATAAGGTATAAACAGACAAT
The DNA here is from genome assembly GCF_000001405.40 of Homo sapiens. Classification (NCBI taxonomy): domain Eukaryota; kingdom Metazoa; phylum Chordata; class Mammalia; order Primates; family Hominidae; genus Homo; species Homo sapiens. Next base: position 149,230,472 of record NC_000003.12, on the reverse strand, counting down.
TCATAGAAGATCAAAAACAAATATCTTTTGAACCTATAAAAATATCCAAACTTGCCAATAATCAAATCACTTCAAAATCACATTTAAGCAACAATAAAATACCTTTTTGAGTATATGTTGGCAAATATTTATCTATTTTTAATGATAGCATCAATAGCAGTGTGGTGAGATAGGGTGCATTGCATATACTTTGGTGGATGTGTTAATTGGTTCTGCAGATCTTGCAGGAATCTAAATCATGATCCCCATATTTTGACTCAGTATTTCCACCTGGCATTTGATCTCAGAAAATTATCAACAAGGCAGAAAAATATGTATCACCACATTATTTTATGCTAATGGAAAACTGAAAACAAGCAAATGATATACTGTAATGTGTGTAAAAAACTGCAACATATCATCTAAAATATCCAACTTCAAAAATCATGTCTTAAAATTTTTAATGAGTAAATGCTTATAATATCATATTGGGTGGCAAAAAATGCAGTCTACAAAATAGTATCTGAAATATGTATATGAAGACTGAATAGAAATTTTATGAGATGTTACTGATGACTCTCTCTACGTAGTGAAATTATTCGTGAGATTTATTAAGAAAATAATAAGAAGATATTTATTAAGAAATAATAAATCTCACTAGTAATCTGTTTCTTCCAAGGTTTCTGTAAAGTTTAAATTACTTTCAAAATTAGGAAAACTATTGAACATATATATTGTACACTATTTAAAACATACCATGCAGCTCTCAAGTTATGTGAATATTTTCTCTGTGGGGCTTCTTGCAGGGCTGATGGAGCAGAACCTCTGAAGCAGACAAAGGAGAGTCAGCATGAACAGTTTCTCAGAATCTTCTCTCAATATCAGGACTACATTTGTCAACAAAACCAAAAACTGATTAGCCACCGATATAATTTTTACCTACAACATCCTATTAATGTCAATAATATCATTATTGATACAATTCTAATAATCACTACCCTTATTCCTATCAGTGTTCATGTACATTCTTAGTAAAAGAGACTTTGGTGCGCTGTCCATGAAATAAATCCCCCATTGCTAACATTCTTTCTTTGGAAAAGTAGATTTTGCATTTCAAAGAATATAAAGTCAAATTGGATTGGATTTACAGGTCATCTGTTCCCACAGAAGGGTGATATTGATGTTGCTATTGATAAGTAAACTTTTTGTGGCAAAAGTGATGGTAGTTATTTTAAGGATGTTCCCAAGACTAATATAAATTTTGTATTTATTCCTTAAATGTATGTAATCATTTTAGCTTAGTATTTTAACTTAGAACTGCATGCTATTATATAATATTACCTATTTTTGAAACTTCCTTTTCTACAGCATAAATATTTGATATGATATGAATATTGACAAGCTTACAAGCCAAGGTAAAGCTGCCAAAGAAGGAAAACTCCAGGGACCAAGGAGTCTGGGAGGAACCAGCTAAAGACTTTCATGACAATGTACCAGGAAAACTAGTTTGAAATAAAAGTTTTCTTAGTAAATTTTGTGTGAGAGCTGCTTCTTATTTTCATAAATTGACCCTGAAGTGGTGTCTGTATTGTGCCTGTGAGTGATGTAATAAGGCTTTTAACAAATGCAGTGGGGGTAGGTAGGAGAGACAAAGACAGCAACAGCAAAGTCTTGCTCAGTTATAAAAAGTACCAAATGTATGCAACCCAAGACTTTACCATAGACTGCAACATTTGTAAAACTTTAAGAAATGAAATTCTTATAGCATGGGTAACCATTTAAATCAATCTTTGAAATGTAAATCTATATATTATATTGTGCCTTAGGATTGGAAGATGATAGATTACAGAATATATAATTTTCAGTTTTCCAGAACAAAAAAAAAAGGGGGGGGACTCAAGCTCTGAGCTTGTATCTGGCAGTACTAACCAGTTAGGATGTGTTCTATAAGCAACAGAAAACCCAGCTAAGAGAGAATTATCAGTGCTATTTGTCTTATATCATAAACAAAGTTTGGAGATAAGTGGCTGCTAGGATTGGTTTAGCAACATTTTAAGACAGAATCTCACTCTGTTGCCCAGGCTGGAGTGCATTGGCACGATCTTGCCTCACTGTAACCTCCACCTCCCTGGTTCAAGCAATTCTCCTGCCTTAGCCTCCCCAGTAGCTGGGACTACAGGCCTGCACCACCACATCTGGCTGATTTTTGTATTTTTAGTAGAGACAGGGTTTCACCTTGTTGGCCAGGCTGGTCTTGAACTCCTGGCCTCAAGTGATCCACCCACCTCGGCCTCCCAAAGTGCTGGGGTTACAGGCATGAGCCACTGTACCCAGCCTGGCTTAGCAATTTGATGACATGAGGGCCAGTGTCTTTAACCCTCTTGGCCTTTTCCCCATAATTGTTGCCTCACGGTTGCAAAATGGTTGCTGCAGCTCCACATGTTACATCCACATTGAAGGCAGAGAAGATGGAAAAAGGGGGAGTATCAGTCACATCTGAAGAGACAACAGCCAATTTCTGCCTTTTTCTTATTGGTCAAAACCATTATTATCTGGCTACTCCTAACTGCAAAGGAGACTGGAAAAGAACTTTTGTAGCCTCTATCATGAAAGGAACAAGGGAGACTGGGTTAGAAATGTCTTGTGGGTTGGCTAACAGCCTTTGCTTTAGACAGTAAGTAAGAATACTTGAAATCAGAGCTTGGTTAAACAACAGAGTTCATGTTTTTACTTTCTAGCTTCTTAGCTGTGTGGGCGGTACATGAAAACCTGGAGTGTAATCAAGCAAATTCCTGACATTATATCATTTCACTCCAAAATACTCCGATATGTATCTCCGGCATAAAAAACCTTTAAAAAAGTAATATAGTGGCCAGGTGTAACTCCAGCACTTTGGGAGGCTGAGGCAGGAGGATCACGAGGTCAAGAGATGGAGATCATCCTGGCCAACATGGTGAAACCTCGTCTCTACTAAAAATAAAAAATTTAGCCAGGCGTGGTAGCGCATGCCTGTAGTCCCAGCTACTCAGGAGGCTGAGGCTGGAGAATCACTTGAACCCAGGAGGCAGAGGCTGCAGTGAACTGAGATCATGCCACTGCACTCCAGCCTGGCGACAGAGCAAGACTCTGTCTCAAAAAATAATAATAATACTAATATAGTAATAATGCTATTATAACATCAGACAACATTAGCAATAATACCTCATTATTTGATATTAAAACTATGAAGAACTTATGAAATATGGGTGCAGCTAACTCCTTCCATAGAAACATTCAAGTCTGAGACTTTCAAAGATGCTGATAAAACTAGAACATTTTTTAAGAAACAGCAAAAGATATTGCCCAAATTTCACCAAGAATAATGTTTAATTCATTCATTCATTCATTTAAGAACACAGTTCCAAACTTTGACTTATCAGGTGGGCAAAGTATGATTTAGCAAATGGATTTGAATGGAAGGGTAGTAATCTGTATGAATTCTTAACAGAAGAGAGTCAAAGACTAAGAATGTGTCAATGGAATGTCCCCTGCACAGCTGTTGGAAGGTCCTCTTATTCTAATAATGAGTACCCAGTATTTAGACAGAAATCATGTTAATTTTTAAAATGTCAAAGAAAAAAGAAAAGAAACATGCTTTAACAGTATCTTCCCTTTTGCATACGAGATCATGTCCTCTGCAGGGACATGGATGGAACTGGAAGCCATTATCCTCAGCAAACTAATGCAGGAGTAGAAAAACAAGCACCGCATGCTCTCACTTATAAGTGGGAGCTGAACAAGAAAACACATGGGCACAGGGAGGGGAACAACACATACTGGGGCCTGTCGGGGGGTGGGGTGATGGGGAGGGAGAGCATTGGGAAAGATAGCTAATGCATGCTAGGCTTAATACCTAGATGATGGGTTGATAGGTGCGGCAAACCACCATGGCACACGTTTACCTATGTAACAAACCTGCACATCCTGCACATGTACCCTAGAACTTAAAGTACAAATTAAAATTAATTTACAGAAAAGAATATCTACCCTTTCGCTCAAACTCTATACTTATGAATGAAACTGTGTTCCATAATACAATTTTCTGAGTGAATCTATAAAGAAGGAGCGAATGCCCCTAAATTGAAAAAAAAACCAATAATATAAATTATGCCTATTATACTTTAATTTTACGTGAATTATTTAACTTTATTAATGAATATTGATTTATTCTCCAAGTTATTTACAATCAGTCAGCCCCTTTAAACCCAGTCACCTTTAAGTAAATTGACAAAATGAAGGTTTGGAATCTACCAAGGGACAACCCCAACCCAGGCAAACTCCTTCCAGAGTGCAGAGAGACTGGCAAGCCCGGCCTGGAGCTACTCCAGTGCTTTCCCACATGGCCCTCTATAGCGTGCTGTGTCTTCTGCTTCCAGGGGCGCCATCATGAGTAGCAGTAAACTTTTCTCTCATTGGCATTGGCCTCTCAGAATTGTCACGCAGTCACCTTTTGTAAATTAAGACCAGGACACAAATCAGAGTGTTGAGAGCTATGCAGTGTATATAACCCTCACATGGTGTCAAAACAGGAGAAAATGGGCCAGGGGTGTTATGAGAGAAGAGCGTTTCAAGAAAGTCATGCATTAAATTTCTATGTAGTCAAAGTAGTGAATTAAGTTATTCCTTTAAAAAGGGTTGTTCTTTAATCTTCTTAAAAATTATAATTATATTATTGTGGTTCTATTTCATTTTTGATAAATCACATGCTTTGATTTCTATAACAGTCAAGGTAGTGAGAGAACAAGCATGAAGGATTCAGCTAAATACTTATGCCATTTTTTTTAAAGTCTCTTTCCCATAGTACTACTGTATGTTAAGGCTTTCTGTATGTTAGAGTCTGGGCTTTCTCTCTTCCCTTGCCTGAGACCATTTTACATCCCAGGAGCTGATGAATAGGGCCGTGACCCATTAATGGGCAGCCAAAGGGGGATGGTGGCATGACTGAAGAACTATCTGAGAGATCATTTCCTAAACAGTTATGACCTGACTGATAGGGGAGAATAGGATCAGCAATGCTCACACTGTGCTAGGGCAAGTCGGTGTACTCATTAGCAAAGTCTGTACGTGACCACACTCACCTCTAAAATTCCAGAGTTACACAATTTCCTGTGAAAAAGAAAGCAGCGTGGTTATCTGTCCGATTGGTCATAGTCAGAGTGACCTGCTATTTTGTACTTAGAGTCTCCTGCTGTCACAAAGTGAAGGACAGTTCTCGATGATTTCCTAATAATTCTGTTGGCATGGAGTAGGGGTTAAGAGCCAGTTCTCAAGGGTCAGCAAAAAATGAAACTAGAAGGTATATACAGGAATAGCGGCAGTAAAGAGAGATTGCATCCTGCCAGACAGAAATAAACAGAAGGGTTGTTCTGTAAAGGAGGCTGCTTCCTTGACGTTAGCCACTCACAGTCTCAGAATCATGATTGCCAAATGCAGATAAGATTCACCCAGTCCAGAAATCCTTAAGACGACAAAAAAAGAAAATGTGGAAAATGATTAAAACTTCTGCTACATAACTGTACTCAGGTTACTAAGCTGTTAACTTAGACATATACTAGTTGTTTATAACCAAGATATACCCTGGGATTCTGAGGTAAAAACCTTTTGACAAGCACAGCTAAGAGGACAGGCTGTTTGGCAGTCTAGATTCCTCTCTTTCTTGCAATGCTCTAAGTTTCCTAGGCTTCTTCTGGTGCCCCTCTGCTCCTTCTTGTCTAACCCCAGTCTGTGCTGTTGTGGTACATTTCTTGAGTACAGAAAACTCTCAATTGGAACATTATCCAAAGTTCATTTTTAAGTACTATCTCTGGAATCACTGTAATGAAGTTTGCAGTGCAAAATGACTCTGCCAATGGCTGAGCTTATTAGCTCCCAGTGCCTTCTCCCTCCTGTTTATTTTTACTGTTTATTTATTTATTATTTATTTATTTTTTATTTTTTGAGACAGAGTCTTCTTCTGTCGCCCAGGCTAGAGTGCAATGGCGCGATCTCGGCTCACCGCAAGTTCCACCTTCCGGGTTCACGCCATTCTCCTGCCTCAGCCTCCCGAGTAGCTGGGACTACAGGTGCCCGCCACCACGCCTGGCTAATTTTTTTTTTTTTTTTTTTTTTTTTGTATTTTTAGTAGAGTCGGGGTCTCACCGTGTTAGCCAGGATGGTCTCCATCTCCTGACCTCGTGATCCACCTGCCTCGGCCTCCCAAAGTGCTGGGATTACAGGCGTGAGCCACTCCGCCCGGCCCCTCTCCCTCCTATTTAAATAGTCCTAAGGCTCAGAGAATTCTCCCCACTTCCTGCCACATGCCTTTTGATGAGAAGAGTAACTACCACAAAACAGAACAGAAATACGGACTGCATGACCTTTTTTGCATTACACCATAAAACGTTCACAAGGGCACTGGTCACAGTGTTACTGTTTAACCATTTCATTTCACCACCAATATGAGGGGTGTGCTATGCATACATTCTGGAACCCTCAGCAACTATTTGAACAGGTTTGTTTGTTGGATGGTTGGTTGGTACAATTTGCTGAAACAAGTGACTCTGGGCATGGTTACGGTGCTCTGATCAACATCTTTCCATGCACAAGATTGGGGCTGAGTTTGAGCACTGAGTGAAAAATGAAAAGCAAATGGCTGAGACAGTTGCTGGTTCACATCGTGGCTTCATGCCAATTAGAAAAAGAACTGTCCCCCTTCTCCATGCCCTGGGGAGGATAAACGGCTGAAAAATGCCCCCCGTCTGTGTGGACCATTAGGGGAAAAGCAGCTTCTTGCAAGGCACAGGGTATGGCCGGTGGCATCTGAGCAAGATTTTAGTCCTTCGTCAGTCCTCTCAGTGGACATGACGGCACAATTGTTCAAGGCAGTCCTAGAAGGAGGCCTTGGGGCATCCTGGGCAACATGATTCAGTTTTCTGTACCAAGCCATTTAGTTAAGATTATTACCAGCTGGTGAGAGAAGCTCCTCCACTGTCTGCCTTAACATAGGTCATTTCAATTAACCTGAGATTTTCAGATGAGGAAACTGAAGCTGGGCTGAAGTATCTTACTTGAGGTCATTTGGTAGCATCAGATTTTTCCCTAGCACTCCTTATTCTCCTTCTCTGCTTTATTTTTCTCCATAGCATTCACCACTAATATTGTGTATTTCATTTTTCATTTTTATATTTTCAGTTTCCCCAAGTAGAATGTAAGTTGCATGATGGTAGGTGTTTTGTTCTCTGCGGTATTCCCAGTGAGTAGAACAGAACTTGGCACAGACTGCTGTATTCCCAGTGAGTAGAACAGAACTTGGCTCATTCAATAATATTTCCTAAATGAAGGAATTGTTCAAATATCGCATGCTTTCTTCTATACCAATCTATTTCAACAAGTGGCCTTCAGCAAATACACAACGTTTTGAGGTATTTGAGAGAAAAAAAATTATACTAACACAAAGTGTCAACTGTTATCAGGATTTTCTTCAGCTAAAAAAAAAAGCCATTTCATACTTTTAGACATATACTTCCTGACTAAAAACAGGGTTTTAAGAAAAAGTCTTCCACCTTAAAATTCATATCCACTTCAAAGAGAAAAATTTCAGTCTAATGATAAACTGGGGTACTTTCTATTTACTAAGACTAATCTTTGCCTCTGAAGACAGGTTTAGTTATGGTTTGTTTATTTGATGATTAAAACAAAGTTATTAGCCCCTGTTAGGCTCTGCTAGTTATTTGCATATAGCAATACAGAATGATCTGGTAAAGTTTTTATGCAGATTTGGTCCAAGCTCATAAAACAGATAAATTCTTCCAAATTAAATTCTTATTTTTGTTTACTTAAATTTGGCATGCTAGATATCATGTTTCATATCATAAAGCTGCAATTAATCATTTGTTAGACTTTTAGAAATAGTCATGCACCACATAATAATGTTTGAGTAAATGACAAACTGCATATGTGATGGTGGTCCCATAAGATTATAATAACATATTTTTACTGTACATTTTCTATGTTTGCATATGTATAGATACAGAAATATCATTGTGTTACAATTGTCTATAGCATTCAGCATAGTTATAGACTGTACAGGTTTGTAGCCTAGGAGCAATAGGTATACCATATAGCCTACCTAGATGTATAGTAGGCTATATCATATAAGTCTGTGTAAGTACACTCTGTGATAGTCACACAATGACAAAATAGCCTAACAATGCATTTCTCAGAACGTATCCCTGTCATTAAGAATGACTGTAGTAAAAAGCTACATGTTTTGATTCATTTTACATAATTCTTATCCTGATTTACTAAAAGTGCACTGTTTGCAGGACACTGTGCTGTGACATATTGTCAGAGGAACAAAGGGAGCATTTAGACACGTTCTCTGCCCTCCTGGAATTTACACAATGAATGGAAAAAGGCACAGAGTTATGCACACCCTAATGCCTCCAACAATAACTGTTGACTTTTTATTTTCAGTCAGAGAAGCCTGGCAACCAAGAACTGTTTTTTTGGTGGTTTACGAGAACTTAACTGAATTGGAAAATATTTGCTTTAATGAAACAATTTACTCTTGTGCAACACTAAATTGTGTCAATCAAGCAAATAAGGAAGAAAGTCTTATTTATAAAATTGCCTGCTCCTGATTTTACTTCATTTCTTCTCAGGCTCCAAGAAGGGGAAAAAAATGAAGATTTTGATACTTGGTATTTTTCTGTTTTTATGTAGTACCCCAGCCTGGGCGAAAGAAAAGCATTATTACATTGGAATTATTGAAACGACTTGGGATTATGCCTCTGACCATGGGGAAAAGAAACTTATTTCTGTTGACACGTAAGTCACTATTTTTATTGTTTATAGACCAAAATTTTAAGTTATTTTTAAAGGATAGAGCCAATAAGATGAAATATTTTTAAAATTTCTTATATACAGAAACTGCAAAATGTGGGCTTGAAACCCAAGACACTTGAATCAATCTCCTTTATATTCCTGTATATTTTTTATTTGGTGGACTACCCTGCTTCTTTCCTGTTGTTCCTGGGGATCTGTGTTCACATCTTACTACCTCCCATGGTCGTAACTGCATCTCCGATTAGGAATCTGTCTTTTTATGTGTTTATGCAGAAGTTCTTTCATTTAAACAATTACTGTATACAATGTTATGTTTATTGCACCATTTAATGGTTATTCATGATAGGCATAAAATTTTTTTATATCTTTCAAAACATCACTTATAGAAATAAAATACAATTTTAGCAAATAAGATCCTGCCTGATATTTATTGAGAGACTCCAGACAGTTAAGTAGGTTAATCTTTCACAGCTTCAGGGTCCTAATTTGTAAAATGAGGATAATAAGCATAGCTCATAGGGTTATTTAAAGAGCGGGTGCATGTAAAGCTCTTAGTACAATGCTTGGCACATATGTGCATAAAAAAATGTCAGGTACTTATTAGGATGGTCCTCAAAAAGCTCCATGTAACTTAAATGTCTTCATTTTTCAGTTGGAAAATCCCCTTATTGAAAGCAATATTCACTACACAGTAAAACAAAAAGTTTAGTTCTCCTTGAAGTTTTTTGTACAGAAGTTTATCTATACTGAGGTCTTCACTTTTAATGATGTTAATTAAACATTAACCACCAAATGGGAACTTGGAATTCAAAATCAATATTCACTACATTAAAATGTATTTCAGTGGTAATAAAACACAAACAAGCCCAATGACCATCAGCTGCCAAGATTATATCTTTAAAAAACAGCTAAATAAGGATGCCGAAGTTTGTAATTATTGAATCTTATTGATGAGTATATACTATTTTCTTTAACATTATGTAAAGTTGAAATTTTTCACCATAAAAATAAATACATAACAGATACTAATATCCAATTATTATATTATGAATTTAATAATATACAATAAAGAAAGTTTCTGACCTGAAGATAAGTGGTTGTAAATAAAACTAATACATCTTGTAATTATTTCTTTTTTAACCTGGTTTTAAGGTGGTATTATCTTCTAAGGAATATGACATATTTTTACAGCTTCACCAGAAACATTATTTTGCATGGATTCAGTATTTTCTTGATTAAATATAATATAAATTATATGTGGTTTTTATTTCCAAGGAAAAAGTCAGACACATTAAAAAAATAAAAATACTATCCTTCTCTATGCCCCCACTCACCACCACTCTGCCATTGTTCGTGATCAAAAATCAAATCAGCTTTATCAGGCATAAACTAAGTGCAAGACATTGCCCTGAATATGCTTCAAAAAAAAATCTTTAATTCTAAAAATCAGGGAGTAGAAGAGTGAAGGAGTTTGTTTAGAATTTGGTGAATGGGGGCGGAGGAAATTCCTTTGTTTTTAATTACTCCTGTGGCCTGTCTGTGCCAGGGAAGCTACCCAATGAGTATAAGCCTGTTTACCCCATTGTGACTATATTAGTCTCTTCTTATGCTGCTAATAGAGACATACTCAAGACTGAGTAATTTATAAAGAAAAAGAGGTTTAATGGACTCACAGTTCCACATGACTGGGGAGGCCTCACAATCATGGTGGAAGGCAAAGGAGGAGCAAAGGCATGTCTTACATTGCAAACTTTCCCATACCTTCCTGTCATCTGAGCCCTCCAAGTCTCTAGGAAGTTCCAAACTTTCCCACATCTTGCTATCTTCTTCTGAGCCCTCCAAACTATTCCAGCCTCTGCCTGCTACCCAATTCCAAAGTCACTTTCACATTTTTGGGTACCTTTACAGTAGTGCCCCACTCCAGGTACCAATTTACTGTATTAGTCTGTTCTTACACTGCTAATAAAGACATACTCAAGACTGGGTAATTTATAAAGAAAAAGAGGTTTAATGAACTTACAGTTCCACATGGCTGGGAAGGCCTCACAATCATGGCAGAAGGCAAAGGAGGAGCAAAGGCACGTCTTACATGGCAGCAGCCAAGAAAGAGCTTGTGCAGGGGAACTCTCATTTATAAAACCATCAGATCTCATGAGACTTATTCACTACCATGAGAACAATATGGGGGAAACCACATCCATGATTCAGTTACCTCCACCTGGCCCCCTCCCTTGACATGTGGGGATTATTACAATTCAAGGTGAGATTTGGGTGGGGACACAGCCAAACCATATCAGTTACTTAAAAAGTATACTTAATAGAGATACTTAAGGCTCCTTAAAAGGAAAAATGGAGCATCTTCTAGTTGCAAAGTCCACCTCTCTTTTTGTTATTGTCCTGTGACTTTAACATCTCCTCTGGCTTCAACAATATGCTACAGTTTTGCAAACTCTAGGTGGGACTGCTTTCTCTGTGATTTTTTTCCCCCATATATCTTACCAGTGAATTTTGAATACAGCTTCAGCAATTTTGCCAATACTATGCTAAACTTTTTGCATAGATGTGTGCAGATAGCAACCTTTTGGTCCCTTCTTTGTCCCAGATTTGCAGCATGTTTAGCCCAGTCAGTGAAGGATGATGGAGTATCACAAGACATGGTTGGCACTTCTTATCGTATGATGACTAAAAAGGAGTGGAAATAAATGGGCTGAAGAATAAGATGTGAAAGAGTGTAATATGAATTTTAGGTAAAGAATCGAGTTTAAGCTGAATGTTGATCTTGAAGGTCTGGGATGATGAACAGGAAAATATGCATTGAGAGTACTAGTATATGCATATGCAAGTACTAGTGCTTGGTCACTAGTACCTAGAATATAGGAGACACTAAATAAATATTTCTGAATAAGTTTAAATGAGTAAATAAAAGATACATAGGAAGATAGGAAAAATCATAGACTGTATTGTAAAAACTTTTCCTTGCTCCTCATGTGGAGAGATTCATGCTATAGAACAAATCAGGTAACAGAATAAGATAGAAAAGTCACCTGAGGGGATTATATGCAGGGTTAGTGCAACTGAAAACACTGGCAGATATTAAAAGAGAAAAATGTATAGGTTTTGGGGGGGACTAAAAAAATAAAGTTTACTTCTCTGGTATTAATGCCAATAATATTTATTTCTAAAAGAGTGAAGTGGAAAATAATTTCCTTATACTCAGTACTGCTATTTACTTGGGTCAGTGCCTTATCTGTCACTTCAACACATCAGTAAGTAGTTAAAGACTTTATAAGAGATAATTCCTGATCCTAAGTTATATATATTCAAATTAAAATAAATGACATACATATAAAAACAATTAGTAAACACAATAGTGTGTTCTGGGTCCATAGTAGGCATTAGTTAATTATTTACTGAATTAATTGACTATATAATAGCAAAAATTATAGTAATTCTCTTATCTTCAGATTACTTTTTTTTCTGATGACCTCTAGGAAGCTGGAAATAAGTGAAAATTTTTTTAAGTATACGAACGGCCATCACAAAACTCTTTTATACTTGACTTCATAGGCTCTCACTCAGGCTTGGCAACTTTCTTAACATACAGTTCTTACAAACATTATTACCGGGTTTTTCATTCCATTAGAGGTTTCCAAAACAAATGGTACAGTGAAGATGTCACTATAAGCAGGCCTAATGACCAAGAAGAAATAACAGCTCAAATCCTGACCAAAAAACTAGACAACAAAGAACATTCCACCTTACGGTAATCATAATTACTATAATTATGATCTTGAGTGATCAGGATATAATAAGTATTCAATAAGTGTTCATTTCACTATTGTTATCAAAAAAGTTACTTTTTTTCCATTATATCCGCTGTTTAGGAAAACAGGGAAGCAAATAAAATATTTTTAAAGAAAAAGCTTGCACTAATGACATTCATTTTACCCCTATTAAAAGATAAACTTGGGCATATTGAAAGTTTAACAAGTTTATTCAAGCATTCAGCCACAGCAATTGGGTGCCCTAAGACCACAAGCAGTTCTGTCAATGCTCCTCTGGGCAGGGAGGAAACTTTTATAACGTATTCTCAGACTAAGAAATAGATATTAGACTGGTTAAAGTGGAGACTCCCTAGTTAGATGTTAGTTGGCGGCTTCTGATTGGTAAAGTCTCTAGTTACAGATTCGAAGTTTCATTTTACTGTTTACTACATTGAATTGGGTTTTGGTTTGCTTACGTAGGAACCCAAGGCGCTGATGTTGTCTCAGCCTAGTGGCCTCCCAAGTTATATAGCATCCCTTCAAAAATGATTTTTAAATTTTTAAATGATTCTTAAATAGGTACAATTACTAGCTAAAATTTTCTGGAAAATTTACTTTAAATGACTCATTCTCCAAGGTTGCCAAATAAAAAATAGCAAGCAATAGGGCTGGGCGTGGTGGCTCACACCTGTAATCCCAGCACTTTGGGAGGCCAAGGCAGGTGGATCACAAGGTCAGGAGTTTGAGACCAGCCTGGCCAACATGGTGAAATCCCGTCTCTACTAAAAATACAAAAATTAGCTAGGTGTGGTGGCGTGCGCCTGTAGTCCCAGCTACTCAGGAGGCCAAGGCAGGAGAGTTGCTTGAACCCAGGAGGTGGAGGTTGCAGTGAGCCGAGATCACGCCGTTACATTATAGCCTGGGCGACAGAGCAAGATTCCATCTCAAAAAAAAAAAAAAAAAAGCAAGCAATAGCTAGTGCAGTACACTTCCAAACACTTCACACAAGACAGCTTGTATGGAAGAGCTAATTAAGTGACTAACATTTCACACTGACCAAATTCCATTTATTATCAAGTTCCTATTTCTCCTGAGAACACAGACAAAAGAAAATTCACTAGGTACTGCATTCATGCTGCGCCAGTGGAGGAAGGCTGGTTAGAACCGGCAAATCACTTGAATTTGTGTTATATATACCTAGGTTGAGTCTCTGCCATATTCTTGCAGCAGTTAATTTTTGACTGTTTTCCTTATGATTCTTGTTTATGGTAGGCAGCATTTCCAAAGTGGCTCCCAGAAGAAATCCTATCCTAAATCTCCAGAACCTGTGAACAGGATGAGACATCACTCTCATGATTTATGTTTTAGTCAGTGAGATTATCTGAAGAGTCCACACACTGAAGCTGACTTGAAGATGAAAGGGGCCACCTAGGAGGGCATACGGGTGACCTTAAGAAACTGGGAGAGGCTCTCGGCCCATAGCCAGCAAGCAAACAAGGATTTTAATTCTATGACCCCACTGAACTGAATTCTGGCAATAACCCAAATGAGCTAGGCAGATTTCTCCACAGAGCCTCAGATAAGTACTCAGCTCAGCAGCCCCTTGATTTCAGCTTGGTGATGCCTGAGGCAGTGAACCCAGCCACACCATGCCAGACTCTGACCCATAGAATAGTGAGATTATAAATGGGTGTTGTTTTAACCTACTTTGTGATAATTTGTTATGCAGCAATAAAAAATATATGTCTCAATTAATGAAGTCAAAAATCCAGAAACTTTTCACCTATAATACCCAAGTTTTGGGAACCACGTCTAAGCATAAACCAAGATCACTTGAGTGAATTCTAAATTTATGGGAGGGAATAGCATTATTAATATCTTACCAAAGCAATACTAAAAAATAGTTATGCTACTATTAAAAACTCATTTCTGGGTCTAAGACTACCAGAAATTATAGGAGCGGGCTTTTCTTTTTTTAAATAAGGGGCTAAAAAGAGAGAATGTGATTGATTACTTGAAGGGAGATATGTCTACAGTAATGAGTAGAAAGGAACATACTACAGTTGTCAACAGGAAGAACTACAATTAAATGTGAATTATTTGGTTGAAAGAACAGCTATAATAGATTCTTGTGGCTGAATATCTAACTGGCAAACTTCCTGCAAGCTTCCAGTAACTGGCCCTTTGTCCTCAAGCTGTGCTGTCGAAATTAAATAGAGAGCCCCTAATGACCTTTTAATGTTTATTTGGAGACAAAGCATAAACAAATAGACTTCTCCCAAAGTGTCACACAGTGTAAAATATTTTCCAGTTTGGTTAAGACAGTTTTTTTCACAATAAAAGGCAAGATGCAAAAAGCAGTTTGCATATTGCAATGTGTATAAAAGGAATTTCAGATGTTAAAACGCCTAGATATGTTATACCTTCAGATCAATAATTTTAAAAGCAATTTTAACCCCCCCAAAAAACTTTGCCTAGAAAAATTAGTTACAAAGCCTAGGCAATATAGGTCTTGGTCTTGGTCTTAGGTATTTGTTTATGGCAATGCTCTTCCTATTTTAGGAAATGATTAATACAGGAGCATTTCAATGCAATAAAATCATTTTGACAAAGCCTGCTATAGTTTATCAAAATAGGACATGATGTATGCCAAAGTGTATTTACATTCAGAAAATATAAAGAAACATTTTATTTAAATGAAGCCTTAAGAATTTGAGGGCTAACTTTTAACTTTGGCCTATGTAAGATGTGTACCAATAGGACATGGTAAAGCATGGAGTAAAGTCTCCAAATATTATCAAATCAATCTCTCAGAAATAAAAGTGTGTTCAGACTCTTAAGAAAATTTACCCTGGGGCTTAGACAAGTCTCTGTGAGATTGATTGGTCCAGGGTTCCGGTGGGACCAGAGTGGAATTGTACCTTTGTACTGTAGACTTTGCAGCTGCAGTTGTGTACCTAACTGAAATTGCACTCTTATTGACCTCCTCTCAGTCATATGGACTGAATGACTCTCTGCTTTTAAACTTAGTAGTCTTTGATGCAACAATTTTGCTGTTGTTAAGACATATATTTATTAAGACTCTTTCTGTGCATTCCTTGCTATGGGTTTAGGGACAGAGTTCACCCCAGTGTCTTGCCCTTTTCCCATGCCTACCTGTGTCCATGAAGTCTCTCCCAATCTTTTCCTATTTTGCTTTAACAAATTGGGAAATGGCAACAAACAATTAGAAAGTGAAAACAAATAGAAAAAATGAGGGTATACTCACAGTTTTGCTGCTCCACACAGGCTGCAAATAATGACACTTTATTTTTCTAACTTCTAGCTTAGCCCTCCCACCAGGACAGGGGATGGACAGGGAAACATCATCTCAGTCATTTTTTTAGTGAATAATTTTATCTTCTTTGGGAATTCGGGTTTATACAATTCAGGAAAATTGGTATTCCCAGTGTATTGGTATATGGTAGTGACTAGGAGGAAACGCTCATCATAGAAATTCCTTGATCAATCCAGAGAATGGTGACTCTTATTTTCAACACCTGCTCACTCTGCCCAAACTCAGCCACCAGGACCATTGCCAAGTGGCCATGGTACCTGGCCCCAGCACTCAGGCTTAATCTATATAGCCTCCACCGCAGAGGTCCTGCCACTTCCAGGTATGACCTGGAAACCGAGTTTTCTACCTTTCTGTCTCATGGTATCAGGAATCCCACTGCTTCTGGGATTGGGCAGCTCTCTTAATCTTCAACCTTAGAGCCTCTTCAACACAGGTTACCCAGGGCCCCAGAGCAGACTATCTCATCAAAACACACCAGTGTGTTGGTTAATAATGCAGATACCTGGGCCCTGCCCCAGACCCACAGAATCAGAATCAATGGAGTTGTGTCCCAGGAGTTTGCATTTCACTAAGTTCATCAGTAGATTCCTGTGCATATTCAGACTTAAGAAACATCAGGCCTTAGACTTTTGAAAAACCACATCTTTAAATTCTGTAGCAGTGAAAGTCCAGAGCTCTCACACAAGCTCTGCTCTTGTCTTAAAGAAGGGAAAGAAAAATATATCTCACTTTTACCAGTGAGCTTACAACTGAGGAAACAAGACAAAACTTATTCCTCAGTCAGATTACTCGGCCCCACAAATGTTGAGTAGAAATTGGTAAAGTATCAAAGATCAATAAGATGAAAGAAGGCAACACACACACACACACACACACACACACACACACACACACACCCATGATGATGAGCAGTTTTTATTCAAATGGAAGAGCCTTGGTTGTGGAGGGGCTTGCCAAAGGCCAGAATCTAAGTGGGTCCTGCCAAATGGCAACATGATGTTGCCCATGAATAGATCCCACTGGGCTATATAAGCCTTCAGTTAAGGTTGATAACACAAGAAATTAATTCAAACCAAATTTACTTTCTTTCCATCTTTTCTTTTCCAGATTGCTATTTACCTCACTGATATTTTAAAGAAAGTTTTAAGCAACTATTAATGGACATTCACTAGAATACAAACATTCAATGTTAAGTATCTGTACTAGTGAGGGATTAAAAAACACAGGGATTATTTAAATTCAAAAGTAATTTAAAAACCACACACATTGCATGCATCAACAACTCTAGCTTTGATTTAGTGCTGTTAAAAGAAATATAAAAGAATTAATTTAGCTTTATTAATCTTACTTTAAGGAAAAAAATATATAAATATACACACACATACTTTGAAGTCTCAAATATCCAGATTGATTAATTATAAACTCAAATTTTTCCAGTAGCTAAGAGAGGTAGAAGTGAAAAAATGTCTTAATTAACTGCTTTATTTTAATATTTCAACTTAATTTTGTATTCTATTCCATTACATAATATGCCTGTGTCTTAATATAAAAATCATGGAGAAAATACTTCAGTAAGATGCACTACATTTCTATGATGCCTTCGCAGATGGTTCTCTGACATATACCTGATATGGAAAGCCTCACATCATTAAAATAACAGGGCTAACTACCAGCCCTCCACTTCAATTTTGGAGGCATCCCTACAACAGGCAAACATTCAATGTGATGTGCTCATTAATTTCTCTAATTATAATGTTATTAAATTATAATGATAATGTCATCCCTAGAAATGATGGCTTCTGATAGAGTTGTCTTGTTTTTCTTTGCAGGGAACATTCCAATATCTATCTTCAAAATGGCCCAGATAGAATTGGGAGACTATATAAGAAGGCCCTTTATCTTCAGTACACAGATGAAACCTTTAGGACAACTATAGAAAAACCGGTCTGGCTTGGGTTTTTAGGCCCTATTATCAAAGCTGAAACTGGAGATAAAGTTTATGTACACTTAAAAAACCTTGCCTCTAGGCCCTACACCTTTCATTCACATGGAATAACTTACTATAAGGAACATGAGGGTAAGTTCAGCTCATGTAGCTGGAATTTCCTCTTACTTTTCAGTAGAAGTGCCTTTTAGCTTCTAAAATTGTGGACTTCTCTCCTGGATAAGACATATAACTGCCATTCAGCTCTTAACTATTTTTTTTTTATTTTTTTTTAATTTTTTTTGACTTCTGTCACCCAGGCTGGAGTGCAGTGGCACGACCTCGGATCACTGCAAGCACCGCATCCGGGGTTCAAGCCATTCTCCTGCCTCAGCCTCCCGAGTAGCTGGGACTACAGGCGCCCACTACCATGCCTGGCAAACTTTTTTATTTTTATTTTTTTTTTGCATTTTTAGTAGAGACGGGGTTTCACCGTGTTAGCCAGGATGGTCTTGATCTCCTGACCTCCTGATCTGCCCGCCTCAGCCTCCCAAAGTGCTGGGATTACAGGCGTGAGTCACTGCACCCGGCCAACTATTTTATTAATAGGTACTTTGTTTCCATATAATAATGGCATGTTTCTCTTGGTTGTGCTCTTTCGTGGAAAGTGTGAATGTGAGAGAATTTCTAGGTGGACTCAGTGAGAGTCAGAGAGAGCTGGAGCTTCTTTCCCAGAGCCCAGTCCTTTCTGGCCAAATAGAATAAGAGAAATGGACAAAGTGCATCAGAGCCTAGAAGAGGCAAAATCCAGAGGGAAGAGAAAGAAGGACTCAAGATGTGGATTGCCTTATCTTTGAAGTTCCTACATGTAAACATACTGTGCTGTTGTTACCTCCCATCCTAACTTTATATAAACTCTGCCCCAGCTAAGGTGGCATAAGTAGTCTCATGTCAGTCAAATGGTACATATGCCTGGATGACTGTAGTCACATATGAGACACAATTAACTGAAAAAGTCATTTGAATGTAGGACTTGGAAGCCTTGAAAATAGTACCTGAAAAACAAAGATAAGGTTTGGTGCCTGTGATCTCATTCTTAGTCCTTAACAATGATGGTAAAAAAGGTGGTATTTTGTAGTGATGAAAAGCAAGGGCTTTGAAATTAATAGACAAAGGTCTGAGCCCCAGCCTTGCCTTTCACTGTTTGAGTGACCTTGGACAAATTACTTAAGTTCTTTCAGCTTCAGTTTCCTCATCTATAAAATAGAGATAATAAGAATACATAGTAATACCTCAATAACTATCAGCTGCTATCATAAGCAAAAATGCTGAAGTCATGCTACAGTTCATTGAAATTATAATGATCGAATAGGGAAATTAATTTAAAATTAGATTTGATTCATTATTAGTTGTCTTATTAAAAGAGATATTGGTTTAGAAAGTGAATGTGTTGACTTTTTTTGTTTTTGTTGTTGTTTAGGGATAAATTACATTCATAGCATAAAAGGCTGACTGCCATCCTATTTCTTTTTAATGATTTCATGGCTTACTAGGGAATTACCATTCATTTTAAAGGTATGGTAATGGAACTGTGGTTTTGTTAGAAGAAAAAAAGGGTTCCTATCTTTTAGAGATACATACTCAAGTATTTATGAATGGAATATGATGTCTGAGACGTGCTTTAAAATAATTTGATGATACTGGGGATAAGAGTGTGTGGGGGTACAGATGAAACAAGGTTGGCCTTGAGTCGATCATTGTTAAAGCTGGTTTGATGGGTACACAGAGGTTCAGCATTTTCTTCTCTCAACCTTTGTGTGTGTTTGGAAATTTCCAAAATTGAGAGTAGAAATGTTTTTAATTTTATGGTTACTTCGTGGGCAAAAATCTGAGATCATATAAGAAGTTTTGAATTTAGAAGAGGGTAGCCTTTTTGCTCAGACTCCCATACCATGACCCGAGTTCTTTACATTGCAAACAAAAAGTCATTATGCTCTCTGAAAACCCAATCAAATATAAAAAAATAATAAAAATGTCTGTGAAGCTTCTACACACCCTAGCCATTAGCCTTTCATTTTCCTGTGTCCAAATAGGATAACACATCCCCAAGGATCACATAGTAGATGTTTAATAAATGTTTGCTGAATGAATTAATGGACTATCTATTCTCTCATTTAAGTTCAAACACATTCACTTTGCACCTTCATTGCATGTTGCTTCCTAGGGGCCATCTACCCTGATAACACCACAGATTTTCAAAGAGCAGATGACAAAGTATATCCAGGAGAGCAGTATACATACATGTTGCTTGCCACTGAAGAACAAAGTCCTGGGGAAGGAGATGGCAATTGTGTGACTAGGATTTACCATTCCCACATTGATGCTCCAAAAGATATTGCCTCAGGACTCATCGGACCTTTAATAATCTGTAAAAAAGGTACATCTTCTCCTTATTGCACATGCTATATGACCAAAAGACAGGGGCAGGGCAGTTTGTCTTTTAAAAAGAAATCAAGTCTTCTGTGCTGAGATTGAGCAGGTAAGGTAGAGAGGTGGTAAGTAGAAAAAAAGGAAGGGAAGAGCCAGGCAGGACTAGGAGAAGAAGGGATAAATAGAACAAGCATTCCTACGGGGAAAATGCCAATGAAGGTAATGTGAAAGAAATATATTCTCTCAGGGTTCAGTTTGCTGTATCTAACTTCCAACAGTGGTGCTGAAGAGACATATGACTTTACCAAATGTGACTACCAAAAGGGCACTCCACGGTGATAGATCTGTAGTTACTCATACTATATTGGTAAACATAATATCATAGTATTTATTTCTAACATCATGAAAAAGACAACGGAGCTCAAGAGCCTGAAATACAATTCTAACTTGAACAATCGTTACCTGTAAAGACTTGTCTCTGTTTGTGGCTATATGCACCAGAAAATAGACGCACAACTTTGAATTCCAATCTTCCCATTTGCCAAAAAGCATTTAATAGTTATGTGGTCAGTGGACATCCAGACACAGGAGTGTCTTCCAAGCACCAGATACTGATCATAAAAATTCCCTGAGTGTTTCTGTCTGTAAAACAGGAGTGACTGGTCCAGACTTGTGATTTATTCGAAAAAATAAATACTAACATTTTTAAAAACTATAAATCACCTGAAAACATAAATCAAAATACATGCTAAAAGTTTAGTCTTGCTAAAATAGTAACTTTAACTCCAGATTCTCTAGATAAAGAAAAAGAAAAACATATTGACCGAGAATTTGTGGTGATGTTTTCTGTGGTGGATGAAAATTTCAGCTGGTACCTAGAAGACAACATTAAAACCTACTGCTCAGAACCAGAGAAAGTTGACAAAGACAACGAAGACTTCCAGGAGAGTAACAGAATGTATTGTAAGATTACAGCAGACATGTTAACTTTACTTTTTTTTCCCTTGATCCATTAATTCTGCTAAGCTTATTCCCTCACATAAATAAGTACTGTGTGTCTAGTCTGTGGTCCTTATAACAAAGCATATTGGATGTGCAATTTGATATTCAGCTAAGTAAGTCAGAATAAAAACTCTAAGCCAGGTAAAGCCAGATACACCAAACTTGTTCCCCAACTGGTAAGGATAAAGCATCAATTATGGTTTAATGCATATGTATGTGACATTAATATATTTATTTATCCACTAGACTCATTCTAAAAATTATTTGAGGCAGCTCCAAATTATTAAACTAAATGCTTAAAACCATATTATATTTTAAAGCATCTAACTATATTTAAGAAAATAGTTCAAACCACGAGTTCTGAAAGGTATTCGTTTTACATACTATGTTGCCCTCACTGGGCCCCTTAGTCTGCATCATTCGTTTCTACATTTCAGTTCACTTTACTTTTCTAGAAATGCTTTTTTTACAGTTTAGACTTTTTCTTAATTCTCAGACACAAAATAATGAGCTTAGTAAGATTATCTATTTCTCATAATTTGCATGAGAAACAGAGTCCCTTAACAACAACTAGACCAATAAGTAGATATTTTCGTTTATTTGTTTGTGTTTAACTTCTTCAAAATAACCTGTACTCAGAAACCGAGAGCACAAAAATAACGATACTACCAAAGTAGAAAAATAAACTAGTTAACAAAGTACAGATTTTGTTTCCAACTTTTACTTATATCTGGGTGGAAGGTCCTCTTTCCATACTTTAATCCTGTCTCTGTTGTGTACTAACAAAAATAGTTGTTATAAAAAGATACTCAAAATTCTAGCCTGAGCAGGTTTGATTTGGTACCAGTGTTACATGTGGTGCACTCAGGATTCTTCCCAGAACTAATTTCCACTTGGGAAATTTTTAGGGCCACCCAGTTTGAACAGTGACCATAAGTTTCTTCTGAGGGTTTCAGGCCACCTTGCCTATGAACTTTTAGGTCTTTGTGGCTCTGTCCCTGCTGCCCTTCTACATTTTTTCCCTCCTTCATATCTCTTCCAATCTTAAAAATTTTGTCTTGCAATCTTTAAAAAAAAGCTATTCTTATGTACTTTTTACAAAATAAATTTATGGTAGAAAATTGGAAATTTTCTGACAAGCAAAAACATCCATACTACCAACATGATGAATAACTGATTGAATACTAATATTCAATCTTTTTTCTATTAATTCTATGTGTGTTTTGTTTATATGTATGTATATATGCACACCTCTGTATTTACACACACACACAATGTGTACAGTTTATAACAAAGACAGCAAATAGGTTTTATCTTCAGTATTGTGTTCATCTGTTAATATGGTATTGATAAGAATCCTCAGGCTGAATTCAGTTCCAAAATGAAAGAGTGCTGTGATTGATTAGCAATGTCTGACATGAGTATAGGGGGCAAGAATACCAGCATGTGTGCCAGATATTTGCCATTCCAAATTGATTCTATTTATATAGAGGTAACTCTCACTATCTCAAGCATTAATGACTCTTAGTCACAAACTCTGCTCTTGACTTACAGCTGTGAATGGATACACTTTTGGAAGTCTCCCAGGACTCTCCATGTGTGCTGAAGACAGAGTAAAATGGTACCTTTTTGGTATGGGTAATGAAGTTGATGTGCACGCAGCTTTCTTTCACGGGCAAGCACTGACTAACAAGAACTACCGTATTGACACAATCAACCTCTTTCCTGCTACCCTGTTTGATGCTTATATGGTGGCCCAGAACCCTGGAGAATGGATGCTCAGCTGTCAGAATCTAAACCATCTGAAAGGTAGGACATCTTTACCTGAAATTAGCAGTCAGCTGAAAAAGGTGGTTACTGGGAATCAGAATCTAAAAGCTAAATATCTTTGAAATAATCTGAGCTTTGAACTGGCATCTTAGTTTTATCCCTATGATGGTATATATAATAATGTAATAAAAAAAGACTGTAAGACAGGAATATTATAAAGTAATGAAATTTGAAAATATATTAGTTTTTGGAAAGAACAACTGGCCCTGAAAGTATAGTACTATATATACTTACTCAGCTTTGTAAAATATACCAGTGTTGTAACATCCAGAAAAATTGTATGTTGCACTGGAAAGCACCCTGTTTTTCGACTTATTTCTGTCAAGTATAATTAACTTTGTTCTTTATTTGAGCCTGGCCATCCCTTAGTTTAACTCGATAAATCCTTCCTTTATCTCTTTAACTTAGGCAATAAAAACATTCCTTGTTCTTGAAAAATATTAGTTTTTAATATTGGTCTACTGAATAAATTAAGTTTAACATAGGAGTTCAGATATTTTACTTTGACGTGCAAATATAATTGCTTTTATCAAATATGCTCTGGGCCACAGAAGGCCCAGCACAGCAGATGCACAACCATCTTGTACAAGACAGCAATAATATAAGCTCATTTGGTACCTCCTCCTTGTACCTCCTCCTCCACCCAATGCAACCCCTTAAAATATGTCAAAGCCTCTCTTCTCTGCTTATCTACAGATTTGTTCTTTTTCTCTCATTGAAAGAACTACCAAGTGAAACCCCACAGAAACTGGTACCATATTTTGAAAACATATATGCTTAATATCTCTATGCTGTATGTACATAAAAAACAAAGTATATCTGTTTTAAACTTGAGTTTTCCATCATTAATTTATTTACAGCTGTCTGCCCTAGTTTATAGTACTGTTGCTATCTGTCTATTCCTTCAATTTCTACTTGTCATCACCCGAGCAGTGTTTACAGGGCAATAGGAGAGAGAAACATTGTCTTCATTAATCAATGCCTCTTTCTGTTTCATTTCAGCCGGTTTGCAAGCCTTTTTCCAGGTCCAGGAGTGTAACAAGTCTTCATCAAAGGATAATATCCGTGGGAAGCATGTTAGACACTACTACATTGCCGCTGAGGAAATCATCTGGAACTATGCTCCCTCTGGTATAGACATCTTCACTAAAGAAAACTTAACAGCACCTGGAAGGTAATTTACAAAAAAAGAGTACTATTTCAAAATATGCTCTCCCCCGCACAAAGGAACTACAAAAGGCTAATTCAGCAATTAAAATTTTAATTGGTATCTGAAATTGAGTAACTAGACTGCTAAATATTTATTAAGGTATTTGATGTAAGAGTCTGAGCTTGAGAACTATGAGTTTTGAGTCCATGAAAAAAGATGGGTTCAAAAGTTATCAAATGCTTGACAAAGTCCTAAGAAAACACTGAATACTATTAGATAAATCAATTAATTTGCTTCCCATTTCAGAAAACGTGGCACTGTACGATTCAGCAGCATTAAGTACAGTTACACTATTGCATAGCCGTCACCACTATCCATTTCCAGAACTTTTTTTTTATCATCCCAAATGAAAACTCTGAACCCTTTAAACAATAACAACCTTCTTCCACTCTTTCTCCACCCCCTGATAAGCTCGATTCTACTTTCTGTCTCTATGAGTTTTCCTATTCTAGGCAACTCATACAAGTGGAATCATACAATATTGGTTCTTTTGTGTCTTTTATATCACTTAGCATAATGTTTTAAGATTTGTTCATGTTGTAGCATGCATCAGAATTTCATTCCTCTTTAAGGCTGAATAATGCTTCATTGTATGTATATACCATATTTTGTTTATTCATTCATCTGTTGATAAACATTTGGGTCATTTCCACCTTTTGGCTATTGTGACTAATGTTGCTATGAACAATTGTTATACAAATATCACTGTTCAAATCTCTGCTTTTAATTATTTTGCATATCCAGCTAGAAGCGATTCCGCTTCTAGCTGGATATGCAAAATAATTAATAGAAATGGTAATTCTATTTTTAATTTTTTGAGGAACCACATTACTGTTCTCCATAGCAACTGCACCATTTTACAGGCTCATCAGCAATGTACAGGGGTTTCAATTTCTTCACATTCTCATCAACACTTGTTATTTTCTGTTTTGTTTTTTTTTTTAATAATAACCATCCTAATGAGCATAAGTGATATTTCATAGTGGTTGTGATTTGCATTTTCTTAATGACTAGTAATGTTGAGGATCTTTTCATGTACTTTTTGGTCATTTGTGTATCTTCTTCAGATAAATGTCTATTTAAGTCCTTCAGCCATTTTTGAAGTGGGATTTGTGTTGTTGTTGTTGTTGACCTGTAGGAGTTCTTTATATATTCAGGATATTAATTCCTTATCAGTTATTTGCAAATATTTTCTGGCATTCTATAGGTTGTCTTTCACTTTCTTGATAGTGTCCTTTGATGTACACAAGCTACTCTTTGTACATGTCTGAATGACTTCCACAGCCTCCCAGTCATTCTTTCTGTTTGTCTTCCTTTTCTACTATCGATTTTTTACAAAGCAGTACTGTGATCTTTCAAAAATGTCAATGAGATGATGCCACTCCCCTGCTCCAAGTCTTTACTCATATATCACTTCCTCAGAGAAGCCCTGTTTGCCATCCATATTAAAAATACCCTCCTTGGAAAGGTTAAGTAATTCATCCAACATCACACAATAAATGGATAGCTAGGACTTGCTCAGCCCAGACCTGTGACTCCTGAAGCAGAGATTTAAGTCCCATGCTACACTGACACCTACATGTGATTACTCCCAACGCTGCGTCTCCAACTCAGGAGGATCTAGTGAATTTCAGATTGCATTTCAAACTTCTTAGTGACACCCCCACATGGATGAGGCTATTCAAACTCCTCTCCTCATCAAGTACTGCCTTGTTTTATAGAAACTATCTCTGAAGGCTGTCTACTTCTCTCCATCTTCTTTGCCAATACCTATGAACTCATCTCTGCCTCTCACTGAGATTAGAAAAGCAGGCTCCTGACTGGTCTCCCTACTGCAGTCTTGTATTTTCCAACACATTCTCCAAACATCTGCCAGAGGGATCCTCCTAAAATGCTAATCCTGAATGCTTAAATCTTTCAAATGCTTCTCACTGCCCTGGGATGGAAGGCTGAAACCTTAACTAGGTCCTACTGCTTATCTCCCATCTATCTAAGCCTCATTCTTCACTCCTCTGCCCTGTCTTGCATGCTATGCTTCTGCCATATTTTCTAGAACATGGCATGCTCGCTCTTTTCTCTAAGCCTGCTCATAAGCAGTTTCCTCTTTGTATACACCTGCCCTAGTCTCTGCGCTACACACACACTTCATCTTGCTAACTCTACTTCCCCTTTAGGTAGTTTTGAGTAATCACTTCCTCTGGAATGTCTTTGTGGCCTCTTCACTGCACTTTCCCCAACCTCAAAGAAATGCTCCATAATACCCTGTGCTTATTACACTGTATTATATTGATGGGTTCATGGCCTGTCTTCTCTGCCAGATGTAAGGTCCACGTGGACAAGGAAGAGTCCACCTTGCTTATGGTTAAGTCATCAACACATAGCAGGATTCCCAGCAAAGAGCAGGTGTTTGATGCATTTGTCAAGTGAAAGAAATGATGAATGAGGTGGCTTTGCGCAAGTCAAATAATTACCTTTCTGAAATTTAATTTCTTCGTTTGCAAAATAGGGAGAATAATACCAACTTTGTTGCGATGTCATGTGAGTTTCAGCTAATAAACAAAAGCTCCTGGCCAAGCGCCGTGGCTCATGCCTGTAATCCCAGCACTTTGGGAGGCCAAAGCGGGTGGATCACTTGAGGCCAGGAGTGCGAGACCAGCCTGGCCAACATACCAAAGCCCCGTCTCTATTAAAAACCAAAAAATTAGCTGAGCATGGTGGCATATGCCTGTAATCCCAGTTATTCAGGAGGCTGAGGTATGAGAATCACTTGAACCAGAGAGGCAGAGTTTGCAGTGAGCCAAGATCACACCACGGCACTCCAGCTTGGGCAAGAGAGCGAGACTCTGCTCCAAAAACAAAAAATAAATAAATAAAAGCTCCCGAGCAGCTGGCCAGTGCTAATACACAATAAAGAGTAGCCACTGGGGCCGGGCGCAGTGGCTTACGCCTGTAATCTCAGTACTTTGCAAAGCCGAGACGGGCGGATCACTGAGGTCAGGAGATCGAGACCATCCTGGCTAACACGGTGAAACCCCGTCTCTACTAAAAATACAAAAAATTAGCCGGGCGTTGTGGCGGGCGCCTGTAGTCCCAGCTACTCGGGAGGCTGAGGCAGGAGAATTGCTTGAACCTGAGAGGTGGAGGTTGCAGTGAGCTGAGATGGCACCACTGCACTCCAGCCTGGGCAACAGAGTGAGACTCCACCTGAAAAAAAAAAAAAAAAGGCCAGGCATGGTGGCTCATGCCTGTAATCCCAGCACTTTGGGAGGCCGAGGCGGGCAGATCATGAGGTCAGGAGATCGAGACCATCCTGGCTAACATGTTGAAACCCTGTCTCTACTAAAGAAATACAAAAAATTAGCCAGGCATGGTGGCAGGCGCCTGTAGTCCCAGCTACTCGGGAGGCTGAGGCAGGAGAATGGCGTGAACCCAGGAGGCAAAGCTTGCAGTGAGCTGATATGTGCCACTGCACTCCAGCCTGGGTGACAGAGCGAGACTCCATGTCAAAAAAAAAAAAAAAAAAAAAGACAAACAACAACAACAACAACAAAAAACTAGCCACTGTGTTTTTAAACATTTCACAATTTGATAAAAAGATTCTATGGTAGAATCCTTTGTCAAGGGGTTGAAGGGGCCCTTCTGAAAATTTTCTCTTCACTTGAAAAAATAAACATCCTCCATGATTCTCTACTTCTTAACTGACCATCCTTCTATGAGTGGACTGGAACTGTCTGCTTTGTTTGAGTAACTGGTACGGATTGCTATAAATCATGGATAATATTCATCTCTAAGCACTGGTCAGAATTTTTCTCTTCAATTAGCACCTTAAGTGAATACCTGCTTTCTGTTCTACTTCAACCCCAGCATTAAACACTTTTTTCCCCCTGCAGTGACTCAGCGGTGTTTTTTGAACAAGGTACCACAAGAATTGGAGGCTCTTATAAAAAGCTGGTTTATCGTGAGTACACAGATGCCTCCTTCACAAATCGAAAGGAGAGAGGCCCTGAAGAAGAGCATCTTGGCATCCTGGGTGAGTTCTTGCAGAATATATATGGCTGGTTTACTCTTCCCATGGGCTACATCAACCTCAGAAAGAATAGTAACTTCAGGACCTACTGCATGATTTCTATGTGTTAAGTAGGCGTGTGGAAGATAAAACAATAAAATGCAGCAGCTAAGTACTTTTCCAAATGTAAATTACCAATGGTAAATTTTCATCATTAAAAGCCCTGCTGACGGCCGGGAGTGGTAGCTCACCCCTGTAATCTCAGCACTTTGGGAGGCTGAGGCGGGCAGATCACTTGGGTAAGGAGTTTGAGACCAGCTTGGACAACATGGTGAAACCCCATCTTTACTAAAAATACAAAAATTAGCAGGGCGTGGTGGCACGTACCTGTAATCCCAGTTTCTTGTGCCTCGATGCTGAGGCATGAGAATCGCTTGAACCCGGGAGGCGGAGGTTGCAGTGAGTCAAGATCGTGCCACTGCACTCCAGCCTGGGAGACAGAGCGAGACTACATCTCAAAAAACAAAACAAACAAACAAACAAAAACCCATGCTGACCTGACTTCAAATGGTTATTTTTTTCTTCAAAGAGGTAAGGGGAATTGTGTGTTGTGTGTTTATGTGACTTGGTTTAAATAGATAACTAAGTTGTGAGCCTCTGCACTTAGTTAAAGATGTGTTCCCTTAGAAATAAAACCCAGG
This sequence comes from Homo sapiens, assembly GCF_000001405.40. Taxonomy (NCBI): domain Eukaryota; kingdom Metazoa; phylum Chordata; class Mammalia; order Primates; family Hominidae; genus Homo; species Homo sapiens. The sequence goes on along the minus strand of NC_000003.12, from coordinate 149,201,424 downwards.
CTAGGGCCAGGCGTGGTGGCTCACGCCTGTAATCTCAGCACTTTGGGAGGCCGAGGCGGGCGGATCACGAGGTCAGGAGATCGAGACCATCCTGGCTAACACGGTGAAACCAGTCTCTACTAAAAATACAAAAAAAATTAGCCGGGCGTGGTGGCGGGTGCCTGTCCTAGTTACTCTGGAGGCTGAGGCAGGAGAATGGCGTGAACTCGGGAGGCGGAGCTTACAGTGAGCTGAGATCTTGCCACTGCACTCCAGCCTGGGTGACAGAGCGAGACTCCGTCTCAAAATCAATCAATCAATCAATCAATCAATCAATCCCAGGCTACTAATGAAACAAGCAGGATCTGTCCTAGAGCCCTCCGCAGGCTGCCCCCAGCCAGAGTCCAGAGACCTGTTCTCGCCAAGGCACGCAGGCAGAATAACAGTGGGTGAGCAAACAGAGTATGGATTCAGATTGTCCTGGTTCTTCACTTTTTTTTTTCCTAGCGGTGACTCAGAGGTATAATACTTTTTGAACAAGGTATTACAAGAATTGGAGGCCCTTATAAAAAGCTGTTTTTTTGTGAGTACACAGTGCATACATTAGCTGTGTGACCTTTGAAAGTTACTCAACTTGGCTGGGCGCGGTGGCTCATGCCTGTATTCCCAGCATTTTGGGAGGCCGAGGCAGGCAGATCACTTAGGTCAGGAGTTCGAGACTAGCCTGGTCAACATGGCGAAACCCCATCTCTACTAAAAAAAAAAAAAGTACAAAAATGAGAATGGCGTGGTGGCGAGTGCCTGTAATCCCAGCTACTGGGAGGCTGCGACAGAAGAATCACTTGAACCTGGGAGGCAGAGGTTGCAGTTAGCCAAGATCATGCCACTGCACTCCAGCCTAGGCAACAGAATGAGACTCCATCTCAAAAAAAGAAAAAGAAAAAAAGAAAATACTCACTGTCTGTCCCTGCTCCCTTCTGTAAAATGGGAACAATAGTTATTAAAGTTGGTATAGGGATTAAATCAGTTAATAGACATACACTCAGAAGAACAGATAGGAAACTCTCTATAAATGTCATTTTGTATATTACATAAAATATTTATGTAAAATATATATTTTTATTCTATAATTGGTAATCATTAATTTTGGTCATGGAAAATCCAAAACAGTGTTATCCTTCACATCCAAAACAATTCAACTTATCTGCTTTGGGTGGTCAGAGTTTATAGCACCTAACTCTTGGGACAAATGACACACCTCCAGCCAACAGAAGATTAGGCTGAGGAGTCTCAACATTCTGAATAGTTTTTGTAGATGTGTAAAGCTTACTAACTGACTTGTACAAAAATGATAATCAATTTCATTAATCTGAAGTTGAATTAAAAAGCCCTTCTCTCCTTCCAACCTCGACATATCAGATTGATTATGGACTTCTCAAAAACCAAGCTTTCCATTCACCACAAATAAGCGTGTTGCTCCTAGTAGTTCTTGCCAGAGAACACAGTCAAAGAAGATAACTATCTTATACATTCTGCATGTTACATACCAAGGAAGGATAATAATTCTCTCTTTGTTCCCAGGTCCTGTCATTTGGGCAGAGGTGGGAGACACCATCAGAGTAACCTTCCATAACAAAGGAGCATATCCCCTCAGTATTGAGCCGATTGGGGTGAGATTCAATAAGAACAACGAGGGCACATACTATTCCCCAAATTACAACCCCCAGAGCAGAAGTGAGTATACAGCACTGTGTAACAAATCAACAATGTTTAATAACCCACTGTACTGGTCACTGACAGTATGCTGCAAAAACTGAAGGCAGGAACTCCCAAGGAAACCGCTCATATATCATTTCTAGGCATCATGCCAGGAAACAAATAAACCCCTTCTCCTACCTCCAATTGGTTTACGGAATTTTGTCCTGCCTTAATTGGATGATTATTGACAATCCTGATAGTAATTTAGTTGGGTTGTATCAATTATACATTTCTGGAGTACCTTGGGTGATTTTTAATTTTTAAAAAAGTTCTTATAAGAATGTTCGATGTTCACTTTAGAATATTTGAAAAATATAGAAAGGTAGCAAAAAATACTAATTATCCATAGTTCTATAAGCAATCGCTCTTATATTTTTATATAATTCTTCCATTTTCATCTGTATACATATAATATATATTTTAAATACGGTTGAGATCATAGCAAATAAATGTTATTTTAATTTCATAATCGGAGTTTGTTCTCTTAGCATTACAAGGGTTTTATAAACATAATTTTAATGATATAAAATATTTCATTATGTGGATTTTTTGACTATTTTTACACATCAAGAAGGACCAGTGAAGACTAGTGACTTTGCTACCACTTGCAGTGTGACTGTGAACAGGTTATTCAAATGTAAATTTGAAAGATTTAAATAGGATCACCTGCAAAGTTCTTTCAGTTCTACAATTATGGAATGGAATGTAATTTTCAGTTCCATTTTATTCAATAGAAAATGCATCGATTTCACTGTATTGCCGGCATTGTTCTAGCTGATAGAAATGTAGAGACAGTGCTTGCCTTCAAGAAAGTTAAGCTCTGTTCGAGAGAAATACACGCAATACAACATGAAAGGTGCTAGGGACATTCCCGGAAGATGTGTGAGCACAAAGAGGGGCACCACTCCCAGGAGGAGGTTTAGAAGAGTCTATCTGGATGCAATCACATCGGTCTGTTATCTGACACCAGAGCATAAGTGGGATTCCATTCTAATTTATAACAAAGAACTCAGAAGTGGGCTATTCTAGACTAAACTTAGTCTACTTTGTGGCTCAAATGACCACGTTAGAAAGCACACTTCACCTCTCTAATGTGACCTTTCTCACAGGTGTGCCTCCTTCAGCCTCCCATGTGGCACCCACAGAAACATTCACCTATGAATGGACTGTCCCCAAAGAAGTAGGACCCACTAATGCAGATCCTGTGTGTCTAGCTAAGATGTATTATTCTGCTGTGGAACCCACTAAAGATATATTCACTGGGCTTATTGGGCCAATGAAAATATGCAAGAAAGGAAGTTTACATGCAAATGGGAGACAGGTAAGTCCAACTGGGGAAAAAAAAATTGTTCAATCTCTTTGAAAATGATCATTTGACAGAAATAGAAATATCTAACCTCATCATTATCTCCAAAAATACTTTAGTATATACCTTTAAAAGATAAGGACTTCTTTAAAAATGCCCACAATTATCACACCTTAAAATAATAATAACACACATCATAACTCTTTAAAGTTATCAAATAGCCAATCAATGTTCACATTTCCCCAACTGACTTTTTAGGTCTGTTGTTTGGATCAGTATCCAAACAATTACACATATTACAATCAATTTATATGTTTCCTAAGATTGTTTACTTGCAATTTTTCTGTTGCAAGAGTCATTGGTCCTGTAGAAATTTCCCATGTCTTGATTTTACTTTTTATCGTATGGTATCATTTAACACAGGGGTCCCCAACATCCCCCACACACACCCCCATGGGCCACACAGCAGGAGGTGAGCCTGTTAGGTGGTCTGTCAGGAACTGGGCTGCACAGCAGGAAGTGAGCAGCAGGCAAGCAAGCATTATCTCCTGAGCTCTGCCTCCTGTCAGATCAGTGGCGGCAACAGATTCTCATACGAGCGCAAATCCTATTGTGAACTGTGCATGTGAGGGGTCTAGGTTGCACGTTCCTTATCAGAATTTATGCCTGATGATCTGAGGTAGAATAGTTTCATCCAGAAACCACCCCCCTTTCCCAAGTTTTTGTAGAAAAAATGTCTTCCGTGAAACCGGTCCCTGGTGCCAAAAATGTTGGGGATCGCTAAAACATGTTTCTTTCTCTCTGCTTTTATTTCCTATAACTAGTAGTTACATCTAAAAGTTTGATCTAATTCAGATTTTTTTTTTTTCAAGACTGCTTCAAATGTGGTACTGGGCACTTCTGTCAGGGAGTACATAATTTATAGTTGTCCCTTAACTGGGGATGTTATCAGCTACTGATGATGGTTTCCTAGATTCATAAACTAATCAGTGTTGCATAATAGTAATATTCTAATTCCATCTTCCTTTCTTTATTAGCTGGCATACTTCTCTATAAACAGGAACTTCTTAATGAATTATTTGGTTACCCTGAGGTACACAGTATATAGAAAGAGTATGACTTTCATGCGCGTCCATGTGAAGAGACCACCAAACAGGCTTTGTGTGAGCAACATGGCTGTTTATTTCACCCGGGTGCAGGCGGGCTGAGTCCGAAAAGAGAGTCAGCGAAGGGAGATAAGTGTGGGGCCGTTTTATAGGATTTGGGTAGGTAAAGGAAAATTACAGTCAAAGGGGGTTTGTTCTCTGGCAGGCAGGAGTGGGGGTCGCAAGGTGCTCAGTGGGGGTGCTTTTTGAGCCAGGATGAGCCAGGAGAAGGACTTTCACAAGGTAATGTCATCAGTTAAGGCAAAGACCGGCCATTTACATTTCTTTTGTGGTGGAATGTCATCAGTTAAGGTGGGGCAGGGCATATTCACTTCTTTTGTGATTCTTCAGTTACTTCAGGCCATCTGGGCGTATACGTGCAAGTCACAGGGGATGCGATGGCTTGGCTTGGGCTCAGAGGCCTGACAATGACAAATACTTGATTCATTCCCTATATTTATAAGTTTCAAATTAATCAAAGGCTTCTCAATTTTTTTTTACTTTTAAGTAGCATTGTGCACTCGTGGATTTAAGCATATGTGGTGTGTTACAATTCACTGCCATTATTCCTACTGATGTTCAAAGTATCCTTTTTGACACTGAAGGACTTGTTCAGGTTGACTCCTTTATTTTTACATCATAGTAGTCTTTGAAGATTCTTTGCTTTCTAGTATAACGAGACACCAGGCTCATTTTGCACATTTTCGGAGCCAGAACTGAAACTAACCATTTGTTCCCAAAAGCCTGTTTTTTGTTTTTTGTTTTTTTTGGTGAGGATTTGGAACCACAATGTGGGCACTAGAGTTGCTTGTTGCTATTGGGCAAACAATTGTTTCTGGGCCTTTTCAGTGGAAGAAAATGGGAAAAAACTTTTCAGATAAATTCATCATGATTTCATACTTATACTTTCTATTCAAATTTGAGTCTACAGATTTTTTGGTTTGTTATTAACTGCATCAATCTTATATTTGTATCTGCCTTAAACTGCACTGAAAAATCTTATTTTTTCCACGACACCAACATATTCATTTGATTCATCCCACAATATACATACAACAGTCTCAGAATCACAATTACAACACTACAATCAACAATATGATTACTGAAAACAGTTTAAGATTTGTTTGCCACTCTTTTTGTCATTAGGGTAGATCCCACTAGAGATTTTTAGACAAATTACATATCTAAAATCACTTGGAATAGTTCTTCTCCACATAGTTTTGCCACCACTGGATATACGGGTTAATTCATTGTACTTCTCTGTTTCAGAAATTGCTTTTAAAACTGTAATATTATTTTATGTAAAATACTCATACCTCACATAGTTACCTTTTTTTTTGGCTTTATAGTTTATTCTTTTTTTTTTTTTTTGAGACGGTGTCTCGCTCTGTCAACCAGGCTGGAGTGCAGTGGCATGATCTCAGCTCACTGCAAGCCCCACCTCCTGGGTTCACACCATTCTTCTGCCTCAGCCTCCTGAGTAGCTGGGACTACAGGCGCCCGCCACCACGCCCAGCTAATTTTGTTTTGTATTTTTAGTAGAGACGGGTTTCACCGTGTTAGCCAGGATGGTCTTGATCTCCTAACCTCGTGATCCGCCTGCCTCTGCCTATTCTTCCATTTTTAAATAAACAAACGTGTGTGTATTCATATCTTTGCTTTTTTCACTTCACAATAGAATCTGAACATCTCTTCATAGTATTGTTTGGAAATATTGCTCATTCCTCATTTCTTTGCATAGTATATATTACTCTGATGTGTGGACATGCTACAGTTTATACAATCAGTCCCTTATTTGACAAGTGTTTGGGTTGTTTCTAGTCTTTGCCTTCACAAATACAAAACAATGTACAGCTTTGTTAGCCTTGTTCATGTCTCTTTGTATTTTGCCAGCATACCTTTGTGATAAATTCCTAGAAATTGTATTGTTGGGACAAAAGCTAAATGCTTATACAGTTTTGTGAAATATTGCCAAATCCCCCTCTGTAGTTGTGCCAGTTTGTATTTCCAGAAGGTATACATGAGATCATCTGTGTTTCCACAGCGTTATTACAAACTATATTGTCAAATTTGGGGATTTTCACAAATCTGATAGGAAATAAATGATACAGTCGAGGAGCGGATCATATTTATCTTTTTTCTGTATGGCTATCTAGTTACCCACAAAAAAGCTAAACTTTGCTGCATTGATTGAAATGCTGCCTTTATCATCTACTAAAATATTTATATATAAGTGAGTCTATTTCTAGATTTTCTATGCTGTTCTGCTGGTCTTTATTCTTGCACCAATACCATACTGCTTTATTAGGAGAGCCCTTTAATATGTTTCATGGCTATAGCTATGTCTCATTTCTCTTCTTTTCCATCATTTTAATGGCTATTTTTGCTTCCTTATTCTTTCTACTGAACCTTAGAAAAACTTATCTAGATCCAGAAAAAAGGCTTGATAGTGTTTTATTGGGATTGTTTCAAATGTATAAGTTAAAGTAGGGAGTACAGACATAATCACGAAGTTGAGTCATCCTACATAAGAACGTATGTCTTTCCATTTGTTCAAGTCTACTTTTGTGTTTTTCAAGAGTATTTTATAGTTCCTCTTATATGGATCTTGGATTTTTTTTTAAGATTACGCTGAGATGTTTTATTTTTATTTGGCCTTTGTAAATGGTAATACCATCACTTAACATTTTAAGTATGTGGCTGGGTGTGGTGGTTCATACCTGTAATCCCAGCACTTTAAGAGGCTGAGGTCAGTGGATCACTTGAGGTCAAGAGTTTCAGACCAGACTGGCCAACATGGTGAAACCCCGTCTCTACTAAAATTACAAAAATTAGCCAGGTGTGCTGGTGCATGTCTGTAATCCCAGCTACTCAGGAGGCTGAGGCACAAGAATTGCTTGAACCCGGGAGGCGGAGGTTGGTGTGAGCAGAGATTGCATCACTGCACTCTAACCTGGGGGACAAAGCCAGACTCTGTCTCAAAAAAAAAAATAAAAAATAAAAAATAAAAAATTTTAAATATGTAATTGAAAAAAAAAAGGTTTTCTACTTTTAGATTCCTATTCTTGATCTTGTGCTTACTTTGGAAGGAATAAAACAAGACTAATGTTTATTAAACTCTCTCCAGGTACTGTCAGACATGTTACCTTATTTGACCTTTGCAACAACACGAGAGGCTATGTATTTTTATGCCCATTTTGTGGACAAAGAACTGATGCTCAATGAGTTGAGATTTAAAATGAGATTTACCTTCTGCATATTTCATTATCTTCATTTTGCAAATGAAGAAATCACAACACAGGAAGGCCTACAGAGGCATCAGAAGTCCTCATCCTGGCTTTCTCAGTTACTAGCCATGTGGCTACAGATTAGTTATTTAATATTTCTCATGCCCATCTGAATCATCAGTAAAATGGAGATGATACCTGCCCTACTGACGCATCTTGATGGGTTGCATTCTTTCTTTTTGAAAGAAACAAATGGAATGAATATAGGTTAAAGCCCTGGGTAAGCTAAAATGTATTAAGCTGACAAGGAATGGTTATCTTGTCTAAATGCATACAACACAATGTGAAGTCAATCAATTTCTAAAGCAAGTTCCTGACCTTTATAACTATTCTTTTTAAAAAAATATCATTTTAATATGAAAATATTTCATGAACACTGTGAAAATTATGAAAATATATGGAGGTAAAAGAAGAAAATAGTCTCAACACAAAAAAGGGATCACAATTGCATATATTGTTTGCAATTTGCTTTATACACTTAAACATATTATGATTATCCTTCTATATCATTAAAAAAACTTCAGCCTTATTCTGAATGACTGCAAAGTATTTCATGATCTGAATGCACCATAATTTATTCAGTCAGTTCCCTACTGTCAAACATTTAGATGGTTTGCAATTTTTTACAATTATGAACTGGGTGTATTTGACATACTATTTTTTGTTTTAACTAAACAGTAGGATATGCCCATTTTTACTTCATGGGAACAAATCTTGGGACTTAAATTTCTAGGTCACAGGCCAGGCACAACTTATGTGCTTGTCAAACTGCTCTTCATAAAGTAGTATTTTTCAAACTGTAGATCATGACCCATTTAGTCGGTTGTAACTAGCGACTAGAATTTTTTGAAGTATCAAGTGGGAAAGAAGAGACAATGTCAGAGTATACCACATACAGTAAGGACAAGTAAGGGTTAAAGAAATTTCTTTTCTGGAGTGTATGCGTGTGTGTGTGTGTGTGTGTGTGTATACAGGATCACAACATGAAATGTACTTCTTATGTGGTTGCAATAGAAAAGTTTGAAAATCACTGCGTAAAGTGTAGGAGAGAGGCTGTTCTCTGCCGTTTTACTAATACTTAGTTTTAAATTTTTACAAACGGCATAGGTCAATTACTGCACCTCATTCTCATTTAAATTTATAGTTTAATTAATAATGTTTATTGACCATTTGTACTTCTTCAGTCAATTTCTTGGTGACGGCAGATATTCATTTTCAATTATTAATCCATAAAATATCTATATATTAAGCCATATAATATATATATGTGTGTGTGTGTATACTACATACATATTATCTTTGTTATGTATAATGCAGGTCTTTTTCTTTTTTGTGTGTGTTTTTTCATATTCCATTATTGCTTACAGTTGAGTGTTTTTACTTTTTTGTTTGTTTGCCTGTGACAATATAGCTGTTTTCAGTGTTACATAGCCAAATTATCAATTCTTTTTTTTTTGCCTTTTGTATCATACTTAGAAAATTATTTTCTATTCTATAGGTAAGTAAATATTCATCTACAGTTTAGTCAGTATCTTAAAAATGCTACTTGTAACACATTTTCAGTTTGGTGAGTAGGGCTCTAAGGCTCTAAGTTTTATCTTTTCTAAACAACTATTAGATTATCTGAGCATTATATATTAACAAATCTATTCTTTACTCACTGATTTGAAGTGTCACCTTTAACATATTGTAAATCTTAAATATATCTGGATCATTTTTCTAGGTTTCCTAGTTTACCGTGTGACCTATCTGTGCCAGTACCTGTACCACATTGTTTTTATTATTGCAGCTTGTAAAGTTTTAAATACATGTCAGAACATGTTCATCCATTACTGAAAAGAATTATTTTCCCTTTTTATTCTTAGATACCCTCACATATACATTATTCTAGATCAATTTTAATATAATTTTGTTAAACTAAAAAACTGCCATTGGTAGTTTTTATTATTATTACATTAAATGAATAGCTTTAGTTGGAGAGAATTCATCTCTTAGCTATAGTTAGTCTTTCACTCAGGAGCCCTTTAATTCAAGTTGTCTTTTTAATTATTCAGTAAATTCTTATAGTCTTTTTCATATTCGTCCTGCATGTTTCTCATTGAATTCCTGTTTTTCTTAATATTATGCATAACACGGTATTTTTTAATTGCATATTGTCATTATAGAAACAGCTGTTAATTGCTTAACATTTATTTTGGAGCTGGACATCTTAAATATTCATTTCTTAGTTCAAATAATTTCCAACTGATTCATATAGGTTCTATATTATCTATAAATAATGCTAATTCTCATCGCCAGCAAATTTATTCTATTTTCTTGCCTTATTATGATGGGTAGAATATTAAAAATAATATTAAACAATAGTGGAATAGCCAGTAGCCTTGTTTGTGTCTGATCTTAATGAGAACATCTCTGTTTATTTTACCACTAAGTATGAATTGGCTAGTGGTTGTGCTTTATTCTACTTTTACACTGAGTGTTTTTAAAACAAATCACTTGAGCTGCTCCAAAAACATCCTGTGCTAGGCACAGAATTCACTGGTAAATAAGACAAATAAGTTTCCTGCTCTGATAGGTTTTTATTCTAGTGTATATGGGAGGAAGGAGGGGAATGGGAGGAAAGGAGATGAAGATAAGCAAACAAAAGAAAATGAAATAGATAACTTCAGAAAGTGAGCAGTTCTGCAAAAAAAAAAAAAAAAAAAATAGCGTAATGAGATAGTGAACAGAAATTCTAGTTCAGATAATGTGGAGATAATATTTAATGTGATACCTAAATTTCAAAAAGGCAGCCTTGCAAAGATCTGAGAGGAAAGCAAAGGGAAGAGCTAATGCCAGAATGTCATATTTTACAAAAATTTCTTTTTAGATTTTCTTGAAATCATTATATAGTCTTTCTCCTGTAATGTGATCAACTACAAATAAATATGACCAGCTACATTAAAGACTTTCTAATGTTAAACTATCCTTGCACTCTGGGGGAGAACAACACTTAAGTATGGTGAATTTTTCTTTAATATATTGGTGGGCTGAATTTGACTGTGTTTGATTTAGAATTTCTCATTTAAGCTTATAAATGAAATTAGTTTAGCTTTTGCTTGCTTTTTCAGATATTAATATCCATGGTTATACTATCTTTATTAAATAAACTAGGAATAGTTTAAATATTTGGGAACCATCTGCTCCCTAGAGAGTTGAAAGAAACTGCCTTAAAAATTATTTTGACTTTTAAAAAGGAGTAGTTTTGTTGTTTATGGGGTTCCCCCCCTCCTTTTTTTTTTTTTTTTTTTTTTAGACAGAGTCTTCCTCTGTCGCCCAGGCTGGAGTGCAGTGGTGTGATCTCAGCTCACTGCAACCTCCACCTGCTGGGTTCAAGTGATTCTTGTGCCTCAGCCTCCTGAGTAGCTGGGACTACAGGCGCCTGCCACCACACCTGGCTAATTTTTGTATTTTTAGTAGAGATGGGGTTTCACCATGTTGGCCAGGCTGGTTGCAACCTTCTGGCCTCAAGTGATCTGCCTGCCTCGGTCTCCCAAAGTGCTGGGATTACAAGTGTGAGCCACCGCACCCAGCCTGTTTATGTTTTTAATCACTATTTTATTTCATCCATGAGTACTAGTCCAGTCAGGCACTTCTTTCTAAGTCAGTAGATCACATTAATTGCATATAATGATTTACATTTTTCTCCCCTATATATGTGGTTATATTCCTTTCTCATTTCTAATGTGGTATTTTTTTGGTTCTCTCCACCTTTTTTATTAGACTTGCCAGAGATTTATATTTCTCTGGTCTTTTCACATAATATATTTTTGGATTTAATCATTTTACCTGTGTTAAATTTCTTAATTTATGCTTTTGTCTTTGTTAATTTTTCTCTGTAACTAATTTTAAAATTTTTTCAGATATTTAGATTTATTTTTATTTAGTCTTAAGATAAAAAGCTTTTCAGATTCTTAGTTTATATGTGTAGTTACATTCTATACATTTTTCTTTACAGCATGCTCACAGACATTACTTACCAAATCTCAGTATTTCATTTTTATTTTCTCTTCGATCTAAGTTATTTGGATCAAAAATGACATTCTTTTTTTACTTTTTGTCCTTGACTAGTAATTTTTAATTTTATTGCATTATGATCAGAAAACATGACCTGAAAATATTTCATTGACGTTTTCTCTGTCGATCAGTATACAGGTGATTGTACCAGTCCCTGTTGGAATCCTTATACATCTGAAAATGACTTTTGTTGTTCTTTACCTGGTGTTACATTTTTGTATCATAATATTTTCTTCTCAAAAAGATAAATGCTACTTCATCTTCTTCTGGCATTTATTATACTTGATAATTTTAATGTCAACCTGATTTTTTCGTTTCATAACTTTTTTTTTTTTTTTTTGAGATAGAGTCTCGCTCTGTTACCCAGGCTGGAGTGCAGTGGCTCGATCTTGGCTCACTGCAAGCTCCACCTCCTGGGTTCACGCCATTCTCCTGCCTCAGCCTCCCAAGTAGCTGGGACTACAGGAGCCCGCCATCACACCCGGCTAATTTTTTTTGTATTTTTAGTAGAGACGGGGTTTCACATGTTAGCCAGGATGGTCTCGATCTCCTGACCTCGTGATCCACATGCCTTGGCCTCCCAAAGTGCTGGGATTACAGGCGTGAGCTACCACGCCTGGCCTTTCATAACATTTTTAAATGGAACATTTACCAGGACATTTTTAGTACAGATCTCCATTACTAATTTTGTAATTTTGTCTTGTTTTCAGGAAGCTTTTGAATCTGAATCCTCTAGTCTTTTCCCTTTGTGGTGGCAAACACTTCCACTAGTATTTCTTATGATTGTGCCTCTTCCTTTTATAACTTCTTTCTAAAATTATTACAATGTGTATATTTTTCACCTTCAAATGCTCTCCTCTGATTTATGGGAGCTTTCTTTAGATCCCCTTCATCATAGTTTCAGTTCTCTGAAGGATCTAACCTTCAGGTCTTTGCTTTAGTTTGATTTTTTTCAATTTGATAATCACCTTATCATGTATCTGAAGGACTGATCTTAAGGGAAAGACAGGCAATAATCTCTAAAGTATTCTCTCCTTTAAGAGTCACTTATTCTCAGGGGCTCATTTGCTTTGATTCCTTTGACTGCCTTCTTCTGAACTACTGAATCATTTCATAGACCAGATGCACTTCTGCTCCTTTTTTTTTGTTTTTTCCACTGGGAGAAGTGGGAGGAGGTGATAATGTTTGAACAGCTGGCTGGAGATTGTTTGAATCTCTGTTCGAATTCATTGGGAGGTTATTTCTTCATCTGGGATGATTTCTTCCTCAAATCTGCTTCCATCCTGCTCTGCCTTACAGGAATTCTTCCGGTTTTCATGAATGTGAAATCTTCCCTGATTTCCAGCACAGACCCATATTCTTTCCTATTTTAACTTTTTTTTTTTTTTTTTTTTTTTTTTTTTGGAGGCTTCAATTGGTATGCACAATGTGGGCAGGAAGGTAGAGTTAGAACTTTTAGATGCAGAGAGAGACTCAGATTACCATATTGAACCACAAATCCACTAAACAGATACCAAAGAAAGCTCTGGTGGTGAACTGAAATATTTCAGGAACCCTAGTTTACAAAGAGCAACAGAAACTTCTGTTCTCATTCTTTCCTTTAGGTGTGTTTGTGCATAAATAGTATTGTGCACATGGAAGTCTTCTGCTTTATTCATTCTGTCTCCATCTCATTTTGTTTTGATTTACAGAAAGATGTAGACAAGGAATTCTATTTGTTTCCTACAGTATTTGATGAGAATGAGAGTTTACTCCTGGAAGATAATATTAGAATGTTTACAACTGCACCTGATCAGGTGGATAAGGAAGATGAAGACTTTCAGGAATCTAATAAAATGCACTGTAAGTACTGCATCATCCACCAATCTACCAAGTTATTTTAGTACTGCATATGTAATGCTTTTAACTAAACAAAATGTGAAGAGCTTTGCTCATTGATTATTTTTTCAATAAACGATTACAATAGTGTCCTGAAGGTAATCTCACTGGTTATTTGATGTGTCTGTCAGTTATCCATTATTTCACTTAATTCAAGATATGTCAATTACATGAATGGTCCTTAAAGTGTGGTCCCTATATCAGCAGCCTCAGCATCACTGAGGGACTTAGAAATGCAAATTCTTAGACCCCTACCCTGACCTACAAAGTCCGAAACTTTGGAGATGGATCCCGGCAATCTGTTTTCAACAAACTCTGCAGATGATTCTGATGAACGCTACAGTTTGAAAACTACTGGATCAGATGCTTTTCTCATTTTGGCTCAAAAATGACAGGCTCATTTGATTATTCAATATGCAGAAAGATATGATCTCAGCCCTCAATGATTCTAACCCTTGACTGCACATTAGAATCAACTGGGGGCTTTTAAAAAATGACCAGTGCCCTGGAATACCCCCAGAGATTTTTATTTAAGTCTAATACCAGATTTTTTTAAATACCTAGTGTAATTCTAAAAAGTGGTTAGAGCTCAGAGACAGTGAGTTCATTATTCAAAAGGCCCACACCACTAATGGACATCAGTAAAAATTATTGTAGCCAATAGAAGAAAAACATGTAAAGTTGTGTTACAAACTGATTTTTTTTTAAGCTAGGTACTAGTCACGCTACCCACAATCTTTAAAATATTTCTTTTGATTCTGCATTTTTGTATATTTGGAAGCATTGAGAATATTAATCATCAAAAATAATTAAATACACAAGATAAAGAAAAAACCTCCTACATATGACCTTTCCTGTTATTCAAGATGAATTAGAGACTTTTTTTTTTAAATCTAGAACAGCAACACACTCCCAGTATATGGTGCACAGGAAAAGCTGTTATAATTCGCAGATTTGGGTGCTCACAAATATAATCACTTAAAGAACTGGAAATAACAGAATCATTGTTTTAGCCAGGAAGAGCAGTGGGATTCCCAGGTTGCTAGGGACACTAGCATAGAACAAGAACTATGCATTCAGCTCTGCTCCTTTCAGCCAGCGGCTGCTCTGAAATGCCAGGAACCACAAGGAGTTGCAAGGATACTCCTGACACATAAAGCGTGGGCAAGCCTGAATAGGTCTTTTAAAAATTAAAAAAACAAAGTTGGTCCTGGAAAGTCTGTGAGGTTGTCATGTAGTAGAATCTAAACCACTTCCAAAATGTTATTTCCCAACTTTTACAGCCATGAATGGATTCATGTATGGGAATCAGCCGGGTCTCACTATGTGCAAAGGAGATTCGGTCGTGTGGTACTTATTCAGCGCCGGAAATGAGGCCGATGTACATGGAATATACTTTTCAGGAAACACATATCTGTGGAGAGGAGAACGGAGAGACACAGCAAACCTCTTCCCTCAAACAAGTCTTACGCTCCACATGTGGCCTGACACAGAGGGTATATTTACTTAAAGCCAAGTCTCTATTGGATGGATTTGTGTAGTTTTGGTTTAAAATCCTGTAGCAGAATGTGTTGGGTGATAAACTTATCCCTTCCCCAAGCCTCTGAAGTGCCCTTCCTATCTTTGAAAGAGCAAGTCTAGGCCACTATCAGCTGAAGTATGTACCAGATAGGTCTGTTTCCTAGTTACTGAGGACAATGTGGAGTAAAAGAACATGGTGTGGTTTTCTCCACTTCCATAGGCTCCTCAAGATGATCCCTTTTTAGATTATGGTCCTTTTAAAGATAGCTGGAAAATCAGACTAGAAGGGGAATGACTCCCATAAATATTCTGCACCTAAACTTTTCATCATGTCTCTGTAGCCTAGATGTAGTGTTGGCTTGTTGGTTGCAAGTGAATATTCTATGCTAGCATTGTAGCCATGCAAATTCAGAGACATCTACAGACCTGGCTCTGAACGAGTAAAACAAACTACAACTGAAGAGAAAGAATTTTAATCAAAATGTGAAAATATGCTAGCTTGTTTCAGGCTTCATTTGGTTTATCATATGCCACTGAAACTTAAGACCACCCCAGTGTCACGCTTTCCTTCCTTCAACAAATGTAAATACAACAATGAACAAAAGAGATAAGATGTCTCATGCTGCTGAAATTCTAATGCAGGGAGACAGACAACAAGCAAGTATATTAATACATATATGTCAAGTGATTATAAGTACACAAAGAAAAATAAGGCAGAGGAAGGGGATGGTGACTGAGAGGGGAAAGGGTCAAGATTCTCTCAGGAGGTGCTACTTAAGGAGAGACGAGAATAAAATGAGGGTGTGAACCATGAGGATATTTTGGGGAGAAGGCAGAGGAAACAGCAAGTGCAAAGTTCCCAAGGCAGGCACACACTTGATCTGCTCTAAGAACAGCAAAAGGATGGATGGAGCAGGGTGAGCAGAAGGTGTGGAAAGCTAGATCACCTGAGGCCATGATAAGGACTTCAGCATTAATTCTGAGGAAGGTGGAGAGCCCCAGAGGGCACTAGCAAAGAAGTGACATGTTTTCTTATTTACCACTCCAGGGACTTTTAATGTTGAATGCCTTACAACTGATCATTACACAGGCGGCATGAAGCAAAAATATACTGTGAACCAATGCAGGCGGCAGTCTGAGGATTCCACCTTCTACCTGGGAGAGAGGACATACTATATCGCAGCAGTGGAGGTGGAATGGGATTATTCCCCACAAAGGGAGTGGGAAAAGGAGCTGCATCATTTACAAGAGCAGAAGTAATTCTCCAGACTCTGATTCCCAATTTCAGCAGTAATTTTAGGTTTCCTTTTCAGAGAAGTAAGAATTACACCAAATTTTAGAAAAAAAAAAAAGTTGCATTAAACAATAACAACAACAACAACAACAACAACAAAACACTTCCTAGGAACTTGTCCTTATTCATTTCCGCTTCTCTCAATTTCCTTAAGGGAAAATTTCCATTTATCTTCTTTGATCCTTTGGAGTCTTGCTTTCTTTTCTACTGGAGTGTCTTCTCACATTCATGTGCCCTCATGTTGTCATTTATATTCAAACTTAACAAAAGTTAATGCCCAAATTCAGAGCAGAAATATTACTCCCCTTAGCAACTGTTTGTTGCTTATTTTTCCTTCAGAGTTTTCATTGTTAGTCTAACAATCGGTCATTTCACATCCTTAAAACCGTTACGTATGGAATATTTTAAATGCTTGAAGATGATAGATATAGTCTCTATCCTCTAAGAACTTACAGGAAAATATGGCACAAAATTACCAGTAACATGTCCATCATGGAAAAGTACAAAATAAATTCTGTATGAATAGATATAAGTAGAGGATGATTAGAGCTTCAGAAACATTAATTTAGAGCAGCATCTCTCATCACTTCTAGTTAGCCCTTTCTTCATACTTTTCCAAGCACTTTCCTCTCCATCATCCCACTTACATCATGCGCTGACCACATGGAGATGATCTGAGAGATTGGGGTGGGCAGGTGTTCAGATCCAGGGTGCATAGCACAACTGGTGACCTGTGGCTAGGCAGTGGTTACCTGTTTGACAGCAGTAGTGAGTATAGTTTGCAGTGTAAAGGAGTAAACTTTTATTTTGTAATTGGGGTAAAATGGTTAAAAGGCTACAGCTGCCATTAGAAGTAAGTGAAAACTGGCCGGGCGCGGTGGCTCACGTCTGTAATCCCAGCACTTTGGGAGGCCGAGGCGGGCGGATCACGAGGTCAGGGGATGGAGACCATCCTGGCTAACATGGTGAAACCCCGTCTCTACTAAAAAATACAAAAAATTAGCTGGGCATGGTGGCGGGCGCTTGTAGTCCCAGCTACTCGGAGGCTGAAGCAGGAGAATGGCGTGAACCCGGGAGGCAGAGCTTGCAGTGAGCGGAGATCACGCCACTGCACTCCAGCCTGGGCGACAGAGCAAGACTCCTCAAAAAAAAAAAAAAAAAAAAAAAAAAAAGAAGTAAGTGAAAAGGGAATGCCTGGGAAAAGATGTCCATTTCAGTTCCTATAAATCAGAAATATTGGACTCATAAAATTTTAGAGCTATAAAGTAATCTTAGAGATGATCTGTTCAAATATCTCATTTGAGGGATGAAAAAACTGAGGTTCCAATAGGCAGTGACTAGCTGGAGGAAATTTTCACTAGTGGCAGGGTAGAGGCCAGGACTCAGATGGCTGCACTCAGATGGCTAGGTATGCTTTCTACCACACAGACTTTTAAAGTCTTATTATGCATTCCTACTTGGATAGAAGAGTGATGATTTAAAACTACTATAATTACTCTAATAAAAACTATATTTTTATTCAAAATTTAAAGTTTAAAACTTAAGTTACATTTTCATTAAGACAAATACTAACCTTAGTTGTTTTTTTTTTTAAGTGTTTCAAATGCATTTTTAGATAAGGGAGAGTTTTACATAGGCTCAAAGTACAAGAAAGTTGTGTATCGGCAGTATACTGATAGCACATTCCGTGTTCCAGTGGAGAGAAAAGCTGAAGAAGAACATCTGGGAATTCTAGGTATGTTAATATCTCCAGTTTATCAGGTGTGGGTTAATGATGTGATGCTACCTGCAGTAACCGTCAATTCATGTCTATGGGTTTCATTTTCTTGGTTCATATATCAAAGTTGTTCAAATAAAAATTTAAAAATTAGTTATCTAATGAAATAAGACTGATGTTTATTAAATAATATGACATAGTAAAATATTACTTATTTCTCTTGGAAACTATGTATTGTCCCGTATACTGATGAAATTATATATATTTTATCAAATTGATGCCTGTAGTTTTAGTGAAGTTCCCAGAAACTATTTTCTAATGAAATTCTGTTTTTTGACAGAGTCTCACTCTGTCGCCCAGGATGGTGTGTAGTGGTGTGATTTCAGCTCACTGCAACCTGCCGCTCCTGTGCTCAAGTGAGTCTCCCACCTTAGCCTCCCAAGTAGCTGGGACTACAGGGATGGGCCACCACGCCTGGCTAATTTTTGTATTTTTAGTAGAGATGAGGTTTCACCATGTTGGCCAGGCTGGTCTCAAACTCCTGGCCTCAAGTGATCCGCCCACCTCAGCCTTCCAAAGTGCTGGGATTACAGGCGTGAGGCACTACACCTGGCCCTAATAAAATTCTTAACCAATTTATCCCCATTATCCTACCCATTCCTCTCAAATTACAGCTATTTACTTTTAAAATTAAAATATAAATGATTAATTACAAGAAGAAATATACAAAAGGAAATTAATTACAACAGGAAATAAAAGAAAAAATGATACCACGCACAAAGCAGGGGCAAAGCTGCCTTCAATTTTTTAGGACTCACTTTAAGACAGAATGTCTAGAACTCGAGCAACACTGGTCTTGAGACATTTCTTTAAAACTATCAATTGCAGGGACCCCCACTCCCATCCCCACCCCACTGTGTTCCCATACTGTCAGCATTCCCCTGAGGCTTGGTTATCCTCAACCCCTAGACTAAGACACCAAGGCAAAATGGCATTGTTGCTGGAGCACAAAAATCCTACCAGACAAGAGACAAGCTAAGATTGGATAAAGGGTAGAAATGAGAGGGGTATAAATGACTCCTGGCCAGATATCCAACCCACCATGATTAGACCGGTACTCTGCAAAGGACTTTCAGGCCAAACCTCCCCTAGAACTCTTAAGAGATAAACAAATGGTCTCCATTTTTATTTCCAGTGTATTGATTCCAAATTCCCTGGGACGCAGTATAAATCCAAGAGTATTATACCACAAACCCATGGGGGAGAGAAACAAGTTATCTTTGCTGATCTTTGCTTTTATTACTAAGTTAGACCTTCTGATTGGACACTCTTCCTCTTCACTTTTGCCAGGTCCACAACTTCATGCAGATGTTGGAGACAAAGTCAAAATTATCTTTAAAAACATGGCCACAAGGCCCTACTCAATACATGCCCATGGGGTACAAACAGAGAGTTCTACAGTTACTCCAACATTACCAGGTACTCACGGGGGCGGGGGTGGGGGTGGTGCATTTTAACAGGCTGTACAGCCTTTCCACAGATTACTCTCATCATAGAGAGTCTGGACCAAGAAAGTGAAAAGGGAGGTAGTTGTGAAGAGGGGATGCAAGGAGGTGTCTGTGTGTATGCAAGTACATGCACATGCTTGTACTAAAAAAAAAAGTCCACAGGAGAGCTTAAGAGAAAAACCTGAAGGTAGTAGACATCTATGAATCCTCAAGCGTGAATCAGAGAGATGCTGTCTCCTCGCTCAGCTAGAACACAGCTCAAATGGCATCTACCACACCATATGTGGCTGGATGTTCCCATGCCTGTCTCTAGCACATGTGGTTCTAAGGGCCAGAGGCTGCCACTTGGAACTCTAAATTCCCCCTATCTAGTACAGTATCTGGCATATATTAGGAGATCATCAAATGTTTCTTTAATAAACATAGAGTAAAATCTTGAACAGATTATATACATAGGTGAGCATTTTCTTTAATAAGAACCATATTTTTCTTCTATTAGTTGTAAAGTTGGCTTCCAGGAAAATACTATTTCTCAATAACTTAGCAGGGTGTAGCAAGGGTGCTATTTTAGGTAGAGAGGTCAGGAGGGCTTCCTTGAGGAGGTGGCATTGCTGAAAACACCTAAAGTTTGAGAAGTAATGAAATTCAGGTAATTGTGCACGAATTGATTCTAGGCCCCGAAGACAGGAGCAATGCCTGGTGTGTGTGAGCAGCAGCAAGGCAGCCAGAGGCTAAAGAAAAGCACACAAGGGACAGAATGCTAGAGATGAGATCCAGGGAGAGCAGGGGCCAGATGGAGTAGGGAGGACCTCAGACTCGAGATTTAAGACTGATGTTCTGATGGACACCTTTTAAGGGGCTGTTGGTGATGTGTGGTTAAGTGACCCTAAGGGGGCAAGGACAGAATCTGGGGTCAGTTAAGGACCACTGCAATAATCTGGGTAAAATCATCATCATCATCATCATCATCGAGATTTGGAATATGGTGGAAGCGGCTGAAGTGGTGAGATGTTATCATATTCTGGTTCCATTTTAAAGGTGGTACTAAAAGGACCTGCTGGAAAATGGGCACTAGGGAGTGTTAGGGAAGAGAGGAGTCAAGCATGACCCCAAGGTTTTGGGCACTGACCACTGGTGGAAGAGCAGGTTGTAAAGGGGTGTGGAAAAGAGAAGAAAATGTTATTTTGCAGCTTATGAGAATAAGTAAAAGCAGAGATGGCCAGACAGTAATATGTGCAGGTGGTGAATCAATACTTTATATTCTAGTGAAATTTTCTGCTTAGAAAAAGGGTGAGGACATAGGAACAGCTCAGACTGAGGCTTGAAGAAAAAGTAAGACGTCTACCACATCACTTGAGACCATCTCTGTTGTCTTGCTTGATTCTCTAGTGAATGTCTGTTGGACTCTGGCAGGTTAGTGTGATAGCATGAATATGTAATGGTGTGGTCTAAATAAATGGGATGGAAAATGAGTGTGGCTGGGATTGGTGAGTGGGCATGGCCAAAAGTTGAGGCCTGTGAGCAGTTGCACAGGAAGCCCTGAGGTGAATGGAAACGCAGATCAGACTGGAGAAAAGCCTAGAGCACATGGGAAAAGGGTAAGAGCCTTGGCAAAGCAGGAGGGTGAAGCAACTGGTCGTCTTCAAAATGCCAAGGCCGAGGGTGTGGTTATGTCCTGTATGTGGGAGTAGTGACAAAACAGCACATGGTGTGATAGAATGAGATGGACTGGAGGGGGAGGTAAACATAACTGTGTCAAGTCGGTGACTCATGAGATCAAGAGGTCTAACGGCTCCTCGCCAGGAATCATGAGCTCACTAAGGATGATCATGAGAGAGGACAAGGAAAGGAAGCCAATGCTGAAGCTGAGGGAATTACACAAAATAGTCCAGATACACACATGCAGAGATTACGGGAAAGGTGCCAGCCACTGGGGAAAAATCACTTGGTATCTGAAGAGAAAAAAGTATATTAGGAAAACACACTTCAAGCTAAGAAGAGATTGGTTGCAAAGTTTTTTCAAATTGTAATATTGAAGTACACACCTCCTAGCTTTGTGGTATGGCAAGTGGGTTATAGCTAATTTAAAATTAACCCAAAAAATGACAAAATTTTGTCTTCCAGTTCATCTTAAAACTAAATTCCTGAAAACAATCTTGAGTACCACAATTTTTAAAAACTAATTACACTGACATTTCCAGTTCCTGGGTCCTAGTTATCAAGGCTGTGTGTGTGTGTGTGTGTGTGTGTGTGTGTGTGTGTGTACAATATAAACCAAATACAACCAGATCCATTAACACTTGATGAATTTAGGTGAAACTCTCACTTACGTATGGAAAATCCCAGAAAGATCTGGAGCTGGAACAGAGGATTCTGCTTGTATTCCATGGGCTTATTATTCAACTGTGGATCAAGTTAAGGTAAAATACAAATCATTTGTTTTGTGACACTTCCCAAAATAGACACACAATTGAAGGAAGACAAGGTTAGTGTTTTCCTGTGGTCCAATTCTACGTTAAAATCCTAGGAAAATAAACTGTTTGCAATCTACTTTAGCAACTATGCTGCTACCTATGACACACAAGACAAAAATCTAACATTTCCTAATATGATACAGCTCAAAGGCCTTTCAAGATATTTGGGAAGTTTAGATTTTTGTCTTGTGGGTCACAGGTAGCCACTGAAAAATTGACCAAGAATGGCAGTATATTTGCATTTCAGATCCTTCATTCTGGTGGAATGAAGGAAGGCTTGGAGGGGGAAGAGACTGGAGGTTGGGAGGCCGTTGTAATACGTGAGGCAAATTTCAAGGACCTCTACTGTAAGGAGGGAGAAAAGAAATGGAGTCGGTTATAGATAGGTGGGTGAAGTGCCTGAGTGAGCCGGGGGAAGTAGCTCCTTGATAATTCAGTGTTCTGGCTCAAACAAATGAGTAAATCTGGTATTTGTGGTCCTATTTATTATTACACATTTCATTCATCTATGGATTTTTAGGGACTGCCATAGCGCTTGGCTCACACTCAAGAGTTCATGAGTTTATGGAACAAACCAACACTGTTCATTTGGGATTCTTTTAAAATCACTGCTCATTAGCTGAGCTAATTTTTGCCTCTGCAGACATTTCTGTTATGTCAGCATCACCCACATGACCTACCTACTACTCACCATTGTTCCAATTTAACTACTTCAAGTGAAAA
Organism: Homo sapiens; assembly: GCF_000001405.40. Classification (NCBI taxonomy): domain Eukaryota; kingdom Metazoa; phylum Chordata; class Mammalia; order Primates; family Hominidae; genus Homo; species Homo sapiens. The sequence continues at coordinate 149,178,778 of NC_000003.12, read as the reverse complement.
GTTACTAAATTGGCAGTACCACATTGGGCAAAGTCTGTTACTTCAATTGGTCTCTCCAAAATTCCTGAGGCCCTGGGTGCAAAGTCTCAGTTCTCTGAAATCCTGACCTAATTCACAAGGGTTACTGAAGATTTTTCTTGTTTCCAGGACCTCTACAGTGGATTAATTGGCCCCCTGATTGTTTGTCGAAGACCTTACTTGAAAGTATTCAATCCCAGAAGGAAACTGGAATTTGCCCTTCTGTTTCTAGTTTTTGATGAGAATGAATCTTGGTACTTAGATGACAACATCAAAACATACTCTGATCACCCCGAGAAAGTAAACAAAGATGATGAGGAATTCATAGAAAGCAATAAAATGCATGGTATGTCACATTATTCTAAAACAATTTTTCTACTTTTTTATCATTTTCTCTTTCAAATAAAATTATTTTGGAGACCATTCATTTGTTTTGTCTTAAAATAAACCACTTCTGCCTCACTTTGTATGTCAGGTAGAATCCTGTTCAAAACAAAAAGGGGACTATGTTCAAAATCATTTGCTAATTTATTTTCCAATTCCAAAATCTCATTTCCTTTGAAATAATCCAAAACTAAGATTAAGGCTTTTGGTGCAAAGTGCCTAGAAAAGCAATGTGATATTATTGACTTTAAAGTATCCATTTCTCTCATTTGTAGTAAAATAAGTCCTATTACATCAAAAAGATTCTTTACATTAACCTAATAATCATATTTTCTTTGAAATAGCTATTGGTTTAAAATATCCTGAAAAGTAACATAAAACCATATGCTTTCCCTAGCTATTAATGGAAGAATGTTTGGAAACCTACAAGGCCTCACAATGCACGTGGGAGATGAAGTCAACTGGTATCTGATGGGAATGGGCAATGAAATAGACTTACACACTGTACATTTTCACGGCCATAGCTTCCAATACAAGGTAAGAGCTATCCATGGCAATTACTCTTGCTCTGTTTGAAAATGTTTTAATACAAGTGAAGAAAATATTTTCTCAGAGAGACTTATGAAAAAAAGCTGCAAAGAGTACAGCCGGTGCTTCATATCCGTGGATTCCCCACCCAGGATTCAATCATGGATTGAAAATATTCAGGAAAAAATAATTCCACTAAGTTCCAAAAAGCAAAACTTGGATCTGCTGCACTGAGTACTATGTTGAATCCATGCAAATGAAATGATATGTAGGCACTGTATTAGGTATTATAATAATCTAGAGATGATTTAAAGTATATGGAAGGATGTGCATAAGTTAAATGGAAATATGCCATTTTATATAAGGGACTTGAGCATCCATGGATTTTGGTATGGGGGCATTCCTGAAACCAATCCTCCATAGATACTGAGGGATGCCTATATAAGGCACAGCAATTTCAATTGACACACTAGCCTTTGTTACACATTGAGCTCTTCCTAGGATTTGCATTTTTAACTGAATTTTCATGGAGTTCTGCTCAGATTCCTGATTAAGGCAACTGAGCGGAATTGCTAACAAAGAGGGTAGGAATGTTCACATAATGATGGATGAGAGTAGAGACCACAACAAGACTTTATTATAACCCTTGCCCTGCCTGTTCTAAGTTCTGTATCTTAAATGGCCCATGGTGAGCAAGATCAGTTAGGTGACAAGCAACTGGTCTGTACATCTCAATCTTACTTCTATTCTTTCTCAGTACTGATTTCAGCAGAAGCCAGTGGCCCTCCTGGAAATGCTTTTTCCTTATGCTTTGGGCTAATTTAGAAAAGGCAGAAGTTATCAAAAAGCATACTGCAGAAAGCCTGTTTTGTTACCTGCATTTTGTTTTACATAGATATATTGTATTCTTAGTGGGCTTTCAATTCTATCCTTGCAGAAATAGACTATTGTCACCCAACTACTGTTTCCAGCCGAGACTCCCTGAAGTGCCTCTGGTTTTTGTCGTTTTCATCAGCCTCCTTTTCTGCTTCCTTTATTATTTACCTTGACTTAAAGCTTCAGACAAGCTAGGACAGATTCAGGCAAAAGTGAGGCTAGGGCTGAAATGGGGCCACAGCTGAGTTCCTTTTGTGTAGCTTAAGTGCTATGACAAACAGGCAAACCAGAATCAAGGTACAGGAGGTTTGTAGGTAGTCCTGATTGATGAATTCATTCTCATCACATCTTTCTTTCACACCCACTTGATGTGGATACCAAAGACTTATTAGGAATACAAAAACCACATTTTACCATTTGTATTAAACACAGAAACGAGCTCGATTTTTTAAAAACAGATTTATCCATTTTTTCAATATCCCTGAGCTGAACATTAACAAATGACATGAGTGAACTCTCATATACAATATTATACATTATTTGTCATTTTTCTAATTAAGCACAGGGGAGTTTATAGTTCTGATGTCTTTGACATTTTCCCTGGAACATACCAAACCCTAGAAATGTTTCCAAGAACACCTGGAATTTGGTTACTCCACTGCCATGTGACCGACCACATTCATGCTGGAATGGAAACCACTTACACCGTTCTACAAAATGAAGGTGAATATCCAGGTAGTAATTCTAGAAGCCATATATAAAAGATATAACTAAAGGAACTACTTTGCCTAAATACTTCCCCCAATATGATGCATCAATATGAAGCATTTGTGAATCTGCTGCCCTGATTTCTTCCTTCTCTACCTCCAAACAGGATTTTTTTCCTGCTAAATGGTGAGGGATACTGCTCATTTCCTGACAGCCAGTACTTGTAACAGCACCAGTCATTTCTAAGTTAATACAAATGTGTAATTATACTTAAAGCTGATATAAGGGAGTAGTCATGTTATTTACCAAGAAACAAACCATTATTTACATAAGACACATTTAGAATCTAATTTCTTTCTTAACAAAAAACAATTTTTTTTCTAGGTGGCACCTCCATGTAAGAGAAGCCCAAGACAACCCCAAATAATATAATTTCAAATAGGCAGTGTCTTTTCTGTGCTTCCAAGGGGAAGGAGGAACCTTACCGATAATTGTTTGTGAAAGATCCAGGGAAGAAACAAAATTTAAATGCACTGCTCCCCAACCCCTGCAATAACCCTCCCCATGTGTAGGTACACACACACACACACACACACACACTTAAAATGGAGAAAAATGAACAGTTTTTTTGGTAAGATTCCTGCACTGTGGCTGCAGGCTTTGGTCTTTCCTGGGTCTTTCGAGTTGAGGATTGTTGTAATTAGAAATGGTAAATTCAAAGGGAGGAAATTATGTAAAGAAAACCAATCTATGTCTTTCCTCCCTAAAATGGGGAAAAAGGGAACATACAAATGAAGAAAATATAAATGTAAATATATTTGAAGATTTAAAAAGCCCTGAAAGGTTAACCTTTAGTGCAAATGGAAAGTTTTAATTTCTGCTCCTGGGTCTTACACAAACAACTTACATCATGAAAAACTATTTCCATTAATGCCCTTTTTATTAGAGCAGTCACTGATAACACTAGAATATCAAAGACTCTAACAGACAAGCCACTAAATTTAACGCCAATAACTTGAACAAAGTGAAGAGAGCCAAATATGAGAAAGAAAACTTTAGTCTTTAAATAACACTTGCAACCATGTGGTTACATGTGGTTGCATGTAAACCACACAAAAGGATGGTCTTGCTCAAAAAAATAATGGTGAGTAAGTAACATGGAGGCATTTGGGGAATTCATGTGTGCAAATGCCTGGCATGCAGAGTATGGCACTACAGGGTAACCCTACACACACAGCCACAGAGAAGATTCCTCCTGTGTAACAACCGTGAAAGAAGAGGGAGATTACTGCTTGGTTAAGAAAGGCGAGATAGTTTTTAAAGCTATAGTAAAAATTACAGAACAAATAGCAAATATGAAGTAAAAATCAACACTAGATAAAAAATTAAAGAGAAATTTGACTTTTGCAAAGAGAAAAGGTATTGCATGAGACTGAAAGCAGCAGACTGAATAAAAAAAGATAGTTTGAACTATCTTTGGCCCATAAAATCAGTGGCCATGTTTATCAGTCTGAATCATCTTTAAATAAGTCCAATAAAGCTTTGAGCAAGTTTACATTAATTATGAGTCTTAGAAAAGCCTGCTTAGCTTTAAATTTCTTACAGGCAGGGACTATATATTCTGTATTTCTAGCTAAGTACCCAAATCCAATACAATAGTTTGCTTACTGAATGTATAACAACATATTAATTCAATGAAGAGAAACTTTTGAAACTTTTTTGACATAATTTCAGATTCCCATATACCTTTCACCCAGATTCCCCAAATATTAATGATGTGCGTAGCCACATTGGCTTTCTCATTCTTTTCCCTATCTCCCTCTCATGCTCACCCTCTATATGTACACACACAGACGTGTATAGATACACATACAACTATCTTTCCTAAAAACAAGAATATTCTTGTACATGACCACAATACAATGATCGAAATTAGAAAAGCAACAATGATTTAAAAACTAGAGATCTTCAAATTTCGCTAATAATCCTAATCATGTTCTTTACAGAAAAAGAAAATCCCGGATCATGTACTGCATTGTTGCCATGTCTTTTAAGTCTCCTTTACTCTGAATAATTCCTTAATAAAGGGCACTTTGTAGAATGTCCTTCAATTTGAGTTTGTCTAATGTTTCCTTATGATTAGATTTAGGTTATGCACTTTTGGCAAGACTATCATGGCATGATGTTGTGTTTTTCTTAGTACACCATATCAGGAGGCACAAGATATTGATCAGTTCTATTACTGGTTATGTTAACTTCAAGCTTTGGTTAAGATGGTGTCTGCCAGGTGTCTCCATTGTAAAGTTATTCATTTTCCCTTTACAATTAATAAAGATCTTGTAGGGAAGAAAGTAATCTTTCTTTAAATAAAGCAGCAATAGAATGAGAGATTTTTAAACATATAAAAAGCAGAAAAATATAAATGAATCAGGAGTAAAGTAACATTAAAAATTGGAATACATTTAAAGAACCATCTACTAATTTCTAACCATATATTATTTTTAATAATGGTCTTAAAATTTCTTTTTCTATAGACACCAAATCTGGCTGAATGAAATAAATTGGTGATAAGTGGAAAAAAGAGAAAAACCAATGATTCATAACAATGTATGTGAAAGTGTAAAATAGAATGTTACTTTGGAATGACTATAAACATTAAAAGAAGACTGGAAGCATACAACTTTGTACATTTGTGGGGGAAAACTATTAATTTTTTGCAAATGGAAAGATCAACAGACTATATAATGATACATGACTGACACTTGTACACTAGGTAATAAAACTGATTCATACAGTCTAATGATATCACCGCTGTTAGGGTTTTATAAAACTGCATTTAAAAAAAGATCTATGACCAGATATTCTCCTGGGTGCTCCTCAAAGGAACACTATTAAGGTTCATTGAAATGTTTTCAATCATTGCCTTCCCATTGATCCTTCTAACATGCTGTTGACATCACACCTAATATTCAGAGGGAATGGGCAAGGTATGAGGGAAGGAAATAAAAAATAAAATAAATAAAATAGAATGACACAAATTTGAGTTTTGTGAACCCCTGAACAGATGGTCTTAAGGACGTTATCTGGAACTGGAGAAAAGCAGAGTTGAGAGACAATTCTATAGATTAAATCCTGGTAAGGACAAACATTGCCATTAGAAGAAAAGCTTCAAAATAGACCTGTGGCAGATGTCACATGAGTAGAATTTCTGCCCAGCCTTAACTGCATTCAGAGGATAATATCAATGAACTAAACTTGAACTAAAAATTTTTTAAACAAAAAGTTATAAATGAAGACACATGGTTGTGAATACAATGATGTATTTCTTTATTTTCACATACACTCTAGCTAAAAGAGCAAGAGTACACATCAACAAAAATGGAAACAAGGCTTTGGCTGAAAAAAACATGCATTTGACAAATCATGTTAATAGCTAGACAAGAAGAAAGTTAGCTTTGTAAACTTCTACTTCATTTGATTCAGAGAAACAGAGCATGAGTTTTCTTAAAAGTAACAAGAAAAGGAACAAAAAAAATGAGGTTTGAAATCTTTTACCATGGCAAAACATTAACATCTTTCTCAAAAACATAGAGAAATCTGGAAAAATCAAGAAGATAAAATTCTGGACCAGTTAGTGACATTCTTTCAAGCATACTTGTAAAATGTTTCCTTAAAGTGTTCTTGGGATGAAAATGATTGTCATGTCTCCAACAACAGTGAACTGATGTTGTTCCTTGGAATAAAAGTCAATCCCCACCTTAAAAAATGTATGGCTTCTTTGAGGAATTCTTATGTCTTAAAGACTTTTTACATTCTAGACAATTAAATTGATTGAGGTCATAAATTAAGAAGTGAATAGTTACCACTACACGGTAAGGTAAGCAGCCTGAAAGCATTTGTATCATATATGTGTGTGTGTGTGTGTGTGTGTGTGTGTGTGTGTGTGATATATAAAATAAAAAACTCCTCTACTTGTACTTTGGCATTCAATTTTTAGAAATTCAGTCTCAAATGCCATTATGGTATTTTTCAAATGATACCTTTAAGTCAATGGTTTCTTTCGACTGCAATAGAGAAGATATGGCAAGAAAAATGTTGCAGTACCATCTTCTGGGAGAACATTCATGAAATCCTTCAGTTCTAGTTCCACAGCAACAATTGACAATGTTTCTGTGTAGAAAAGAATATCTGAATTAGAATTGAAAGTCTGTCTTTCATTCAATCTCTTCTTACTTAACCAACCAATTAGAAGCCAGTTCAGGCCAGGCGTGGTGGCTCACGCCTGTAATCCCAGCACTTTGGGAGGCCGAGGTGGGCAGATCACGAGGTCAGGAGTTCAAGACCAGTCTGGCCAACATGGTGAAACCCTGTCTCTACTAAAAATACAAAAAAATTAGCCGGGCATGGTGGCGCACACCTGTAATCCTAGCTACTCAGGAGGCTGAGGCGGGAGAATTGCTTGAACCCTTGAGGCAGAAGTTGCAGTGAGTTGAGATTGCACCACTGCACTCCAGCCTAGGTGACAGAGCAAGACTCCATCTCAGGACAAAAAAAAAAAAAAAAAAAGAAGCCAGTTCAGGTAACAAAATGTTATAACTTCAAAGAAAAAAATCAGTCTCTTAAATCCATAGGCTTCTTTATGGTTGTAACTTATTTTTCCTTACTAGAATCCTTTGAAGGTTATTTTATATCAGCCACATGAAATTTGGATTTATTATTTCATTGCTGAATTACTATATTATTTTGCAATCAATTTCTACTATCCTCTAAAGAAAAGTACAATCATTTGAATATTCTTTTTAATGCTATGTCTATACTAAGCTAATTTATAAAGATTGATAGGATAAGAAACACCAATGTTTTCCCGTATTAGTTCCTAACGTAACATTTCATGTTGTTAATAAGCACAAATCTGTTTTCACGACCATTTACTTCCTTTTCCCCCAAACTGCAATGGTGTTCTAATGAACAATATATTTTTTTTTTTTGAGACGGAGTCTCGCTCTGTCACCATGCTGGAGTGCAGTGGTGCGATCTCAGCTCACTGCAACCTCTGCCTCCTGGGTCCAAGAGATTCTCCTGCCTCAGCCTCCCAAATAGCTGGGACTACAGGTGCGCACCACCACGTCCAGCTAATTTTTGTATTTTTAGTAGAGACAGGGTTTCACCATGTTGGCCAGGATGGTCTCGATCTCTTGACCTCATGATCCGCCTGCCTTGGCCTCCCAAAGCACTGGGATTACCGGCGTGAGCCACCGCACCTGGCCCCAGTGAACATTTTAAATATTAAGGAATGTAACATACATTAAAAAAAATGCAACTTTATGATTCTACAGCTTCTTAACAGATACATGCTGCCCTCTCCCGGAATAGAAGGGTGACAGTTATGAACAATGTTCCCAATAAACATCCACTTGGTCTTACATCTTCTATCCACATGTCAGTGCCATTCCCTGTGTGATCGTTGCATGCCCATCGCTTACTCTATTTGCAGAGTAAGTGAAATATAAGATCCATTCCAAAGTCATCTGTCCAATATACAGCAACCTAAATTTTTCTTTACACAAAAGAATGAACTGCCTTTGTTGCTAAAGAGTTAATGAATAAAGCAGCAATGGTTTATAGAAAAGATTCCTAGTTCTGGAATCCAGACAGACTTGGGAAGAGATCCAGACTCTTCCACCAACTCACCGAGTGGCTTTAAGAAAGTCACTTAATCTTCCAAGTCCTAGGTTCCTCATTTATAATGTAGTGGTACTGTCTGCTAGCTTCCACAGTTCCCGTGAAAATTAAGCTAAAATACAATGATGCACATCTGACATAAAATCAGACCTTAATAAACAGCAACTACTAACTAGCTTGCAAAATGTATGTGAAAAATATGAATTATTGATGTTTTCCTATCAAAGCAGTTTACTTACCTAAATGTGGAGCCTGTAAGTAGCATCTCAGAAACAAAAAAACTGAGTTGGAGAGCTAGTGTGGAGTTGTTATAGAGTCAACAAAAATCTCACCACTTCCCAATTCTCCTCTTCTCCCAAATAAGGAGGGGCTAATACAGGTTATCACTCCAAGAAGGTCAATATCTTAAATTCACAGAGTACTTTAAAAATTAATAAAGCACTTTCATGTATAACTTCTCTTTAATTCCTTCTAGAATCCTTTGAGGTTTTTATTTATTTAATCCAAGCCCCATCCCAAATAGGGTAAACTAATGGGTATTAGGCCTGATTTAGGGTTGGGAAAATTGAGGCTAAGAGAAGGTTAAAATTACTTGCTCTACTCCACTCACCAGCTACCTAAATCTACAAGTTACATATAAATGATATATCTAAATGTAAACCTGTACCCTTAAAATCTTCCAGCATGTCTAGAAAATATTTGTCAAAGGTTGAAAATTTCTGGATGGTGGGATTTTAAATGATTTTTAAATTTAATTTTTGTAATTTACCACAGTACCAGAATTTTAAAAAATAAGCCTGGTTCATTACAAAAACAGTACTGAATATTTCCCTAAAACAACCAACCCATCCACTAACCCATTTTAATGGTTCTGCATTAGTGTGGCAGTTGTCAACCAGGAAAATTTTGTCCCACAGGGGACATCTGGCAACATCTGGAGACATTTTTGTTTGTTATAACTGAGGCAGTAGTATTGGCATCTAATGAGTAGAGACCAGGGATACTGTTTAATATCCTAAAATGCACAGGGGAAACCCCCACGCACACGGACAATTACCAAGGTTGAAAAATGCTGTATTAGAGAGATAAGAAATCCAAACTCCTAAGCATGTAAGTCCCTGAGCTTCATCTCCAACCTCTCCCTCTTGCAATTTTGCCTAACATTTAACTTTTGATTCAGTCCTGAACTTCTCATTTAGTCTCACGACATTAGAAAACTGGGTTGCTCTCGGACACTTAGTAAGTGGCAAACCTGGAACTCAGTTCCAATTCTCCAGATCCCAGTACAGGGCTCTTTTCAGTGTACAACTGTTAAGAAAACACCCTTCTGTGAAACGAACCTAAAGTTCTTCAGCTGTCTCCCTTTCTAATCAATGAACAGTTACAGAATGCTTCCTATAGGAGAGGCATATTGCTGGTGAGGAATGTGTAGCTTGAAAAAATGAATAAAACACTATGCCAGCTCTTGAGGTATTACAGTCTAATAAAGGTAAATCACACATGGCACTTAGTCTCATTAGCCATACACACACACACACACACACGTATGCACACAAATATATTTTGAAGACAGAGAAAAATGCAACATTTGGAGGAATGATTATGGGTGAGTTGGGGTGGAGTGTGTGGATGTGGATCAGAAAAGGATGAAGAAAGAGTCTTCTGATTAAGATAATGATGATGCTGAGGTGTAAAGATGTGGGATGTCTGTACTGGAAAGTGCTCCACTAACACAAACAGTCAGTGATAAATTATGTAAAGTGTATGCAAGTGGGGCAAAGTAATCAGACATCTGACACTTCCATCTTCTGAAAACCTAAAGCAATCAGGGAGACGGGTAGGACAGAGAATAAAGTTCCCCCTTTCCCTTCCCAATCACAAGCATACAGCTTTAATTAAAGGGGGATCTTCAGAAAAATAATCTCCAGTGGCCACTGACTCGGCCTTACATTTTAAAAATCAACTGTCTTGGCTGGAAAACACAATTTCAACACTGTCAATTTCTAATATTTTATGTGCTCTGCAATTGATATACCCATACCCTTTGTCATTGGGAAAACAACTAATTATATTAACACACAGCAGTATAGAAACAGATTACATATCTACCAAGATTTATGATTATGAATTATGAAAATTCAAATAACTACTATGCTGTAAAATACGGTACAATTTAGATACTCAACTTTTAAATCCTTGAGGTTGTTATTCATCAATACTTGCTTATAATTATGTTTAATAGTAATGATCTTAACTTCCTACATGAAGTAAATTAAGTACTCTGATCATTGATAAAAGATGTAATTGCCTTAATGACTACTCACATTTTAAAACACTGATGCTGTCATTTTCTATGACTGTGATAATTTGTTAAGTGTTTGAAAGGATTAAGTTAAAAGAACATCAGTTCTGTGACTAGGAGATAAATCAATATCAAATGTCAAGGGGAGGGTACGTGAATGCTGAAAATAAGCTCCCCAGATGGTTCTGAAAGGCCCTCGGTTTCACTTGAGAATCACATGAAAATACTTAAGAAGGCTTCACCAAATTTAAAACTGAAACTTAAGTTTATAATCAAGCAAAAAAAAAATCATTTTACCTTTTAATGATGACAGGTAGAGTTGATACTTCTCTCCACCACATTTTATTCTCTGACAAAGTTCAGGCAACAGTTTTTTCCACCACAGAGTCTATCTTAGGAAAAAATGAATAAATTTTAGTTTGATGCATTTTATTCTCAGATTTCAAAGGAGAATAAGAAGATTGTGCAGGAAAGCACAGAGCAAAAATACATCATTTTGTCTAAGGCAGCTAACTTTGTTATAACATAAGTTATATCAGCAGCCAGTCTTCTGCCTTAACTATAACGTAAAAGTCAGGTTCGTAACTTGAAAACCCAGTAATACATATATTGTACATATGTACATGGCTATTTTCAAGAAGTAACAGACATATCCCGTTATCATCTCCTATGTGGCAAGAAGGAAGGAATGAAGAAAAAAAAGAACTAAGGTCCAAAATTCTTCTAATTTCTAAACTAAAAACCGTATGGCAGAGAAAATATTTTCCCATCATACACTGTTCCCAAATCTTCAGGTAATCAACTACTTCATCTCCAAACAAAAGATGTTTAATGATGATAATATACCATCTCCATATATTTTAACAGCATTTAATAGTACTCAAAACACGTAACATATTAAACATATATGCTCAATGGACCCACACAGCCTTATGATGTTGGATTAGCATAAATTGTCCCCATTTTGCAGGAAAGGAAATGAGGTTATCAGATCTGATTATCACTGATCAAGCCTAAAAACATAATCTGAAAAAGCATACCCGGTTCTCTTCTTTCAGTTCATGATTAGCATATGGAATGACTGCCTCCGGGCATCTCTCTAACAGTATGTCTATGCACTGTTCATACTCTTTCAAGCGTGTACGACACAGAACATGGACACTGAGGCCGGCAATAGTGTCTTCTGAAAGTGGCTCCAAGAACGGAATAATGGAAGCTATGTCAAATGAAGGACCACATATAAGAGACTATGAACAGAAAAGTGAAATGTTATGAAATGAGGCACCTCAAAAACTAAAACACAACATGCAGAATTCAATTTCTTAAGACTAAACCTCACTTGCCAAAAATAAAATAGAAAGAATGCCATATTAGAGCACATGCACGTGGTCCTTATTTAATAAATCTAAGTATAATATAATCTTGAAACTACCTCTAGTTTAAAGATCTCTTTAATAGAAAGCAATCATTTTTAAATAACATGATTTTATTTGCTTTGTGTGGACTGCAAATTAAAACCAATGGGCATTCTTTAGGACTCTATCCTAAGAGAATAATCAACATTGTGGTTAAAGATTTACGTCCAATGATGTTCACCGCAAGAGTATTCGCAATATTGAAAATTTAGAAGTAATCTACATGTTTAACAACAAAGGATGAGTAAATACATATGGCACACTCAGATAATGGAACATTACACAGCCATCAAAACTATGTTTTCAAAGGCTAGTTAATAAAAAAAGTTTATGATAAAATGAGTAAAAAAATTTCAATACAAAATTATATTCTGAACATGATCAGTTTTATAAAATCTACATAGGTAAATGCACATACAGAAATACTGTCGGAAGAGCATGGCAATTTGAAACAGCACACAGGATGGGACAACAAAGCCTACTCTTTGTTTTCTTTACACCCCTTCCTGTAGTTTCCAAATTTTCTATAAGCATGTGCTACATACATATGCAAAAATAAAATTTAACACTTAATAAGACTAAAGTGATTGTTTAGAACTAATCATTGTTATCAATACCACTTTGTCACAAGATGAATAACAGGGAGCAGTATTATCTCAGAATTTACAACTTTACCAATATTTACTTCAAGCAATTAAACTATAAATACTACTTTTGATTCTACCACCAAAATAATCTCCACTTTCCCTTTCTCCAGGATAAAGATGAGATGGTCATGTCCTAATTTTCTTGTCCCTGTACCCTTTTTGCTACAGCATCTTCTGAGACTCACAGGAGAATATGGAATGTGATCTACCCAATCACAGTCAGTGTGATTATTTTATTCCAAATATCTACCAAGGAATGACCAGGAGAATAAGGTTGGTACCTTTTCTTCCTGCAAGTTTAATAAATTATTCATGTGAATAATTTCCTGACAATCAGATGGCAGAGATGAAATAAGGTTGATAATCTCTCACTCAAAAGGTCTCCCAACATGGGAGAAAATAGATTACCTCTATATTTAACTCTTGACTAATCCAGATAATGGGGAAGGGAGTGGGGGCAGTAGGAAGGAGCAAAGCATGTGTACCAAATTATGACTGAAATGAAAGTAGTCATAACTTCAACTACCCATGAACTTTTACTTAGTTTTATCCATGTAATCAAGAAGTTTGAAAGTAAGGTCAGGTGCAGTGACTCACACCTGTAATCCCAGAACTTTGGGAACCCGAGGTGGGAGGCTTGCTTGAGCCCAGGAGTTGGAGGTTACAGTGAGCCATGACTGCCACTGCACTCCAATCTGGGCAATAGAGTGAGACTGTCTCTCTAAAAAAAAAAATTATAAAAGTTTAGGCAGACTATGTTTCTCCTTCAACAGCAAAGATTTTGCTCCTTTAATAGCAAAGATTTTCCTCCTTTAATAGCAAATATTTTCCTTTTAAAATATTTTAAAACAAATTTTAAAAGATCACTGAATTATACTTTTTCAAGCAATGATTATAAATATGCTTTAAAGCTTTATCAGGGAAAATTTAATAGCACTTATTCCAATTACAATTTTAAATATGTAATTAGTGTGTATGATCTAGGAAGGCAAAGCTCCATCTGTCTTGTCCAATGCTCCCCATACATCTACAGCACATGCTCAAGCAATATTCGTGAAATGAACAAAATCTGAGGCTAGCCCCTCAGAAGCCTTTGTATCACAATAGTACTAGAGACAAGAGACAAGAAGAATCTTCTTTGGTTATTTTTTAAAGAAGCACATAAATAATGCCATCTCTGGGAACACCACAGCCCCACCTGAAGGCTGAGTCTAAGCAATATGGCCTCTTCAGCTTCCCTCCTCTAAGCCCCATTCCCAATTTGACACTAAGTAACAACTACACTTATAGTGTAGTTCCCATAGTGTAAATGAGGTATTGCAAATTCAAAAGCCTAAAGAGGCCAATCAAATGATGAAGATGCATGAGGGCAGCTAGGATAAGGAAAACAGACACTCAGCATTTGGGTCAGGATGCCACAAAGATGATAACTGTGCGGGAGGACAGTGTGAGCACTGCCCAAGGAGGGGCTGCGGGTCAGCCCCAACCCTCAGGTCAGAAGCAATGAGGGCCTTGGGTTAACGGAGCTGCTAAATTTTTCAAGAGTGACTTGAAACTCAGAATTCTTAATAGGAAATCTTAAGTTTTGTATGTTAGCACCTACACTGGGAAGACCAAAGAAAACAGATGTGGGAATTATATTCGTTCTTTGGGCCACTGAACTACATTAAATAAAATCATATGCTCATGTGGCCCAGCCTGATCCACCAAGTCAAATGTGGACTTTAATTCTCACTGCCAGCCAAAACACTGTTGCAGTCAGAATTATTAAAGGATGATCCACATTCTCTAATCATCCCCCTCATTTCTGAAAAATCCTTTTCAGGAGCTGGATAAACTAACTACTTTGACCTGTTTCCTATAAGAGAAATAGCAGTGCCTGGCTTGGGTTAGAGACCTAAAATGTGTAAGTCAACACTAACAAAAACAAACTACATCAATAAAAACACCACTAAACATTTGCCACACTTTCATTTCACAAAGTGTTTTCAAGCCCATCCTGAAAATGAGGAAATCAGCCAGGAGACTTGGTGAAGTTCGTTCATCCACCTACAACAAAACCAGCCGCTCAGCACAGGTGTTCCAACCATCATCAGTTTCAGGCAGAGGCAGGCATTCCCTCCAAGTCTCCTGAGTATGCCTAACTATGGATTTTGTCCCTCAAAATTCTACATTCTAGATTAACAGGACACCTGGGGTCTCAGCAAATTTAATCTTACACTATATTGTAATATGCAATTTCATAAGAAAAGGAGGTATTTTTACTTACCTGTAATTTTGAAAGATCTTCTGTATAATTTTTATCAGCTAAAGAATCAGATGATATTACGACGTGAACCCATGGATAAATTAAGCCATAATGACTACAGGCATTTATCTAAAACATAAAAGAATTTCTCATAAACAAAATATAACAACAAAAGCTTGCTTATCCATTCCACAAAGAGCAAAGCAATCATTAATTCTCTGCCATGTCATAGAATTAGGTATATACTTTCCTGGGAATGGGAAGGAAAGTTTTTAAGAATTTTTCCCCTGGAAAATATTTCAGTCTTGCTTGCTTCTACACTAAATATTTCCTTATATTTTAAAATGTAAATACTCCAAAGAGGCACTTTCTAGCAAAAAGAGCAATACTGCATTTAAGCCAATTATACCTAAAAAGAATATTGGAAATAATTTTTATTAATACTACTTTCTTTAGAAGGCAAAATATCTTTCATAAATTCTCAAGACAATCCCCAAGAAGCCCTGCTTATTCAAGAAGCTGGTAACTTCTCCACTTAACCCTCCATTAGCCATGGCTAATGAGCTAGGACAGAAATGGGCTAGGAGCAAGAACGGTAGCAAGAAGGGTAGAAAGAGTTGTTACTGGCTGCCTCAAGTGCCACAGAACAGCTCCTGTATGTGCAACAGACAGGAAATGGGGGCCCACTAAGGCAGTCTCCCTCCCACAGCCTTCTGCAGTTCCTCTCCCACCAAGGAGGTCTGCAGATGTCTTCTCTCTTATGTTCCACTTAATGATCCTCTGCTGAGGAAGGACAGATGAGGTGATGTTCTGGAAGAAGTCCCTTTCTCCATGCTTTGGCAACTGAGCTACCACTGCAATTAAGTGAGGGACATTAATAAGTAGAGGACATTCTTTAGAGTACAAAATTATTTAAAATGTAGGCCACTTCAGTTAAAGACAAATTTTAAGTGTATTTTTAACTCCTGCATAAATAAGATACCTGGTAATAGAAAACTAGGTTAGATTTTATAATAAGTTATTAAAAATAAGGTATGTTTTTGTAATGGGCAATGCATGAGTTAAATTTAAGGTATTATTCCATTATCTTACCAGATCCTCCGATGTTCGCAATGGTGTGGTGTCAGGAGGCTGCCTCTTAGACAATCTCCAGATGTACTGTGATGTGAGTTTGAAAAAGAGTTCCTGAAGTACCACATCTGGGAGACATGCCACTAGCTGAGCTTCCCAAAAGTCTACCAAGAGCTGAGGAATTGTATCTTCATCCTTAGCACAAAGCACCTTAAAAACAGTAAAAGGAGCCTCTATATTCCAGATAAATATAGCACTGATAAAGCGACAGCTGGGCTGAATATCACAGCATCACATGGGCCACGCAATCAATAATTTACCATTAGCATTAGCGCCATGGCAAAAGCAAATTTAGACATTTTTAAAAGGAAACAGATTCTAGGATGTACAAATAAAGTTTCTACAGATATAGTCTTTTAATTAGTACTTTTATCTTATAAACTGATTATGTATGTCTGTTTTTTCAATAAACAAACAAATGAAAAACTCACTTCTCTTATTCTGTCCCTCCCCACCACCAATTTAATGAGGCCATCCAGAAAAATCACATTTTCAAAGTGACAAACCTTAAAAAAGGAATCTGCTTCTTCAATTCCAATTTTGTTGTTCTTCTGCAAGCCCAGAACTGAAGCCACAAGCAATCCAGGCTGAGTTTCCTTCAAGTGAAGTGCAAGCTCGGTTGGAACAATCTGTCCCTTTCTCTGTTGAATCAACAGCCGAGGTTCCAGAATGAAGCCACATACCAACTTCATCTTCAGATAAGAAAGAAATTTAGGAACAAAAGGTACATTGTATTTAGATTGTCCATTTTAGAAATACTAAACATGCTAGTGCATTCACAATGCATGGTTAAGCTATTAATAATTTAATCACAATTTTTTCTTTGACTATAAAGGCTAGTTCTTATCCAAAGGACACCACTGACTGTCTTACAGAAGTTACTAACATTTAACTAAGAATCAAGGTGTCCTATTTTTTGTAGAGAGCTTTATATTTAGGTCTACTTGATTTGAAAATGCAGTCAATTTTCTGTATTCGTGGGTTCCACACCCATGGATTCAACCAACCACAGATCAAAAATATTCGGGATGGCTGAGTGCAGTAGCTCACACCTGTAATCCCAGCACTTTGGAAGGCCAAGGAGGGCAGATCACTTGAGGTCAGGAGTTCGAGACCAGCCTGGCCAACATGGTAAAACCCCATCTCTACTAAAAATACAAAAATTAGCCAAGCATGGTGGTACACACCTGTAATCCCAGCTACTTGGGAGGCTGAGGCAGGAGAATCGCTTGAACCTGGGAGGTGGAGGTTGCAGTAAGCTGAGATTGCGCCACTGCACTCCAGCCTGGGCCACAGAACGAGGCTCTCAAAAAAAAAAAAAAAAAAAAAAAGGGTGTGGGGGAACTGCTTCTGTTCTGAACATGTACAGATTTTATTATTATTCCCTAAACAATGCAGTATTAACAACTATGTGCATAGCAGTTGACATTATATTAGGTATTATAAGTAATATAGAGATGATTTGAAGTATATTGGAGAAAGTAGATACGTTATATGCAAATACTATGCCACTTTATATAAGCAACTTTAGCTTCTGTGGATGTTGGTAACTGTAGAAGGTTCTGAAACCAATCTCCCATAAATACCAAGTGATGACTAATATATCTTAAGTTTTTTCAAAATTATGAAGATAAAATTCATTTTTCTAGAATTCTACTCTTCAAAACAGAAGACATTCCGATGTTGACTTGCTCTCCTCATCATAACAAAGCATGTCATTTGTATAGTGATAAAGCACTTACGTTCTTCCTTTTTTAGCAACCCAAGTCATACTGTGGGCTTTGGCCAGTCTGGCAAGAAAACAGTGCAGGAGCACAGATTCTGAAATCAGGCTGCCCGATTCAATTCTGGCTCTACAACTTAACTGCTGTGTGATCCTGATGAGTTACTTAACCTCTCTGTGTCTTAATTTCCTCATTTGTATAATACTCCTACCCTATAGCAGTATTAAGAATTAAATGATATATGCAAGGAGCTTAGAATAGGCCTGGTAAATAATAAGTGTTCAATTACACTACCTCCTATTTTCTTCGCTTAAATGATTAACACCTTTGGTAGTGTCCCTAAATGACCTCTTTTCCAAGGGAAAGCCTGTGTTTCTTGGTATACCATTCAAATGTCCAATCCTCTTAATCTGTGATTTTCCCAAGCGGGGGCTATTTCTGCAACTACTAGACTCCTAAAGCTCATGGCTAATATCCCCTTTGCTGTTCTTAAATACATACTACTCTGCTTTTCCAGTGCACACACCATATCCCTCATGCCAGATCACATCGTCCCCTCGGAGCAGAGCCTGTTCTTTAGTACCAAGCTCAGTGCTCTGAACGCACTTGACACTAAGTTGAAGTCTTTGTATATCCACTGCTGTCATTTATCAGTCTTATTTATTTTTCATTTGCCAGATCCGAAGTCCCATTTGGATCACTTTGTTTCTAATATTGTCTGTTTTCCATTACAACCAAGAATATATAAGCTAGAAAGAAGCCAGAAGACAGCTAAACACTTCAGGATTACCAGGTCCTATTTCAGCCTTCTGTTAGCACCGGGCAGAGCTCCATACCTCTGAATGGCTTTTCATTTCATTTCTGTGCATGTCAAGATCTCCCATTTTCAGAGCCACTGCTGCCTTGGTCAATGTCACTAAGATCGATGAAAACCCAGAAGTATCCAGCTTCCTTAGATAGCTCATGGCAGTTAAAGGATTAATATTCTTCATAGAAGGACTACAGAGAATATGGGGCACTTGCTTTGGCTCAGCCACATAAAACATCTGAACCACTTTTGCTGCTAATTCCTTTGGTGAGCACGAAGGAATAAAAGGAATAAAAGGTCAGTCAGCCAGAAGAAAGCAACAAAATCAGCAAAACATATGTGCAAAAAGCCAAGACACAAACATTCCAAGTAAGATAAAATTATAGTATTATGTTTTAATTTTAAAAAGACAAAAACTGATACTAATACATGGGAGGCCTGAGATAACCTGAAGTGATCTTTGCTGATTATAAGGAAGAAAAAGCAATGAAAATATGTACCAGGTTATGGCCAGCGTTTCTAATTTTAACACTTCAGAAGAAGAAAATAAACATTTGATTGAATGACAATAAAAATCCATCATAAAAACTACTATTTAGTTCAAAATATACCCAATTAAGTAATTTGTATGAGAAAATTTCATTTCAAAACCTTAAAACATTTGATACCACAATTTCTAATGTGGCATATTTGCATCCAACTATGTATAAAATACATGAGGGGTTATCGTTTCTTTTTTCTCTCTAAGACAGGGTTTTTCTGTATTGCCCAGCCTGGAATGCAGTGGTGTAATTGTGGCTCACTGTAGCCTCAAACTCCTGGGCTCAAGCGATCCTCCTGCCTCAGCCTCCTGAGTAGCTGGAACTACAGGTGTATGCCACCAAGCCTAGCTAATTTTTTAATTTTCTGTAGAGATGGGATCTTGCTATATTGCCTAGGCTGGTCTCAAACTTCTGGCTTCAAGTGATCCTCCCACCTCAACCTCCCAAAGTGTTGGAATTACAGATACTAGCCACTGTGCCCAGCCCTAAAAATAATCCTTAATAATGTCTTTAGGTCACTGGCCTAAGGTCAGAGTTTTATAAGTGAAGTTTAGGACACAAGGAGTAAGGGACAATTAGGGTTGCGGGAAGGACTGCAGATGAGAAGATGGAAGGCAAGGCCCGCATTCTGTGTAGCTCTACTGAGGACATGCTACTGTCACTGGGCAGGTGTTGAGACTACAACAGACCACATGTCCCTGTCTGTATAATGAGAAAGTATGAGAAGATTATCCATAAGTTCTTTTCCAAGCTATAATTCTATCTTCATTAATGAAGAAAAGGTCACATTACTTTTTTAGAAAAAGAGTATCAAAGAAGAAAAATATTTGGAATCTGACTTCTAAACAGTACTACATAAAATAAACCATTAAAATGAAATGTTAAAAATATTAGATAGAAAACAGAAAACTATAATCACTTCATTTAATTCTTCATCCAGGTTTTCATAAAGTGAATGATTAATGTAAAAGATTAATCCTCTCTCGTATTTCTGTAATCCATCCTCTACTGTCCAGTCCGTGCGGGCCAGAACTTCAGCCATAGACAAACCAGACATCTTATAGTATGGCAAGGTGAGATGAGAATGCTGGGAGTCAAGCCTAAAGGGAAGGAAATGAAAAACCTCAAATTTGTCACTTTTTTAAAGACGGGGTCTCACTATGTTGCCCAGACTGATTTCAAACTCCTGACCTCAAGTGATTATCCTACCTCAGCCTCCCAAAGTGCTGGGATTCCAGGTGTAAGCCACCATGCCTAGTCAAATTTGGAATTTTTAAACCTGGATATCTAAAACATTCTATAACAGAATATATCATGCTTTCCAGAAGATAGAAATTCCAAAATGCTTTTCTACTGCCATTAGTAACTGAAACAAACTCCTAAGTTTTATCTTACAAACTTCTAATTAATGCAGTTTCTTTTTGCCTGCTCATAATAGAAACAAAAACAACAATTTAAGTTAATTCTAATATTCATGATCGGACTCTAAAATAATGGTGTTTATAGGAGGAAAAGTCTGTTTTATTAATTTTTAACCATTCATGTGGATCAAGTAAGTCTGAAAACAATCATATGCAAAAAAATTTGTAAACATTACTCTCAAAAATAAAAACATTATTCATACCAGTGTCCCTTTCTGATATCATAAAAGCACTGACTACTGAGATCAAAATCACAGACTGTCCAACTGGCAGCTCTCCCTTAAGGTAGCAGACAATAAACTAGTCATACCTCTCTAATGATTAGAGCTGTTTAACAAGGTAGTATTTATAATCATGTATGTATTAAACTGGCTCATAGATGGTGGGAAAAAAGTCCTTCAGCTAAGCCCTTGTCAGAATGGAAAACAACCACTTTGTTTACTTTTAGGGTTTAATATGTCCAAGTGTTAACTTTACTAACAAAATATATGTTTTTAATGTCAGGGATTTTCAAAGCTTGAGAAAAATGTCAAAGTCCTAAGTTAAATGGTGGGAAAATCACAAACTTGAGACTTACTGCTCATCTTCTAAACTGTGACTCCTTGAGAGCAGGAAATGGGTCACATTCATTTTTGTATGTTTAAGCCTAGCACAGTGCCTAACAGAGTATGTGCTCAACAAATGCTTGTGGAAGAAGGGAATAAATGAACCACCTTCCCATTTATCAGGTAACTACCAGAGATGGAAAAGCTAACAAGTGTACCCAAAGTTCAAGATGACTTCTGTAACAAGGTTCCAAGAGGTGTCACCCACCTGCTGTAACAGTCCCCAAGGTGCCCACAGCTTTCCTTAAATGCTTCCAAAAGCTCTGCCTTCTCTCCAGGTTCCAGCTGACTGGCATCCATCAGGGCAGCTCGCACTAACAGATGAGCCTCACTGAGAAGGTGAATGCAGCTCTGGGTTTTGACAGTCTTATAGGTATTGCTATAGTCTACCTAAACAAAAAAGACAAACACTAATGTTGCTGAAGAGAGACTCTCAAAAGTTCCTGAGTTCTTAAAAACATTTATATATTTTGTTAGTAAAGTTAACATTTGGACATATTAAACCCTAAAAGTAAACAAAATGGTTATTCACCATTCTGACAAGGGCTTAGCTGTAGGGCTTTTTTCCCACCATCTATGAGCCAGTTTAATACATACATGATTATAAATAATACCTTGTTAAACAGCTCTAATCATTACAGAGGTCCAAATAATACTGTAATACTAATAATACTGTAAACTTAGCAACAATTTGATCTCAGTAAGACTAGTGAACATGTTAATATTTGAAATAAACTTCAAAAAATTGTGATTTAATTCTTTCTCAAATTTAGACTGAGTATTCTTCCCTTATTTTAGTTTTGATTGGTAAGTTTAGGCTCTACTACATCTATTTCCATAACTCATAGAGGGCTCATAAAAATTATCACTAGCTAATCTGACTCAATCAATATATTCAGACTCTAGCGGTCAAATCACCTAAACGAAGACTTTCAATTAAGCAAGACTGAAAAGACAGGGCACAGCTAATATAATAATTGGCATTAAATTATTGGCAGGGACAAATCAGGCAACACCTTGACCTGATGACCAAAAATTAACATCACCAAAGAGGGGTAGATGAACAGCATGTGCCTCCAGATGTGATACCCTTAACACAAAAATCACCTATGCAATATTCTGGCTGAAAATGCATAATCTGAATCTAACCATTAAAAAAAAAAAAGCAAACCCTAAATAAGGAATACTCTCAAAAAAAAAGTAGAGGGGAAAATTATATTTTTCAAAAATGCTCATGTCATAAAACATAATGAAAGGCTATAGAAATATTCCAGCTTCAAAGGAGGCTAAAGAGACATCATAGTTAAACACACTACCTGATCCTAGACTGGGTCTTGAACTGGAGAAGGGGAAATGCTATCAAGCCATTGGGTCAGTTGACAAAATTAGACTATGAACCATAAACCAGATAAAGCACTGTGTCAATGTTAAATTTATTAAAGCATACTACTGTATTCTGGTATGCAAGAGAGTATCCTTATTCTTAGAAAATATACGCTGAAGTACTTAGGGGCAAAAGACTGATGTATGCAGTTTACCTCCCGAAGAAGAATCAGAAAACAGTGTATGTATATCTGTGTGCACAGAAAGCACAGAGTGCATAAAAGAGAGAGAGAAGCAAATAGGGTAAAATGTTGACTGTGGAGAAATCTGTGTGGGGAATGGGAATATATAGAATATTCTTCTTTTTTAAAAAAGAGTCAAAAGAGTCAGGGTCTTGCTGTGTCACCCAAGCTGGAGTGCAGTGGTACGACCATAGCTCATTGTGGCCTTGAACTCCTGGGCTCAAGTGATCTTCCCATCTTAGCTTCCAAAGTAGCTAGGACTACAGGTATGTGCCACCACAACTGGCTAATTTTTTAATTTTTTGTACAGATGGGATCTCACTATGTTACCCAGGCTAGTCTCGAACTCCTGGCCTCAAGCAACTCACCTGCCTCAGCCTCCCAAAGGGTTGGGAAGAATATACTTATTCTTGCAACTTTTCTGTAAGTTTGAAATTGTTTCAAAATAAAGAGTTAAAATAATTGCCAGGGATGAGTAGGAAGCTGTCACTCTTAGATCAGTAAGGATGCTCCCTCTGGGTCCCTCCCCCCAGGACAATGCTGCAGTAGCTGTGGTGCCCTGGGACAATGTGCTAACATTTCTAAATAAGAAGAGTGGGACAGGGATACATAATCCTAGATTTATTTATTTATTTATTTATTTGCTCCATTTCTTAGCTATCTTTGCTAGAGTTCAAATTAAGGTCAAAGACTATGTTCAGATTGGCCAATCGATCTTCTTAGGAGAGTGGGTATGAATAAGGGAGTCTTATGCTAGTGAAGGGAATTTCTACTGGTTCCTCGGATGTCAGAAGCTGTAACAATGAGGAGGCAGAGAGAGATATACATTCCACTGTCAGACAGAGCCAGGAAGCTGAATGGCTGTGGCATCCTGAATGTATGATAATTAGAATCAATTTCTGATCATTAATTTCACTCTAAATATCTACAAACAAGAATCAGAAGTTTGAAAAGAGTACCATCTCTTTGTACAGCTGCACTGGTGAGATCGTATTCACAATATACAAATTCCACCCAGCCTCAGCTACAGGAGGTATTTTGATTTTAACACTGGTATCTTTTCTCGAACTAAAAGCAAAACAAAGGACAAGAATTTTAAAATGACATTATTAATAAATGGTAGTTGTAAATGGTAAATATTGGATATAAAATAACTATAAAATCATTTTCATTTACTATTTTCCTCAGTGATTAACTGTACACTCTATTTCTATGGAATATTAGTTCACAATACTACATAGGCTAACTGCATTTAATATTCTGTAATTTTCATGTAATGATAAACCAACTGCTTCCAATTCACTCTGCAAGTATTCTCAAATGAGCAGTAAGTTCAAAGAACAGGCAAGTCCCATCAAGAGGAAAAGATCCTTGACTGCGGAAGTCCCTATACCCAGGCTCTTTTCTGCATTTGACTTTCATGAGTCTAGCATGCCCTGAGCCACAAATCTAAGCAGAAGCAACATCATGGCTGCTGAGAATATGATGAAGACACATAAAACTGTTAAGTCTGCTTAAAGCACTATCTTATCTCTTGCTTTCACTATGTGATACATTTTCTTTAGTGTACAATCTTTTATAATTGTTTATCAAATGAATTTTCAAATGAATTAGAATTTTTAAAACATCATTTAAAAAATTATACTATTAGAATGTCAAATGTGCAAGACTACAAACTGCTTTTCCTCTCCCCAGAAAGCTTTTAGGATCAGTCAGCCCCAGACCACTCTGTGTACACTCAAAGTGATCAGTTACCAAAGTCAACCTCTGATTCCTGTTGATGCAACAAAGCACAGCCACTAACAATTTGAAAAAGTAAAAATCTATGTTAAAAATAACCCATGTTTGATATGAAATACACTATATGCTTCACTCCCTGAAGAGATTTCTTTCTTGATTAAATTTTCCTTAGAGAAATTAGATTGCATTCTCTACCACTAAGTAGGAAAACATCAAATAGAAGCATAACTAGTCTGGAATTAAGCATTCTATTCTAAACAATGGGAAAGCAGAAACCTAATAAATAACAAGAGATGAATGTTATCAAAATACAACTTTATTTTCAGATACATGAGCACATATCTATAGATCATAAATGTGCTTTAAGGTAAGACATACATTATTAATTTCTTTCATAATATCAGAAAATAATTTTAGATAAAAATGTAACAACTGAAAGGGTCAAAGAAGAAAGACAGTAAAAAGTCCTGTAGTTTCAATTAGCATTATAGGCTCAGTCTTTCTCATTAATTACACAGAAAAGCATGGCCTTTAACTAATCTAAAACACCTTTGATTTTTACTGAAACTATTTTATAATCCATTTTCTCCTAAAAGTTTCCAGGTCAGTTATAAAGTGTATTACAGAGATTGTTAGAACCTTCTTTTCTTTCTCTGGAAAAAGACCACCATAAAAAAGCCATTTGATCATTCCAAGTTATGATTTGAAAAAAGATAAACACAAAATATACCAGTTACAACTCATTCCAGAAACTGGCAGGAATGCCTGGGGCAAGGGGATGCTTACAGAAGCCTCTTGGGTGACTGTCTTCTCTCTGGAATGGCTTCAGGTTCTGCTTTAGTCAAAAGTATGATGTGGTTTTTAAAGTGACAGATGGCTTTCAAGCCTATGAAAAGCTGTATTCTTAAAGCACAGACATCCATACTGACAGGTGGGCAAGCCTAGTAAAGGAAAATCACATATTTAAGCAAGAAATAAAGGTACATGCACTTCAATCTTCAAAAATCAGTCAGTTTATTTGATCAAATCTCTTCTGCTGCCACCATCCCATACCCACCACCACCAAAAAACAAACAAACAAACAAAAGACCAACCCAGATTCCTATTCTTAACAGAAGAGGTTATCTAAACCTATGTAACCAATAGTGTATTCCATAGAGCTACTCAGCCAACAAACTCAGTTATTGATTGATTGAATAAATACGGAAAGAGGGTCCCACAGCTGCAGGAACTTGTGTGTGTGCCCCACAGAGTGGCTCCACAGATACCTCCAGGAGATGAAGCTGGTACTCTGCCACCCAGGGAAACCCCCACAACTAGCAGGATGGTTGGGGGTACGCCCAAATGGGGTTTTTAGGAAAAACCAGACACTATGAAAGGACATTCTACTGCTTGTAGAGTACATAAAATGGTTTCTTTGCGGATGTGTGTGTGAAAGAAATGCTTGTATGTTCCGATGGCCCCTGACTGTTAGTCTGTTAGGTACGAATAGTGCCTGGAATGGCGGACAGGCTGGGACATGTCAGGTAAACTAGAGGAGCCAGCCTTTTGCTCTTGTAAAGGACCATTAATTCAAGTAGAATGAATAAGAAAACTAATGGAAGAGCTCTATTCTGGGAGCTCACAAAATGATGCTGCCAGGACCCTGCCTTCTTGTCCATGCATGCTGTTTTGATTCTGAGGTCATCTTCATTGTTACCTCCATGTAAAAATAGTTAAGGTGGCTTGGTTAGTGCTGAGGAGTCAGAATCTCAGAGGAAAAGGAGACAGACCACAAGCACTTTCAACCAGACTCTTGAGGTTGTGAAACTTTTTTCAGACATCACAGCTCCAAAGCCTGAGTCAGCAGGTGGGCTAAACGTGTGCTTGTTTAACTGGCACCTAGGGCTTCAGAACTGGTGGAGTCCCAGGAAAGGAGGAACCGTGAGGTGTGATTATGCCTTCCCCCTCCTACCTCCACTGGCCTCAAGGGCAGCATACCTCCACCAGATGCCCACCTCTCCTTATCCCTCCCCTTTGTCTCTTCCTTGTTCCTTCATTCTGCCTTTTATAAGACTCTGAAAATACATGGAATTATTTTTTTTCCAAAGGTACATTGATCCTACTTCAATCTATTAGGTACTTTAAATTACACCATCACCCCTATATAAGCCTATGTCTTTCTGAGGTTTGAAAACGCAAGGAGGGGAAAGAAGAGGACAAAGAATGGAAGTTTTATTTTTTTAATCTGTTACTTTTCTATTTTTACAAAGGAAATAATCCTGATTTTAAAGTAATCTCTCAAAAAGGCCATGTGTGTATCTTATACAAACAAAGGCACAGGAAATCTGTGGTTCTGGTTTCCCAAGAGGCTGACAGCAGGCAGTAAGCCTGGTCAGCAACAGAAAACCACAGGCAGGCCATTAAAAAGGGTCACTAGGAACTCAGAGACCATGCTTGCCATAAAACACTATCATATGACACAGTTTGGGTGACAGTGACCGTGAAAGAGTATCTCAGACACATTAGGCACTAAGTCGGGGCTGGCTTGTTAAGATAACCACCATTACTGAAGGCTTATCCTTCTGGAAAAAGGTATTCCAGTTTCCAGACAGATATAAACCAATTTTTGAAACACAGAGCATGATAATTTGGGAGCTTCTTGCAGCATGTATATTCCTAACAAATATCCAATTCAAATAGCTTATACTTCAGAAGTAAAATAACATAGATCAATATAATGTAAATGATCAGTGTATTTCTGAGAACAGAAATTCAAAGTCAGAAAACACCGAATCTCAACATAATAATGCCTACATTTATTCTGTGGTCAAGAGGCTTTTTTTTTTTTTTTTTTTTTTTTTTTTTAGAAACCAAGCACTTTACTTCTCACTAAAAATGAGATTATTGATCTACCATAACCATTAACTCTTCGATTAAGTATAGAAGGTTATCAAAGGCTTATAAAATACAGAATTACAGGCATAGCTGATAATAGTATAAATAAATCATTTTAATGCATCGTATTCAATTTTGTGCTCTTAAGTATATTGATTTCTGGACTGTTTTGTTAACAGCTCTGTAAAACTGCCACCAGTATTTCCATTTAGTAAAATACAATTGGGCCAGGCATGGTGGTTCATGCCTGTAATCCCACCATTTTGGGAGGCTGAGGCAGGCAGATCGCTTGGGCCCAGAAGTTCAAGACCAGCCTGGGCGACACGGCAAAACCTGTCTCTGCAGAAAAAAAAATAATAATAATAATAATAATACAAAAAGAATCAGCAGGGCATGGTGGTGCACACCTGTAGTCCCAGCTACTTGAGGGGCTGAGGTGGCAGGATCACTTGAGTCCAGGAGTTCGAGGCTGCAGTGATCTATGACTTTGCCACTGCCCTCCAGCCTGGGTGACAGAGCAAGACCCTGCCTCGAAAAAATTAAAAGTTAAAATCAAAAAAATAAAAAATAAAATTGTAGCATACAGTAGTTGTGAACTGCTCTCAGTTCACACTTTTTATATTCTTTACCAAACTTTAAAAACTATGCACTAAATCAATTCGGAGTGAAATGTTTGCAAAGCAATCTTAAAAACTGTCAACTAAGCCATGAATCACAAAATCCTCACTATTTTACATCCAAAAGTTCTAATTCAATACATTAGACAACCTTAAGCTCTTTTGTTCTTGCCTAGCTTAGGTCTGAGAGCAAATCTACGAGTATTCATGTGCTCCCTTGTGATCTTAAGGTTTCACTATCTTCATAAGCCAGTTCTTACCTTCAGGGTGGTGTCCATGTACGGGTCCTCCTCACGAGCTGCCGCCGCACTGCACCGCACAGTGAAACACTGCAGGTTGTTACTGAGGAGGAAGACACAGGCTGCTGAGCAAAGTGAGGCCAAGAACCAACATACCCACAGCAGGGAGGGTTTCACAGGCAAACAGGGCAATGGGCAGGGGTGACAGTCAAGTATTTGTCAAATATTGCCAAGTTAAACTTCTTCTCAATAAGAGGAATGCCTCAGAATCCCTGTGGTGTGTTTTTAAAAATATACAACTGGTCCCCATAACACCCCTAGTGAATCGCAATCTCTAGGGGCTGAATCTGGACGTGTACATTTCTACAAAACTCCATATGTGACTCTGATGTGCATCCCTAGTTAGGAACCATGGATCTGGGTCAGTATCTTCATTTTACAGACAAATGATGCCCCCAGTACCTGCCCAAGGTACAGATGGGTGTCTATCAAAACCAAGAGTAAAATCCATTTCTTAACTGTTGTTCTTCCTCAACCACCTCATGATGAAATCCATCCTGGATTATGCTGGACAACACAGACTATGCAAACTCAAATCCAATGGTCGAATTGAAAATGAGAGACCATCTGAAGGCATCTTCAGAATTACCTAGTCCAGCAGCTTGTTTTAAAGATTGGGGCATGAAAGGTTCATGACTGGTCCACCGCCTCTCTGGAGAGTAGAGCCAATTAGATCCCAGGTCTCCTGACCCCTCACACTCCTCTACCTCTTTCCACAACTCCAGGCTGCTTCTGCATACAAAAAGGACCTAGGGACTCCACAGTAAGTGCACAATAGATGCCTGGTTGTCATCTGTGGTTGTTATCTAGGTCAACCCTCGAATATTGACATTAAAAACAGTTAATTAACTTAGAAATTGCTACACAATGATGTATATTTCTGTTCCATTATGTGACGGGACAGAAATTGATATTTTTATTCCTTCCTTCTCCCTCCCTTTTTAAAAAAACTAGAAAGTGGGAGAAGTAAAAACGAACTCTTTAAAATAAAAAAAAAGACTAAAGCAAACCTAACAGTAATATTAAATTTAAAAAATGTCCTCATAAAAAAAGGCATTCTGATATTTTCAGTTAGGAGGCTTAGCACAATTTAAGAGGTAGTCAGGCCTCTCTCCATCTGCTGGTGCTTCCACTTCAGCCTCAGCCATCTCTGTCTATCTCTGCAACGTTCTAGGAAATGACCTCTGGAGTCCTGACAATAACTAGGACAGTAGCACTACCACTTACAAATCTGGAGTAGAGTTAGCAACCTTGGGAAGTAAACTGAGAGAGAGGGAAGCAAAAAAGCACCTGCAGTGGGACCGGAAGGACAGATGAGAATAGCTATGACCGCAAAAACAAATAGCCTTTAGATTTTAGAGATAAAAAGGCAGGGTTTCGGCCAGGCGTGGTGGCTCAAGCCTGTAATCCCAGCATTTTGGGAGGCCGAGACAGGCGGATCATGAGGTCAGGAGATCGAGACCACCCTGGCTAACACAGTGAAACCCCGTCTCTACTAAAAATACAAAAAAAAAAAAAAAATTAGCTGGGCGTGGTGGTGGGCGCCTGTAGTCTTAGCTACTCGGGAGGCTGAGGCAGGAGAATGGCATGAACCCGGGAGGCGGAGCTTGCAGTGAGCCAAGATCGTGCCACTGCACTCCAGCCTGGGTGACAGAGTGAGATTCTGTCTCAAAAAAAAAAAAAAAAAAAAAAGGCAGGGTTCCCTGACTTACCTCCACCTGTAGGAATCCAGTCTATTGGCTACTGTTGGAATCCTAAGCAGAAATGTATACTAGAGAAAGAATAAACTGAAATGTGCTGGCATTGAAAGATGTCCAAGATATGCTGCTATGTAAAATAGCAAGTTGCTGAACAGTGGACAGAGCATGATCAATTTCTGTAATAAATAAGGCATAGTAGTACATGCATTGTAAAAACAACAACAAAAAAAAAAAAATGGCCGGGCATGGTGGCTCATGCCTGTAATCCCAGCACTTTGGGAGGCTGAGGTGGGCGAATTGCCTGAGGTCTGGAGTTCCAGACCAGTCTGGCCAACATGGTGAAACCCCGCCTCTACTAAAAATACAAAAAAATTAGCCGGGCATGGTGATGGGCACCTGTAACCCCAGCTACTCAGGAGGCTGAGGCAGGGGAATTGCTTGAACCAGGGAGGTGGAGGTTGCAGTGAGCTGAGATCACGCCACTGCACTCCAACCTGGGCGACAGAGCGACACTCCATCTCAAAAAAAAAAAAAAAAAAAAAGTCTTGATATGCTTAACTCTGGGAGAATAGGATTTCATGGGGGGCTTTCCTACTTACACGTTTCTATAAAGTTGGCATTTTACATGATTTTATTTTGTTCTTTGCTTCTTAAAAAAATCTCTATTGCTTTCTTTAGGCGTATACCTATCTTCCAGAAACTTTTCAAGACCACCTTATGGGACAAGAGATTTTGAAACATTTATCTATCGGGTAAAATAAAAAAGATGGGCCGGGCGCAGTAGCTCACATCTGTAATCCCAGCACTTTGGGAGGCCGTGGCGGGTGGATCATCTGAGGTTAGGAGTTGGAGACCAGCTTGGCCAACATGGTGAAACCCCATCTCTACTAAAAATACAAAAAAATTAGTCGGGCATGGCGGCAGGTGCCTATAATCCCAGCGACTTGGGAGGTTGAGGCAGGAGAATTGCTTAAACCCGGGAGGCAGAGGTTGCAGTGAGCTGAGACCGCGCCATTGCACTCCAGCCTGGGCAACAAAAGAGAAACTCCGATTTGATTTGAAAAACAGGAGTGGAGATTCTTATTAAGAATCTGAATTTACATAAAACAACTGCTATTCTAATGTCTAATGGTTTCACAGTGAAGTTAATGATGTCAGTCTCCTTTAGTGCTGATAATAAGAAAAGCTCAAAAATGTCCTGTCTGGAGGCAGTCAAAACCCACGCATTACAAGTCCATTCAAACCCATAATATAATGCTTTCAGGGCTCTACACTCCAAATATGTACATAACTTATAAATAAGAGAGATGGGGCAACAGATTTAGTGGGTCCACTCACTAAATTCTCAGTGTACTTCAAGTATATGCAATCAGATGGGAAAAAGATGGATAGTCTTTTACATCTATATGATGGGACAGAAATTAGTATATTCCTTTCTTTTCCCTTTTTCCATTGTTTCTGAGATGGTATAGTTTCCTAGATTCTTCTGCATCCTTAAAAATCTTTGTCTTTCTCCTCTTGCTTGCTGAGCAAGACCTTCACCAGAGTTTAATTCTTTAATAACTTTTCACTATCTACATACTCTCACTACTTTAATAATCAACTTTTTTTTTGGCGGTAGTAAAACTTCTAAGCTTTCCTCTTTACCCTAATCTACAGTTCTATGTGTCCAAAAGCCTACTTAGCATTATGTCTTGATAATCTATAAGCATCTCAAACTCAAATGTCTAAACCAAACATCTCTTTTGCCCCACATTTCACCAGCCTCCATTGTTTCATAAAAGCAGGCAAAACCTTGGTGGGATTTTTCATGCCTCCTACATCCCCATTATCCCATCAGACAAGTCTTTTAACTTTCCCACTGAAGCCTCTCCCATGCATCCTCCCTTCTCCTTTCATTAACACTACCATGCCTGAATACCGCCCCTTAATATCCTTGCCTGAACTATTCCAATAGCTTATTTAT
Source organism: Homo sapiens (assembly GCF_000001405.40). Taxonomy (NCBI): domain Eukaryota; kingdom Metazoa; phylum Chordata; class Mammalia; order Primates; family Hominidae; genus Homo; species Homo sapiens. The sequence goes on along the minus strand of NC_000003.12, from coordinate 149,146,975 downwards.
CTATGTTCAATCCATCTTCCACAACAGCCACCATTAATTTTCCTAAAACAATGTTCTGATCATATTACTTTCTCTGGTTAAAACTTTAAAAAAAAGTCCTTAGTTTAATTTTCAAATCCTTGAGCTCTCTTTTCAAGCACTGTTTTCACCACCTGTCTACTTTTCAGCTTCTTCATATTTAAAGAACATCACTACACAACACTTTGGACACTGGAAAGAGTAGCTACCTCCACATTGTTCACTTAAGAAACACACTGCCATCAGCAGCATTTCTCCTTAAGCCAGAAATCAGGTGGAGAAGGGAGTGCAACCACTAAGAGTGGATATCAGAATCTCCAGATTGGTTCTATGCAGTTTGGAATCTCCAGCACCTGCTAGAGATTGTGATACTACCACTCAGTGGTGGGGTGATCTCTGTCCTGTGCAATTAATTTTTGGATGTTCCTAAAAACTTGATACAGTTTTTGTTTATAGTCTTCCTTCAATCTATAATGCACATCTCTTTCAATCTTCATCTACCAAAATTCTAGCTAGCTTTCATGCTTCACTTCAAACACAATCAGCTATCCACAACTTCCCCATACAACTTAGCCAGAAGTAACTTCCCTCCTCCCAATGTCAATGGCACTTTCATGAGGTCTTAAGACATTTTTCGCAAATCTCCTAGTGTCTGTGACTCTTGTGTGTCTCTCTAACCTTCTCTTCTATTGTTGCTTTAGAAAGTGGTTGGTGTATCTTATTCACAGTTGCATGGTCAGAGGGCACAAGGAAGTGCCCTGAACATAATCTAAGCTCAAAAAACAGGAAATAGAACCAAAACCATCATATGCTGCTGAGATTAAAAGGAAATGAAATCAAGCTACTGCTTGTGAACCCAGTTTACATGCCAGCATAATAGGGGAAGGCAACTCAACACATCTGCCACCAATTAGCACATGACTTTGGCCAATTCTAACCTCTCTGTAACAACTTCCCTATCTGTGCCAATCAAGGAGAGAATCAGATCATCTCTCTGGCCCCTTCACAGTTCTAAACTATTATAAATAACTCAATTTATACTAGAAAAATATGGTAGCAGTGAGAAAAAAAATTTAGGAAATCTAAAAAGAAACTTAAAGAGACGCTCTGACTGGCTGCATTGACTTTTCATTAAAACTCCCTATGAAAGTCTTCCTTTATGAAGAACCTTATACTTCCTTACAGGGACCCCTATCCAGTCTAGGGAAACAAACAAAGACAAAACCAGAGTCTAAATCTTTGACATTGAAAAGGCAGGTATGGGTCATCAAAAGACAGACTTACAATGACATGTAACTCATGCATTTATAGTACTCTATGCTAGTTCACACAATTCTCACAGATTTAGGAAGTACCTCAAAAATTTACAAATAAGTGACTCACAGGCCAGCAAGTGACCCTCTAACAGTACCTTGTAATGACGTGCAAAAATTGTGGCGTGAGTACTGCCTGCTGAGACTTTTCAGGATACTGGTAGACTGACATCAATTCAACAGATTTGACAACCATGTAGAGATAGCCCACATGAGGTAAGGAGAAAAAGCAAAAGAGACTCAGCAATTCTTTTTCCTGAGACAAATTTTTTCCATCAGATGTAAGAGAACCTGCATGCAAAAATGAAAGAAATAAAACACCATGAAACCAGTAAATAAAGGGGGAAATAATCATATATTGACTTTGCTATGCAAACTGTATCAGTGGGTAACCAAAGAGTTGCAAAGGGGAAGTTGCTCTTTATAGAAGAATGTTGGTAAGAAATAAAAAAGGAGTAATATAATTAGAATATCGGCATTGTACAACCCCTACTAAATTAACAGATCTAAGTAATGATCATCAATGGCTGTTAACATCACAAAAAGAGTCCACTGGCAGAGCTCAACACTACTTGGGTTTCAAAATAATAAAAAGAATAATAAATAATCTGAGCAAGCCTGAGTATAGACCAGCAATGTTGATAGAAATATGTGAGCCACATCTGCAATTACTAGATTTCTAGTAATCACATTTTTAAAAGTAAAAAGAAACAAGTAAAATTTTAATAATATTGTATTAACCCAACATATCAAAAATATTACCATTTCAAGAAGCAATAAACACAAAAATTAATATTATATACATTTTTGTACTTAGTCTTCAAAACCTAGTGTGTATTTTATACTTATGCCATATCTCAATTCAGACTAGTCATATTTCAAGTGCTTAATAGCGGCATGTGACTAATGGCTACCATACTAAACAGCATAGATTTCCATCTACCAACTCAAATGGAAATACAGTGGACAGAGAAACATGTTAAATGACACGTAAGGATTCACTTAGCAAAATTCAGATTGTTGGAAATTTTACAGTAAAGAGTCTAATTTCTTGTTAAATAAGATGCAAAGAAAAGAGAGGAAGGAAAGCCTAGATATTAAAAGAGCCTTAAAAGACATAGCAATCAATTGCAATGTATGAACTTTATTTGGAATATGATTCAAACAAATGAATTACAGAAGTTTTTTAGTCAATTAGAGAAATGTGAACACTTACTGGATATCTGGTGGTATCAACAAAATTTTTTTTATTTTTATTTTTTGAGACGGAGTCTCACTCTGTCACCCAGGCTGGAGTGCAGTGGCACGATCTCGGCTCACTGCAACCTCCACCTCCCGGGTTCAAACGATTCTCCTGCCTCGGCCTCCCAGGTAGCTGGGACTACAGGCGCCCACCACCATGCCTGGCTAATTTTTTTTTTTTTTTTTTTCTAGTAGAGACGGGGTTTCGCCATATTGGCCAGGCTGGTCTCGAACTCCCAACCTTGTGATCCACCCACCTCAGCCTCCCAAAGTGCTGGGATTACAGGCGTGAACCACCGCACCCGGCAACAAATTTTTTATAATGTGAAATAGCATTTTGGGTTTAAGTAAAAGAATACTTTTAGAGACATATGTTGAAATATTTATGAATGCAATGGTATGAACTCCGGGATGTGCATCAAAATAATGTAGCATGGAGCAACACTGTTGAAGCTGTTTGATGGGTACGTGGGGGTTCACTGCACTATTTTCTATCTACATGTGGCTGTAATTTTTCATAACCAAAGTTGTTTAACAAGTACCCTGACTGACACCCTTGAAGGACACCAATTAATAGCAGAAGTCCAATTCTGTACTCTCCATATTTGGCTGAAAGTCAACTGTCCAGTTTTTTTCTCCCTATTCTTTTTTAACATATATCTGTGCTCTGGCCAAAGAGAACTGCTCACGAATCTCCAAATACACATAATTTTACACCTCATATAATGTTGGTTCCCATTATGTAATATCTTTCCAAAATCTCTATCATCCATTACGGCCCAGCTCAAATACATATGACCCATCCATTCGTCTATTCAGTCAGCATTCATCAGGTACCTACTAAGTGCTGCTGTTCCAGATTCTAGGGATACAACAGTGTTCAAAACAACGTAACTGCTTTCACAGAGCCTTCATTCTAGTGATGGGGATTGGGATGGAGAGTAAACAAGTAAACTCCAGTGTGAGTGGAGAAGGGATATTTTAAATTGAGAGGTCAGAGAAGTCCTCCGTCATGAAGTTACACTTCAGCTGCGAACTGAATGACTTAAATGCACCAGTCACACAAGGCTGAGAGGAGTACCCTACGCACAAGAAGAGCAAATAATAGGTCTTAGATAAGCGTGCCTGTGGCGTCTCTAAGGAAGAGGGAAAGGCCACTATGGATGAAGAATAGTAAGCAGGGTGAGAGTGGGACACGATGGGCTTAGAGTTAAGGTCATATACGCCATGGAATGGATTTGGAGTTTTTATTCCAAGTGCTATGGGAAGCTCACTGGATCTTTAGCTGACCCTCTAATATGGCTATTGGCCCTGTCTGGTCTCCAGCCCTGTCTCACTGCAGCCCCCTTAGTTTTGCTTCTCTCAGTTTCTCAGATGTGATCCTCCCTCTGCAACAGAGCCTTTGCTGCTGCTTCTGCCTGGAAGGCTCTCTTCCCCTCCCCTGCACCAACCCAACCCTATTCCCAAGTGAGTCCAATTCGCCCTTCAGATCCTCTTTCTCAGGAAGCCTTCCCTGACCTCAAGATGAGGTCAGGGTCTTTTGTTATAGGCTGTCACAGGGAGGTTTACCACAGATCACTCATTTCAGGGTACAACTGTGAATCTGCCGTTATTCGAATGTCTCCCTTCCCCCACTAGACAATTAGCTCCGTAAGAGCAAGCACTTCACTCACTGTTAGTTCCCTAGTATTCAGCACAATGCTCAACATAGTAGGTACTCAATAAATATTTACTAAAAGAAAAAAAAATGAAGGTTAGAAACACATTTAATCGGAATAATATTTGTATCTTTCTCTAGATAACATCTAAAGATGTTAATCAGGCCAGAACTGAGTGCAGGGCCTATTAGTGATTCTCAATCATGGTGCCCATTAGACTCTTGGGGAGTTTTTAAAAAATACTAATGCCCAGGCCCTGTAACTGATATCTTGCATGTAGAGCCTGAGTATCAATATCTTAAAAAGCATTCAGGTAAGCCCATTGTGTGGCAGGGTTGAAAACAACTGCTCTAAATTATTTTCCATTCAGTCCACATTTTTACACCTAATTCACAAGCCAATCATAAGAAGCTTGGCCAAATACCCAGCTAGAACCCACACATACCTTGGCTCTAACAGGTCTCCAATTTCCTTTTTGGGCCTAGAGGCCATTTCAAAAAGGGAAATGAGTTCAGTCTGTCATGCCTTCTCCATGGCTTCTCCTAGCAGGTATGACTTCCCTTTCTAGTACTCATAGGTATTTGCTAAGGATTTTGGGCCGGGTGTGGTGGCTCACACCTGTAATCCCAGCACTTTGGGAGGCCGAGGTGGGCGGATCAATGAGGTCGGGAGTTCGAGACCAGCCTGACCAACATGGAGAAACCCCATCTCTACTAAAAATACAAAATTAGCTGGGCGTGGTGGGGCATTCCTGTAATCCCAGCTACTCGGGAGTCTGAGGCAGGAGAATCACTTGAACCCGGGAGGTGGAGGTTGCAGTGAGCCAAGATCATACCATTGCACTCCAGCCTGGACAACAAGAGCAAAACTCTGTCTCAAGAAAAAAAATAATAAATAATAATAAAATAGAGGTCGGGTGTGGTGGCTCATGCCTGTAATCCTAGCACTTTGGGAGGCCAACACAGGCAGATCACAAAGTCAGGAGATCGAGACCATCCTGCCCAACATGGTGAAACCCCGTCTCTGCTAAAAATACAAAAAAATTTAGCCGGGCTTGGTGGCGGGCGCCTGTAGTCCCAGCTACTCGGGAGGCTGAGGCAGGAGAATCACTTGAACCCAGGAAGTAGAAGTTGCAGTGAGCCGAGATCGCACCACTGCACTCCAGACTGGCAATAAAGCGAGACTCAGTCTCAAAAAAAAAAAAAAAAAAAAACAAAAAAAAAAACTTTGTTAAAGGGCCACAAGGAGACTCCAGTGGAAGAACCAAACCACCAAACCTATTACCCACATGGGTCTTCACTCCCAGCCCAGACAGAGCATTTTCACCTTGCTGCACTGTCGCACTCCTGCACTGTCATGCTTACCGGTCTGGTAAATGGGTAGCAGCTGGAGGGAATGTAGCTTGATGTCATCAGACAAGACATAGGACGAAATATCAGGAGCAAAACGTCTGTGGGTTTAAAAAGACAGAGAAAGGGAAAAATATAACTTCCATGTACTTTAAGCAGGCATATATACATAAAATGCTGGTAAAAAAAAAAAAAGCACTATAATACCTATAGAGCAGGTGCTGAAAGTGGGAATATTTTCTTTTTTCATCAGCTAATCCCGTAGACTCCAGTGTAACAGATAATCCAGACTGTTCACTTTTTTCACCAAGAAGTTCCAGGGGCTTCTGGCAGATGACAAAATCATCTGACTCAAGCTGTGAAATTTCATTACTGATGCCTTAAAAAAATAAAATGTAACAGTCCTGCTTGAATGAAAATTAGATTTTACAACATCCTCTCACCAATTAGACATATAGTAATTTCATTTATTTATAATATGCACACATTTACAAGGCACTGTGGTTGTGAAAAGACTTAGCACTTGCTCATTTAATCTCCACAACTGATAAAGTACAACAGGGTAGGTATTATCATCCCCATTTTACAAATGAGGATGTTGAAACTCAGAGATGGTATTATTAACCCAAGGTCATTCAACTAGTAACTATGAGGACTAGGACTAGAAGCCCCTCATCTAGCAGTGGTTGTTCCATTACTTCTACTGATAAATATATTCACATGCTACAGAGTAAGCTATGGACAGCCAGATCATAAAACCAAATCCCATGAAATAGGAATAACTAAATCTATAAATAACATGGCCGGGCACCATATATACCACAGACCTTCAGACTGCCAAAGGTGAAGGTTTTCTATATTCCTAAAACAAGAAAGCAAGTCAAATTCATTATTTACCTTCTTCTGTCCGTCTTATTCGATTGTTGGTCTTATGTGGATGGTGGTGAACTCTCTCTCCATTTTTAGGGCCTGACTCCAGTTTTACGATTAAGACTTCTAAGTCTGACATGACAGCAACATATCCAACACAAAAAGAAACCTCAACAGGAGTGATATTATCTATGTGTATAATTAAAGAACGTTCAAAGTCCAATAGTGAGAATTCCTCATTAATGATCTGGTACTTCAAACTAAATAAGACTAATTTATTTGTGCAGCCAACGAGAAGGTCTCCTTTCACAGGGCAACAGGAAATGCACAAGGGGGCCTCCGAAAGCGGCATTTCAATAATGTACATCTGGTCTCTGAAGGCTTTGCTGAATGGTCCCTCCACATTATGCCCAATCATTCGGATACACACACGAGAGTTTTCAGTCCTTTTATTTCTCCAGTTCACATAAGCACGTAGAAATGTAGCTTTGTTTTTCTCTTCAATTGCTACCAAATAATCTCCTGAGAAGGAATGAAGATTATACTGAGAATTTGTAATTAGAAATACAACCACCTCCCTTGCTGACATGAGTACTATTAATGAATTCTAACACAAATGGTCGAATTAAAGACTGAATAGAATAAAACCCTAAGTAACAAAATCTTAGGTGTATTTTTGACTGACATTAGGCTTTGAGGTTCTGAAATGCAATCTCTCCCATCTGAGTGTCTTAAGACAACCTATTAATTGCCCATGTAACATACAGAAAGTTCATATAAGGAATAAAATGTAAAATTAAGTGTTTACTGTAGCTCTAAATCTGCAGTTCTAACAAAGCTCTACTGACACAGAATTCACTATTAGGGTGACACCAAAATTAGGTATACATTAAGGAATTCTCAGATTAGCAGAATTTACATTTCAAACCCTCTCCTTCCCACAAGTCACAAGTCTGAGAAACAGGATAAAGTTGGAAATAGCAAAGAAAATACAGATCCAAGTTAATTTTCTCTAAATTGTTGATTGTATAAGTTTTAACTTATAAACATATATTGGTTGTGGGAAGTCAAAATGGTAACGTGGTAAAGAGATGCAAAATGAAAAGCATAATGATCTCCCCCTTGAGGACCCAATGTTAACACACAGCCTGGTATGTGCCTTTCAACACCTTTCTCTCATATAAACAGAGATCACAGAGAGGTATTCTGTCTTTTTTAAAAATGAACAAAAACTAAAATGTAATCATATTAAATATATTTAACAATCTGCAACTTTTAAAAATTATTAATAAATCTCTCCCTCCAGGCTGATACATGGATATCTAACATCCTTTTCAATATGTTCAACATCCCATATGTACATACATACGCATAATTTATTCAATAATTCCCTTACTGATAAGCATTCAAATATATTTCCAGGGTTTTTTGCCACTATGTTTCATAGTAATACATAGGCTTATATCTATATATTTATTTACTGGGGGATTTATTTTAACGGTACAGATTCCCAAAAGTGAGATATGTTGGGCCAAAGGGCATGGGCATTTTAAATTTCAATATTGCCCAATTACTATCAATTAGATAATAGAAATTCATGTTACCAGCAGCAGTGCTTAAACACACCTGTTTCCCCACATCCTCACTAGCACTGACTCTACACAATGAGAGAAACATGGACTCTCACGGCTATTATAATTTACATTTCCTAGACCTTTTTATAAAGCTGGCCATCTTTTCCTACGTTTATCAGCCATGTATAGTTTCTCTTCTGCATGATGTCCAATTTTTATTAAGTTGTTCATTTGTTTTTCTTATCATGACACTGTAGCTCTCTACTTAAAAGGGATATAAACCTTTTGTCGTCTATAAATAGTAAATGGTTTTAGAGTCTATTTTCTGATTTTGACTTTGCTGATGGCATGTTTTACCATACCCTTTTTATTTAGAGTATACTATATGTATCTTTTCCTCCTTGCCTTCTGAGTTCCCATCCATGTCCTCCAAATTACATAAATATGCTCCTATATTTTCTTCTATTTTAGTGGAGGTTTAGAAAATATACATTTTTAATCTTTAGAATTTTGCGGGTAAAGAAGGAGATAAGTCAGAGGATCTAATGTCACTTCTTCCAAATGTAGACTCTATTATATTAACACTATTAAGCAAATTGGCCCTTTTCCGATGAATTGAAATTGAAATGCTGCCATTACATTGACTTCCCATGTACTTATGAGGCAAGCAAACAGGTGCTGCCCCTTTCTGCAGACATTCACTGGGCTGACCAGGCTCCCTCCTCCAAAATGATCCTGACTTCTACAGGTAGCAAGCTTTCTCCTGATGATGGTTCTTTTTATGCCACAGAGATGGAGCCTGAACCTGTTCTTTCCCTGGAGATCGTAGAATGCCTAAAGAGATCCTGCAGGTGCCCTAAGTTTGTTCACTTTTCCAGGGAAGCAGTTTGGACAGAGTTGGGATGAAGTTGAGGCCTCCATCTTCCTAAAATTCCCCCAGTAAATAAATAAATTTTTTTTATTGTAGTACGATACACACAACATAAAATGTACATTTTCACCATTTTTAAGTCTACAGATCAGTGGCACTGGTATCTTCTCATTGCTATGCAACCATCACTACCATCCATCTCTATAACTAACTTTTTCATCTACTAAAAAACTCTGCACTGATTAAATAATAATTCCCTATTCCTCCCTCTCCCCAGGGTGAGACCACCATTATACTATCTCTATGAATTTGACTACTCTAGGTACCTCATGTAAGTTGAACCATATAGTATTTTTCCTTTTGTATCAGGCTTGTATCACTTAGCATAACTTCTCTAAGATTTATCCAGGTTGTGGCATGCATCAGAATTTCATTAAGGCCAAATAATACTCTATTGTATGTTCATACAATATATTTTATTTACTCATTTACTTGTCAATGGATCCTTGGACTGTTTCCACCTTTTGGCTCTTGTGAATAATTTTGCTACAAACATTGGTGTGCATGTATCCATTCAAGTCCCTGCTTTCAATTATTTTGGGTATACACCCAGAAGTGGAATTGCTGGATCATATGGTAATTCTATGTTTAATGTTTTGAGAAACTGCCATATTGTTTTCCACATAGGCTGTGTTATTTTACATTCCTACCAGCAACGTTTAAGGGTTCCAATTTCTCCACATTCTCCCCAACACGTTAATTTCTGTTTTATTAATAACAGGCATACTAATGGGTGTGAGGTGCTATCTCACTGTGGTTTGGATTTGCATTTCCCTAATTATCAGTGATTTTGAGCATCTTTTCTTATGTTTTTTGCCGTTTATGTATTTTCTTCTTTGTAGAAATGTCTATTCAAGTCCTTAGCCCATTTTTTAATCAAGTTTTTTTGGTTGTTGTTGAGTTGTAAGAGTTCTTTATTGTATATATTCTAGATATTAATCCCTTATGAGATATATGATTCGGAAATATTTTCTCCCATTCCATGTTGTCTTTTCAATCTGTTGATGAGTCTTTTGATATACAACAGTCATTAACTTTGATAAAGTCTAGTTTATCTATTTTTCTTCTGTTGCCTATACTTTTGGTATCATAATTTAGTAAATAAATTTTAAAACTAAGAATATTTAATTACAATAAAACCTTTTTATTCATATACCTATAAATACATGCCCATTTCATCTATAAAATTCATATATTAACTAATGTTTATAGTATGCAAATTGTAGATAGTGTCCATGTTGTATTGTGTGCTTTCAGATTAATGACCTGGTCTTTAAATGATGATCCAGCACTTGCTAAATGTGCCTGCCTGACAATCCTTATGATCAGAGCTTTAGAGTTCCTTCAATTAACTCTCACAACAGCCCTTTAAGATACAAATCTCCCTCCTCATTTTATACATCAGGAATCTGAAGCACAGACAAGCAAAGTAACTTGTCCAAGGCAACACAACGAACAAATTAGGAAACTGGGACTCAAACCTAGATCTGGTTAGCTCAAAAGTTTATGTTCTTTGCCCAGTAATGCTGTTTCCCCAACTGATAGAAGGGAAATACAACTCTACAGGAGTCTGTGGAGGCTATAACCCTTTAAAAGAGAAGGGAACTAAATTTTTTAAGCTTTATGTGTGCAGTGCCTCATTTTACCTTTTTTAAATTTAAGTGTCTTGCTCCGTTGCCCAAGTTGTCTTGGCTCACTGCAACCTCCACCTCCCGGACTCAAGTGATCCTTCCACCTCAGCCTCTCAAGTAGGTGGAACTACAGGTGTGAGCCACCACACTTGGCTAATTTGTGTGTGTGTGTGTATATATATATGTATATACATATATTATAATGTGTGTGTGTATATATATACACACACACATATGTAGAAACAGGGTTTCACTATGTAGCCCAGGCTCAGCTTCTGTCTTTATTAAGTACATTGAAAAATCATTCTCATTTTTACTCTTGAGCTTAGAGTTACTGATTTTTAAAAATAAGTAAACTTTCCCTTTTATGTAGCAAGATCACAAACATGGCTAACAGTAATACCAGATCAAAGGCTGTACTCCTATGACAAAATTGAATCACAAGGCAGAAATAATTTATAAGGCATCTAAATATGTTTTATGACTCCAGGAAAACTGAGAGAAAGTAGGGCTTGTGGGAGGGGTAGATGGGCTGGGGCTGGTTTAGTACACTTGTGCTAATGGCCAGGCAATTACAGCCTTGTGGTCTGCATCCTCCATGCCCCACCACCCCTAGACACCCCATAAACAAGTGTCTACCACCAAAGGTCCCCATACAGCACTCAACCCTGGCCACCAGGTCTTTCTCTTTCAGGAGTGAGGAGTTCTCAGGTCTCCCCTCTTCTTTGCTTTACACACTGTATTAGTCCATTTTCACATTACTGCTACAAGCAAATACCTGAGACTGGGTAATAAAGAAAACAGGTTTAATTGACTCGCAGTTCTGCATGGCTGGGGGGACCTCAGAAAACTTATAATCATGGTGGAAGGCACCTCTTCACAGGGCGGCAGGACAGAAAATAAGTGTGGGTAGGGGAAATGCCAGACACTTAAAAACCATCAGATCTCATGAGAATTCACTATCATGAGAAACAGCATGGGGGAAACTGTCCCCATGATCCAATTACCTCCACCTGGTCCCGCCCTTGACACGTGGGGGTTATGGGGACTACAATTCAAGATGAGATTTTAGCTGAGGACACAGCCAAACCGTATCACACACAAAGCCTAAATTTATTTTCCCTTACTGATGACGATGTCAGAGGTCCCCATCCTTCAAAATTTCTACCTGCTTTCTCCCTAATACCCCCAAATTTTATTTTAAAAACTTTCAGCTAATTTGAGATTTTTTTTAACCTGAAAATGTTTTCTGCTTGAGTAGAGACCTGAAAAGCATTTTTAGTAAACATAGATGGCTGATGTAAGATTCTTTCCATTTTTGAGGAGGAGACTTGCTACAGAGGAGGACACTGGGCATTGAGCCGGAATCCTCATGTCCCAGTTATTGTGAATGGAAGGAAGGGGCCAAAAGGGAAAAGCTGTGAAGTGGAAAACAAGTTATCTGGATACCATCATAGCCAGAGTCAGCTCTATTTATGTTCATTTGTGGGTGCATTAATAGGAGCTGTACCCAGGGGTTGAAGTTCAAGCTGTGGACTGAAACTTACCCTTGAGCTACATGACCCGTGATGCTAATTCCATCCCACATGACTCTTGAACCTGCTGTAAGGCAGCCAACTGGATTATAAAAACATCTTTATTGTTCAAGGCCTCGTTAATGAGGTTACAATGCTACTCATGGCCTCCTGCAGCCAGTACTGCTCTAGATCAGCGGTTCTCAACCCTGATTAAATATCTGACTCACCCCAATGCTGTCCTCACTCCAGGGAAACTACTACTGTATCTCTGAGGGTTTGGCCCAGGCATAGAGATTTTTAAAAACTCCCCAAGTGATTCGTATGCATAGGTAGTGGCCATCCAAGGATCCGACAGGTAAGAAAGCTAGAAGTTTACATAATACCTGCCACTCCAAATTCTAAAATAAACATCCACTTGGAAGAATGAAGTAAATCATGTAAACATATTATCTGTCTGTGTGTATGCCTGTCTGTCCCTGTCTTTCTTTCTCTCTCTCACACACACACACATATAAAAGTTGAAAGTGGTGAGTTTGTTACTCAGTAGAACTCTTGAAAGTGAGAACTCTTATGCCTTAAAAGGAGTGACGTAGAGAAAACTACCAATATTTTAACAGGTATGACCATTAAAGACAGATTTTATAATACCAAAATTGGAATATTCCTGCTGAAAGGGAACTTAAAGAGTTAATGAGAGGTTTTTCAAACAGGTCCGTGGCCCAGTGCAGGCCCCTGCTAATGTTGTCATTAGGCAAAAACAAAAACAAAAAACCAATGACAGCAGAGTAAGTTGTTCACAAAGCTAAAGATATCCAATGTTTGATGCTAAGTGTTTTTTCTTTTATAAATAATGACAGTAAATAGTAAGGCTTTTCATTTTTTTTAAAAAAAAACACAGGCATATCCCAGAGATATTGGAGGATTGCTTCCAGACCACCGCAATAAAGCAAATAATGCAATAAAAAGAGTCACATAAATTTTTTGGTTTCCCAGTGCATAAAAAAGTTATGTTTGTACTAGATTATAGTCTATTAGGTGTGAAATTGCATTATACCTAAAAAACAAACAAACAAAAAAACAAAGCAATGTACATACCTTAACTAAAAATATTTTATTGCTAAAAAAAATGCTAACGATCATCCAAGCCTTTAACGAGACATATCTTTTCACTGGTGAAGGGTCTTGCCCCGATGCTGATGGCTGCTGACTGATCAGGGTGGTGGTCACTGGAGGCTGGGGTGGCTGTGGCAAATCCTTAAAATAAGACAACAATGGGCCGGGCACAGTGGCTCACACCTGTAATGCCAGCACTTTGTGAGGCCAAGGCGGGTGGATCACCTGAGGTCGGGAGTTTGAGACCAGCCTGACCAACCATGGAGAAACCCCATCTCTACTAAAAATACAAAATTCGCCACAAGTGGTAGCGCATGCCTGTAACCCCAGCTACTTGGGAGGCTGAGGCTGGGAATTGCTTAAACCTGGGAGGTGGAGGTTGTGGTGAGCCGAGTTCACGCCACTGCACTCCAGCCTGGCCAACAAGAGTGAAGCTCTGTCTCAAAAAAATAAAATAAAATAAAATAAAATAAAAAAATAAAACAATTAAGTTTGCTCCATCAATTGACTCTTCCTTTCACAAAAGATTTCTCTGGAGCATGCAATGCTATTTGATAGCATTTTACCCACAGCAGAACTTCAAAATTGGAGTTAATCTTTTCAAACCTTCTCATTGCTTTATCAACTAAGTTTATGAAATATTCTAAATCTTCGTTGTCTTTTGAACAATGTTCCCAGCATCTTCAATAGAAACAATTCCATCTCAAGAAACCACTTTCTTTGTTCATCCATGAGAAGCAACTCCTCACCCATTCAAGTTTGATCATAAGATTGCAGGAATTCCAACACATCTTCAGGCTCCACTTCCAATTCTAGCTTTCTTGCTATTTCCACTACATCTACTGTTATTTCATCCACCTAAGTCTTGAACCCCTCAAAGTCATCCATGAGAGTTGGAATCAACTACTTCCAAACTCCTGTTAATGTTGGTATCTGATCTCCTTCCATGAATCCTGAATGTTTTTAATGGCATCTAGAAAGAGTGAATTCTTTCCAGATGATTTTCAATTTATTTTGCCCAGATCCATCAGAAGAATCACTTATCTGTGGCAGTTATAGCCTTACCAAATGTATTTCTTTAATAATGAGACTTGAAAGTCAAAATTACTACTTGATCCATGGGCTGCGGAATGGATGCTGTGTTAGCAGGCATAAAAACAACATCAATCTCCTTCTACATCTCCATCAGAGGTCTTGAGGGACTAGGTGCATTGTCAATGTGCAGTAATCTTTTGAAAAGAATATTGTTTTCTGAGCAGTAGATCAAAACAGTGGGCTTAAAATATTCAGTAAACAATGTTGTAACAGCTGTGCTGTCACCCAGGCTTTTTTCATTCTAAAGCACAGGCAGAGTAGATTTAGCATAATTTTTAAAAGGGCCCTATGATTTTCAGAATGGTAAATGAGAACTGGCCTCAATTTAGTCACCAGCTGCATCACCCCCTAACAAGAGTCAGCCTGTTCTTTGAAGCCAGGCATTATCTTCTCCTCTCTAGCCAAGAAAGTCCTAGATGGCATCTTCTTCCAATTTAAGACTGTTTTGTCTACACTGAAAAAATCTGTTGTTTAGCACAGCTGCCTCCATAAACTCATCTTAGCTATATCTTCTGGACTTCTGGATAACTTGCTGCAGATTCTACATCATCACTTGCTGTTTCACCTTGCACTTTTATATTATGGAGACAGCTTCTTCCCTTAAACCTCATGAGCTGAACTCTGCTAGCTTTAAACTTTTATTCTGCTGCTTCCTCACCTCTCTCAGCATTCACAGAGTTGAACAGAGGGCCTTGCTCTGTATTAAGCCTGGGCTTAAGGGAGTATTTTGGCTGGCTTGATCTTCTACCTAGAGCAAAGTTTTTTTCCTATCAGCAATAAGGCTTTCTAATCATTTGTGTTCACTGGAGTAACACTTAATTTCAAGAACTTTTCCTTTGCAGTCACAACTTGGCTAAGTGTTTGGTCCAAGAGGCCTACCGTGCAGCCTATCTCAGCTTCTGACACGCCTGCCTTCCTCACTAAGCTTAATCATTTCTAGCTTTTGATTTAAAGTGAGAGACGTCCAAGTGTCACTTGAACATTTAGAAGACATTGTAGGGTTATTAATTGGCCTGATTTCAATATTGTTGTGTCTCAGGGCCTAGGGCAGCCTGAGCAGGCAGAGACGATCAGAGCAGTAATCAGAACATACACAACACATATCAATTAAGTTCACCATCTCACATGGGCACAGTTCATGGCACCCCAAAACTACTACAATAGTAACATCAAAGATTGCTGATCACCGTAATAGATACAATAATTATGATAAAGTTTGAAATATTGCCAAGAACTATCAAAATGTGACTCAAGAGACATGTAGTGAGCACATGCAGTGTGAAAAATGGAACTGGTAGATTTGCTCCACACAGAGTTGCCACAAACTTTCAATTGGGGAGAAAAAAACACGCAGTATCGGCAAAGTACAACAAAGTGAAATGCAAAAAAAACAAGGTATGCCTGTATATGTCTTTACTTGACAAAATAAGCAGTCAGATACTATGTATGGTAACCCCACAGTTTTTAATTGAGCCACGAAATCCCAGGGTCTGGATATCACTGATCTATTTATTCAACTTTTTGTTTTTTTTTTTTTTTTTTAACATAAACTCAGACCCCAAGGTTTCTATAAACTCACACCGAACCAGCTGCGGGGTAGGGATTAGAGAGAGATCTCCAATCTTCCAGGTTCAAGTTCTCCACTTCATTAATAGCATAGCCACCAGCTTTTGCAACGTAAATACTGAACTTTACACCCATCTTGTAAAGTATGAATCGAAGGTAAGTGTATTAAAGGAATTATATGGTAAATTCTTCTGTAATCTAAAAGGGATCTAGTTTTAAATGTTGGATTTTTCTAAAATAGGATTCACCCACACAGTATTTCCTTGGTATTGCTTCACATTTCTGGTGTGAAAGAGTAACGGCTGCTCTTACAACTGTTTGTTTTTGTTTGTTTTGGGACGGAGTCTCACTCTGTCGCCTAAACTGGAGTGCAATGGGGCAATCTCCGCCTCCCCGGTTCAAGCGATTCTCCTGCCTCAGCCTCCCAAGTAGCTGAGACTACAGGCGCCCACCACCACGTCCGGCTAATTTTTGTATTTTTAGTACAGACGGGGTTTCAATAAATTGACCAGGCTGGTCTCGAACTCCTAACATCGTGATCCGCCTGCCTCAGCCTCCCAAAGTGTTGGGATTACAGGCGTGAGCCACTGCGCCCGGCCACAGATGTTTAAGAGAAGAGAGGGGGGCAGTCTGAGTTCTACTTACACACATTTAAAAATCAACACATAATGTGAGCTTTCAAAAACCGACCGGAAGTAGATGGAGGTACAGATGTGAAAGAACTGCCAAGAGTTGGAATAATTGTTAAAGCTGGGAGTACTTGGAGGTTCCGGGATACAGTACTAGTCTCCTTATTCCTACTTGTTTTTTTGGTAAGTCTTTGAAATCTGATGCACTAAAGAGTTTTTTGTTGTTGTTTGCTTAAGTATCCGAGATGAGTGGAATCCAGCCAGAGGCCTTTCTGCAGAAAACCAAGACGAAGAGATGTCAGCGTCTCCGCCCCGACAGAAGCAAGCTCATACCTATGCTTGCCGCGACAACCGCATAGCTCAATGCGACTTCAAGCAATCAGCGGCCAGACCCAGGGAGACCATCCGGCAAATTCCGGGAAGCAAGAAGTCCCATCCCTAGCTAGAGCTACAGCCCAGACGTTCGGTCCGCTAGCTAGGAGGCCTCAAGCTGGACCCCAGGCGGCCCCTGGCTCTCTAGATTACTCACCAGCCTCGCTGTAGGCCAGGCGCAACACCCGGCCCAGCGTGGAGAAGGCGCACCGCGGCTGGCACAGCTCCTGGCCGGCCACCGCGAACGCCTCCACCTTGCAGCCCGCCGCCACGAAAAGCGCGTCACGCCCCCCGCCACAGAACCGGTCCGGCTCCAGCTTGCAGGGCACCACCTGCTGCGACCCGAACGGGTGCAGGTTGTACAGCTGCACCATCCCGACGTCCGGCGGGATGGCACAGCCTGCCCGCCCTGCAGGGCGCCCGGAGACCCCGCGCTGACCGCGAATGTAGGACTACTTCCGCGAGCGAGCCAATGACGCCGGGTCACGTGAACGCCAGCCGGCCCCGCCCGCGGCTCCGCTACTTAAAGAGGCCGCCGCGGGGCGTGGCAGGCGTCGGGAAAGCGGTCACGCCAGCCTGGTCAGCCCGCGCTCTGGCGCTGCAGTGCTTTCGGTCTCTGCGCCTCCCACTCCGCCGCGCGAGCTTGCCACTGCTCTATGCTCAGTGGCCGGTGGGTGCGGGGACCGCTGGGTCCCTGCCTTTCGTCTTTTACTGCTTTGGGCCAGGCGGTATGTTTTGGCTTTTGAGTACGTTCTGACAATTCATCATCTATCTTGTAACATTTTGTACTTACTTTGAGGAGCGTTATTCATGTCTCTTCAGTAGTCCCTGAGCTTCTGGAGGATGGGGTTGCAAAAACTGAAATGGGGTGCAACTCGGGGCTAAACACTCTGAAGAGTTGCTTTAAAATAATGGAAATTCTAGAATAGTTCAGCTGGAAAGAGCAAAGCCTTGAACGTGCTTGGCAAAAAGATATTTGTTGAAAGAAAGAATCCATGGACTTCATCTTGTAGGCATTTGACAAAAGACTAGTTTGAGCCCCAGAGGATAGAAGAACTAGGAGGGAAATCCCCTGGCTTTCAGTCCAGTGCTCCTAAAACTATGCAGTAAATTATCTATTCCTGACATCTCAACGTGGAGTTCACGATCGCAACACTTTCCCTTTTCTAAAAAAATCAGATTTAGATAAAACAAGTAGTATAACTTTGTCCAGTTCACCTAGAAAATATATGTGTTAGCATGGATTGAGGGATGCTGTTTTATTTAGGCACACAGGGACATAAATGAAAGTGCAACATTTTCTTCAGTCAGTTTCCAGTTCAGAATTTGTAAATTAGATGCAATTGGATTGAAGTTAAACTTGCCTCCCTTTCCTAGGCCCTTCAGATGAATAAAGTACCTCTAAGTAATGGGAAACAACAGGTTCGTCAAACTCAGTGAGTTAGAGAAGTAAACATGGAGGTAGCTCAGGTCAGGAACTAGGGCTGCAAAAAATCACAGAAGGCTCCTATGGAAAACAACCAGACTAATAGTCCACAAGTTATTTGTTCTAGATACAAAACTTAAGAGCAAATATCAAAATCAATAGTAAAAAAGATTCCTTTCCACAAGTATCTGCCATATTATTCTTTTTGGCTTAATTTTCTTCTTCAAGACTTAATTATCCTAATTCAATTTTCTCCTAATGAAGACTGATATTAACTTTAGTGTAATTTCACCTGCATAAAAAGAATGTCTGTTTTGGAGAAAGAAGTGAGATTTGCTCAAAACCTGGAACCCCATTCCTTCCTAGAGATAGTGTCTTCTTCCTTGCTGTAGTCACTGCACCTGACTCATCTAAGATTCTTTGGGAAGAGACATGCTACCCAAGGGAAGGTGGGGCATGTGTCTGGTTTCCACGTTTGTCAGGAGCTGTGAGCAGGAGCTGCCCACTTGTATTCCTGTTACGAATGCAGGGGCAGCAATGGCACACCATCAATTCCTTGCGGGAGGTTGCATTTGTTTGCAAGGGCTGCCATAACAAAACACCACAGACTGGGTGGCTTACACAATAGATATTTCATTTTCACAGGTCTGGAGGCTAGAAGTCCAAGATAAGATGTCAGCAGGTATGGTTTCTCCTGAAGCCCCTTCTCCTTGGCTTGAAGATGACTACCTTTTTATTATGTGTTCCTATGGTCTTTCCTCTGTGTGCCTGCATCCCTGGTGTCCTTCCCTTGTCTTATAAAGATACCAGCCATATTAGATTAGGACCCACCCTTATGATCTTATTTAACCTTAATTATTTCTTAAAGGCCCTATCTCTATATACAGTCACATTCTGAGGTATTGGAGGTTACAGATTCAACATATGAATTTGGGGGGAAGACACAATTTAGCCCATAGCACATGCACTTAGGGTAGCACTCTGTTGAAAAGGGTTGTCTTGAGAACTTTCTTCCTTCCTTCCCTCCTTTCTCTCTCTTTCTTTCTTTTCTTTCTTATTTAAAGAGATGGGGTTTCGCTCTGTCACCCAGGCTGGAGTGCAGCAGTGTGATCATGGCTCACTGTACCCTTGACCACCTGAGCTCGAGCAATCCTCCCATCCCAGCCTCCAGATTAGCAGGAACTATAGGCACATACCACCATGCCTGGCTAATTTTTAAAATTTTTGTAGAGATAGGGTCTCACTATATTGCCCAGGCTGATCTTGAACTCCTGGACTCAAGCGATACTCTCACCTCAGCCTCCCAAAGTGCTAGGATTACAGGCATGAGTCACTGCACCTGGCCCTAGAACTTCTTTAAGCTGTATTTGCTGGGGAGATTGAGGGTGCTATGTGGGTAAAAAGCTCCCCCAAGTTTCTTCTAGGTGACAACACCACTGGGGATGGCTACAAAAATGGTTCTGCAACAACATGGACAAAGAGCTCTACTCAACCAGCCTAGAAAAGAAGGATTCTGGATCTCTGGAGCACTGATTTCCTATCCCATCTGTGAGGTACCTCGGGATATCTGCATTGGTCTTAGAGAATGTGTTGAGAAAGTCACTCACAAAATACCATTTACTTCTCATTTTTTATTTCTTTATTTCCTCAAAGTTCTTTCTGGAAAAGTCACAAAAAACAAACAAGGAAAGTGTATAGGAATTCCCAAAAGGTAGCTGACCACTATTTGCATAGGTGGCTCCATTATTTTTGCATCTTTTTTTTTTTTTTTTTTTTTTTTTTTTTTTTTTTGAGACGGAGTCTCGCTCTGTCGCCCAGGCTGGAGTGCAGTGGCGCAATCTCGGCTCACTGCAAGCTCCGCCTCCCGGGTTCACGCCATTCTCCTGCCTCAGCCTCCCAAGTAGCTGGGACTACAGGCGCCCGCCACTACGCCCGGCTAATTTTTTGTATTTTTAGTAGAGACGGGGTTTCACCGTTTTAGCCGGGATGGTCTCGATCTCCTGACCTCGTGATCCGCCCGCCTCGGCCTCCCAAAGTGCTGGGATTACAGGCGTGAGCCACCGCGCCCGGCCTATTTTTGCATCTTAAAAAAGGGGCCTCTGAAAGATTTTTTAAAAATTAGGTTGGTGTTGTAAGCATGCTTCCTGAAGAATAGAACGTGACTCTCTCAGAGCAATGGATGAAGTGGTTTCTGCATCTCTAAACAACACCATCACTACTGTCAGAGAAGCCCAAGGCACTTGGGGAAATCAGGTGCCAGCATTGAGGTGTCCAGCCCTCAGCCTTCAGATAGAGCAGTTGGTGGGGTGTAAGGAGGTGGAAACGACAGCTCCAAATGGCCCTCCTTCTCTCTTCCCTAGCCTCCTCTTCTCTCCCCTCTCTTCCCTAGTTTTCTTTGCCAAAGTGGCACAGGCAGGCCACTTCTGTAGTTTTCCTGGCTTGCTGCATTTAGAGGGTATCCTTGCCTTTAAGATCTCCCACATTGCCAAAACTAATGCTCTCATCTTGACCCGTCAGCAGCATTGTATCACTCTCTCTTCTTAAGTCATTCTCTTCACTGGGCTTCTGACAGTCCACTTCTGATTTTCCTCCTCTGTCTCCTTTACTGGATCCTATCCCTCCTTTCTCTGAACTCTAAAATTAGATGAATATGTTCTCTCCATCTATACTCACTCTTTCAGTGAAATCAACCAATCCCATCACTTTAAAAATTATCTAAATACTAAGAACCCCTGAATTTATATCTCTAGCTCTCAGCTTCCTTGAGCTCTGACCTGGAATATCCAATTGTGTTAGGCTGTTCTCACATTGCTATAAAGAAACACCCGAGACTGGGTAATTTATAAAGAAAATAAGTTTAATTGGCTCACGGTTTTGCAGGCTGCATAGGAAGCATGATGCTGGCATCTGCTCAGCTTCTGGGGAAGTCTCAAGAAACTTACAATCATTATAGAAGGTGAAGGGGGAGCAGGCATATCACATGGCCCAAGCAGAAAAAAAGAGAGAGAGGAGAGAGGTGCCACACACTTTTAAACAGCCAGATCTCTCAAGAAGTCACTCCCTGTCACGAGGACAGTACCAAGGGGAGGGTACTAAACCATGCATGAGAAATCCATCCCCGTGGTCCAATCATCTCCTACCAGACTCCACCTCTAACATTGAAGATTGCAATTCAAGATGAGATTTAGGTGGGGGCACACATCCATACTATGTCACCAATTTAACATCTCTATTCTCTGTCATTTTCAGACTTAAGATGTCCAAAACTAAACTTCTGATTCCTTCATGCCCTGCATCCACCTCTTATCTTCCCTAACTAGGTAACTAGCACCAGTCACTTAGGCCAAAGGCCAAAAGCCCAGGAATATCATTGGCCCACCTTTTCCTGTTTCTTTGCTTTTTTTTTTTTTTTTGAGACAGTCTTACTCTTGTCCCCCAGGCTGGAGTGCAATGGGGCGATCTTGGTTCACTGCAACCTCTGCCTCCTGGGTTCAAGCGATTCTCCTGCCTCAGCCTCTCGAGTAGCTGAGATTACAGGCACCTGCCATCATGCCCAGCTAATTTTTGTATTTTTAGTAGAGACGGGGTTTCACCATGTTGGCCAGGCTAGTCTCAAACTCCTGACCTCAGGTGATCTGCCCACCTCAGCCTCCCAAGGTGCGGGGATTACAGGCGTGAGCCACCGTGCCTGGCTGACCCATGTTTTTCTCTCACACCCTACATCCAATCCATCAGCAAGTCCTGTCTGTTCTGCCTTTAGAATCTGACCACTTTTCACCTTATCACCACTACCATCCCAGTCCCTGTCACCATTGTTTCTTACCTAAGCAAATGCCTTCTAACTGGTTTCTCTGCTGTACTCTTTGCCCCGCTCTAGTCTATTCTCCATAGAATAGCCAGAGACTTTTTTAAAAAGTACTGCACCTTCTCTTCCCTCTCCTTTTCTCTATCACCCAAAAAATTCATCTTTAAACTATTAGGTGGAGTAAAGTAAGATCACCATAGTTGGGGGAAGAGGAAGCCATGCAAGTGAAGAGGCAGAGCCAAATGTAATGAAAAGGGCATCCATGATGGGGTGGTATGGCCTAGTGTGGGGAGTCAGAGGCCACAGTGGGTGAAGAGGGCATTGCTATGGTGTGTCAGAGCCTGATTAGTGAGGAGAGCACTCATGCAGGACGAGGAGGGCATCCATACGTGGGGTGGGCTTGTTTGAGGTGTTAGAGCCTGAGCAGGGTGCAGAGAGTGTCCCTGCAGGGGGAAGGAGTGGCCCAGGATGGAATGTCAGAGCCAGCGCAGGGTGAGGAGGGTGTTCATGTGAGAGGGGCAGCCTGGCATGGAGGGTTGATCTGTTCAGTAAATACAGTATATTAAGAAGAGTGGAAGGCAAGTTTCTCACTGCCGGCAGAGGAAAGGACAGTATAATTACCAAAAGGAGAAAATCAGAATTAGTCAATAGGAAAAAGTGAAATTGTGTATCATGTGATGGGAAGGAATAAGAATACAGCATCATTTCTGAGATACTTTTATTAAAATTGCATAAACTGAATTTAATAATGAGGAAAACATCAGACCAATGCAATTTTTTTTTTTTGTTTGAGACAGAGTTTCGATCTTGTTGTCCAGGATGGAGTGCAATGGCACAATCTCAGCTCACCGCAATCTCCATCTCCTGGGTTCAAGCAATTCTCCTGCCTCAGGCTCCTGAGTAGCTGGGATTACAGGCATGTGCCACCACACCCTGTTTTGTATTTTTAGTAGAGATGGGGTTTCTCCATGTTGGTCAGGCTGGTCTTGAACTCCTGACCTCAGGTGATCCGCCCGCCTCGGCCTCCCAAAGTGCTGGGATTACAGGCATGAGCCACCGCACCTGGCCAGACCAATGCAATTTGAGGAAGATGCTATGATGAATGAAATTACAAATTAATGACAGAAAGATGTCTGGAAAATCTCCAAATATGTAAGAACTAAATAGCATACTTCTAAAGAAGCCATAGGTCAAAGAATTAACCAAATGGAAAATTAGAAAATATTTTGAACTGAATGAAAATGAAAACAAAAAAACATAACACCTACATTAGAAAAGATGAATGACTTCAAATTAATTACCTCAGCTTCTACCTTAAGAAAGTGATCTCAGAATGGGGGAAGATGATTTTTAAAAAGAAAAAATTTAAAAAACAGAAACTAGAGTAAAGAAGACTAAATTAAACCCAATGTAATCAAAAGAAAGGAAATAAAGTTCAGAGCAGAGTTCAGCGAAACCAAATACAGAAAAACACTGGAGAAAATCAATAAAACCAAAAGCTGTTTCTTTGAAAAGATCAATAAAATTGGTACAACTCTAGCCAGACTTATCGGGAAAAAAAAGAGAGAATAAAAATACATATTACAAGTATCAGGAATGAGAAGGGTGACGTCATTAAAGATTCTTCAGATATTAAAACAATAATAAGGGAATATTATAAATAATTTTATGCTAATATAGTGAACAAAGTAGATGAAATGGACAAAAACTCTTGAAAGCACAAGCTACCAAAGCTCACTCAAAAAGAAATAATCTGAATAGCTGTATCTATTTAAGAAATTGTATTTGTAGCTAAGAACCTTCTCAAAAAGAAAACTAATACCTACAGACGATTTCATGTATCCATTTACCAAATATTTAAGGAAGAAAAAAAATACCAAGTCTACAGAATCTTTCAGGAAATGTTAAAAAAGAAAATACTTCCCAACTTACTCTGTGAGGCCAGCATTACTCTGATGACTAAGCCAAACAAAGTCATCACAAGAAAAGAGAACTATAAACCAATGTACCTCAACAGATGCAAAAATTCTAAATAAATGTTATCAAATTAAATCTAACAATATATAGGAAGAATAATATATTAACAAAGAAGAGTTTACCCCAGAAATGCAAGGTTAGCTTAACATCTGGAAAAAATCAATCAATATAATTCACTATATTTAATAAAAAATATATTGACATTATTTTTGACAAAGGTACAAAGGCAATTCAGTGTAATAAGGATAGTCTTTTCAAGTAATTCATGAAAACAATTAAAAATCAATATGCAAAAAGTAAACTTTGAAACTTTGCACCATATAAAGATTAACTCAAAATAGGTAGTAGACAATGTAAAACCTAAAACTTCTTAGAAGAAAACATAAAAGAAAATCTTTGTGACTTTGAGTAAGACAAAAATTTCTTAGATACAACACCAAAAATACAATGCAGAGAAGAAAAAAATTGATATATATTATAGGCCAGGCGCGGTGGCTCATGCCTGTAATCCTAGCATTTTGGGAGGCCGAGGCAGGGGGATTGCCTGAGCTCAGAAGTTCCAAGACCAGTATGGGCAACACGGTGAAACCTTGTCTCTACTAAAATACAAAAAATCACCCAGGCGTGGCGGTGTGCGCCTGTAATGCCAGCTACTCGGGAGGCTGAGGCAGGAGAATTGCCTGAACCTGGGAGGTGAAGGTTGCAGTGAGCCGAGATCATGCCACTGCACTCCAAGCTGGGTGACAGAGCGAGACTCCGTCTCCAAAAAAAAAAAAAAAAAAAAAAAAAAAAAAAAAAAAAAAAATATATATATATATATATATATATATATATAGGATAATATGTATTGGATTTCATTAAAATTGAACATTTCTGTTTCTTGAAAGACACTGCTAAGGGAATGAAAAGACAAGACCAGAAGAAAATATTTGCTTGTTTCCAGAAATACATAGAACTGTCTTTAAACACTACAATGGAAAAAAAATTTTAAATGGGCAAAGGATTTAAACATATTTCACTAAAGAAGATACATAGTGGCAAATCAGTACACGAAAGGATGGATGCTCAGCATCATTAATTATTTAAGAAATGCAAGTCAACAACACCATTAGAAACCACTACAAACTTATAATGACTAAAATGAAAAGGACTAACTATCTTAAGTGTAGATGAGTATGGGGAGCAACTGGAGCTCTCATACACTACTGGTAGGTATCCAAAAGGTACAACAACTTGTAAAAACTATTTGGTAGTTTATTACAACATTAAACATATACCATACACCTACCACATGATCCAACCATTCCATCTCCTAGGTATTTACCCAAGAGAAGTAAAAACATTTGTCTTTAAGAAGACTTGTGAACACATATTCATAGGAGCTTTATGTGTAATAGTCAAAAACCAGAAACAACCCAAATGTTCATCAACAGATGAATGGATAAACAAATTGTGTTTTATCCCTACGATGAAATACTACTCAGCAATAAAAAGGAATGAACTATTGATATACACAACAACATAAATGGATCCCAAAATAATTATGCTGAGTGAAAGAAGCCAGACAAAAAAATAGTTCATCCCATATAATTCCATTTATATGAAATTCTAGAAAATATAAACTAATCTATAGTAACAGAAAGCAGTAGTCTGCCTGGGTCCGAATGGGGGACAGAGGTGTGAGAGAGGGGGAGAGATTACAAAAGAGCACAAATAAACTTTTGGGAGTGATGGATATGTTCAGTATCTTGATTTTGGTGATGGGTTTATAGGTATATGCATATGTTGAACATTACATGCATATACCTATAAGGATAAATTTATATACTTAAAATATGTAGAATTTTTTTAAAAGACCACAAGACACATGACTAAGAAAATTATTCCAAATTATACTGCTACTTAAAGGTAAAGCTCACTATATGTACCTAACTACATAGTAGATACTTAATAAATATTTGTTCAAGAATTTAAAATATGAGAGAGCGGGAGAAAGAGATAGTGCCACTTGCCTACTCAGAACATCCCAGTGGCTTCCCATGATACTGAGATTAAAGGTAAAATTTCTTAGGTTGACCTGTGAGGCCCTGTGTTATCTGGCCTGTGTCTCTCTCCAACCTCCAACCAAGCTTTCCTACCACTATCTTTCATTGCATCCTTGACACAGAACCCCTCTTAGAATTTCTAGACACAGAAGTCAGTATTTTTTAAAGATTCCAATTTGCAACAAAGTTTAGGAACCGCTGAGTTTATAGACCCCTTTTTTCTGTGCTTAGAGCACTGACTATATCGAAGCCCTTACTCTAAGGTGCTGTTTCACTTTTCTAACTAATGTGTATAAAAATATGTAAGTATGTCCTCAAGTTCTAAACAGACTAAATAGCTCTTCAGACGAATACTGTTAGTCAATAGCGACATCTGGAGGTCTGATGAGAACCTAAACAAATAATCTAATTTTCTTGGTGTAGGACCACTCTTAACACAGGAAAAAGGTGCCAATGACCACTCCCCTCCCCAAAACACCCCTCCCCTACATACACATATCATACAGAAGGCGAAACGGAGACCCAGAGAGTAATTGATAGCTGTGGAACTGGAACCTGACTGGTCCACCTACCTCCACTTCCTCTCAAGGGCATCCTCCCCCAGAGTGGCCTCATCTTCACATCTTCCCATTATAAGGAACACCACCATTCACTAATAGCTTCCAGGGGTTTTTTTCTAGCTCCCAAGCATGACCCTGGTTGATGCCTGCAACTGCCAAACACAGCTGCATGACTAACCTTAGCCAGAGTATCTGGATAGTAATGGTGGTTCCTCTCCTATATACCCTAGGATTTTGATTTCCCCCCTGGTAGAAGGAAAAAGTTGCACTGTTGGGTAGGAAAATCTGATGGATGGGGACAAAATATAGGCTGATTTTTCTGGTTAAGGATAATGGTTCCCATTTAACAAATTAGAGGACTAAGGCCCAATGAAGGTAATTGCCAAGACCACTTATCTCCACACGTTCTTTCTCTCTGTCCTGAATCCAAGGGCCTTCATACCAAGTGGGGAAACTGAGACCCAAGTACAGAACTATGCTTTCCAGGTAGGCTTCTGAAAGCCCCTGGCTGACTTGTAGCACTAACACTAATGGGACACCAGAGGTGTGACATTCTCTATATGAAGTAACAACGGATGATGCCAGAGTCCAAAGGAAAAGTAGTCTGAAAGAAGCTAGGATATCAGAGTTGGAGGGCAGAGGCTGAAGATTCAGGCTGGTGGGAAGGGATCTTTGAACCTAGACTGGGAGAAATAGTTCCTGAAGCAGGAACTGAGTGGAATTTGAGGACTGAAGATCCAGGAGCAAGAGAAAAGGGAAGGCTGGGGCCCTATATAGGTGTCCTCCCTAGAGACAGAGAACAGCCAGTGGCTGCACTGCTCCTACCTTATTTTGTGTAGCAGGTGCCTAAGGTGTGGCTCCCAGGGCACTGGGACCCCTAAAGAACAAGAAACGTTTCAAGCCAGTGTGAGCAGGCAAAGACTTGGGGGATAGATAGGGTCTCCTATCCCTTTCTATTCACCTGCCTCTGCTTGACACAGGAGAATCCAGCAGCTGCAGTGGAGAGTCCTACCTTTTCCACTCCATCCAAAGTCTCAATTTTTGGAACTTTATTGACACCATGAGGTGCCAAACTGTCAAGTCTAAGAGAGGCTTCGCAGACACCTTCGCCAGGAGAAAGCCGGCGGGGGCTGCCTTGGTTCCCTCGGCAAAGGGAAAGATATGGATTAATTCTGGCCTCTGTAGTCTGGATGAAAGAAAAGCTTTGAAACCCAGAGCAAAGCCCTGTGGAGCTTTCAGGGAAGTGTAGTCCCGAATGAAGAGGGTGCATTTTGGAAGCTCCCTGGAAATAGTAGTGTTTGTGCTCCGGATGCGCATGACCTGCTCGGCATCTGCACTGTGCTCAAGGCTGGGGCCTGATCTTGTGCCACGTGGGCACATGTGGCCATCCCCCAAGGCTGGCCTGGTGCCACCAGGGGTGGGGTGGGTGCGACTGTTACCCTTCCGTTTGCCTCTCTGTCGGGAGTCGTTAAGGCTTTACTGTGGCATGGGACTTAGTATATCCAGAGCTCACAATCTGGAAAGGGCTAACAAGCAAACCAACAACACATCATGTTACAATTGCTGCCTTGGGCAGAAGCACATGGGTGGGAAAGTTATCCAGAGGCACTGAAGTTCGAGCAGAAATCTGGGGCACCTGTAAGGTGGAAGCTGGCAAGGCGTACAAGCAGGCCCAAGGCCTCTGGGAGAGGTATCACAGGCCGAGGGACCAGAGAGGAGTTAACAGAACAAACCTTTGCCGGGGAGAGTAAAGGGATAACAGGGAGAGAGGTGGAAGTAGGGAGAAGGGCCACCCAAAGCCAGACTGAGCAACTTGGACTGTGTGCCTAGGACAGTATGGAGACATTAGAACTCTAGGCAGAGGTCTTACCTGCTCAAAATTGGATTTTAAAACAATCCATTTCCATTGTGGAGGGTAGATTGGAATGACTGACATTGGGGTCAGGAATTCTTGGAAGAAATGATAGTGATCTTGGCTAGAGTGGAACCAGTGGAGATGGAGAGGAGACGATATTATGGCAACGACATGTATTTAGGAGATAGGCCGGGGAAAAAAATGGTCATCGATTGGGTGGGGGATGGTAGATTACTTTGGGCCTCCCTGGGGGTAGGGTGGGTGCCACTCATTGGATAGAGAAATTCACACACGTGTTGCCCATTTTTCTTACACAGAATGCCCTTATTTATAAACTATCTCATTTGAATAAATAAATTGAAGGAGATTTCCAGCCATTTGCACAACATATGCATGTGAACACACATAATATGCAATGCACTGATAGACATAAATGCAGAGGTTGTGTTAGACTTGGAATGACAGACTAGGTCCTTGCCCCCTCACTCCTCCCTTTATACACCTCAGGGTCCGTTCCTCTTCATGGTGAGCTCTTGTGCAAGCTGCTTAGCCTCTTTTGGCTTAATTTCTAAAAGACAACTCCTTACAAATGGACCACTCAATTGTTATGAGCATGTGGAATTTAAGAATGAGCCTTAAGTACTAAAGGAATCCTACTGTGTTTATTGATAATGGCATCTGTAGAAGAGATGCCCACTTACAAAAGAGGAACCCAGGATGACTGTACAAAGGCAAGCAAAAAGAAGGGTTGAAATAAATATATCTTCCAGGCTTTAAAAATGCAAACATGGAACTTCGGGAACATCTGTCGAAATGGAGATTATGGTGTAAAAATTAACAAGCATTCACAGCCTCCTTCTGACCATAGAACTGTCAACATACATACTCATGTTGTTGAAGGGTGGACTGGGAAATGGCAGAGAAACCAAAAACCTATTTTCTTCTGGGGCTGACCCAGAGGCAGAAGTAGGCCATAACCAATGCCAGGCTGAGCAAAGGAAGGTAGGTTTCTTCCCCAGTAAATGCCAGATTCTCGTTGGCCAAGCTGATGAGAGACTCCACGGGGTCTGTAGCACACGTCCTTGATAGAAGGTTAGATGTCCTGGATCTCCCTGGGATCCCCACAGGGAGAGAGAAGTAAAAATCAGGCTCTCTCCTTTCTGGGTGATGGGGAAGTACCTCCAGGAAAAAACTAATAATTGGCACAACTGTACTAATGGTTTTATTACAATCAAAAGTGGAGAAGAGTATAGAGGAGACCCCAGATGGAGCAGAGAAGAGGTGACCTTCCTTTTAGAAGCAACTTAAGTCTTCAGTAACACAACTCCTTCTGGGCCAGCTCCTACGTATGTGGTAATTCTAGGGGGACCTATAGCACAATAAATCTCAGGAATGGTTTTCTCTGGGGATTGTATGAGGCTTTGGGTCCCTGAGGAATATCCACACATGGAGGAAACCTTTCTAAATAGAAAAGGTCTCTGTTACTGCAGTACGTTCCCAGAGATATCTTGGAGGTCCAAGCTGTTTCCTTACAAGTATCAGGGGTGTCAGGGGGAAAGACAGATAGACGTGCATTGGGCAGTGGAGGAAAGGAGGCTACCACTCAGCAGAACTCTCCTATGCAACTAACCCTTGAGAGAACCTTATAGCTCCAGAACATTTATTCTTCTGAAGTATTCTTCCAGGTGACTCTCAATGGGGTAGTCCAATCTATTTTCCAATGACAGCCTGGAACTGAATCAGTCTGTACTAAGACCTACCCAAATAAGCTAGATTGTCAGCTACTTGTCACCTCTGTAACTCCAGTGTTTAGTAGAAAAGGCTGTGTCACATAGGAGCTGACCAATAAATACTTTTCAAATAACTAAATGAAAAATTGAATACAAAATATTCAGTACTATCTTAGATATTGCAATAAAATAGTCTTGGTGGAAAAAAATGTAAGGGTGGTCTACCCTGGAGAGAAAAGAACTCCCTAATTTTGCTAAGTCCTAGAGGGTCTTACTTTAACCATTTATCATGCCTCTGGCTTAATCTTTTTTAGATAGGCCAAGTATAGGCCTCATTTTTTATTAGTTCGTCCTTTAGCTGGTATTCTTGGGTTTTCCCACCTCCAGCTTCAGAGAATACATTACAGTATTATTTAGGGTTCATTTTAAGAGATGAGTAAATTTTGAATTGGAAGGCAAGTAGAAAGAATTTTAGATTTAAATTCCAAAAAACACCTCACAACTTCCTTTAGCCAAAAGATATGAAAACTTATTACAGTGAAATACTAATTACAGTGATCTTCTATTCAAAATATTTGTTATCTAAATAACAAATATTTTTAGCCAGGCACGGTGGATCACGCCTGTAATCCCAGCACTTTGGGAGGCCAAGGCAGGTGGATCACTTGAAGTCAGGAGTTCGAGACAAGCCTGGCCAACATAGTGAAACCCCGTCTCTTTTAAAAATACAAAAAATTAGCCAGGTGTGGTGGTACGTACCAGCAGTGCCAGCTACTCGGGAGGCTGAGGTGGGAGGATCACTTGAGCCCAGGAGGTGGTGGAGGTTGCAGTGAGCCAAGATCATGCCACTGCACTCCAGCCTGGGCAACAGAGTGAGACTCTGTTTAAAAAAAAAAAAAAAGTTATTTAAGTGGTTTAATTCCAGAAATATTTTAAGGAGGTCTAAAAATACCCACAATGGGTGCTAATGATATTTTTATGTTTCTTGTAAAAGCACAAATTCTAAGTGGAAAAGCCTAAGGAATGGCACAAAGAAGGTAAGAAAAGAAGGGACACAAATTGGGAGAGCAAATGGAGGTGGGATGAGAGGGGGATATTGAAACTGATCCAGTAGTCCCATAGACCAGCGGTCTCCAACCTTTTTGGCACCAGGGACCAGTTTCGTAGAAGACAGTTTTTCCACAGACTAGGGCAGGAGGCTGGGGAGGGGCATGGTTTTGGGATGAAACTGTTCCACCTCAGATCATCAGGCATTAGTTACATTCTCATAAGGAGCACGCAACCTAGATCCCTCACATGCACAGTTCACAATAGGGATCGGGCTCCTGTGAGAATCCAGTGCTGCCACAGATCTGACAGGAGGCGGAGCTCAGGTGGTAATAATGCTCACTTGCCTGCAGCTCACCTCCTGCTGTGCACAGGCCCAATTCCTAAGAGGCCATGGACCAGTACCAGCCTGCCACTCCAGGGCTGGGGACTTCTGCCATAAATAGTTCTTTTGGATAAACATAGAAACTGACCCTCTGGTCTTAAAACTTGAAAGTTATATTTCGTTTGTCTGAGTTCCTTCCTCCCGAGAAGATCTCCAGGCCACTTAAAAAGTATCAAAGAACTGAAACTCACCAGATCACCACATGCAGGCAATTAGAATCCAGACCCCTCATTTTGTTTCATTACCCCTCCCTAGTTTCTGTTTTCCAACACATTGTTACATTTCTTCCCTGCTACATAAAGCCCTAATTTTAGTGGGTCAGGAATATAGATTTGAGACTGATCTCCCATCTCCCTGGACAGTGACTGCTGAAAGCTTTCTTCCTTGGGAAAGCCTTCTTGAACCTTGGCAATAATCATCTCAGTGACTGGCTTTCTGTGAGGTGAGCATCAGGACCTAGATTGAACCCCTGTTCAATAACAGATTTCATTCCCTGACCTGGAATGCATTGCTCAGCTGCTATGGGGCCAGGAAGTCTTGGAAAACCTCCTAATCAGCTGACCGCCCAATTTTGGCTGGAGGTTAAGTTCTGGTCTGTCTATGGCCTTGTGGCTGCCAGCCCCAAGTATGTGCCTGATTGCCTACAAAGAACAGTCTTTGAAATCTGACATATGCATATGAATAGGTGAGTGTCCTTTGTGGGCCCAGACAGCAGGATCTGCTCCTCTCAATTTGGGAAATTTTTAAAGGAATTTCCATCTGCAGGATGAAGAAGCCCAATTGTGTAAGAGAGTGAAGCACCTTGTTTCAGTTTGGACCCTCTAGGGGGCTTTTTTGTAATTGTTGTGTGTGCATCCAGACTTGTTTGTAATTGTTGTGTATGTCACAATTGTTGTGTGAGTGTCTTTTGTGGATGTGAGACAGAGGGACTGGCTCCTCTTAATTTGAGAAATTCCAAAGGAATTTTTATTTGTAGGTTGACCAAACCCATCCTATTGAGAGAGGACACTGTTGGAGCTAGTTTGTGGCTGCAGCGGTTGGATTGTGTTTTGTTGATTCTTTTGTGTGTGTGTCAATATAGTCATGGGAAATTTGAATTTGATAAACTAATATACTTTTATAATATTGTTTGGCCCCAATATTGTTTGGAATCTGGAGTTTGCTGTTGAATGGGCAAGTGAAATGGAGTTCCATATATTCAGGTTTTTGTGCTGCTGTTCTAAGCCGGGTCTGGCCTGGTTAGTATGTGGTGTTGTCCTGTGGTGCTGCTGTTTGGCCTCAGTGTTCCTTGGAGTCTGGGAGGTTTGGCCTTTAAAAATCAAGCTGCCATGGAAACTGCTTTACCCAAAATTTTGGTTCACAGCGTTCACTGGATGACATGGCTTGGCTGTGTCCCCACCCAAATCTCATCTTGAATTTTACTCCCATAATTCCCACATGTTGTGTGAGGGACCCAGTGGGAGATAGTTTGAATCATGGGGGCAGTTTCCCCCATACTGTGCTCATGATAGTGAATAAGTCTCATGAGATCTGATGGTTTTATCGGGGCTTTCCGTTTCTGCATCTGCCTCATTTTCTCTTGCCACTGCCATGTAAGAAGTGCTTTTCGCCTCCTGCCGTGATTGTGAGGCCTCCCCAACCATATGAAACTGTAAGTCCAATTAAACCTGTTTTTCTTCCTATCCGAGACTTGGATGGGAAGAAAAAGAGGTTTAATTGGACTTACAGTTAAACCTTATCAGCAGCATGAAAACGGACTAATACACTGGATTACCTTTTGAGAGAAACAAAGCATAGCCATGTAAACTGGTGAGTTTGTATTGCTATTTCATGGCTAGAGTTCTGAGGTAAAAGCTATTGGATCTTTGCTTATGTGTGTGTATTCATGTCTAGATGTGTTTATGTATGTACATTTATTGTATGTTGTGTCTACTAAATTGGCTTATAAATAAAAGAGCACTTAATAAATTAAGCCCAAAGTATTTTTCAAGTTCATGTGACTTACGTAAACCTTTAATAAACAAGCTGGCTTTAAAATTATTGATAATATAAAAATAGAAATCCTTCAGAATTGTCAGCATACATTTATGTCTGGATTTTGTCTTTGTCTCTGCTAGATATTTTGAGGTATCAGGCTTTGGCATAGACGGTTATAAAACTATAAACCCAGGCAAAACAAAATGATCTTGGTTTGTATGCTTTGACAAATGAGACTAATGTTGTTAGCTGAATCTTCTGAGTTACTGGCAAAAATACCTATGTATTTAAAGTTCTTATGTGATTACCTGATGTTCACGGCTGTAAAAAGATAAAATAAAATAAAACAGGCCGTGTGCGGTGGCTCAAGCCTGTAATCCCTGCACTTTGGGAGGCTGAGGAGGATGGATTATCTGAGGTCAGGAGTTCGACACCAGCCTGGCCAACATGGTGAAACCCTGTCGCTACTAAAAATATAAAAATTAGCTGGGCATGGTGGTGCACACCTGTAATCCCAGCTACTCGGGAGGCTGAGGCAGGAGAATCACTTGAACCCAGGAGGCGGAGGTTGCAATGAGCTGCAATCATGCCACTGTACTCCAGCCTGGGTGACACAGCAAGACTCTGTCTCAAAATAAATAAATAAATAAAATAAAATAAAATAAAACAAAACAAAGGCTGACAAGGAAATACCTTTAAATGATGATTAGCTGCGACTAATATCTCAGTTTTCAGAAGTCATCTAAACTGTTAAAAATGGAAGAATTGAGTACTTGTAAATGGGATAAATGTTGTAGGTGAATTTTTTGTGTAATTTAAAATCTTAAAATGGTTTTTAATGCTCATTAGATATCATTTCCAATTAAAAGGTTATGATATGGAGAAACATATTTGTAAAAATTGTGGAATGGTTTTCATCTATAAAATGATCATATCTGATAGGCAGCTCAGGATTTTTTGCTTCCTAGGTTTTCGCTAAAATTTAAGGTCTAGGGATAAGAATTATGGTTAATATATTATTCTGTATATAAAATGTACCAAAAAGAGGTGTTCTTAGTGAGAAAAATAATAATTTTTATTTAATTCAGAAGTTATCTAAAGTTTAATTCAAAATATGGACTTGAAAAGGTTATTCGTGAAACAAAGTAGTAAGGAATCAGTAGGTAGGGGAGAGTGATGTGAAGAAAGTTACAGATATGGGCCGGGCGCGGTGGCTCACGCCTGTAATCCCAGCACTTTGGGAGGCCGAGGGGGGCAGATCACGAGGACAGGAGATCAAGACCATCCTGGCTAACACGGTGAAACCCCGTCTGTACTAAAAATACAAAAAATTAGCCAGGCATGGTGGCGGGTGCCTGGAGTCTCAGCTACTTGGGAGGCTGAGGCAGGAGAACAGCGTGAACCCGGGAGGCGGAGCTTGCAGTGAGCCGAGATCACGCCACTGCACTCCAGCCTGGGCTACAGAGTGAGACTCCCTCTCAAAAAAAAAAGAAAAAAAAGAAAGTTACAGATATGAAGATGTGTTTTTGGTAAGGAAGGGTA
Source organism: Homo sapiens (assembly GCF_000001405.40). Taxonomy (NCBI): domain Eukaryota; kingdom Metazoa; phylum Chordata; class Mammalia; order Primates; family Hominidae; genus Homo; species Homo sapiens. Next base: position 149,111,748 of record NC_000003.12, on the reverse strand, counting down.
TAAAGAAAAGAGAATACTTTCATATGAGAAAGGATGGTAAATTGTAAGGTAAATTTTTGTCCTAAAGTAAAATGACTGGTTATTTAAAAAAAAAAAGTTGAAAAAGCTTAGATAGTAAAATATTCTTTAAAAGCTGATAGAAAATTGGAGAAATTCAGTGAATTAACACTGTTCATAAAGTTCTTAATCTCGAAGAAAGTAAAATAAGAAAATATTGTAAAGAAATACATTGGCAGTTTGGCCATTCTTTTTTAATAAAGTTAAGCATGAAGCCAGATTTAGTTAGCATGGAGCCAAATTTCACATATATGCTTGCATTGCTTCACACTATTTTTGCTATTCTGCATAGACAGTTTCAGCACTAAAGTACTTACTGGTCATGTACCTAAAGTGAATTTCTCAATTGCAAAAAATACATAATGGTATTGGTGGACTTAAAGACATTAAATTGTGTACCAGGAACAAAATATTCATCATTTGTTTTTGTAGGCTCTGGGCAATACTATAGCCTCCTGGGTAAACCAAGTAAGAGAAAAATTGGGGAGTGGTTTCCTCTTTGTTTTTTTTTCTTCTAATTTTCATTTATTTGCTGTTTTTTCTCCTTTGCATTTTGCTTATATAAACACATAAAACACCATTGATTTTTTTTAGTTTCTAACGGAAGGCTTTTATTTGGTTCTATGAATAGTCATTTTGTTTCCTATGGATTTCCAAGAATTCACTATCTGCTCTATTTATCCAAAAATTCCTAAGCTACCATTATCAAGCCTCTAAAAATTGATAGAGGATACCAGGTATTTGAAATTTGATTGGTTTTGCTACTTCTGATGCTCCCAAGAGCTATGAGAGCTTTAGGGTTCCTGGTGAAAAAAATTACATAAAAGACTTTTATAAGTTCTAAGCAGAAATAGTACATTATATATCTTATTTGGAAAAGTAGATGAGAATAAGATTTTCTAAATGGTGTTTGTTTCCAAAGAAATTCAATTCACTTAATAATTTGAATTGATTTCAGATCTTTTCCTTTAGGTCATGAGGACAAACTGTGATATGGGTGCAAAGTTTTAATGTTCAGGAAAGATTAGCCTTGTTCTTTTTTTTTGGAGACGGAGTCTCACTCTGTCACCCAGGCTAGAGTGCAATGTCGTGATCTTGTGTCCGGAATTGGTGGGTTCTTGGTCTCACTGACTTCAAGAATGAAGCTGCAGACCCTCACAGTGAGCGTTACAGTTCTTAAAGGCGGCGTGTCTGGAGTTTGTTCTTTCTGATGGTCGGATGTGTTCGGAGTTTCTTCCTTCTGGTGGGTTCATGGTCTCGTCTCGCTGGCTGCAGGAGTGAACCTGCAGACCTTCACGGTGAGTGTTACAGCTCTTAAAGCGGCACATCTGGAGTTCTTCGTTCCTCCCAGTGGGTTCGTGGTCTCGCTGGCTTCAAAAGTGAAGCTGCAGACCTTGGCGGTGAGTGTTACAGCTCATAAAGGCAGTGTGGACCCAAAGAGCGAGCAGTAGCAAGATTTATTGAAAAGAGCGAAAGAACAAAGCTTCCATGGTGTGGAAGGGGTCCCAAGTGGGTTGCCGCTGCTAGCTCAAGCAGCCTGCTTTTATTCTCTTATCTGGCCCCACCCACATCCTGCTGATTGGTCCATTTTACAGCAAGCCGATTGGTCTGTTTTACAGAGAGCTGATTGGTCTGTTTTGAGAGGGTGCTGATTGGTGTGTTTACAATCCCTGAGCTAGGCACAAAAGTTCTCCACGTCCCCGCTAGATTAGCCAGATGCAGAGTGTCGATTGGTGCATTCACAAACCCTGAGCTAGACACAGGGTGCTGATTGGTGTGCTTACAAACCTTGAGCTAGATACAGAGTGCCGATTGGTGTATTTACAATCCCTTAGCTAGACATAAAAATTCTCCAAGTCCCCACCAGACTCAGGAGCCCAGCTGGCTTCACCCAGTGGATCCTGCACCCGGGCTGCAGGTGGAGCTGCCTGCCAGTCCCCTGCTGTGCACCTGCACTCCTCAGCCCTTGGGTGGTCGATGGGACCGGTGGCTGTGGAGCAGGGGACGGTGCTCGTTGGGGAGGCTCGGGCTGTGCAGGAGCCCACAGCAGGGGGTGAAGGGGGGAAGGCTCAGGCATGGTGGGCTGCAGGTCCTGAGCCCTGCCCCACGGGAAGGCAGCTGAGGCCCGGCGAGAAATTGAGTGCAGCAGCAGCTGCTGGCCCAGGTGCTAAGCCCCTCACTGCCCGGGGCTGGTGGGGCCGGCAGGCCACTCCGAGTGTGGGGCCCGCCGAGCCCACGCCCACCCAGAACTCGCACTGGCCTGCAAGCCCCGCTTGCGCAGCCCTGGTTCCCGCCCATGCCTCTCCTTCCACACCTCCCCGCAAGCTGAGGGAGCCAGCTCTGGCCTTGGCCAGCCCAGAAAGGGGCTCCCCACAGTGCAGCGGTGGGCTGAAGGGCTCCTCAAGCATGGCCAGAATGGGCGCCGAGGCTGAGGAGGCGCCAAGAGTGAGCAAGGGCTGCCAGCACGCTATCACCTCTCAATCTCGGCTCACTGCAACCTCCATCTCCCGGGTTCAAGTGATTCTCCTGCCTCAGCCTCCCAAGTAGCTGGGATTACAGGCATGCACCACCATGCCTGGCTAATTTTGTATTCTTAGTAGAGACAGGGTGTCACCATGTTGGTCAGGCTAGTCTTGAACTCCACATCTCAGGTGATCTGCCCGCCTCTGCCTCCCAAAGTGTTGGAATTACAGGCATGAGCCACTGTGCCCAGCCAGCCTTGTTCTTAAAGAATTCCATTGACCAGGATTTCTCTGTAATTGCTTTAGTTGCATTAACCATTATTAAAATTAAGTGACAGTCACTTCAATTAAGTAGTAATTTTTTTTTTAAGGGGAGACTTTCTAGTGATCTTTGATCCTAAGCTTTTTATCACTGTTAGGGCTTCATGTGTGTACTTGAAAATAAAATATGTACAAATGTTAAATTGGTTTGAAGATTTTAGTGGTGAAAGTTACCTAATCAGTTGTTAGTACTATATCTACAAACCAATCTTGGAAATGCATGATGATGCTCGTTGAAATAGCTGAAAATAAATTATTGTGTGCTTGTTCTTACTTTGTGCCTGTTTTGTAGTACAGAATTTAAGGGAAGGGAGATAATTTATCTTCATACTGAGTTTCCAGAACTGATATTTGCATTTGCTTTTTATTTTTATTTTTTATTTTTAATGATGGAGAGAAAGGTTAGCTGTTTTACTTTGGTGAGTTGGCATAGGACCTATCACTTTTTGATGCTTTTGGTCATAGATCTATCACAGAATGCTAGCAATTAGACACATGCCATGAGTAATCTAACTACTTTAATACGGTGGTTGGAAGTGGTGCAGGCAGTAACTCCTATACACCAAATTATAGTGTTTTAATTTGTAACATGTTAGAGAGAGTGATAGGAATTTCTGCAGTATAAATATCCTGTTAACTAATGCTTGTGCTGTTAAGGGCTTTGACTCCTGGATCTGAAGAAGGCACTTACCCCTTTAAATTTTGAGCATTGACACCAATTGAACTATCGTCTTCAGATGCAAGAGAAGGCAACAATCAAAATTAACTGCTTTCATGAGACACAGGGCTGGAAATTAAAACTAAGCAATCCCTCTAGGCCCAGGGACTATAGTGGAAGAGGTGGGCGCGTGAGATTGTAAGTGCTGATTTTGAATAATAAGATTAGAGTGTTTCTGTAAATTAAACATTAATATCAAAAGCATACTGATGCAAGCCAGCATCTGGGACTGTGTGTCAGAATAACAGGGTTTTCTTGGAGCATTAATCAGTTATTTAATAAAAAATTGTAAAAGGTTATAAAAAGTTTATGGAGGCCAGGCGCGGTGGCTCACGCCTGTAATCCCAGCACTTTGGAAGGCCAAGGCGGGCGGATCACGAGGTCAGGAGATCGAGACCCTGGTGAAACCCTGTCTCTACTAAAAATACAAAAAATTACCCAGGTGCTGTGGCGGGCGCCTGTAGTCCCAGCTACTTGGGAGGCTGAGGCAGGAGAATGGCATCAACCCGGGAGGCAGAGCTTGCAGTGAGCCGAGATTGCACCATTGCACTCCAGCCTGGGTGACAGAGCAAGACTCTGTCTCAAAAAAAAAAAAAAAGTTTATGGAAATCTTACTTTATGGTCAAACTGATTAAAATTAGATAGATTTGTTTATAAGGTTTTATTTAAATCAGCTTTAGTATTAATAATATACCATACAAATGTAAAATTTGGTTTTCTCTTTTAAACAACATTTTCACGTAAGAGATCTTAAGAGATTTGTGTTTACCTTTTAAGTAAACTGCAGGAAAAAAAATGGACGGGGGGAGACACATTTAGTTGGCTTCGTGTTGAGTTTATTAGGTGTTATTGTTTGGGAAACTGAGTCTGTCTATCAAAGAGTAAATATTTTTGTTTTATCATTTCAGCTAGATGAATGACTATTTCATAATGACCTATGATCCTATTTTGTGATATGAAGTGTCTTAAACCTTTGACAGACTCCAAGAGTGGAATTTCAGGTTTTAAATTCAATCTTTTTGACCTTAAACAAACTTTTTTGGATATTAGGTTCCCTGAAGTCACCTGTCTCTCTCCAAGAGAGATATATTAGGCTTATTTGTTCTGTTAGAATTATTCAGGAAGCATTGTCAAATCTGAGGTGATAGTTAGCTTCCTTTGGGTCATATTTCTAGATGTGTTGCCAATGTATTCCAGGATTGTATGAGACTCCTAAAATTCTGGTATGTCTTAATATATGTTGTCAGTAATAATTATGATTATTAAATTGTTGTACGCCATGGAAATAACCAAATTATCTTGTCAACTGTGTCTTTATGGCCATGCTAAGTTTTGCCATCTACAATTGTTGTTTTGCTTTGATCCTTCTCAAAAAGTGACTTATAATTAGCTACAGTCCAGGGCTTGCTTCTTTGGGGGAGTTCATGAAAGGACTCTGAGTGCAGGTTTCTGATAACTTTGGAGATTGTGCCATTACATTAGAAAGAAAACTTCCAGGGCACTAATTGAAAGGCTGGTATGTTCATAAAGATTGCTAACCCATTATGAAGCAGAGCAAGAGTTAACTGTATGGACTGAACTAATGGAGGACTGAAATAATTTTTATGGCTTTTTTTGTTTGAAATATTGCTGATTCTTTTTGTTTTTTTCAGAGTCTGGAGAAATTTTTTTGTTTTGAGCTATTTGTAGCCTAAATATACTGAGTAGAATATACTTTTGTAAACAGACTTTGAGGCATATTTCTCTTTCTGCCTAATTTCTCCAGAATTTGTAAACTGTTTGTGAATATTCTTAATTCATGGCAATGTGGTTGTTTGCATGTGGTTAATAAGAACCTGTTTTCTTTTCTAATGACACACAGGTGGAGGAACTTGTTATTTTCCCAGAATTTTGACTGAAATGGCCTTGTGAGAGGTTCCAGCAAAGCCAGTTTAGGAGGCCCTATATGGACAATGATTCTTGCTGTATTTGTGGGGGTAACCAGGCCAAGTATAGTAACAGAAGCTTATTTTGCAAGTAGGTTGGTATTGCTGTGACTTGTTTTTGGTGGAAGTGGGGAACTGGAGAGAGAAAGATTGTGTTTCAGAAAAAAACTATAGTATTAGATTAACCTTGGATTCCTAGCTGGCCATGTGGTCACCCAAGATATGGAGCCACAGTTCCCCTCCTCAGCAGCCAGAAAGATCAATGACCAGATTCCCCATAATAAAGGAACTGATAAATAGAATGCAGGGATTGAGACCAATCCAATAGCCCAATAGATTTTTTTTTTTGGATAAATGTAGAAACTGGTCCTTCTGGTCTTAAAGCTTGAAACATGTATTTGTTTTTCTCTGAGTTCCTTCCTCAGGAAGAAAGACCCCCAGATCTCTCAAAAAGTATCGAAGAACTGAAACCAGATCCCCACATGCAGACAGTGAGAAGCCAGACCCTTCATTTTGTATCTTTACCCCTTTCTAGTTTCTGTTTTCTAACACACTGTTACATTTATTTCCTGCTATATAAACTCCTAATTGTATTGGTAAGGGAGATGGATTTGAGACTGATCTCCCATCTCTTCCACTGCAGCACTGGATGAAAACTTTCTTCCTTGGCAATAATTGTTGTCTCAGTGATTGGCTTTCTGTGTGGTGAACAGCAGGACCTAGACTGAACCCATGGTGTTTTGGTAACAATATGATTCATTTTGTATGTATTCCAGTGAAGGAGACCTCCTCTAGGTTTGTAATTTTTATCAAGACAGTCAGATTTGTATGACTTTATTCTACTTAAAAGTAAACATGTTAGATGTATTCTGTGTAATTTACAGCAAAAGTTCTCACTGGAAACAGCAGTGATTTGGATAAAATGTCTAAAATATCTAAAATAAAATGTTGGATAAGAAATTGCTTTCTGAGAAGTTTTGGGGGATTATCAATTGTCTTTTTTCAATTACAGATTGAGCATCCCTAATCAGAAAATCCCTAATCAAAAAATCTGAATTCCAAAATGCTCCAAAATCCAAATCTTTTTGAGCTCCAACATGACAATGAAGATGACGTTGTTATACTGCAGAAAAACTGCCTATAGATAACATGGTGAAAATGTGTGATGGACTTATCAAAAGACTAGAGCAAGGCTGGGCATGGTGGCTTACGTCTGTAGTCCTAGCACTTTGGGAGGCAGAGGTGGGTGAATCATTTGAGGTCAGGAGTTCAAGACCAGCCTGGCCAACATGGTGAAACTCCGTCTCCACTAAAAATACAAAAATTATCTGGGCATGATGGCACACGCCTGTAATTCCAGTACTTGGGAGGCTAAGGCAGGAGAATCACTTAAACTTGGGAGACAGTGGTTGCAGTGAGCCAAACTCGCACCACTGCACTCCAGCCTGGGCAAGAGAGCAAGACTGTGTCTCAAAACAAACAACAACAAAACAAATAAACAAACAAAAAAGGACTAGAGTAGCATGCATTCATCACAGAACAATAATCATATCAGTTTATAAAATCAGAGACTTTTAAGACAAAAACTATTGTTAATGAGTCAGATGACTCCGGAGGAAGTATTTTAAAAAGTCATCCAGCAGAATGCCTTCTTATCCCTTGAGAACTCATTTCCTGGTCCCTCAGCAGTTTCTGATGTTTCTTCCCATCTAAAAATATAAAATACAGTGTACAGCAACCTTTTAATCAAAATAGAGTTGACTCTTGAGCAACGCAGGGGTTGGGGCACTGACCTCCTACACAATTAAAAAAAAAATCCACATATAACTGACTCCCCCAGAATTTATATACTAATAGCCTACCGTTGACTGGAACCACTGCCAATAACAAAAACAGTCGATTAACATATATTTTACATGTCATATGTATTATATGCTGTGTTCTTACAATAGAGTAAGCTAGAGCAAAGAAAATTTTATAAAGAAAATCATAAGGAAGAGAAAATATATTTACTACTTATTAAGTGAAAGTGGATCATCATTAAGGTCTTCATCCTTGTCATCTTCATATTAAGTGGGCAAAGAATGAGGAAGAGGAAGAGGAAAGATTGTTCTTGCTATCTCAGGGGTGGCATATATGGAAGAAAATCTGCATATAAGTGGACCCGCACAGTTTAAATCTGTGTTTTTTTTTCAAGGCTCACCTGTACAGCATTGTAAGTGGAGACTGAAAGCCTGCCATTGTTTGTTGATGTTGTTGTTTAATGGATGATATAGGCATTCTGGTGATGCTACTGTGCTGCTTACTTACCTCCAACACATTGTTTTTTTCAGTGTCTTTTTTTTTTTTTTGAGACGGAGTCTCACTCTCTCTCCCAGTCTGGAGTGCAATGGCGCGATCTCGGCTCACTGCAAGCTCCGCCTCCAGGATTCACACCATTCTCCTGCTTCAGCCTCCAGAAGCCTCCCGAGTAGCTGGGACTACAGGCACCTGCCACCACAGCCGGCTAATTTTTTTGTATTTTTTTTTTAGTAGAGATGGGGTTTCACTGTGTTAGCCAGGATGGTTTCGATCTCCTGACCTTGTGATCTGCCCACCTCGGCCTCCCAAAGTGCTGGAATTACAGGCGTGAGCCACCATACCCGGCCTTTTTCAGTATCTTAATGATATGTCCCTTTTTTTTTTTTTTTTTTTTTTTTACTGTTAAGTACTTACATGCAAATAAGTGTAAGAAAATGGTTGCTTATCAGTAGCATATAAATTCAGAATCAGGAATGACAGTGATGCCAATCAAAAACAGATTGTCCACATGGGTGACTGATAGAATGATATCTTTGCTTTCTGATAGTTTAGTGTACACAGATTTTGTTTCATGCACAAAATACTTTTAAATATTGTATGAAGTTACCTTCAAGCTATGTGTATCAAGTATATAAGAAACATAAATGTATTTCACATATAGACTTGGAGCCCATCCTCAAAATATATCATTATGTATATGCAAATATTCCTTTAAAAAAATAGAGACAGGGTCTCTTTCTGTCACCCAGGCTGGAGTACAGTAGAGTTGATCATAGTTCACTGCTGCCTCGAACTCCTAGGCTCAAGTGATCCTTCCACCTCAGCCTCCTGAGTAGCTGGAATTACAGGGTCTCACCATCTTGCCCAGGCTGGTATCAAACTCCTGGGCTCAAGCGATCCTCTCTCCTTGGCCTCCCCAAGTGGTGGGATTACAGGCGTGAACCACTGCACCTGGCCACAGATACACCAAAAAAAAAAAAAAAAAAAAAAATCCCAAACCTGAAACACTTCTTGTCCTAAGATTTTGGGTAAGGAATACTCAACTTCTATAATAACAGAAGAATCTACAGGAGAAAGCATGTTTCATGGTAGGATAGAATTTGATTTTTTAAGTTATTACTTTCCTAAATTATGCTTAGATGCAAGGAAAAGTGATTTACTTTATTTAATCAACAAATATTTAATATTTACTAGATCCTCTTCTAGGTGCTATAGGATCAGCTGTGAACAATATAAGTTCTTGCTTTGGTGGAGTTTATCTAGGAGAAGGAAACAGGTGGCTGGCAAGGTTGTAGAGAAAAAGGAATGCTTATACACTGCTGGTCGGAGTATAAATTAGTTCAATCATTGTGGAAGACTGTGGTGATTCCTCAAAGACCTAAAGACAGAAATACCATTTGATGCAGCAATCCCATTACTGGATATATAACCAAAGGAATATAAATCATTCTATCATAAAGACACATGCACGCATATGTTCATTGCAGCACTATTCACAATAGCAAAGACATGGAATCAACCTAATAGACTGGATAAAAAAAAATGTGGTACATATAAACCATAGAATACTATGCAACCATAAAAAAGAATGAGATCATGTCCTTTGCAGGGAAACAGATGGAGCTGGAGGCTGTTATCCTTAGCAAACTAACACAGGAACAAAAAACCAAATACGGCATGTCCTCCTAAGTGAGAGTTAAATGATGAGAATACATGGACACATAGAGGGGAACAGCATACACTGGGGCCTATTGGAGAGTGGAAGGTGGGAAGAGGCAGAGGATCAGGAACAACAGAACTAATGGATACTAGGCTTAATACCTGGGTGATGAAATAATCTGTACAATGAAACCCCATGACACATGTTTACCTATATAACAAATCTGCAAATCCTGCACATGTACCCCGAACTTAAAAGTTTAAAAAAAAAAGAAAAAAGAAAAAAGAAAAAAAAAAGTCAGGGTTGGAGAGATATATATTTGGGAGTGATCAGCATATAGATGGTATTTACAATCGAGTTAGGTTTGGAAGGTGGTGTTATTTTAAATAAAAAAGGAAGTCATGTGTGAGTGAGATCATGTAAGGCAGTGTTTCTTAATGGAGAGTGATTTTTCTCCCCTCTTACCGGGTCATCTGACAATGTCCAAAAACATTTTTGACTGTCAAGTGGTCAGGAGGAGTGCTACTAGTATCTAGCGTATAGAGGCCAGGGATACTGCTAAACCTTCAACAATGCACAGGACAGATATTTCCCCTTCACAACAAAGAATGATCCAGTCTAAAATTTCAATAGTGGCAGAGTGTTGTGGCTTATGCCTGTCCCAGCACTTTGGGAGGTCAAGGCAGGAGGATCGCTTGAGCTCAGGAGTTCGAGACCAGCCTGGGCAATGTGATGACGTTGTCTCTACATAATATTTTTAAAAATTAGCTGGGCATGGTGGTGTGCACCTATAGTCCCAGCTACTTGGGGGGCTGAGGTGGGAAGATCCCTCGAGCCTAGGAGTTTAAGGCTGCAGGAGTTGAGATGCGTGATTGCCCCACTGCACTCCTGCCTGGGTAACAAAGCAAGACCCTATCTCTAAAAAATAATAAATAAATAAATAAATAAATAAATAAATAAATAAATAAATAAAATTTCAACAGTGTCCAGTTTGGGAAATCCTGATGAAGGGTATGGATGTTTTATGTTAGAGAAACATGGACATGTACTGCTGAAGTTTCAGTGGGTTATATATTCCCTCCTCCATTTTCCCTAAAGATCATTGAACGGATGAGCTGATATACTGCAGTAAAACTTGCGAATTTTGACTGGATCTGGTGCTGGAAAAAATTGTACAAAGTTGTATCTTCTATATCTGTGCCATCCAATGTGGTAGTCACTAGCTACATGTGTTTAATTATATTTAAACTTAAATTTAAAAATCGGTTTCAGCTGGGTGTGGTGGCTCACGCCTGTAATCCCAGCGCTTGGCGGGGACCAAAATGGTCAGATTGCTTGAGGTCAGGAGTTTGAGACCAGCCTGGGCAACATGGTGAAGCCCCATCTCTACCAAAAGTACAACAAATTAGCTGGGTGTAGTGGTGTGCACCTGTGGTCCCAGCTACTTGGGAGGCTGAAGTGAGAGGATCACATGAGCCTGGGAGGCAGTGGTTGCAGTGAGCTGAAATCACACCACTGCACTCCAGCCTGAGCAACAGAGCTGGACTCTCAAAAAAAATTCATTCTATAGCTGCACTAACCACATTGCAAGAACTCAGCCACCACACATAGTTTGTGACTACCCTATTGAAAGCATAGATACAGAATATGTCTATAATTGTAGAAAGTTCTTTTGGACAATGCTGTTCTAGATATTTGGATAACAGTTGATGTGGAATTACATTTCTTTTGGTTTCTTGTATTTGTGTAGAAATTTAATTTGTTTTATATAACAGCATTAAGACTTTCAAATATGTTTGTATGAAGTTTTTCTGCATAATATCTCTTCTACATGGTAAATACTATCTAGCTTCTACTAATACACTTTTGCTTTTAAAAATGGTAGTTAAAATCTACAGAAGAAAATATAGAGACAAACCCATATTTGTCAGGTTTGGCTGTATAACAAAATACACTGGGTGGCTGAAACAACATAAATGTACTTTCTCACTATTCTGGAGGCTGGAAGTCTGAGATCAGGGTACCATGGTTGGGTTCTGTGAGGGTTCTCCTCCTGGTGTGCAGCTAGCTACCTTGCTGTGTGCTCACATAGACTTTCTGCTGTATGTGCAGAAGAGGAGAGAGAGAGAGAGAGAGAAAGTCTCTACTCCTGATTCTAATTTTGCATCTTTTCTGTTACTTTGATTCAGTAACATAGGCATTTTACCATAAAAAAACTTTTGCATTTCATCTTGTATACTCGTCAAAAGTTATGTTATTGAACATTAGGATTTGTAGAAGATCACTAGTTGTACCCCTAAATCTGTTCTCTCTTCCATGATAATAAACTTCTAGCTAGGCACATCACTACCTAGCCTCCCATGCTGCAGGAGTGGCTACTCCACTGACTAAACTTTTTTCAATGGAATATGAAACATCAGTGAGGTGTGCAACTTCCCTGTCATTTGCTTAAGATGATATCACTTGTCTTGGACTAATTTTTTATGACTGTTAATGGCACTAATTAGGGAGAAATTCAAACTGGTGTTGAGAAGTGTATCCAGAAGTTTCTGGGTATTGCAAGACAGAACTTATTTTCCTACCAAAAAATATTGCAGTTATCTTTCAGAAAACCAGAGCAAGGCATCCAAAAGGATATGTTGGCAATAAGGAATAAATTATAATGGAAAGATGCTCTGGTCAAGAAACATTTGATAAAACAAAGGCAGGTGCTGGACAACATCAACAGGGAGCACAAAAGCCTTCAGAAATTCCTCAAAAGAACTTGATGTACCTGGAAAAGGCTTCTGCTAATATCCCTGCACCTGTGAAGCAAGCATGAAGAAAAATACAAAGTGAATTGGCTTGAAAATTATGTTGTGTGTGATTCAGCCTAAGAAGAGAGTTTCATAAGACATTAATTTTTGCAGACAAAACATTTTGCAGGAAGACTCTACCAGTAAAGTGTGAGACAGTTTTAGTTTTCAGCACATTTTTACCCTATTTTTCGTTTGTTTGTTTTTTGAGACGGAGTCTCTATTGCCCAGGCTGGAGTGCAGTGGCACAATCTCAGCTCACTGCAACCTCTGGCTCCTGGGTTCAAGCGATTCTTCTGCCTCAGCCTCCTGAATAGCTGGGGTTACAGGCGCCCATCACCATGCCCATCTAATTTTTGTATTTTTAGTAGAGACAGGTTTTCACCATGTTGGCCAGGCTGGTCTCGAACTCCTAACCTCAGGTGATCCGCCCGCTTTGGACTCCCAAAGTGCTGGGATTACAGGTGTGACCCACCGCGCCCGGCCTTACCCTATTTTTATAAACTTAATTTATCAAGTACTTTCTAAAATACTATAGCTTTAGTTTTAAAAAAGCTAAGTGGCTGGGCGCGGTGGCTCACGCTTGTAATCCCAGCACTTTGGGAGGCCAAGGCGGGCAGATTATGAGATCAGGAGATTGAGACCATCCTGGCTAACACAGTGAAACCCTGTCTCTACTAAAAATACAAAAAAAATTAGCTGAGCCTGGTGGTGGGCACCTGTAGTCCTAGCTACTTGGGAGGCTGAGGCAGGAGAATAGCATGAATGTGGGAGGCGGAGCTTGCAGTGAGCCGAGATCCTGCTACTGCACTCCAGCCTGGGTGACAGAGCGAGACTCCGTCTCAAAAAAAAAAAAAGGTAAGTTTTGGATCTTTTATTAGTCTGTTAATATGGTGCCACTTACAGATTTTTTTGTGGAATTTTTTTTTTGCTTTTCATTTAACTTGTGATTTTTGTGTGACTTTTAATTTCTGTGTATATATTCAGTTGATAGATTAAATTGCATGATTGGAGGAAAAGCATTCTACTGGCCTCGGTGTGAGGAAATGAGGACTTTGGTGGTAGGCCTTTGGGGATAATTACTCTTCAGTGGTGGTGAGAGATGACAGCATGCTGGCAGTCCTCAAAGCCCTTGCTCGCTCTCGGCGCCTCCTCTGCCTGGGCTCCCACTTTGGCAGCACTTGAGGAGCCCTTCAGCCCGCCGCTGCACTGTGGGAGCCCCTTTCTGGGCTGGCCAAGGCCAGAGCCAGCTGCCTCAGCTTGTGAGGAGGGTGGAAGGAGAGGTGCAGGCGGGAACCGGGGCTGTGCGTGGTGCTTGCCGGCCGGCGGGAGTTCCGGGTGGGCGTGGGCTTGGCAGACCCCGCACTTGGAGCCGCTGGTTGGCCCCACCGACCCTGGGCAGTGAGGGGCTTAGCACCTGGGCCAGCAGCTGCTGTGCTCAATTTCTCGCCGGCCTTAGCTGCCTTCCCGTGGGGCAGGGCTCAGGACCTGCAGCCAGGCATGCATGAGCACCCCCCTACCCCCTCCCCTCCCCCTCCTCCCCCTCCCTCCCCCCACCTATCCCCTCCCCCTCCCCCTCCCCACCTCTCCCCCTCCCCTCCTCCCTCCCCCACCTCTCCCCTCCCCCACCTCTCCCCCTTCCCCAGCTCTCCCCCTCCCCCACCTCTCCCCCTCCCCCCATCTCTCCCCCCCACCCCCCCCCATCCTGTGCTGCCAGAGCCTCCCCAACGAGTGCTGCCCCCTGCTCCAGGGCACCCAGTCCCATCGACCACCCAAGGGCTGAGGAGTGCAGGTGCACGGCAGGGGACTGGCAGGCAGCTCCACCTGCAGCCCAGGTGCAGGATCCACTGGGTGAAGCCAGCTGGGCTCCTGAGTCTGGTGGGGACTTGGAGAACCTTTATGTCTAGCTCAGGGATTGTAAATACACCAATCGGCACTCTGTATCTAGCTCAAGGTTTGTAAACACACCAATCAGCACCCTGTGTCTAGCTCAGGGTTTGTGAATGCACCAATCGACACTCTGTATCTAGCTACTCTGGTGAGGACTTGGAGAACCTTTGTGTCCGCGCTCTGTATCTAGCTAATCTGGTGGGGATGTGGAGAACCTTTGTCTCTAGCTCAGGGATTGTAAACGCACCAATCAGCGCCCTGTCAAAACAGACCACTGGGCTCTACCAATCAGCAGGATGTGGGTGGGGCCAGATAAGAGAATAAAAGCAGGCTGCCGGAGCCAGCAGTGGCAACCTGCTCAGGTACCCTTCCATACTGTGGAAGCTTTGTTCTTTTGCTCTTTGCAATAAATCTCGCTGCTGCTCACTCTTTGGGTCCACACTGCCTTTATGAGCTGTAACACTCACCAGCGAAGGTCTGCAGCTTCACTCCTGAAGCCAGCGAGACCACGAACCCACCGGGAGGAACAAACAACTCCAGACGCGCCACCTTAAGAGCTGTAACACTCACCGTGAAGGTCCGCAGCTTCACTCCTGAGCCAGTGAGACCATGAACCCCACGAGAAGGAAGAAACTCTGAACACATCTGAACATCAGAAGGAACAAACTGTGGACAGGCCGCCTTTAAGAACTGTAACACTCACCGCAAGGGTCCGCGGCTTCATTCTTGAAGTCAGCGAGACCAAGAACCCACCAATTCCGGACACAGTGGTATAGAAAAATATGTTATTTTGCTGTGTTTATTTCGGGACTTTGAACTATCTCAAATATAGAAATCTAAAGCAGCAACTTTTATTTATTTATTTATTTTTGAGACAGAGTCTGGCTCTGTCTCCAGGCTGGAGTGCAGTGGCGTGATCTTGGCTCACTGCAACCTCCACCTCCCGGGTTCAGGCAATTCTCCTGTCTCAGCCTCCTGAGTAGCTGGGACTACAGGCGCGTGCCACCATGCCCAGCTAATTTTTGTATTTTTAGTAGAGGCAGGGTTTCACCATGTTGGCCAGGATGGTCTCAATCTCTTGAAGTCGTGATTCGCTCATCTCAGCTTGGGATTACAGGCATGAGCCACCACACCCGGCCCTAAAGCAGCAGTATTTGTAATGATTCCCTAGCTCTCCAAATGAGGATATTTTGTAAATAGGTAGAAGGAGGATAACAAGATCCTAATTATGTAGTAGTATTACAGTAGGATCCTTAGATTTATGTGGACCTTTATTTTATTCTTTTGGTGATGTTTAATGATTTGGGGGATGGTAAGAGAGGAAATATGTTGGGGACATAGGCCAATTATAAGGAGTTAAAGTTTGCTTTAACTCCTTATAGTCTCTCCATTTGTTTTGTTTTTGTTTAATTTTGTTTCTGAAATAAATTTTCATTAAGGAAGATTTTTGCTAATAGGCAATATTGATTCGAAGGGGCTGCTGGGGTGGGTGGTGGCCATCAGGACGGCCACTCAGCAAATTAACCACACGAAAAAGCATGTTAAGCCTTACTGCTTAGGAAAATATTTACCCTTTTTATTTTCATTAGCCACCTCAGATCCTATTCTGAATTGATATTGAGGAATACAAAACTGCACTGTTTCTGGGTTTAGTTGGATGGAGTTTTCATTTCACTGTTTTATATAGTTTCTCATTAGACGTCCTTCAACTCAAAACAAACACTCCATCCACCCATCATTTTTTCTGTGGGCTCTGTGACTTGGCTCTGAAGACCCATTTGCAACACAAGATTGAAATCCACTCATCATTCCTGGTTCCCCTTGGCTGTCACCTAGTCCTTGAAGCTCAGAATACCCAAGGCAAAGCCTTGTTCCCAGAGCACAATATTTTTTATCTTTATTACTGTACTTTGTTAATCTCCCTTGTAGTTTAGTAATTTTTGTCTCTTTCTGTTCCCCTTTCTGTTTTGTAAGCTCATGAAAGACAAGCATTACTTCCCTTTCTGTATTTAGGGACAATTCATTACTTACCATTTATTTATTTATTTATTTATCCAGCCTGTCGCCCAAGCTGGAGTGCAGTGGCACGAGTTTGGCTCACTGTAACCACCGTCTCCCAGGTTCAAGCGATTCTCCTGCCTCAGTCTCCCAAGTAACTGGAATTATAGGCGTGTGCCACCATGCCTGGCTAATTTTTGTATTTTTAGTAGAGATGGGATTTCACCATGTTGGCCAGGCTGGTCTGGATCTCCTGACCTCAAGGGATCCACTCAGCCTCCCAAATTGCTGGGATTACAGGCATGAGCCACCATGCTAGGCCTCATTACTTACCTTTTATACTTAATGGCCATGTATTTTTGTTTGTGTGTATATATAGCATCATCTGTAATTCCCAGCCTAAGGCCAGGAACCCCTGGCAAAATATTCATTACCTATTTTTGATGTTAAATATGATTAACTATACCTCATTAATTAGAATGTATAGGTTAAACAAAGCCTTTAAAATTGTTTTTACTCAAATTATTTCAAGTTTGTTAGTGCTAATTAGAAGCTTTGATTGGCTTTTAAAATTTCTTGATTAAAAACCGAACAAACTGATCAAATGATCTTTCTACAATAAAGGGGTACTTGGTGAAAAGATTGGGAACAATTATATTTGGTATCTAGTTAAAAAAATATATGTACCAGGGTTTGTTTTTTAGACAGGATCTTGCTCTGTTGCCCAGGCTGTAGTAAAATCGCATGATCACAGGTCACTGCAGCCTTGACCTGCCAGGCTCAAGCGATCTTCCCACCTCAGCCTCATGAGTTGCTGGGACTACACTATAGGTGCATGCCGCCACACCCAGCTAAATATTCTATTTTTTTATAGATACAGGGTTTGGCCATGTTGCCAAGGCGGTCTCAAGCTCCTGGGCTCAAGTGATCCTCCTGCCTCACCTCCCAAAGTGCTAGGATTTCAGGCATGAGCCATCACACCTGGCCTGTATCCCAATTTTGCCGTTTCTTTTCTAAATCCAAATTTTTGTTCAAATAAATAGCAAATTTTAAACAAGTGCATAGTCATTTCTTTTCTACCAGAAACATCTTGAAGAAGTCTTCTTAAAATATCAGGCTAGCTGTGTTTCTAATTCTTTTAAAAAATCGAAAGTTGGCTGGTCCGAAGTTAGTGAGTTATCTCAATTGATTGTTTACAGTCAGTTACAGATCGAACTCCTTGTTCTACTCTTTCCCTCCTTCTCACTGCAGCAATTAAAAAAATCTGAACTAATTTTATGAGTAAAAATATGTCTTGTCCTTTTTTGATTATCCTTCTTTTTCATAGATTGCTAATTTAGCCAACTATTGATGTTTCCTGATAAGCTGAATTTTCCGAATATTTACGGCCAGCTGTACAGACTTCAATACATTAACCTAGGTCATTGGTGCTTTAATGTTTCTCTTGGGGGGCATCCCACCTTATTCCACTTTAACCCAATGCCTTAGCTAAAAATGTTTGAGAAATGGAAATTTTATTTATTTATTTATTGGCAATAGAGCCTCTCCATTGCCCTGGCTGGAGTGCAGTGGTCATAGCTCCCTGCAGCCTTGAACTCCTGGCCTCAAGTGATTCTCCCACCTTAGCTTCCCAAAGTGCTAGGATTACAGGTATGAGCCACCACACCCGGCTAGAAATTTTACTTGTAAATGTTACAAAGTTAGCAATTCAATATTAATTGAGATAATTAACATGTATTTGCTAATTTAATATATATATTAATTATAGCATAGTATATCAATATAGTCTAACCCTAAAACTTCATTAGTTCATTAATTTGAGTCTCTTAGAATTTCTAATTCTATTGGATCAGATTAAGTTCCTCTAAAAATCTATTGGAATGCTTTATTTTTTTTATTTTTTGAGACAGGGCCTCACTCTGTTATCCAGGCTGAGTGCAGTGGCATAAACACAGTTCACTGCAGCCTCTACCTCCTGAGCTCAGGCCATCCTTTCTCCCTAGCCTCCCAAGTGGCTGGGATTTCAGGTGTGTGCCACCACGCCTGGCTAATTTTTGTGTTTTTTTTTTTTATAGAGATGGGGTCTTGCAGTGTTACACAGGCTGGTCTCAAACTCCTGGGCTCAAATGATCCTCCCACCTTGGCCTCCCAAAATGCTTGGATTACAAGTTTGAGCCACAGCACCCTACTTTTCTTCTTCAAATTTGAGAAATGTGTTTTTTTGTGAGGTTTTTTTCTTAACTTTCTAAAAGGCTATTTGAAATAGCAAGTTAGCAAGTTAAACCTTAATTTTAGGGTTAGCATAAGTATTGCCATACGATGCAATAGTTTGGTGAATTGTGATAATAATTTTAAAAAGTCATTTACAGCCAGGTGAGATGGCCCATGCCTGTAGTCCCAGCTCCTTGGGAGGCTGAGTTGGTAGGGCAGCCTGAGTTGAGTCTAGTTTGGGCAACATAGTGAAACCTATTTTCTAAGAAAAAAGAAAACCAGTGAATTACTACTACGATGTAATTGCTCACTTTCTAGGCTGGGTGCAGTGGCTCATGCCCGTAACCCCAGCACTTTGGGAAGCTGAGGCAGGCAGACTGTTTGAGCGCACGAGTTTGAGAACAGCCTGGGCAACATGGCAAAACCCCATCTCTACAAAAAACACAAAAGTTAGCCAGGCGTAGTGGCGTGCACCTGTAGTCCCAGCTACTCGGGAGGCTGAGGCACGAGAATTGCTTGAACCCAGGAGGCGGAGGTTGTAGTGAGCTAAACGCACCACTGCACTCCAGTCTGGGCAACAGAGCAAGACTCTTGTCAAAAAAAAAAAAAGGTAGTATTTCTTATATCAAAAGGGCATTTAGAGTTGAAGTTTTAATGTTCTAGCCATAAAGGAGGCAGAAAGCCTGGGCGTGTGGCTCATGCCTGTAATCCCAGCACTTTGGGAGGCCGAGGTAGGAGCGTAGGAGGATCACTTGAGCCCAGGAGTTCAAGACCAGCCTGGGCAACCTGTCTCTCCAAAAAAAAAACGAACAAACAAAATTAGCTGGGCATGGTGGTGTATGCCTGTAGGCCCAGCTACTTGGGAGACAGGTAGGAGGATCAATTGAGCCCAGAAGTTTGAGGCTGCAGTGAGCTTGTTTGTGCCACTGCACTCCAGCCTGGGCATCAGAGCAAGACCCTGTCTTAAAAGAGGAAAAAAAAAAAGGAGGCAGAAAAAATGTTTATTAATCCTTGCAGTTTTCATTAAAATAAAAAGATTACTTTGGTATGGCCATGACAGAAACCCTAAATCATTCCAGGGCCTAGAGTGGTACTTCCCTGAAGCTGGGGAAAGGACCCTGGGCAGAAAGCAAAGGAGGGGGCAGATCCCTGGCTGGCCTGATGCCTTGCAACCCTGGGCTTGAGCCACATAAGAGCATTTAGTGAGTCAAGGCCTAAAGGAGGAGGGAACAATTATCTCCTGGGAAAGGGCTATATAATCTGGAACACCACAGATTTCTCAGACGCGGAGTTGAGATTAGAGTGTCTCCTACCGCTTGATGAAACAATTCAGTCTACTTCAAGGACGTGCACCTGGAAAAATGACTGGCTTCTGGAAACAGTGTTATTCTGCTATTTAGGAACAACCCTGCTGATTGAGCCTCAATAAGGAAAATAGGCCTCAATCAACCATATTTCTTAAGTGCTAGAGGACTCGTTAGACAATAACTCTATTACAACAATAAGAGCACTTACTGAGTGCTTACTCCAGGGCAGCACTTCATATTCATTATATTATTTAATTAAGAAGATTTTTACTTGGCATTAATTTAATATCACTTTGGCCCTGTCAGCTGTGGTTTTACTCAGGATTTTGTCCAAAATCTAGAGAAACCTGATTATAAGAAAATTTAATAAGTCACAAAATATTATATTTTCTTTTCCACTGCATTGTCTTGGTTATTTAAAAAAATGGTTCAGAAATAGTATTGTACCAATGTTCATATCCTCATTTTGGTCATTGTACTATAGTTATGTACGGTATTAAAATAAGTGGCATAAAGGATATGAGGCAACAATTTGTACTAAATTTGTAATTTTCTGTAAGTCTACAATTAGATAAAAATAAAGCTGAATAATAGTTCATCATTTCTTTAATAAATTACTCATTTTATTTTATTATGGCAAAAAGAAATACATGTTTAATGTAGCAAATATTTTATATACATATAAGTAAAAAGAAGAAAATGAAAATTCCCTAATTTAACCAGCTAGAGGTATTTACTATAAATATCTAGGTATATCTTCATCAAGATGTGTGCATATGGACATATAGCATGTATGAATTTCAATCACTGACTATATTTGCAAATGTAAAACTTTATATTTCTTTATTGAACTTAATTTTTCTTAAACCTTCATTCTGCCTAATGGCAGGTAACCTAATTTAGTCACTTCTGAATAGTTCAGTCATTTTAAGATTTAAAGTCATTTAAATTCAGCTTTCAGATTTAGTTCCCTTCGTCTTACCCACCAGGGAGGTTATATTTGGACTCCATTCATCTAATGCAGTCACCCATTGCAGATGTAACTCATCTCACCTCACCGTTGGGGACCAGCATCCTGCTTTTGTTTGCTAGAACCATAATCCTGATGATGCCCTCCAGCCTTCACAGGGCTAGAGGCTCACAAGGCTACCCCGGGTCCCCTTAACAGAGCCACCTCAGTCACCTTTACTCCTTTATTGCCTTGGCACATTTCTAGTCTCTGAGGTTCTCTCTGAGATCTGCAGAATACTGAGGCCACTCTCTGGGAAATGTGGCATAGCTTCCTTTTCTTGTGTAATCTACAGAAACTTTGCTAGACTTTCTAGCATTCTCCCTTTGTGCAGATTGGCCCAGTGTGATGGTATTCTAGGTCTTCTCTCTAAGACCCACTTAAGGGATTTACTCTGCAAACCCTCCTGCCTGACATTCTTGAAAATTCTCCTCAATTGAACTTTTATCTCCTTTGGAGTGAAAGAAGCGAACAAACAAGCAAGCTCTTACATCATCCTACTTTCTTCAGTCTATGAGTTATGATATAAGCTTAAAAGTTTCTGTATTGAAGCCAGATTTCTAGATATTCAGATTCTTCTCTTAAAGCCCCTCCCTGCTGCCTGGTCCCTGCCCCCACACCAATGGCTTTAAAATTCTATTTTGCAAAGTGTAAAAAACATTTTTTTTTGAGAGGGAGTCTCGCTGTGTCACCCAGGCTGGAGTGCAGTGGAACGATCTCGGCTCGCTGCCATCTCCGCCTCTTGGGTTCAAGTGCTTCTCCTGCCTCAGCCTCCCAAGTAGCTGGGACTACAGGTATGGCACCATCACCCCCTGCTAATTTCTGTATTTGTAGTAGAGACAGGGTTTCACAATGTTGGCCAGGCTGGTCTTGAACTCCTGGCCTCAAGTGATCTGCCCACCTCGGCCTCCCAAAATACCAGGGTTACAGGCGTAAGCCACCACACCCAGCCTAGAAAAGGCCTAGAAAAAGTGGCTCACGCCTGTAATCCCAGCACTTTGGGAGGCCAAGGCGGGCAGATTGCTTGAGCTCAGGAGTTCGAGACCAGCCTGGCCAATGTGGCAAAACCCCCTGTCTACAAGAAATACAAAAATTAGCCTGGGGGTGGTGGTGCCATGCCTGTAATCGCAGCTACTTGGGGGCTGAGGCTGGAGAATCGCTTGAGCCCAGGAGGTCGAATCACGCCACTGCACTCCAGCCTGGGCTACTGGAGTGAGACCCTGTCTCAAGAAAAAAAAAAATTTTTTTTTTGAGACAATTGTGAACATTTGATTATGAACTAGTTATTAGAAGATACTAAGAAGTGATTTGTTATTAATTTTGCCAGGTCCATGGTTTTTAGAGAAATTAGTGAAGGCCATTATAGGCAGGGTGGGTTGGGAAGTGACCCGAGAAATGAAGCTACTGTGGGAGGAAGAGCCACATATGCCATTCTTGGATTTCAGGCTCACTGAATCAAACGGGAGTGACATGACATGATTAATTTGCATAAAGGTTCTGTGTGTGTGTGTGTGTGTGTGTGTGCACGGGCATGTGTGTGTGTGGCTAGGGGTGCAGATGAGAAGTGTGTTTGTGACTGGGAAGTGGCTGGCTGGAGAAATTTTGGATTCCTTTCCTTTCCATACCATTCCTACCTAAATTTATCAGTGAACATTTTGGTTCTCTTGGCTTCATCACCTTCCCTTTCCAAGCCACCACCATCTCTTATCTGAACACAATAATTTTCTATCAGTTGCTTCTATCCTTGTTTCCTGTAATTCTCCACAGAGCTGCCAGCATTTTTAAAAGCCTAAATCAAGTCGTTATCCTCCTGCTCGAAACATTCAATGGCTTTCCATTGCAGTTAAAACACAAATTTTACTGGAGACTCTTAAGTTCCTATGTAACCTGGCCCTTATCTTCCCCACCGTCCTTTTAGTGCCACTTTCCTTCTTACTCACCAGCCAAACCCCACAAGCCACCCTACAGTTCATTTTCCAGTTACAAGTGTTCATTTTTCATATCTACTTGTGATGCTGTTATCAGAATAAATCAAGAAAAAACCAAAAAAGTTAATTTTTCAGAAAACATTATTTAGTATAATAGTTTTGAAATTGTAATTGCTGTAACATTTTAATCAAACTAGTACAAATTGTACTTGATCTTTAAATATAAAACAAAGAATGATTAAGGGAAAGAATGTTTTACTCCTGGTTCTGGGATGTGAAATATTGATAACATAGAGAAAACATACTGTGGGAGGAAGAGCCACATATGCCATTCTTGGATTTCAGGCTCACTGAATCAAACAGGGGAGTGACATGACATGATTAATTTGCATAAAGGTTCTGTGTGTGTGTGTGTGTGTGTGTGTGTGTGCGCGCGCGCGGGCATGTGTGTGTGTGTGGCTGGGGGTGCAGATGAGAAGTGTGTTTGTGACTGGGAAGTGGCTGGATGGAGAAATTTTGGATTCCTTTCCTTTCCATACCATTCCTTTAAATAGCAAATTTTAGTTCATTCAAAGCACATTCTTTAACCATGGGACAGTCATTATTCATAGATCTTAAGTCTTTTTATTTTTTTGAGATGGAGTCTCGCTCTGTTGCTCAGGCTGGAGTGCAGTGGCTTGATCTCGGCTCACTGCAACCCATGTCTCCCTGGTTCAAGCGATTCTCCTGCCTCAGCCTCCCAAGTAGCTAGGACTACAGGTGCGTGCCACCACGTCTGCTTAATTTTTGTATTTTCTTAGTAGAGTCAGGCTTTCACCATGTTGGCCAGGCTGGTCTCGAACTCCTGACCTCAGGTGATCCACCCAACTCGGCCTCCCAAAGTGCTGGGATTATAGGTGTGAGCCATTGCGCCTGGCCAGTCTTAAGTCTGAAAGAGCTATGTTCTCATATTTGGAATTTTTTCTTTGTCTAGTGAGCATGACTTTCTTACTCTTACAAAACATCAATTTGAGCAATTTCTGGCATATTTTCCAAGAATTTATTTAAAATCTGGCATACTAAAAGCTGAACTGTATTGCCATTTGCCTCAACACACTTCAAGAAGAACATACAACAATTAAAATAATTTGAAATGCCATTGTCTTTATCTTCCTCATCAACTTTGGTCAAATGAAATAATACATTGTTTCAAATTCTATTGCTCATCCATGGTTCATGATTAGAGATCACTACAGTTTATTTACGATAATGAACAAATGTGTCTTGAAAAGCTGACTACCGGCCTGGCACGGTGGCTCATGCCTGTAATCCCAGCACTCTGGGAGGCCGAGGCGGGCGGATCACCTGAGGTCAGGAGTTCAAGACCAGCCTGGCCAATATGGTGAAACCCCGTCTCTACTAAAAATACAAAAATTAGCTGGGCGTGGTGGCGGGCTCCTGCAATCCCGGCTACTCCGGAGGCTGAGGCAGGAGAATCGCTTGAATCCGGGAGGCGGAGGTTGCAGTGAGCCAAGATCACCCCCATTGCACTCCAGCCTGGGGGACAGAGCAAGACTCCATCTCAATAAAAAAGAAAAAAAAACAAAAAAAAGAAAAAAGAAAAGCTGACCACCTAATATTATTGTGCTGACAGGCGTGTAACATGGACCTCTCTGTGACGCGCAAGTATTATCTGGCAGTTACATGGTGCCGCCTGTGCAGCTGGGCGCCACCACCAGCTTCCTGCCCTGTGCGATTAAAAGGCCAGCTTCGGGGACAGCAGCCTCCTCAACGCAAAGCGACCAGCCCTGCCAGGCGTCGGCTGCAGCTGGTCCAAGGTTGACGGTCCCAGGGCCGCATTCTCCTTCCGGTCACCTCAGACTCTGGAAAGAGAGCCATGGAGGGCCTCAGAGCGCCCCTCTGCAGTTCCTTGAGGAAAACAAGGGCCTCCCCCTCTTGGCTGGAGCAGCCAAGTGCCCACGGGGAAAATGGTCCCGTCCACCATTTCAGGCAAACGCCCCCATAGCTGTAATAAACATGTGATGGGTTTCCTGCACCAAGAAAGGAAAATTTTCCTTAAAAATAACAAAAAGAGGTGGGGAGGGGACTCTAAGTTCCATTTAAGATTTTCCAAACTCGTTGTGTCTCATGCATACGCTGAGGCTTAACATGAAAATTTGGAGCGAAAGTCCCCACGGTTCACCACAGGGAATGAAGTAAAGTATCTCGCCGGTAGCTCTAGGTCTCGTAAACCGTGGAGCTCCTTTAGTATAAGGCCCTATTATGTGCCACATTAGATGAGAAGAAAATAAGAGGAAGGATACGGTAGAGCCTTTAGAATGGGGTTCAGTCTTAGGACTCGTAGGATAAAGGAAGGTCGTTTCCCTCCGTTTGAGGCAGGGAATCAAACAAAACACCGGCACCGCAGGCACCGCAGTCGCACTCCTGGGGCCTCGTGGCTTTCCCGCGCGCCCGCCTTGGGGGCGGGGAAGAACCCGGATGGAACCACCCTTGCAGCCCGGACCCCCCGCCGTCTTTGAATGGCAGCGGGGCGGAGTTGCCCTCCCTTCTGTGCTCTGACTGGTTTGGCTCCGCACTCTCCTCTTCGTGATTGGGCTTTCCTAGTGCCAGTCACAGAGCGACGCTGGTCTCCCAGATTGTTGCAGAAGGAGACGGCGTCGACGTCTGACTGGACTCGCGGCGACTTACCTTTCAGTCGTGCGCTCCTGATCCGGCGCTCGGAATTTGTCCCCGGCTTCAGGGCTGCGGGGCCTGGAAGGAGGCGTATCGAGGCGGCTCGAAAACGATCCAGGGGAGCCGAGGCGCTCCTCTTGTCATCCCACTCAGCGCCATGTCCTGGATGTTCAAGAGGTGAAGGGGGCGGAGGGGGTGGGGCGCTCGGTCTAACGGCCTGGAGGCGTCCCCAAATGAACCTGACCTTCCCCGCGTTCCTCTGCGTTCCCTGGGCGATTTGTGCAGCTGTATTCGTTCTGTTGGTCGCATATGTGGCCGCCGGAGAAATAAATGCATTGTCTTCGCTGGCGAGTAGGGGCTCCTAGGGCGAGTCCCGTGTTAGGGACTTGGGAAATCTCTGTCACCGACTGTGGGGGGCCTGGGGCTTAAAGCATCTCGGCCAGTGCTTTATTTAACAAAACATCCATTAGATACCCACTGTGCGCCAGGCATTGTGCTCGGTGGAGGGCCGAGTAAGACAGTCCTTGTCCCCAAGTGGCTCACAGCTTATCTGTATGCACAGACGTGCAGATAAGTATTTGCAGAGGCGCTAGTAGAGATATGCGCCACTTGCAAGGAAAACGCATCGCAAATAAGCGACTGTTCTTAGGAGAATGGAAACTTTTTGCAATGCTCCAGTAGACTCCCCTTCACTTTTCATTGTCCAAATTGGTATTTATGGTCATTCCCGAAACAGTTACACCTAATGGGTTTGGGGTTATGCTTAAACCGGCGACGGAAGGCGGGTACGGGTGGCTTGGGGCCAATTTCCCACGGTGGCGTGGTTTGGATACCAGAATAGGTGTTCTGCTCGCAGGGAGTTACAGTGATGGATGCTGGATGTATTTTCTGGAAAATTATAAACAACTTCTGGTACATTAATAGTTGTATTTTTATAAGTCTTTTATATAGCTCAATCCCTATTGAAATTTTGGCATATGATTTCATTTTTTAAATTATTTTTTTGACATGGAGTCTCGCTCTGTCGTCCAGGCTGGAGTGCAGTGGCACAATCTCGGCTCGCTGCAACCTACGCCTCCCGGGTTCAAGTGATTCTCCTGCCTCAGCCTCCCGAGTAGCTGGGATTACATATGGGCGCCACCACGCCTGGCTAATTTTTGTATTTGTAGTAGACAGGGTTTCACAATGTTGGCCAGGTTGGTCTCAAATTCCTGACCTCAGGTGATCCACCTGCCTCTGCCTCCCAAAGTGCTGGGATTCCAGGCGTGAGCCACCGCATCCGGCCCATAATTGTAGTTACAGACATCATATACATATCAATTTAGATGATTTTCACTGGGAAAGAGGTTAGTGAACTCTGACTAGGCTTTTCATTTTGAATACCTAGGGGGCAGGTAGAAGAGCCAATATTGAAAACAGGTAGAGTTCCTAGAAGCCTTCTCCACTCACTGCAATTCCTGCTTTAACGAGAGTAACTATTAATCTTTACCGTGATTCCCATGTAAGATTTCATTTGCTGAAGTAAAGCATGAGAAAACTACTCATATGGTCTTTGGAAATACTTAAATATTATATTGTTTTTCTTTGCCTTTAAAAAAAAATAGGGATCCAGTTTGGAAGTACTTGCAGACTGTCCAGTATGGAGTTCATGGAAATTTTCCACGCCTCTCATATCCAACTTTCTTTCCACGTTTTGAATTCCAAGATGTTATCCCTCCAGATGACTTTCTAACTAGTGATGAAGAAGTAGATTCCGTTTTATTTGGAAGTTTGAGAGGTCATGTGGTTGGACTACGCTATTACACGGGAGTAGTGAGTATAATAGTAGATAATTAAATTTTGATTATATTTCTGGCGTTAACCTAGAAAATAAGAGAATTCGCAGGTGATGTGTGCGGTTAATCTTTATTTTACTTTAAGTTAGTTAAATATTTGTACGCAAAAAATAACAAATACCTTAAGTGACCCTCCCACCTCAGCCTCCCAGAGTGTTGGGATTACAGGAATGAGCCAATATGCTTGGCCTCAGTGCGTTATGTTTGGTTATTATGGGTAGCACCCCACCCCCACACCCCAGCGCCTTGTTCATGTCATCGATTTGTTGCAAAAAGGAGATCGTTTTGTGGAATCTTCTGGATTTTATTCTTTCATTTCTCCGTATGTTTCTTATGTTTAAGCTTCTCAATAGGGTGTCTGAAGCATGTTCGACAGGAGATTCCTTAGGAGTTTCATGTTCTGGATTTGTTTTTCTCCTGTATTTCCTTTACATTGGAACGTTTCAAATTGTTTTTTGATTGTCTGAAATGTGTTGTCTAGGAGATTCCTTAGGAAGAGACAATATTTCCTAAGTTTTTATATTTTCATACTTGTGGCATTTTATGAATGACAGTTTCATAAAATGAAAGTTATGAAGGACTTAATGACAGTTGGGCTGAATTTAAAATCTTTGTAATATATCTTTGTAATAAAATCTTTGTAATAAAATCTCCATATCCTAATGTTGCATAGAATTCTCAGGCCAGTGTGATTTTCTTTCACTTAAGTGAATTGGATTTTTTTTTTTTTCTTTTTTTTTGAGACCAAGTTTCGTTTTGTTGCCCAGGCTGGAGTGCAGTGGCCTGATCTGGCCTCACTGCAATCTCTGCCTCCCAGACTCAAGCAATTCTCCCAATTCAGCCTCCTGAGTAGCTGGGACTGCTGGCGTTCACCACCATACCCAGCTAATTTTTGTATTTTTTTTTTTTGTATTTTTTTTTAGGTTTTGGCATGTTGTCCAGGCTGATCTGGAACTCCTGGGCTCAAGTGATCCGTCCGCCTTGGCCTCTCCAAGTGCTGGGATGCTGCACCCGGCCTCTAATTTTTTCTAATAGATTCTTGAACTCTATCAGTTCTTATTTCACATCTATATATTCTCTGGCTCTCATATGCATTTCTGAGCTTTTCTGTTTCAGATTTGTGCTAATTTTTCAAAACTTACATTGCTTTCGATAATTATTTTATACCACCATGAAATACTAGATTATGGTAGTTATTGATCTTAGAACAATCAGTATTTTTGATCTGAGAATAATCTCTATGACTTCGGTAAACTCTAGTGTGTGTTGATAAAAAGTAATCATCAGTTTTCTTATTTTGCCAAATATATATACTTTAAATTTTATTTTTTTCCAGGAACACTATGTTGAGATATCATTTATTTTATAATTAATGCATGTTCTTTTATTTGTTTTTGTTTTTTTTTTGAAACGGAGTCTTGCTTGCATTGCCCAGGCTGGAGTGCAATGGTGCAATCTTGGCTCACTGCAACCTCCGCCTCCCAGGTTCAAGCGGTTCTCCTGCAACAGCCTCCTAAGTAGCTGGGATTACAGGCATGCGCCATCATGCCCAGCTAATTTTTTGTATTTAGGAGAGATGAGGTTTTGCCATGTTGGTCAGGCTGGTCTTGAACCCCTGACCTCAGGTGATCCACTCACCTCGGCCTTCCAAAGTGCTGGGATTACAGGCATGAGCCACCGCGCCCAGCCACGTTCATTATTTTTAAATGGCTAAAAAGGCATTAAATCTTCTGAAGTCTATCATCCAGAACCATAACTTATCTTCTACACTTGTTTCTGTGAGCATGTGCATGTAAATTGGAATCATATTATGTATTAATAAAAATGAGATCATATTATGCCTAATGTGATTAGGAATATCATCTATATTGGACTTATAATTTCCTTGTTGATGGACATTTTTGAGTTAATCACTATTATAAAAATAATAAAAATTGAGATACTATCTTTGCATACTTGTTATTTTAATTTTTTTTCTACTTTATTGAGATGTGGTTTACGTATGATAAAATGTACATATTTTAAATGTATGATCCTAGTGTTTTGACAAAGATGTATACCTGATAACTACTACCCCAATCAAGATACAGATTGTATCCGTCTCCCTCAAAGTATCTTGTATCCTATTGCATTCATTTTTCCCTGTTCCTGCCCTAGGCAGCCACGAGTCTCATTTCTTTTCTTTTTTTTTGTTTTTTTTGAGACGGAGTCTCGCTCTGTTTCTCAGGCTGGAGCGCAGTGGCGGGATCTCGGCTCATTGCAAGCTCCGCCTCCCAAGTTCATGCCATTCTCCTGCCTCAGCCTCCCAAGTAGCTGGGACTACAGGCGCCTGCCACCATGCCCGGCTAATTTTTTTGTATTTTTGGTAGAGACGGGGTTTCACCGTGTTAGCCAGGATGGTCTGTATCTCCTGACCTCGTGATCCGCCCGCCTCGGCCTCCCAAAGTGCTGGGATTACAGGTGTGAGCCACTGCGCCCGGCCACACAAGTCTTCTATCACTATAAATAAGTTTTGCCTATTCTAGAACTTCATATACATTGAATTCTACAGTATGTACTATTTTAAGTCTGGCGTTTTTCACTCAGCATAATTTAGGTACTTCTTTGGTCTATTTTGGTTAGTTACATTTTTGAAGAAAAGCATCCATTTTATTTAGATATTCAAACTTATTCCCATAGAATTGTGCATAGTAATCATTTATCCTTATAAAATTGTAACTGTAATTTTCTGGAATTGGGGTTTGGTGGTATGATGTGTTGCTCACAAGTGGCCAGAACTCCTATTCCTGAAGGATTTTGAATTGGAGGAACACATACTTAAACTCCCTTTTATGCCTTGGTTCTAGTTACTCTTTCCAAGTTGAATAACCATTTTTTTGGTTGTTTTAAGTTGGTGCTCTGAACCTTAAATTTCAGTACCCTTTACTCTGAATTGTCAAATTTTGATAAAATGTGCCATTTTTTTAATGTCTGCCAGAACATAATTTTATATGCCTTATTGGCTCCATTAAACTTTTTAAAAACTTTTTTAAAAAGGTGATTATATTCCTGTTTTTATTCTTTGTGTTACACATTCGTGTCTTTTTTATTGATTAGCTATGACATTATTTCTTTTCAAGGCAGGCTCTCTTGAATTTTTCTTAATGATTGTGTTTCTTGGCTTAATAATTACTCTTACATTCGGTTTTTCTACTTAGATTTATTTTCTTTTCATTTCTGTTGGACTTGCGATTTGAGCACTTAATTTGAGTCATTTAATCTTTTAATCTTTAAACGTGTTAAGTATTGCGTTGCCTTTAGCCACCACGTTTTGTTATGTAGTAGCATTCTTTATTTTTAACTCTGGTGTTTTCTTATTCTTATTTCATTTTTATTTTTTGTTTTTTTTTTTTTAGTGTGTTTTCAATAAGCATATGGTTAAGTTTATTTTTTGACCCATCAAAGGCTTTATTTTATAATGTGGTTTATTTCTTTTTCTATTTTAAAATACAGTTATGTGTTGCTTAACAATGAAGATACTTTCTGAGAAAAGTGTTAGGTGATTTCTTTGTGGAAACAGAGTGAACAAGATGTTACTTTACTGAATACTGTGGGCAATTGTAACACATTTGTGTATTTAAGCATATATAACATGAAAAAAGTACAGTAAAAATATTGTATAAAATATGAAAAATGGTACACTTCTATAGGGCAGCCCCATTATAATCTTGTGGAACAACTGTTGCATAATGCATGTGGTCTGTCATTGCTGAAATGTTGTTATGCGGGGTATGACTATACTGTTATGATTAATTCTCATTCCTTTTGTTATTCTTGTCTTTGTCTTTTTGTTTTTTTATATGTCCTGTTTTTTCTTGCTGCTGGGACCATGTTTTTGTTTTTATAGTCTCCAATATTTTGGCTCATATATATTTTATTTAAAATTCTAGTAATTACTTATTTGTAACGACAGTTAACTAATTGTAATTAATGATAGCTTATTATGATAAATTACAATTATGTAATACCTTGAGATGAAATGCTCAAAAATTGTTAGTTTTGTGCCCTGCTTTTTTATTTTGGTTATGTATTTTCTAGGATTTGCATAATCCGGTTTAAAAAAGATCATCCTGTAGGCAGTGGCAGAGGGGTGGCGACTGGGAGAGAACATAGCTCTGCCTCATAGATAATATCTCTAAAAGTCTAGAGATGAATATCTGTCTAATACTCTGTTTAGTTCTGGCTGTAATCTCTTGAGTCAGTAGACATGCTGGGAGAGGTTTGAAGCAGCTTTCTTGTATATTTTCAAGGAATTTTTTAAAATTGAGATACATTTATTATAAAATTTACCATTTTAAAGTGTACAGTTGAGTAGTTTTTAGAATACTCACAAGGTTGTGCAACCATCCCTACAATCTAGTTCCAAAACATTTTCATTACTCCAAAAAGAAACCTCATTCCCATTTGTAGTCACTCCCATTATCTCTACCCCTCAGTCCCTGGCAACCATGAATCAGTCTTCTTCCTGTGTATATGGATTTACCTCCTCTTGACATTTCACGTAAATGAAATGATACAATATGTGGCATTTGGGTCTGGCCTCCAATACTCATTTTTATGTTAAATAGATTTTTTTTTTTAGTGTACTATTTTAATTCCCTTGTTTCTTTTACTATATATTTTGAGTTACTTATGATTGCTTTAGGGATTACAATTAACAACTTAATTTATAAGAACCTAGTTTGGATTAGTGCCAACTTAACAGTATATAAAAAACTTTGTGGCTGGGCATGGGGCATGGTGGCTCACGCCTGTAATCCCAGCGCTTTGGGAGGCCAAGGTGAGTGGATCACGAGGTTAGGAGATTGAGACCATCCTGGCCAACATGGTGAAACCCCATCTCTACTAAAAATACAAAAATTAGCTGGGCATGGTGGCACCTGCCTGTAGTCCCAGCTACTTGGGAGGCTGAGGCAGGAGAATCGCATGAACTAGGGAGTCAGAGGTTGCAGTGAGCCGAGATTGTGCGACTGTACTCCAGCCTGGTGACAGCAAGACTCTGTCTCAAAAAAACAACAACAAAGAAAACCCCAAAAAAACCTTTGCTCACAGCTCCATCCTATTGCCTTCCTTTGTGCTGTTATCCAAGTTATATCTTTATATATGTAGTATACCTATCAACAAAGATTTATAATTATATACTTTTTAATGAGATAGGACAAAAATTACAAAAAATTATACTTAAAAATTTTTATTTTTTTAAATAATTTTTTTTTTTTTTTTTTTTTTTTTTTTTTTTTTTTTTTAGAAACTGTCGTTACCCTTTTGCCCAGGCTGGTCTCAAACTTCTTTTGACAGTTTGATTATGATGTGACCAGGTGTGGATCTCTTTGAGTTTATTTTAGTTGGAGTTGTTGAGCTTCTTATATGTGTAGAGTAGTGGTTTCCATCGAATTGGGAAGGTTTTGGCTGTTATTTCTTTAAATATTTTTTCTGCCCCTTTCTCTTTTCTCCTTATGGTACTCTTATGTATGTGTGTTGGTATGCTTGATATTACAAGTTTCTGAGGCTCTGTTGTGTGTCATTTTTTTGTTCCTTAGATTGTATAATCTCAATTGACCTATCTTCAGCTTCGCTGATTTTTCTTATGCCTGCTCAAATTTGCTGTTGAGTCTCTCTGGTGAATTTTTTCTTCAGTTATTGTACCTTTTGACTCTAGAATTGCTGTTTGGTGAGACATCGTCTCCATGCTTTTAGACATGCGTTTTCATGTCGAAAGAAATGATTTGCTTTAGGTCTTTGAACTTATTTTTTTTTTTTTTTGAGACGGAGTCTTGCTTTGTCGCCCAGGCTGGAGTGCAGTGGCACGATCTCGGCTCACTGCAAGCTCTGCCTCCCAGGTTCACATCATTCTCCTGTGTCAGCTTCCCGAGTAACTGGGACTACAGGCACCCGCCACCTCGCCCGGCTAATTTTTTGTATTTTTAGTAGAGACGGGGTTTCACTGTGTTAGCCAGGATGGTCTCGATCTCCTGACCTCGTGATCCGCCCACCTCGGCCTCCCAAAGTGCTGGGATTACAGGCGTGAGCCACTGTGCCCGGCCAGGTCTTTGAACTTTTTAATTTTTTAGAGATAGGTTCTTGCTCTATTACCCAGGCTGGAGTGCAGTGGCGTGATCATAGCTCACTGTAACCTTGAACTCCTGCATTCAAGCAGTCCTCCCACCTCAGACTCCTGAATAGCTGGGACTACAGGCATGTACCACCATACCTGGCTAATTTTTCTATTTTTATTTTGTAGAAATGGGGTCTTGCTATGTTTCCCAGGCTGGTCTCAAATTCCTGGCCTCAAGAGATCCTCACACTTCAGCCTCCTAAAGTGCTGGGATTACAAGTGTGAGCCACCATGCCCAGCCCCTTTGAACATATTTAAAATAACTGACTTAAATTCTTTTTCTACTATGTCAAACATCTATACTTTCTTGGGGACAGTTGACATTGATTGCTTTTTTTCCCTGTGTATAGACCATACTTTCTTATTTTTTTTGCATGTCTTGTACTTTTTTTCTTGAAAAATTGACATTTTAAATAATGTGGCAGCTCTGGAAATCAGGGTGGTTTGTTGTTGCTGAGTTTTGTAATTAGTGTGTGTTTGTTAGGCTTCTAGGGTGGTTTGTTGCTGAGTTTTGTAATTAGTGTGTGTTTGTTAGTGACTTTCCTGAATTAATTCTGTGATGTCTATCCTTTATCGTGTGTGGTCACTGAAGTCTGTACTTGGTTAGCTTAGCGGTCAGCTGATGATTGTGCTGGAACTAATAAATCGTACATTCTTTGCTGAGAACTTCTGTATGTTAGGGCATTCCTTCAACACTCTAAGGCCCCTGACAACTCTGCTTTAGCTTTCACTTCTGGCTTGTTTAAATGCTCAAGTTCAGGCAAAGGTGAGCGTTTAGGGCCTTCTCAGGTCTTTCTTGAGAATGTGCACAGCCCTGGTCATGCATACCAGCCCTGTGCTTGCTTACGGCCTTCTAGATATCCAGAAATACACTGGAGCTTTTCAAAGCCCTCACAGACATCTCATTCCCTAGCTCTTCTTTATAAGCCTTTTTGTTTTTTTGCTTCAGCTGTTATCCACTGCCTCAGGTAGCCATGAAGTTAAAACACTTTCCTGTAAAATTGTTTTGACAAACATCCGCCCAAGGGAGGTTTTTTTGTACTTGGTGAGCTCAGAGGTTAAATACAGTCAGCCTTGCAAGTGGGGTCTTCCGGGGAACTTCAGGAGAATAACAGTTCTTTGGGAATGAATCTCTGAAAGAACTGTAACTCCATTCTCTTTTTTTCTGGTGACTGCCAGGCTTTACCTAGGATCCCAACAAGCTATTATTTTTATTTATTTATTTATTTATTTATTTATTTATTTATTTATTTATTTTGAGATGAAGTCTCGCTCTGTCACCAGGCTGGAGTGCAGGGGCACTATCTTGGCTCACTGCAACCTCTGCCTGCCGGGTTCAAGTGGTTCTCCTGCCTCAGCCTCCCGAGTAGCTAGGACTACAGGCGCGTGCCACCACACCCAGCTAATTTTTGTATTTTTAGTAGAGACGGGGGTCTCACCATGTTGGCTAGGATGGTCTTGATCTCTTGACCTCGTGATCTTCCCACCTCGGCCTCCCAAAGTGCTGGGGGCGTGAGCTACTGTGCCTGGCCGTGAGCTATTTTTAAAGGCTACAGGATTGCTGGGGATGGGACTGAAGTACTGATATTCAGCTGTTTATTCTTTTTATTCTTGAATAAATGTTACCCAGATTTCTGCAAGCCTTTGATTTAGTTCTCAGTGTTCTGAAACATTTGATTCTGACAAATAATTTATCTAGTTTTTTTGTTGCCTTTATTGAGGAATTTTTGAAAGTCCTCATTCTACCATTCTTTATTGTGTTACCCTCCTTCAGTTTTTAAAAATATACATCATAATATTTAAGTTAAATCATACAGTTTTTAATAAAGTAGAATCAGAATGGCATGAGTTGAAGGCTGGATATATTTTTCTTACCTAGTTCCATCCTGACTTATAAATGCCTTATTCCCTGACTTTTATATTCTGGAGAATTGAGGCTCAGGAACCACCCTGTGTGGGTTCAGATCCTAGCTCTGCTACCTTTTAGCTTTGTGACCTTGGGCAAGTTACTTTTCTGTGCTTCAGTTTCTTCATTTGTAAAATGGGAATAATGATAGTACCTCCCAATAGAGCTGTGAGGATTTAAAAAGTCAGTCTGTGCAATGTACTTAGACCAATGCTTGGCACATAGTAAGCGCTCAATAAGGGTTGGCTATTTTTCAGAAGTTATGATGTTGAAAATTTTAGATAATTTGAATTTGCTAGTTTACATTTGACTATTTTTTAAGACATTAAGGATTTGTTAACTTCCTAATGAATATAGATTAGAAAAATAATATTAAGGAGTCATAATAATATATATTAATATTTCTGTAGTTTGTGTCTAGAAAATATATTTTTCTTATGTGCAGTGTTTAGCAGTAGCATTAAAAAATGAATGGAAATCCCAGATAAAGTATAACAAAGTTATTGTCTATTATTTATAATGTAATATTATCTGTTTATCATTTTTATTAGGTTAATAATAATGAAATGGTTGCATTACAACGAGATCCTAATAACCCTTATGATAAGAATGCAATTAAAGTAAACAATGTGAATGGAAATCAAGTTGGCCATTTAAAGAAAGAGCTTGCAGGTGCTTTGGCCTATATCATGGACAACAAATTGGCACAAATTGAAGGGTAATGTACTTTCAGAATTTAGTTTTAATAATTGTGAATTATAGTCATCTTTGAACTTGTTAGGGCTTCTTGTTAGAGCCTATAAAGGTATGCTAACAATTTCTATCACTGTACTTTTGGTACGTGTTAAATAAATGTTTTATTTCTCCTTTTACATACTTCTACTACCCCAGCCATCAAACAATTGTCCTCTCATTTTCCTATGGAATTATTACCATGGAGAAAATAGACCTTGGTTCAAATATTAGGAAGTACATTCCATTTCTCCAAACCTTTTGGTACCTAGGTTTAGGAATTTGGAAGTGTTTATTTGTTTATTTATTTATTTATTTATTTTGAGACGAAGTCTCACTCTGTTGCCCAGGCTGCAGTGCAGTTGTGTGATCTCGGCTGACTGCAACCTCCGCCTCCAGGGTTCAAGCAACTCTCCCTGCCTTAGCCTCCTGAGTAGCTACAGGTGCCTGCCACCATGCCCAATTAATTTTTGTATTTTTTAGTAGAGACAGAGATTTGCCATGTTGGCCAGGCTGTCTCGAACTCCTGACCTCAGGTGATCTGCCCGCCTCGGCCTCCCAAAATGCTGGGATTACAGGCGTGAGCCACCGTGCCCAGCCTGGAAGTGTTTGTTTATATCAGAGGTTATAAACTGGTATTCTGTGATATGATGTAGGTGAATTTCATTTTGCCCTGCAGTGTTTTAGACATTTTTTCGTTCAGTACTAATTATTGAAATAGCTAAGTCCGCATTTTATACATATTAATTTATTTTCTTAAATACAAAAAACTTATTTTTCTCTTGACAAGTGGGAAATCTGGCAATGCAGGATGAGTTGTCACTTCCATATGACAATAGTTGACTGGAACTCTCCCTTTAGCTAGGGCATATGCTCTCCCAGTTTTATCACCTGTTTCTTTTTTCTTTTTCTAAACTCTTTCAATCTTTCAGTTACCTTTTCTCTTTTAGGCATTTGTACTTGTGATCTCAATTTAAGTATCTGGAATATTTAGGATCTTGATATTCTAATTCTAATTTTTAGGATATTCATATAATCCTAGGTGAGTTTGAAGAGAAAATAAATGCTCATAATGTCTCACTTTGTTTTCTCCTTTTTCAGTTTATCAGGTTTTTCAGTTATTGAGAATAACTTAGTGAATCACAAGTTCTTGCATTTCCCATTTTCCAAGCAGAATGAGTTACTACCCTCAGTGGTTCCGTTAGCCAAACTCTACCCTTTGATTTAACTTATTTTACTTATATTACAATCTTGTTTACAGGCCATCCTTGCATTTTTAAAACTGCTTTATTCCATTTTCTCAATTTTTTCTGGCACTCTGTTTCTAAAAATCACCCTTCTGATTGTTTATGGTTCTATTTCTTTTCCTTTTTTTCTTTCAAGTCTGCCCAACTAGTTCCTTATTACTTTACTTCAATGTAAAATGTAAATGATACACTTAAAATATTGAACTAATTCTTAGTGGGGATAAAAAGTAATGCTTCTGATTTCCCTTTCTTTTTCTCCCAAATATAATAGGGTAGTTCCTTTTGGTGCAAACAATGCTTTTACCATGCCTCTGCATATGACTTTTTGGGGAAAAGAAGAAAATAGAAAAGCGGTTTCAGATCAGTTGAAGAAACATGGATTTAAATTGGGTCCTGCACCAAAAAGTAAGTTTAGGGTTTCACTTAATATTATTCTGATATTGTAAGATGCAGGGATTATGAAACATTTATTCTCTCTTGGAGTTTGTTGGCTAATTTGTGCTCAAGGCTCCAAGGTACAACTTTTTTTCAGGAGTCTTTTTGAGGAAATCTCTGATTTTTCCTTTTGCCTCTATTGAAATAGATTCACACATAAAAATATACACAGTAAGAGTGAGGGGATATTAAAAAAATTAAAGAAAAAGTATATATGCAATGAAGTCTCATATATACCCTCCCCTAATTTTCCCTAATGGTAACATCTGGAAACCCCTGACTTTAAACATTCTTTTTGATAAATTTTAGGCAAAAATAATCTTCTGATAGCGAATGAAAAGGATTGCTTGGCAAGAGTTTGTTCAAATAATGTGGAATTACTTGTTTTTTTAGTGATTTAGTATTTAGCTTTTAAAATACCTCTAAAATACAAGGCTTTTAATGCAGTTTGTTATGCACGTTTTATTTATTTATTTGTGTATATATTTTGAGACAGAGTCTTGCTCTGTCACCCAGGCTAGAGTACAGTGGCCACGATCAGTGGCTGAGTGCAACCTTGACCTCCTGGGCTCCAGCAGTCCTTCCACCTGAGCCTCCTGAGTAGCTGGGACTACAGGCGCACACCATCACGCTCTGCTAATTTTTGTATTTTTTGTAGAGACAGAATCTCACCATGTTGCCCAGGCTAGTCTCAAACTACTGGACTCAGGCAAACCACCTGCCTTGGCCTCCCAAAGTGCTTGGGTTACAGGCATGAGCCACAGCACCCAGCCCTGTTAATGCATATTTTAAAAGCTACTTAATAAAAGATAAAAACCTACTTTATTTGATGGCTTTATTCTTTTTATTTTGTAAATTATAGCTTTAGGATTCAATTTGGAAAGTGGTTGGGGCTCTGGAAGAGCTGGACCAAGCTATAGTATGCCAGTGCATGCTGCAGTACAGATGACAACTGAACAGGTGTGCTTCTCTTTTATTTTGTAATCTAAAAGTGAATTTTAAATGTTGCAGGTTTGTATTTAAAAGAACAGGATGAATATGTACGTGTGGGTATTTGTGGTCTTCAAATATATTAAGTTATAATGAAACATGTTATAGAATAAATAGAATATATATATGTTAACATTTTATATAAAAAGTACTGATAAGGAATAAATCCATACGTGAACATTTGTACCCAACATACAAAACACACACGTTCCTGTTTATGCACGGCATATTTTTGTATCTGAAATGTTTTAAATGTTCAAGTAGTAATTTTAAGAAAAAAATTGAAGCTGAGACTTAACTCCTTTCAGTAATTTTGCAAATGCAGTGCTAAAGATTTAACTCCAAATTCTTCACATTGTCTAATTTGTAATTTAGGATGAGTTATGCTGAATTTCTTTGAAAAAAAAGTATATAAAGTAATTAATGCAGATCAATTTAAAAATAACATTAAAACTTTTTTGATGTTTGTATCTACCAGTGTTAGTCCTTTTATCTACTAATTGTAGTTACCATATTTACCCTGCTTATTGTTAGAAGGACTTGAGCTTGTTTCTGGTAGATAAGCCCCCGGTTACTTCTGATTTTTTAGACCTGGCCTGATTTCTTCTGAGCTGCTGCTGTGTTCATGTGTTAATTTTCAAAAATATCTGTATCACATATATGTTGATATAAAATTGGACTAACCTAGTTTAAATAGTCAATTAAGTTAGCATAATAATAAAAGTATCCTATAGTGCATGGCAAGTTCCTTATTGCAGTAATAATAAATGGAATGTCATTGACCTGGTAGGACTGAGAAAATATTTTGAATACAACTGATAGCATCACAGAATTTTAATGGCAGAAGGAACCTTAGAGACAATCTAAATTTAGTTCATCCCTTTCATTTTATAGGAATAAGACATGGGGCCATAAAGGTCAAGTCTTGCTGAAACTTACATATAAGCTTATTTGTGATAAAACTGTGACTGAAACTCGGGACTTAAAATTCTTTTATATTCTTTTACCTCCTAACAACTAAAGCACCTGTTCATTCGCTCTTCAGTGAGTAGTGTAATTCTAGAGTTGATTTATGTGCCTTTTTGGCGTTTGACTAGTTTGTGGTTTTTAAATTTAATTTAATTTCAATTTCTTAATTTTTTGGGACAGGGTCTCACTTTCTTGCCCAGGCTGGAGTGCAGTGGCATAATCATGGTTCACTCTATCCTCTACCTACTAGGCTGAAGTGATCCTCCCATCTCAGCATCCCTAGGAGCCAGAACTACAGGCATGCACCCCCATGCCTGGCTAATTTTTTAAAAATTTTTTTGTAGAGATGGGATCTCTCACTATGTTATCCAGGCTGGTCTCAAACTCCTGAGCTCAAGTGATCCTCCCACCTTGGTCTCCCAAAGTGCTGAGATTATTGGCATGAGCCACCACTCCTGGCCCGTTTGACATTAACGCCAGTTAATTAAATGATTTCAAATCTGACTTAAATGCAAGTATTATTTTAATTAGTTTGTTTTACATTGTTTCTTGTTGCTGTTTATTGTAGCTTAAAACAGAATTTGACAAATTGTTTGAAGATTTAAAAGAAGATGATAAAACCCATGAAATGGAACCAGCTGAGGTATTGAACCAATATTTTTTATTTAAGACTACTCAGAATGTTTAAATATACTTAGAATCTACTTTTTGTTTAATCACAGGATCTGCATGTGAAAAAGGAATGGCTTAATGTATTTCGCTTTATGACTTTTTATTTATAGGCTATTGAAACACCACTGCTTCCACATCAAAAACAAGCTCTAGCTTGGATGGTGTCACGGGAAAATAGCAAAGAACTTCCACCATTCTGGGAACAGCGAAATGACTTATACTATAACACAATAACAAATTTTTCTGAGAAGGACCGACCAGAAAATGTCCATGGAGGAATTTTAGCTGATGATATGGGTTTGGTAATTATTTTTTTCTTTAGTTAATAAAATCTAATTTTGTGATTATGATTTTCTAGAAAGTAATTTTGAAGTAAAAAGAGATAGGAATATGTTGGTACCAGTTTGGGACTAGATCTTACTATCTTTGTAGAACACAGTTTTTCCTGTAGTTTTTAGTTAAAATAGTGGTATAAAGATGTGTTCCTCAGTTTTCTTTTTTTTTTTTTTGAGATGGAGTCTTGCTCTGTCACCCAGGCTGGAGTGCAGTGACGCGATCTTGGCTCACTGCAGCCTCCGCCTCCCAGGTTCAAGCAGTTCTCCTGTCTCAGACTTCCAAATAGCTGGGATTACAGGCATGTGCCACCATGCCCAGCTAATTTTTGTATTTTTAGTAGAGACAGGGTTTTACCACGTTGGCCAGGCTGGTTTTGAACTCCTGACTTCAAGTGATCCGCCCGCCTTGGCCTCCCAAAGTGCTGGGGTTACAGATGTGAGCCACCCTGCCTGGCCATGTTTCTCAATTTTCTTTGCTCTTTGAAATTCAGGGTGACCTGTCTTTCATAGGTTTTCTTTTAAAAAGTAAAGACAAAACAATGTTATGTGAAATTGTATTCCATCACAAATATTGTGTTATGCAGAGTATTAAATAGATACTTATGTGTCCTTACACTAGCAGTTTTTATATTTTTCAGTCTCAGTAACCCTTTCTACTCATAAAAATTACTGATTTCAAAGAGCTTTTGCTTTTGTGTGCTGTTATCAGTAGTTATAGTATTAGGCAGTGGTAGCTAAAGATAGCAGTACAAACTCATTGCTTGTTAACATAAATAGCATATTTTTAAAAGAAAAATAACTATGCCAAAACATTAACATTTTTGTTGCAACAACTGGCATTGTCACATTTTTGCACATCTCTGTGTTTGGCCGAATAGATGGCAGCTGAATTCTCACCTGCTTCTTCATTCAGTCTGTTCTGTTAGGTTGTTTTGGTTGAAGTATATGAAGAAAATTTGTCCTTACGACGGTATGTTGCTGTAAAGAGAGGAGTATTGTAATAGCTTTTTAGATAATTGCAGATTTCTTTGATATACTGCATCAAAATTCAATAAATATTAGTTTATTAAAGGTTAATTGTTGTAATATGGAACGCTAAATCATATCAGTGAGCTTTTTATACCCTGTTTTGTTAAAATCTATTTGTGTATCTTGCTCATTGAATGAATATTTTACCCATGTATGATTTTATAACACCAGGCATTGCTCATTTAGAAAATGTTGGTTCATTGAGTTGGGCAGACCTACTAAATGTTGATGTATTTCATATGCAATATCCAAAACTTACATTCATTAATATTACCACTGATGTTATTAGAAAATCATTTACATTTTGGGAAGGCACTATGTTCATAGTGTCACACACAACTTTTCCAACATTCTAATTTTCTATTGAAAACTCACATTTTATCATTGACAAGCTCAGTTGTTTCCTTTGTAGATGACAGCCTCACTTTGTTCATTTTCTAGAAAGTATCTTTCAGACACTCAGTCGTGATTGATAGTTGTCATTCAAGTAAAAATGGTGTCGCATGAAAAAAGTGACTAGTTGAGCTTATAACTCCCATCTTGAGTGATTTTTCTCTAGCTAACCCTCATAGTTTGATATGCAACAGAAGTAGTTAATATGTAGTTTCCATTTCACTACACAGAATATTAAAAAGATTTGTACTGAAGTAATGAGACTTAATAAAATTAATGTGTACTGCTTCGTCAAGAACATTCTTCTTCTTTTTTTTTTTTTTTCTTGAGATGGAGTTTCACTCTTGTTGCCCAGGCTGGAGTAATGGTTCAGTCTTGGCTCACTGCACCCTCCGCCTCCCAGGTTCAAGTGATTCTCCTTCCTTAGCCTCCCAAGTAGCTGGGATTACAGGCATGCACCACCACACCTAGCTAATTTTTTGTATTTAGTAGAGACGGGGTTTCACCGTGTTGGTCCAGGCTGGTCTTGAACTCCTACCTCAGGTGATCCACCTGCTTCGGCCTCCCAAAGTGCTGGGATTACAGGCCTGAGCCACTGTGCCCAGCCAAGAACATTCTTAAGGAAAACTTTTTTTTTTAACTGTATGTGGCAGTTAAGAATATGATGACTAGTACTAATATACCTTAGTGCCAACTGCTTTGTTTTATGCTGAGGCACTTTTTTGACCATTGCTATTTGGGCTTTTTGTAGGATTAGTGCAGATGTTAACAGAGTAAGGTCTGTCTTAGTAGTATTATAAAAACAGTTTTGACTTTGCATTTTCGTGAAGGGCTCCTGGGAAACCCTCCCCATCCCCAGTGGCCTGTGGACCACACTTTGAAAACTGCTGTTATTTACACTGCTTTAAAATTGCCAGAGATTTACTAATGTATTGCCAACTATGAATTAAGCTGCAGTAAATATTGAAAAATTACATACTTCCACTTAAGAAAAATGCATAAGAAATATATCTTTTATGCTTTATGGAGAAGTTATGACTTTTAAGCTTGGTATTATCTTTAAGTCAAATTTTAATAAAATGATTATATGCATACTGGAATTACTAATCACTTTAGCTCCGAACTTCATGGCAAATGAGTAGTTATAAATAGTTGCATGATAAAAATCAAGAGTTCAGGATTAAATGTAGAATTGTAGAATAGCAGTCATTCAATAAAATGACACTTCTCAGAGATACTTGTAGTATTTTATAGTGTAAATCATTTAATAATTCCCTAATAATGCAGTGGGGGAAAGCATTTTCTAACTAAATGAAATACTCATTTTTCATTAATATACAGTACACTTTTGTGACCTTGAATGATATTTGATATTCGATTACTTGATTTTAAAATGGGAACGTTTTTCTGGTGAACTGGGTTTCACAATCTGACCATTTATCTTTTTAAAACATTTTTAAGGGTAAAACTCTTACGGCCATTGCAGTAATCCTTACCAACTTCCATGATGGCAGACCTCTTCCTATTGAAAGAGTTAAAAAGAATCTACTGAAGAAGGTAAAGTAGTAGTAAGTGCGCTTTATGTGAAACCTCCAGTTTATTGTGAAATCTTTAAATTTCATCATTAAAAAAAACTACCAAGAAATTGTGTTTTCAGAAATGCGATGAATGGTCTCTCTGTCTTTTATGTGTTGCTGATAAGAATGAAAGTTCGTGTCACATTCTTTTTACGTTTTCAGACAAGGTGTGGCTCTGTTGCCCAGGCTGGAGTGCAGTGGCGCAATCTCAGCTCACTGTAACCTCTGCTTCCCAGGCTCAAGTCGTGGGATTTCGCCATGTTGTCCAGGCTGGTCTCGAACTCATGAGCTCAAGCCATCTACCTGCCTCAGCCTCCCAAAGTGCTGGGGCTATAGGTGTGAGCCACCAGCAGGTATCACATTCTTGAGAACAATTGATAATTTGTATCAGGAGTCTTAAAATTGTTTATAATCTTTGAACAATTTTGCCAGTCAATAATGCCATTTCTAAGAAACTATCTGAAAGGAGTTACCAGAAATTCATTTTTTCCAAAGAAAATACAGGTTTTTTTTTATTATTATTATTTTTTTTTCCCTCAACATTGTTTTAAAGGCTGGGCATAGTGACTGGCACCTGTAGTTCCACCTACTTGGGAGGCTGAAGCAGGAGGATTGCTGGAGCCCAGGAGTTTGAGCCTATGGTCAGCTATGATTGCACTATTGCACTCCACCTTCAGTGACACTGTGAGACCCTGTCTCTAAAACAAATAAAAATAAAATAAAGGTGGACAATTTGAAACATCTTTTGACAAGGGAACAGTTAAACGATATAGCCATAAAACTTACTATTATGTAACCATTAAGTATTATTTTTGATGAATAATCACTTTCATGATTCTTTTTAGTTAAAAAATGACAGGTACAAATCTTTGTGTGGAGTTTGGTTCCTC
This sequence comes from Homo sapiens, assembly GCF_000001405.40. Taxonomy (NCBI): domain Eukaryota; kingdom Metazoa; phylum Chordata; class Mammalia; order Primates; family Hominidae; genus Homo; species Homo sapiens. Next base: position 149,067,329 of record NC_000003.12, on the reverse strand, counting down.
ACTTTGTAAATAATATATTCATGTGTGTTTTAAGTCCATTCACTACACTATCTGTACCAAAATGTTAATAATAACTTATGTCCTAGTGATGAGAATAAGGGTGACTTTTCTTGAAAATTTGTGTGTGTGTGTGTATATATATACATATATATATGTATATAATATAAACATACATTTATATTTGGTTTCTAAGAATTAAAAATTAGTTTAGTGAGAAAAATAAATGTTACTAGAGAGGAACAGTTACTTCTTTTCTTACCTGAAAATTCAAGTAACTTAAATAGAAGGAAATAGCAAAAAGATGTATGCAATATACTTCTTTTCTGAACTCTTCTGAATTACCATTCTTCCTAGTTTTTAGTTTTCAGAGAAGGCAGTACATCAGTTTCCTGTCAGTGCTATTGAGATTTTATTTTATTAATGTCTGCACTTAGTTTTACTTCCTACTTTCTACTTTTATTGAGAGTTAAACCTGTTGAAGTCTCAGGTTCAATTCCTCACCCTGAGCAACCTAATGTTTTATGTCTTGTTCTTCCTACATTTGGTTATTGAAACTGAAGTTTTAGGTTACCAGATTTGATAGAAGCACATAAGACTACTTACTGCTTTAGTCTCAATTATTAATTGAGAAATTATCAATTAACAATAAGGATTTCTCTTATTTTTCCCCAAGATAAGTTATATATTTAAAGTGTGTTTTATAGTAGAAAGGTTTTAGAATATTTGGGTTGCTACATTAATTGAAATGGCAGCTGAAGATGTGATTTCCAGCCAGGGATTTATTAAAAAAAAAAAAAAAATTGTCACTCTTTCAAGTATGTTTAGATATTCCAAACATAAGTAGACTGAAATATTGATTTAAATTCCCCTAGATTCTAACATACTATTATTTCATCCAGCTTGGACTTGATAAAAAGTTTATCTTTGAACTTTATAGAGAAAAAGTTTGCTGAGCAAAATATTTTAATATAAAGAATAATGCAAAGCTGGGCATAGTGACTCATTCCTGTAATCCCAGCACTTTGGGAGGCTGAGGCGGGCAGATCACCTGAGGTTAGGAGTTCAAGACCAGTCTGACCAACATGATGAAGCCCTGTCTCTACTGAAAATACAAAATTAGCTGGGTGTGGTGGCGCATACCTGTAATCTCAGTTACTTGGGAGGCTGAGGCAGGAGAATCACTTGAACTCAGGAGGTAGAGGTTTCAATGAGCCGAGATTGTGCCGTTGCACTCCAGCCTGGGCAACAAGAGTGAAACTCTGTCTCAGAAAAAAAAAAAAGAAGATGAATGCAAAGGACATCCTTTATGTTTGAATAAACATTTAGTTTTTTTGCATACTGTTTAATATAAATGGTTATAGTAATTATTGTAGACTTGATAGGATGTTTGATGAAAAGCATTTTTACCATCTCTTTCTTGGAGCTAATGCTTAGACATTAACTGTCTAAAGTAACTCTTCTAGTTACGTATCTCTAAAAATATTGTATTTGGGATTTTAAATTAATTTAATTTTATTTTTTGAGACAGAGGGAGTGCAGTGGCGCAACCTTGGCTCACTACAACCTCCACCTCCTCAGTTCAAGCAATTCTCCTGCCTCAGCCTCCCAAGTAGCTGGGATTACAGGTGCCCGCCACCATGCCTGGCTAATCTGTGTCTATTTAGTAGAGACAGGGTTTTGCTGTGTTGGCCAGGCTAGTCTCGAGCTCCTGATCTTAGGTGATCCGCCCGCCTCGGTCTCCCAAAGTGCTGGCATGAGCCACTGCGCCCGGCAGATTTTTAGTTTTTTTTGATTGGTACCTTTAAAGAGGATGAACCTTTTCAACCACATTTTTAGTAAGACTTAACTCTAAGGGGGGATTTTTTAAGTGCTTACAATTCAAATTTTATAAAATTGTTTTCAATTCATGTACATTGGTGCCTTTGGAAACAAAGGTACATTGGAAAAGAAAAGAAAATGGGCTAGCAGGAAAATACCCCATGGAGTAAGAAGAGAGGACACTCTGGGACCTGTACTATTATATATTAGAGTTATTTGCCCTGCAAATTCTAGAGAAAGAGAGGATGACAATGGCAGCCTCATTAAAGATCTGAACATGGAACATTGGTTTGAAAAGTTTGAAGTCTGAGAATTCTTAATTATAAAGTAAATCCCAGTTCTTGAATTTTTCTCACAATAATGTGTCATTTATAATTGAGATTTGCTTTCGGTATTCCTTTCGAAAAGGTGAAGGCCAAGTAGTTTTATTTATTTTTTTTTTTTTGAGATAACCCGTGAAAAAATTTTAAATCAGTTTGTATATTTTCCTCTTCACTTATTCACCCTCCCCTTCAGTTGCTCCAGAATTGGGTAGCAATTTAAGTCGTTTTTATTATGCAAAGTAAAGCAATATAAAACAGGATGCATTTAAAGTTATTTAAAACTGATAGCAGTACTGTTTAAGAAATATGCCTATTTACCCAGGAATATAATGTTAACGATGACTCTATGAAACTTGGAGGAAACAATACCAGTGAAAAGGCAGATGGACTAAGCAAAGGTAAATGCTAATTTTGAAATGATCCAATATTTGATCTGGTAAACTTTAATTTGAATATGACCCAATATTTGATTTGCGTTTTTTCAGCCTAATATTGTAATTCTAGTTTTGGCTTTGTACTGTACAAAAATTTAGGATCTCTTTTTTAAAAGGTCTTCCCTGAGTACTGATAGGAAAGGTTTCATGAAGGAGATGATTGAATTGGGTAGTATAACATTTAGAGAACTGGGGAAGAGCATTTTGGGTTGTGAAAAAAAATCTCATGAAAGGGTACTTTAAAAAGAGCATGTTTTATTCTGGGACCTCAGTGAATTTTGTTGTATTTAAAATGTAATATGCATGGATAACAGCAGATAATGCTAGAAAGCTAGCTTTAGAGCCAAATTCTGAAGTCATAGGAGAAATGGAAAGAGATCTGTGGATTTTACTTAAATGACCCTCATAAAGCTTATTTCTAAAGATAGATTAGAGCAGACTGAAAATATTTTAAGAGTAGTAGGTGAAAAATTGTAAATAACAATTGGTGCTATTACTTAAGTTTGGAACAGGAAAGAAATAGAAAGGTGGCGAGTTAGGGTAAGATGAGGTTTTTTTTGTTTTTGATTTTGTTCTGTGGTCTAACTCATCTACCTAGATGAGTTAGGTAGATGAGTTAGCAGTAGAAGGAAAGAAGTAAGGTTGAAGGAAAGTATAGATAAATGAGTGGATTAAAAGATAGGAAAATTGAGATTTTTATGGAAGATACCTTCTCATTTTCTTTGTAAAGTGAAATAGGTCATCTTGGAATAAAAGGAGTTATAATCTAGGCAAAGGGGTCAATGTAGTATGGATCATTCTGGTATGGATCATTCTGATAAATGGGTAGGGGAGCCGAACAGTGTTTAGTAAAAAGAGTTACCAAGTGACACAAGGTGACATCTGAGATTTGAACATGTAAATTTATAACAGCACCTATTTGTGGTTCTGTTGATTTTTTTTTCCAATAGCTCTTAGCTGCCTTGGTACAGCAAGACATTCAGCTAGTGTGGGGATGGGCTGGATGAGTACAAAGAAAAGACTGGGTCATAAAAATTTGAAGGTACTTTCTAATTAGAAATGAGGAAATACTAGATTAGGAAAAAAGTAGAGAAAATAGAGTAATGAAAGGAATGAAGATCTTAAGAAAACTGAAAATCAGTAATTAGAAAACCAAGGTTTTAAGAGGGATAATACTAGTTTCTAAGACACCTTACTAATACTTTATATTTGCATTTTTCTTTGAAATAGACGCATCTAGATGTAGTGAACAACCCAGTATTTCAGATATCAAGGAGAAGAGTAAGTTTCGCATGTCAGAATTGTCTAGCTCCCGCCCCAAAAGGTAAACTATTATGGTTTGATTATGTCATATGTTTATTTAGACTCTGTTTTCTTATGTGTAAAAGAGATAGAGGCTGGGCACGGTGGCTCACACCTGTAATCCCAGCACTTTGGGAGGCCGAGGCGGGCGGATCATGAGGTCAGGAGATTGAGACCATCCTGGCTAACACAGTGAAACCCCGTCTCTACTAAAAATAGACAAAAATTAGCCAGGCGTGGTCGTGGGCGCCTGTAGTCCCAGTTACCCAGGAGGCTGAGGCAGGAGAATGGCGTGAACCCGGGAGGCAGAGCTTGCAGTGAGTTAAGATCGCACCACTGCACTGCAGCCTGGGTGACAGAGTGAGACTCCGTCTCAAAAAAAAAAGAAAAAGAGAGAGATAGAGATGACCATGACCCTTATATTTGTTAAGTAGTTCTTTCAAATACATTCTTTTATTTGAAACTACCAAGATCACTATGACTTAGGCAGATAGAGTATTCTCATTTTACAGATGAAGAAGAATGATACTGACCTATAAAAGAAATGAATTGGTAAATTTTAATAATCACTCATCTTTCTACTACTTTTTTTCTATTTTGTCAAGGAACTAAGATCTAGATCTTGGGATTTTTGCTTTTTTTTGAGATTTTAGAAGTTTTCTTTATGGATTTAAGGGGATGAAAACTGAAGAATATTTTATTAGATAACTTGACAAAAGCATTCTTGATCGTTTCAGTTCTTCACATGTAGTGGAAATAAGACATGATAAAGTTATTTGTGGACAGTATTATATTAACATAGACTAGAGGGAGAATTTGAATAAAAGATGTAATTCCCCTCTGATCTTGTCTTGAATCTGTTAACTTTACAAACTTCATTTATCTTCTGAAGTAGGTCTAAAAATTGGGCTTTTGTTGTATTGTCTACCATCAGTATCTACACAAGTCATCGCAAATTTGTCTCTGCTAGCTATTTCATCAACAAAGGTTTTGAAACTGGCTATGTTAATTGTTCTGTCATTAATAGCTGTCTGAACTAAGCACAAAGCCAGCACTCATCAGTGTTATCTAAATCTAATTGCTTCAGATTTAGATAAATGACAAATGTTACAACTTTGAACTTATCATAAACCTGGGTAACACAACACTGTTAATTGGACAAGATCAGATTAAAGGACATAGAAATAATAATGGTGAGGACATGAGAAAAACTTAACAACAGCTGACACACATGTTATAGCTAATAGTTATGTTATTGTGTAACAGGCACTCTTTTAGGGGCTTTTGCATGTAGTAACATTTTATTCTATGAGGATTATATTTTTATTTCTATTTTTCTTATGAGGAAACAGGCATTGAAGAATATTAGGTAATTTACTTAAAATCACATAACAAATTACTGGTGGAATGAGGATTTAAAGCTAGGCAGTCTGACTTCAGAATTTATTGCTCTTAGGCACTTAATCACTGTTAAACTTTCTACACAAAATTTATGAAATTTCCTATTGTGAAAGAATTACATTTTTGCCTTTTGGCTGCTTATTTCATTGTGTTAGAAGTATTTTCTTTGATAAGAGCCAATTCTTTTTTCTTTTCTTTTCTTTTTTTTTTTTTTTGAGACAGAGTTTTGCTCCTGTCGCCCAGGCTGGAGTGCAATGGCATGATCTCGGCTCACTGCAACCTCTGCCTCCCGGGTTCAAGCAATTCTCCTGCCTCAGCCTCCTGAGCAGCTAGAACTACAGGCACGCACCACCACACCTGGCTAGTTTTTGTATTTTTAGTAGAAACGGGGTTTCACCATGTTAGCCAGTCTGGTCTCAAACTCCTGACCTCAGGTGATCTGCCCACCTCCGCCTCCCAAAGTGCTGGGATTGCAGACATGAGCCACCGTGCCTGGCCACGAGCCAATTCTTTTTTGTTCCAGTTTTATATGCTTTAATTGAACTACCAAATATTAAACCTGGTATTGAAATTTTTAATTTTTTAGAATGACTTAGTTTTTCAAATTTATTTTATTTTATTTTATTTTATTTTATTTTTTTGAGATGGAGTGTCGCTCTGTCAGGCGGGCTGGTGTGCAGTGGCGCAATCTCCGCTCACTGGAAACTCCGTCTCCTGGCTTCACGTCATTCTCCTGCCTCAGCCTCCCGAGTAGCTGGGACTACAGGCACCCACCACCACGCCCGGCTATCAAATTTATTTTAATAATAGTGAAATTCGCTGGGTGTAGTGGCACGCACCTGTAGTCCTAGGTACTCCCGAGGCTAAGGCGGGATGATCACTTGAGCCCAGGAGTATGAGGTTGCAGTGACTTCTGATTGTGTCACTGTACTCCATCCTGGGCAAAAGAGTGAGACCCTGTCTCAAAAAACAATAACGGTGGTACTCCATTTTGTATAGTTAATGCATCTATCTGGTTATGAAAGCAGAATGCTTTTAGCAGATCTGACTTTCATTTGTCAAAATCTTTAAAAAATTTTTCAAAAAATAAATGAGTAGGACAAAAGTTTTTTATTGCATTTATTAAACATGTTTGTATATCTTATTTTGCTTTGGGTTGGTCCAAAAATTTCTTTGTGTATACTTAATTTTAGAAGAAAAACTGCTGTCCAGTACATAGAAAGCAGTGATTCAGAGGAAATTGAAACAAGTGAATTGCCGCAGAAAATGAAAGGTAACATGTAATAGATTTGATTTGATAATGTGTCCTATATTCTAATGTCCTGTTTTGCCCATTTTTATGTTTATTTTTGTTTTATTTTTAGGCAAACTGAAAAATGTACAGTCTGAAACTAAAGGCAGGGCGAAAGGTATGTGTATACTATATACCCATAATCTAGACTTCAAGATTATTAAAGTACAGCTCCATTGATTTGTATCTCGCTAGGTTGGAATGTTTTAGTAATAGCTCTTAAACTTGGCTGATGTTTACATTTGAACTCTTCATGGAGCTAACCATGGGTTTTAAATTAATTTTGTAAAGGAGGAAAAGTGAATAAATAGTTGCAAATTAAAATCTAAGGGATAATAATATTTAAACTATACTTAAAACAATTTTCTACTACCTATAAAATGACTTCAATAAAACCTATGTGTGTAGTATGAATAGTAATTACAAAATTAGGTTGAGAATGTCTTCCTGGCAATACTATTATTGTTTACATTATTATACAGATGTGAAAATAATCAAATTTTTTCTTTTTCTTTAAAATATGTTTTATTTTCCTGTAATTCACATCATACTATATTTCTCATTCGTTGAGAAATTGTATTGCATTTGGAAAATAACTGATCATCTTGACTGATCTGAAAATTTGGCAGCCTTATCATTAGGAATCAAACTGTTTGTTTCCTTGAAAAATTCTCCTTCCACCTGAGAGCCGAATTACTTTGCATATGACTGCTCCTACTTTCATTTCTTCTCCTCAAGTCTTACCATGAATGACTACATCGTTTCTCTGAGTTGAAAAGATATCCTTAGTGTCAGAGGTAGTAATTTTGGTTACCAAATATTTTAACTTAATAATATAAGCTCTTACAATAGAGGGTGAAAATGATATTCTATTTCTTACCCTTAGAAAGTACCTGTACTCTAGCACAGGAGATAATTTGAAAAAAATTTAAGATTCTTTGTTGTTTTATCAGCAGGATCTTCTAAGGTTATAGAAGATGTGGCATTTGCATGTGCATTAACTTCATCTGTTCCTACAACAAAAAAGAAAATGTTGAAAAAGGGTCAGTAAATATCCTTGTTTTCTAGTTTTTGGTTTTTTTTCTGTTTTTGAATGAAAAAATTTAAAATTTTAAGTTATAAAACCATATTACAAGAAGTTTAGAAAATAGAGACTATTTTTTAAAGTATATAACCCATTAAAAGAACAAAGCTACCTCATAATTTGTTTTCCTTTTGGTGCATTTTCCTACTGTATTTGTTTTAGTTAGGGCCAAAATGTGATGGGGGCCCTTACTCCTCTGAATAGCAGAGATATTTCTTCTAGTGATGGCACAAAGCAATTTGTGGCTGCTTTAAAGCTTAATTTAATTTTGGTTAATTTAAGTTAAAGGTTTAATTTTTTGGTATTAGAATTTGCTTTTCATTTTAAAATGTTAGTGATCTTTGTTATGATTTTATATTTTGTAATTCATAGGAAAACAACACTGCTTAAGAGACTAAATATTTGAGATGGGAAGAGATTGAACTAAGGTTGAGAAGATCTGAGACAAATTATATCTCTGCCCCTTGGTCTCCATTATTTTACATGTTGGGGATATAGCAGGCTATCTGTTTTCATATAGCATATGATGTAATGATGAGAGAAATATACAATAAGCAAGTCAATATAATTTTAAATAATGAGAAGTAATGTGAAGAAAAAGGAGGATAATGAAGTAAAGATTGACCTGAAGGGGCTTGTTTATGAAGCTAACATAGACTCATGAGAAAGAGCCGACTTTTGGTCCAAGAATCAGATAATTAGGAATAGAAAATATAGGCATGTTGGGTGGATTATTCTTTACCCTAATTTTAGAAATTTAAAGAAATGTGGAAATTTCGGTTGAGATAGAATTAAATTACACATTAGAAACCACTTTCAGTTGCAGATGCATAGCTGTGATACAAGAGAGAACATTTTCAAAGTCACAGCTGTGTGTCATTTTGGTTTTAACCAAACTAAGTATATCTTTGAAAGAGAAGCAGAATAGAAACAAAACTCTGTGAATGGAGACAGAAGCCATAATCCTGATTGTCCTTGTGGTAGATAGTGATCTCTTTAGTAAGACACAAAAGGTCATAAGGAAAAGATTGATTAAATGCCACTACATTTTAAATTTCCATGCATCAAAAGGTGCCATAAACAAAGTAAAAAATGATAAAACTGAAGAAGATAATGTGTATTAAGTGTAACTGACAAAAGGTTCAATTCTAGACTATGTAAGAACTTTCCAAACAATTGGAAAAAGACCACCCAATAGGAGAATAGTCAAAGGATGTACATATGGAGTCCATAGAAAGAAAACCCAAATAACCAGTTAACACTGGAAAAAATATGCTGATTCAGAATTATTGGGGAGATGCAAATTAAAGGAATAGTGGCAGCAGGCATGGTGGCACATGCCTGAAATTGCAGCACTTTGGGAGGCCGAGGCCCATGAGTTCAAGATCAGGGGTGGGCAACATGGCAAAATCCTGTTTCTACAAAAAAATACACAAAATTAGCCAGGCATGGTAGCACATGCCTGTAGTCCCAGCTACTTGAGCCTGGGAGGTCAAGGCTGCAGTGAGCCATAATAGCGCCACTGCATTCCAGCCTGGGTGACAGAGCGAGACCATGTCTCAAAAACATAAAATAAAGGAATAGGGGGATGCTCTTACCCTTCATATTTTCAGACATTAAAAAATCTCACAATGCCAAGTATTGACAAAGTTGTGCAGCAATAGGAATTCGTGCATTGTTGATGGGAGCGCCAATTACCAAGGAGAGCAACTGGACAAAAATATAATGAAGCTGAATATAGACCATCTGTAACTCTGTAAATATAAATAAGGAGACATGAAAAAATGGTTTTCATTGCAGCATTATTTTAATGGAATATTAGAAATAATGTACATGTTGTCCAGTAGGGGAATGGTAAATAAATTGTAATCTACTTTGCAGTATGATGCTATGAATTGGTTAAAATGAATACACTAGAGCTACAAATACTAATAAGTGTAAATCCCAAACACAGTTGTTCTTTATCTGCAGTTTCACGTTCTACAGTTTCAGTTCTAAAATATTATATACAATAAGGTATTTTGAGAGACAGAGAATGACCACATTCACATAAGTTTTATTACAGTACAGTCATCCCTCAGTATTTGTCAGGGATTTGGTTCCAGGGCCCCCTGTGTATACCAAAATGTGCGCATACTCAAGTCCCACAGTCTGCCCTGCAGGACGAGTATATATGAAAAGTTGGCCTTCCATATACATGAGTTTTGCAATCAGCAGATACTGTTTTTTTGTTTGTTTGTTTGTTTGTTTTGAGACGGAGTCTCACTCTGTCGCCCAGGCTAGAGTGCAGTGGTGCGATCACGGCGCACTGCAACCTCCACCTCATGGGTTCAAGCAATTCTCCTGTCTCAGCCTCCCAAGTAGCTGAGACTACAGGCGCCTGCCACCATGCCCGGCTAATTTTTTGTATTTTTAATAGAGACGGGTTTCACCATGTTAGCCAAGATGGTCTTGATCTCCTGACCTCATGATCCACCCGCCTCAGTCTTCCAAAGTGCTGGGATTACAGGCATGAGCCACCATGCCTGGCCCATTCTGTATTTTTTTTTTTTTTTTTTTTTTTTTTTTTGAGACGGAGTCTCGCTGTCGCCCAGGCTGGAGTGCAGTGGCGCAATCTCGGCTCACTGCAGGCTCCGCCCCCTGGGGTTCACGCCATTCTCCTGCCTCAGCCTCCCGAGTAGCTGGGACTACAGGCGCCCGCCACCTCCCCCGGCTAATTTTTTGTATTTTTAGTAGAGACGGGGTTTCACCGTGTTAGCCAGGATGGTCTCGAGCTCCTGACCTCGTGATCCGCCCGCCTCGGCCTCCCAAAGTGCTGGGATTACAGGCGTGAGCCACCGCGCCCGGCCCATTCTGTATTTTTAATCCACGTTTGGTTAACAAAAATTTGCATGTAAGTGCATCACATAGTTCAAACATATTGTTTAAGGGTCAACTGTATATTGTTATAATTGTTCTGTTTTATTCTTTGTTGTTACGAATCTCTTACTGCACCTACTTTATAAATTAAACTTTATTGTAGGTATATATAGGGAAAAAACATTATATATAGGGTTTGGTACTATTTATGGTTTTAAGTATCTATTGAGGGTCTTGGAACATACCCCCAGTGGATAAGGAGGGACTACTGTAGATAGCACTGAGAGAAAAAAGCAAGTTGTGAATGATACGTAGATACAGTATGATACTTTGCTCACCTTCCAGTTTAATTTTGAAATTAGTGTGAAAATACAATTTTTTAAAAACTCAGAAATTTGCATTTTAAGTTTACTGGAAGATACTCCATTGGTAAGGGATACCATCTCTAGAATTTATTTCAAGAATTTGTAAAAACACTTTATTATCACTATTTTTAAACATGCTCCACAGAAAAGTATTAAGAATTTTTGTTGTAATATATTAGTTACCTATTACTGTGTAACAAATTATCCTAAAACTTAGCCATTTAAAATCAGACATTTATTATCTCACACACTTTGACAGGGCTGGAAGTCGGAGTGGCTTAGCTGGATGGTTTAATGGCTTATGGTCTCTTACGAGGTTGCAGTCAAACTCTTCTTCAGGGGCCGCCGTCATCTGAACATTGGACTTAGGGAGGATCCATTTCCAAGTTCACTCACATAGTTGTCAGCAGACCTCATTACTTGCTGGCTAACTGTAGTCTTCAGATCCTCACTATGTGCATCCTTCCATAAGTTGCCTGAGTGGCCTCACATCGTGGCAGCTGGCTCCACCAGAGTGAAAGATTGGAGAGAGAGAATGAGTATGAGAGTGAGCTTGCACACCCAATACGGAAACTTCTTTTGTAATCTATCTCAGAAGTGACATACTATCTTCTCTGCTATATTCTGTTGGTCACACAGACCAGTCCTGGTGGAGTATGGGAGGAGATTACACAAGATTGTGAATATCAGGAAGTAGAGATCATTGAGGGCCATCTTGGCTGGCTACCAAATTAAATATAACACAAATTCAGAAAACTGCATAAAACAAATGTTCGTCTTAATGAATGACTATGACTATCAGAAAATATTAGAGACTTCCTCCTTGTGACCTACTCTCTGTCATAGTCCTTTGGTTCTTCTCATAATCACTATGTGGATTTTTAGTTTTTTTAAGTGATGAGGTAAAATTTATTCCCTGTTAAAAGTCCATCTGCTTCATTTTAATTGTTCCTAATTTATCTTTTCATGGAGGCACATTATTGCCATCTCCTTATTGACATATATATTTCAGAAAAACAGCTAAAGGTTCTATCAGTGGTTCATTTTTTTAGGAGCTTGTGCAGTGGAGGGGTCAAAGAAAACTGATGTTGAGGAGAGACCAAGAACAACACTGATCATCTGTCCGCTTTCTGTGTTAAGCAACTGGATTGTAAGTCTTTAAGCCCTTTAAAAATGTAACATAATTTATATTTTATCTACAAGGTAGAAAGTATTCTGTTAAAGAGTCATTCATTGGGGTAAATATACTTGGTCATCAGTTCGTATCTAAGTTCAAATAATCATCAGGTGAATTGGATTATGTTTGCTGAATTGAAGAAATTTTTCTTTGAAGATGTGTAGTAGAGAAGAAGGTAAAGGAACATAATCAATTGCTAACATAAGATTTGGTTTGTATTTCTGCCTTTGCTATTTTTGTCCCCCAAAGTGGGAAAGATGTATAGTTTGACTCCTCTACATTTACAGATTGACTGTTGGAACTGTCTTTTCTAAGAGCTATACCAACAATAACTTATTTTTATAACAATAACAACAGTTAGTGAACTCCTGTTTATTTGGTTTGTCCTTAACCTCTTTTAAGGATTTTTCTCATTTAATTCTCATAACTGTTACCCTGATTTTCCAGGTGCCCACATTGAAACACAGAGAGGTTAAGTTGCCTAAGGTCATCCAGCTAATAAATGATGGATCTTGTATATAGTCTCCAACATTTTGAATCTAGAGCCTGTCCTTTTAACACTACCCATCAGAAATTTTTTTTTTCCAGATTGCTTTTCTGTTCTGAAACATTGACATTGGAATGGAACCTCTTGATTAATTGTTTATTTGCAGCCTGGATATGTTTTCTTCCTAGTTTGAGCTTCAAACTTCTTGTTATGATGAAATAATGACTCTCTTGGAATCCCTGTGAATATAAGGACCACTCACCGTTCTTGCCACTTCCAAGTTATCTGTTTATCTCTCATCGCCATTCTTCTTATGTCAGAGGAGGAAGAGATCCTACTCTTTTTAAGACCAGTATTTAGTCTCTACATTGGATTCTCTCTTTTCCCACATTGCTCATCTGTTCTTTTTTCCCTTGTTTATTTAGTCTCTTCCCACTGGCTCTTCCTGATACATACTCAGGTTTTTTCATTTTAAAATACATTCTCTTGATATGCATCTTTAAAAGTTGCTACTCTTCTGCTTTCCTTCACTGTCATACTCTTGGAGGTTAATTTCTACTTTGTGCTTTTACTTACTAATTCCTTAATTCATTGTAATCTGGCTTGTACCATTAGTTCTCTAAATTGCATTGGAAAAGACTACTTGTGATAGTTTAATTGTCAAATTTAGTGGCCTCTTCTTGGCTTTATAGTCTTTTTTTCCGTGACATGAATTATCTTTTTTTATATAAGTTTTTGGTTTATTTATTTATTTTTTAAATTACACCTTGTCCTGATAAGTGTATCATTTTTCCTCTTAGGACCAGAAGAATGAATGTTAATGGTCTGTTGCTATTTTTTTATTCCAACGAAACTGTTCTTTCTTTAATTTGTTGTTTGTTATGGGAAGGATAGTACATGGGTACTTGAATGGCAGTTTTGGGATGAGGTTTAGAGTATTAATGGAGGTATAAACTATCTAACTGATTATTTGAGGGCTTGGGGTATAGAGATGTATTTTTAAAATGGGTAATCAGTATTTAATTATAATTTTATATTTAGGAAAGTTCAAGTAATGTAAAGTTCAGAAAGGAAAGTGTGGCAAAATCTTGCCAAGTGAGATCATGCACACTCTGTGAATTTAAAGGAATGAGAGGTGGTTTGGCATTTAGGGATTCATGGTTGTGTTAGTCCATTCTTGCATTGCTATAAAGAAATAACTGAGGCTGGATAATTTAAGAGTTTTAATTGGCTCATGATACTGCAGGCTTTACAGGAAGTATCGTGCTGGCATCTGCTTCTGGTGAGGCCACAGGAAGCTTACACAGCCTCAGGAAGCTTACACTCTTGGCAGAAGGTGATGGGGACCCAGCATCACATTGCCAGAGTGGGAGTAAGAGAGAGAGTGGAGAGGTGCTACAAACTTAGAAACAACCAGATCTCGTGTGGACTTAGAGTGAGAACTCACTCATCACCAAGGGGATAGCACTAAGCCACTCAGGAGGGATCCACCGCTATGAGCCATACACCTTCCACCTCCAGGCCCCTCATCCAACTCTGGAGATTACATTTCAACATGAGATTTGGAGGAGATGAACATCCAAACGATTTCAATGATCAAGAATTAAAATTTCACAATCTGAACAAGATACCGTCTTCCTGGCTCTCAAGTAAAGGATCTAGCATTCTACAGAGCAGGCTAGAACTGACTTATATTCCCTTTTTTGTCTTCAAATAATCCAGGTAAAGGAATAGAACCTGGGTACCAATCCTACTTCTACCACATATTTGTTCTGGATATTTAGACAAGTAATCTCATGAAATAACACCTATTTCGTTTTCTATTGAGAGGATGATACATACATACATATACAGTAGAGCCTAACACTGTCTAGAGATGGAGTAACTATAGTTCTCTCCCTTTATTCTCCAGAAAAGCTGATTTTCTTCTGTTCCAAGTGTAATCCCTTTACAAATAATGCACTGTCCCATTTCAAGGCCACCCATTGATTCAGTTTTCTCATATTGGATTCTTTGTCATGCTGGATTCTAATTTCCTTTTCTTCTTTACCAAATTTCTATAAGAAATTCTTTGCATTTTCAGCTTTACTTTTTCATGTTTTATCCTCTCTGCATTTTTGCCTTTATTTCATGTTTAATACTTTCTTCAGTCCTTGGTAGTCTGGTTTTTGCTTCCACTCACTACAGAAACTCCCTTTGCAGAGATCTTCAGACTTCAATATTGCCATGTACAATGAGCTCCCCTTTTCCTCTGCCTTGAATATGTTATTCATTTATTATTTGTTATGTCTTATTTTGTAAGCTATCTCTAAACCTTCTTGTAAAGAACTGGAATGAAGATAGATGACAAATTAAAAGTCCACCTTGGTTTTTTTTCTTGAAACTTTTATATTCTTTGGATCCCAGGCCTTTACCCTTTATATTTGTTGTCCTAACTTTTTCTCTGTCTTTGTTCTGGTTCCTATTAAATCTGTCTTTTCTGTATTTCCATACAACATATAATTTTTTAAAAAGAGTATTTTAAAAAATTTTAATGAGATCTCCATCTACTCATCAAGATTCAAAAATTACCAAAAGTCTGACACATGTGCTTTCCTTTTTTTCTTTGCTGGATTGATTTTTTTTTTTTTTTTTTTTTTTACAGTCTTGCTCTGTCGCCCAGGCTGGAGTGCAATGGCGCGATCTCAGCTCACTGCAACCTCCACCTCCCAGGTTCAAGTGATCCTGCTGCCTCAGCCTCTTGAGTAGGTGGAATTACAGGCACATGCCACCATGCCCGGCTAATTTTTGTTTTTTTAGTAGAGATGGGGTTTCACCATGTTGATCAGGCTGGTCTCGAACTCCTGACCTCGTTCCGCCCACCTCGGCCTCCCAGTGTTGGAATTAACAGGTGTGAGCCACTGCACCCGGCCTTTTTTAAAGAAAGAATCTCATTCCATCACCCAGGCTGGAGTGCAGTGGCACAGTCTCAGCTCACTGCAACCTCTGTCTCCTGGGTTCAAGTGATTCTCATGCCTTAGCCTCCCGAGTAGCTGGAATTATAGGTGCGCATCACCATCACCACCATGCCCAGCTAATTTTTGTATTTTTAGTAGAGGCAGGGTTTCGCCATGTTGGCTAGGCTGGTCTCGAACTCCTGACCTCAAGTGATCCACCCGCCTTGGCCTCCCAAAGTGCCGGGATTACAGGCATGAGCTACTGCACCTGGCCTGGAATATTTTTAATTATACCCCAGGCATCATGTGTTTTCTCCCAATAAAAACAAGTCTTCTCCTTACATACCGGTATTCTGTAGACTCTGTCCCTAACGTTTGCTCACTGTACATGCTCTCTTTAGGAAATTTCATTCATTCTTACAGCTGTAAATACTGTCTGTTGTTAACTTTAAAATTCATATCTACACCTCTCACTTCTATCTATAGGTAATTATTTACATTTTCCTAGTATACGTCTTCAGTTAGGTATTCTATAGTGACCAAAAATGATAAAGGTCTAAAATATTCATCTCTTTCTTACTTGGATGCCCACTTTTCCCTTCTTTTTTTTTTTTTTTAAACTTCCTTATATTTTTATCACACAATTCTAGGTAGTCATTCAAGTATCAGAGCATCTTAGTCTTATTATTATTATTCATATTTCATATTTCATTAGTCCCCAAGTCCTATCAGTCTTGTCTTAGTTTCTGTTTTTCACACCTGTCCTTTCCACCCTGTTCCTACTTCTACCTTGCTGGTTTAGGACTTCATCATCTCTCTCCTCATAGCTTCCCAGCTGTGTCTCCCTGGTATCTTCTCTTTTCAGTTTAATCAGACTATTTTTTTCTGCTGAAAATCTTCTAGGTCTGGTTTTTTTCATGATTAAAAAAATAATAATAAGTTTTTAAAACTGATCATGTCCTCAAGAAAGTCAGGGATGATTATTTGTTCTTCATTTTTAGTTACATCACTATTGTGGTTGATACCTGGCAAATAGTAGGCCAATAATAAATGAGTGAAAGAAAGTGGCTACAGTGCTTGAATCTCTGCCCACATCCTTGGAAATATTGGTTGTTGTTCTTTTACTGTTTAATTTTTATATTATTAAGTCTGCTAACTAATGCAGCATTAAAGGGCCTTCTAATTAAAATATTTTTATAAAACTCATTATTGTTTTCAATAACTTTGGTTTTTCCTCCTAAAAATGAAGCAGTTGCTGATTGGTAGGGCCAAGTAAATTTTAAATAATTTATTATTACTGTGTATGTGTCATTTTTCTTATTGTTATTATTTTGGTCTAGACTGAAGGAAACTTGATTTCATACAATTTTAGTAGTTGGATTTGTCACACTACTGCCAGGGCAGTTACTTTTTTATACATCTATTAAGTCTGACACAAATCTGCTCATTGTTAAAAATATTCCTAATTTTTCTTTAGGACCAGTTTGGACAACATATAAAATCAGATGTACACTTGAATTTTTATGTTTATTATGGTCCTGATCGTATTAGAGAACCGGCCTTACTTTCAAAACAGGATATTGTTTTGACTACGTATAATATTTTAACTCATGACTATGGAGTAAGTATTGTTGATACTTAACAGATCTTTTAAAGATTGAATGTAAGAAATATGCCACAGGTTTCTAGAGTGTTCCAAAATTCAGGCTTTATACTTTTTTTTTCTCTTTAGATACTTAACGATATATAGAAAAATAAATGGTTTTTTTTTTTGACTTTTTGCGTGAAAGGGTTGCATTTTATTTAGATGCTAATTTAGGAGTATTTTTCTTTTCTCCACTCCTCCCCTCCCCCTCCCTCTCGATGGAGTTTTGCTCTTGTTGCCCAGGCTGGAATATAATGGTGTGATCTCAGCTCACTGCAACCTCTGCCTCCTGGTTTCAGATGATTCTCCTGCCTCAGCCTCCCAAGTAGCTGGGATTACAGGCATGCATCACCACACTCAGCTAATTTTTGTTATTCAGCAGAGATGAGGTTTCACCATCTTGGTCAGGCTGGTCTTGAACTCCTGACCTCAGGTGATCCACCCACCTTGGCCTCCCAAAGTGCTGGGATTACAGGCGTGTGCCACCACACCCAGACAGGAATATTTTTCATTTAGAACATTTTAAGTTAAGATTTTAAATTTGGATTGTAAGTATATGAAGCAATTTGTAAATGAATTTTATTTTCTTTTTTAATATTCTGGAAAATTGTTTTCTATCACAATGATTTGATTAATATCTCAGTTTGAAGGTATGCTTTTTTTGTAGTTACAGTTCATAAGTTTTCCAGTTAGTCTAATTGTTTTTTACCTTTATAATTCCAATTGTTCAAAAGTTAAAACTTTTTGAAAAATACCTTGCTATCAAAATTTCAGTCTTCTAGTAAAAATATTACCTTTTATATAAAAGAAAGTAATGTTGAATTCAAGTAATTCTTACAACTGCCATTTTCTATATCATTGCTATGTTTTAATCCGAGGTAGAACAGTTCAGTGTATTGACCAGTGACTCAACAGAGAGCTAGACTGCTGCTTGGGTTTGAATGCTAGTTCTGCCACCTGTGGTGCTTTGGGTAACATACTTACTTAGCAGTTTGTGCTTCAGTTTTCTTATCTGTAAAATTAGGTGTGCTAATAAGTACTTATTTTATAAACTTGTGAGTATTCAATAATTAATGTAGTGCTTAAAGCAGTACCTAGCACATAGTAAATTTGATATTAAATAATGATAACAACTAGTTAGCAAATCATATTAAGTACTATTTTACTTTCCTGTGTTTTTTAATTCATATAAAACATTTATTTCAGACTAAAGGAGATAGTCCATTACATAGCATAAGGTGGCTAAGAGTGATCCTGGATGAAGGACATGCCATACGAAATCCAAATGCTCAGCAGACAAAAGCTGTACTTGACTTAGAATCAGAAAGAAGATGGGTTTTGACAGGTAATCATAGCATTAAACTTACTAAAACCTTAAATCTCTAAAATATATCATTATGTAAGTTAGTAAAGTAACTTTGTAAACTTAAAGTGGGTGTAAATTCTGCCCCAAAATTAATCATATAAATAATTTAATCAAATGTTTTGAGTTGTTCTTCATAATTGCCCGTGATATAACAACATTTGACTTATTGATAATTTATGGAACAGTCACTAGACTTATTCTTGAACCTTGGAAATGGAGTAGACACTCTAGTGGAAATGGAGTAGACACTCTAGTCATCCAGTCATAATCTTGATTTCTGTTTCCCATCCTCAAACCTGTTTGCCATTCACAGTACCTTTACTAGAAGGTAAGGAAAAGAATGTAAACTTAAACTAGTTGCTTTTTCCTTCTGCTAGTGCTGCTGCTTTAAAAACTAAATAAGCAGATGTACTTGATAAGGAGAAAGTTGAATTTTCCAGTCTTTTTCTTGGCTAGTGTGTCATGTGAGAGCTAAAAATTAGAGCAAAACTGTATCTTGAGATGTGTATATTTTTAATAAATGATTATAGTCAACACTTGATAGTTTAATTTAATTGATAATGATGAGCCTGGTACAGAGTGCCCATTTTCAATTGTTGTCTTCTCTGATTGGGCCAAATAGATACTCTTACTGGATACTCTGGTTAAAGAGTTATAACAGTTTCCTGTTATTTCTAGGTACTCCAATCCAGAATTCTTTAAAGGACTTGTGGTCTCTTCTTTCCTTTTTAAAACTTAAACCATTTATTGATAGAGAATGGTGGCATAGAACAATACAGCGTCCTGTCACAATGGGAGATGAAGGAGGACTTAGGTAAGTACTTTCAGACAGTGATTAATATTAGTTACAAATAACTGTTAGTAGCTTGAACCAGTTGGCACTTTCTTTACTATTTTAACTTGACTCTTAACTTTTCCTTCTAAAAAGTGTTTATGGCTCAGTACCTTTGTCTTTCAGAACCTAGTGATGCTTGTTTGGAAAGACAAAGATTTCTAATTGTCGATAACTACCCTTCCCCTGTTGTGGCTAAACTGAAAGGAAAGACATAACTGTTTTTTGTGTGTTGCTAAGCCCCAAAGCCCCAAAACCAGCATTAACAGATTTAGCAGGAAACATCGTATATCCTTTGAGGATCTAATATGCATTAAGTTTTCATATCTTATATAGCTTTATTTATTTATTTATGTATTTATTTATTTGAGATGGAGTCTTGCTCTGTCGTCCATGCTGGAGGGCAGTGGCGCGATCTTGGCTCACTGCAACCTCCGCCTCCTGGGTTCAAGCGATTCTCCTGTCTCAGCCTCCCAAGTAGCTGAGATTACAGGTCTGCGCCAGCATGCCCCGCTAATTTTTGTATTTTTAGTAGAGATGGGGTTTCGCCATGTTGGCCAGGCTAGTCTCAAACTTCTGACCTCAGGTTATCCTCTTGCCTCGACCTCCCAAAGTGCTGGGATTACAGGCATGAGCTACCACACCTGGCCTTACATAGCTTTATATAGTGAATGATGTGAGGTACCATGACCTTAGCAAAAGTTGTATAGGAAAGTTTTATGTGGTTGTTTCTGGTGGAGATAGATAAAAGTTGAGAACATAAATTAAAACTCAGTGATAGCCATTTTGCAAGATGTAATGTGGTTCAACTTTTTGGCTAAAGCACCGGTTTATAGACTGAAGATTTGAGAGCTATTAGTGGGATATAAAATCATTATAAAGGTGGTAGCCAGCATTTAAAAAGACAATGAAATAGAGAAGAGATTAGTAAATATCGGAGTGCATGATACATAGTAAGTATTATTTTGTGAAATATTTGTTTCTTTTGTATGTGTTTGTATATTTTTGCTGGATAGAATGTGTTTCTTACTGTGAGTTATAGTGAGAAAGCTTCAAGAGCCACTAACCTAGTTGGCAGTACTATCCACTTGATTCCTCAAAACCAACTATTTAAACTCCAGGAAATTGTATTTATATTTCAATGTTGGGAAAAAACAAGAATTGATACATCTCTTTTTTTCCAGTACTGAGAAAGAAATGTAAAGATTGTGGAACCTGTAAAGCATTTTTCTGTGTTCTGAATTACCATATTATCTTTTTATTTTGGGGGCACTCATTACTTTATACAATTACTTATTTATATACTTTTGATTTTAATATTACAGAATGTAGTATCTTACCCATATTTGTATTCTTACAACATTTAATTCAGTGCCTGGCACTTAATAGATACTTAGAATTTGAGTGTTGACTATTCGGTGATGGAGTTGACAGGACAGTTGAGAAGTAAAAGAGTTAGTGATTGGAACAAAAATGGGGAACAGAACTTACGAAAATAAGGACAGGATATAAAAAGATTAAACTATGTTAGGTATTGAGGGGAAATTTCCATACATTTGTTTTAATAATTTTATTTTTGTAGAATACTTCTGTGATTATCAGATTGGTTAAAATCCCAAATAAGGGATTTTAAAAACACTTTTACAGAAGCTATAAAACAGTAACAAATTAAAATGTTCTGTTTCGTTCTTCTTGGATCAATTTATGTAGAAATTAAAAGTTACATAATTATTTGTTTTATTCTGATTAGGCGTTTACAGTCCCTAATTAAAAATATTACACTTAGAAGAACAAAGACAAGCAAAATTAAAGGAAAACCTGTTTTGGAGTTACCAGAACGTAAAGTATTTATTCAGCACATTACACTTTCAGATGAAGAGAGAAAGATTTATCAGTCTGTGAAAAATGAAGGCAGAGCCACTATTGGAAGGTATGGAGAAAGAAAACCATGTTAAAAATTAGTTTTTGTTTACTTTGTTTCCCATTCACTGAATGACATTATTTAGATGTGTTAGCAATAGTTTGAAGTATACTGAAAGATAATTTGCTTCTATGAATTACAGTGTTTTTTACAAATCAATAAAGTGAATGAAATAATAGTATAATTCACCAGGTAAGTAATTTTTTAAGTTAGGAAATAATTTAAAGCTTACTTTAAATGACAAGTTCTCAATTGCTAGCCAGAAGATTTTGCTTGCTTCTATTTCCAAAATCGTATGGAAATCTGGAAATAGGAACTGATGAAATAGGTTTAACAAGAAGATTAAGGATTGGTAGAAGGTATGAAATTCTGGTCCAAGCAAGATCAGGTTTAATGTGAGCCCACAGGGAACAGAATGAATAAGAGACAAGTGAAAGCAGAATAGGACTGTGAAAGGGGAATCTTCAAAACATAAAAACTTCAGTGAGGTAGGTACAAAGCAGGTTTGATAGGAATTAGAGAGAGTGGGAAAGATTGTTCTAAGCAGCAGATTTCTGAGTTCAAAATCTTCTTTCTTTTCATATTCTTTCAACAAAAATTTATTAAGTGCCCACTGTGTGCCAGGCACTTATACCCATTGGGATACAGCAGAATAAAACAGACAAAAATGCCTGCACTCGAGGAATTTATATTTTAATGGGAAGAAACAGATAATTTAAAAACATGATTAAGTTTTAAGGAATAAAGCAACGAAAGGGGATGGGGAATGCCAAAGCTGTTTTAGTAGGGTATTAAGGAAGACCTCACTGAGAAGATGATATATAGGTAAAGATCTAAAGGAGATTGGGATTAAGGGGTGTTTCAGCCAGAAGGAAGAGCAAGTGTAGATGCTCCCAGTTGGGAACATGCCTGGTGAGCTTGAAGAATAACAGAGAAGCAAGTGTGGCTGGATAGTATGAACGAGAGAAAATAGTCATGATATCAGAGATTTATTGGAATGGGGGTATGTAACGCATATGTCAAGGACTTTGGCTTTTACTTTTTATGACAGGAAACCTTAAAGGGTTTTGAGCCAGGAGAGGGACGTAATCTGATTTATATTTTTAAAAGATCACTCTGGCTGCTGTGCTCAGATTTAGGTTATTTGAATAGGAATAAGGTCAGAAGTAGGGAGACCAGTGGCAGTCAAAGCAAGAGATGATGGTGGTTTTTACCATAGTAGTGATAAAGGGAGTGAGAAATGATTAGATTCTGTTAAATTGTGAACGTAGAACCAACAGAACTTGCTGGTTGATATGTTATGGCATGTGAAAGAGGAATCAAAGATAACTTCAAGCCTTTTTACCTGCATAAGTGGAAGGCTGGAATTGCTGTTTACCAAGACAGGTCTATGGGAAGAGCAGAGATTTTTTTAAGCTAAGATCAGAAGCTCAGTTTTGGACACATTGATCATAGGATGCCCGTGAATTTTCCAAGTAGAGATATCAAATAATTAGTTGGATAGGAGAGTCGAGTTCAAAGTCAGCTATGTGTGGATGGTAATTAAAGCCATGAGATCACCAAGGGAGTGAGTAAAGTGAAAGAGATCTAACTGTGAAGATAGCAATGGCTGGTGAAATAGGAGGAAGGAAGCTTCTAATATTTAGCACATGGTAGGCACTCAAAAGAGATCTCTTAAATTGAAATGCTGAGTATCAGTAAGATATGACCATGCCAGGGAATAATTAGTGTTAGTAAAGGTTATTCTATTTGAAAAAGTTGAAAAAGATTAACTTTATTGAAACTGTTCTCAGAAAATAAGTTATTTTTAAAGTATTCTTTTTAATAGGCTATATATTTACTAACATTTATTTAGCACTCACTAGGTGTTATACATTGATCTTAGTGCTTTAAATGTATTCACAGCAATCCTATTAGGTCAGTATAATTATCCACATCTTATAAGTGAGGAAACTGAGGCACAGAGCAGTTTAGGTGACTTACACTGTTGTCACACAGCTAGTGAGTGACAGGACAGATTAACTCTGGCACTTTGGTTTAGAGCTTGTAAGTTTAATCTTTGTATTATTTTGCCTATTCCTTGCATTCTTGAATATTCAGAAATGTTTGTTGCCATAATACTACCAGTACTAATACTAGCAACAGATTCATGTATAGCACTTAATATAGTCCAGGCACTATTTTAAATACTTTACATGTATTAAATTAAATAACAGTAGTTGTATGAGGTAGGTACTTTTACAATGCCACTGTTAGAACTGAGGAAGCTCAAGACATAGGTTAAGCAACCTGTCCAAGGTTACATAATTAAATTGGCACAGCCAGGTTTTGAATTCATGACCAGCTAGCTCTAAAAATTTGTACTCTTAGCCGTTAGGCTATATTTCTTCTGTTGCCTTAAAATACTTAAATATCAGATGGCCTGGTTATATAATTTTTGGATCACCCATTTCCTTAAGAATCTATGTTGTCATTGTACCACTGTATTTTGTATAGAATGTTTCTGTGGGGAAGCCTGGTTTTTTTTTTTTTTTTTTTTTTCCCTCTGAAGTTCAGCAACTTCTTTGTTGACTTTCCCCTGGGACATGTGATATTATTTAAATCTTTAGATTCCAGGCTTTTCCCCCCTTCTCTTTCCTGGAAAGCTTTCTTTAAATATTGTTTTCTGTTCCATTATTTTATTTCTCTCTGTGTATGTTAGATGTCTTTTATCTGTGTTCCATAGGTATCATTTTATTTCTGATCTTTTACATTTTTTTGTTTAATTTTGATTTTCTCAGTCCTGTTTCCTACATCCTTTTCTATGTTTTTATCAGTGACTAGTCTTTTTTTATATTGGCTTATATTGGTTTCAGTGTGACTTTCATTTCTCTGATGATTCACTGTTTTCTTTCACTTTCTTGAGCCATACCAGCTCATCTTTCATCTCTTCCTGTTCTCTTGCCATATTTTTTCAAAGCTCTTTGTCTTTGCTTTAAGATTTTTTTTTTTTGGAGGAATTGTTTTATTGAGTGGTGTTAAATTGTGACAGTATCCTTGGTCATAATTTTTATTTGCTCTGTGGCAACATTTTTCTGCTGAGTTTTCTTTCACTGCCATGTGTCCCCTACCTTTGCTCTCTGCTGATTATTACTTATATTTGAATATCTTGAGTTCTTCTTGGACTAGCTATTTGCTAGTCCAGATATACAAAAGGGAAAGGTCACAATCATGTCCCCGACCAGCAGGAAATAACCCAATTTACTTAAGACTCAGGGTTACATGTTGAGTTACTTTAGGTTTTATTAGTACACATAAACAGAGATCAGAAACTTTAGGGGTGCTTGGAGTGTAGAGTGCTGTGCCCATAGTCTTTTTTTGAAAATACAGTGCACCTGTATGTTTCTGTATTCAGTTTACCTTCCCTCTTTTTTTGATATAAATTTCTCCATGGAAGCTCAAGTCACCAAGCATGCACCCTGTTCCTGTTTCTGCACATGAGAGGTATTGATTTTCCCCTCAGGGCATGCCATCCATTTTAAAGAATTGTGTTTTGGCAGCTCTGTTTGAGATCTGCAGTCATCCCTCTCAGCATCTTCCTATCTGACTTAGACTGCAATTGGCAGCCATTTCTCATATATTGTGCCTTATTGTTATAGATCTCTCTTGGTTTTATTAGAGTTGCTTTTCTGCTTTTCATTCTTGTTTTGGAGTAATTTCTAGAGAAGAAAAGAAAAATGCCATTTTACTCTGCTGTTTTAGAATAGGAAGTTATTATTGTTTAGCGGACTTAATAATATTTGACATTTTAATCTCTAGGTATTTTAATGAAGGGACTGTCCTGGCACATTATGCAGATGTCCTGGGTCTTTTGCTTAGACTGCGGCAAATTTGTTGCCATACTTACCTTCTTACAAATGCAGTGTCTTCCAATGGCCCCTCAGGTAGGTAAATTTGATTGCTTCATATCATTGTATTTGTCAGAGATACTTAAATAAGAGTGATAAATTTTTTTTATGTGGCATACATTTAGTTTATTTTGTTCTGTCAAATGGAGATTGCTTTTAGTGTGAGACTCAGCTAGGAATACATCCAATAATTTTTTTACCAATGAAATGGAATTATAATGAGGTCTTTCCAGGAATTCCGGTGATAGATACCCTTTGATGAAAGATTCATATTGGATCTGCCTTTTATTGTGTGGTGGTATGTTATTGTCATGTTATAATGATGCTTCTCTATGAGGTATATTATGTGAGTTGGCTACTATTTTGGCTTCTGAATGTTTCTTAAATTTCAAATTTAAATTATGCTTTTTGCCTATGGCAGAAAATGATGAGAGACTTTCCCTACTGGCAAGCGAAACTTTTCCTTATAAGATAGATTAACTTGTCATATTACAAACCTTGCTCTGAAATTAATTTTTCAGCCTTTTCTCTAGGAAATGATACACCTGAAGAACTGAGAAAGAAGTTAATAAGGAAGATGAAGTTAATTCTGAGCTCAGGTTCAGATGAGGAATGTGCAATTTGCCTGGATTCTTTAACAGTTCCTGTGATAACACATTGTGCACATGTATTTTGTAAACCCTGTATTTGCCAAGTCATTCAGAATGAGCAGGTTAGTTTTTTGCTCAGTACAGGTTCAGTGTTTGATAGAGTAGTGTACCTGTCTTTAATATAATAAAAGATAGTATATGGAGTTTTGCACTTGGATTTAATAATATACCTTTGATAGTTAATTATTCCAGTATTTTAATAGGTGATATATTTCTTCTAATGCAACATTTGCAACATAAAAAGATGTTCACAGTCAATATCTTAATTCCGCTGTTTATATCATTGCTGTTCAATAAATGGATTGATAATGTGAGACACAAAGATAATTTTCAGTTTTCTAGTAGTCATACTCTTAAGTAAAAAGAAACATTAAGCTAATTTTAATACATTTGTATTTAACCCAATATATCTAAAATATAAAAAGTATTAATGTGCTTTTTACAAAAAACTAAATCTTCAGAATTTGGTGGTGGTGTATACTTACAGCACACCTCAATTTGGCTTAGCCACATTTCAAGGACGTAATTGCCCCATGTGATTATTGGCTATTGTGTTGGATAAGGTAGGTCTAGATTCTTTTGTGTGGTAGAATTTTTTTGAAGTTGACTAGTCTGTTAAGCAGTCATTCAGCTGGGGTAGAATTTTTTTAAACATTTTAAATTGATATATAACATATGTAGAAAAAATGTATAAATTCATAATTAAATAGCTCAGTCAATTATGAGGTAAACATATTCCTGTATCTGCTGCCTAGGTCCCCTTGTGGCCCCTCCCAACCATTTACCCTCTCCCTCTTCCCCAAAAGTAACCCCACTGTATTGACTTTTAAATAATTTTAGCTTCAGAATTATTTAATTGTAATGGTGTTTTATATATAGTTATTTAAGATATAATCTTATTTTATTAACAGGTTCAAACGGGTACAACAGATGTTGCTTTGGAATGAACTTGATAGGATTTAACAGATCCTAGTAGCTTTATAAGCTATTATAAGCTTTATAAGCTTAATAGCTTTATAAGCCATTAAGATGGATTTTTTTTTAAAGAATAGTACTAAATAGTGTAGCTGTATTGTATTTAGGTTCAATAAATTGTTATTCATAGATTTTTTTTTTAAACTTGCTTACAATGTTATAATTTTTGGTTTCTTGCTCTTGCTTCTAGCTAGTCCAGATCACATACTTTTGCTCCCTCCTTTATCCGTTCTACTTACCACATTATGTCTGGAGTTCAGCATGTTCAGATGTCTCTTAAATGGATGAAATCCATTAAAAGGTTTAATAAAATGTTAGCTATGAGAGATACAGATTTTAGCATACATTTAAAAATTTTTAGGCATATTTATATTTGTTCTTCTGTTAAGTGTTGCTCATACTTCGTTCTTTCTTATATAGCCACATGCTAAATGCCCTTTATGCAGAAATGATATACATGAAGATAATTTATTAGAATGTCCTCCAGAAGAATTAGCACGTGACAGTGAGAAAAAGTCTGATATGGAATGGACATCCAGTTCAAAGGTAAAGTACTCATGTGCAAATATTTGAGTATTTGTTTTACCTTTATATAAGGAAATATACACAGTATATCAAAATCGTAATTCTGCTTTCATTCCTGTCATTTTAGTGTTCTGTTGTTGACCACTGGCTTTTTATTTTTAGTGGTGAATTTGAGGGGAAATGGAATGGGTTCAGATTATTAGAGTGTTCTTTCAGTCTTAATTTTTTGTTTTAAATGAGTAGTCTTTTGCATTTTAGGGAAATAACATTTCAGGACCTTTTCTTTATGATAAAAACTTTTAGACTAATTTTACTGATTTAAAATGGAATCTAATGGACATCTTAATATTTTTTGCAGATTAATGCGCTAATGCACGCATTGACTGACTTAAGAAAGAAGAATCCCAACATAAAAAGTTTGGTTGTTTCTCAGTTTACAACATTCCTGTCTTTAATAGAAATACCACTTAAGTAAGTTCCACAGTGTTTTTCACTTTCAGTAAAAGGATTTTATATAATCATATTGATTTGGATAGCAAAAAAAAAAACTTAATTTGTTTTGCCAGTTTTAGTCATTTTATCTGAAAGATATTCAGAGTCACAATAGAGAATACTTCCTGGCAGCACAAGAATTTAAAGATTAAGTCCTGAATTTATCAGAAAATGACTGACTCAGTGCCTAGCATATTAATAAGTGTTCAATAAACATTTGTTAAAATAAATGAGTGAAAGAATTTATTGAAGAGATTTGTAGTTACTTAACTTTGTTTTATTTTTATAATAATAGTGTTTGTTACTTGTCTCTTTTCTTCCCCCCTTTAGAGCCTCTGGATTTGTGTTTACTCGTTTGGATGGTTCCATGGCCCAAAAGAAAAGAGTTGAATCAATTCAGTGTTTTCAAAACACTGAAGCAGGATCTCCAACTATAATGCTTCTGTCCTTAAAAGCAGGTGGAGTTGGTTTGAATCTGTCTGCAGCTTCTCGAGTGTTTTTAATGGATCCAGTAAGTAGTTCTGTAAATTTTTTCAGAATCTTAGTACTTCTTTCAAAAAAATAAGACAAAAAACTATTTGGTAAATACCTTCATAGTTATAATTAACTGTGAAAATTCTTAGGCAAACTTTAGAAATAAATAACAAAAACTTAGTAAATGTGGATTAAGAGCTTTCTCTTAAGCACTTTACTGAAATCCTCACAACATCCTTATGAGGTAGATACCATTATTAAATGCTCTGTTTTGGCCAGGTGCTGTGGCACATGCCTGTAATCCCAGCACTTTGGGAGGCCAAGGTGAATGGATTGCCTGAGCTCAGGAGTTTGAGAGCAGCCTAGGCAACATGGCAAAACCCCATCTCTACAAAAAAAAGTACCAGAAAAGTTACTCTGGTGTAGTGGTTTGTGCTTGTAGTCCCAGCTACTTGCAGGGCTAAGTCGGAAAGATTGATTGCTTGGGCCCAGGAGGTTGAAGTTTCAGTGAGCCATGCTCCTGTCACTGCACTCCAGCCTGGGTGACAGAGCAAGAACCCGTCTCTGAAAGAAAAAAAAGAAAAAAAATGCTCTGTTTTACTGAAGAGGCAACTGAAGCACAGAAAAGTAAATAATGTGCCCAGTATCATACAGTTAGTAATAGGCAAAACCAGAATCATAGTCCATGTAAATATTTAAGTACTATTATGCTATGCTATTCTACTTTTCTTCTATAATAAATATTAACTGTAATGCTTTTTAGGGTAGTGGTTCATTCAGCCAGCAAATAATGAGATCCTGCTTTGCGTCAGTTTTTATAGGCACTGGGAATCTAACTATAAACAAGATAGACAAAATGATTACCATCACGGTTCTAGTAGTCTTAAGCTTTAATGTGCATAAGAATTAGGTAAAATGCAATTTCCTTTGCATTCAACGTAGAGACTTAGGAGTTCTAGGATTAGACCCAGGAAGCTGCATTTTTAGCATATATCATAGGTGATTGAGGTACAGGTGGTCTAGGATCACAATTTGAGAAACAAATTATCATTAATGGAATGTTCTGAGTACGTTTTAATGCCTAATATAGTGCAGTCAGTTGTGGTTGTGTAGTACAGGCATGAAGGTAGAACAGAGGCTAAAATTCACTTTGAACTTTACTCACCAAGCTGTGTGACCTGGACGTGCATTCACATAGGAGCGTGTTTTTCTACGTGTACAAAGGGGCTGTTTGGCCTGAGAGGACCTTGGACTAATTCAGTTTCTAATTTGCACTGGGTACTATGTGGGCTAAAGGCAACCCTCTGCTGTTTCTGTGCATTCAGACTTAAGATTTGTGGTTGTAACTTGTTACCTGAAACTCAGAAGATTTTTAACATGTAGGAATTCTACTGAGATACATGTAGGAATACTACTGAGATATAAATTTTAGTTACTTGGGTGAGGCTACCTTGTTGATGCATATATGTTTACTCAGGCTTCCTTTTTCCTCCCTCAACTGACGGTATCCTTCTCAGTAAGATTATAACTAGGGTCATCATACTTAGGCCTTCATGGGTGAATATCATGGATATGGTATGGTCTGTTGTATTTTCTTTTTTCTTTTTTTTTTTTTTTTGAGACAGAGTCTTGCTCTGTCGCCCATGCTGGAGTGTGGTGGCACAATCTTGGCTCACTGCAACCTCCACCTCCTGGGTTCAAGCGGTTCACTGCCTCAGCCTCCTGAGTAGCTGGGATTACAGGCACCTGCCACCACGCGTGGCTAATTTTTGCATTTTTAGTAGAGACGGGGTTTTACCATGTTGGCCAGGCTGGTCTTGAACTCCTGACCTCATGATCCACCTGCCTCAGCCTCCCAAAGTGCTGGGATTACAGGCATGAGCCACCGCGCCCAGCCGGTCTGTTGTATTTTCTTGCCTTTGTACTGTGGATGAAGTTTGAAATCTTTGTTTGCAGTATTTTATGGCTACTATAAAAAATATTTGTAACTATAGATTGTTGAATATTAATTAATCCAGTGATAATTCTAGAAGCTGATTTTTAGAACAAATCCCAAATTTTATTTTTCTTGCTTATAATCTTAGTACCAAAGAGGTTAATACCAAAATAATTAGTATGAAAAAGTTGATCAGAGACTAAACGTGTTAACAGTTTTTAAAAATTTACAGAACGTTTTAGCAGTTTTATAGTAAGTTGAGTGTTCTTCATTGAACATATCAAGCTTTCCAATGTTGTTTCTAACTTAAAAGTCAGGTCCGAGAAACATAATGATTCAATAAAAAAATAAAAATTTGCTCATGAAAGTCTTTTACCATTAAATTTTTTTTTCTTTTTTTAAGAGACAGGGTCTTCCTCTTTTGCCCAGGCTGGTCTCAAACTCCTGAGCTCAAGCAATCCTCCCTCAGCCTCTTGAGTAGCTGGGATTACAGGCATATGGCACTGTGCCCAGCTTTCTTTTACCTTTTCATTGAACATTGTATAAGTATTGGGGTAATATGGCCTGGCGCGGAGGCTCATGCCTGTAATCCCAGCACTTTGTGGGAGGCCGAGGTGGGCGGATCATGAGGTCAAGAGATTGAGACCATCTTGGCCAACATGGTGAAACCCCGTCTCTACTAAAAATACAAAAATTAGCGGGGCATGGTGGCAAGCGCCTGTAATCCCAGCTACTTGGGAGGCTGAGGCAGGAGAATCGCTTGAACCCAGGAGGTGGAGGTTGCACTGAGCTGAGATCGTGCCACTGCACTCCAGCCTGGTGACAGAGCGAGACTCCATCTCAAAAAAAAAACCTCATAGTTTTAATTTAAAATTTAATGATCCTTATCCAAACAATTCATGATACTATTTAAAAACCACTTACCAGGGGTCTATATCTTTTTGGTTATTCTTCCCTTTTCATTGTTGCACCATTTTATTGCTGTTGTTGTGTTTTTTGTTTTTTGTTTTTTTTTGAGATGTAGTCTCGCTCTGTCGCCCAGGCTGGAGTGCAGTGGCGCGATCTCGGCTCACTGCCAGCTCCGCCTCCTGGGTTCACGCCATTCTCCTGCCTCAGCCTCCCGAGTAGCTGGGACTACAGGCGCCTGCCACCACGCCCGGCTAATTTTTTGTATTTTTAGTAGAGATGGGGTTTCACCGTGTTAGCCAGGATGGTCTCGATCTCCTGAACTCGTGATCTGCCTGCCTCGGCCTCCCAAAGTGCTGGGATTACAGGCGTGAGCCACTGTGCCGGACCCAT
This sequence comes from Homo sapiens, assembly GCF_000001405.40. Lineage (NCBI taxonomy): Eukaryota > Metazoa > Chordata > Mammalia > Primates > Hominidae > Homo > Homo sapiens. The sequence goes on along the minus strand of NC_000003.12, from coordinate 149,035,850 downwards.
CATTTTATTTTTTAGCTTAAAACAGTTCTCATGATCATGTCTGTGTTAATTAGCTAATGGTACTTTTTTTAGCTCAGCTTTAAAGTCAAACTAACGTCAAATACTGATACAGAAAATAGCATCAACAAAAAAATAATTTTTAGGACTTACTGACTCTTAAAACCCCCTTTTTTTTTTTTTTTTTTTTTTTTTTTGAGACGGAGTCTCGCTGTCGCCCAGTCTGGAGTGCAGTGGCGCGATCTCGGCTCACTGCAGGCTCCGCCTCCCGGGGTTCAGGCCATTCTCCTGCCTCAGCCTCCTGAGTAGCTGGGACTACAGGCGCCCGCCACCTCTCCCGGCTAATTTTTTCTATTTTTAGTAGAGACGGGGTTTCACTGTGTTAGCCAGGAGAAACCCTTTTTTTATACTTTTATTTCATGAACAGAGGAAAGTGAAAGAAAACCAGAAAAGGGGGAGAAAACTAAATAGGCCCAAGAATTGTGTCTTTTCTCATATAAATTAAGTCATTTAAGAGGATGTATAACCTTTTTCTGCTGTTAAGCACACATAGATTCTTTTAAAAATGAAAAAAAAAACCAAATTGATTAATCAACAAATACTTATTTTGGGTGCTGATACATATGTCGGGGCCTGTATTAGGTATTAGAAGTAGTAGTAGGGGGAGGATGCCTATCATCATAGTGATTGGGAGGGTGGATTTTTCCCCAGAGTATTTGTGATGTTAGTATCTGACTTCAGGCAGAAAACTTTCAGTCAGAAAAAGATGAATGAATACTAGTGAAATGAAAGGACAAATGCAAAACACTGAAAGATCAGGGCAGTAGTAAAGTAACTCATCCATGTTCTTGTTAGGCCTGGAATCCTGCTGCTGAAGATCAGTGCTTTGACAGATGCCATAGACTTGGTCAGAAGCAAGAAGTTATCATCACAAAAGTGAGTTTTTAAACAAACTATTTTAAGACTAGGTTGATACGATTTTTACAATTAAGCAAGTAATGCATGAATATATTATTATGATTGAGTGTAATTATGCAGAGCAAAATATAAGTCACCTTTTTCCTCCTTCATCAATAATTTAATATATGCTGTTTAAGGGGCCTTTCTCTGCACCTACATTTATAGTTATGTGTACATCTCCTTAAAAACATTCTTTTAAAGATAAATGGAATTATACTTTATTCTACAACATATTTGTTTCCCTTAAAACTATACATTGGAGACTACCTCATAAGTACATTTAGATGAACACTTTTTTTAAATAGTGGTAAAATACAAAATTTACCATTTTGAAGTATACAGTTTAGATGCATTAAGTACATTCATGTTGTTGTGCAACAGCCATCACAATCATCCATCTCCAGAACTTTTTCATCATCTTAAACTGAAACTGTGTATCCATTAAATAATAACTTCCCATTCCTCTCCCCCCAGCCCCTGGCAACTACCATTCTACTTTCTTTCTCTGAATTTGACTACTCTACAAAACCATATAGATATATCGTAATATATTTAACCCATTAAGTTTTTTGCTAATAAAAACAGTGCCATAATGAGCATTATTATATATAAATCTTTTCACATAGATGCAAGTAATTCTTTGGGATAAGTTAAGAAAACTAGAATTCTGGATTTAGAATTTTTATCAACTATCGAGTTGGTTTCAAAATAGGATTTATATGAAAATTGTTAATTTATGCTTCTGTGGCCAAAAAAGTGCTGTTCTAATTTGCATTTACCTAAAACCTTGAGTATATTTCACATATCTTGTTTATTAACATTTTTTCTGTGAATTATTTATATCTTCTGTCCAGTTCTCATAGTTATGGTACAAATAGTTTTATAGTATAAAGGACTCCCTGATACAGTCTGACTTGAAATCTTTTGTTTATGTATGTTGAAAATGGTTTATCCCATACTCTTCCTTGTCTTTAAACTGCATTTTTTTGGTCATGAAAAAGCTTTAAAATTTTTATGATTTAAAACGTCAGCCTTTTTTATACGTTCTAGGTTTTAAGGTCTTACCTAGGACAGAAGGCTTTATTTTCACATTTTTTCAACTATTCTGTATTTACTTCTGGTTCTTTTGGAAGATTTTATTTTTTGTTTTATGATTTGTGACATGAGTCTAAGCTTATTATTTTATCAGATGAAGAACGATTTGTTCTGTCACATCATTTTTTTTCTTTGAAAATTCCAACTTTTTCCCTACTAGTATGAAATGTCACTTTCATCATAAACTAATTTATATATATTACTTGGGTCTTTTTCTAGACTATTCTGTTCCATTGATCTCTTTTCCTTTTCTTAGGGCAGTATTACTCTTATAACAACTATGGTTTCCTAAAGTAAGTTTTGATACCTGATAGGGTAAAATGTTCTGATGACCCTTTTTGAAAATTGTATTGGTGGTTATTATTATTGCTCTTGAATTGAACTTTAGATTTTAGTTATAAAATCCCATTTAAGATATCTTGAGATTTATTGAATTTATTATTACTTTCGAGAACTATCTTTCTTTATAAGTAACGAATGTTTCCATACAGGAACATAGTATCCTTTCTCCATTTATGTAGATCTTATATGTATTTCAGTAAAATTTTATTATATAGCTTTAGTTATTGCAGTAATTGGGTCTTCTTAAACAATGTTAAATAGTAGCAGATAGTGACCATTCTTGACTTGTTTCTGTTTTGTTGTAGAATACTTTTATTGTTTCACATTAAATATGTAAGGTTGAGACATTCATTCCTAGTTGGGGTATTTTAAAATCAAGTTTTTATCAGGAATGAGATGATCACGTTTTATTTTTCTCTTTGTTAGTGTTGTGAATTATACTAAAGATTCATTCTTGAATTTCTGGGAATAGTTTTTTGTTTTTTTTTTTTTTTTTTTTGAGACGTCGCTCTGTCACCCAGGCTGGAGTGCAGTGGCGCAATGTCGGCTTACTGCAAGCTCCGCCTCCCGGGTTCACACCATTCTCCTGCCTCAGCCTCCCGAGTAGCTGGGACTACAGGCGCCCACCACCATGCCCGGCTAACTTTTTCTATTTTTTAGTAGAGATGGCATTTCACCGTGTTAGCCAGGATGGTCTCGATCTCCTGACCTCATGATCTGCCCGCCTCGGCCTCCCAAAGTGCTGGGATTACAGGTGTGAGCCACCGTGCCCGGCCAGAATGGCCTTTTTAATACAATGCTGAAGTCATTTTGCCAGAGTTGCCTATATAGTTTGCTTTTTTTTTCTTTATTGCTTTGCTTATCTTGTGATCTGTAACTTCTATTCGTACAGCCATATTCTTTATATAAGAAAACCATATTGGGTAAGGAAAGCAAAGTTCAGTTCTATTAAATAGTTATTATAGTTTGGTGCAAAAGTAATTGCGGTTTTTGCCATTAGGCAAATCTTTCATTTAGTTTTTTTAATAAAGATTTTAAATACTATGCCTTAAAAACTACTTAACTTTTTTTTTTCTTTTTAAAGTTCATTGTAAAGGACTCTGTTGAAGAAAATATGCTGAAAATACAAAACAAAAAGAGAGAACTTGCAGCAGGAGCCTTTGGAACTAAAAAACCAAATGCTGACGAAATGAAACAAGCCAAAATTAATGAAATCAGAACATTAATTGACTTATAATTTGTGGGATTTTAGTAAGGTCAGTTTGATTGGATACTTAAGTTTTAGAAATGAGAAAAATACAGAGTTTTAGAAATGAGATCTAGAGAACACGTCTTCTAAAAGGGGCATATTTTATATTAGTGAAGAGGTATTACTGACACAATTTCTTCTATATATGAACCTATTTTTAATGAAACTTCAAATAGCAATAAGTTCCGTTATATACTGTGGCCTGAAATAATTTGAGAAAAAAGGTTACTTTGTTATTCAGCTTTTCATAATATCTATGCTGAGTATTTTCACGTATCTTCCAAGTACTCAGCTTTTTCGTATTTCAAATAAGGTCAGACCTTTTATACTTTTGACCAAATAGTTATTTTCTATGTTGGACACTTAGTTATTTACCAAAGCCTCCGATTTGTGATGCAGTGTTTGTAGTCCTTGTAAACAATATATACAGACTATACAAGAATTAATTTTATTGGGCTTTCAAAAACCATATTTGCATTCCAGAACCAAATCTTAAATGAGACCAAAGTCCAGGTTAGCACAGGTTTTTATTTTTCCTACAGCTACATTGAGATATAGTTCACATAAATGACTTGGAGTTTTATGTTCATGAAAAAATTAGGGATTATGTTAAGAGTACTATTTTTTCCATTTTAGTTAAGTAGTACTACACTCATTGTTTAAATGTAACTTGCTGTGTCTGAGGTATAAATATAGTCTGTGGGAGTGAGAGGCAAACCAGTCCTACCCAATTTGATTTGAATATTTTAAATTATGGAACTGCTAAATAGATATTTCTATAAATAGATAATTTTTATTTATGTAGCTTTTTTTGGAAGTAACTTTATAAATTTTTATAATTCAGAAGACTACTATATGTGAGAGGCGTGATATCTGGATGGAAGTTGGGCTGGATGATCTCCAAAGTCGTTTCAACTCTTAAAGACATCTTAATCCTGAATGTAAACAATTGTTATGTGTTTAGAATCAGAATTTGATTTTGAACTTGAGTAATTCATCCTTACAGCTATCTGTAGAATTAGTCATCTTTTTTCTTTTCTTTTTTTTTTACTTTTTTGTTAATAAGCAAACTTATTTGCTGCAGAATTTGGGTTGACTCCTGAGCATATTTAAAACAAAGAAGCTAGAAATTTAGCAGTCAGATTAGGTAGGTGGTTTTATTTCAAAGGGAAACTTTAATCCAAAGAAAGATTAATTACTCTAACAAACAAGAGAAGCTTCATGTTTGATGATACAGATTTAAGAATACCTGAGACTTAAGAGTGTTGGAAGTCATTTGATAGAAAGATGAGATCGGAGACAATGTTGTGTTATAGGGCACACATTGAAGGTATATGCCAAATCTCTCACCAGATAAGTCCTTTTCTCCCTGTGCCGTTTTCTTGCTCAAAGGGAACAGTGAATTAGCCAGCTAGAATCTTCCTGGTCCCTTTTTGAGGCAGTAGCAGGTAAGGAAAGGGCTGATTTTCATCAAAACCAAGACCTTTCTGCAGGGATGATAGTGGAATAATAATGTGGGATTAGCCCGCTAGCATTAGGAGCAGTTGGGAAGTTACCTGGTAGATCAAGCATTACACACAAAAAATCAAGTTGATCAGAGTATGGGTTCTCCATATAGCAATACTTCAGTGAGATTAAGTATAAACAGTTTTTGGCAAAAAACAACACAGTCTACTCTTTCTGCTTACAAAGACAAAGCCTTACAAACTCACTATGAAGGTAAAGGGAGGACAGCTTGCTTCTTTGCCCAGACATTTACAAAGTTGTTTTTAAAACACACTCATAAGTAAGTTTGGCAAGTTGTTTAAAAAATGTCTCTTTGTTTTGTACAGTTCTGTTAGATGTTGTTATATTTTAAAAGTTTAATTTAAAAAATTTAATTTGTCCTTCCTAAGAAGGATAAATATATAAAAAAGCCACTGGAATGAAAACTTCCTATATGCTATGCTGTTGTCTTATTATTATATAGAAAAATAACTTTAGAAAAATATTGAAGACATTGTATTACCACTTGTGATTCAAACAATTTTGTGGTTAAAACTGGATTTTAAATTTAAAAATCAATAAAAATTTCAAATGTTTATTACCTTCCTCGGTGCCATAATTTTGACTTTATCTTCAAATAAAATCCTTCATTAATTGTGACATTTCTATGCAAGTGTTACATTTTTTTGAGAGTACATGAAGATTACTGTAACAGAATAATGTCCTCATATCCTAACTAACTTTATTTTGCTCAATTTAGCTGGTTGAAATTCTTGTTCAGAAATCAAGAGTGCTTATTTAAAATGCCTTGATCTAAAAACATTGGTCCCAATTAATTTCTTCATCTGGAAGAAAAAAAGGAGTTGTGATAATACCTATATATACACAGATAGCACTCTTAATCAATCATTGTACATTTTGTCCTTAAAATTACAGCTCTAGAATTGGAAATACAAACTAACCCTATGTAGTTTGTTACCAGTGAGTACTAATGATCTTCGGCAGTGTGTGCTTTGTTTTGGGGAATGGCAAAGACATTGCTGTATTTTTTTCTTGTTTTATTTATACTACTTGTCAAGGTTTATGCATTAGCATTTGGATGAGATTCATTAAAAATATAAGGGCACATTTGATGTTTGGCTCTTAACAAAAACTCAAATGTTTAACCTCAAGTTTTTAACACATTAACTTCAAAATATCTGCAAAATGTGTTATACAGCAGGACAATATGGGTATAAGGAGAATTAAGGTAAACAAACATTTACTTTATGCATAAACCATAGCTCCATCCACCATGGAGCTAATCTCCAAAGGCATGGATTTGACCTCTGTTGTGGGCAAGTTTGTCTTACAACCAAAGGTCATACCAGCCACTGCAAGGGGATAAGTATATATGGATCACCTCTGCAAATATAAATCTTGTAATTTGAATTACTGTTGCCTTTTTATACATTTTACTAAGTAACCCTTAGTATTCTGGACTCCCTAGAAAAGATTTTCCAATATTTGTATAGCTTTACATGGAAAAGTTAGTTAATACTTCACCTTAAGACATAGATCATAGAAGGAAAAGAATGTTTAGTTCAGTGATTTTCTAGCCAAATAACTTGACAGCATTATATGCTATGTCTTATGGTAAGCTTGTCATTCTTTCTGATTCCAAAAGTTAATAATAGCCTTCACTACTTATTTGAAATTTAAAAATTTGCTGGGTGCAGTGGCTCACGCCTGTAATCCCAGCACTTTGGGAGGCCAAGGCCGGTGGATCACGAGGTCAAGAGATTGAGACCATCCTGGCAACATGGTGAAACCTGTCTCTACTAAAAATACAAAATTTAGCTGGGCGTGGTGGTGCGTGCCTGTAGTCCCAGCTACTCAGGAGGCTGAGGTAGGAGAATCTCTTGAATCCAGGAGGCAGAGGTTGCAGTGAGCCGAGACTGCACCACTGCACTCCAGCCTGGTGACTGACTGACAGAGCAAGACTCTGCCTCAAGAAAAAAAAAAAAAAAAAAAAAAATTTAAAACTATGTCAGCTTTTCCACCTTAGAGCTTTGTTATGCTACTGTGTAAAAAATAGAGAATGAACGGTAGTAAATAGAAAAAATTAACGTTGAATGCAACTGAATGGCCACAAAAATAAGACATTTTATATCTGAAGACTGTGTTTCTGTTCATCTTAACCAGGGACTCGGAAGCCAGAAAGACCTCTGACTAGCTAAAATTTTGAGAAGTCCTTCTTTGTACCACAGCATCTGACACATGGAGGCACTTAAATAAATCTTTGGTAAATGCTTCATTGTACTTGAAGATCAATAGCGACTCATTCTTCACCAGTCCAAATAGCTAGTTTCAGAAGTCATTTATCATTTAATATTTTATAATTCTAGGTAAATCCTCAGGTTCTTATTGAGCTCCTATGGTAACAGCCTTCAAGGTGGCCCCAACCATTCTTGACTTAAGCTGTCTATATGCTTGTATATTAATTCACATCAATATGAATAAGGAGGGTGACTTTGAAGGCTAAGTCACAAAAGCTTTGCAGCTTTTGCCCAATCAAACCTCTAAAGTTTCTTCCTGTCATGGTTAACTGTCCTGTTTTCTTCCATAGAATCATTTCTGACCACTCATTTTAGTTTTAAAAGGTCATCTTGGATCCTACCCTTCTTTAGCTTGCCATCTCTTACAACCTAGAATGATCTATAAATTTAATAAATACGCTTTTCCATTCTATCATTTTAAATCATAGATAAAATACTAGTAGGGACTGGACCCAGTATTGATTCTGACAGTTAGGAATGACTTTAAGGTTAAAATATTCTAAATAGCTAAATACCCACTTAATAGAGAGGTGCAGTGTGGATGACACTATGTAAGTTTGATCTCGGTTTGTTCTGATCTGTCAGATCCATCACCATCACAGAAAAACAATTAGATTGAAATCATAGATACCAGTTTTTAAAGCATATATCCCAATGTCAAGCTTTACACTTTTTTAAAACTATGACAAATTCCAAAAATTGTGAAAAATTCCCTAATAGATTTGTTCAAGGGTGTATGGTGAAATTCCTTAATTTAATTAAACAACCAAGATACAGCAATAAGTCTTTTATTTTTTGTACAGGGTGCCACTGCAGGTAACCATCAGAGAACACACTGCTATTTTCAAATATACAGAACTGAACAAAAGCATTTTAGCATGCTGCCTTACTGTACACAGAAAACTGGTGAGCATCTTCAGACACTAAGGACAGGAAATAAAATGGGTTAATGCTATTGGTTGATATGTTTATGAATCACTCAGCAGTGTTGAGATAGCCTATCTTTACCTGAAAGGAGAATTACACTCACTCACTCTGGCAGCACTGGGCAATTCTAAAATTCAGGTCTCGTGAAAGGTACACAACCAACAAGCAAGCAAGGAACAGATGCCATGTCTGCTTCTGAAGGGAGTGACTGATTTTGAACCAGGCTCTGCAGATTTTAAGAACTGATACAGCCATCTTAATATCTTGAGTTTCCCTTACTTTGTATGTTGGCAGTCAACAAAAGTGAGAATTTCTGAAACAAGCTAAATAGGATTAAAAAGCAGAACACTGTCCATATAACAGAATTGCTGCTTCACAACTTTTGCCCAGTTCTCACCTCTTATCCTAAAAAAGCCTCTCATCTGATAAGTTTTAATGAAAACCTCTAGCAACTGTAACAGACTTTTCTCAACCCAGCTCTAGATACTAAGTATCAGAAACAAGGCTTGTGAAGTGGATGTGTTCACAGAAAAATGCAGTGTTTCTACTGGAGGTAAGTGTCAAGTTTCCTCTTGATGTTGTCAAAGGAATCTGCTCCCATATAATCAGCCTGGCCCTGTTCCCATCGTTCCTTCCGTTCTTCCGAGGATACAAACGGCTGTGCCATAGCTGGGATCTCCCCAAGGGACAGATGTGATATGGCTCCTGAGACATCTTCCTAGAAAGGAAAGCATAATTGACTCTATGAGAGCTGAAAATCAAACTGTTTTAAAGAATGCAATAAATTGAAGACAGAAAAGCCAGGATGAATCATCATGCAAAGTAGCAAAAACTGAAAAGTATTACATGAAACAAACAAAAAAGACACAAAAATATAGATTATATGATTTTTTCCTAACAAAATGAAGACTTCTTGACTCAGTGAAAACATTGGGAGAACAAAGTAATTAGGGTTAATCTTTAAGTTCTGCATACCTTTCTACAGAAGCCACAAGAGAAAGCCAGTGTATAGACCAAGTCTGAAAGCTGCAAACAGTTCATTAGAAAGTGTAAGATGGATGGGCAAGGGAACACAAGTCTCAAGATAAATTCTCAATCTGTGTGGGCTCTGAAAGGTTGAGAACTTAAACAAAATGATACCCAACAGGCTACATTTCAGAAAGAATCTAACTAGAGAGCCGCAACACATACTCAGTTATCACATTATAAGAAGGAAAGTTAAACTGGTTTGAGACTAGGTACCAAACTTCTCTGCTTGTTCAAGCTTTCATTTGGATTACCAAGTAGCATCTGTTCTTGTAGCTTCTGTTAATTTGCTTAGTTTTGAACAACTTTCAATTCCCATCTTCACCTTTCCTTGGTTCATAATTACGTATATACGTAAGCATATAGGTATGTATTTAAATACAGTGGAACTTTAAGATGTTTGGGTATAGGACTGCATTATAGCTGAGGCAACATAAGGAAGTCCTTCCATTGGATTAGTCCTGCCTTTGCCTTGCACTTGGCAACAGTAATGATACAGAGGCATTTCCAGAGTCCTCTCTGTTCACAATATGGGGGCTGTGAATTTACACCCTAAAAGAGAGGCCCCTGAGGTCAAGCCAAGTATACTGGACATAACTTAAAATAGTTTAGCATTTAAAGTGTAACTCTCCCTTCACCTGCCATAAAAGGTACTTTCTTAATTCTGGGCTGTAGATGGCTACTTTTAAGCATAGTCCATCTCAAATTTTCATAAGGATAAGTCTCTTCAGACCTGCGTTTGAGGCCCATTCTGCTGCTTGACTAGTCTATTACATAACTAAGACAAGTTATATAACTTCTTTAAGCCTCAGTTAATTTACCTATAAAAGGAGATATAATACTTAATATACTTAACAATACTTACTAATAGTACTTAATATAGTGGTTTTAAGGGTTAAATAAGAATAGCTAACTTTCATTAAGCATTTACTATGTGCCAGGTGGTTTCAAGTACTGTATGACAGGGGTCCCCAACCCCCAGGCCACGGACCAGCAGTAGTCCATGGCCTGTTAGGAACCAGGCCGCACAGCACAAGGTGAGTGGCAGGCGAGTAAGAATTACCACCTGAGCTCTGCCTCTTGTCAGATCAGAGGTGGTTAGATTCTCATAGAAGCGTGAACTCTATTGTAAACTGTGCATGCAACGGATCTAGGTTGTGTGCTCCTTATGAAAATCTAATGCCTGATGATCTGAGGTGGAACAGTTTTATCCTGAAACCATCCCCCATACTGGTCCATGGAAAAACTGTCTTCCACAAAACCAGTGTCTAGTGCCAAAAAGGTTGGGGACCACTGCTGTACAAATATTATGTCATGATCCATATAAAGAACTCAGAGTAAGAATGCAAGTGTTAGTTTTTCTCCCTTTCTCCTTTCTATATCTTAGTAAATGCTAGTAAGTGAAATTTCAGGCTAAAATCTATACCACAGGAAAGAGAATAATCTCTTATAATATTACAATCTCACAGCCAGGTGATTAGCTGATTATCTGATTATAATTCACCACCATTCTGTTCTCTTATTTATATCTGAATATGTAACAGTTTCGTTCCTCATCCTCTTCCAATTCTTTCATAAGAACAAACCTCAGAGAAGACCTTTAAAGTCAGAAAAGATGCTAAAGAGGGTTGTTATAAATGTTAACATGTCATCTGCCTCCTACAAAGATATTTCTTTTTCAAGATCCTATAGTAATCATAGGAGTACAAACATAGGAAATAAAAACAATCCTATAGAAGTATTTACTGTATGTTCATATTGTCATTTTCACTGAAAACACATTCTTCTAAGCAGATGGCAAATATAAAGTAGATACATCTAAATGTTTGCAGTTCCTAAAACATTCAATGGGGTGTTGTTTTTATAGACCACTACTTTAGGAATAATCTCAAAATCTTTTCAGAGGAGAATGGGCTAAGAATTCTAAAGTTAAAATATATGGGTATATACAGAAAATTCTAAATAACTGTGTTCTCAGATCCAAAGAAATCTGCCACACAGTTTATTTCTGCTACTTCTTGCTGGTAATGTTTCTCCTAAGATGGTTATTGTTTTCTTTCCACAAAATTTTATTTATCTCTTTGTTTAAAATGCTGCTAAATATTCCACATCTCTATTGATACAACAATTTTTTTAAAAAGCAGCATTAAATGATCTGAAGAAAAGAAACAGAACCTACCACATTTACATATGAGCAGGTGTCTTTGACAAGGCCAAATTGTTGAAGCAGAGGTAAAACGTTGGTGGTAAAGATGTTCCACCACAGGATGAGAAACTCTGGATGAGTCATGTTGGGATCATGGGCCTCACTTTTGACACTTTTTGTTTTGGGATCATAAGTATAATTCCATGGTTTGACTCGTCCCAGGAAATGCACAACTTTGGCACTTGCACCAAACCTGCCAAGTGAACGCAAGTTGAAACAGTTAGTGGATTCTGAGTACTGACAAAAAGATAAGCAGCACTTAGTAGCACTTTTCTATAGCTTTCTTTCTTAAGAGACAGTGTCTCACTCTGTCACCCAGGCTGGAGTGCAGTAGCATGACAGTTCACTACAGCCTCTAACTTCCCACCCTTAGCCTCCTGAGTAGCACAGGCCACCATGCCTAGCTAATGTTTAATATTTTTTTGTAGAGCCAGGGTCTTGCTATGTTGTCCAGCCTGGTCTTGAACTCCCGGCCCTGAAGTGATTTCTCCTGCCTTGGCCTCCCTATTCTGTGGCTTTAACAGTGTACTTTCCATCCTGCAGTAAGGGTTCAAAATCAAACTGAGTTCACTGTGACATTGTGAGACAGATACTTTTAAAAGTACTTATTCAGTTGTGTGTTAAATACATACAAAAAATGTAAATGTAGCATCGGTTCAGTGCAACACTGAAGCACCAATCCATTGTGGACAGAACAGGCACACCACTTGGAAAGTATTTGGTATTACCTAGTAAAGTTAAAAATGCTCATGCTGTACAATCCAGCAGCTCAGCTCCTAAGCATATACCCTAAAGAAATGCTTGTGTATGTGCAACAAGAGATATAATCAAAATGTTCACAGCAGCACCAGCACTATTTGAAATAGTCAAAAACTGGAAACAACCCAAATGTCTGTATTAGATTTCTGCTCAGCAAGTATACATTACTCCCAGCCTCCTCAGGGGGAGGACACTTTCCCACCTGATGTTGGACATGTCCTATGGCTTGGCTTGACTTGACTAATGCAATATGAGCAGAAGTGACATTGTGCCTTACAGAAGCATTGCTTATTTCTGTTCACCCTCTGAGAAGTTACAACTTCTGCCAGCAGAATATGCCCTGGGTGCTTGCTGTTTCCAGAAAAAAGAAACATGGAACAGATCTGGACCAAACCTGTAGCCTAGCTCCAAACCCTGCTGAGATCATCAGAGCTGTCCTAGCCAACCCACCAACATATATGTAAGAAATATTTGCTTATTGTTGAATATGACTGAGATTTTATAGTTATATAGCCATCTTTTTTAAAGGAAAAGTTCTGCTATATTCACAGCATGGAATACAATCTAAAATGAATGAACTATAGCTATACACATCATGCAGCAAAAAGATGAATTTTTAAAACATTTCTGTTGAAAAAGGCAACGGGTCAAACAATTACATATATATGATTCCACTTACATAAAGTCAAAACAGGCCGGGTACGGTGGCTTACACCTGTCATCCCAGCACTTTGCGAGGCTGAGGCAGGCAAATCACGAGGTCAGGAGATGGAGACCATCCTGGCCAACATGGTGAAACCCTGTCTCTACTAATAATACAAAAATTAGCTGGGTATGGTGGCACGTGCCTGTAATCACAGCTACTCAGGAGGCTGAGGCAGGAGAATCCCTTGAACCCGGGAGTCGGAGGTTGCAGTGAGCCGAGATTGCGCCACTGCACTCCAGCCTGGTGACAGTGAGACTCCATCTCAAAAAAAAAAAAAAAAAAGGCAAAACAAGAAAAAAGGTACTGTTTAAAGATCAGAAAACTATAATCAATATAAATTTCATGATGCTGGTTACCTCTGGGGGAAAGGCGAAGCTATGATTGGGAAGGGACAAAAAGAGGTTCTAAGGCACTGGTTGTGTTCTATGTCTTAACTTGGGTGGTATTTTTAAACAATGCACATTTTAAAATATGTATTCTTTTGTACATATGCTCCATTTCACAATAAAGAATATCTTTAAAAAAGTAGGAGTAAAGCGTAGTCCTGTTCTAGCTGGCAGGAAATCTATGTATATAAAAACAAAAACCAAACGTGAATGTAACAAGTGTCAAAGCAAAAATAGGAACAGTGGGTGCTCAGGAATTCACAGCAGGAAGGGCACTATCCAGCTTCAATGGGAGCAGAGGTGCTAAGATAGTGGGATGTGACTTCAAGCTTATACAGCAGATGTGATCTGGGTAGCTGATGATAATGTAGGGAATTCCAGACAGGCAATGGCAGGTATCAGGTGAGCACCTGTGTGCTAGACCAGGTATCCTCTGTTAGAGCCAGAGAGGAGGCTTTGAGTAGGGAAAGAAAAGTAAAATGGGACAGAACCTCAGGTACTGGGCTCAAGTGTTAGATTTCAGTAGATTTATATTACAGGCAACCAAGATATTTGAGCATGATATACCGTTCAAAATAATACAAACTCGTGTAACCTTTCCTATCCCCTAAAGTTTATTAAAAAAAAAAAAAGTTAGGAACTGGTTAAAAAGCTATCATCAGAGTTTACTATATTTGGAGACCAAATTCTTTAAGGACATGATGGGGAATAATAATATTTCTACAAGGTAAATTTTACTAATGTGATAATTGAGGCTGTGAGAGACTGAAGTGAGATGCCCAAGGTCACACAACTAAGTGGCAGAGATGGGGTTTGACATGGTTTTACCTCTAAGGCATGAGCACTTACCATCCTACCATGCTGCTGCTGCTCCAAAAAGCATGCAAGAAAAATACAGCCTATTTGTAAAGCTCTTTCCTCTTAAGGTTAATTGATCATTCCACGGTTTGTTTCTTCTGATAAATGAAGAGGATATTTGATATCCCCAAGCTTACTCTTTATTTTATACACGTAAGTATATGTAACACACACAACACTCTTGCTCTATTTAATCCTTAAAAGGATAAAAATCATAATGCCCAAATTTGTGCACAGATAAAGCTATCGATTAAATAACAACTATTATGCATATGGCACTATGCTCAGTGTGTGGCCCCAAAAGGCTTTTGTTCAAACAGTAAGATGGGTCATCTGCATAAAAATAAGCAAGGTGACAAGTTGGGGCTATCAGGGCAGTACTGACATTAAGGGCTACTGAAATTCCAAAGTAATGAATGCAGGTGGGATTTTCAGAGGTGGTTTTGTGCAGGAAGTGGGGGCAGGGACAATGCATGGGAAAGAGTCAGATGACTGCCTTCAACAAATGTTCTAATGAGGATGGGGGAACCCACCACAGAGATCTGACACCTGTGTTGCAGAGTGGAGGGAAGGCACTGCCCCATCCTAGCAATACAAACCCATAAGCCTAAAACCGAAACAGAGTACATAAGAATGAGATATTCCTTCCACCTCCTCGGACGCCCACCCCTCCTGACTCAACTTCCCGGCCTGGAGCCACAGCACCTACTTAGATCCTCTTGTATTAAACTGTTTGATCCTCTTGTTTTAACTGCTAAGCTTCCGCCCATGATTTGCCTAGACTTAATATAAATGTCATACATAGTCATAACATGATAGTAATACTAATTAAAATAAGTTAAAACATGAATATAGTGTAAACTATTCTTTTCTAACCTGCTCTCTTGACAGTTTACTAATGACTAAGCAGTAGTAATAATAAGAGCTCATAATAAGAATATAAAGTATTCATATGTCGCAGGCATTGGTTAGTGTTTGCTTGGTTTACTCAGTTAATCTCCAAAATGACAATGTGAGGAAACCAAGGCATGAAGAAGTTAAATAACTTCTCCAGGATCCCATGGCTGGTGAGTGACAAGGCTGGGATTCCATCCAGGCAGTCTGGCTGCAGAGCCAAGGCTCTTAGCCATGACTAGGCTGCTATTGTAAGACATTCCCAGAATTATAAGGGTATTGTCTGAGAGTGACGTTTGTTAATTTATGGATTAACTCCTGCCTATGGACAATTAATTTGAAAGTGAAAAAGGTATGCCTAAGAATCCTGGCAATCCCCCAAGTATAGTTAAGGTCCCAGCAACAGAAAGTAACCAATAGGAAAGCATATTATGAAGTAAGCAACTTAGCATTCAAGAAGACTGAAGAAAGACTTTTCAGAAGGATGCAGTTTGCAACAGAGGTTAAGGAAAAAATGGAATAACAACAAGAAATGGGTGGTGCTTAAGATCAGCAGGTGACCCACAAGTAGACTGTGCTGGACATTGTCTAAGGGCCTCCCCAGCTCCTGTCTCTGGATTTGGGTGTCAGAGCTCATGCAGAGGAAGGGCACAATGGTCCAATCCACCTGCACACAGACTGCCCTCTGCTGCAGGCAAGAATATACACCTGAGCCTCTGGCTCTGTCCGTATCCCAGCATGGCTCTGGACCGCCACACGACTGGTTCAAGAGGATTCTGCAGCCCTCCTGGATACCAGCTCCATGCCGGTTAAATACCTCTCCATATGGCCTGTGGCCTTCCTCTTGAATGTCAACAAGAACACCATTTGGAAACAATCCACACCCTGCATTTCACTGTGACTCAGGCACTGATCTCTACCTTCATGAATCCCTGAGTATCTCTTTAATTCTAAATCTGTTACTCCCTGTAGTCAGGGGAAGGATCCTCCTTCCTCAAATTACCTTCTTTACCTATTCTACCCTAACAAAGTGAAAAAACTGTATCCACTGGATAGTCCTTTCATAGACAGGGCAGTTTTCATTTTAAGAAATCCCTTGGTAAGGCTGTTTAAAGTAGAAACTGGGATCTTAAGGGGTCCTAAATGTGGGTGAGACTGCTTTTTCTGCCCTAAGGCAAGAAATCCCTTGGGTGCCAGCAAGACAGGGGGTGAGTGGGGAGAGATGGGAGAGGTGAGCAGGACTGTGGAGGGCAGTACTGCACAGTGATGTAGCCTCCCAACAGCTACCCACATTGCAATGAAACAAATCACAAAGTGTTAGGATGTAAGTAGGTTTCTTTACAAATTAGTTGGGGCCAGTTTACTGAGTGGCAAACTTGAAACAGACTCAGAAGTGTGAAGGCACAGAGAAGCATGAGCGAGGAGGTAAGAAAGATTCTGGGGCATACAGAAATCACGCAAAGGATTCAGATATCATAGGTATGCTCAGCCCTGTTTCTGTCCAGTAAGGAATGGAAATGCTTTTAGATGCATTAGGTATTGACATTACTTTCTCTTTTTTTTTTTTTTTTTTTAAGACAGTGTCTCACTCTCTCACTCAGGCTGGAGTCTAGTGGTACAATCTCAGCTCACTGCACTTCAACCTCTGAAGTGCAAGCAATTCTCCCACCTCAGCCTCCCAAGTAGCTGGGACTACAGGCACAGGCCACTATGACTGGCTAGTTTTCGTATTTTTATTTTATTTTTATTTTTTGTAGAGACGAGGTTTCACCATGTTGCCCAGGCTATTCAAGCGATCCACCTGCCTCTGCCTCCCAAAGTGCTGGGATTACAGGTGTGGGCCTGACATTACGGGCCCGGCCTGACACTACTTTAATCAAACTGTTACACACCTACTATCTATGGAAATGGATAGTGGTAGTGAATGGTCAGAGGTTTTAGAGGACCAGCTTTTTATGAGAAGAGCAGGCCTGGATAAGTCACTGAACACGGAAGGTTTAGACCAGCCCAAGAGCCCTTTGGGGGTGGGAAGAGGGCAGAAAAGTGAGAAATAAGGCAGCTGTTAAGTGGGGGAAAAATGGGGCTTGGATAGGAGGGTGAGAGAGAAGTGAAGCCAGATTTTGCAACTTTGTGTAAGGCAGTCATATCACAAGAATGTTCCTAGAACTCATCTAGGGCAGCACTTGGCTTGATATGAGGGATCTCTGCCTGGACCGAACAATGGCCACCTTATATGAAGGTTCAGGAGTCCTTTTAACTCCCATTATGCTCTAACTGTACAACTAAACAGTTATTTACACAGCAAAGGAACCTGAAGGGCTTGCTCTATAAGCTTTCATAAGACACATCATACACAAAAAGAATGAGCAACAGGTCTTGAACACTAGTCTGTTTTCATATCTAGAGTTTCAATCTAGATATTAATTTCAAGTAATTATTTTTATGTCTCAATTACGTTCTCTGAGAAATGTCTTTAAAAGATCATTTTCTATCATAATCAATTTACCCTTTAGTCATTTATGAAAATCGAGAATTACCATACCAAAATGAAGTAAGGGCAAACGTCATAAGTAAAAGGAGAAACTACTTCTTAAGTTAACCTAAATGCAAATTTAGGGGAACACTTAAAAGGCTAACCCAGAATATTTTTCTAGTGTTTTCTCTCTCCCACCAAATGCAACCAGCAGTTATTAGTCAGAATTTACATTGCATGGCTAAAAACAAAATAGAGGCTGGGCGTGGTGGCTCACACCTGTAATCCTAGCACTTTGGGAGGCCGAGGCGGGAGAATTGCCTGAGTTCAGGAGTGCGAGACCAGCGTGGGCAACACAGTGAAACCCTGTCTCTACTAAAATACAAAAAAAAAAAAAAACTAGCTGGGCATGGCGGTGTGTGCCTGTAGTCCCAGCTACTTGGGAGGCTGATGCAGGAGAATTACTTGAACCGAACCTGGGAGGAGGCGGAGGTTGCAGTGAGCCAAGATCACACCACTGCACTCCAGCATGGGTGACAGAGCGAGACTGTGTCTCCAAAAAAAAAAAAAAAAAAAAAAAAAAAAAACCTAAATAAAAGAAATAAATAAATAAAAGCAAAATACTTCACCAATGAATAAGAAGGGGAAATGTTGATGTCAGAAGATAGCGTTGAACTGACCTCAACCCAGAGTAAGGATAACCATAAGATTCACTGACTCACTCCCTGACTTACCACTAAACTACTAGCCAGGAATTAAAAAAAAAAAAAGGTTGAGTACATGTCACAATTGTCTCTACATTACTGAGAGCCATTCATTCTGACCCAGTAATGGGGATTTGTCTCAGCTTGCATACATCTCTTAAAATAAATGTTCTAATTTTAACTTGATAGAATCTCAAAAGGGTCGTCCAGATCACAAGACATAGTTTGAACACAAGCCAGCAATAATACTGCTTATGTGAGCCGTTAAAATTATCCCTGTGACCTGATGTTACCAAAAGATCAGATAGAATTTTCATGACTAGTTTAGTAGTTGAGAAACAGCCAGTAACATGTGGATGAGACTACAGAACTGTTTAGAACAGAAAAGGAACTGGTTTATGACAGCACACACAGGAGCAATTTTAGTCCTCACTAAGCTCTTTACGTGCATTGTTCAGTCAGATACCGAGAAAGACGGCACTGCTTGTGCGACACTTCTCTGGGAATCATGGCAGCAATGTCAAGCATCCTCTTGCCCACTTCTGTGGCTCATGTTCTCTATTATATTGCGACTCACTCATGCACCTTCTCAGACTCACTTGCCCACATGGGCAGAGCCACACACAAGCCCTTCTCCCACAACCAACTGCACACCTCTCCTCTCTCACGCACTCACAATCTAAGTTAGGAGTCACAAACCCAAGTAACCAAGGAGTGGGCCTGATCATGGAGAGGAGGAATGGACTTGCTGAGGTGGGGCCTGAGGAACACAAAGGGTGCATATCCCATCACTAGAAGATAGCTGCTACCCCCAGCAAACAACTGACCAGACACCCACCCAATTTCTTTGCCTTGCAAACTAATCCTCCCAATAATACCCTGGAAATCAGAACAATGTCAGCACTCGAACCCAGACTTTAATAACCTACACTAGGACCTAGTCAACAACATTATCTTCTAGGCTGGCCTCTCTTCACAGACCAGGTCAGGGAAGGACTTACAACACCAGGCCACTAGGGAGACTCTCCTGGAGGCAGCATGTCATTCTTAGCCTCTATTGGCTGATTGCTCATTCATTCATTCAGCCAAAACATAACACCTGCCTACAAGCATCTGTGCCCATACACTTTGCCTTCCTTCATGTTACCAAGGATAAACTGTCCTGGCTCTTTTTTTTTTTTCTTTTTTGTTTTTTTTTTTTTTTTGAGACGGAGTCTTGCTCTGTCACCCAGGCTGGAGAGCAGTGGCACGATCTCGGCTCACTGCAAGCTCCACCTCCTGGGTTCACGCCATTCTCCTGCCTCAGCCTCCTGAGTAGCTGGGACAACAGGCGCCCGCCACCACACCCAGCTAATTTTTTTGTATTTTTAGTAGAGACGGGGTTTCACTGTTAGCCAGGACGGTCTCGATCTCCTGACCTCGTGATCTGCCTGCCGCGGCCTCTCAAAGTGCTGGGATTACAGGCGTGAGCCACTGCGCCCGGCCTGTCCTGGCTCTTATCTGAAGCCAGTCTCTCCACTTGTGTTCTAGGTGCCATCCCCTTTCACCTATCCAAGGACATCACTCCAGCATCTCCCCACAGTTTTCTGCATTGTCCCCACCCCCAACATCATTCCTATCAATACAAAAACATGCTGTGGTGACATCTATCTTTACACAACAATCACCACCGCCCTCTCTCGAACCTACATTCCCATCCAGCTGCCACCCCATTAGAGCAGATGCCTCAGAAGAGCTGTCTACATTCACTGCCTCCAATTCTCCTCCTTCAGTCTCCTGGACCCACTTGTCAGGCTTTCTCCCCCACCACTCCACCAGACGTCCTCTTGCCAAAGTCACCAGGAACCTCCACATTCCACATCCAGTGCCAATTCTCAGTTGTCTTGTATCTGACCTCATATCTGTGAGCATCTGACACAGACACAGATCACTCCTTCCTCCTTGAAACATTTTCCTTGCTCGGCTTCTGCAATACCACACTTCCCTGAGTTCCCACTTGCCTTGCTGTCTCTTGTTCCTATTCTTCTATTCTCTTGTCCCTATTATCTTCCTGCCATTGGGTCAATCCTCAGGACTCTTCTACTGATAATCACTCCCTTGGCTACATCATCTTGTCTCGTGACTATAAGTATCATTTATATGCTGACAACTCTCATATGTTCCAGACTTCTCTCTGGAGCTCCTGACTTTTATCTCTACTTAGCTATTTCATACTTTCACTAGGATGCTAATATGCACCTCAGACTTCATACATCTAAAACCTAATACATTCCGTTCATTTCTGACCAATCCCTACCCCTACGAACTTGCTTCCCCCATGTTCTTTCCTATTTCAGGAAATGGCAACTCTATCATTCCAGTCACTTAGACCACAAACCTGTAACAGTCACATTTGACATATCCTACCAAATACCTGATTTTTCCAAAGAAATTGGAAACCTGGGTTTTATGTGAAATTCCCTAATTTTTAAAGCATTGACAATTAAGTTAAAAAAAATTCTGTGTAGCACAAACAAAACATACTTGTGTGATAAATACAGTCTGGGGCCCACAGATTTGAGACTTCTGAGGAAGTTATGCCTTTTTTTTTTTTTTTTTGAGACAGAGTCTTGCTCTGTCACCCAGGCTGGAGTGCAGTGGTGCAATCTCAGCTCACTCCAACCTCTGCCTCCCTGGTTCAAGCCATTCTTCTGCCTCAGCCTTCTGAGTAGCTGGGATTACAGGCATGCACCACTACGCCCAGCTAATTTTTATGTATTTATATATATGTATTTTTTTTTTTAGTAGTGTCAGGGTTTCAGCATGTTGGCCAGGCTGGTCTCAAACTCCTGGGCTCAAGAGATCCTCCCTCCTTGGCCTCCCAAAGAAGTTATGTCTTCTTGGGCTCAAGAGATCCACCCTCCTTGGCCTCCCAAAGAAGTTATGTCTTCTTGGGCTCAAGAGATCCACCCTCCTTGGCCTCCCAAAGAAGTTATGTCTTCTTCCACTCAATCCTCATGCCTTTAACCTCCCATGAGCTCCCTCTTCGACCGAGATGGCATTCCTCCCCCAGACTTCTGCCCATGCGATCTCACTCCTTGTGCCCTTTTTGCTATTGTCAGAGCAGCATCTAAAGGCTGGGTTGGGTCCGATATGGAAGCTTTTCTCTTGGTGATAAAGACTTAGGTAAGGCACCAGAATATGCAGCAGTGAGATCTGAGGACAGATCATCTGATAGAGATAAACACTTCGGATGAGGTCAGAATGACCAGATAGCCACTCTGTGAAATGGGGCCCCAAGAGGCATCACTATCACCGAGAAAGAGGGAACAAGACATCTGTGCAACCACTGCTTGATTCTTCTTCTTAACACTCAAACCATGACAGACTGTGCCATGTGCCATACAAGAAACTGTACACCTAAGCAGTGGCTAAGTGGATTAGACTCCAAGCTCCCTTATTCATCTCTGAGGCCTTGAGTGAGCAGAAAGTGTGGCACAAGGTACACGCTCCAGGTTTGCCAACTGAATGAACGATCAGCAGGCCAACAAATGGCTGGAAAAAAAGAGTGACCCAAACTCTTTCTGAGTCAGCCTCAGGGTTGAGTGAATATGTATGAGTGTGAAAAGAAATGAAAATAGACTACGGCTTCCAATAACAATAGTTACGTGGAGAGTTGGAGCCAAGGAGGTGTCTCAGGGAGCGAAGAAAAATAACCAAATCAGAACTACACAGGGACGATAGAATTCACAACACTGAAGGTTTAATTTCTTTGGGGAAAATACTGATAAATAGGTTTGATAAGGTCTTAGTGAATGAGTCTGATTCTTAAAAAAGAAAGAAATATTAATATCCTCAGAACTGTTTAAAAGAGTAGAATAAATGAAAAAATATTTAATTTTACTAGGCCAGGTCTCTAGTCATATCTAAACTCAAGTAAAGGGTAAAACAAAATATTTATATGGAAAGTATTGGGTGAATGAGGCTTTGTACTCAATTTGACCAATTAATTTATGTAGTGGTTTGAAGAAATACCAGAGAATTCTGTCTCTCTGCTTTAAGGTGTGTTTTATATAGCATGAGATTCCTAGAGAGCGTTTAGTCAGTGGATATAATAGAAAGCAAAAATGAAACTAAACGATTTTTAAAAGACTAATAAGATTTTTTTTGCAGTGCTATGCACAAACCATACTATATGCTATCTGGATGAAACAAAACCTTCAGTTAGAGAAAACTTAAAAAAACGTATTTATTAAAAGCCTAAGAAACCTAACTATATATCCCAAACATTATGCTAAGCACTTTCAAAAATATTATTAATAAATGCATTTATGGGCTGGGCACAGTGGCTCACGCCTGTAATCCCAGCACTTTGGGAGGCTGAAGTGGGAGGATCACTTGAACCTAGGAGTAAGACCAGTCTGGGCAACATGGCAAAACCGTGTCTCTATAAAACACACACACACACACACACACACACACACACACAAATTAACTGAGCATAGTGGCACATGCCTGTAGTCCCAGCTACTCATCAGGAGGCTGAGGCAGGAGGATCACTTGAGCCTCAGGAGGTCGAGGCTATAGTGAGTCGTGATTCTACCACTGCACTCTAGCCTAGGCAACAGAGCAAGATTCCGTCTCAAAAAAATAAAATGCATTTATGACTTGTTTTCTGATGCAATACTACAAACTAACTTAAAAATTACTAAACCAAGCATTTTAATTTTCAAATTATGCCGTGTTAAAGAGGATCTTCCCTTACAAAAAAAAAATACTAATTCTGTTTTTTTATATTTGAGTAGTCATTCGAAGTGATAAAACTATTAGTTTGTTTCCTTTATCTTTTGTTCTAACCAAATGATACAGAGAGAAAGGCACTAGATGTGCTATTTTGTGGCTTAAATTCATACTAAGTTTGCTTTATACCAGGGCATCCTTTAGCTGAAGCTTCATGTAAGACCAAAGGCCACAAAGTTCTAGATATCCAAAACTCTAAGATTCTGGGGTGTCTAAATACTGCTTTGGGGACATCCTAGTGCATGGTTATTTGGAGTTGGCAAGACAAACACTCCATTCTTCCTTCCATGAAGCCGAAGTTGCTCCAGACCACTCCATGGTCTCTAATTCCACCTGCCACCACCCATGCTGTCCTAGGGAAGGCCAGCATACTATAGGGCTACTTAGTCCTGGAGACCACCAAGGTTATTCTGAACCCAAGAGTGGGCCTTCAAATTCACAGGGATCTTTGGAGAGTAGCAATGATGACCGAAATGCTTGTAATGGGTTACTTTCATTTAAAAAACATTTGGACTACAATTTTATATTACCTTATAATAAAAAAGAAATGTAACTACCTGTACCTTTTCAGCCTTTCCCAAATATAAAAGAATATAAGGAAAAATGTCTCTGGATGGGTCTCCACAAGAAAAGCAAATATATTTTCTGGCAGAGGGAAGGGAAAATGAGTTCTGTGATCTGGTTTCAATATTCCTCAATAGGCAGCAATGGGCAAGACAAAGCATGGCTCTGAGCAGCCTTATCACAGAAACGTAGAGCTGACCCCCACAAGCTGCACTGAAGCAGCAGCATCTCCAGCCGGCCCTGGGCCAGCTGAAATCCGGCTAATGGACGGAGTTGTTCCCAACTTTCCCAGTGTGTCATATTCTCTATGGTTACAATAAACCCGGGGGATTTCCAAAATTAGCACTCATTCATTGAGCCAGGAAGAAGAAAACCATCCTGTTTCAGTAATTTAGATCTCTAACTGGTTTTTTGGGGGCAATTCATTTGGAGGATATAAAATCAACTGGGTTCTTGAGAGAAAGGGCCAAGGTTCTAGCAAATTAAGTCTGTCTTACCCCTCAAAACTTAACTCTGCTCCACCTGCTTCTTGTGTGTTAAAATAAAAGTACTGCAAGCAGTGTCTGCATAAACCAGGCTATCCCCGAAAGGTACAACGTGCTCAATGGTGCTAAGGTGGAAATCAGATGGAGTCAAACAGAACCACATGCTCACTGTGCAGGACTGAGTGGAATGGTCATACTATTCAAAAGTCTTTCTCCTCTGCACTGTCAACTTTTTGCTTGCTAAACTGAATTCAGTCAATTAAACTATAAGCAAATGTCCTATTATAGACAAATTCGGCTCTAGGGGTCACACTGTCATGGTTTGCAAGAACACTATTCAGACTAGCAGGGTTATAAGTAAGGATTAAAATGGATCAGGTTCACATTTCCATGTGAGACACGTTTGTATTTTACAAGGCCAAGGACTGAGAGGTGAAAATAATGCTTCTCCTATTCCTCCCTTGACAGTGAATCCTGTTGTCTGCTTTACTCAGAACACAGTTGGTGTGTTTAAGAGTCTGCTTGTTCCCATTGTACAAAGGGAAGAGAATGTAATATGTTGGAGACATATACCAAGGGAACAGTTAGGGAGGAAAGAACATGAGATGCTTCTAATCCTTATCTGGAGGATGTTGATAGAGTCTTCCCAGAAAAGAACAGAAAAGGAAACATTGCTGCTACAAAAAGCCAGACATGCTTATTACCGTGGTGTAAGACTTACGGAGAGGACTTTGGATAATGAAATATGAGGAGTGAAAGGCCCTTTGTTTTCCGCTAACTCAGGAATGTCCATATGGGACAGAGATTGGCCCAACTCAGTGAAGGGCTGTGCTGCTCACAACTGTCTCAGGATCGACCTGACAGCTAGTCCCCTGTTCAAGAAATCTAAATCATCTTCTTAGTTAAACACAAATGAGTCAGAGGCTAAATAATAGGATCCTGTCCCTAACAGTGAGATAAACAGTGCAGCAAGGCTGTATTAGTTGTAAGGTGTATCAGAACTGCACCAGGGGCCGGGAGCAGTGGCTCATGCCTGTAATCCTAGCACTTTGGGAAGGCAAGGTGGGCAGATCACCTGAGGTCAGGAGTTCAAGGCCAGCCTGGACAATGCGGTGAAACCCCATCTCCACTAAAAATACAAAAATTAGCCGTGTG
Organism: Homo sapiens; assembly: GCF_000001405.40. Classification (NCBI taxonomy): domain Eukaryota; kingdom Metazoa; phylum Chordata; class Mammalia; order Primates; family Hominidae; genus Homo; species Homo sapiens. The sequence goes on along the minus strand of NC_000003.12, from coordinate 149,010,482 downwards.
TAGTGGCACGTGCCTGTAATCCCAGCTACTAGGGAGGCTGAGGCAGGAGAATCACTTGAACCAGGAGGTGGAGGTTGCAGTGAGCCAAGATCATGCCACTGCACTCCAGCCTGGGCAACAAAGTGAGACTTCGTCTCAAAAAAAAAAAAAAAAAAGAACTGCACCAGGGACTGTGCGTGCTAAACAAGCACGTTACCAAAAACAACAAATGTCCACTGAGCACTTTATATGTATTAATTTGTTTCATCCTCCTGACAACCCTATGAGGTAGGTACTATTTTCCTCCTCGTTTTACATATGGAGGAGCTGAGGCACCAAGTCTTAAGTCATGTAGCAGATAAATGACAGAGTGAGGACATATGCCCTGCCTTTCTGGTTTACGAATTACTCTGAACACTATATTGCTTCTCTCAAATAAAAATGACTAACAATCTAACGTGTACTGAGCAGTTGGGTAGACCAGGCCCTCTTCTAACCATGCTACATGATTACCTCCCTTACTACCCACAATAACCCTATGAAGACATGGAGGCAGAAAGAAGTTCAGTAAGTAGGCCAGGAAGTGGTCACTGCAGGATGTGAAGTGAGGTCATCCAGCTCCAGAGCCCTTATTCTTAGCCACAGCAGCACACTGCTGCCTGCATCTGGCTTAATCCCCACAACAATTATGAGGGAGCTTTTAACACCTTTTTGCAGGTGAAGGAAACCAAAGCTCAGCAGCCAGTATGGGGAAGACATTGAGTTAGGGCACAAACTCAGCTCCTCCAAGTTGTAAGTCTGCAGAGCTTAAGAGTCTGTGTTTTTGACCATGACATATTAATAACTTACCAGAGGGCCATGAACCCCAGAAACTGATGGGAACCTTGTCCCAAAGGCAACTAAGGACCCTAGGGTCAAGCATGAGGCAACCGATAACATCAAGGCCTCTCCCCATTGCAGCCACGGTTCTTACAAGAGAAACTTTCCTCAAAGTGTCTATCTGTTATTTCCCTCGGAATGACAATGAAGCAGCCCCAAAATTGTACACCCCAATTCTCTGCCCTCAACATCTCCAACAATAGTTAAACCATCTGCACTTACACTTTAAATGCCGGGAGGTAGGAGTATATAGAGATGCTGCTTAGGTTATAAATAAACGGCAGGTGTTTTCTGATATCTGTTGTTGCCCAGCTGCTAAAAAATGTGTTCAGTATGCCTTGGTCCCCACCTAAAAGAAAAAAATATATAAATTAGTTAACAGATCTCTAGACAGTTTAATAATTTTATAGGAGCACATAACTGGACCTTTAAAAATAGACACTAATTCCATTTTTTTTTTTTTTTTGAGACGGAGTCTCGCTCTGTCACCCAAGCTGGAGTGCAGTGGCACGATCTCAGCTCACTGCAACCTCTGCCTCCTGGGTTCAAGCAATTCTCCTGTCTAAGCCTCCCGAGTAGCTGGGACTACAGGTGCATGCCACCACGTCAGGCAATTTTTTGTTATTTTTAGTAGAGATGGGGTTTCACCGTGTTGGCCAGGCTGGACTCGAACCCCTGATCTCAAGTGATACACCTGCCTTGGCCTCCCAAAGTGCAAGGACTACCAACGTGAGCCATCACGCCCGGCCCTCATTTTTGAGTTAAGTTCCTTGACACACCAATTAAAAACATTTTAAGGAGTGGCCATTTCCCTGATTTAACTCATTAATTCGACAAATATCTATTGAGCAGCTACTATGTACCAGATACTGTACTAGGCATTGCAGAGTCAACAGTGCACAAAGAGATATGGTCACTGTCTTCACAAGGGTCAGGTGGGAGACACCAACAGCAGCAAATCAAATCAACAAACATCACACAGATGGAGATGAATGCAGTGAAGGAATGTACGTGGCACTACAGGCACACGTGGAAGTGGCTTGAGCTACATCTGATGGGCGAAGGAAGGCTTCCACAAGGAAGTTGTGTTTAAACCAATATCTGAGGGGTGCACAGGCATACCTGAAAAATGCCGATGGGGGAAAGACGGGGGACCGTGTCCCAGGCAGAACAAAAATAGTGCACACCACCGACCTGTGGCGGGCAGGAGCATGAGGCTATGGATAGAAGGCCTGGAAGGTGGCCTGAGTAAGTGGACTCGGCGGGAATGAGTTGCATGGCACCAGGTGAGTCTCAGAGAAGGCGGCAGGGACCAGACCACATAGGGATCAGGTTGTACACTTTATTTCCAGTTAAAGATTTCAGACTTTCCCCTGAGTATAACAGGACAAAAAGAATCAAAAAGTAAAAGAGAGCAAACTGGAACAATGGAATTGTTTTCCAGGGCCCACAACTGTTGGCTTATCAACAGAGGGCCCAGAAGGCCACATTACCCCTATGGTGCACTCTCCCACCACTGACCAAAAGTCTCTGGGCAGATCCTGCTCAGTCACCACTGTGGCCAGCGTCAGCTACAATGATACAGCAAAGTGTCTGCTCAGCCCTTGGGGCTCCTGGACTTCATATCTTCCTCAGAAAGCGGGGATCATGGCCATTCATTCAAAAGAAATAAAAACAATACAAGACACATTCTTCCATATATTTCATGTGCTTTCTATTTTAGACTCATGAGATTTCAGAAAACACACTCAGAACCAGAGTCTCCCAAGCAGCAGAACAGGAGTTCACGATGTGTGTGCATGTGCATGAGTGCATATGTGCGAGTGTGTATGGGGATGGCAGGCAGGCAGACACCTGCTCTAAGCATCAGGCAGGAATACTGCATAGTCACTCCTCTCCTCAGTCTCCTTTGCCAAAAAATCCAGGTCGTTTCTCAACATACAGCAAGTCCAGTCGGCTGTCGTTACTATTCAATTTTCCTTACTTTTCAAGGAGACTTTAAAAATCTAGAGATCTATTTAATTTTTGGAGTTAAGTAGTAAGATCAGGACTTTAGGTTTAAAGTCCAAGTGTACCTTATCCACCCTCTGCGTATTCTATCCTTTCCAAATACCTTCAATCAACTCTAAGAATCAAAGGCGTTCACTTATTGTCTTGAGGAAACCCCTCCTTAAACAGCACCCCTGACAGGTCTCTGTTCCTCAAAGGACGAACAACAGAAAATCAGTTTCACTCTTATAAGTTCTAAAGGACAATAAAGATGGCAACAGAATATGCTTCACTGTTATAAAAATGCAATGGACTCAATGTTTAGATACCCCAAAATTCCTACATTGAAATCCTAACCCCAAAGTTGATGGTATCTGGAGTGGGGTCTTTGGAAGGTGATTAGGTCATGAGGGCTCTGCCCTCATGCATAGGATTTGTGCTCTTATAAAAGAGGCCCAAGTGAGGTCCCTCACCTCTTCTGCCACATGCAGCAGTTATAACAAAAAAACAAAAATAAAAAAGCTGTCTATGACCCAGGAAGTGGGCCCTCTCCAGCCACTGAATCTGCTGGCACCTTAATCTTGGAATTCCCAGCCTCTAGAACTGTGAGAAATATATTTCTGTTGTTTATAAGCCATTTAATCTATGATATTTCATTATAGCAGCCTGAATAGGCTAAGACAAAGGACAGATATGAGAACCAAAGACAATTTTAGCTAATAGGCAAATTAATGTATTCTGAGGCACAAACTATCAAAGCCAAAACATCATGCCATTCATTAAAGGCTTATTTTGGATTCTACAAAGATACCCAAATGTGGGACTAGACACTAATGGCTGAGGTACAGAGGCCTGAAGTCTTAACTAATTTCCTTTTACACATAATCATCAAAATACTGCCAATCGGTTCCATGGGAACAGAAAAAAAGGCTAAGGAAATGTTCACAGCAGCTTTGTTCATAATGGTACAAACTGAAAACAGCTCAAATGTCACTCAGCAGGTATATGGATATGGTACATCCATGTGGGATATTTCTCAGCTATAAGACGGAACAAACTAGAGATACAATAACCTGGATGAATCTTAAATTAATTACACTCAGTGAAAAACTCCAATCTCACAAAGTTATATACTATGTAATTTCATTTATATAACATCAAATAATAAAAGTATAGAGATAGGAAGCAAATTAATGGTTGCCAGGGGAGAGGGAAAGAATGACAGATGTAGTTGTGGCTGTAAAAGAATATGATGGGCCAGGCGCAGTGGCTCACGCCTGTAATCCCAGCACTTTGGGAGGCCGAGGTGGGTGGATCACAAGGTCAGGAGTTCAAGACCAGCCTGACCAATATGGTGAAACCCCGTCTCTACTAAAAATACAAAAATTAGCCGGGCATGGTGGCACGCGCCTATAGTTCCAGCTACTTGGGAGGCTGAGGCAGAAGAACAGCTGGAACCCGGGAGGCAGAGGTTGCAGTGAGCTGAGATCACGCCACCGCACTCAAGGCAGGGTGACAGAGTGAGACTCGGTCTCAAAAAAAAAAAAAAAAAAAAGAATATGATGAAGGGTCCTTGTGATGGAACTACTCTGCATCTTGACTATGGTGGTAGTCACACCAATCTACCCATGTGATAAAGTTGCATAAAAACCAAAAGTGCATATACATATACACATACACACAGAAAAGGGAATACATATAAAACTGGTGAAATCTGAGTAAGGTTGGTGGATTGGTCCAATGTCAATCTCCTGGTTGGGGCAATACATTTTAGTTATGTAAGGTACTACCATTAGGGGAAAACAGATGAAGCATATGTGGGATCTGTCTGTATTATTTCTTACAACTGCATGGAAATTCTCTCAAAATGAACAGGTTTTTAAAAAACTCTTACAATTAATGTGCAAAATACAATCAGGAATTAGATGCTAAATTCCACAAGAACAGAGATTATGGCCTTTTGCTCACCATTATGATGCTAACATGTAGCAGAATGCCTTACACATAGGCAAATTATTTATGGAATGAATGCAAGAATCTTGAAGATATTCTGTAACAGCAGAAAAATTTAAACGACTTATATTCTACCATACAGGAATGGTTAGTATATTAATACTAACTACTCATGGAATATGATTCAGCAATTAAAACTAATGTCTATAAAGACAACTTCAGTACACTGTGTAATATATACAGCTACATACATTGTGATTATAACTAAGAACATAAACATTAATTAACATTTATATTACAAGAAAGTAAATAAAATAATAGTAATTGCATTAGGGGATTGGTGTAATAGATGTTCCTTCCCCCCTCTTTTTCCTATTATTCTTTTAATGCTAAAATATTAGTAATACAACTGGGGGCAAGAATGAGAACTGTGCTTAGATCTTTTCTTTCTAAATACTCTTTACTTTTAATTTTTATTATGAAGTATACTACCAAAAAAAAAATATATGTGTAGGTTATAAAGGATATTAATAATAAAACTCTACACATTTATCCAATTTGAGAACCTGGACATTATAACACCTTCTTTAACTGAAGCAATTCCACTTAAAATGACTAACAGCTACCCATAATGCAGTAAAGAAATCTAATTCCACAGAGGCCTAAATCGTAGTTGTAAAGTAGAACTTCCAAATCCGACCTGCATGAGCCTGGGAAACAGGAGTCAGAGCTGCTGATCCCTCAAAGTCCCTGGCTGGCTGCCTTTGGCCACAAAAGGCCGTTTCTGTTTACCCTCAGGTACCCTACAAACATCATCAGCCCATCAGCTGTGTGCCACAGGAAGGCTGGGAAGCACGGGGTGTACAGAAAACAAGCAAGGAAGAGAAAAGGCACTGAAGCAGAACTGGTGAATCAACAGTGCCTGTTAAATTGGCAAATCCTGAAACACTCAACAAGAACCTTGGCTCCAGAGGGGACAACACAGGTCATAAAACTTCCAGGGCCACTGACCTCATTATGTGACTACAAAGGTTTATCATTTAGTCCAAAATTGTGGATTAAAAATAAATTAAATGCCATGTAGAAGTCCGTAGCTGAATTTTTAAATTCAGCGGTCTAGAAATCTTAACCACCTTTTCCCAAATGCACAGTTCAACATTTTAAGGTCAGGCAAATGTTTTAACGTCATCAGAAAAATCTATGTATGGTGTTACCAATATCCTCTCTTTAGAAAAATCTTTAAATGATAGGACAGTTCAAAGCAGAATGCAAATCTAGGCACATCTGTATTAGAAAACATACAAGGATGCCCTAAAGACTGCTGATTTTCCATAACAAAAACCCTACAACTTTTGTCCGATACATTTTAGTCAGACTTCTAGAGGCAGCTTTATCTAATCTGACAGGTTAAGATAATTTTAATCTCACTCATCTCAGAGCCAACAAACATGATTAGCAGGCATCACTAGCAGCTGTGATCCGGTACACCAGGGTGTGGTAACACAGGTGAGAGACAGGGAGAAAGGAAATGGAACAAGGGGCACATCGCATCTGTTTTGCGAACAAAAGCAAGTATCTCATTCTGAATCATCCTTCCACCCGGCTGCCCAAATGCAAATGCTGTGTAATCACCTTGCAACTACAGACTTGGTACTTTCTAGGTCTTCTGAGCAGGGTCACATACCTGGTAACCATGGATGCATTTATCAGAAACTGGGCCTATTTGTTTCCTAAGACAGAAACAAGAGTTAAGTGGTGTCTTTTTAAATCTGTGCATTTGTTCAATGCTTGTGTACTTTGCGTGCTCTTCCACAGTTTGCTGGCAGCTGGCTTGTCTACTGTGGATAACAGGGCAGTGAGTTAATTCTGGTTTAGACATGAGCCCCAGCATCTCAGCCAAAGGAATGTTCCCCCTATAATAGTGCTCCTCAAACTGTGGCCCGGGTTCCAGCAGCATGGGCATCACCTGGGAGCTTGACAGAAATGCAAACTGTTGAGCCCCACCCCAGACCTACAGAATCAGAAGCCACATCTTAATCCCTAGGGAATTTGTCTGCATATTAAATTTGAGAAGTACTAGAGTCTTTTGAAGAACGACTTCTTTATTATAACAAAGGATAATAACTTTTAAAAATATCATTTCTATAAAAAATGTCTAACATTTTATAAATTTGGTATTCACATAATAGGAAGATTCAGATAGGTTCCAACTCTCAGATACTTCAAAATCCAAAAAGGGACAGATGGACAAAGTAAATAAAGTAAAAGTCCAGGCACGGTGACTCACACCTGTAATCCCAGCACTTTGGGAGGCCGAGGTGGGTGGATCACCTGAGCTCAGGAGTTCAAGACCAGCCTGGCCAACATGGTGAAACCCCATTTCTACTAAAAACACAAAAATTAGCTGCGCATGGTGGCAGGCACCTGTAATCCCAGCTACTCAGGAGGCTGAGGCAGGAGAATCACTTGAACCCAGGAGGCAGAGGTTGCAGTGAGCCGAGATTGCACCATTGCACTCCAGCCTGGGCAACAACAGTGAAACTCCATCTCAAAAAAAAAAAAAAAAAATTATAGTAAAATATGCTTTATATTGTAATTGAGCTAGAGACAAGGACTGACATGAACATGTGACTCACTTCTATCTATCTATCTATTATTTATTTACAGAGACAGAGTCTTGCTCTGTCACCCAGGCTGGAGTGCAGTGGCGTACCTCAGCTCATTGCCTCTGCTTCCAGGGTTCAAGTGATTCTCCCACCTCAGCCTCCCAAGAAGCTGGGACTACAGGCATGTGCCACCACACCCGGCTAATTTTTGCATTTTTAGTAGAGATGGGGTTTAACCATTTTGGCCAGGCTGGTCTGGAACTCCTGACCTCAAGTGATCCACCTGCCTTGGCCTTCCGAAGTGTTGGAATTACAGGTGTGAGCCACTGCGCCTGGACACTTCTTTTTAAAACTAACTTCCTACAAAATGCTTGGTGGATATAATCATTACTGCCTATAGTGAGCATGCTAAGGATTAATAAATTACAGCTTATGAAAGCCCAGCTCTTGGGGATATTTTTATGAGATTTACTGAGGATCATTAGATTAACCCAAGGTGGCTTATGGAAATCCAGGCACTTGGAGCTTGGGCCCCAGCATCACGGCATCTCACTGGCCTCAACCCATTTAAGCCAAGAATAACTGATTTATTTTACTACTTCATGTTATAGCTTTTGTTTTTCACTACTTTGTTAAAAGATTATTAAGTATCAAGCTATTAATTATTACATACTTGCAAGGAAACATTTATTCTTGGCTTAAATGTCAGTTTCTCAGTCTAAGGCAGGTCCTCCTAGTCTGGACTCTTAGTACTCTGAACTTACTAGAATCATGATTACATAACTGTGTATTAGTTGTTAGATGTCTGTAAGGTCTCAGAATATAAACTTTATAGAGGCAGGAATAAAATCTGTATTATTTACCAGTCTATTTTTGCCCCTTCAATTTAGGATTTTGCCCAGATTAGAAATTAAAATTATGTTTGAAATAATGAATGGACCTACTACAGAAATATAGGTGAGAGGAACCCTTCCAAGAATACATCTAGACTCCATAAAACACTGCAAGACGATGAACTGTGCTGCTGATTTTAAACGACAAAGTATTTTTAGGTATTTTGGATCAGAGGGGAGGAACAGTAGCAATAGAGATAGAAGACTTGAGCCTCCATTCCTTCATTTGTAAAATGAGGAATATACCAGCTGCTCTGTCTACTCAGAGAAATTACTTAATTCATCTGTCATAAAGCCAAGGTAATAGGGATCTTCCTCCATCCCGTATTATTCTCAGGATACATACTCAAGAATGCTGCCATATGAGAGAATTGGGAATGGAAAAACCACCCACCACCACCACCCACCCCACCACAACACATAACCCAACCAGAGTTGAGAAGGACCCTGGTTCAGACCTGACTTTGCCTAGCTCAGAGACATCAGGCAAGCTGCTGCCCTGAACTGTACCAATGGCAGGTCCCCAGTGCTAGCTAGATAGCAGGCTCTCAATTAATATTTGTTATATGAATGGATGTATGAATGCCTACCTCACAGGACTGTTGAGAAATAAGTGAAAAAGTAGGTAAAATGACCAGCATACAAGCCTGCATACATATAACACATTAGTCCCTTCCTCCTCCTCTATTTCTCACAGGGTTCATGATCTCTGACAGTTACAAAGCTGGAGACAGGTGGCTAAGTTAAAAAAGTATATTCACGGGTACAGTGACATAACAATAGCTCTTAAAAAAACTTACGTGTGCTCATTAATTTTGCCATTACATGATATGGCTTTTGCTTTTCCTCAAGATACTTATTATCCAAACTATCAATAAAATGACACAAATGCAAGAGAACACAGTCATTTCCAAAACAACTGATAAATTACTAGAACAGGCAGCCTAGTGCTTGGGTGGCTGGGGGAAGTCACCATGGGAAGATAACTGTCCGGGCTGACCTATCAAGTCAGGGAACCAAGTGAAGCACACCAAAATCTCTCAGCTCATTTGGTTTGGACAAGTACCATCTTGAAATATCTCAGTCCTTCATTCTTTTTTTGGGCAGGTCCAACATGAAGCCTAATTAACTACAAAGATTTTAAAATCTAGCTCTGGGGTCAATTTTACACTTTAATACAATGTAGCACCAAATCATTTCTGTTAAACATTATTTTAAAACATTACTGTACTCTGCTTATGGGACTCAATGACCACTTAGAATTTGGAACACACAAATATAGTGACCTCAAAGCGGATCCTGGACTCTACTTAAATAAATCATACCTAATATTCTGCTACTAATTTATTCTCTCCTATGTTTTCTTCTTTCTAGAAATTCAACTACAGACCAAAATTCCAGTACACCAATCAAAAGCTTAGGATATTTACACTGCAGTAATCAAAATGAGTATAAGATGTTTTTTAAGGATATTCCAAATTACAAAATATGAATTCCTCTGACTTAGGTTTTTGAAACTAACACATACAGACAAAATAGACAATTTTTAAGCACTTAACTCTTCAACTATACAAGCACTCTTAAGATATATTAGTCACAGGGGAAAAGAAAATAAACCTCAACTTGCATTCAGGTTGATTTCTTCAGAGTCAAGTTCATCAGCCTCATTTCACCGATGTGGCAGAAGCAAAACTGCTGATTAGAACCTACAATATAATGAGCTCTCTCTTCCCCTCTTAGTGCTAACATGCCCAGAAGCTAACCTTATCTTGTCACATCCTATACAATACTAGTGTAGAACTATTTCACAACAGCTATTGTTCAACTTTTCGGGAAATATGTAATTACAGTGATGAAGTAAGTGCCAAGACAGTTTGAAAATACAACAGTATAGAAGTTTGACTCTTCATTATGGAAAATTAGACACCAGCCATGAATTCGGTTATGTAGTCACCAGTTCTAAAATCTAACATTATAGAATTTTAGGAAGAAAGAGAAGTCCAGGTACCTCGTATGGTTTGCCATATTAGGATTATTCTCTTGGCCAGAGTCACAGAATAGAGAGGTGGAGAGGCTGTGAATAGAGGGCTGGTGATTAGAAGAATGACAGCCACATTCTTTTGCATGAGAAGGGTTGCAAAAGCAGCTGCAAATGCTCAGCCATCAACAGCCTGTGTGGCTTGTCAGTGGACATCAGGCCCCACCAGTTTCTGATGAACACAGGAAAGAGGTTAAAAACATGACCTGCGAGATATTCACACTGAGATACAGTCATCTGTAAAACTGGTCTGAGCTGAAAATTCCGGGACTTAAAACTGACTATGGGGGTGGTGGAGGGAGAAACTATGGTTGTGAGAAAATGTGGGTAACTGTGAAAGGAACACCTGAAAATGTTCATCAGTGCCTACAGCACAACACCTAACCAAAATTATTTTTATATAATTCTTAATTTTTATATTTAAGACTATTTACTTTTACTATATTTATAATTTTTATATAATAACATATTGAAAACCAGAGGCAAAGGTTACTGCCATTAGACAAAGTCATTGTCCATAAAGAAATATTTTATTGCTATCAAGCATAAGTCCAACACATCTTTATGTCACACAGTTCACACATTGATTCAAGTGGATAGTAAACCCCTCCAGAGAGAAGCAGCCTCCCAAGGTATAGAGTGAGCTTTCTTTGCTAAGTAAAGCTTAACACATATTTCAAGTGAACACAACCTTTGATTCGAGAACTGCTAATTCATTCTTCTGCTGAATTTAAACAACATATTGAGAACCATAAGTTCTCAGCTGCATAGATGACTTTTTACCTCTTTCAATTTCTATTAACAGAGAAGATTCAGTCCTTCACCACCAATGAGCCAGTAAATGGAATACCTCAGAGGATGGCCAGCACCTGGAAACCTGCTGCTGAATAATGAAATGTGCTAGAGGCACAGACAGAATCTCACGGTGGTTTCAGATTCTGGCTGAAAAAGCAGGAAGTGCTTCCTAGTCGAGCACTCTGCACGCATCCAAGCTTCTTAACAAAGAATAGGTTAGTTAGTTTCATATTCTCAAATTATAACCTAGATAATTTACCACGGCACACTACTGTTTGGTAATCAAAGTCTTACCTCTCAATAACATCTAATCGTTTTCTAGGTTAGAAATTGGATTCTCTTTACATGATTAAAATCATGTGGATTTCAGGCAGTTGGCAGGCCACAAGATATACTTTAGAATGTGATTCACTTACTAAAGCTGAAAAGAGTTACACCGAATTTCTGGCAGGATTACACTTACTTCCTTCAAATTAGGAGAGGAGGTGAAGAAAGCTACACTCTGACGAGAAGGTTAAGACAAACAGTGGACTTCTGCTAAAAACACTCTCCTCTTTTATGCAAAGGTAACTTTCAGTATAAGCAGTAGAAATAAGGAATACATCTTTTGAACTTAAAGGCTAATACAGCTTTCATTCCTTCTATGAAAGGAAAATAGCAGGAGCTAAAAACATGTCAGTAAAGCGAAGAAGTTTCATTCGGCCTTGACCACGGTGAACATTTAACACATTATTATTTTCTTATTTTAAGGTTGCTTAAAACAAGACTTCACTTCTTGTTAGATGCTGCCATACATTATGGTTCAGATACTCCTGCTCTGTTTTAGAGCATGTAGAGAGCAGAGTTTCGCAACCTCAGCACTACTGACATGCTGGGCTAGGTAATTCTTTGTTGGAAGAAATCGTCTTGTGCATTGTAGGATGTTTAGCATCCTGGACCTCCACTCATCAGATGCCCTTTGCACCCTCCCCCTTCAGTTGTAACAACCAAAAATGTCTCCAGACATTGCCAAATGTCCTTTGGGGGACATAATCACCCTTGTTTTGAGAACTATTAGCTTACAGCATAAACAAGCTAAATAGTGAAATAAAACTGAGACTTAAACTTCCCTATTATTTTCAATTACATTTCATATATAGCCACAATTCCCAAATCCTCAGCCAAATAACTAAAAATAATTCAATTTCTGTGAATAGCAACAATGAAAACCCAATCTCAGCTTTATGTATAATTTGAAATGTTTTAACTTCCAGTATCTTCACCTCAGCAATCTAACAAACTTATAGGTCTAATGTTTTCATTTTTAAAGTTTAATATTTTTTTAACTTTCTAACCAATTAATAAAAATGAATTCTCATATCTGCACCCAGGACTGAATCTTTTGTCAAATGAGAAAGGCTGTTTCTGCTATTTCCAAAAGATCTACTTACTGCAAATCTCAGATCTACTCTTGGAAAGGGGAGAGGAGGAAAGAAGTCCCCGCTGTGTCTCCAGCAGAGCTTGGGCCTCTGGCCCAACCCCATGTGAATAGCACACAGCACTGTGCCCTGCTACAATGTCACATATCTGATAGTGAGGCACTGCTGGGAGGGCTTCTAAGAGAATGTCCTCCTTCTTCTCTATTCTGGGTCTTTATTCAAAAGAACCATCAAAAATAATTTTTCAAAGAACTCCTTCTGCATATTAACTATTGGTTTTGTCCTGTGTGTTTTTGTTTTTAAAAACATGGCTTGTTATTTCAGAAATTGGCCTGAAACGAAAGCACACTTACTAATTCATTTGATCAACTTCTCCAAAAGATGTGAGGCCCTATATCACAGACAGAACCATTATATAAATATAACTATAAATACATTTATATGTTATAGAAAATGGATGCTGACTTTGCCAATGTTCTACTTTTTGGCCCTGCAGATACTACTCTGACAGCCTTATAGAGAATGAGAGTTTGGAAGCAAAGATTATTCACACAAACTTTCTTCTTTTTTATGCCGCCTGAGAGAATGAGACCCAAATTATCAGGCTTATTCCTCAAGTTTCCATAGTGACAATGCTTGATCCTCCTGGAATGGCTGTCAAACTCTCTTGAGCTTACGTTTACTTAGGTTTAAAGACAGATGTTAAAGTTTTTCAGTCTTTTGAATTTTTGAATAATCACAGTACATTTATCATACTCTAGATACAGGAAGACAACTTAAAGACAATCCTATAAAATTGCCTATCATAGTTTAGGTTAATCTTTCACATCTATAGAAAAAGATGCATTTACACACACACACACACACACACACACACAATATTTCCCAGAAGAGCACAACTTAAAATGCTTGCTCCATCTCTTATATCTTCCAGGCAGAATAAACCACAGCAATTATATTCCTGAGAAGAGCAGCCCCTAGAAATTACTATTAACAGCTTATCAGACATGAAGATAGCAAATACATACCATCAAAACTACCTTGCTCAGAAGCAAGATGCAACAGCTGATTGTATGTTTCAACTGAAGGCTGATAAACGAAGACTCCGGAATTGAAGCAGTCAGGCCACCCTGGGTCTGGTGCTGCTGACAATTCTTCTCTGTCAAAAAGATCATCAATATTTGCTAGGACCTGATCAAAGGGGAGAAAGAGCATTACAGAAATGTTTTTGCTGCAGAATACCCTTCTTGAGTTCTTCCTATGTCATCCAACACAAAAGATGGTGACAGCTGTAAGGCAGCCTGGGCCTCCTCTCCTTCATCCCCTGACATATTTCATGACAGTGGTTCTATCTGAACTTTACCGTCAAGTCTTGACAGCATTCCTCAAATGCCTACAGGTCTCCATCACCATATATATATATGTCTTTCTTTTCTACCCTCAAAGCCACACTCACCAGAGTATCTGCATCCATGAATACACATTTTGAATACTGTGTAAGCGACCAGCAGTGGAGCTTTGTCAGCGTGACACCCAACTCTGGCCTCTTCATTAAGGTTAGATGAGCAGAATCGCCACTGTCCAAGACATCTACCATGATGACTTCATCAAAGACTGTCTCTAAAACTTTTCTGTCAAAATAAAATCCAGAATACCACACTTAGCATCTTTTCAGAACAAGTGACCCATCTGCTGTAAGACTGATGCTTTATTACCTTCTCCATCAATTACTAGAACAATGTATTGCTTTGGTAGAATATGTACCCTTAAATCTGTTCTAATTTTACTCCAGGACAAACTGTGTTTATTTGCATGTCCAGTTAACGTCACTAAAGTAGTAAGAACTGCTTATGGTGAGGATGAAATGCTCATCTTAAAACGTTATTATAGAAGACATTTTCTGGGTTTTTGTATTTTATTGTATCACTGAATAGCAGGCAGGTTGTGGAAATAGCTTGCAAAAATGTGTAAGGGCTCTGTTCATCAGGTTGCCATTTTGTAGAATCCAATATAACCAGCATTTATTACATGCTGAGCACGCTGTTTAAGTATAATGAGATTCACGTTGGTTTGTGAGGTACAACACTTCTCTATGCCCCAGATTAACTAAGGCTTTATTTTAGAAAGCTCTTTATGGTGGATCGGTAGGGTAGACTTGGGTAAGACACTAAACTGAGCACGGGTAAAAACGTATCATACTGAAAGTTTATAACATCAGAGATGCAGAACAAAACTGGTATTGTATTCTGTCTCCAAAGCTGTACAAAAATATGGTACAGTTCACACAGTAAACTTGACGTTTTTGAAGAGAAATGGTTAGGAGAATCACTGACCAAAGTCAACTGATGGTGGTTACAGGAAATGCAAGACTAGATCTGGTTTCTTAGACATATCCTAATAGACTACAAATTAGGGCACACACATTAGGAGACAGCCTTTTTGGCATCTTCCTAAATTACCATTTAGGAACAAAGGTATTAGTGTGAAAGATATACGTATGTATACAGAACGTCTACTTTTTAGAGACCCTTGGCCTGTGCTTATACTTTTTGGGAAAAAAATAAAAAGTCACAAAAAGGGCATTTTCAATTTCTTAGAGGGCCAGGAGACCAGAAAAATAAACACATCACAAAGTTACTAGTGTGCCCGGATATTTTTTAAGTTACTACTAGAGACTAGGTAGCTCATTCAGATACTTCGATTTTCTGTTGTTGTTGTTTTTTAAGACAGAGTCTCACTCTGTTGCCCTGGCTGGAGTGCAGTGGCACAATCTCGGCTTACTGCAACCTCTGCCTCCCGGGTTCAAGCGATTCTCCTGCCTCAGCCCCCAACCCCAAGTAGCTGGGATCACAGGCACGCGCCACCATGCCTAGCTAATTTTTGTATTTTTAGTAGAGATGAGGTTTTGTATTTTTAGTAGAGACGGGTTTCGCCATGTTGGCCAGGCTGGTCTGGAACTCTTGACCTCAGGTGATCCAACTGCCTTGGCCTCCCACAGTGCTGAGATTACAGGCATGAGCCATCACACCTGGCCCAAATACTTCAAAACTTAATTCCATCGGATCAAAGTGAACTAACCAATCATGAAGCAGTTTATACCCTTTAGTGTGTTTCCCCTAGTAAAACCTAGTTTGGAAAGCCCTTTGGTAAAGATTCTAGTGTATTATATTGTAAATAAAGATATTTAGCTTACAAATATCAACTGGCAATGGATAAAATAACTACTTTTCTAAGTCACCTGAGAGTTTCCCTAGTTTGCAACATGAAACAATGTAGCCCCTGCTGCATCCTGGGAAAGGAATGTCCATGAATTGTGACTGTGTAAAGGTGTATGTAAGCAGGGAATGCCTGACACACTCCTTCAGATCACCCAGAGGGGATGGAGTGAAGGAAGACGACTCCTTCTTTCCCCTCCTAGTTGGAACCAGAAAGTGTGGGCCAGCATAACACCTTCCAGAAAAGAATTGAGTTGGAATATCTCCCAAAAGCTAGGAGGAGGTTTCAAATACAGCAATCCTGCACTCAGCATCTCTCATTTTTCTCTACCCGGTGCTCAATTCCTGAAAAGAGCATGGCCTCAATGTCCAATGATGTCAGCAACAGGGAGAAGGATGTCAGAGCCCCTTGGATGCTGGGGTGGCAGCGAGGTCCTCACCTCATGGAGTCTGAGACCTGAGGGGTGGCGAGCACGACCAGCCTCCTGGTGGTCCTGTGCTGTTTCAGAGATGATCCCAGGACCAGGGCACCTTTGGCGTAGGCATCGTTTGTGGTTAGTGTCACAAAGGCCTGATCTTAATACAAAGAAAAAAAAAACACTCATTACAGTATCTTATCTGGAGAAAGCCTTTTCCCCAGGAACCCATTCAAACAGTAATTCAGCAAAACCAGTTCCTCTAACATCAACTTTCTCTATGAATCAAGCTGTAGCCCTTTGGGGAGAAAACCCCAAGTGCCCACTTCAAGAATGGTTCAAGATCATAGCAGGCACATATGGCAACCTTCAACAGGTTGATTAAGCTATAGAAATTAAATCCGACACGCTAAATTCTCAGACAAAACAATAGCTTAATACCAAGAGTTTGAACTCCAGGCAACTAACAGATGGTAATGAAGAGATCAAGTAGTACATTTGCTGTTTCTTCTACAAGGTACTGTAGACAGTGTTTTCAGACAAGCACAAAACCAACCGTCAAACTCAATTCAGTCAGTCTGAAAGCAGAGTCCATATTCTTCATTCTGGTGCTTACGTTTATGCCATGCCTCAGGAATGTATGTATGTATGTATTTTTTAAGACAGGGTCTCACTCGGCCACCCAGGCTGGAGTGGAGTGGTGTGATCATAGCTCACTGCAGCCTCGAACTCCAGGCATCTTATACATAACTGTTTCCTCAACGTGGAGCAAAAGCTCCCCTGCCCCAATATCCCTGAAAAATAACATTGAGTCTCTCCTCAAGTATCAGCTCCTCAAAGAGGCTTTCCCTCCTTGATGCTTCTATCTAAATAGTTATCAATCACTGATAAATAGATTTGGAGATCACCCAAGAAGCCCTAAACAACTGCCTGCTTTTCTTTGGAGAAGAAGGTG
The DNA here is from genome assembly GCF_000001405.40 of Homo sapiens. Lineage (NCBI taxonomy): Eukaryota > Metazoa > Chordata > Mammalia > Primates > Hominidae > Homo > Homo sapiens. The sequence goes on along the minus strand of NC_000003.12, from coordinate 148,993,346 downwards.
CAGGTCCATCCTGCACCCTCCCCCTCCCCCCGCCCAAACCAACAGACACGCACCCCAATCTCCAATAATCACTTAGTTGCCAGAAGAGAAGGTAAATACATGGATTTTTCCTCCTGCTGAACAGTCCCCACCCTCCCAAGACCCCTAGCACAGGCTTCAAGATTTCTCCAGTCATTCCCTGGGACAATTCTGGGCCATGTTCCATCTCCAAGAAACATTAGCAAGTTGGTGGGCATCCAAATGCATAGGACACTTCGGATCAAGTTCTGGTAGGAGTCAGTTGCTTAACCAGCGAGTTGGGACATTTTGTCATGAAGTCCTTCTCTTTCTGACCTGGCTTTCCCTCATTCTCCCTTGCCCGTTTTCCAAGGTGGAGGCTGGAAGCAGTAGAAATTCCACCGAGACATGAGAGGAAGTTGTGGGTTGCCTAGTGGGCCAGCGCATCCCTCGGCTGCTGACCTGAGAGCCATCTTCACACATTTTATTAGGCCCTCTCCCACGGCAGGCCAACTACTAAGTTGTAGGAAGACCAGTTCCCCACCCCCGAAGGGCCACCAGCTTCCCAGTCACTCACACTCTAGGAAAGCTCTGAACAGTGGCACCTGTCCCTTGACAGGCCCATCAACATCCGCCTGTACTTGCTTCTATTATCTTCAGCCCATTATAACATGGGTAACATCGCTGTCAATCTGTACCAAAAATACTTAAGCTAGGCAAAATGAATGATCATCTAACTCAAATGAAGTCCAGGTTCCAGGCGATCATGGAGAAAAATGTAATAAGGTGAGCAGGATTCAAGGATTTCTGGAAGCAAGGATATGGATGATTTCCAAGATTAAATAAGGGATAGAACACAGGTTAGAACACCAGACTAGCCAACATTACAAATGACCAAGAAAGACCAATGACAGCTGGGTAGGAGTTTAATCTTCCTAAAGACGGCTGAACTCTGGGTTACACCTGCAATCTTTGTGGCAGTTCAACTGCTGTAATAACCCTGGCTATTAGCCTCAATGACACGGAAGGACCAGCTAACTCGGAGCTTCCCAGTGCTGGGGCTAACTCGTGGAGTGGCCCGGACGCCTCGCAACAAGTGAAGCCAAAGCCGGCGCCCTCCCACCAGACGGGGCTCGCGCCCGGGGACGCTAGTCCGACTCCCGGCTTCCCGCAACCCGGCCCCAAAGGCCTAAAAATAGGCTCAGCGTGGCGGCCGGGGCCGGGGCGGGCGGCGGAGGAGCCGGGCGGAGGCCGCAGTATCCCCGCCTCGGAGCCCCTGCTTCCTGGGGTTCCGGGCCGCCAGAGGCCGGGGCAGCTCCCCACGATGCCGCTGCGCCCCGGACTCCCGCCTGGAACCCCCAGGGGAACCGGCTCCCCACCCCCACACGGCCCCGCCGCAGCTGCTCCGCCCGCCGGCCCTTCGCCGTGAGAGCAAGAGGAAGGACGAGGAGACGGAAGCAGGAACGAGAGCTCCGGCCGAGGGCCCGGGCTCTGCCCGGCTGCCCCATCCCTGCACTCTGGGGGGCGGCGGGGCGGCAGCTGACGCAGGCAGAAACACGCCCGGCTGCGGCCAGCCAGCAACTTTGCGGCGGTTTCGTCCTGCCGGGAACACTCCGGGGCTGAGGGCGGAGGAGAAGGGAGGCGGCGGCTGGGCAGGAAGCCGGGGTCCCGGGGCTGGCGGCGGCGGGCTGCGCGGCGGTACCTGTCATGGTGCTGCCGGGTGCGCAGGCGGCCGGGGCAGCCTCAGGTTGGTGACTCAGAGAAGCCGGCACCGGGAGGGAGCGCGGCCAGCGAGGAGGCACGGCGGGGAACCGAGCGTCTGCCCCGTGCGCTCTTATAGCGGCCGTCACGTGGCCGCGCACGCTCTCGCTGCCGTCCGCATCCTCCCAGCTGCGCGGCCGGCAGGGGCGGTGGCCCGCGGGGCTCCGGGTCCCGCGTCTCCCTCGGCTCCTCCTCCCTCCCTCGGGGCTAGGCTGCCGCTGCGGCTGCGGCTCACCGGCGCCCCTGCTCCTACTTCCCCGGGGCGCCTGCCCTTGTCAACCGCGCGCCCCCTGTCGCCGCTAAACCTGGGAGTTAAGGGGGACTTTGGGGCTGAGTGCGGCATCAAACTCCCCAAGAAGCCAAGGGTTAGGGAACCTTAAAAAACAAGCAAACAAACCCCAGATTACTCTAGTTAAAATCGTGAGTCTGAACTGCTTGAATGAAACGTAAAATTTACGCTTTTTTTGCAGAATTTCGATCAGCCTCTATAATCATTCCTTAGTGTACTCACAATGGTTTTGTACCCTTAACCTAAAAAATATAGTGAATATTTCGTAAATGTTAAATTCTTGGAGCCATCTGCATCAATTAGGCATTTAAGTGCTTCATTTAATCCTTGTACGAACTCAGTGAGGTGTTACATATTCATTTTACAGACGAGGAGGAAACTGAGCTCAGAAAAGTTAAATTAACTTTTCTTTTCTTTTTTTTCTTGTATTTTTAGTAGAGACAGAGTTTCACCATGTTGGCCAGCCTGGTCTGGAACTCCTGGCCTCAAGTGATCTGCCAGCCTTAGCCTCCCAAAGTGCTAACTTTTCTATAGTCATATAATATAAATGGAGAAAGTAGGATTTAAACCCTGGCAGTTTGGTTACAGAATCAACCTTCCCACCCAGAAAGTCTTGGTGCCTCTTGTACACAGGGGCTCCAAAAAGGTTAGTAAATTATTGTAACTGTGGTTAGCCAATGCTAACCTGTTTCACAAATCTTGAAATGGTCAATTTGTCATTTTTCTAGGAAGTTGAGAAATAGCTTTAATGTGATCACATCCTTCTCTGCTCCCCATCCCCAGTCCAAACACAGAACAAGCCTCGGGTAGTTCAGTTCTCTGCAAACTGAAAACTGAAATTGCTCGGTAAATGTTGAATGAGTACTGCAAAGCCATTTGGAAACCAATCAGGAAGTTGACATCAGTTCAAAAAGCAAAACAGATGCTTAAGAATAAGTGATTTATTTGCAAAGGTGGTACTGCTGTCCTCAAACCAGTTATATCACTGTTTCCTCGTGTGTGGGTGTGGATCTCCTACATCAGAATCACTTGGGGGCACTGGTTAAAGCGTAGATTTTTGGGCCTAAGCCCAGACCTCCTGAATCAGAATCTTAAGGGTAGGTTTATTTTGGTGCAAAATAATTTTGAAATCCATGCATTTTTTTTTTATAATATGTATATTCTATGGACTTTTTGAAGTCGCGTCATATACTCTTGAGGTAATGAAATACTCTGTAGGCATAATCATTATATATTTTTAATATAAAAAGCTGTTCAAAATATATTATTTGAAGAAAAACAGGTTACAAAACAAAAAGAATCTTAAGGGTAGAACCTTAAAATCAGTATTTTAAATATCACCTTCCAGGAGCCTCTCTTGAGTCCTTCCTAGTCTTGACCATGGCCTAGAGACCGCTGATCACATGGGAGGCCCTCCCAGTTACTTGGCATTATGTGCTTCCGTTGTAGGAAACAGAAAAGTGGAAAGGGCAATAGATGGGTTTCCACTTATTCAAAAGATATAGACATAGAAGAGTTGGAGCTCTTTAAGGAACACAAAGGCTACACTTTTGTATCTTAAGTGGGGAGAGGGAAAACAAAGAGAGGTACTTCTCAGTCTGATTGCTCTTTTGCAGACTGAGAGGTGAACTTGGAAGAGTGAGATTTCCATCTTTCACCCAGAACCCTCCTGCCATCAGCTGACCCTTAACCATCTACTTCTTGCAGCCTACTATCTCAGGCTGGACTTAGCCAGGGATGTGGTGATGGGGCTGAAAGGGCAAAGCCAGGAGGTAGAACTGGGGACAACTGGGAAAAACAGAAAAGCTTCCCTTAGAACAAGCTCCTCTCTGCTGCAACTCCCAGGACGTTTAAGTAAAAGGAACGGTTACCACAGCTTCCCTTCCTGAGCTTCATGTATATTTACACAAATAGAAAGTTTACAGCTTTTACCACTTTGAATCAAATAGGGACATTTTGAGGTTGCTACAATCTGTTCTTCTTCATTGTCTTAATATAGATCATAATGACCCCACTGCCTACTTTTCCTGAGGCTGCCCTGCAGTGAGCTTCAGTCTGGTGTGAGAGCAAGACCTCTCAAACTTTAATGCGCACACAGATTGCCCAAGGATCTTATTAAAATGCGGATTCTGACTCAGTAGTTTGGGGGTGGGTCTCCCAGGTGATCCCCAGGCTATGGACCCACACTTTGAATAGTGAGGTGTTCAAACATTTTGGATTGTAAGGCCTTAGAGGTAGTGGATAAACATGGTATAGTGAGGCAAATGTTTCAGATTTTAGCTTGTTATTTTTTTTCTTGTGAAACTTGAACTAGTAAAATTACAGAATCCTAAAAGAAAGATTTAAGTTAAAAAAGATAAGTTATACCCTACATCAGTAGGCATGACTATTAACCATTTAAACCTATGCTGAATTCATATATTCGGAATGGTCCAAAATTCATTTTAAATTGGCTTTGTAATGCATTATGTAATTTTTTTGGCAGGATACTTACCTTCCTAATTAAGTTTTGTTTAAGATAATGCTGAAATCAGTTTGCATTCTTTTGAGCACACACACTAATTGATGGTGGGGGCAACTGACCTGGAAATATATTCCGGAGCAGAGGGCAACCTACTCGCCTGAGAATCAAATGGTTCCCACGGAAAGTTTGTGAAATACATATACCACATCTGGCCAGACACAGGAACTAACTAGTCAACTAACTTAAAATTTTGCCCTTAATTGATAACATACACAATCTGTACCTGGGATTGTTGTCGGTAATCACAATATCAAGCAAAAGTTTGGTTTCAAGAAATAATATCCTTGGAGGCCCAAAGTAGTCCGTTCTTCACTTGAAAGCTAGAGTCCCAAACTCCAAAAGTTGCAGTAGCCTGATGGCTGGTTACATAGCTTTTTTTTTTAATCCTTATTGTTACATAACTCACATTGTGTAAAATTCAGCCACTTGTGCTGAATTAAAGTGTATACCTAAATGGTTTTTAGTGTATTCACAGAGTTGTACAACTATTACCACAATCTAAGTTTAGAACAATTTCATCAACCCAAAAGAAATCTGTACCCATTAGCAGTCACTCCTTACTCTCTTCTTCTTTCCCTCAGTCCTGGGCAACTACTAATCTACTTTCTGTCTAAACATTTGTCTATTGAGATTTACCTATATGTTGTCTTGTGTAACTGGTTTCTTTCATTTAGCATAATGTTTTCAAAGTTCTTCCATGTTGTGAAACGTATCAATATTTCATTTCTTGGCCAGGTGCAGTGGCTCACGTCTCTATTGCAGCACTTTGGGAGGCTGAGGCAGGCAGATCACCTGAGGTCAGGAGTTCAAGACCAGCCTGGCTAACATGGCGAAACACCATCTCTACTAAAAATACAAAAATTAGCCGGGCATAGTGGCACACACCTATAATCCCAGTTACTCAGGAGGCTGAAGCAGGAGAATCGCTTGAACACGGGAGGGGTTGCAGTGAGGCAAGATTGCGCCACTGCTCTCCAGCCTGGGTGACAGGGTGAGACTTTGTCTCAAAAAAAAGAAAAAAAATGGCAGAAGCCGAGCCGGGCCGGCCGGGCGAGCGGGGAGGAGGAGGAGCCGGGCGGGCTGGCGGGCGGCCGGGTGGCGGCGGCGGCATGGCGGAGCCGAGCGGGGCCGAGACGAGGCCCCCCATTCGGGTCACCGTCAAGACCCCCAAGGACAAGGAGGAAATTGTGATCTGCGATCGAGCCTCGGTCAAGGAGTTCAAAGAGGAAATCTCCCGGAGGTTTAAGGCTCAGCAGGATCAGCTGGTCCTGATCTTGTCAGGCAAGATCCTCAAGGATGGGGACACACTGAACCAGCACGGAATCAAGGACGGGCTCACTGTCCATCTGGTCATCAAGACCCCTCAGAAGGCTCAAGATCCAGCTGCTGCCACTGCTTCTTCCCCCTCCACACCTGACCCTGCCTCAGCACCCTCCACCACGCCTGCTTCACCCACCACCCCTACCCAGCCCTCCACCTCTGACAGTGCCTCTTCGGATGCTGGCAGTGGAAGCCGGAGGAGCAGTGGTGGGGGGCCCTCTCCAGGGACTGGGGAGGGATCCCCCAGTGCTACTGCGTCCATACTCTCTGGCTTTGGGGGCATCCTGGGGCTGGGCAGCCTGGGCCTGGGCTCTGCCAACTTCATGGAGCTGCAGCAGCAGATGCAGAGGCAGCTGATGTCCAATCCTGAGATGCTGTTGCAGATCATGGAGAACCCCCTGGTCCAGGATATGATGTCTAACCCTGACCTGATGCGTCACATGATTATTGCCAAACCCCAGATGCAGCAGTTGATGGAGCGGAACCCTGAGATCAGCCACATGCTCAATAACCCTGAACTCATGAGGCAGACAATGGAGCTTGCTCGGAATCCAGCCGTGATGCAAGAGATGATGCGGAACCAGGACCGGGCCCTGAGCAACCTTGAGAGCATCCCTGGAGGGTATAATGCCCTCCGCCGCATGTACACGGACATCCAGGAGCCCATGTTCAGTGCTGCCCGGGAACAGTTTGGCAACAATCCCTTCTCTTCCCTGGCCGGGAACTCCGACAGCTCATCCTCCCAGCCTCTGCGGACTGAGAATCGAGAGCCCCTCCCTAACCCCTGGAGCCCCTCGCCCCCCACCTCCCAGGCCCCCGGGTCCGGTGGGGAGGGCACCGGAGGATCGGGGACCAGCCAGGTGCACCCGACAGTCTTGAACCCCTTTGGGATCAATGCGGCTAGCCTGAGGTCAGGGATGTTCAATAGCCCAGAAATGCAAGCCCTCCTCCAGCAGATCTCTGAGAACCCCCAGCTGATGCAGAATGTGATCTCAGCACCCTACATGCGCAGCATGATGCAGACGCTTGCCCAGAACCCCGACTTCGCTGCTCAGATGATGGTGAATGTGCCGCTCTTCGCGGGGAACCCCCAACTGCAGGAGCAGCTCCGCCTGCAGCTCCCAGTCTTCCTGCAGCAGATGCAGAACCCAGAGTCACTCTCCATCCTTACCAATCCCCGAGCCATGCAGGCATTGCTGCAGATCCAGCAGGGACTACAGACCTTGCAGACCGAGGCCCCTGGGCTGGTACCCAGCCTTGTCTCCTTCGGGATGTCCCGGACCCCAGCACCCTCAGCAGGCAGCAACGCAGGGTCTACGCCCGAGGCCCCCACTTCCTCACCAGCCACGCCAGCCACATCTTCTCCAACAGGGGCTTCCAGCACCCAGCAGCAACTCATGCAGCAGATGATCCAGCTTTTGGCTGGAAGTGGAAACTCACAGGTGCAGACGTCAGAAGTGAGATTTCAGCAGCAGCTGGAGCAGCTCAACTCCATGGGCTTCATCAATCGTGAGGCCAACCTGCAGGCCCTGATTGCCACAGGAGGGGACATCAACGCAGCTATCGAGAGACTGCTGGGCTCCCAGCTCTCCTAATCCCTCGTCCCATGCCTCCTGCCTCTCCCCTCCCTCGATGTCAGCATTCGGTTCTTCTGTCAATCCTTACCCTCTGCAGCTTGTCATCCCTTCCGTCTTCTCCCTCATCCTTTCCAAACAGCAGGGTGACTTTAGAGACATGGGCTCCAACCCCTTAGCTCTGTCTGAGAATTATGGTTTTACTGCTACGTCTCTAACAGAATCTTCTCTCCTGGTCTCCTTGAGCAGTGCTACTTAAACAGTTTTCACAGTTTCATTGATTGACTCTACCTCCTTGCCCCACACCACTTTTGCAATCTTTAAACTTTCAGTGGCTGTGCAGAGTCGAGGGAGGAACCAGCTCTCTGGTTTACTGGAACATAGTCTTCCATCTATACCACTAGGGTTTTGTCTTATGTTTACTTTTGGTAACTCTCTTCCTTCTTTTTCTCCCTACCCCCCAACCCCTAGCCCAACCAATGCTAGAATTTCTCGCTCTGAAGGAGGAGCAGGTGAAACAGGTGGTAATTTTCCTCCTCGGCCCCTATTCTGGTTCATTCAGCACTTTTTGGTGGGAACTGTTGGAAATTCCAGGGTAAGGAGGAAGACGCCTGTTCTCCCTGTCTGAAGAGGGAGATGAGAGAGCTCTCTGGACAGGAATTAACAAACCCTGGAGCAGCTCAGAGGAAATTGATGTGAAAGAGGAGGGAATGAGATTATTCGGAGGAGGGGAATGGGGGAGACAGCCTGAGTAAAAGGCTTGGAAGTTGGAATTAACAGTGGGGAGCAGAAGCACTCGTAGCTCTTTTAGGCAGAAGAATCCAGGCCCAAGCTGGCAGAAGAGACTTAGAGATGCTAATGGAATTTAAACTGAAGAAAGGAGCTCAATGAAGCTAAGCGCCACGCCCCACAAGGGGTCATATTGGCTTTAGTTCCTCAAGCACATGTGCTTATATGCACACACACACACATTTCCATGGACCCAGGTCTTGCTTGTGTCCCCAGGCACCAGTAATTTGAGCCCCCCTCAAAAGACATGAAGGGGGTTGGGGTCTGTGTGAGTAGTGGGGAGGTGCATGTGTATCCACATGTGTGCATACACTCTTAAGTTGGGTGGGAAGTGGATTCCTTGTTGGTTTCTGGTTCAGAGTGCTCTCCCACCACCAGAGACAAGTGGGTAAAAAGGTCAGTCCATTGCAGGAATATATATCTGGGAGAGCTAGGTCCCTTGGAGCTCTGGATGCTGGGTAACCCAGAGGTAATGTGGGTACCCTTTCTGAAGCTGTCAGGGCTGTGACTAGCACCCTTATCACCCCTCACTGCCTTGTGGGAATAGTAGAGGGTTTTTTTCCTCCAGAGCCCCTGGCCTTTCAGTTCTTAACTATTTCCCTCCAGGCCAGAAAGTTTTCTTTGAGGAAGGAGAGGAGAGGGTGGCAATGATGCCTTTGATCTGGAATTGGACATTGCTCTGTCAGAGCACAGAGGAGGCTCATATCACCTCTTCCCTCTCCTACTTGGCCCAGCTGCTTGGAGGACCGACCCCATGGCTGAGAATATGACGGCAAGAGGAACAGAGTTTGCTCCAAGTGGGAAAGGGTCCCAAGCAGTCCAGAGAAGATGTCTGTGTGGCTTTCCCTCCCTGCCTCCCCCAGCTCCCACACTGGCCTTTGTAAATAAATGGCGTGGTCTTTGTTGTGAAAAAAAAAATTCATTTCTTTTTTATTGCCAAATAATATTTCATTATGGGTATACCACATTTTGTTTATCCATTCATTATGGATGAACATGTTGGTGGACATTTGGGTAGTTTCCACTCTGGCTGGTATGAATAATGCTGCTGTGAACATTTGTGTTCAAATTTTTGCATTGACATATTTTTTTTCCTAAATATATACAAAGAGTAGAATTGCTAGATCATGTGGTAATTCTATGTTTAACATTTTAGGAACTGCCAGACTGTTTTCCAGAACATCTGTATCATTTTTCATTTCCACCAGCAATGTATGATGGTTCAAATTTCTTCGTTTCTTAGCCAACATTTGTTGTTGTCTGAAGTGATATCTCGTTGTGATTCTTATTTGCATTTCTCTAGTGACTTTTGATATTGATTATCTTTTCATGTGCTTACTAACCATGTGTACAACTTCTTTGGAGAAATGTCTATTCAAACCCTTTGCTCACTTTTTAATTGGGTTTACTTTGTTATTGAGTTGTAAAATTTCTTTGTCTAGACGCAAATCTTTTATCAGCTATATGATTTGCAAATATATTCTCTCATTCTGCGAGTTAACTTTTCATATTCTTGGTAGTATTGTTTGTAGCATAGAAGTTTTAAATTTTGATATAGTCCAATTTATTTTTCTTCTGTTGCTTCTGTTTTTGGTGTCATACCTAGGAAACTATTGCCTAACCAAAAGTCATGAAGATTTACTCCTATGTTTTCTTCAGGAGTTTTGTAGTTTTAGCTTTTAAAATTATGTCCATAGTCCATTTTGAGTTAATTTTTGTTAAGTTTTTTATGTTGTGAAGTAGGAGTTCAGGTTTTTTCTTTTGTGTGTGAACATTGAGTTGTTCCAATACCATCTGTTGAAAAGACTATTCTTTTCCCACTGAATTGTCTTGGCACGATTATGAAAAATCAATTGATCATAAATGTGACTAAATTCAATTTCTGGAATCAATTCTATTTCATTGATTTATATGTCAATCCTAATGTTAGTTCCACACCATCTTGATTTCTGTAGCTTTCTAGTAACTTTGAAATTTGGAAATGTGAACGAATTTTGTTCTTCTGAGGGCCGGGCACCGTGGTTCACACCTGTAATCCTAGCATTTTGGGAGGCTGAGATGGGTGGATAACCTGAGGTCAGGAGTTTGAGACCAGCCTGCCAAAATGGCGAAACACCGTCGCTACTAAAAATATAAAAATTAGCCGGGTGTGGTGGCTACTCTGGAGGCTGAGGCAAGAAGAGAATCACTGAACCCAGGAGGCAGAGGTTGCAGTGAGCCGAGATCGTGCCACTGCACTCCAGCCTGGGTGACAGAGCAAGACCCCATTTCAAAAAAAATTTTTTTAAATAAATAAATAAAAATAAAATCTTAAAAAATTTTTTCTTCTTTTTCAAGATTGTTTTGGCTATTCTGGGTAATTTGCATTTCCATATGAATTTTAGGGTCAGTTTATAAGTTTCTGAAACAAAGAAAGCTGGGCTTTTGATAAGGATTTCATTGAATTTGTAGATCAGTTTGGGGAGTATTGCCAACTTAACAGCTTAAACCTGCTTTTTTTTTTTTTTGAGACAGAGTCTTGTTCTGTCACCCAGGCTAGAGTGCAGTGGCGCGATCTTGGCCCACTGCAACCTCTGCCTCCCAGGTTCAGGTAATTCTCCCTGCCTCAGCTTCCCAAGTAGCTGGGATTACAGGCACCTGGCACCATGCCCAGCTAATTTTTGTATTTTTAGTAGAGACAGGGTTTCACCATGCTGGCCAGGCTGGTCTTGAACTCCTGACCTCAGGTGATCCACCTGCCTTGAACTCTCAAAGTGCTGGGATTACAGGCATGAGCCACCGTGCCCAGCCTTACAGCTTATGCCTTCTAATCCATGAACATGGGATGTCTTTTTATTTACCGAGATAGTCTTCAGTTTCTTCCAATAATGCTTTGTAGTGCATTGCCTTTTTTTTTTTGAGATGGAGTCTCACTCTGTCGCCAGGCTGGAGTGCAGTGGCATGATCTCAGCTCACTGCAACCTCCGCCTCCTGGGTTCAAGTGATTTTCCTGCCACAGACTCCCGAGTAGCTGAGACCACAGGCGTGTGCCACCACACCCGGCTAATTTTTTATATTTTTAGTAGAGACGGGGTTTCTCTGTTAGCCAGGATGGTCTCGATCTCCTGACCTTGTGATCCACCCGCCCTGGCTTCCCAGAGTGCTGGGATTACAGGCGTGAGCCACTGTGCCCAGCCTGTGCATTGCCTTTTAAAACAGGTAACAAAACCCAAAATTGGGTCTGTTCGCTATATAAACCCCATGGGCATGACAACTGATTTTCATGTGTGTCAGATATTCTAAATTTATGCTGGTATCTAAAATCTGATTATCATGGAGCTTTATACATAGAGTAACATTGCTTTGGTCCTTCATAAGACAACTTTTACAAAACTGTACTTTGGCATTATCATTAGTAATAACTACCACTTAACCTGATACTAAGGTTCTTTTACATATTAACACATTTAACCTTTCCAGTGATCGAATGAGGCAGATATTCTGCAATCCCCACTTCAGAGATAAGGCACAGAGCTTGCCCACTATACTGTAACTGGTAGTTTGTACAGCTGTGATTTGAACCAGGGAGCCTGCTTCCCCAGTCTGTACAATTAAGCACTGTTTGGTAATATGTATGGGGTGTCCACTGCTCAAAAGCTGCAAAAGGGTATGTGTACAATGAAGTAACTCTTATCTGCCACCTTTGTCCTCCAGCCACCAGGTTCTCTTTCCTAGAGTGGCATTCTGTTCTTGGCTTTCTCTGTGGCTCTAAGGGTGCCTCAGAAATCTCACTATCATGGCTTTTCCAATGTGCCATTGAAGACATTCACTATGTTATGCAATTTCCTCTATTGAAAGATCCATGGGAAAATTGTCACACTGGTCATCATATCAAAAATAAATGTTGCATTTCCTTAACACTTAGATTTTTCTTTATTTCATAGAAACTTTGATGTTTATAAGTATATCAAACACATAGAATACATGTTTTCCTCTTTTGGGAGGCCAATTAGAAACTTGGAGCAAAATTTGTAGCCACTTCTAGTCATTATTTAGGCTCTCTACCCTGCATTTATTTATCTATGCTTTAACTTTTTTCCCATTATTATACTTGCCTCACTTATTTATGAAGTTGTTTGAGATCCTTTGGAAGTAGGAGGGAATGGGGAGTTAATTAGTAAATAATTAAATGATAAGAGGGTTTCTAGTGGGAGTAGAACGGAAAGATGAAATTCAGCTCAATTTCGGTGACTTTGGAGGTTTTTCTAGTGATTTGTTAGTAAAATGAATATTTCATAAATTAAAGAGGCATAGTTATTGATCCAGACACGGGAATAATTTTCTGTAATTAGTTAAAATCCTGGGCTGGGCCCAGGGGCCCACGCCTGTGATCCCAGCACTGTGGGAGACTGAGGCAGGAGGATTGCTTGAAACCAGCCTGGGTGACACTGCGAGACCCAGTCTCTACAAAAAATAAAAAATTAGCTGGGTGTGATAGGGTGTGATGGTGGGTGCCTATAATTCCTAGGGAGAGGTTTAGTTGGGAAGATTTTTTTTGAGCCCAGGAGCTTGAGATTATAGTGAGCTATGATAGTGCCATTGTCCTCCAGCTTGGGCAACAGAGCAAAAACCTTGTCTCTAAAAAAATAAAAAGAAAAATACAGTGAATGCTTGATCTTTTCATCTTACTTTTATTACGTGTTCTGCCGGTAATGTAATAACAACATGATAGTGGTCAAAAAGAAGGATAAGATTGTCCAGGATCTCTAACTCTCAGTCCTTCAAATATATTTCACCTTTCAAACTTTGGTTACCATATTTGTGATCTTTTAGTTCATGGGTTAAATCATTTGGCAGTTACTTTTTCTTTAAAATCAACTTTATTGAAATAAAATCTATATACAATAAAAGTCACTTTTTAAAAGTAAAAAATTCAATGAGCTGTGATAGATATAAACTATCACCACAGGTATAACCATCTCCACAATCATTCACAAAACTTCCCTCTCTGCCTTTATGGTTAATCCCATTCCCTGTCCCCTGGCAAATGTAGCTCTGATTTCTGTCCATATAGATTTGCCTTTTCAAGAATTTAATACAAATGTAATAAAAGAGTATGTAGTCTTTTGTGTCTGTTTTTTTTTCTCAGTGTAATGCTTTTGAGATTTATTCATGTTGTTGAACGTATCATTGGTTCATTCCTTTGTATTGCTGAGCAGAATTATTTTGTGTGCATATATCACAGTGTATTTATTCACTTGCCAGAAGATGGACATTTGCAGCACTGTTTGTGCCAATATAAGATATGCAAACAACCTAAATAACCGTTAATAGGGGTCAGGTTAAATAAACTATAATATATCCATGCAATAAAATACTATGCTATGCATCTGTAGAAAGCAATAATAATAATGACTGCTCTTAATGTCTATGATAGAATGTTCTCCAAACTATATTGTAAAAGAAAAAAATAAGGTACCTGCGACAGACTAGGAATAGAGGGGAACTTCCTCAACTCAATAAAAAACATCTACAAAAAACCTACAGCTAACATCATACTTAATGGTGACAAATTGGAAGCTTTGCTCCTATGATTAGGAACAAGGCAAGGCTGTTCTCTCTCAATGCTGCCTTTCAACATTGTGCTGAAAGTCCTAGCAACAAGAGGAGAAAATAAAATCAAAAGTATGCAGATTGGGAAGGAATAAGTAAAACTGGTTTTGTTAAAAAATGACATGATTATACAGAAAATTCAAAAGAGTAGACAAAATGACTCCTAGAACTAATAAGCAATTATAGCAAGGTTGTAGGATACAAGGCTAATATATAAAAATCAATCACTTTCCTATATATCAGTAATGAACAAGTAGAATTTGAAATTAAAAACATAATGCCATTTACATTAACACCTTCAAAAATAAAATACTTGGGTTGAAATCTAAGAAAGTATGTACAAGATCTATATGAGGAAAACTTGATGAAAGATATCAAAGAATAATTAAATAAATGGAGAGATAGTCCATGTTCATGAATAGTATCTCAGTCTGTGCTGCTATAACAAAATATGATAAGCTGAGTAGCTTAAAAACAACAGAAATGTATTTCTCACAGTTCTGGAGGCTGGGAAGTTGAAGATTAAAGAATTAGCAGAGATAGTGTTTGGTGACGGCTTGTCTCCTGGTCCATAGATGTTGCCTTCTTGCTGTCTTCTTCCATGGTGGAAGGGATGAATGAGCTCTCTAGGAACTATCTTATAATAAAGGGCACTAATCCCTCATGGCCTAATATCCTCCCAAAAGGTCCCATCTCCTAATACAATCACTTTGGGGGTTAAGATTTGAACTCTTGAATTCTGTGGCAACACAAACATTCAACTATAGAGGATAAGAAGACTCAATATTATCAAGATGTCAGTTTTTCTGAACTTGATGTATAAATTCAATGGAACCCCAATAAAAATCTCACTAAGTTATTTTCTATCAACAAACTGATTCTAAAGTTTATAGAGACAGGCAAAAGACCCAAAATAGCCAACTCAATATGAAGGAGAATAAAGTTGGAGGACTGACTTCAAGACTTACTATTAAATCAAGACAGTGTGGTATTGGCAAAAAACAAACAAACAAAAACAGACACATAGATCAATGAAACAGAATAGAGCGCTCAAAAATATACCCACGTAAATATAGTCAACTGATCTTTGACAAAGGGGCAAAGGCAATAGAGAAAAGATACTGTTTTCAGGAAATGCTGCTGGAACAACTGGACATTCATACATGAAAAGAAAAAGAATCCAGACATAGACCTTACACCCTTCCCAAAAATTAATTCAAAATGGATCACAGACAAATGAAAAATGTAAAATGCAAAACTATAGAACTCCTAGAAAAATAACATGGGAGAAAATCTAGATGACCTTGGGTTTGATGATAACTTTTTGGATACAACACCAAAGGCGCAATCCATGAAAGGAAGAATTGATAAGCTAGATCCCATTAAAATAAAAACTTTCTGGTCTTCAGAGAACGCTGTCAAGAAAATGAAAAGACAAACCACAGACTGGGAAATATTTGTGAGAGACATAACTAATAAACGACTGTATGAAAAATGTACAAAGAACTCTTACAGCCCAACAATGAGAAAACAAGCAACCTAATTGAAGAAATAGGCCAAACATCTTAACAGATGCCTCACCAAAGAAGATATACAGATAGCAAATAAACATATGAAAAGTTGCTCTACATCATATGTCATCAGAGAAATGCAAATTAAAACAACAACAAGATACCACTATATACCTATTAGAATGGCTAAAATCTGGAGCACTGACAACACCAGATGCTGATGAGGATGTGGAAAAATAGGGACTCTCCTTTATTGCTGGTGGAAATGTAAAATGATATAGCCACATTGGAAGACAATTTGGTAGTTTCTTACTCTTAACATATGATCTAGCAGTCATGCTCTTTGGTATTTACTCAAAGAAGTTGAAAATTTATGTCCGTACAAAAACCTGCACATAAGTGTTTATACCAGCTGTATTAGTCCATTTTCACACTGCTGATAAAGACATACCCGAGACTGGGAAATTTACAAAAGAAAGAGGTTTATTGGACTTACACTTCCACATGGCTGGGCAGGCCTCACAATGATGGCAAAAGGTGAAAGGCACATCTCACATGGTGGCAGTCGAGAAGAGAGTTTTTGTAGGGAGGCTCCAGTTTTTAAAACCATCAGATCTTGTAAGACTTATTCACAATCATGAGAACAGCATGGGAAAAACCTGTCCCCATGACTCAATTACCTCCCACCAGGTCCCTCCCACAACACATG
The DNA here is from genome assembly GCF_000001405.40 of Homo sapiens. Taxonomy (NCBI): domain Eukaryota; kingdom Metazoa; phylum Chordata; class Mammalia; order Primates; family Hominidae; genus Homo; species Homo sapiens. The sequence continues at coordinate 148,977,280 of NC_000003.12, read as the reverse complement.
AGAATTCAAGATGAGATTTGGGTGGGGACACAGCCAAACCGTATCACCAGCCTTTTTTCATAATTGCCAAAACTTGGAAGTAACTGAGATGTCCTTCCAACTGAATGGGTGAATGGATATATCAACTGTGGTACATCTGGACTATAGAATATTATTCAGCACTAAAAAGAAATGAGCTATCAAGTCACGAGAAGACATGGAGGAAACTTAAATTCATATTACTACATGAAAGAAGCCAATCTGAAAAGGGTACATACTGGATGATTTCAACTATACGACATTCTGGAAAGGGCAAACTATGGAGACAGCAAAAAGATCAGTAATTGCTAGGGTTAGGGGGAAAGAGGAATGAATAGGCAGAACACAAAGATTTTTAGGATGATAAAACTATTCTGCATGATATTATAATGGTGAATATATGTCATGATACATGTCAAAACTCACAGAATGTACAACATCAAGAGTGAAACCTGACGTGATCTATAGACTTTGGGTGATAACGATGTGCCAATCAGTGTAGGTTCGTCAACTAAAACAAATGTACCAGTCTGGTGAGGGAAGCTGATAGTGGGAGAGGCTATGTTTAAGTGGGAACACAAGGTATAATGGGAACTATAAAGTATTATAAAGTATAATACTTTGCATTTAGCTTTGCTGTGAACCTAAAAGTGCTCCAAAAAATAAAGTTTATCAGTAAAAAAGCAAAGTATCACATAACAAGATGTATAGGACGTTGTGATTTGCATGAAAAAAGAGGGGTAAAGGGATTTTATGTGTACATTTTTCTTATGCATGAAATTATTACTTGTGAGGAGTAGGACAAGGGTGGGAGGAAGATTTTTTCACCATAGACCTTTTTATACTTATTCTTAATTGATTAAAATATTATCTATTCAAGAATTAAATAATTCAAAAGTACATCAAAATGGCCTGTCCCATCCCTTTCTTATAGTCCGTTATAAAGCCCATTTCTCTACTGAAATACTGCCCCAAATAACTCTTTTCATATTTTTTTAAAACTAAGACAATCACACAATAGTTTATCGATTTTAACCCTGAAAGTTTGGATCCAATTTTCCATCTTCTAGAAACCAATAAAAGTATAAGGAAAATGTTCTAAAACCTCCAAAGAAGAAAAATCAAATCCTAAAAGGCTATAGATTCGTATGCTAACCTCTGTCTTCCAGTTTTGTCCTTATTTAAAACTTCACCTTAAACGTCATTCATCAGTCTTGATTAATTCTCTGATTCTCTTGATTATTTAACTTTTAATCCTCCCATCCAGAAGATTCTGCAGGCAGGGAACACATCGTGCTGTCTGTATCGGGTGTGTCAGAAACAGCCAGCGCACATACAGCTGTCCTTACCAGCTGAGCAGAGTCTCTGGAAACTACTAGCAGCAAGGCCTCTGGCTCTCTGAAGTATTTTTCTCCTGACCTCAAAAAGCAGCCAAACACCTTTTCGAGACAAATGCTGTTTCTTTCCAAAATCAATTTGTCCAGGTGGTCTGTTAGATAGATTGTCAGAAGTGCTATCTTTGATAAAAGGGGGTGCTTCCGTATGTCCCAAGGATGTTAAGTACCTTTCTTATAGATATTCCCTGTGAGTTTCACATACAGTGGTCTCACAGTTTCTTGGTGAATCCAATGCTAGGCTAACATACCAGACGTTTAAATGAGTACCATTTCAGGGCCCATGGCCGGGAAGTTCTGTCTCACTCCCTGTGGTAGAACTCACTTGCTTCCAGAAAGTGCTGCCCTCGGCTGACACCAACAGAACTTGCCAAAGAGTTCACATGCTGATTTTTTGATAGGCCCAATAAGGTTAGATACTGTCACTGCTCCTAAGCTTTTGGCCAGGCCGAAAGCTAGGTAGTGCTTAACAGTGGCCAAGCTGTTTTGGCTGCAGCGCCCCGTTTGGCAATAGAATGGTGTAGTATCAAATTCTGGTGACAGCTTTCAGCTCTGTAGTATTCAAGGAAGATCCTGAGCTGCAGAAGGGGTTTTCCTGATGCAAACTGGCAGGAAAAAATCTTTGGCTCAAGGTTAGCCTATGCTATATAGAGTTAGTCTGTTCACAAGCTCTGAAACTTTTGATTGCAAATCTGTTTCTAGAATATAGATATTAACAGACCGTGATTCCTAAATACTTGCCGATGGAGATTAACATGGTGAATACTTCAGTAACTTTTTAAATCTGTTTAAACCCAAATACAAAATTATCTCGATAATTTGACAGAAAGAAACATGAAATATTTTTGGAACTGAGCATATATCTTACTATCACAAGAAACTCCAAAAGTAAAGAACTTGCCAGTTCATCAGAACCAAAAGTGAAAGCAATCAGAAGCATGTATCAAGTAACACAAAGCAGAAGTGAGGAAATATTTTACAACTCAAAGACCATATTGATCTGTGTGTAATAATAAAAAGGCACTTGTTCTCACCTTACTTTTATTTTATTTCATATTTTATTTATTTATTTTTTTGAGACTGAGTCTCCCTCTATTGCCCAGGCTGGAGTGCAGTGGCGTGATCTCAGCTCACTGCAACCTCCGCCTCCCTGGTCCAAGTGATTGTCGTGCCTCGGCCTTCCGAGTAGCTGGGATTACAGGCGCCCGCCACCACGCCTGGCTATTTTTTTAATTTTTAGTAGAGACGGAGTTTCACCATGTTGGCCAGGTGGTCTCGAACTCCTGACCTCAAGTGATCCGCCCACCTCGGCCTCCCAAAGTGCTGGGACTATCACCTTATTTTTAAAAAAATGCTCTCTCTCTCTCTCTCTGTCCCTCTCTCTCTCTCTCTCTCTCTCTCTCTCTCTCTCTCTCTCTCTCTCTCTCTATATATATATATATATATATATATATATATATATATATATAAACTTTAAATACCCCTTTAAAAGTTAAGAACAAGCACTGAGTAAATTTCCACTTCTACATTAACACCTCTTCAATTTATGAATGGCCACAACAGCACTAGCTATTCATGGTTCCAAGAATTCGGTGTTACTATAATAGCTCTGTGCACAAAATAGTGAGGCCTCAATCAATGTGTTTTCTAAAAACATGTTGCTTTATTAAGAAGTTTGTTCTCAAAAATCTTCAGTAATCATTTCAAGCAAAACTATGTGTACTTATATATTATGGAAATAACTCTGGACATGGAGTCTATTTACTGGCTCATAAAAGACATATTCACATGGAAAGTAAAGTTTCTTAACCTCTCAGTTTCAACATATTTGTGTGCAAAATGAAGCTAATAATATCTCCTGCACAGGACTGTTGGAAAGATTAAATGAAACTATACATGTAATACCTATTCTTTACTGTGCCTGATACTAATTAGCTCTCAAAATTAATATCTCTTCTCTTTCAACCAGAACTTATTTTTCTCTTTAATTGTAGGGGAAATTTTTTTATTCTTTGTAAAAGGAATTTCAGGTAGATGAAGATATTTCAGGAGTTTAGGATATTCCAATAAATCATTAAGCCTTTATTCAGATGACCCTTTCCTGGTACCAAGAGTAAGTAGTAGAATCTATTCCGGGAGCTGCTTGAGAATTACTGGGAGTGAAGCAACACATTTCCTTTGAGAATGACTTTTCAGGACCTTGGAGCCTTTGCTGTTTGTCCTTCCACCCTCACTCTTTCTCTGCCTGCCCATGGGCTGGAGCCTCTCTCAGGCTTCCTCTATGCACGCGTCTATCTTCTATATGGGGCAATATCCAATGTCCCATTCGTTTTGCCATTTCCTGTATATCAAACAGAGAAGCAGAGGGTGGGAGCTTATTGACATACTGACTGCTTACACTGGCAATGAGTATCTCTGAGGTTCCAAACTCTGGATTTTTCTGCATGACACTCAAATTTCCATGAAGCAGCTGAGTTTAAGAAGACTTGGACACACCACTCTCTAGTGAAATGACCTTGAGAAATGTTCTAACTTCTCTTAGTCTCAGTCTTATCATCTTTAATATGGGGCAGTAATCCTGGATGCACTAAAGAAAGTCCTTTTCACCCCAAGGAAAAGAAAAACAAAACACTTTTTTGTTTGTTTGTTTCCAAACATTGTATACAATAGCCATCCCTCAACCTCAGCCTCACCCTCACCTTCACCTTGAAGTTTCAGGGCTGGGTTATTCTGAGGGTCAAATGAGTCAATCCACAGGAGAGTGCTTTTCCTATTGTTGTGACCTAGAGGTTTGGCAACAATAACATTTTCTCTATCCATGTTTTTGGCTCTTCAGGCAAAACCCCTGCAGTCAACAGAATCACTAAATCTGGATTGTAATGAACCTTGGGATCATCTTTTCTAATCCCTCTTAAATGAGGCCCTGAAAGTACATGTGCTGGATACAAGCAGAAGCCGATGTCACTGGCATACTAAAGGAAAGTAATTCTTCAGTAATACACATGGAGACTTATGTCCCCTTCTCCCTCAATATACTGTGAATGAATAGCAGATCATCTTAGGCCATGAATAGATTTTTAAATAAAAACAATAACTTCCACATACATAGATCATTTTGCATGTGTGCAAATTTCTAAAAGTTGAAATGGTAAGTAAAAGCGTATGTGCACTTGTTACTTTGATTACTAAATTACTCCCCTTAGGACTTATACAAATTTACACTCATGAGAGTAACATATGAAATACCTGAAAAGTGTTATCTCAGTGAAATTTTGATTTACATTTCTTCTATCAGTGAGGTTTAGTGTATCTTCTACCTCTTTTTATATTTGAGTCATTTATATTTCTTTTTCTTTTCATATCCTTTGCTCATTTTTCTATTGGACTCAGAATTTTTGTTCATGAGGTGTAGTAGCTCTTTACATATTATAGAGATATCTATTTGTCTAATATGAATTACAATTGTGTGTATAACTAGACTATTTTTAACACAGAATAAATTATTTGCCCCAGAGGTATTCAAACATATGATTACTTACTAGGGGTATAGTAGGGAGCATTTACGGGTCAGATGTCTGGGCAACATGACTTTTGAAATAAGTTTTCATTTTAGCTTTTATGATTTATTGAATAGTGTTTCATTAATTAAGACCAGAAAACCTAGGCCTGTTCAACTATGCAAACTCTTCATATGAAGCAACCTGCTTTAACATGGTTTACTTACCATCTTCTTAGAAGGCAGAGCCTGAATGTTTGGTAGTCACAAATTTGTTGAGTATCCAGTATCCTGCACCTTTTTCCCTAGGAAGAAAGGAGGCAGCTGTGGCCTATCACCATTGAGTATTTTGGCAAGCAGCCTGGCATCTTGGGAATTTGTCCAGCATGTTTTTCAGAGGCATTTAGACCTTTCTAGAAGAAAGTAAAGGAAGCCAAGGATATTAAAGATTTATACCTCTTGTGTAATTTGGCTGCAAGAAACAAAGTCAGTTTCTGCTCAGCACTTCATGTAAGATGAACTGAAAAATGTAAGGAAACATGTTTAAACATAATTAATAAATATGTATAACTTTTTAACCAAATTGCTGGCATCACACATTTTACAGGCAGCTTGAAAACAATTTGCACAGTAGAATGATGAAGCATTTAATATTTGTTTCCTGGAGGTAGAGGGACAGGGAGAGGCTTGGATTCCTGAAGCCCCCAGAAGATGGTTCTGCATATATTGCACATAGTTACCAACTGCTCAGAATCAGCAAGACCTCATTAGGGACTCTGGACATGTCAAGAAACAGTATGTGGCTGATTGAAGTGAATGGCTTAGAAACACAGGGCAGTAAGAGGTCAACAATTGCTGGGGATTTTTGTTCAAGTGTTTTTTTTTTCTTTTCAATTTTAAGAACAAGTCTTCACCAACTTAGAATATCTAAAGTCGGAAATTTTCTAAAAGGAATAAAGTTAGTTTAGGTCATACCGAACAGTCTGTCGTGTCAATTTTATTTTTTTGGAACAATTTTCCTTCTCTTAACTCTTTCCTAATTAGCTTTCTGACCTCTGTAACTCTATCTCTCATTTTCCCCCTTCAAATTTTATTCTTTCCTATCTTCAGCAGCTGTAATCAAAGGAATATGAGGAATATATACTCTACTTTTTTTTTCTGTCTTCTTTCTTTTAGGGCACACATCTTATGTTTATGGACTACCTGATGTTGTTCCAGAAAGATGAGTTCATGATCTTACAAAGGTGCCAGATACAAAAAATTACACAATTCTTATCACAACCCTTGATTTGGAGGTGGTATCAGGGCGGCCAGGAATAAACTCAGTTACTTTGGGAATTTTCACATGGCTGATCTGGAGCCATGATGAGGTTATAGATAGAAGCGGATGCTTTGGGAAAATGTGAGCATGCCAGGCCCTGCTTGGATTCATGCAAGTCAAATAATTGTTGGGCCTACTGTATTTGGTCAGCCATGGAGAACACCCCAAGACATCCCACCTGTTAAGCACAAGGCAGAGACAGTCAATCTTCTCTGTCAGTTAAAAAATAAGGGGGAGGGGACAAAGGAAGGAGAGAGAGAGAGAGAGAGAGAGAGAGAGAAATTGATTAAAAATCCCCCCAAAGAAGAAGCATTTCTTTTCTCACCAAGTTATAAGACCACCAGGTTGAATTCAGTAATGATAGGGAGGAGAAAGTTCAAATGGATATCCCATACACGGCATTAAAAACGGAGCTTGAGCATATGCAAACAGCATGTCGACTGGGGCTCTGAGTGATGGTGAAGCGCAGGCTCTGGGGTGAGAAATAGGCTTGTGCTGAGAAACCATCTGGGAAAACTCTTAGACTAATTTGAATTGAACCAAGCTGAGACCTTAAGCATTTCGTTCCAATGAGATCCAAGCTGAACAATGACACAATCTGAAGGCTGATGTTCAGTTGTGGAGATACCCATGTGTCCTCGCCTAACAGCTGTCACAGTAAGTCCATGCTGCTCCTGAAAGCTAGATAATTAACTGTCATTTGCTTTGAAGTCCATGGAAAGCTGTTTCCTACTGTGGTACATTTACAACTTCTACAACTGCCACGTCAAATGTTCTGAGCTTTGACCTAATCAGTCCCACTAACTCCTTTAGATGTTCAGGTTTCTCAAAGGTATTCAAATCCCTGAAGCTGCCATTTGAGGTCTTTCAAGACAGGTGTTAAAAAATATATGACTTCTTTTTTTAATCATTAGGTTATTAAATAAGTTTACCAAAATATTGCTATAAGTCCATGTTTTTGTTGCTTTTTTTTTAATTGAGGGGGGCTGTTAGTAGCTTTTTTTATTTTTTTTTATTGAGGAGAGAGGAGCTATTTTCAAAGGGATCAAATTTGGGTGGAGTGAATGTAGAGTTGTTAGATCTATAGAATTGTCCAGATAGTGGCATCTACTAAGAAACATGAATAAGAATATGTTAGTTTCTTTTCTAAAATCTTAATAAGGGGGCCAATGTTACTTCTCTCTACTTCAGAAGTTTCAAAATAGGCCTTGGAAAAAATGTATTTATAAAAAGATTCAGATTTAAGGTTCAGAACAAACATAAGCTTAAACTAGTATATGTATGTGTTGAAGGTAACAATCAATAAAGCACAAATGAATGAACAATTTGATTTATTTGTGTTCCGTATATGTCTCTCTGTGGCAATATGACAGTCGAATCTCTGTAAAGGACTTTGGTTTCTAGATCTTAATCATTCAAGGCAAAATGAATATAATTTTACTTTGAGACTTCTATAAAGGGAAAAGGATTAACATGATATTTTAAAAGAAAATGTTTTACCGCATAATTTTGCAATGGATTTCTAAGACTCTTTGTGAAATTATGTGTTAATTCTATATATATTACATTGTAGCTAGAGGAATGCCAATGTCTTCATGCTGAGATTATTTGGTAGGGTTTGGGCTTATCTTTGTAGTAAAAATCAAATGTGGACTGTATTGAGACAGAAATTTGAGACTTAACCTGTTCTACAGAAATCATTTGCACTTACTAAATCTTCGTAGTTATTTTTCTCTTAAATTTATGTTGTTTTGCCTTTAGGGAGTTGATGGAAAGGCATTGTGAGTGTTTTGTGGATACAGTTAAAATTGTTTCATTAAATGTTAATGGACTTAATAGTCCAGTTAAAAAAAGCCAATATATTAGCCTGTATTAACCACTCAGTGCTGACATGGCTTATGTTCAGGAATTGCATTTGGGCCCATAGAACTGAATATCATATATGAGCATAGGTTAGGAATGGGTTTTGTTCTTTTGCTATAAGGAAATAACCATTTGGTTTATAAATGACTCCAAATTTTAACAAAACAGCTATTTCAGATGCAACCAATAGGTTTATTTTGGCCCAAAGAAAGATTCAGACATCTATGTGAACATTAGGAATGCAGCATGGCTCACTGGACTCAATAACAGACTAGAACTTGAGTTACATAAAATTCTGTAATATGCCTCTTTCTTTAGCACCTTTGCTATTAACGGGCTGTCAATGCTATTGGGAGGAATTAGTAATTTTACAATATTTTGCAAATGCACGAGGGATATTTGCTGATTTTTTTTTGGAATGGGAACTGTAAATAGGAAATATGTCTCTTGAAAAATGCATTTGTTCTTAGCTGATGTAAGAGATTTAAAATTATGCCATTTCCTCTTGATTAGATGAGAATAAGTGTTTTGTTTTTTGTTTCTTTGCAGTTTGGAGCAGTTAAAAGTACACTGTGTAGAAACAGCAAGGAAAGTAGGCTCAGCTTAGCCAGAGATTCCATATGGCCTCCCTTATTCTTGTCTTCAGGAATCACCAAATCATGTGTCTTTAGATACATTTTCATCAAGTCTTTTGAAATCAAACAACACTCATTTTAAAATAATCTTTTAAACATTTAGAAATATGAATATGTCATGCCTTCTCAACACATCAACCATATGTGGTTATGAACCATTTGGATTATATGTACAGCAAGAACATGATAATAGAAGAGAGTCTCCATTTCCTCCTTCTACTTTATAAAACGATGAGGAATTCAACAATGAGATCACAGAGGGTACAAAATAAATGCTTAGGCTGGGTGCAGTGGCTCAAGCCTGCAACCCTAGCACTTTGGGAGGCCAAGGTGGGCAGATTGCTTGAGCTTAGGAGTTGAAGACCAGCCTGGGCAACATAGCGAGACCCCCATATCTTAAAAAAAAAAAAAATTAGCCGAGGGGTGGTGGCATGGTGGTGTGGTGACACACTCCACACTCCTCTAGTCTCAGCTATTTGAGGATTGGTTGATCCCAGGAGGTTGAGGCTGCAGTGAACTGTGTTTGCACCACTGCATTCCAGCCTGGGTGGGAATGTAAGACCCTGTCTTAAAAAAAGAAAAAAGGACAGAAAAGCTTAAAGAATTTTCATTCATTCAACAAGTACTTTTTTATTTGTTTTGTTTTTGTTTTTTGAGACGGAGTTTTGCTCTTGTTGCCCAGGCTGGAGTGCAATGGCGCGATCTCAGCTCACCGCAACCTCCGCCTCCTGGGTTCAAGCAATTCTGCTGCCTCAGCCCCCAGCCCCGAGTAGCTGGGATTACAGGCGCCCACCACCACACCCAGCTAATTTTGTATTTTTAGTAGAGACGGGGTTTCTCCATGTTGGTCAGGCTGGTCTCGAACTCCCAACCTCAGGTGATCCACCCACCTTGGCCTCCCGAAGTGCTGGAATTATAGGCGTGAGCCACCATGCCTGGCTCAACAAGTACTTTTTCGACCACTGTTTTGTTTTTCCACCAAAAGAAATTTAAAATCTGCACAAAAGTCTCTAACCATCTTTAGCTGTAACAATTCTAGCATGAAAGATATAGATTTGATTTAAAGAACTCAGTATAAACAATATTAAAAAAAAATGATAACAGAAATGGCTGGGGTAGCCACAGAGGAAAACAGGAGACTAATCTACGTGACCTTGAGGAAACAACTGAATTTTCTCGGCCTTAGTGTCTTCAGCCAATAAGAATGAATGGAGAGGCTCTTCCGCCTTGCAATTCTGTGGATCATAACAGATCATTAGTGATAATTATTCTAGTACAATAGGGAAGATTGACACTCTGGGGCCTCCCAGTGTCATGAAGTTTTCTAACATTCTCTCTTGTCTTTGGATGCTTTGAGTGTGTTATCTCATTATATAATGTTTGAGCTTTGAAAGCTGCTAGGCACTTTATTGATGAATGCAAAGCATATTTATTGAAAGAGCACATTTCTTTAGAATCCCTGGAACAAGTTTTGTTTGTTTGTTTGAGGTAGAGTCTCACTCTGTCACCCAGGCTGGAGTGCAATGGTGCAATGCAACCTCAGCTCACTGCAACCTCCGCCTCCTGGATTCAAGCGATTTTCCCACCTTCGCCTCCTGAGTAGATGGGACTATAGGTGCATGCCACCACGCTGGGCTTATTTTTGTATTTTTAGTAGAGATGGGCTTTGCCATGTTGGCTGGGCTGGTCTTGAATTCCTGACCTCAAGTGATCCACCCACCTCAGCCTCCCAACTCCTGACCTCAAGTGATCCGCCTGCCTCAGCCTGCCAAAGTGCTGGGATTACAGGCGTGAGCCACCGCCCCCCGCCCCCTGGACAAGGTTTTATGCTCAAGTCTTCACTTTGAATTTCTTTTATAGACAAATGGGGGCACTCAGGAAGCTAACAGGAAGAATGTAAGATACAACTAAAAGCTAGCTGAGGCAAGCCTGCATGGACTTTCATCCGTCTGTTGAATTTTGTGCAACTAGGTTATCTTTGGGAAATCACAATGAAGTTATTGCCTTCAAGACCTCAGAAGGGTCAGCTCTTCAAGAGTACTTATGTGTTAACTCAATAATTTTATCAATATCCAAAACCATAAAGTCAATCAGTCGTGGGGAAACTACAGAACACAGAAATAGCTAACATCTATTTTCTACTATTTCTAGGTACCATTGTAAGCATTTTACATGTATTAACTCATTTAATCATCATAGCAATTCTCAAGTAGGTACTATTATCATTCTTGTTTCATGGTTGTGGAAATCAAGCCACAGAGAAGTTAAATGATTTGCCTAAAGTCACTTAAATTATAAATGGCAGAACTGGGATTTGAACTTTTGCAGTCTGACTTCAGCCCATGCTATGTCCACAATATTACGGTTACCTCCCAACATGGCGAGTGATTTGCCATATTTACAGTGAAAAACATCAGCTGCTAAGTAATGAGAGCTTTCATCCAGTGTTGAAGCCAAGCACCACCCAGCTGGAGGTAGGGCCAGCTTTAGCCTTTAGGCTCAATAGGCCAGGATCTAAGGCCCATGATATTTTCAGGGACCTAAGAAAATATCTTTTAAAATCATAAGGAAAAAATGAATATGATCTAGCCTGAATAGTATTTGTCTTTATACCAGCATAGCCATAAAATATTTTATATATTTAGGGAGGAAGTCACCCGTGAAGGCAAAAGTGCCTAGGACCCATGAAAGTCATAACGGGGGCCTGATGGGAGGGTAGAATAGAAGTAGATGGGATAGGGACAAAGTTGTTGCTTGGAGGTCTTTCCAGAGGATCGCTGTGTGGTTGGTCCCTTCCTCCACTCTCCATGCTGGGGTAAAGGCAAGCTGCTGCAGAGCTCATCTTTGGCAAAGCTGCTTAACTCACTATTGGACCTTTGGCTTCTTCCTAGAGCCTCCCACCCCCACCTTCCTTCCTTTGCCACCAAGTGGGTGCTAGCTTTTCTCCTCTTCTTTCATGCCTTGGCTGTGCTGAGGAAGGTTGCAAACATGTTTTGCTGCTAGCCTGAAGGTGGGTTTGGTTTGATCTGTACAGCATCATAGAAAATCAGTCAGTTGTCATCATTTAAAAAAAAATTGGGTGATTTCACACAAATATCTGGATTTCTGGCTTCTCTTAAAGTCAGAAGGCATTGGGCTCATGTTACATGAATCCTTTTGGCTGGAGGTGAGTTAGGCTGTTTAGTCCCCTCCTCCTATCTAGCCCTGTAAACACTAGGATTTTAACCTTTGCATTAAGATATAATTTACAGCTTAAAGTATTATCCTTTCCCCAAATTCTTGCAATTTCACAGAGAAGGAAGGAAGCTGCAGAGATTGCACTCATAATGGTATTCTAGGCTTCAGCCATTAGGAGGTCCTGTAGGATATCAGGGTTTCTGCGTATAATGTCAAGTAAGGCCTGTGCCTTCTTTTGCTATGAGCAAGGCTTGTACTGAGGCTTCATGTGAATAGCAACAGGGCAGTCTGAATTTCCAGGATAAAGGTGGGTGGAAAGCGAGAGGAGAGATGCACCGCCTTCCCTTCAAGTGCTTCATCCTGCTGAAAGCAAGTGAATATGAATGGAATACAGAATTCCTGCATCCATTATTTTTAACTGTATTGTGGTTATTATTGTGAAAGACAGGACTTTAAAGAAGCTGGCAGGTGCTAACTTGAAAGCACCCACATAAAACACTGTCCAGACAGTTCAACTCTGTTGGGCAAATCTGTGCAAGGCCATCAGGCATCCAAAGCTGAAAAGAAATTTTACATTAGCCTCTTGTTGAAAACCTTTCTATTTAAGAATGCAATTTTTATATTTTCTCCATAACAAAGCAGGATTTATGAACCTTGCTCTGTTTTTATTGTACCCATGTGAACCTTCTGTGTGTGGACAAAATATTGCTATTGCCTAGCTTTTAACAGTGGTTTGGAGGATTGAAGAAATATATCTTGTTCTCACTTTTATAAGGCTTTTCAGATCTTTTAGCCTTACGTATTAGAGGCCCATGTAGGTGCCCACATTTCCACATTTGGTTCTACCATGTTGATAATATTCCCTAGAGAGTTTATAGTTACATATGCTCAGTGATTGAAATAAATATGTTAGATAGCTGGCTAACTAGCTACTGAGCATAGGGGATGAGCTAAATAAGATTTTTATGACCATGTTTCTGACCTTACTATTGCTCCCATTAAGAGGAAAATGATCTTGCACTAAACAGTGCCTTTTCCCTGCAAAAAAGAAAGGGCTTTAAGGACACAATATGGTCATTTTATTTCATTTTTTCTTACCCAGTTCAATGCCTGACAACCCAGAAGTCTTTGTTTGTTAATATTTATCATCCACATATTATATAGATTATGGCATATACATATATGGACTCAAATGATGTACAGGATGTTTAAGACATGGCTCCCGGTTGCAATGAATTTGGTCCAATTGGTGAGCCAGGACTAAAGAAGGAAGCAATATATCTGCTGTATATTAAACAGTACATTTTGTGTGTGTGTGTGTGTGTGTGTGTGTGTGTGTGTGTGTGTGTGTGACTTAGTGCTCCAACTGTTAAAGAAAGGGGATAGTCTGTTTCTGGCTGGGTCACACAGTGTAGGCTAACATGTGTCTTAGTCTGGGCTTCAAGGTTGAGAGTGATTACACAGAGTATGGCACAATGCGGGGAGGCCACTGGAGTTGGAAAGGTGGGAATGGATCATAGGGTGATGAGATTTGGTCCAGATTGAGGCGGGGGTGGGCTAAAGAGCTTCTGCTTTATCCTACAGCTAATGCTAAGCCATTTTTATGCAGGGAAAGAAAAGATGTGATAAAAGCAATGCTCTAGGAAGATTAATCTGGAAGCTTAGTAAAGTAATTGGAGCAGTTGAAGATGCAAGAGGCTGGAAAGCCAGTTAGGAGGCTCATGAATAATCTGGATATAAAGTGACTGGAGGCTGATTTAAGTTGAGAGAGGAAGGGGAAGTAGGGAAGGGATGATTTTAGAGAATCATTGTTTAGAAAAGATAAGCAAATGTAGCTGGATGAAAGAAAGGTGGAAGGAGTAAAAGATACTGTAGTTTACCTGCAGTTTCCAACCTGGAGGGGAATAAGAACTGGGAGACATGCCTTGCCTCCCATCCCACCTTGCTCACTTTTCTCCAGCCACACAGGTCTCCTTGCTATTCCTTAAGCAAAGCAAGCATCACCCCTACTCAAGGCCTTTGCACCTGTCAATTCCTCTGTTCTGAACATTCTTCCTCCAGAGACCCACCTCCCTTGCTTCTTCACTTTCAGCCCCTACCTGGCCCTCTCCACTCATTTATGCCTGTAAAAATGGGCATTTTCAATTAATACACTATATTTCAAAATGTTACTTTTCCTAAAAATTCTTGCAGGTTCATAGAGATAGGGAGCTTAAGCTATAGAGATGGCTAAAATGTACCCTGGTTAGAAAGACTTCCCTGACTATATCCTTCCTGACGATATATCATATATTAAGTCATTTTTTTCTGACTAGCATGTAAGGGTGTATGGACAAGACTTTGTCCTTTTTAATGGCTTTATCCTCAGCACCTAATACAGTGCCTGGCACATAGTAAATTATCAATAAATATGTGTTAGTTAAATTAGTGAAACAGGCAAATTCAAAAAAGAGGCTAATTTGGGAATTGAGGGGGAAGATTATGAGTTAGCTTTAAATTCACATCATCCTAAAAGACAACATTTTTTGATATTGGCAAGAGGTCAAGGCTAGGAGTGCAGCTTTGTGCCTTCACAGGTCTAACTTCTTTATGAGCATCAGCACAGCCTCTTGTGGACAGCGCCCCTCCCTGGGGGTTATCTCAGTGTTTTTCCTCTTGCATTAGGAGTCCTTTTCTTTCCCTGTGTGACTCATCTCCTCCTGGGTAGAGGAGGGGAGGACAGCCTTGGGATAAGGGGAAGTATCAAGAAGCTGCTGAGCCTATGAGAGGACAACCCAGAAACCACATTTCCTCTCTTAAGCTCCCCATCATATAACTAGTCAATGCTTTCTAGACACTCCAGATATAATTATTGGGATGATACACTACAAACTTTTCAAAATGTATTTGACATAGCCTGTAATAATCCAAATGAGAACAGAGACAACAAGAAGGCACACCTGTAGCTCATTTGTTTCCGCTGTTTCAATTGCTCTAATTCCCCTTTTCCAGTAGCCCATTAGGATCACCTGCCAAATTGACTTATTTAATGAAATTTCTGATGTACATTCATGTGTTTTCTAAAATAATCTCTTTAAGAAAGCACATTTTTCCTTCTCAAATGCAGTTCTGCCTTTTCTTGATAGGAACCCCATTCTAACATCACTACTGACTGTATTGAAATGAATGAATACATTATAAAGCACTTTATCTTTATTGCTGCCTGAAGTGGAGAATATAATTGCCAGCTGTGTATCCCAGGCACATAATTCCATTACTAGGTTCTTACGGAGCCATCAGTCCCATGGATGGTCCTTTGCTTGACAAACCAGCCCATCAAATTCCAAATCTGCCTTAATGGCAAATGCCACCTCTCGATCAGGTCACTGCTCCAGCCTGAATTCAGCAAATGTTACCAGAATACTTACCCTGGGGTACCCACGCTGCTCTTAGTTACGGGGTGCCTATCTTGCTCTTAGTTCTGCTCAAAAAAGCTTGTCATGCTTGAGGTCACAGCTTTTGGTCAAGGGTCCTTCCAGGATGAAGCTGATCTACGTTTTCTTGGACTGTCCACAAACATCCTTAACAGGTGCTAACTCTATTTTTAAATACTCTAGCAATATTTGTATGGGGAGCAGGGGCCAGCCACTATTCGGAAGTGGGCTGGTGAGGATTTTGATAGTGTTTTGGCTTTTTTGTGTTGGCTGGGTGGTGACACAGTTTCTTCAGATATCTTTAAATATATCATAGTCTACCAAATAAAGATTAGTTGAGGTGTGTGGGTTGGGGAGAAAGTGGTTAAGAAAACTTTTCTGCCAGCATACAAACTACCCTGGCTTCATACTTTGCTCTAAATTTCTGTGTAATCCCAGGGTTTTAGAGGTAAACCTGTACGGATCTCCTATCTTACACAAGAGGGATGAGCACTCACATTTACTGAGGCCACATGAGGGCTTGGCGCAGTTGGGAGCTTTTCATTTACTCTCTCAGTTGGCTGATGAGGAAACTGCTGGTACTTTTGTCCTAGCACACAAAGAATATAACCATCCTGAAGGAAAGAGAGTTTTGATTAAAGAGGGGAGGGTGAGAGAAGGAGTAACACTGGGGCAGGGCAGAGGATGGTATGCATGGATGGGTTTGCTGGAAGGAGAGGAGGACTCAGGAGACCCGGTGGTAGGAGGGTGATATGAAGAGGAGGGTGGCCCAGGATACACTGAGCACACTTTTGCACGTTAGTGGAAGACACTGGAAGTACAATGTCTGATACAATTTCTGGGCTGCCTTTGCCACAATATTCCAGGTTGCTGATATCTGCTTTCAAGGTAAGTTTGTCTGATTAGAATCTAGAGAAGTGTTTGAGAAAGCAAAGAGGGGTGAAAATGTTATTACTATTATTTTAGTGGTGGTAATCATTACCACCTGCTGAAAGCTTAATATGTGCTACAAACTGCTATGTGTATGATGTATCTTACATAAGTTAATTTTTACGAAAAACTTGGAGGTTGGTGTTCTTATGCTTATTTTAGAGGTGGATGAACTTTCTTGGCCAGATTCTCACAGCAAATGGGAGATCTGGGATTTGAATGCAGATTTGTCTAGCTCCCAAATTTATGTGATGGAATATCAAATAAATAACTTAATCTCTACTCATAAAACATGGATTCCATATCCCTTTTAGAACCATTTTTATGTGATTCAAGCCAATCCAGAGCATAACAACACTAGAAGATATAATAGCAGTAAGATAAACTGCCTCTTTAGCTATTTCCAAATTCATGGTCTCAATTAAGCCTTTTTCACATGTGCTGGCCCTTGTAATTCCTGATGTACTTTTCCTAATTCCAAATGTCTGGTAACAATTTATGATGTATAATTAAATGGGCTACCCTCCTTTTATCACGCCTTCTAGATATAGTCCCATCACATGAAACAAAGCGAAGCAAAACACTTCTTTGATTTAATGTTGACAGTCTCACATTCTCATTCTTATTAAGCTAATAACATTTAAAGATGATACTGAGGCTCTTTAATAATCCAGCAAGAAGAAAAATACAATTAGGCAATGATATGGTTTGGCTGTGCCCCCATTCAAATCTTGTCTTGAATTCCCAAGTGGGAAGGGAACCTGTGGAACTTGTGGGAGGGACCTGGTGAGAGGTAATTGAATCATGGGGGCAAGTCTTTCCTGTGCTGTTTTCGTGATACTGAATAAGTCTCACGAGATCTGATGGATTTAAAAAGAGGAGTTCCCCTGCATAAGCTCTCTTTGCCTGCTGCCATCCATGTAAGACATGACTTGTTCTTCCTTGCCTTCCACCATAATTGTGAGGCTTCCCCAGCCATGTGGAACTGTAAGTCCAATTAAACCTCTTTCTTTTGTAAATTGCCCAGTCTTGGGTATGTCTTTATCAGCAGTGTGAAAACAGACTAATACAGGCAATATCAGGGCAAATAAATACATCTTGGGAAGTGGTAGAAAGGGGAGGAGAAAAGAGATCAGGATTGAGTAAATGCCATGACTAACTAGGTGGGGCAGATTTTACCCGCATGAAGAGAGGTGCAAGGGCCCATGTTTATCTGAAACCCACCTGCTCAGTGGAAACCCTCCAAAATTTATTCCCATGTAACAATGGGCATTCTTAACAAGAGGCATAAGGCTATATCATGTTGGTTAGAAATCCTAAAGAAGAGTGATGCTGTGAGGAAGTAGGGTAACAAGCTGGTTTCTGGGTCTGGTCAGCCTTCTCTGTGAGGGGCCCTGAGGATATTGGTGGACGTGTTCAGGAATAAGAGGGTTCTGGGGCTGAGAGAAGAAAGGGAGCACAAAGGAAACAGCTAAGACTTTATTTCCGTGGGCTTTCTTGAAGGTCAGTCTGGGTAGAGTTCCAGAGATAAGCTCACTTTTGCTCTACCTTCAACTTAGAAAATTAAGAAAATGCCAGTCACCATGGAGGCCTCTGGGAAATGCCATGCTTCCCTATGAAGGCAGCTTACCTCTGCCCTGGAGGACTCTACTTCTATAGTTTTTCTTTTTTCTTTTTTTTTTTGAGACTGAGTCTCGCTCCATCACGCAGGCTGGAGTGCAGTGGCAGTGTCGGCTCACTGCAACCTCTGCCTCCCGCCTCCCGGGTTCAAGCAATTCTCCTGCCTCAGCCTCCCAAGTAGCTGGGATTACAGGAGCGTGCCACCATGCCCAGCTAATTTTTGTATTTTTAGTAGACACAGGGTTTTGCCATGTTGTCCACTCTCGAACTCCTGACCTCAGGTGATCTGCTCACCTTGGCATCCCAAAGTTCTGGGATTACAGGCATGAGCCACTGTGCCCAGCCTGCTTCTACACTTCTTAAGGAAGAGGTTGCTTGTTTGTTTATGTATATCTATTTATGTATTGATATCTTCTACACTCCTTATTTACTAGGAAAAACTCAGTTTTCTTGGTATGTAACTGGAAAGTGTGCAACGGGGAAAATGTGGCTGTTTATAGCCCTCTGACCTTGAACATGTTACCAAAGCAATTTGTGTTTCAGCTGCTTCCTGTATGAAGTGGATCTCATAGGCAAATATAGAAATGATACATTCTTCATTGAGAAACATCACATCACTGTCCTCTTATGTAGATGAAAGTATTTTTACCATATGGCTCCTCCTTTCATTGTTAACAACCTGCTCCATCAGGAGAGAGATAATGAATGCAAAGAAAAAATACTTTTTCCACTCTAAAAGTCCATTCAGATTCAAAAGTCCTTACAAATACCTGTGTTAGAGGAAGAAACATCCACATCCCCATGCTGCATTTGGAGTGTGTTTTCTGTTTGTTCTGTTCTCAGTAGGGAGAACCGCTTATTACTGTCCTAGGCATGAGCCTTTTATATACTTGAAAACCGTCGCTAGCTCACCCTGTAACCTTCTCTCCTCCAAAGGGAATCACCTTGGTTCATTTAACCTCTCCTGATCTTTATTTTTCAGATCTCTAATCACTTTGTGGCTTGCTTCTCAACTGACCCCAGTTTCTCTCTCTCCCATTAATTGCAGACCTCAGAACTAGACCCAGGGTCTGCCCAGGTTTGTGTGGCTGGGCAGGGGAGATGGGAATGGAGAGGCGGACAGTGACAGCAGTTACTTGTTAGTAGACCTATAAGGTGGGAGAGATGGGAGGAGTAGGCAGTCTTTGTATAACAGTTAGAAGTCAGGATTTTTTTTTTCCACTTCATTTTATTTCAGAGTTTCTGAAACAGTGGCACGTACATCGATAGACAATTTCCTGCCGAAGCATTGAGCAAGACTTTGCCATGGGCCCAGTACTACTGCTGGAGTTCAAAAACTACCAACTCTTGGTCCCCAGGCTGAATCCTGCCTGTGGACAGGGCTTGTTTTGCTCACACTGTTAAAAATAATGTTTTAATTAGTTACTGACTCTCATTTCAAAATGAGAAATTTGATTTAGGAATCATCCAGAGTTCCAGCTTCTGTGAAACTGGCGGTTTAGGAATAGTGGGCTTGCATGTCAGGCCTGGAACCATGTGCTGGAGCTGAGCAGCAGCTCCCCCTATGGATGGGGGACTCCCCTCCAGTTCCTTTGAGTCCTGCCTTGCCTATTGTTGAGGACTGAGTTGTGTCCTCACTTCCTGTCATTCACATGTTGAACCCCTAACCTCCATAGTGACTGATTTGAATGAAGATAGGGCCTTCAAGGAAGCAATTAAGGTTAAATGAGGTCACGAGGGTAAGGGGAAGAGACACTAGAGAGCTCTCTCTCTGCATGCATTCAGGGGAAAGACCTTGTAGGGAACAGTGAAAAGGTAGCTACAAGCTAGGAAGGGAGGCCCCACTAGAAACTCACCTTGATGGAACCTTGAACTTGGACTTCCAGCCTCCAGAACTGTGAGAAAATAAGTTTGTGTTGTTTAAGCTACTCAGTCCGTGCCATTTTGTTATGGCAGCCTGAGCTGATGAAGCCAGCCATGCACCTCACTTACTTTGTGCCTAGCTTCTGAGGTTATCTGTGTCGAGGCCCCTGCTCTATGTGTGGAAGTTAAAAGAGCGAATTATCCTGTTCCTCTACTTTGTCTACTGGCAGAGAAAGTTAGAGAGAGAAATAATTTGTAACAGAGGGCATCATACAAGTGATGTACAAACTGGCATTGGAGGACAGAAGAACTGTCTGTGGCTGGGATGGGAGGGACAATGCCTCTTCATTGTGAGGAGTGAGCGTGTCAGATGGGTGTTCAGAGATTAGGAGGATTTCAGCAAGTGGTGAGGGAATGAAGGGCAGGAGCAAAGGCATCCAGGCATGAAAGTGGATGGTAATCCAGGTTTGACTGGAGTTCCAGGGTACGTTGCAGGTGGAGGGTGTGCAATCGGAGACAGGGCCAGAAAGGGAGGACAGGGTCTGATCAGAGCCCTGAATGCCACGCCATAGGATTTAGTTTAATTCTGGAGTGAATGAGGAGTACCTGAGAAGCTGGAAGAGGGAACCCAGGGGCTGAAAGATATATTTTAATTGATTAATTCTCTGTTTACTGAGAACATCCGTTGTGTCGAGGCACGGCAGATCCAATTGTGGACAAATAGAAGTCAGTCTCTGCCTTTGCGGAGTTGACAGAAATAGATGATTAGATTTATAACAACGTTAGGCAGTGAGGAGTGCTATGAAGAAAATACAGCAGTGTCGGGATAGAGTGTAATACTGTGGGTGCTAGTGTAGATGTGCGTGCTCAGGGAAGGCATGACATTCGGGCATAACCCTGAATGAAAGCGAGAGGGTGAACCATGTGGTATCTGAGAGAATATAATTCTAGATAGAGGGACAATCAAAGTGCAAAGGCCCTGAGGCAAGAACACAATTGTGTTCAAAGAACAACATAGAGGCCGGTCTGGCTAGAGTAAGCAATGAGAAGAATTGTGGGCAAGGAAGTTGAAGTAGTCTCCTAGTCATACACAGGCTAGGAGAAGGGCACATTTTGGACCAGTACACAAATGAAGTCCTCAAACAGAGCTGACTGCGGAAGACAGGGCTTTAGGGACAGGATGAGATGGATTACCCATCTCCCAATCTCTGGATCAATTGTGTGCGGTGGCAGCCCTCAGTGGAGAGGGATAACCGAAGTCCTGTCTCTCCCAAAGTTCAGACCGTCAGCCTATAACTGTCCCCAAAGAAGGGTGAAGGCAGGGACAGGGTTTATCTGCTTCCCTAGCTCAGAAGCCCAGGCGGTTCCACAGGGGATCCGGGAGAATACAAGTGCTCCTCCTCTAACAAGCACCACACTGCCGCTTAATGTTACAGGCCTCTGACAGATGAAATCAAACCTGTTTTGGCCCTAGAGTGAAATGATTTATTCCAGCAAGTGGAAATAGGAAGAGTTGAAAGGCAGTACAGGCCAGAATGTGGGTTGGCTTCGTAGACTGAGTAATGTGGGTTGGCTTGGTGTAATTCGTTTTTGGAATACATTTTTTTTTAAGGTTTAGTGAGGAGGAGGTAAACAATCCTTTGAGAACCATATAAAGCTCTGCCTCCAGCGTGTGATGGTCAGAGAGCACGGTCATTGCCTTTGGCATTCTCTGCTAAGTTTTCACCCTTGGTGTTTTGCCTTTTCCTTCTTGCTTGGCTGGGAGAGTTATGAGCTCCTTAGGAAAGAATGTCCTGCTTTCTCTGTTGGCCCTGCTGAGGGGCAAACATTAAAAAAAAAAAAAAAAAAAAACCATTAGCTGTAAATCTCTGTGGTAAGAGTGCCCTCTTCTGGTTCGGCTTCTTTGTCTTGAGCTGCCAGTTCCCTAACAATGCTGTTTTTAGGCTTCCGATCTTTTTGATGAAATAAACTAGCAAAGAAAAAAAGCAAAAAAATACCATTGAGGATACATTCATTTCACCCAGTGTTTCTAGAACCCCTTCCACAGTTCTAATTCTTACTTGGCCATATTTTCTGAAATTTCGGACCCAGACTTTCTTTGGGATTTACACTTAGCCTTTTGCGAATCCAGAAAAACAGGTAAAAATAGTAGCATTTCAGAGCTTGGAACGGGTGTTGCAATGGGTTCGTCTGGTCACTTTTATGCTTCTGTTTCTATGCCATTTATTAAGTGCCTACTCAATTTATTGAATATTTGAGGGCCAAGCATTCTCCTAGGCCCTCCAAGATCATAAATGAGATACAGCCCTTGCCTTTGCTAAGAATGTCGTGGGAAATATAGATGAGTAACAGAAAATTACAACATCAGCTGACAAATAACTGAGATGTGAACAGGTGGTTATAGGGGGACATGAAGGAATTTCTTTGGTTATTCAAGCCCAAATGTGAGAAAAATCAATGCCTCCTCAACTCGAATTGTTCCTGTAACAGTCACATCTCTTTATGTACTAGATCCAGGGCTCTATGATGAGCAAATCGTGATGGGTTTAATATATTTCTTCTACTAAACCCCAAAAATAATTTTAGATCTAAAAGGGACATGAAAATATGTCAGTTTTCTCCATTTTTTTTTCTATGTCAAGGGAAAAATTTTCTTTTACAAGGAACATTTTGAGAGGCTCTATATATCTAGCTTCAAGTAATTAAAATTGGTTTTAATTGTGGAATACCAATGCACAATTCTGTGTGGGGTTTGCTAGAAATCATAGATTCAATAGAAACAATTTTCCTCCATATAAAGGGAGAGTTATATTTCATGAGACTCTCCAGAAATCATTCTTCCATTCTGGTCTCTTGTGACTTTTCTCTGTGGGCTCTAACCCATAATCTTGCATATATACAGCTCAGGATGTTACTTAGTGTCCCAATGGCCTTTAAGGTTGTATTTTGTTTTATTTTAGAAAATTTGTTAATGAAATTTTCTGTTTTCTTCTATGTCCTGGATCTTTTGCATAAGAAAAGCTTTAATACAAAGTAGGAGAAGGAGATGGGAGGCAGAGAGGAAAGAGAGAATTCATTTGTGAGCTACAGCAGTCTTCCTGTGTCCATCTCTTGGCTATAAATTCAGATAAAACATGTCAGTGATATTTTAGGGGATGCTTCTCATCAGGTATATATGGTGTTGCTTATTTTACTTTATTTAAAATATTTATTTTATTTTTAACTGCCTATGCAAATTTATCTGCATAAATCTGGTCGCTTTTTTCATTTCTTTTTCCAGTATTGGTTTTAACTCTCAATCATGTACTAAAGAAAGGACTTCTAACTTTTAAATTAGAACTGATAAGCTTTCTTTCTCATAGGACATCTATTTCTAGGTTCCAGCTTTGGTTCACTATACCTTGTCCAAAAATATCTTCTAAACTCAAGAATTCCTAAGGGGGCTTTGGAGCGAGAGGTATCCACAAAATTCTTAGATTACACCCTGAGAAACACTGATGTAGGCACTGTTTTTCTGATTTGAAATTAAAAATCTCAAATGGACTTGGAGGAACAGAGGCTTAATGTAGCTCTGAGCCTGCTCAGTTCTGAGCTAGTCTCAGTAACCAACTGTGGCTGGAGACACAAGGGCTGTACATATACACAGATGGCAGGCAATTGAGCTTTTCAATTCTGCTTCCGTTTTTTTTTTTTTGGTAGGAGCAGAGTTGCTAGATCAAGGATATCAGTTAAACATAATGCTCAAAATGGCAGTGAGGAGCAACCAGTGAGGGAAGCGGCAAGACTGACGGGACAGGGTGAAGGCTCCTGAGTTCCATTGGCTCTGTCATTCATGGGTGATGTTCCAGAATGAGCAATGTATGTGTTCTGAGCTTCAGTTTCTCTATCTCTAAAGTAATTAATAGTGTGCTCCTTGGAGGTGCCTCATGGAGAATGAGCAGCGAGGGGGCAAGGGATCCTCACCTCTGTTTCAACTTACCCTTTCAGTTTTTAATTCTATTTTATATATTTGACTTCATCATAAGCTCTTGTCTGAAGAAAGGGTTACCAGCAAAACAAAACATAACAAAAAAACTTTTAAAAATTATTAGACTAAATGATTTCTAAACTTCCTGCTAGCTCTAGAACTATATGGGAGCCAGAATAGTGGTATTTGTTGCTTTTCTGCCTAGTGTCTATAGTGACTTTCTTCTGATTCTCCTGCAGCCATTTTTGTGACTCAGCTTGGCATTGCCAGAGGCCATCACAGAGAGCTTAGGCATTGAGCTAGTCCAAAGGCAGCCAAACAGAGGTGGGCCCTGGTGGTGGCAGCCTTTAATTTCAGAATGAAGCCTCACCTGTGGCTACCCTGTCTCACAGGGTTTTCAGTTACATGAATCAATATGAATCAATGAATTCCTTTTTTTTTTTTTTTTTTGCTTAAGCCATTTAGAGTTGGGTTTTCTGTCACTTGAAACCAGAAGATTTCTAATTGAATTAGTTGGTATTTAAAAGATAATCAACAAACATTTATTGAGATGTCGTAGAGTATAAAATAGAGTATTAAATGCTTGATATAAAAATCAAGGCACTATTTCTATCAATAAAAAATCTAACTTTGCTGTCCTTTGTGTATAGAAATGACAGTCCTGATTTACTATGTATAGGATATTCTCTTTGTTTATATAACTACTGATAAAAACTCCTACTGAAGCTATTAAACTTACAGTCTTGGTCTCACTAACATGTTGGGCTATCTGAACTCATGTGGAGATAGGCAAATCTGCCAAATATGAAACCAATAAAAAGAGATCACAAAACTACAAAGCACAATGAAGGAAACAGGGCTAAAGTTACTTTCCTGTACTGCTTGGTGAGGGCATAGATCGTGCCAACTTTTCCAGGGCAATTTGATGTTATTACCAAAAGCCTTCAAACTGTGGTCTCACTTTGACCTATCAATCTCACCTCTAGAAATTTATCCTAAGGAAATAACTATGGATGTACACAAAATCATAGATACAGAGATGTTCACATTGTTATGGGCTGAACTGGGTCTCCCGAAATTCATATATTGAAGTCCTGACTCCCAGTAGTGGAGAATGTGACTGTATTTGGAGATAGGACTTCTAAAGAGGAAATTGAGGTAAAATGAAGTCCAATGGGTGGGTCCTAATTCAGTATGACAGGTAACCTTATAAGAAGAGGCAATTAGGACATAGACATACGCAGAAGAAAGACCATGTGAAGACACTGGAGGAAGAAAGCCATCTACAAGTCAAGGAGAGAGGCCTCAGAATGAAATCAATCCTGCTGACATTTTGATTTGGGACTTCTGGCCTCTAGAATTGTGAGAAAAGAAATTTCTCTTATTTAAGCCATGCAGTCTGTGGTATTTTGTTACAGCAGCCTTAGCAAACTAATACACACACACACACACACACACACGCACACATACACACACAAAGGAAAACATGTTAAATGTTGAGCAATGGGGGATTAATGAAACACGTTTTGGCTCATCTGCATGATGGAGCTCCATTCCTACATTTAAAGTGATGCTGATGAACACTGTCATGGAAAGCTACTGATGCTATGTCATTATATAAAGCATATTATCCAATAGTATGTATAGCATAATATTTTATTTGTATGTGTGTGTATATATATAAAGTAAATATTAGTTTGGTCTGAGTGGTGATACATTCCTTTATTTGTTTAGGAAAGTAAAAATTTGTGCTGCTGGCTGCTGGATCATGACGTTCCCAAGTGAACACTAACAATGCTTACAGAATATAAACAATGTTCAGACAAGGCCACTCTGTGACTATGTTTGGAACAAGATAAAGATGAGGCCACTCTATAACCATAAAAATGACTAGATACATTCTTCTTTTAACAGAAGTGACTGCTATTTTCTTTCTTTTTAAATGAATGACAACTCTTACCCACTTTAGATTTTTTCCTTGCTAAGATAAAAATTTTTTCCTTGCTAAGATAAAAATTGTACCTTCATTTTGACAGAATCTCATCCAGATTTGATCCCTACTTTCCTAATTTCTCCTTAAATTTATCCATTAAATTCCCAGATCTTATAAGAAGCCCTCTCAACTCCCTCTTATCAAGAGGCTCCAGAAATCTGGTGGTTTAGGTCAATGGGCCTTAACAATTCCAAATTAGATCAATTTGTCCCCTCCCACCGACCACAACTAGCAGGACATTCCATCTCAGTTGAGTTTTAGGAGGCTCTTCTTGATTTATAAAGCTGTTGAGGATTTTAGGATGTTCATTGCCCTTTTTAAGAGGGCAGCTTCCTTTCCTCTACCAAGCTGGGCACGGGAATTTTTTGTTGTGTGCCAAGGCCAAAAACCTGGGGTTCAGTCCAGGTCACTGCTTGAGGACTGTTTGGGAGTGGGGCATAGATCTTCACCATTTCTTGAACCCAATGCCACTGGTCTCCTCCTTGGCAAAACTTCTGTCCTCCTGGCTTAGGCCTCCACTCTCAGGACTAGTCTCTTTCTGGGTGGATAGAGTGTTAGCTTTCTAGCACCTCCTGGCTTCTGGTTTGTAGCTCTGCAACTATACTTATTAACAAGTGGCTGAGGCTAGGAAGCTCAGACTTAGAACACGAAATTTGCTTGGGAGTGAGGGAGGAAAAAGCATCTCTCCTTCTTTTACAGTGGTGCATTCAGCACATACCATTTTCTAAATAACACTCTGACTCATATTCTAGAAAGGGTTTTGATATATGTCCTGCAGTGTTAAAAGTGGTATTATGGGCCTTTAAAGTGTTTACTTTTGTTACTTATTTTTACTTTCTAAATTTTCTTTCGTTGAACATTTGCTTCCAAAATCAGAAAAGTCATTTATTTTAGCTAATAAAATAACGAAACAGAATAAGAAGAAAGGAAGAATGAAATAAGTAAAACAAGCCTGTCAGTAGTGGATGTATAGACATATTGATGTAGTATGAATTTAGGACAGCCTGAAAATTGGCTTTCTCTCAGTGCATAAAGGCTGGCCCTATGGAAGTGGTAGGAGGAATGAGGTTCATTGTTGAGGAGAAATGTCTTTTGAAAGGGAAATGACATAATGGCTTTTACCCCTAGCTCATATTAGAATTACTCGATACCCAGGCCCCACCCCCAGTGATTTATGTGATTACTGTTTAAAGGAAGGAGAACATGGATGAGGAATGAGGCCCTCAATACAAAACTTCCCTATTTACATTTTTCCTTAGAGCCATCTTTGGAGGAAAGGTGGGATCAGATTATTCCCTTTTATTAGTGTTTTCTCAGATATTGTAAGGCTACCCCATTGATGTAAAAACTATGTTTACTGTTACAGGGAAGAACATTTGAAAGCAATTTTTACTTGTACATTTTATTGTATTGTATGTTAGAAAAATATGGCCGGGCAAGGTGGCTCAAGCCTGTAATCCCAACACTTTGGGAGGCCGAGGCGGGCGGATCACGAGGTCAGGAAATTGAGACCATCCTGGCTAACATGGTGAAACCCCATCTGTACTAAAAATACAAAAAAATTAGTTGTGTGTGGTGGCGGGCACCTGTAGTCCCAGCTACTTGGGAGGCTGAGGCAGGAAAATGGCGTGAACCCAGGAGGCGGAGCTTGCAGTGAGCCGAGATCGCACCACTGCACCACTGCACTCCAGCCTGGGCAACAGAGTGGGACTCCGTCTCAAAATAAATAAATAAATAAATAAAAAATATATATATACACCAAAGTCGTGATTTCATGGCAATGATATAGTTTTTAAACAACTAAGTTCATTTATGCAAAAATATAAGCCAACTGGCATACACATATTAGGTAAATTACAGTAGAGGTGGTACACAGATATGACAAGAATCAAGACGGTATGCAAGACTTTAGGCTGGTAAACACTGGTAGAAGTTGTTTTATCAAATCTTTCTGAAAGAGGTGAGAAATTCAGAGCAATTCTGAGATGAGAAAGAGGTGCAATTCAGAGCAGTGCTTTCAAACACTGGACTGAAAAATATGTGGGGCTGGCTGAGAGCTTGTGGAAAATAGAGATTCTAGGTTCCTGCCTAGAGACTTCAGCTCAGGAGATCTATGAAAGATATCCGGTCACTCTGTTGCAATCAGGTGTGGGAACCTTGCAGATGGGAGTCATACTTCCTTGGGCTCGAAGACCAGTAGTTCTTGGTAATTAAACTTATTTTAAATATTTGCTGTCTGTGAAGTCTTTTAACTGTTGTTGATTGTTGCAGTATGGCTTTGAAAACTTCTAATTTTTAAACTGGGCCTCTGGGTCTCAAAACTGGGTTCATGTGTGTAAATTAAAATACACACAAGTGAGCACACTATATCCCGGCCAAATACACATTTTAATTTGATTTAACCAATAAAACAAACGGGAATGAATTATACCATTAGGCTCAACAGGGCTGCCAGAGCAAACCAACAGCGTGATGCAGACCAGGCATGGGAGTCATAAAGTGCACGCTTCTAGTGGAATGGAAGATGCTCGAGTGGGAGCTGTTTCATGGCAAATTAATGTTTACTCGGTGAGTTTCAGAGGAATCATTGTGAGACAGCTGGAAGAAAGGCCCTGTATGGGAGGACTCTGAGATGGAAACCCTGTGTTGGGGCCTCAAGAATCCTGTGAGAAGGTGACTTAGAGACTTAGAGGGGAGTGGGTGAGAAGGAGGTGAGAAACCAGAAAGCTGAAATCATGGATAAAAGAGAAATAGGAAACTGTTAGCACCTGATAAAATCCTTTTCCTGAATGACAGCAAATGGTTATTCCTGAGGGGGGAAAAAAAAGCAAAATATTATCCCAGAGGGAATTAGAAAGCAGAATAAGTTCTTGATGGAAAGCAAAAAGGTCAAATATAGGCTGGGTGCCCCAGTGGTTCATGCCTGTAATCTCAGCACTTTGGGAGGCCAGGGCGGGTGGATCACCTGAGGTCAGGAGTTTGAGGCCAGCTGGACCAATATGGTGAAACACCATTTCTACAAAAATACAAAAATTAGCCAGGTGTGCTGGTGGGTGCCTGTAGTCCCAGCTACTCGGGAGGCTGAGACAGGGAATTGCTTGAACCTGTGAGGCGGAGGTTGCAGTGAGCTGAGATCACGCCACTGCACTCTAGCCTGGGCGACAGAGTGGGAATCCTCTAAAAAAAAAAAAAAAAAAAACTCAAGTACAGATCTATATAGTTACAGGTTAATATCTTAAATTTTTGGAGGCAGGCCTTACTTAGTTCAATGACTGTTTTATAGTCTGACTTGGTAGGTGTTAGGTTATATGCCCTGATTTGAGAGTCAGAAAAAAATGGTGATAGCATCTGGGGTGTGAAGCCCAAGGTGGCCCCCAGATAGTCCTGGTTGGTGTAACATGGCATGTGAATTGCAGAACTTCAGAATTGCAGGGCAAGGGTTGTGGGATCCAGGGATCCCACAAGGCAAAGGGGACAACTGCCCCAGGCCAGGCTGCTCAGCAGGGCTTCCGGCAGCACTAGCCACTGTTTTTCACCTGCTTTCAGTTAAAAAGTCCTTGCCACAGATTCCTAGTCAAATCCTAATTGTCCTCTCTCCCTCTGATGGAAAATTTTCACCATGTTGAGGAAGGTTGGGACAAAGCTTAGTTTTCTCTCTTTTTTCTTTTCTTTTCTTTCTTTTTTCTTTTCTTTTTTTTTTTGAGACTGAGTCTCACTCTGTCACCCAGACTGGAGTGCAGTGGCAAGATCTTGGCTCACGGCAACCTCGGCCTCCCAGATTCAAGAGATCCTCCTTCCTCAGCCTCCTGAGTAGCTGAGATTACAGGTGCAAGCCACAACGCCTGGCTAATTTTTGTATTTTTAGTAGAGACAGGGTTTCAGTTTAACTCTGTTTCCTTTCCTTCTCTGTTTCTTCATAGGCGTATATATTTTTCTGGCTTGTTTAAATCTAGTTTCAGTGTGTCAGTCCCCTTTTTCTGTTGTTCCTATGGAGATTGAAGTCACAGGATTTTGGGTGCAATTGTAAAAGACATTGGTTTTATGATACCTTGGTTATATGTGGGATAATTTTACAAACTAATTTGAATTTTTTGACAGAAAATAAGAGTTTAGCACAGTCTCCCCACTAGGTGTCACCCTTGATCCAATGAAACCTGGCTAGTGACATAAGAAGCACATCTATAAAATATACCTTTATTACCTTGGTTCTATAAACATGAATAACAAAATATCCCCACTTCTGTGTTCTTAAGTCCTTTCCTGGTGATATCTGTCATAAAAGGCGACCATAGATCAGTTCTCTGGAGGACTAATTTCTATCACAGAAGGTGACATGCCACTCCTTCAACGACGCAGGCCAGCGGCCAGAGGAGAAGCCTCCTCAATTCACCGATTGCTTTTTATGACACAGGACCCCGCCCCTTCGGAGATCACATTGGACTCTCCTGTGATTAGAGCCAGTGTTTACAAAACGCCCTATTTCTGCTTGCTGCTTTCTGAAGTGCTGTGTCCTAGTCTTTCCAGGCAGCACTTTTCCCGCCTCCACCTGTCTGCGCTCCTGGGCATGCGCCGCGGGCAGAGCTGCCACTTCCCACCTTATGGAGCAGCGGGCCCACGGGTGACGTTCAGGAAACTCGCAGCCCGGGAGGCTGCCCCGTCGCCCATAGAGCAGCGCCGGGGCGATGCAGGCCAAATCGCAGCTAGCTATTATTAATATTTCGAATTTCAGAATTTGGAATTATTTAGATCGGCTACAAGTATTGGCTAAGTTCTATTTGTTTCCCTTTGCACTGCCTTTAGAGATAAAAATGGACATACAATTTTGAGTTAACAGGAAAGCAACTGATTTGATCAATCTGATTCAGAAATATTGTCTGGGGTTCTAAATAAAAATATATTTTATTACTGTTTTAAAATTTTTCTTTCTTCAAAATATAAGGAATTCACTTTCAGAAAAGAAATGGGGCACTAATAATAAGTGTTTATATAGCACTTTCCAGTTCAGGAGGTTGCTCAAATCCATTATCTCCTGTTATTTTCAGCACAGCTGTGGGAGATGGGTATTATTGCTACCATGCCACTGACTGGGCCTAGACCTGTACCATCCCATGCCCGTCCAGCTGAAATTTTAATCAAGACCTCATGACCCCAGAAGCTGTAATAGCCATTAAGCCAGTGATTCTTAACCAGGGTGTGCGTCAGTATTTCCTGGTGACCTTTTCAACATATGTACGGCCAGATCTACCCTGGACCTCCTTTGTCAGAATCTCCTGGCTGATACTGGATTCTTTCAATAAAGAAACACATAGCCTAGCATCAAGACAAGGTAAATACTTAAGGTGATGGATATCCCAATTCCCCTGATGTGATTATATGACTATAAAGTTACCACATGTACCATGAAAAGGTACAGCTATTATGTATCAATACAAATTAGAAAATAGAGATGCCCCTTTAGGTATAAATATCACGTCAGGTATGGGGACAAATAAATGTTTTAGGAAGAAACAAAGCAGAGTGAGGGGGTGGAGAGTGACAGGTGGTGCTGTTTTAGAAAGCGCCTGTTAAGGAAGGCTACACTCTCTGCGAAGGGACATTTGGACTCAGACCATAGTGAAGAGGAGCAGTAAATATCGTGGATGTGGGTGGGAAGGGGGTTCCAGCAGAGGTAACAGCAGATGCAAAGTCCCTGAGGCAGGAGCGTGCTTGGTGTGTGGAGGAACAGCGAGGAGACCAGTGTGGCTAGAGTGGGGCTGGTGAAGGGGAAGTACTAGAGACAGGTCAGGAGGGCAGCCTGGAGCCAGATATTAGTCCTTCACCTGGTGCTGTACAACCTTTAAAACAGGCGCAGGTACTCCTTTAAAACAGGGGCAGTGCTTTTTTCCCCCCTCTACCTTGCTAAACAATGAGCAAGAAAAACATGGAAGATAAAAGCACAGCTAAAATACAGTCTTGATGAGCTGCCACCATTGCAATCACCATGAAGCTGTAGTTCAGGGCTGTTAGGGAGACTGAGAAGAGTGAAAATGGTTAGTGGTGAATGAGTAGCTGCTAATTTGATAATCACCGTGAATCCGAGTGAAACAGATTTGTTCCCCTCACTGTCTACAATTTACTTTTATTTGTGATTGAATTGTAATTTCCATTTAAAATCATTATAAGGAAACAATACGTTCCCATCACACTCACTTAAGTACCATCCTGGAGGTTTTAGTTTTGCTTTAACATTAAATCTGGCCATGCTGTCTTTCATTCCTACCATCAGGGCTTTCCCTTAAGCAGATGCTGTTCTTTTTCTTGTGTGTATAACATGGGAACAAACCACACATGCCTGGAGAAATGATGATCCTGTTTCATTTTTAGATAACTGCAGATTGGTTAGTTTTGAAATTTTCTCTCAAGAGAGATAAATGTCTTTCCTAATTTTTTAGGAAAAATGCCCCTTCCATATAGATATAACTTTAAAAATATTTATTAAGGCAGGAATAGAGTGCCATATCCACAAAGTTTAAATCCAGTACTGTAGTGGATCGTAAACAATTAAACAACTTACCATGATGAGTATAGTTGCATTACACAGTGTAATTTATTTTCCAGATTGATTATTTTAACTACGATATGGGAAATAAAATGTGCTATGATTGGTCACTTGTTTGTCAGCTGGAATAGTCAGATTAAAGAGGGCCCCAAAAGAGAAATGCAGGTAACTTTGTCTGTCATAGCACAGTCACAGAGCTCACACTCTGAGTGGTTGAAACATAAAGGTAGGTAATGACTTCAGAAAACAGGTATCTTCTCAGGCCTCAGCATACTGTTGTAAGAAGCAGAGGGTGAAATGAGATGCAAAGTGTGATATATAAATGTGCACAATGTGATATAAAATTTAAAAAAAATGTATATTTAGACAGGGTCTCATTCTGTCACCAAGGCTGGAGTGCAGTGATGTGATCTCGGCTCACTGCAGCCTTCATCTCCCAGGCTCAAGTGGTCCTCCCTCCACAGCCTCCCGAGTAGCTGGGACTATGGGCATGCACAACCACGCCTGGCTAATTTTTGCATTTTTTTGTAGAGACGGGGTTTCACCATGTTGCCCAGGCTTGTCTCGATCTCCTGGGGTCAAGCAATCCACCTGCCTTGGCCTCCCAAAATTCTGGGACCACAGGTGTGACCCACTGTGCCCAGCCAGACCTTACGTTTGTTGAAACAAAATCATCTGTTTACCTACGCATTATATAATATATAGAATGATATACTTGCAATATTGCCAGTAGTATTTCTTTAATAGAGGATGGTTGAATTTTTATTTGGTCACTTATCTATACTTTTTAAGATAAACACATACTTATATAATTTTAAAAATGTGTACCATAGAGTTTATATACTTTTATAATGAAGAAAAAGCACCAATAAAAGTTTTTTTTTTTTTTTTAAATGGCATGTTTGTTGCATTGTATAAAAATCTCATTCTGGCTTCTTCCCAGCCTCATTTTTTTTCCATATTCCACCAGTGAATCATTGATTCCTGTCTCTTTTACTTCAACGCAAACTTAGTTTTCCATAATAAAAAACCTGTAGCTTGACTCTTCTGTAATTTGTCATGTTTTTTGCTATATCACTCCAACCACAGAGGTAGGGATGACATTTGTCATGTTTTTGTTATATGACATTTGTTATATGACATGTTTTTGTTACATGACATTTGTCATGTTCTTGTTATATCATTCCAACACTCCAACCACAGAGGTAGGGACGATTTTTCTGTGTGACAGTTAATATTTTATGGAGGTTGGTCTGGATTCTGGACCACACTGTTGGCTATATGTATTCTTTTCCAGTAGAGGGCAGCAGATGACAGAATGATGAGTCATTAAGATGAACTGTGTTGACAGCTTTCTGGGAGACATGTGAGAAATGGTAGAGGCATAGTTGGCTGGGTGTCATAGTGACTCAGTCATTCAGAAAGCCATATGGTTTATTTGTATTTGTGCAAATTAACAACAGAATGTTTCCCTTTCCTCCAAACTATGGGGATGCAGAAAATTAACTTCTGCCCCATTGTTAGGAATTTCCAAAGATTCCAGTGACACAAATGTAAACACTTAGGAATAGAACTTGTACCAAATAAGAGTTATTTTATAAGACTTGTATACTTTGCACTATATTTCCTTGGAGGTTCTGATTAACTAAATTTGAGGTAGGGCCTCAAGTAAAGTCGACATATCAAACATAGATAAACCATTCTTGCCTTAAAATACATAAAATATGAAAGTCAGATAAAAGGGTACAAATTGTATATACAATTAAAGGGTTGTAAAGGAGCGGTGATTAGTAAAGAAAATACTCAGGAAACAAATTTGACTTTGAGAAAGGATTTAAAGAAAGAAATGCCAGCAGTTTAGAGGAGGGACCTGACAAGATTGAAAACTGGTGCCCACTGAATCCAAGTGAATCCAGGCTGCACAAGGATTCTTTTTTTTTTTTTTTTTCTGGAGACAGGCTGTCACTCTGTCACTCAGGCTGTAGTGCAGTGGCTCATTCATAGCTCAATGCAGCCTGAAACTCCTGGGCTCAAGCAGCCCTCCTGAGTAGCTACTCAAGGCTCAATCTACTGAGTAGCTAGGACTACAGTTGTGTGCCACCATGCCCAGCTAATTTTTTTATTTTCTAATTTTGTAGAGACAGGGTCTCATTATGTTGGCCAGGCTGGTCTCAAACTCCTGGCCTCAAGCTATCTTGCTGCCCTGTCCTCTCAAAGTGCTCGGATTACAGATGTGAGCCACTGCATCCAGTTCTGTACAAGTATTCTATTTGGTCAGCAGAATGCTTTATATTTTTTAAAATTTGTATTTCTGTAGATGGGGCATGCACCTTCTAGTTTGCTACCCTCCTCACCATTCCCTATCATCATACACCTGGCACTTTACACATTTCTCTTTATCTTCCTAGCTCCTGAAGCCATTTGTGACTACAACTTCTGGCTTAGAGGAACTAAGGAGGTGGGTACCAGAGGGAGGAGGCAGTCATCTAGGAGCAGGTAAATCACCTGTAGAGGGTGTGTGGGGTTTATATAAACTGGATTACTCAGCCCAAGGGGCCATGTTGGAAAATAGGTAATAAGGAATTGAAGAAGTAGACAGTGGTGGTGATTTGAAGAGTAGTTTAAACCTTGTACTGCCACACTCCAGGATGAGAAAACCAGAAAGTCCTAGAAGAAAATGAAAGAACTCACCCAGAAAAAGTGCTAGAAAATCTGTTTCTGTTTAATATGTGCTTTCTCTATGGGTTTTGATGACTAGAATTGCTCTGCTGAAAAGTAACAGCAAGTGCCAGAGTCAAACATGATTGACATGTGTGAGTGCTGCCCCTCACTGTCACTCCAGAGCTCCCCACTTACCTGTGTGTCCCAGAAAAGTTAAAGGCTTGAGAGAATCAGCTCCCCACATCCATGACATGGGTCTCTCCTTGTACAATATTTAAAAATATATATTATGTATATATATGTTTTAAAAGTTTGATTTTGCTCTGTCACCCAGGCTATAGTGCGTTACAGCGGTCACAGCTCACTGTAGCCTTGAACTACTGGGCTCAAGGGATCTTTCTGCCTCAGCTTCCTGAGTAGCTAAGACTACAGGTGTGCACCACCATGCTTTAAAACTTTTTAGGAAAAAGGGTTGCCCAGGCTAGTTTTAAACTCCTGGCCTCAAGGGATCCTCCTGCCTCAGCCTCCCCAGTTGCTAGGATTATAGGTGTGAGGCACATGCCTGGCCCTTGCACAACTTTGAGAGCACTATGAAGTGCTAGCATACTGCCCCAGAGTCAGTGGTGGTCCTGGTGCCGACATTGACTCAATGGCTCACTAGAGCCACAGCCATTTAATCTATTGCTCCTTAGTTTTCTCATCATAATTTAGAGGATTGCACAAAGCTGTGTGAGAAGACCCCTTTAGCATTAGCTGCCTATGATTCAAACTCAGAAAAGAAAGGCCAAGGCCCAAGCTGTGAATCAAGCATGTGTGCTCTTGAGAAGAGTATTAGGCACATTGCATATGGGAGGAAAAAATGAGGAGGGGTGAACAGGGGCAAAGAGTGTGAAGTCTAAGAACATTAGACATAGGCTCCAATTCTAATTCCAGCTTTTCCTAGCTGAGTGACCATATAACTTCTCTGAGCCTCAATTTCTTTTGCAAAATGGAGACATTGGTATGTGTCTGGCTGGACTCTTTGGAAAATTAAATGAGATAGTGTTTTTAAGTGTCTGGCACATCTTCACTGCTATCCTCGTCCTCAACCTCACCACATGTAGAAGTTAGTCTTGTGAATATCCCAAACTTCTGTCTGGAAGAGGCCCTCTAAATGAGAAGTCTCAAGGACACAGCATCGAGATTTCATCTCTAGGAGAACCATGGACAGCATCTGTGCTGACAGTTCTTTGATTAACTCAGTTAAAACTTGGAATGGCTAATCTGCTGTTTTCAGGCAGTTTTGATTGCCACAGCATTTTGCTGTTGCACCGTCATCAAAAGAATCAAAGGAAGAATTGTGTTTAGGATCCAGAGGCTGCTTCTGGAGAATGTGGGGAAAATGCTGACAGCTCACTGTGATGATTTGCTGGGGACCGAAGAAGAAAGACGTTCAGACCAAGAAATGGCTCTGCCTACCTGCCTCTGAGGCCTGCAGCTCTTCACTGGAACCTTGTTGCTTTGACATGAGGCATCTTGTCCTCCCCAGAGTCCTTTTTCCATCTCCAGCAGAAGCCGTGTTTTTCCGCACACCTGAGGGATAAGACATGTCTCCCTAAGAGAGGCCTGGTATAGAGCAGTTGCCTGTAGGGAAGGAAGAAAGTTGAGTGGGAAAAGGGATGGTTCTGGGTGACTGAAGAAAACCCCAGGAGGTGTCTCTGTGACATTATCTTTTCCTCTAGAAAACCATTTTCTGAATCTAACCTAATAATAAAGTAATCCAATCAATAACTAAGTAGAAAGGCACATCATGTTAGACTTTCCGTCATCCTTAAGTACAAATCTGTTTTGGAAAGAACTTCGGAGATTTATTTTTAGGGAATGAGATCACTAAAGGTGGTTTCATAGTTTCACAGGATAACACAAAATTTCTTTTATTGATTTTTTTTTTTTTTTGACATGGAGCCTCACTGTGTCATCCAGGCTGGAGTACAGTGATGCGATCACAGTTCACTACAGCCTTGAACTCCCTGGCTCAGGTGATCCTCCTCCTTCAACCTTTTGAGTAGCCAGAACCACAGGCGTGCACCACTATGTCTGACTAACTTTTTGTGAAGATGGGGTTTCGCTATGTTGCCTAGGCTGGTCTTGAACTCGGGCTCAAGCGATCCGCCTGCCTTGGCCTCCCAAAGTACTGGGACTACAAGGTGTGAGCCACTGTGCCTGGCAACTTTTTTTTTTTTTGAATCAAAACGAGGCCCAGGAATTACTGATTAACTTCTAAAATTCTTGGTGGCTTGCTTAAAACTCAGCCATAGATGCCTAAGGACAAAAGAGGCTTGATTGTGGGAGGTGAGAATAAGGCTTGGGATAAAGTGGGCAGTGGTTAAGGAGTTGGAGATTCAGAAGGGAAAGGAGACGCTGCAACTGGTTTTTAGCTGGAAGTGAGAGAAAGAGCACAGATTCCTGCAAGGGCAGAGGAGCACTTGTGGGACTGGGTGGCAGGGCCCAGATTAGGGTGAGGCAAGTGAGACACCCAGGTGCTAAATTCAAGGAGGCACCCACAGTCAGGGCGCGTGAGTGCAGGGGTGGCACCTGAGAGTGAGTGCCTCCTTCAGTGTGGCATCACAGATGCTCGAGTTGTTCATCCTAGTCCAGGCTCTGAGAGTACAGTAAGATGGAGCAACATTTTGTTTTTCCAAGACAGTTTCAAACTTTCCTCCTATTTTGGTTACCCAGAGGTTCTGATAAAAATCGAAATAGCACAACTTTGGGAAAGAAATTCTCCTATGAGTATAGGGCTTATTCTATAGTAAAAATATGGCTCACGACTTACCAAGATGTACACATTTGTGGTTTAAGGTAAAAAAGTGAAAAAAAAATCATCCTCCAAATTAGTGTCTGTTTATATCCCGGTGTGTGGATGGAGAACTAAGATTTTTTCCTCTTTCTCTCTTTTCCTCTACCTTTCTTCTTTTCTCTTTCAACTCTTTCCTTCTATTCTGTCTCCCCTTCTCCTTCCGGCCCAGTTTGACACCACTGAAGTGCCTGCCCTTCTCTTTTTCTTCCTCCTTCCTTTGCTTCCGTTGCTTATAACAGATTCGGAGGGGGAAAAAAAGAATCAAATATCTGTTTCACAGCCATTTCATAAACAATACTGGCTCTTTTCTTTTGGTACCACTAGGCAATGAAAAGCACTGTAGGAGGACATTTGTGACAGTATAGTGATGAATTCATGACGAGTCGGCAGCGTCGACTTGAAACAGGTCCACTGTGTTTCTCTACATTTAGCCAAGACCAAACCAGAATGAATGCCTATGGGTGCTCAGCTGGATGCATGAAACAAAGAGGTTTTCTATTTTGTGATGAAAGGAAAATAATTTGAGGGGGAAAAAAAAAACCCTCTACTCAAACCAGAAGTTTAGTTTGTGTTTGTTTCAGCCAAACTACTTCAAGCCCTGTCATATTTCTGCGGACCTCAATTGTTGCAGAAATGTTTTCAAAGCCTTTCAGGTTTTGTTAAATCTCTCCAGAAGTTAATTGAAAAATGGAGTTACTAACACAGCTTTTCCAACATTGGATCGTAGTCAATCTTTTTCAACAACTTTTCAACAGCTTGAATTTTTGAGCTAATTTCCTTTTTTCAAAATTATGTTTTGAAGTAGATACATCTCATGTGAAATACATTTTCAGAAATCTATTTGAAAAATTGATAAGCATTAAAAATTTCTAGCCTGCCACAATAGGAGGAAAGATGAACATGGCTTATGTTATTCTCCTGTTTCTTGTTTAAACATTTCATGATAAAGAATATGTAACATATTGCATAAAGATAGGAAAACAAACTTCAGCCAGAACTGAGGGCTGGTGTGTGGTTTTGTGGGATGTACACTGCACAACACTGGGAACTGTTCCATATTAGCGCCAGTGTATATTTGTATATTTATTAAAATAATTTCTTGGTGAGTGGCTTGGAAATGTCTTGGAGAAGGGGCTTTCCCACCCCACCCCACCCCGTTAATTTGCAGAAAGGCATCATTTGGGAAGGCAGTGGCTCTGAATCTGAGTTAATATTTATAAGTTTTATTTTTGCTCCTGTACTCCTAGGTTTGGATTGGTTGTATCCTGTTGTGCTTGGGACCTTTCTCCCAATTTGCCGATCATTCCAAATGAAACAACAAACAAACAAATCAAAAAACAAAACATGGAACGAACGATTTTGCATTCTTCAGTTCCTCTGATTTCCATTTTCTTTGTCCTGAGCCTAATGTTTCTTGCTGGGTTCCTTTTCCTAGTTCTTTCTTTATGCCAGATGCTGCTCGAAGTGTGTATGTGTGCCAACTCATTAAGTCCTATGTTCTTAGCCATTTTTTAAGGATGAGGATACTAAGGCTCAGAGAGGGCTGCTTACATAGCTGGTCTGTGATGGAATCAGGATTCCAATCCAGGTAATGCAGCACCAAAGTTCCTAATTTGGGTCAATTCCTCAAGCCCTTGTCCCCTCCAATCTCAACTTTCTCTCACTTTCTCCTGACCACAGCAGAGGTCCCGCATGCCTTCTGGTGGACCCTACTCTCCTTGTGACAGATGAGGACAGGAGGGGGCAATTGCCGTTGCGGGTTGTGTGACTCCAGGGCCATGGCATGCTGCTGAAGCCAGAGGTTCTTTCTTTCCTCCCCCATCCACTTTCTCAAACCTTCAGCCTCACTTTGGCAGGCTCCTCCCTTTCAAGAAACTTATCTTTATATCTTCGGGATTTTACGTGCTAGCCCAATATTTGTGGTACATAGATGGGATTTCTTTATGTTTACTCATTCTCTGCTATGTTCCAGAAATAATGTAAAAGGGGGTCTCATGTATAAGCAAAATAAATTCAAAATGATGAGACAAAATAAGTGGATGAAGAGGGCAGGGCAGAAGGAAAATGAATTTGAAAAGGTCAGACGAAATCATGTACAAGTTTGGTCAACACTACATGTGCCCAGCACATTTGCTGGTGACAGGGAGGGATCTGGGTGGGTGGAGTGGGGTGGGGCCATGTGGAGGGAGAGAGTAGGAAAAATAATGTAACCCAGGAGCACTACTCATGGCTGGATTGACTGGGGGATAGATTTTAGAATATCTAATGTGGTATTTTCCAAAGAATATCTAATGTTGTGTTTTCCAAACCATGTTCTAAGTATTACCAGTTCTATGGAACTTAATAGAAAATAAGAGAACAGTGGGGTGATGGTCATGGTTTGTGGTTTGATGTTTCTTTACTGAGAGATTAAAAAAAAAAACTCATGTACATTGTAAGCCTCTAGGAAGGGGATGGGGCTACAATTATTTCTAGACATTTTGACCATGAGGATCTTTCTTTTGGAAACTTAGAGGACTACTGTATTCGGAAGAGACATTGGGGAAAGGAGTATAGGTGGATAAGAAATGCTTGTCTAAAGAAGTTATCCTAAAAGGGAAGATCAGTAATTTTAAGTATATAAAGGGTAAAAATGTATACACAGAAAAAATATTATAGAAAAAATCAAGGAGAAATGACTGAGAAAGGATGACAGATAAAAGGCTAATTTTTAATATAGAAAAAGTTCTTACAAATCAATTTTTAACATCACCAACCCACCAGAAAAATGGACAAAGGACATGAACAGGTAAAAACAAATACAAATAGTTTATAGACATGTGGAAAATATTTATGCTCACTCACAAATGGAAAAATACAAATTAAGTTTAAAAATGAGGCACTGCTTTTTTACCTACCAGAGCAGCAAAGCCTCAGGAGTTTCATAATATGCTGCATCGGCCAGGGTGTGGGTAAGCAGGAAGCCTCCATGTCTGGTGGGAAGATAAATTGGTGTAACCCCTTTGGGGGCACTTTGGCAACCTCTATCACATACATTCAAAATACGGTACAGCTAGACTCTGACCATATTTTTGCACCTCTTCCACTGCCTTCCAGGTCTGAGCCAAGACCTCTCTCACCTGGATTGCTACCCTGGTCTCCTCTCCTGTCTCCCTCCTATCACCTTTGTCCCCAACATCTACTCTCAACACACAGTCACAGAAAGTGTGTTAAAAGCTAGATCATGTTTCATGTTTTGCTCAAATTCTTCCATTGGCTTCCCATCTCACTGAGAGCAAGAGCCAAAATTCCTATATTGGGCTGCAAGGCCCTACCTAACTTGGCCCCAGCACCAATTTGATCTTATCTCTTATTCTGTTCTGGTTCCTTCTGCTCCAGCCACAGTGGCCCCCTTGCTTTTCTTTGAATTTGTCAGCGATCCTTCCATCTTAGAGCCTTTGGACTCAATGTTCCCTCTGCCTAAAACAGGCTTTCCTAGTTATCTGTAGGGCCACATTCCTCACCTCCTCCAGGTCTTTGCTGAAATGTTGCTTTCTCAGTGCAGCCTTTCCTGATCACTCAATTTAAAATCACAACTTCCTGCTTCCATTCCCTCTTACTCTTCTCATTCATCTCTACAGCTATTATCATCTTCTCACGTACTATATGACTGACTTATTTATTGTGTTTTTATCTGTTCCTTACCATGAGAATATAAGCTCCACAAGGGTAGATATTTATTTTTTTGTTTTGTTCATTGATGCACCACTGAACAGTGTCTGGCAAGCTGTCAAATATTTATTTATAAATATGTTTCTCAATATTTATTGACTTTTTATTGAATGGAATTGACCCAGAAATTCCACTTCTAGGAATTTACTTGATGATACACTTATGCATGTGTACAAAGTGACATGAATATTGTTTATTGTGGCAAAACACTGAGCAGTTATCTCAAGATATTGAGCATTACCTGAGGGTACAAATTAAATGAAGACATTGGATAAAGTTTCAAACCAGATAGGACTAAAAGTTGATTTGTGTCCCACTATTTAGAAGGTAGGGGCTGAAGTTGAAGACTAAATCAGTTATAGTCCAAACAAACTACATTTTCTTTTCACCTCTGATTAAAAAATGTGAAATATATACTTGTGTGTGAAGTTGGACTTTTCCTATTGCCTTCGAATTGGTGACCAAGACTCAAGGTTGAGAACAAAGAGGTATTCAGTCCCCACATGCTGAAAGATCCTTTCGATTGCCTTTCAGGTGTCTGACAATTAAGGTCAGACACTTCCGTTTGGGCTTACCAAGAGCAACCATCACCTCTGCTCCCACTTGCTTATATAAAAAGATTAGAGAATAGGTCCAGTCATCAAGGCTCTGTCTTCCAAGAAATACAGAAGGGGCTTCAGAAGACTCACTTGTGGTGATTGGGCCTCCTGTAAGAAGTGGGGTGAGTCTGGCATTTTTCTCTCCTGGCTAGATGGCATTTCTATCTGAAGGCTCACTATGGTATTGCCAAATTGGACTGAAGTTTACCTCTTGGGAATGGTTAACAGGCGTTCCAGGGATTGGAGGCAATCTGAACCCAGGGATTACTTCTTATGTAGAGATTCTTGCAAGCAGGAGGCCTGAAGGAGTCATTTATTGCAGAGAAGTAAGAAGGGATGTGGGGGTAACTTGTATGGGAAAAGGAATAGAACAACCCCATCTGCAGCTCCTCATGTCCTTTGGAAAAACGGAAGATTCATTTACAGGGTATTGGATCTAAATGTAAAAGAGCATGAGGGAGAGTTCTGAGTACACGGAATGAGATTGTCCAAGCAGCCTCTTGTCCTAGCGGGTATATAGGGGCTGGGGAATATACTAGTTAGCTAGAGCTGCCATAACAAACTACCGCAGACTGGGTAACTTAAACAAAATACATTTATTTTCTCACAGCTATGGAGGCTACAAGTCCAAGACCAAGGTGTCAGCATGTTGGTTTCTTCAGAGGCCTGTCTCCTTGGCTTGCTGATGGCTCCCTTCTTGCTGTGTCCTCACATGGTCTTTCCTCTGGGTTCCTACAGCCTTCATGTCTTTGTGTGTCCAGATTTTCTCTTTGGAAAGGATCAGTCAGGCCAGTCAGATTGGATTGAGGCCCACCCTAACTCACTGAATCACCTACATAAAAGTCCTATCTCCAAATATAGTCACATTCTGAGATACTAGATTTCAGGGGTTCAACACAGGAATTTTGGGAGGACACAGTTCAGCCCATAACAGGCTCCTAGTCTTTTAGTGAGTCTGCCACTTTCTGAGCTGCCTTCTAACAGCAAGAGGAAGGCATGGTGGAGTTGAGCACCATTCCAAGCAAATCATCCCACATATGAAGAGACCTCTCCATTAGCAGAGGCTACCAGTAGCAGGTAGAACAAGATTGAGCCAGAGGAATACTAGAGGAGCCTCCCAAGCACCCACTGGTTACCAATGACCCAAGAGCATCTCTTCTTCTCCTATTTCTCCTGCATCCCCAGCTCTCAATCTGAAATGCCTGATCCAGAAAACAAACAAACAAACAAACAAACAAACAACCCAGACTCTCTCCTTCTTCCTCTACCCAATGAATGAGATCAGCCTCTTCCTAACTCCAAGTCATGTGAGGCAATCCCAGGAAAGATCCACTGGGAAGAAGAGAGGAGATGAAATTTAAACTGGATATGAGGTGGGAGTTCTAAATCAAAATAAGGTGAATTTAACTGAAAGTGCCAAAGAAGTTATAGGATCTGCCTAAGAAGTTACGTAGAAAAGTTTTTTTTTTCAGAGCTCAGATGAATATAGGGATTGAAAAAATAAAGCTATGTCAATTTAAACTTCACCAAATTGATATTTCTCAATAAATTGAATATCTGTTTCTTTCTATGGATATGGAACCATATCTTGGAAAACACCACAAGCTGTTTTTAGGAATTATCTCTAGGGAAGGGGAAGTTATGGACCAGAATTGGTGTAAGAAGAAAATGTGCTTTCATTTTAAACCCTTTGAACTTAAAAAAAAATTACCATGTAGATGTATTACTTTAAAAATACTCAAGCAGTTTAAAACTAAAGTAATTAAAACAGTATGATACTAATGGAGAATGCTGTTAAGAAGCAACCCTGAAAAACGTCAACTCTAAGTTGAAGGAGTTTCTTACCAGTGGGAAAAATAATTGTTGTAGGTTGAACCAGGGAAACACGTAATAGGAAGAAGCTAGAATTTCCTGGGTTTGAGATGGAAACCTGTTCTATAAATGTAGAGGAAGACCTGTAAAAGGAGTGGGAGAAACCAGAGACTTGGAATGTAAGAAACCATTGTGAGCCGCTGATGCTGTTGCTTGAAGGGAGATAAATGTTGTGACAGATGTCTGCAAAGCTTTTGGCAAGGAATGGGGTTCCATTTGGTATGGTGCATTTCAAGGTTAAGCTCTTCTGTGTCATGTAGATGTGGCAGGTTTTTGGCTTAGTGCTGAACCATGGGGTTTGGGATTTATATAATTGTAGAAAGCATTAAGTCAAGAGGCAATGCAGAATAGTTTGGCTAGTGACATTTTATGTAATTCCTCATGCATATGTTTAGGCCGTAGAAATCACCCCTAAAATACCAGGAAAGGATTCAAGAAAAATGGGAAGAAGAGTAAGAGGTCATTATAGTCTATGCATGTGTTAAATTTATGTATGGGTTGTTC
Organism: Homo sapiens; assembly: GCF_000001405.40. Classification (NCBI taxonomy): domain Eukaryota; kingdom Metazoa; phylum Chordata; class Mammalia; order Primates; family Hominidae; genus Homo; species Homo sapiens. The sequence goes on along the minus strand of NC_000003.12, from coordinate 148,932,866 downwards.
ATTTCCCCGTACATGATTAATTCTATTCTTGAGAGTGTTGAGTAAATTAAAATAATAAAACCATCACAAAGGGATTCTCTGTGTGCAGACAGTGACTTGAGAGGGAGTTATAACTCTATCATCTTCCTGGAACTGAATTAGACTAGGAAGAAAGGAGTTCTGATGAAATGAAGTGTAAAACAGGACAGCAGCCTGGATGCAATGAAGGTGGCTAATGCACACTAATACCTGCCACAGTTGTTTTCTCTAATATTTGAAAAGATGAAGGGGGAAAGTTATAAAATGCTAATAAAATCAGTCAAAAATGCAGTCTTTGCCTAATTTTAAAAGGAGTCTTTGCTGTTGAGGAGTACACTCCAAGAAATCTACCAGAGCTAAGAAGTGTCACTGTTGGCTTTATCCTGATGCTTTTCACTCATTTGAGCCTCTGGTTCTGAGATCAGGCCAGTGATGTTGCAAAAAGGGCATTTCTGCAAGGAAGGACTCACATATCAGCTCCCTTTGGCCCATACAGACTCCATTTCCATTGGATTTTAACATTTTAAGGTTAAAGGAATACCTGATGCTTTTTTGTTGTTTTTTAAAGCCTAGATGGTGTGACATGTCAAGAAGCTATTTTGTTACACTTAACAATGTTTTGGCTGTTTGGTAAGACTTACAGTTCTGGAAAGTTTTTGTTTTTGGAGAATCATCCCCAAAAATGCTAGAGCACCCGCTATGGGAAGCTGGAGAAGAGGCTGCTGTAAAAGAGGAAAGAAACAAGGTCTCCAGCTTGCCCTCTCATGTTGTAGGCTTATTTGACAATTCCGAGGTCAAGAATCCTGAGGAGCATTTTAAAGACAATAGAAAAGGATGTTAGATTTAGTAGATATTGGTTTTCTTTTGCTTACCCGCCATACTTTCTCTCATTTTGAGGAGCCTCCCTCCTCTAATAATCAAGTTGCTTTGGCTGAGGCTGCCTCACCCTCTGTTCTGGGAGAAGACACTTGACATAGGTCTGAGTCAGTTAATAAACTCTACCTGGTCACATTGGTTGCTTCTGGCTTCAAGTGAATCCTTGTTTCTTGGGTAGGACTGACCCGGAAGGAGAAGTGCCTCTCTCTTTTGAGGAACTTGAATGAGAAAGGAGGTAGTAGGTTGGAACTCTGCCGCCCTGTTGGTAGTGCTGGTGAGCCTCTCTAGAATGCGGCATTACAGAGGAAGCATGGAGAGAACGGGATCCTGATGAGTTTTCAAAACTTTTAATTCAGCCATGTCTAAAACCAAGCCTACAAGATGACATTTTCAGTAATGTGAGTTAATATATTCTACCCCTCTAACCCTTTATTTTGTTCAGCCGTTTTGAGTGAGGGCTGTCTTCATGGAAGTGTTCCTACTTGTTACTGTAAAGTATTATGAGGCGATTACAACAAAAATTTGAGATGCAGAATAAATTAAAAGGGAAAATATCTAAACATGATGATTAAATCTCAATAAAGACAAATGATTGGGCACTAAAATTATAGATAAAATAAGTAATTTGAAATAAAGATACAAAGAATCATAAGTTAAAAATATAATAGTAAGAGAGATAAAAGATTAACATAAAAGACTAAAATCCATGATATAAAAGTTGAAAACACAAAAGTAGAGAGAATTAAGGACTAAGAAAAGGAATTGAAAACAATAAAGGTAAAACAATATTAAAAAGTTCAGAAGAATAAAATGGATTTGGAGAAATATCTTAAAAAGAAAATGAAAACAAAATCTTAAAAATTAGAAAAAGAGGTAAAAGAAAACCAGTACAAAGTGAGTCAGTCAGAATCCACACAAAGTTCAAGGGATGATTAAAAAAATTCCGTTGATGGGATGTCATTTGGTGGGGCTAAGAGCCAAGAATACAGAAGGCCCTTAGCTTGAGCAGTTACCTATAAATATGCAGGGTATGTCTGTTTAATACTGACACACAGTGGAACAGTAGGGGGAAAGAAAACCAACCTTCTCATCCTTGGGAAACTTGAAAGCAAGTGTCAGTCATCTCCCTCTTGCCAGCACACACAATAGGGGCTCGTACAATTCTTTATTGACTGGTCTGCAAATTTGGCGTATTATACACAGAGCTAATAGAGCATAGTTACAGTCAATTAGATCATTGGCAGGAAAAGCAGGGTGTCACTGGATACATTTTTTTTCAAACTATTTTCTTTATAAAGAAGAAATATGTGGGGCATATACCAGCAATAAAGTAACCCAGCTATAACTGCCAAACATCAATACAACTATTTAGGATTCCATCTGAGTTTTTGTGATCATAGGATGTCAGGTTTTAGCTTGTGTTCAACAGCCATTCAGTTCTTGAAATACTAGAACAAGAAAAAGATTATATATTCAACAGAAATAAAAAATTGGTATGGTATTGTTACATAGTCAATATTTTCCCCTTGAGATTCAGATATAAAAAGAATGTAGTTCAAACTGAAAAAAGTATATTAGGAAAAGTACTAGTATGAATGACCTTTCTAACCTCCTAGCAAGGTTACAGATGGTGAAAGTCAATTATCATGACACTGCGAACTCTATGTTGGGTTGACAGACAGTGTGAGATGTAAAATTTTGTCATTTTCTTCTGTTTTGTATTTAATCTAGAAATATCAGAAAACCTGTTCATTTGCAATAACTATTTTTAACTTGAATATACTACAGAATTTATCCTGTTATATTTGATGCTAATTTTTAATTTTTTTTCTTGCTGGAAGTGTTTCCTGAAGTATTTTACTAGATATATATATATATATATATATTTTTTTTTTTTTTTTTAGATGGAGTTTTGCTTTTGTTGCCCAGGCTGGAATGCAATGGCGCGACCTTGGCTCACTGCATCTGCCTCCTGGGTTCAAGCAATTCTTCTGCCTCAGCCTTCCTAGTAGCTGAGATTACAGGCGCCCACCACCACGCCCAGCTAATTTTTTGTATTTTTAGTAGAGATGGAGTTTCACTACATTGGCCAGACTGGTCTTGAACTCCTGACCTCAGGCGATCCACCCACTTCAGCCTCCCAAAGTGCTGGGATTACAGGTGTAAGCCACTGCACCTGGCTTAGTTTCATATATTTTAAGAAATTCATTCAGAAATAGATCAGAATATCTGTGATAGTCAATTTTATGTGTCAATTTGTCTAGGCTACTGTACTTAGATATTTGATCAAACATGTCTGGATGTTGCTGTGAAGATATTTCTTAGGTGAGGTTAATATTTAAAGCAGTAGACTTTGCGTAAACAAATTACTCTCCATAATGTGGGTGAGCCTCATCCAATCAGTTGATTGTCTTAAGAAAAAAGGCTTTTTGAAGGTCTTAAGAAAAAAGACTGATCTATCCTGAAGAGGGTATTTAACCAGCACATTGCCTGTGGAGTTGTGTTGTAACCTTAATTCTTTCCTGGGGGTGTGGACTGTTGGCCTACCCTGCAGGTTCTGGACTTGTCAGCCTCCACAGTTGTGTGAGCCAATTCCTTAAATCTCTCTCTATATACACACCTACTATTGGCTCTGTTTCTCTAGACAACCCTGACTAATTCAATATTCAAATCTTTTCAGTGACAGAGAATTGAAGGAAATTCATTTTATTTTATCTTGCACTTGGCTCAGAAAAATAAAGATCAATTCTGATCAATGGTGCAATATCAAAGTGCTATCTATAGCACCTCAGAGGAACATAGGTAGCTTATCTTTTTTCTTCCATTAAAGAAGCCTTTAATAAAAAACACTAGACTGACAATTTGAAAGATTATGCCTTCTTCATAGGTTACTAATCTTTGGGATTCAAAAAATTGAAGTCACATTTGCTATTCCCAACCCAGCAGCCCCATGTACCCTACCAAGAACTTCAAGTTGAAGGAATACCTGATGGTTTCCAGATAACTTAAGACATTTGTTTAATAACACAAGCTATTATTTTAATATTTTCTTGTAAAGCATTAATTTGCCAGCATTCTTTATATTGCTGATTTTAAAAAGATAATTGTATAGAAGAAATTTTTTATTTTTTTCCTGTAAATATTAAAAAGCCTTTTGAAATGCATTTAAGATCCTCTGTTAGAGTCCTTCATCTTAGGGGAAATGGAGTTCAAACTAATACTTGTTGGATTAATTAAGGACCAAATGTTCTTTGTTCTTCGTTGTCTGAGTGAACATGAGACTGTGTCTAATCTTAGGTTTCTTATTGCTTAATATTTACCAAAAGCAAATTTGGCCACTTAGTGATAGTTAATTTCAGAAATAAACCCATGATTTTCGACATTCTTATCACTATTGAGCCATTAGAAGATAGAATCACAAAAATGGTATACTGTAAAACTCATAAATGTATTTAATTTTAGAATTTGGAGGTCTTAGGATGAAGTATAAACCAAATATCTAGATACAATAGTTAAAAAAATTATTAGTGTGTTGTGGATTAAGAACTTCTGTACATTCAAGACTTTTTTTTTCATTTTTAATTTGTATGACTGCCATGGAAAACACAATGTTAATGAAGGCTACTTTTGTTACCAATAATGATGCCCCTTCTCATGACTGAATATTTGCAAAACAGCTCTTTGATATATAGGATTTAAGATAATAATATCATTCCCTTTTGGTAATTAATTTTTCCTTATCATTTTTTCTTAGTGTTTATACTATTTTTGTGGAAAATGTTGAACATACTAAAAAACAGAAGAGGGACAATTATAATAATCTGTTATTTGATCACATCTCTCATGCCAATTCCATCTTTTAGATGATTTTCTTCTGTAACTTTATTCATGAATTTTGGTGCAATAAACAGGAGCATGTCCAGTGGAGGGGGATGAGGTCATGTATTCGCAGCCTTCAGAAAAATTGGTTAAAGCAACTGCAGTTACTTATGCTCAAAAATGAAAAAAAAATCTTTGGGTATGGGTAGAGGTATAATAGCCACACCAAAATACTTGAAGTTTTCATTTGTAACTATTTCTAGCTCTAGAGGACAGGATTAAACAATTTGTTATATAGTATCAAAATTTAGTTTATTTATAAGAAAGGAGTTTAATAATGGAAGCTCCTCAAGAGTGGAAAGTGCTGTCTTTAAAAAGAGAAGGGTCAGATAATTTCTATTATACACAACTTCTTCCACAGAACAGGAAAAGAGGAAGAGCTATCAAGACATATTATGAGGCTATTATATATACCTTTGATACAAAACTAGTCCAAAATCAATGTGAAAGAAGACTGCATAAGGGCACCAAGAGCAGAAGGCACATTTCATTGGAGGGCTATCTTAAAAGACTAGCTACCATAATATCATTCAACACAGGAAAATAAGTGCGTAAGAACAGTGCAAGACTTTTTAAAGAAGAAAATTAAAAAGCCAGATGAAAGGTTATAAGAAAATATCTAAATCAGTGACAAGACAAATAGTAATTTTCAGATAGGAAAACAAACTTATAAAACATGCATTCCGTATTAGGGTTCTCCAGAGAAACAGAACCAACAGGACTTGGATGGATGGATGGATGGATGGATGGATGGATGGATGGATAAATAGATAGACAGACAGATATACAAGAGGAGAGCTATTTTGGACACTGGTTCGCGTAATTATGGAGGCTGAGAAGTCCCATGATATGCTGTCTGCAAGCTGGAGAACCAGAATCATTGCTGTAATTCAGTGTGAGTCTGAAGGCCTGAGAATTGAGGGACTGTTGGTGTTAGACACAATCTGAGTCTACCAGACTGAGAACCAGGAACTCCGATGTCTGACGGCTGGAGAACATGGATATCTCAGCTCAAGCAGAGAAAGCAAATTCACCCTTCCTCTGTCTTTTTGTTTTATTCAGTTCCTCCATCGGTTGAAAGATGCCCACCCACACTGAGGACAGTCATCTGCTCTGCTGAGTTCAGCAATTCAAATAGTGATCTCTTCTGGAAATATCCTCACAAACACACTCAGAGATAAATGCTTTTTCCAGCTGTCTGGATATCCCTTATCCCAGTCAAGTGGATATATAAAATTAGCCACCATAGAAGCCTATCCTATGGATCCTTTTGCAACTTATTTTTTCATTTGACACTATACTTTTTACATTTATTCACATCGATACTTATAACTCTTGGTCTTTATAATTGCATGAACCAATTGCTATAATAAATCTTCAGAACTGCTTGTCTGTCTTTCTGTCTATGTCCTATTGGTTCTGTTTCTCTGGAGAACTCTGACTAACACAGCTCACATTTAGGTAAATTTTTAAAATACACTCCACACTATTATATATTACTTTAGGGCAAGCACATATGTAGTAAAAGTATGAAAACATGAAAAAATGGGCACCATATTCAGAACAGGGTAATAAGGACAGATGAAGAATTTGGGAAGATTACAAAGGGGGTTCCAAATATATCTGTATCTATGTATTTTTTGAGACAGGATCTCTCTTCGTCACCCAGGCTCGAGTGCAGAGGTGTGATCTTGGCTCACTGCAAACTCCCATGCTAAAGCGATCCTCCCACATCAGCCTCCTGAATTGCTGGGACTACAGGCAGGCGCAACCATGCCTGGCTAATTTTTGTATTTTTTTGTAGAGACGGGATTTCACCAGGTTACCCAGACCGGTCTCGAACTCCTGAGCCCGAGCGATCTGCCTGCCTCAGCCTCCCAAGCGTGTAATTTTTTTTTAACTAGAAAAATTCTGGCGAGAATGGGATAGAGGTGGAAGGGGAGGTAACAGAACTGGTTAAAAGCAGCTTTGAAAGCAGCACTGTAGGAGTAGAGGAATGGCTGCTCCATTTTTTGGTTGGCAGTGTCTTTGCATTTCTGAGCCAGAGCAGACAGTTGGGAGGGGCAAAGCATCTTTCTACCTTCTTTTCAGCCATCAGGTTTGCTGCAACCCAGTGCCAACACGTTCATGGATCACCAGTTGTATTTCTCAATCTAATTCTAAGGACTTTGCAATAGTGGCTATTTCTCCCAGATTTGGGCAATTCATCAGACATTCTAGTCTTTGCTATTTTGAGTTTCCATCATTTTTTGGGGGGGATCTTTTTGGCATCTATATTAGGGCAGGCTAGATTATTCTGTAATAATAAATAAAAACTCAAATCACAGTGGCTTAATTCAATGAAATTTCTTCTTAGCTCCTGCAGAATTCAATACAGATATTCCCGGTCAGAAGGCTTTCCTGAGTGGCTCTCCTCCAGGCAGTAAATTCATTTATCTACGCTTCCTCTATTGTACAGCTCTACCACTTTTTAGCCATGGGAATGAAGGAGGAATATGGTGGCAGATTGTAAAGGATGTTTTATGGGCAGTACTGAAGTCATGTACTTCACTTTTGGCCAATACCATCAGCCAGAACTGAGTTACACAGTCCCATCTGGATGCACAGGAATATAGGAAATGTAGATTTTCCTTGTGCCTGAGACGAAAATAAAACAGTTTGCTGAATGCATACATAGCATTGTCTAGCCACAATATTTTATTTAGAATATAAGACACTGAGACAAAATGTAAAACCAGTGTCTTGTATTTTAACTTTTGCTTTGAATTATTTACTTAGTTATCAATAATATAATAAGCACCTGTAAACTTAGCACCCAAAATAAGAGGACAATAACCTACGTCTAACTACATGGTCTTCTCTTCCTTCATTTCCCTGACTTCCTCTGCACAAGAGGACCATCTTCCTGAGAGCAGCATTGATCATTCTATTGCTTTCCTTTGTTTTTTAAAGTTTTTATTTCGAGTTTACTCTAGATTCACATACAATTGTAAAAATACACAGAGAGATCCCTTGTACCCTTTATTCAGATTCTTCCAATGGCAACGTCTTGAAAAGCTACAGTATAACATCACGACCAGGATATTAAAACTGATAGAGTCAAGATGCAGAACATTTCCATCACCACAAGGATCAGTTATGCTGACCTTTCATAGTCACAACTTTATTCTGCCCTCCGCCTTAGCTCTTGATAACCATTAGATTATTCTCCATTTCTGTAATTTTGTCATTTCAAGCATGTTATATAAATGGAATCAAACAGTAAACAATCTTTAGTATTTTTTTTTCACTCAGCATAATTCTCTGATGACTCATCCAGATTGTCGTGTTCACTAATAGTCCAACCCTTTTTATTGCTGAGTTTCCATGGTATGGATGTGCTACAGTTTGTTAACTATTTCCCCACTTAATGACATCTGGGTTGTTTTCAGTTTTGGGCTATTACAAATAAAGCTTCTATAAATATTCACGTACAGTTTTTTTTTGTGAATATGTCCTCATTTCTCTAGGATAAATGTCTAGAACTGCAACTGGTGAATCATATTATATATTTTTTATTGTGGTAAGAATGCTCAACATGACATCTATCCTCTTAAAACATTTTAAGTGTACAGTACAGTATTGTTAATTATAGGCACAATGTTGTGCCTTAATCATCTTGGATAATGGAAACTTCACACCTGTTGATTAGCAACTCCCCATTTCCCCCTTTCCCTGGCCCCGGCAACCACCATTTTACTCTGCTTCTATGTGTTTGACTGTTTTATATACCTCATATAAGTGGTATCATGTAGTATTTGTCTTTCTGTAACTGTCTTCTTTCAGTTAGCATAATTTCCTCTTATATGGCAGGATTTCCTTATTTTTAAAGGCTGAGTAATATTCCATTTTATGTATATACAACATTTTCTTTATTCATTCATATATTGAGGTACATTTAGATTATTTCTGCATTGTACTTATTGTAAATCATGCTGCAATGAACATGGAAGTGCGATTATCCCTAGGAGATCCTGATTTCAATTATTTTGGATAAATACCCAGAAGTGGGATTGCTGAATCAAATGGCATTTCTATTTTTAAATATTTGAGGAACCTCTACGCTATTTTCCATAGTGGCTGTACCATTTTATATTCCCACCAACAATGCACAAGAGTTCCAATTTCTCCACATCCTCTCCAATATGTACCTTTTATGTTTTTCATAATAGCCATTCCAACAGGTGTGAGGCAATGTCTCATTGTGGTTTTGATTTGCATTTCTCTATAAAAACAAAAACAAACTATTTTTATTTCTATGCTTACACAGAACACATCTGATACCAAATGTGTGGGGTGGTTTTCCCCCATAACAACCAAGTCTCCAATTCACAGTGGATAACAATTGGGTGTCCCACAATTGAATTCAATTCTGACATTATGTACCTGGAATTAGCATCAGATGTAAAGAGTAAAGGCTCAATCCCACAAGACCCCAACTTTAGATGCCAATCACAAGTCCACATTATTACTCGTGCTATAAATCAAAGGTTCCTGTAATCTTCTCCTCATGTTCAATAATTTGCTAGGATAGCTCACAGAACTCAGGAAAACAGTTACTAGATTACTGTGAGGTAGGAGGTGGGACTTGACTACAGAGGCAAGGCTCTGGCACCGAATTAAATTGAGGACTAGCTAAAACAGAAACAGGGTGGAAGCAGCTTTCCATAAGACGTGCCCACCAGTGCACCGTGTCAGTTTACCGTTGCCATAGCAGCACAAGGACGTTATCCCTGCTTTCCATGACAACGACCTGATGATCTGGAAATTACCACCCCTTTCCTAGAAATTTCTACATAATACACTTCTTAATTCGCATATAATTAAAAGCAGGTATAAATATGACTGTGGAAGTGCCTCTGAGTTGCTACTCTGGGTACACTGCCTGTGGGGTAGCCCTGCTCTGCAAGGAGCGGTGCCTCTGCTGCTGCTGTACGCTGCCACTTCAATTAAAGTTGCTGTCTAACACAACTGGCTTGCCCTTGAATTCTTTCCTGGTTGAAGCCAAATACCGCCCTGGGGTTTCCCCGATTTTGGGGATCACCTGCCCTGCGTCAACTGACTTATTATAAAAGGATATAATTCAGGAACAGCCAGAAGAGATGCACGGGGCAAGGTATGGGGGAGAGGCACAGAGCTTCCATGCCCTCTCTGGTCATGCCATTTCCCAGTATCACCATGTGCTCACCAACCCAGAAGCTCTCTGAACTCCATCCTTTTGTTTTTTTCTATGGAAGCTTCATTATGTAGCCATAATTGATTAAATCATTGACCACTGGTGTTTAGGCCAATCTCCAGTCTCTCTCCCCTCCCCAAAGGTTGGGGAAGTGGGGCTGAAAGTTCCAACTCTCTAATCATATGGTTGGTTTCCCTGGCAATCAGCCCCATTCTTAGGGGCTTTCCAAAAGTTATCTCATTAATATAAACTCAGATGTGGTTGAAAGTGGCTTGTAATGAACAACAAAAGATGCTCCTTCCACTTTTACCACTCTGGAGCTATTTTAAAAACTGGGGACAAAAACCAAATTTATGACAAAATATGCTACTTTTGTTCTTGTCATTTAGGAAATTATAAGCGTTTTAGAAGTTCTGTTCAGGAGCCAGGAATAAAGACCAAAATCTATTTTTTTTTATTTTATCATAGTATTACACCTGATGATTGGTGATGTTAAACATCTTTTCATATTATACCTATTGGCCATTTGGATGTCTTCTTTGGGGAAATGTCTATGCAAGTCCTTTGTCCATTTTTACATTGGGTTATTTGTTTTTTGTTTTTTGCTATTGTGTTCAAGGAGTTCCTTATATATTTTGGATATTAACCCTTTATCAGATATATGGTTTGCAAATATTTTCTCTCATTCTGTAGGTTGCCTTTAACTCAGTTAATTGTTTTTTTTTGTACAGTTTTTCACTTTGATACAATCCCACTTGATTATTTTTGCTTTTGTTGACTGTGCTTTTGGTGTCATATCCAAGAAATCATTGTTAAGACCAGTGTTATGAAGTTTTCCTTCTATATATATTCTTAGGAGTGTTATAGCTTCAGGTTTTATGTTTGAGTCTTTAATCAATTTTGAGTTGACTTTTGTGTATGGTATAAAGGTCAAATTTCATTTTTTTTTCATGTCACTATCCTGTTTTTCTGACACCATTTGTTGAAGAGACTATTCTTTCTTTGTTGTTTATTCTTGGCATCCATTTTTAAGATCAGTTGTTTATATATGTGTGGATTGATTTCTGGGTTCTTTATTCTGTTCCTTGGTTTGTATGTCCGTCTTTACAACAGTAACACACTCTTTTAATTACTGTAGTTCTGTAATATGTTTTGAAAACAAGAAATGTTGTGCCTCCAGCTTTGTTCTTCTTTCTCAAGATTGTTTTGGCTATTTGGGGTCTTTTGTGGTTCCATATGAATTTTAGTATTTTTTTTCCTATTTTTATAAAAATGTCATTGGAATTTTGATAGCGATTGCAATGAATCTGTAAATCTCTTTGGATAGCATAGATATTTTAACATTATTAAGTCTTCCAATCCATAAACATGGATATCTTTCCATTTGTTTGTGTCTTTTAAAATTTCTTTTGTGAATGTTTTATAGATTTCAATGAAGAAGTAATTCACCTTACTAGTTAAGTCCATTCCTACATATTTTCTTTTTTGGTGCTATTGCAAATAAGATTGCTTTGCTAATAACCTTTTCAGATAGTTTGTTCTTAGTGTATAGAAACACAACTAATTTTTGTGTGTTAATTTTGTATTCTGCAACTTTACCAAATTTATTTGTAAGTTCTAAGGCTTTTTGTCATGTGAAATCTTTAAGGCTTTTATATATAACATCATGCAAACAGGCCAGGTGCAGTGGCTCATGCCTGTAATCCCAGCACTTTGGGAGATTGAGGTAGGCAGATCACCTGAGGTCAGGAGTTCGAGACCAGCCTTGCTAACATGGCGAAACCCTGTCTCTACTAAAAATGCAAAAATTAGCTGGGTGTGGTGGCAGGCGCCTGCAGTCCCAGCTACTCAGGAGGCTGAGGCAGGAGAATCACTTGAACTGGGGAGTTGGGCGTTGCAGTGAGCCGAGATTGTGTCATTGCACTCCGGCCTGGGTGACAGAGCAGGACTCTGTCTCAAGACAAAAAAAGAAAAAAAAATCATGCAAACAGATAATTTTACTTCTTCCTTTTCCATTTGGATCACTTTTATTCTTTTTTCTTGCCTAATTGCTCTGGCTAGGACTTCCAGTACTATGTTGAATGGAAGTGGTAAGAGTGGGCATCCTTGAATTATTCCTTAGAGGACAAGTTTTCACTTTTCACTGCCAAGTATGATATTAGCTATAGGCTTTTCACACATAGCCTTTATCAGTCTTCAGGGACTAGTCTGATACAGAAGACTCTGACCAATCAGCCCAGCCAGAAGTACTGCGGGTCTCTAAAACCTTCATTCTAAATAGTTTAAATCATTATCTTTTCTCCCAATGGCCCCCAGGCATCTAGAGTTTGCTGTGTCCATTCAGTAGCCTGAGACAGAAGGCAGTGCCTTGGGTAGCCTACAGAAAAATAAGAACATTGAATGTATGTTTAGTTATTTCCTTCCCTCTCCAGGGAGAAGCTGGAAGCTGAGTTTTTTTTTACCTGCTTGCTTTGCACTGAGTCAGAGAGTGGGGCTGCAGCATGTGCTAGTTTGCTAATTCAAGCTGCAGTCTTTTTTCCCAGTGGCCTCCAGTGACTAGAGAATGCTGGTTCCTGTCAGTATTCTGAGACAGGTAAAATAGAAGTTAGTGCTTTGGGTAGCTCCCAGAAGGATCAGAATATTTTTCTTTCCCCAGGAAGAAGTTAGGAGCTGAGGGTTTTCTCCCAGTCATATGGTGCTATGCCAGCGGTAGGGCTACAGCTAGACAGTATCTTGACTATTCCTATTGGCTTCTGTGTGGCTGGTTTCATGCTTGCCCAGGATGCAGGAGTCTCTCAACCAATTTCTGGATTTCTCACAAAGGGATTGTTCTGTGAATTGTTATTGAATTGGTGTGTTATGGAGGAAAGGAGGATCCAGTGCTTTCTATTCTGCAATCTTGCTGACAATCACCTCTAAACTGTTATGTTTTAGCTATTCTGGTTCCCGAGCACTTACATATAAACTTTAGAATAATCCTGCCTACATCCATAAAAATTATTGCTTGGATTTTGATAGAAATTGTATTAAACTTGTATGTCAATTTGGGGAGAACTGATAGTTTTACTAAGTTGATTCTTTCAATCCATAAACATGTCTCTCCATTTATTTAGGTTTATTTATTTATTTCATTGTATTTTGTAGTTTTCAGCATACAAGTAGTGTACATGTTTTGTTAGATTTAGCACCTAAGTATTTTAATTTTTTGTGTAATAGTAAATATTATACTTTTTAATTTCAGTGTCCACAAGTGTTCATTGGTGGTATATAAATATAACTCATATTTGTAAATTTCTCTTATATTCTGCAACCTTACTGAATTTACTCTTTATTTGTAAATTTTTTTTCTTTGAAATTCCTTGGGATTTTCTATGTAGACAATCATGTCATCTGTAATAGGGACATTTTTGTACCTTCTTTTCTGATTTGCATGCTTTTATTTCTTTTTCTTGCATTATTGCACTGGCTAGACCTTCCAGCACTATGTAGAATAAGAGTGGTGAGAGCAGACATCCTTGCCTTGTTCCCAGTCTTCAGGGAAAAACATTCAGCCTTTCACCATTAAGTATAATGTTAGCTGTAAGGATTTTCTTGGTAATAGATACTCTTTACTAAGCTGAAGAAGTTTCTCTCTAGTACTATTTTGCTAAGAGTTTTTGTCACGAATGAGCGTTGAATTTTGTCAAATGATTTTTCTGCATCTATTCATACAATAATGGAAGTTTTCTTTCGTAGTTTGTTAAAGTCCAACTTGTTCATGATACATCATTCTTTTTTTATATATTGTTGAATTCTATTTGCTAATATTTTGTTGAGGATTTTTACATCTATATTCATAAGGGATTTTGGTCCATCAGTTTCATTTTGTACTGTCTGGTTTGGTAAGGGGATTCCTATTAGGGGTGGAAATCTAGACTTCCTCACTCAGCCTTTGCTGGCATGGGGCAAGCCATAGTTTTTCTGTGGTGTTTTGCTAAAGTAGAGTAATTATTGCCTACAGGTTTTCTGTCTTGCTAGGCTGTCTCCTGTTTTTTTGTTATTGGCTAGGGAGAGTATTCTTTTGTTAGGGTGTTTTTTTTTTTTTTTTTTTCCTCTGTGCCCATTGGTGTTTCTGTGTTTCTGGCTTCTTCAGTTTTACGTCTGGTAGAAAAAAACGTTCATGGTACCCACCACTTGTTTTCCTTGAGCCCAACGTTCCAAGGAAGTCTCCTTTAGTTTCTCTCCCTTTCAGTCTTTTGATATTTGTTTTATATGTTATATCCAGGGTTTTTAATTGTGCTTGGTGAGAGGGATGAGGAAAAGTACATATACTTTATCTTCCTGGAAGTGGAAGCTGCTTTTTTAAAAATATAGATTAATTACATTTTTATTTGTTCCTATATTGCTTTATTTTACTTATTTTTATCATTACAAAAATAGTATCATGCTGGAAGTATTCTTTGGGGGAATTTCTTTTATTGCATTAATATCATATTGCTAGAATTCATCCATAGGCAGCATGTCTCTTTATAATTTATTAGTTTTGACTGCTGTAGATATATAACATGGTTTATTCATCTACTCTGCTGTGGGTGGAGATTTGTGATGTTTCCATGTTTTTGCTATTGTGAACAATCTTGTACATGTATCAAGTTGTATATGTTAAAGAGTTTCTCTTGATATATACCTAGGAGTGGAATTGCTAGACTACAAGATACATATGTCTTCAACTATACAATATAGTGCTAAATTATTTTCCACAGTGTTGCACTCATTTACATTCCCACTAGTAATGTGATCGAGATACTACAGATCCTGCCTAAGCTGCAGCCTGAAAACTCTCTACAGACAGTACGCTGAGGTAACTGTGAGACTTCCCTCATTTGTTCCTCCTTTCTCAGGAGGAATCACTGTCAATTATGCCTGATGATCAATATCTGAAAACTACTGTTTCATATATTGTGACTTCTTTTTTTTTGGTTGTTTCTGGTAGGAGGGTCAATCTGGGCCTTGATTCTTCAGTTTGTTTGAAAGCAGAACTCATTTTATAACTTCTAACTTTTCAGTAGTAATTTTTTTCTGTTTTTTAAAATTTCTGAAATCATTTGAGCCTTCTCTGTTTTTGTTGTGTAATTTTGTCAAAGTTTGTTCATTTTGTTAAGTTTTCAAATAGCTAATTTTTTGGCTTCGTTAGTCTTCTCTATTTTATCGTTGTTTTATTTTACCTCATTCCTTCTTGTATTTTCTTTAGTTTTATCCTATTGTTCTTTTTCTAAATTCCTTTTTTTTTTTTTTTTTTTTTTTTGAGACAGGATCTTGTTCTGTTGCCCAGACTGGGGTGCAGTGGTATGATCACTGCTCACTGCAGCCTTGATCAAGCGATTCTCCTACCTCAGCCCCCGGAGGAGCTGGGACTATAGGCACATGCCACCATGCCTGGCTCATTTTTAAACTGTAGAGACAGGAGTCTCACTATATTTCCTAGGCTGGTCTCAAATTCCTGGACTCAAGTGGTCCTCCTGCTTTAGCGTCCTAAGGTGCTGGAATTACAGGTGTGTGACACCAGGCCTGGCCTCTAAACTCTGATGATGGGAAATCAATTCATTAATTTTGAGACTTTGTTTTTTCCCCCATAATATTTATGTTTAAAGCTACAAATTTCCCTTATGTCACTGCTTTTGCTTCATCACATAAATTTTGATACGTAGTTAAAAAAATTTTAAGCCAGTTTTAGATGTTTTAACATTTCCATTATGACTTCATTTTTAACTTGAGTAGTTTATCAAGATGTTTAAAATTTTTTTAAATAAGTAGGAATTAAAAAAATTATATTTGTATAATTGTCCAACTTCATTGCATGCTTGTTTTTATAAAATTGTTGTGGATTTCTTTATGGCCTAAATCATAATAAATTTTTATAAATATTCATATATACTTGAAAAAATATGTATTATTTTAGTTTTTGGATATATAATTCAATATATGTTCTTTAGGTTAATTTTTTAATTGTGTTGTTCAGATCTTGTATATCTTTGCTTTTTTTCCTATTTAAATTGTCAATAGATGAGAGAGGTGTGCTGAAATCTCCCATTACAATGATGAATTTATTACTCTGTTCCTGAAGTTTCAATAAAATTTACTTCATATAGTTTAAGGCAATTTTATTAGGTAACTACACATTTAAAATTACTTTTTTTCTTCTTGGAGAATTGAATTAGATAGTAAATTGAATTCTCTGTCCTCTAATAATATTTTACTTTAACATTTTTTTTATGTTATTAATATAGCTGCAACAGCTTCTTTTTTTTTTTTTTTTTTTTTTTTTTTGAAACAGGGTCTCGCTTTGTCGCAGTGACATGATCTTGGCTCACTGCAACCTCCACCTCCCAGGCTCAAGGGATCCTCCCACCTCAGCTTCCTAAGTAGCTGGGACTGTAAGTGTGTGCCACCATGCCTGGCAAATTTTTCTGTTTTTTGTAGAGATAGGGTTTTACCATGTCGCCAAGGCTGGCCTAAAAACCCTGAGTTCAAGTGATCCACCTGCCTCGGCCTCTCAAAGTATTGGGACTACAGGCATGAGACACCATGCCTGGCCAACAACTTTCTTTTGGTTGTATCTGTTTCATATTTCATTTTCTATCCTTCTACTTTTAACCTTTGTGTTTTCATATGCTTTTGGTAAGTCTTTTATAAACAGCTTAGTTTAGATTTTTATAAGACCCAAAATGTGAATTTTATCTTTAGTTTATATTCATTTATGCTAATTCCTATATATGGAACAGTTTTAAATAGCTTATTATTTCTGTTTCATTTCTGTTTTTTCCTCCTCTTTTTATTTTTTTTTTTTGAGACGGAGTCTCGCTCTGTTGCCCAGGCTGGAGTGCAATGGCACAGTCTCGGCTCACTGCAACCTCCACCTCCCGGGTTCAAGCAATTCTCCTGCCTCAGCCTCCTGAGTAGCTGGGACCACAGGCGTGTGCTACCATACCTGGCTAATTTTTTTTTGTATTTTTTAGTAGAGACGGGGTTTCACTTTGTTGGCCAGGCTGGTCTCGAACTTCTGACCTCGTGATCCTCCTGCCTTGGCCTCCCAAAGTGCTGGGATTACAGGCGTGAGCCACCGCATCTGGCCTTTTCTCTTCTGTTTCTACTTCTTTTTACCCACTTCACCTCCCTCCCGCTTTAAATTGCTATTGTATCTGCCCAAAATGCTGATTAGGGAATTATCTGTTATTGATTCACAATGAGATAAGCACTTTATACCAGAATGTATATCAAAGCATTGCTCCCTTCATTGAGAAAGTCTCTACATGAAAATCCTGTCAACTGAACTAAGCAGTGTGCTTAGTAACAAGTTAATGTGCATTCTGGTGCAAGATCTTTCTCTTGTCAAGAACTGATGAAAAAAGTTCACAGGCCAGCCTGGTGGACTACAGTCTGAGAAATATTGTGTTATCATGTTCTCACATCTCTTGTGAGAGCTCAACCTTCAACATACTGACAGTACCTAAACTTTTTTTTAATATAAATATATTTTTCATTTTTATTTATTTATTTTTTCCTTGTCCTTTGGCTCTCTTAATTAGGAGTTATTATAAATATGATTCCTCTGTTACTTTTGTAACAGCTTGCTTTCTCTTTCTAAGATAGCAAACAAGTACACAAAGGTATTTGATCTCTTTTATTTATATATCACTTGCCACCTCTCTTGTGTTTCTTTGTTCCTCTATTTGAGAATTTTATCCGCACAATGTTTTCAACATAGGTCATTGCATAACAAATATTCTGAGGTCTTACATGCCTCAGAAGATTTCATCAAGCCCTTAGATTTGACTGATATTTGGGGTGGATACAAAATTCTAAATTCTAAGTTCTTTTTTTCCCAGTAGTTTGGACATTGTGCTTCCATAGTCTTCTTGAAGTCAGTTTTGCTTTTAAATAATTTAATTCTTATTCCTGTGGTAAAATGTAATCAAGAATTAAACAATTTAATTCTTATACCACAGAAAAAAGAATTAAATTATTAAATTATTTCATATAGTATGCTTTTCTTTTTGTTAGCTTTTAGAATTTTATTTTTATCTTTGTCTCTTAAGACAATATTTATGTTTAAATTTTAGTATAATGTGATGTGGATTTTTCTTTCTTTCTCTTTTTTGGCACTCTATAGACTCAGTTTTGGGCCTGTTATCTTTTTAAAAATCTGGGACATCTATCTACATTGTTTCTTCAAATATTTACTTTTCTTTTTTTTTCTTTTTTTTTTTTTTTTGAGATGGAGTCTGGCTCTGTTGCCCAGACTGGAGTGCAGTGGTGTGATCTCGGTTCACTGCAACCCCTGCCTCCTGGGTTCAAGTGATTCTTGTGCCTCAGCCTCCCGAGTAGCTGGGATTACAGGCACCAGCCACCACACCTGGCTAAGTTTTGTATTTTTAGTAGAGACAGGGTTTCGCCATGTTGCCCAGGCTGGTCTCGAATTCCTGACCTCAAATGATCTGCTTGCCTTGGCCTCCCAATGTGCTGGGATTACAGGCAGGAGCCACTGCACCCTGCCCAAATATTTACTTTTATAAATTTTCCTCTCTTTTGTGATTCTTATTATTTGAATTATAACACGTGGGGTCCTATTCTTATACCTATTTACGTTTTTTTTTTAATGTTCTTCCTTCATCAATGGTGTGCTTTTATTAATGTATCTTATCTTTGTGTTCTTTAACTATTATAAACTTCTCTTTAAAATACCTTCTTTTCTCTGTTTGTGCATCTCTAAAAATCATATTAATACATTCTTTCCTTTTAAAAATTTTGTTAAAGCGATTTAAAATTATTGATTTAAATATTTTTGCTTAGGATACAATCTTAAATTCAGATAGTTGCGCTCCTCAATTATCTTATCCTTGGGTTTGTGGGGGCTTGTCTTTCCTGGGGATATTTTCAACTCTGTCAAGCAATGATACAAAGAAAGGCTGGATCTCTGCATCTGTCACCACAGTTAGGTCAGGGGAAGCGGGTGGGGTGCAGGCATGAGCCCTAATGTGGAGAGGTCCAGGCAGTGAAGAACCGGAGTCAATTATTCCTCAATCTAAAAAACAACTAAAGAAAGCTCTTTGATCTTTGCCTCCTTAGGAAAAAGTACTTAAGTGGGGATCTTCCTTAAGCATAGCAACTTCCCAAAGTCATTACTTCGTTTTTCACAGAGTGGCTTCTGTCAGTGATTTTCCTTTATTTTTGGGATCACTTGGATGAGAGACCTGAGTTGCTACAGGTGTGGGGTGTGTACCGTTTGTCACAATAGCATCTTTTCTATTTTATCCTCTCTATATTCTACTGATCTGTCTCTTGTGCTAGACAAATCCATTCCTTCCCTCCCACGTCAGTTAAAAAAAAAACCCTCTGCCTTTATCGCAGGAATTTCTCATACCTTTCTTTCTCTCTTTGGTTGATGCTGGGAGTGAGCACCAATAATAGTGCCTGTTCACCTTCCTAGTAGGATCTAGAAATGGATCTACCCACACCTTTGCTACTATTTTTAGGAGCCAATATATATTTTTTTCAATACAAAGTAACATACAGTTTTGTGTGATGGCTTTATTTTTATAAAACGTGTTTAGAATATAAATATACATGTAAAATATAAAATATTACATCCAGGCTCTTTGTGTTCTATTTCCAGTCTTTAAGCACATGCAGTCACATTTTTTTTTACTGTTTTCAGTAAAAAACTGCAATCATATTTTTTACTGTTTTTTTCACTCTATATTACTTTGACTGTACTTCTTTTGGTTTGTCCTGTTTGTTTATTTTTATAGTTCTCAGTGTGTGTTTTTAGACATATTTTTAGACATGGATTTTTTTAGAATGCATAAAATTCTAAAAAATTTATATACCCAAACCTACTGAAACTCTTATTGTAGAAAAATTATTTTTACTTTTTATAACTAGAGATGAGTATAACATCTTTATACATATATTCTTTTTCTTTTGATTTATTGGTTTAGATTTATTCCTAAGAATGAGATTTCAAGGTCTATGGATGTAAACACTTTATGGCTCTTGATAAGTATTGCCAAATTACCCTTCAAAGAATGATGTTACTCTTTGAATGGTTTTCTATACACTTATTCTGATGTATACTTAATTGCATCTGCACATATGTCACTTAAGACAAATCTTCTTCTGTCTTTTTACACTACTCTGATTACAATTTTAAAGGATACATTAAATTAAAATGGTGATAGACCATCTCCTTTTTTTAAAAGCACTATTACTTCCAAATAGCCCTGTAAAATCCTCTTAATTCTAATTCTAATTTAAGTAATTAGGAATATAAATATAAATTAAGACAACGGGTGACATTTACTCCTTCAGATTCTGACAATATAGAGAACACGTAGTAATCATATATTTTGAAATATTAGGTGTCCCAGAAAGGTACAATTTTTTTTTTGAAATTTGTGTTATTTCCATAAGTTGTCTGAAAGTGTGGAACTTATGGAAGTTATTTCCGTAAGTTGTCGAAAGTCTGGCCCTTCCCCTCTGTCTGGAGCCATTCAAGTCCCTGGGTTTCTATCATGCAAGAGAGCAACAGGGATGAAAAAAGGACAGTTATTAGACTTCTTGCAACCCTAATGCTTGGCACTGAAACTAGATTTAATTTGATTCAGAAAAATTTAAAAAGGCAACTTTAACATATTAAAGGTCACGCAGCACTTCATGTCTGCTATTGTCTTTAAACAAAGACTGAATGTGTTACATTTTTATAGTATGATATAATTTATAAGATTCTTGAAAAAATTATGATTAATATGTGTGAAGCACTCTTTTAAATATTGTACATTTAATCCTTGTATTAATTTTTCTGGGTCTGTGGTTGTCTGGGGGCTCCGCTGGGCTCCAGGATTGGCTGGCCTTGGCTCCAGGCTGTGAGGTGGGTTTTCATCTGCTTTACCAGTGCCATGAGCCACCTGGGGCCATGCTCTTCTAATGGAAGATTACGGATGTGCAAACAGGGAAGCCAAACCACACAGGCATGTTTAAAACCTCTGCTTGCCTCATATTTGCTAACATTCTGTTGGCCCAAGCAAGTCACCTGACCAAGCCCAACAGCAGTGGGCTGGGATATATGCTCCACCCACAGTGGGAGGCACTGCAAAATCACATGGGAAAGACTGTGAGTGTCCAGCTATCAAGGAGTGAGTAAAGAATTGAGAACAATAATCCCAGACATCAGCATCCTCAAAGCCACTGTGCAGATTGTCTACTGTTAACGCACTATCACCCCCATCCCCTATTTTATATAAAAGGGGCTGACAGTATTACATTTTAGGAGAGACGCCTAGGAACAACATTTCCCAGAATCTCTTGCCAATGGAATTCTGGTTCAGATTCTGTTAATGAGAAACACTTACTTGGGATATTGAAAGTGGAAAATTAGGAGAAGGTATTACTCTCTGACAGCAGGTGGGCAGGTAAATGGCAAATGGTAGTCATGAGGTTTACTTTGACTCCTGGGCATTCCTTTGTGAATCATTTGCTTTGGTGCTGCAGGGAGCTGACATCATCAGCGGTGGTTTGCTGTGATTCCTTCAGCCTTCTGACCTCTGAAAGCCAGACCTTTGCTCCCACAGATCAACCCATAATTTTGTAAGTATTTGTATTATTTTACTGCATTTAAGATGCCATCAATTCTGTCAAGAAAGAATAAAATGCTACCAATAAGATTACAATTTTTTATCTTTAAGATTTTAATTCTATACTTAAAAGGCTCTTTTAGACCTACTTAGACAAGTTTTCAAAAGTAAATATCACAATTTTACATGCATATAAATGCAAATATGAGCACAATACATGTGTTATTTCACATGTAGAATTTTGCTCTTGTGAATCTTTTTTTTTTCCAGTTAGAGACATCAGTATCTATATTTTCCCACTCTTCAGGAGGCACCAGGAGCATTGGTGAAGGATTATTTCTTTAAAGAGTGCTCCACCATTAACTCTTGCCTTTTCTTCCAAGCTGCTAACAGCTATTCTGAAAGTTTTGCTGGTGTTATCTTGATTTTATCCGTCTTCAAAGAATTCTTAAATGGTTTGTTGATTCAAAATGTGAGAATTTGCAATGGTTTAGATAAACCAATGGGAATGATTCTGTACTTCTCAATGAACTTGTTCTTTCCCCATCTTAATACATGTTCCTGTAAAGCACCAAGAACGAACCTGATTAGTGGTTGTGTAGGGCTCCTGGATATCTATTCTGGAAGATTTTCTGTCAGCTCAGTGGCAATCCATCTGTCAGTTTTGAGCATATCTTTGGGGAAAGATCTCATTTTTGGGTATCATTTTGTAAATACCTGAAATTAAATATAAAATGCATAGAATGTACAACACCCAGAGTGAAGCTAATCTAAATTGTGGGTGATAGTGATGTGTCAATGTTGGTTTATTGATTGTCATAATGACACTACTGGTGCAGGATATTGTTGATGGATAAGATTGTGTGTTGTGGGGGAAGGGAGCTCTGCTTTGTGTTCAGTTTTGCTGTGAACCTAAAATTGCTCTAGAAGATAAAGTCTATTAAAAATTAAATATAACAACACTGTTATTGTCAATTATGCATAGCGTTGTATGTATAGGCTGGTTTTATTTATTTATTTATTTATTTTGACGGAGTCTCGCTCTGTCGCCCTGGCTGGAGTGCAGTGGAATGATCTCGGCTCACTGCAAGCTCCACCTCCTGGGTTCACACCATTCTCCTGCCTCAGCCTCCCGAGTAGCTGCGACTACAGGCACCTGCCATCATGCCAGCTAATTTTTTTGTATTTTTAGTAGAGACCAGGTTTCACCATGTTAGCCAGGATGATCTCCATCTCCTGACTTTGTGATCCGCCTGCCTTGGTCTCCCAAAGTGCTGGGATTACAAGAGTAAGCCACTGCGCCCGGCTGTATAGACTGTTTTTTGTAATCTGTGTCATGATCTTGATCTCTTCAGCATTGGTAGTATAAGCACTGGGGTTTCTTTAGCATCCTATATTTGACCAAACAAACTGCTGTATTATTTTTCTTAGTTGAATCATATGTTGCTGCAAATTAACTAACTTCTGTTTATGGTGAGTAAAAAGTTTCTGACAAATTGATACTTAGGGCCTGGATGACAGCATGAATTAATCACACAAGCTTCTTTTTCATCTCTTCTGGTTAATTTGATAATTTTCCCTGCCTTCATTTCCCTCCTTAATTCAACTGAAAGCACAGTCTGAGACAAAGATGTGAATACGTATTTAGGACGTGATCACTGGAAGCAGTGACCCTCTAGGGGGATTAACTTCATCCCTGGGGGCATTTACTGTCCCCCACCCACCACTTCTAGGCTCTTTGAGGTAGAAAAGCAAAGCAAAGATGACCTTAGTTTTTGAGTACAAAGAACAGTGATGAAGAGAAAAAGATGGCACTGGAAAGCACTATGCTGGTATTGTTCTTTTTCCATGTTACTTGCCAGATCAAAATGTATAAAGTTGAGACAGCATGATTTTACAGCGTATGCTTTCCCATCCCATATGCATTTGTGCCTCTTTAACAACTGCTTGGGTTGAATGCTTTCTGTCTATCTTAAATGTATCTACTCTACATTCTCTGATTCACTCCAAACCCCTACCAGCCCATAGTAAGCTATTTTTTATTTTTTTTGAGACCGAGTCTCGCTCTGTCATCTAGGCTGGAGTGCAGTGGTGTGATCTTGGCTCACTGTAACCTCTGCCTTCCAGGTTCCAGCACTTCTCCTGGCTCAGCCTCCCAAGTAGCTGGGATTACAGGCCAGCACCAGCATGCTCGGCTAATTTTTGTATTTTTAGTAGAGACAGGGTTTCACCATGTTGGTCAGGCTTGTCTCAAACTCTTGACCTCAAGTGATCCGCCCTCCTCGGCCTCCCAAAGTGCTGAGATTACAGGTGTGAGCCACCACACCTGGCCAGCCTATAGTAAGTTATTAATAATTTGGCAGTCTCATGTGGAAGTCAGCCCCTAGTGAGTCTGGTTAACATGCACTTATTTGGAAGAGACTGTTACTCCAGATGACATTTCTGCACATCAGTTCTGGACTGTGGTCACTCCACCTAGGTGTTGCCATCCCAGGAGGCCCTGCTGAAGCAGTCTGCCAGAATCAGCCCTATTCTTACTATGTCCAAGATGTGTTAGGTGCTATGGGGAATTAAAAAAAGTCTGCGTGATAATGACCAGTTTCCAGGAGTTTAGAAGCATGCTTGGGAATAAATCTGCATGAGGCAGTTTACTAAAGACAGCAACTCAAACTCTGGGAGCAATTGAGAGAGAGGAGAGCATAGGCAGACCGGAACCTTTTGGAAAAGTCCCACGAAGAGGCCAGGTCTGAGCATGCCCTGAAGAATGGATAGAATTTGAATTAAGCGAGTCGTGTTGATAAGACACTTTTTGGAGGCTGAGACTTTCAAGAAAATGTCATTTTAAAATATGATATTATTCCTTTTTGATAACGAAACTGTCCAGTAAGTTTGTTGAAACCTGTAGGTACCAATGCTATGTTTGCTTAGTAAGAGGGTGACTGACATTTAGCAATGTCCTTGGACAGGCTTGGTGGGGTATTTGGACATGGGGAGCTCAATTTCTGAATGCTTGGCTGAATGCTTCGGATAAAGTCTCCAGATACAGAGGACTCTATAAAGGAGAAAAACCTGGTGGCTCACTCCCTGGGGCAGCTGGATGTACTATGGTCTATGCATTCTGGTCCAAGCCATTGTGTCGCGTGTTTGGGAACTTGTTTCGGAAATTGCTGTCCTTGCCCTGTTGGATAAGGCTGACCAGCTTTCTTGGGTGGACCTGCACTCAGTGGAGCCATGACCCCTCTTCTTCATCATTAAGAGAGAGCTGTAACCGTTTTTTTTTGTTTTTTTGTTTTTCCTTGGGCTATGGTGGATGGAGTTAAGGGTCTAACGGTGTTTGGGAGGGGCATTAAAACTTCTCTTTGTTTACTTATCCCTTGTGAGTCTATGTTGTCTGTAATTTCCTACTTGTTAGAGGGAAAACAGTTTACTATTTTCTTTTTTTTTTTTTTCCTTTGAGACGGAGTCTCACTCTGTCGCCCAGGCTGGAGTGCAGTGGCGCGATCTCGGCTCACTGCAAGCTCTGTCTCCCGGGTTCACGCCATTCTCCTGCCTCAGCCTCCCAAGTAGCTGGGACTACAGGCACCCGCCAACACGCCCGGCTAATTTTTTTGTATTTTTAGTAGAGATGGGGTTTCACCCTGTTAGCCAGGATGGTCTCGATCTCCTGACCTCGTGATCTGCCCGCCTCGGCCTCCCAAAGTGCTGGGATTACAGGCTTGAGCCACTGTGCCCGGCAACAGTTTACTATTTTCAACCCCAGGGGCCTTGAATGACTCATAGTGCTTGGAAGGCATTGTGCTTGGGTCTCAGACCTGGGTTCAAATCCTAATGTTGCCACCAGGTGAACTCACCAGTGCTTCTCTTCGATTCTTATGGACTCTTGGTTTCCTTCTTTATCAGTTGTGGCTGATTATATCTGTCTCATAACGTTGTTGGGAGATTAAATAAAATCCTGATGTAAAGCCTCTGGCATGAAACTTTAGAAACATCAGTTCTCTTCTAATATAGCTTAGGATGTCAGTTGTGATTCCTGATACTAAAACCTTAAAAATTCAATTTAAATTTAATGAAAAATAAGATATTTATGCACTATTTTAAAAAAGAAAAACCATGAGAAAAAATTTTTAGATTTAGCCGAGGAATTTTGAAGATAGAATTATAGTCTTATTTCCCAAATGCAGTTGTTTTCAGTGACTATTTTATTCACATTGTATAGAAAAAATATGTCACATAGAAGAGGTAGCCTTTGTATAAAGGCATCTGATGAAATGCAGCTAATTAAGCACATAATTTGGTGCAGACTGTGTACCCAACATATTTTGGCACATAAAATATTTACTCTGATAGACTGAAGCTGTTACTCTGAACTGGGTCTGAGTTGTTATTGAGACGGAGTGTTTTTAATCTAGCAAACGATAATGACTTCATCACTTCTGACTTTGTATGTCTGGTTTCAGTGCTGAATGAGATTTTATTGCTGTGCTTTCAGCTTTTGGTAAGAGTGCTTGATAGATTATTGCTACTAAGATCTTGCTTTTGAAAAGAACATTAAATACTTGTTAATTTATATTTATCTTTAAAACTCTAAATTCATGCTAACCATAAGCAAGTCTCCTAATTATGAATTTTCCTCATATTTTCAGTTTTATGTCAAAGCTATGAACTTGAACAGCACAAAAAGTGGATCATCTCAAAGTTTCTTTTCAAAATGCTTTAATGTTTTGGTCTCTTTCTCTCCCTGCTTCCTGATGCATTGGCTTAGGAAAAAGGTACAGTTTTGGTCATGTGTTAAGCAGGTATATTTTGAAGGAAAACAACAGCCACCACCCTGTGCTTTCCACTCTTTGGGTTTGTTTCAGTTCCAGGTTTTCTTAGTGTGTTTAAGTCTACTTTGTGGTCCAAGCTCTGGCTAGATTTTCAGAGAGGTGAGTTTTACTTTAGTTCAACTTTAGTTTCCTTCATTAAGTTTTTGTGTGGTTTTTAGAGGTTCTGGGCATTAGATTTGTGACCTCAAATCAGGGGCATGAAACGGGACTTTGCTAATGTTCTCTGTAGCTCAAGATGCTAAATTATTTCCAACTGTAAAAGTCCCAGGTGATGTAGCGTTGTGTTTCAGCATGGGTGCTGCTTCAGTTAGTCTTGGGTGGGTGTGGTGATGAGAGTCTGCATTTCCAGCAGGCTCCAGGTGATGCTAAGTTTGTTGGTCTGAATAAAGAGTTTAGTGCACACAATTTTAAACTTGACTGCTTGGGCTTGAATTTCTGTTTTACTGTGCATTACCTGTGTGACTTTGAGGAGGACATTTAGCTGCTCTATGCCTCCACATTGGCATTTGTCACAATAGGAGTGATTAAAGTGGTATTTAGCTCATAGGGCTTATTTAAAGAATAATTGATATAATTTGTGTAAAGTATTTAATACATGATAGAAAAGCAATGGCTGCTAATCAGTATAGTTTATATAATTTTTTCTGATGAAAATAGCTTCTAGAAAATTAGAAGGGGAGAAAAAGGAGTCCTAATATTGATTTATTTTTACTTGAGAAACATTTCACTGCTGCTTGGTGACTAACCATTCCAGTTTGCCTGGAACTGCTTTGGTTTAGTGCTGAAAGTCTTGCATCCTGGGAAATCCTTCATTTCTGAGCAAACTGGGACAATTCGTTATCCATATGTTTTATATACTTCTTTTGTAATCTTCATAATAATCTCTAGATATAGGTTCCATTATTTGAATTTCACAGATAGGTTGATGGGCCGTGGTTAGTAAGTGGTGAAGCCTGTATTCAAACCTGCCTTTGGGTGTCTACAAAGTCTTTGTATGCAACATCTATTGTACATTCAACAGTCATTCCTTTATTCTTATTTAGTCTTTCAAAATTTATATCAGAGGCTGGGCATGGTGGCTCACGCTTATAATACCAGCACTTTGGGAGGCTGAGGCGGGCGGATCACTTGAGGTCAGGAGTTCATGACCAGCCCGGCTGACATGGTGAAACCCCATCTCTGCAAAACAATATAAAAATTAGCCGGGCATGGTGGTGGGTGCCTGTAATCCCAG
Source organism: Homo sapiens (assembly GCF_000001405.40). Classification (NCBI taxonomy): domain Eukaryota; kingdom Metazoa; phylum Chordata; class Mammalia; order Primates; family Hominidae; genus Homo; species Homo sapiens. The sequence goes on along the minus strand of NC_000003.12, from coordinate 148,905,209 downwards.
GTACTCGGGAGGCTGAGGCAGGAGAATCACTTGAATCCGGGAGGCGGAGGTTGCAATGAGCCGAGATCATGCCATTGCAGTCCAGCCTGGGCAACAAGAGCGAAACTCCATCTCAAAAACAAAACAAAAAACAAAAAACAACAACAAAAACCAAAATGTATACCAGAAACGTATTTGGTTTAGAATAAGATAAAGGAATAAAAGATCTTTAACTCTTATGAAGTTATTTTATTAAAAAATTAATACTTAAATAGGAAATACACTGGACATGCCAAATCGTGAGGCTGCCCTAATCCAAGGTTGCCCTAATCCAAGGCCTGAGGAAAGGCGATTCATCTCAGACGTGCTCTCTATGGACCAAATACAATGAACAGTTGGGTTGCAATGAGGCTGGGAAGCAGACTATTTAGATGATTTTGGGAGAAAGTGGAAATTTGGGAAGGGGGCTAGGGAGAATAGGATTGTATTACGTTAATCTTCTTTTTTTTTTTTTTGGAGATGGAGTCTCACTCCGTCGCCCAGGCTGGAGTGCAGTGGCGCTATCCCGGCTTACTGCAACCTTTGCCTCCCAGGTTCAAGCGATTCTCCTGCCTCAGTCTCCCAAGTAGCTGGGATTACAGGCATGTACCACCACACCCAGCTAATTTTGTGTATTTAGTAGAGACGGAGTTTCACCATGTTAGTCAGGCTGATCTCGAACTGCCAACCTCAGGTGCTTCTCCCACCTCAGTCTCCCAAAGTGCTGGGATTACAGGCTTGAGCCACCGCGCCCGGCCCCTGTATTAAGTTTTTCTTCCCAATTCTTCTCTTTCCAGTCTTCTGCCAAAAAGCCTAGACTTGTTTCTTACAGTTTCTTCATTTCTCGGTCTTTGTAAAAGATTAATTGGAGCAGACACAATTGAGCTTTGTCAAGTGGCAATATCAGGGGATGCCTGCACCTAAGAAAGTCCTCAGATTATCCCATTACCCTGTTTCTATGACAGCCAAAGAATCAAATCAGTTGGAATCTTTCCTTACTCTTCATGAAACAAATGCTATTAACTCCAAAAATACTTCTGCAAATATTTCTCACAGAATTTTCCCAGTTTTACTATTAAGAAAGTGACTGCTCACCACCAAAGGAATTTTTATAATGATTTTGAAGCCAGAGTTTTCTCAGTTGGATGTAGCCATAATGAACCCACCCCTGGGCAGAAGTTACATTTTTTTATGTTCCCAAAGTGGATTTGGATATGACATTTAACATAAAACTTAAAACATTTTAAAATTCAATAAATTAATACATAAAATGTAAAATATGAATATGAATAATAAAATTGTCAGTTATAAAATCTGTAGAATCAATATTTCAGAGCAAGGACTATTTATTATATTTAATTATTTCTGTATATTTCTAAACTGTTTTAATGTGTAATGGGTTTAAAATATGTAAACCTGTGTTCCCACACCTGGTTTTGTTTCTTACAAACATTTTAATAGAAGATAGGAATTGAAATGGAACTGTTATCCTAATTTCTTCTCTTATTTGATTTGTCTGTAATTTTAATTAAAGATAAAACCTATGAGTAAATTTTTTTGCCAATAAACTGCAATAAATAAATAAAGATCGCCAAAATTATTGAAGAAATAATAGTTGAAAAAATAGAAAATTTTAAAATTATTCTGCATCAGTGGTTCTCAAAGTGTGGTTCTTGGACTAGGAGTATCAGCATTACCTGGGAACTCATTAAAAATGCAGGTTTATGTGCCCCATCCAGGACATATTGTTTTATGAAACTCCGTGAGTAAGGCTCAGCAGTCTGCTTTAGTGAGCCTCCCAATGCATACTCAAGTGTGAGAATCCCTAGTTCAGAAGAGTGTCTGATGGGTCATTATGACGATGTACCTTTAGCCTGTCTTGACAATTAGAATTTAAACTGATGACTCATAAATTAGACAATCTTGCTTTCTCTGCCTTATAGAGAAATGATGACCATTGGACAGTGTAGTGTAATGGAAAGAATTTAAATTTTAAAGTGGGAAGATCTAGTTTTCAAGTTGCAACTTTATATATGTGAGTCACTGAAGTACTTTGAGTCATAAGTTTCTAATATATAAAAGGGGATAATATAACCTTCCCCCAACTTAGTCTCATAGACTTGTGATCAGATGCAGATGTGCATGCAAAGGCAATTAAAACATTACCAGTACTATGCAAATGTTACTTTTCATAAGCACATTACTGCCAGTATGATTGCAATTCTCAAAACTTGCCTTTCTCACCTCCCCACTCTTTGCCCTGTGAAAATTTAATTATCTCTCTAAGTTTTGCAAAGTAGAGATTAAAAAAAAAAGAAATTAGAGGTTTTTTGAATAAGAAAAAAAAATCAGAGTTCTCGCAAATTGTTTTATATATGAAATGGTACATATGGATCTTTTTTTTTTGTTTCATGAGTAGTCTTTTAAGCTTTTAATCCACCACGTAAAATGAAGCAATAGCACACTTCAGTGATACCATGGCAATAATAATGCATTTGGAATGTTAAGTGTCAAATTTCCCTCACATATTTCAAAAATTGTTTTACATTTTTCTGGTTTAACCTCTCTTGACACCAGTGAACTTGAGGCTTGTAATTGAAGGATAAGTGAGCAAAAAAGCAGTTTAAGTGATAATATATCCATTTCAATTCCTGTTTTCTGGACGGAGACCTTTTATGCTAAGTTCATGTGAGAGTAAATTTTTATGACAAAATTATAACCCTCAGATAGATATTACTCAGGCAGGCTGAGATCTGTCCTGGTATAATGGATCTTGTGACAATGAAATGCAAGAGAGTCTCCCAAAAGCTTTGCCTAAGAAAATTCTGACAGTAGCCTATATATATGCTGACGAAATTTTCAAGATGCTATTATGACTCATTATAGAAAAATGGCTTGGCATTTTAATCATGAAATACAATTGTGTTAAAAAGGAGTAGAAAGAAGTGTAAAGCCATAATCTTTGAAATATTGCCATGTATTCATATTAGCCTAACTATTTAGAAAATGTAGCTTTCAAAGTGGTTTTATGCAATAAAATCTTCTAGTTTGGAAGGGGCCATGTATTTCTTTCCCTTAATTTGAGTTCCACGCATAATTTTCTGTATGTCACCAATTGAATGAAAAGGAGGCATCTTATGCAACCAGAGGTAATCTGAACTTTACATAATTCTCCATGAGTTTGTTCTTCCCTAATAATAGAACACTGCTTTTCCCATTTCGGTGGGTTAATGTTTTTTGAGGGAAACATGTAAGGATCCCTCAAAATATCATAGCATGCCCAGTTAAAAATATTACATCATTTGTAAGGACCACAATATTATTACAAATAAGTTGGCAGAATTTAATCATTTCGTACAATTTTGAGATATTTAATTTTCCTGGTTTTGTTCAGTAAAACTGTTTTATATTTTCCAGCCATCTAAGGGAAATTTTATATTCTTTTCAAAAGATCATCATAAAACAAAGAAAAAATCAATAGTAAGAAACAAAAATAAAAAGGGGGCAAATGACTATACAAACAAAAATTCCAGAGTTAAAATTAATTTTTACTTTAATGTGTGAAAACGTGATTTCAAATTATGTTTGGTTTTGTATTCAATTATGCTTAAACTTTTGAGGGTCCATAACTCCCATATTGTAAGAATCTGATGAAAATTTTGCACACAGGAAAATGTACACATGCACATGCACACATTACTTTATACCCCATCGTAGTGGAACTTGGTGAAGAACCACACTTGAGAGCAGCAATTGCACCTGTTGTTTTGATACTGTCCAACACTTACCTCAAGTAGGAACCACCTGAGCCAACTCCTTTTAAGACAAGTGTACTTTGTCCCAAATACAAAGTGGAAATTAGTGGGTTAACTTGGTGAGTATCTATTATCTCAAATTTTAATAAAAAGCTATGAGATAAGCAGGGCAGGTAAAAGGTGACAGTGTCTTGCTAGATATCATTCAGTAACAGAGTCAGGATTCAAGCCCAAACCTCCTGATTTCTCGCTCTGTGATTTTGCATAACACTACATTATCCTCCAAGGATTTCCATCTGTGACACATCTGGAACTGTTATACCTGTTGTTTCTGGCTTGCTACATCAGTTAGGATTAGGCTTGATTGTAAAGAATAATAATCCAAATTAACAGTGGTTTCACTAAAGAGGACCTTCATTTCTTTTTCATGTTCAAATCCTAAGGTAGGTGGTCCAAGCCTTGATTAGCATCCCTGCTTGGTGAAGTCCTGAAAGGCCCAGGCTCCTTTTGTCATTTTCTTTGCTTCAGTTTTCAAGATCATCTGTGGTCCAAGATGACTGCTCAGCGTCAGCCATCACAATTATATTGCAGCCAAAAAGAAGAGAGAGAAAAAAGAGCCAAAGTGTTCCAGAGGTCTTTGAAGTGAGCTTTCTGGACTTTGCAATATGATGCTGCTTCTTACAACTCATAGACCAGAATAGTCCAATTATTGAATATTGTCCTGTGTGCATCCATTATTTAGTTTATAAAAGGTACAAAAGCTTTACACCATTTTACTTGAGTTAGTATGCAGTTTAATATTTCTGTTTTTCTCTTTCTTTCTTTTTTTTTTAGACAGAGTCTCGCTCTGTCGCCCAGGCTGGAGTGCAGTGGTGCGCTCTCGGCTCACTGCAAGCTCCACCTCCCGGGTTCACACCATTCTCCTGCCTCAGCCTCCCGAGTAGCTGGGACTACAGGCGCCCGCCACCATGCCCGGCTAATTTTTTGTATTTTTAGTAGAGACGGGGTTTCACCGTGTTAGCCAGGATGGTCTCAATCTCCTGAACTCGTGATCCACCCGCCTCGGCCTCCCAAAGTGCTGGGATTACAGACGTGAGCCACCGCGCCCAGCCTAATATTTCTTTTTACAATCAGAGAGAAAACATTACCTGAGTAACTAAAAATAAAAAATCCTAACAAGACCATTCCTCATTCTAACTGAATAGTTTGTGAATGGCATCCCAGAGTATTTTCCTTCTTTGACTTCATATGAATTGTGAAAATGAATATGTGAAGACTAATATCTATATTAAAGTTAAAACACTAAAACTTTATTTTACTTATGAGAAAATTTGAGTAGTCAATCCTATGATTCTATTTGCAAGGAGTTTGGAAATAGAACCTTTATTTGTATGGCCATGTGCCTGCTTCAAAACTGCCTGCTTCAAACCTATTATAAGGGAGAATAGAATGAAGAAAGAGGGCAAGGAAAAGAGGAGAGATTTTAGAGAACACTATGCAGTCTCTGAGGGTCAATGGTCAGGAACAGTTTCTAGACTCCATTGCGTCTTTTAGATGCTCAAATAAATGAGTATTTAAGTAAGGTTCCTTGCTGCTGCTGCTTTGTATGATTTATATCCTGGGAAATTTAACATTAACTTAATACTGCAATACTTCACTGTAGATTTGGGGGACCAATGCATATTCTCTTTTAGAAAACCTCCCATTTCCATTTTCTATATTAAAGATAAAAGGTTAGTTTATGCACTGGGAACCACATGGTGGGGCCAAGAAGAGTTCTCTGTCCTTGACCTTTTCCCGTGTCCAGAAAAGCACAACATCCGTCCCTTTGGAAAGGTCAAAATAATTTAAACTTTTTTTTTTTTTTTTTTTTTTTTTTTTTTTTTTTTGAGATAAGGAGGCTAGGAGAGAACATGAGGACAGAGAAAATTTGTGTCTTTGCAGTGACATGTTCTAAGTTTCTTTGGGGGTTACTTCTTTATTTTTTCATCTAAAGAAAATCAGGCATAGATGTTTGTGTTAAATGAGAAACAGATACTCTTGTCAGTAAGCCTAATGTTCACTTAGCCAATGAGCACTTCTGTGGTCAAAGAACATATCCAATGTGTCAAATGTGGGGAAGGGACCTCTGATATGACATTTAAAGATCAGTTTGGAGTCATAAGACTTACTGGAAACATTTATTTGCATAAGTAAAAATAAGATGTTTCATTTTTTCATAATAGAGATGTACATCTCAGATGTGCACCTCAACAATTAGATATTGCTATAAAAGAACACATTTTCAAAATATGAAACAATGCCTCTTGAGTGAGTTTTATAGCAAGAAAATTGGAAAATGAATGATGATATATATATATTTACATATGTATTTTGTATATATGTATATACACATATATATTTTGTGTATCTATGTACATACACATATGTATGTGTGTGTGTATGTGTGCATATGTATATTTGAGTCAGAGTTTTGCTCTGTCATCCAAGTTGGAGTGCAGTGGTGTGATCTTGGCTCGCTGCAGCCTCGACCTCCTGGGCTCAAGCAATCCTTTTGCTTCAACTTCCCAAGTAGCTGGGACCACAGGTATGTGCCATCACAGCTGGCTAATTTTTTATTTTTATTTTTTTGTAGAGATAAGGTCTCACTTTATCACCCAGACTTGTCTTGAACTCCTGGGCTCAAGTGATCCTCCCACCTTGGCCTCCCAAAATGTTGGGATTACAGGTATGAGCCACCGTGCCTGGCCTCTGTCAAGAATATTGTTATGTGATAGCACAACTTGTAACTTGGGTACAAAGCCCTTTTACTGATAGATGAGAAATGAAAAGGGAAGAATCACAGCACTTGCCACTCAAACTTTCTCATAAATAAGGTAAAATTTTAGTTTTTTAACTTTAATGTAGATATTTGTCTTCACATATTTATTTTCACAATTCATATGCAGTGAAAGAAGTAAATGCCCTCAGATGCCATTCAAAAACTATTTAATTAGGATGAGATCTTGTTAGGATTTTTTATTTTTAGCCACTCAGGCTAATTTTTTTTCTGATTGAGAAAAAATATTAAGCTGCATAATAATTCAAATAGTGTGTTCAACTTTTGTGTCTTTATAAACTGAATAATGGATGGACATGGGATAATATTCTGCAATTGGGATTATCTCTTTTATCTCCTCCATCTAAAGGCTCAATGGAATTAGAGGTATTTATATGAATTTTAGGGTTAGAATATATTTCAGTCCTTTCTCATTTGAGTAAGTAAGTGTGAATGAGTATATAATTCCAATATGGCATGTATAATGAAACAAATTTACATTCCCACGTTCTGAAGCTAGTTTGGAATGCTAAATATTTAGACATAGATACCATATTTTTAATCAGACAATATAATCTCATAGCCACATTTTTCTCTTTTAGTTTCTTGACTCTGTCACCTTCCCCTTCTCCCCTTGTAAAGCAATTTTGTTAGTTTACATTTGCTTTTCCTGGACAATTTTGCATGGGAAACTTTTATCTACCTCATGACTATCAGAACACACCATCATCTTGTAGCTTTGATGCCATCCTTTCTTTTATGTGTCCCTAAAGGATTCATGAGGCATGTCCCAGATTGTTTATTGACTTGACTTCTCAGGACCTTTCCCAGTCGTTGAAAACTGTCTGGGGTGTTCTGAGAAGTAAGTTTACTGGAAGTCAAGGAACTCTCTACTTGTCCCTCAAATTATAGTCAGTCCTGTGGTGGGCATCTGTGTCTGGATTCTGGGAATGTAGACACTGCCACTGTTGCCACTTGATCACACATTGAGGTATTGGTGTTGGGGAGAAGCTATCCAATAATACTATCTTAAATAATAGGAGTATAAATGGTACAAATGCAGCAAGTTACCCTGATTGCCTTTGGTCAACATGACTTTCCGTCCTCAACTTACAGTATGTTTCCAGGTTTCCTTTCTATCCATTAGGAGGGCAGGGGTCACAGCTGACCAGACTGTCTTGTCTGTGTCTGTACCGGCAAACAGATGTTTTAGCAGGTGGTTTCTTCTGATTATGGCAGGTTAAATTAAACTATTTTGAATTTAATGTACATTATGCTGATGAGAACTGGATCGGTTATTTAAAGGACTGAGATTCATCTCTATATGAACCACTTTATTTCCTGCTAGGACATCCTTTTGCTTTTTTGAAGATATAAACAATGTCTACTTCTATCAGAAAAAGATAGACAAATTATGTTTTTGAAAATTGAAGATATTATTTCTTATTAACAGACTGAATGAATGGCATTAATATTGATTATTAATGCTATAGAGAAATACAGAGAATATAGTTTATCATAAAAAGATGAATTTTAAAGCATTAAGTGCATTTTATTTTATTGTATTAGCACATAAATTGATGAAGCCACATGGTGAAAATCTGTGAGAAACTGAAGGTTTTCATTTGTTTTCTGTGCCCCACTGTATATCACCTTTCAAAATAATGCTTTCTGCTGGGTCCAAACTTCACTTGGAGCAAAGAAAGGTAGTTAAAAGGTTTCACTTAAAGCTACTTCGTTATGGTGCTACTGAAAGTAAGTAAAAGCAAACAGCAGTAACATGGGACTTAAATGAGCAAGAGAAGGATTCAGGTGAAATAGAAGCTGCATTTGGGGATAACTGAAGATTGACTTTCTGATGAAAGGCACAAAAAAGGATTAATTGGCTTATTCCAAACAGAGGGCAGTTCTTTAGGAAGTATGCTTGAGGATATACTTGGCAATAAATTTGACAGCTAGCATGGTCTCTCTGCACGTTGGCTTTATCCGGGATTCTGGAAGGAGAAAACCAAATTTGCCTTTATCTCGGAGCTCAAAGGCAAATGTGTGTTTGATGCCCAGGTCATAAGCCCAGTCTAAAGAAGAACCTGATATCGGGTCTGTAAAACACAAGCAGTAAATATTTAATTAGAGACAAATGCTAATGTTTTTTTAAAGTGGAAATCAGTGGTGTATAATTAGCAATAAAAAATAGTTATGTGTGCAGTTAATTGCAGTAATGAATGAGAGTAGTGGTCTGAATAGTACAGAGTGCATAGTAAAGCATAATCATGACTTTGGAATCCACCCAGTGTGTGCTGCGTTTAAAAAATTACATTTTGGTTGGGTGAGTAGTAAGTTGAGTTTATTTCCTAGGCACACATTGTTGCAGATGGACGTGTTGAGGACAAGTACCCAGAGCAAGTGCTAGCAGCTGAGGAAACCAGCTAAGGAGTCACTGGTCGTTGAAAACCACCAGGGAAAAACTATACACACAAGATACATAGAATTGCATTTCTTCTAATAGCTTAGGTCTCTTGTTTTTCATGTTGCTAGGGTAAACTATTTCATAGTCAAAAGACCAAGAAAATGTAATTTAGTTATTTTAAAGACATATTTAATCTCCTAATTCAAAATTTCCATGTCAACTTTTATGAAATTTAACTCAAGGTTCTATTTTTTGGTAAAAACATTGGAAATATAAACACACATCTAAAGGTTATATACATATAACTCACATCTAGAGGCTATATACATATACAAGTGCATATACATATCATAATTGCATTTATGTGCTCACATTTTGCTTTATGTGATATAAAAGGTTTTTTTTGTATGTGAAGGCATTTATGTTCTAGGACAAGTAATGAGTTTAACTAATAATAACAGTTTGAAAGATCTGAAAAATTTGAAAGATAAGAATTCAAAGCTGCGATGAAAGAGAGAAGGGATATTTTGATGAAGAGATAGTGTTGGCTCTTAAATTGGTCACCAAATATTTATTAAACCTTTAATATTTACAAGACACATTTCTTGGCACTGGGGAGAGTAATTGTTGCAGGGTACAAAAATGCAGAAGATGCCACTGGTGTCTTCAGTAACTTACAATTTAGGAGGCAGAAGTCAAGGTATAAGTCAATAGAGGCAGAGCAGAATATGCTAAGTACCATAGAAAAGGTACAATATTTTACCAAGATTTAAAAGAAAAAAGAGATTATTCTTGATGAGGAGTATGGCCTTTCATGCCCAGTGCCAGCTCAAATACTGCCTTCATGATGGAGGAGATGGTATTGGAGGAGAGCCTTGAAGAAAGGCTAGTGTGTTTTCAGCTGGAGATGGAAGAAAGGAATTCTAGCCAGTGAACTACAAGGATAGAAAAGCATGGAGGCATTGTTAGAAACCAACGAGATCCAGCTGGACCAGAGCAAAGGGAGCAGTGAGAGTTTGTGAGTAAAGCTTGGAAAACCTTGTGAATCGGGACTAGGTGTTTAGATTTTCTTTTGGAGGCCTTCTAGTACTTTAGGTTTGTTAATCTGGATTGAAAAGAATAGAAACCAGTTATGAAGTAGTGTGAAATGAAAGCCTGACTAGGGTAGAGTCACCACATTAGAAACAACTGAGGGATTCTACATAAGAAACATTGGGATTTCATAAAAATGATTGATGTTTCAATCTGGGTAGCTGGAAAAAACATACTGTTAAATGGGAACTCAGAGAGCATTGGGATGGGAAAAAGAAAAGGCAAAGGAAGACAAAGTGATACGTTTAACATCAATCAGACATTCAAGAAAGAGCTTGGAAAAATGAATGTTTAAATTATTGGCATAGACATCATAGGTGAAATTGGTGTGCACACATTTAGGATCATTATTTTCTTGGTGGGATGGATCCTTTTATCATTGTTAATGTCTCTGTCACTAGCAAATTTCTTTGCTCTGAAATTCACTTTATCTGATACTTAATGTAGCTATTCTTCCTATGGCATAGTATATCTTTTCCATCATTCTCATTTCAACTTATCTGTGTTGTTATATTGGAAATGAGTTTCTTATAAACAGCATATTGTTGAATTATAATTTAAAAAATTCATTCTGCCCATGTGTCTTTAATTAGTGCGTGTAGGTAAATTATTGATATGACTTAAACATGCCATTATTTCTTTTTTTTTTTTTGTTCTTTCTGTTTTTATCCCTTTATCTTTTTTTTCTTGCTTTACACCTTCCTCTTGGTTACATGACATTTTTAGGATTCCATTTGATTGATTTATAGTCTCACTTGCTTAGTTTTCTTAATGGTTGCTCCAGGTACTATAATACACATACATAACTTACCACAGTCTAATGGTATTGACATTTTACTATGTCAAGTGAGGTGTAGAAACTTTACTTCCTTTCAGATCCTTTTTCCCTTCCCACTTTTAAAGTACAATTGTCTTGAGTACTTCTCTACATACATTGAACATCACATCAAACAGACTTACAATTTTTGATTCAATCATCATGTGGAGAAAGATAGTCTATTATTTAATTTATTTATTTATACTGAATCCATTTTTCTTCCTTCCTCTCTGCAGTTCCAAGCCTTTTGCTGTGATTATTTCCTTCTTGTTCAGAGGGTTCTTTTAGCCATTAAGAGTAGGTGTGCGGGGCACACATCTGCTGATTTCCCTTTGTATGAGAATGTCTTATTCCCTCCTTCATTTCTGAATATTTTTGCAATACATTGAATTTATTGAATTTAGGGTTGATAGGTGTTTTCATTCAGCACTTGAGAAAATGTCACTTCCTTTTGACTTCCATGGTTTCACATGAAAAATCTGCTGTCACTGGAACTGTTTTTAACTCTAGATCATTTCTGTCTGATTCCTTTTACGACTTGTTTCTTTGTCTAGTTTTCAGAAGTTTAATTATGATGTACTTTGATGTGAGTTTCTCTGGGTTATTCCTGTTTGGGTTTCACTCAGCTACTTGACTATGTTAGTTTATGTCTTTGTCAAATGTAGGATATTTCAGCTTTTATTTCTTCAAACATTTTTTTTCCAGCTCCTGTTCCCTTTATTTATCTTTTCCTTGGACCGATGACATGAATGTTGGATATTTTATTATGCCATTTGTTCCTGAGGCTTTGTTTAGTTATTTATTTTTGTTTATTTTCTGTCTTCAGAGCGAGTGAATTATATTGCTCTGTCTTTAAGTTCACTGATTCTTCCCTCTGTCATATTTATTCTGCTATTAAGCCCTTCCAGTTTTTTTGTTGTTCAAGTTATTACATTTTCTAGTTCTATGGTTTCCATTTGGTTCCTTTTTGTATCTTATATTTATTTCTTTGATGATAGTTTCCATTTCTTCATTTGTTTCAAGGCCATCTGTAATTGTTTGTTGAGGCATTTTTTTTTTAATGATGGCAACTTTGAAATTCTTTTCCAATGTTTGAAACTGCAATCATCTCAGTGTTGGCATCTGTGGATTATCTTTTTGTATTCAAGCTGTAATTTTTCTTGTTTTTAGTATTACAAGCGATTTTTGATTATATTCTGGACATTTTAGCTATTACATTAAATAATAAATTGTAACTTAAATCTTCAATTTAGCAGGTAATCACCCTGTTCAGGTTTAGTAAACAGGCCCTGGCCTACTTTTGTGTCTTGTGATACTGATGACAATATAGTATTTTTTTTTTTCTTTTGAGATGGAGTCTCACTCTGTCACCCAGGCGAGAATGCAATGACACAATCTTGGCTCACTGCAACCTCTGCCTCCCAGGTCCAAGTGCTTCTCCTCTCTACAGGCGCCTGCCACCACACCTGGCTAACTTTTGTATTTTTAGTAGAGACAGGGTTTCACCATATTGGTCAGGCTGGTCTTGAACTCCTGACCTCAGGCAATCTGCCTACCTCGGCCTCCCAAAGTGCTGGGATTACAGGCATGTGCCACCACACCCAGACAGTTTTGCTTTGGTTTTTTGTTGTTGTTGTTGTTGTTGTTTTTGAGATAGAGTCTCACTTTGTTGCCCAGACTGAAGTGGAGTGGTACGATTTCAGCTCACTGCAACCTCTGCCTTCCAGGTTCAAGCAATTCTCCTGCCTCGGCCTCTTGAGTAGCTGGGACTACAGGTGCGTACCACCACACCTAGCTAATTTTTGTATTTTTAGTAGAGACCGGGTTTCACCATGTTGGCCAGGCTGGTCTCGGACTCCTGTTCTCAGGTGATCCTCCCACCTTGGCCTCCCAAAGTGCTAAGATTACAGGCATGAGCCACCGTGCTCAGCTGACAATATAGTTTTCAAAGCCTTTGCATTGCTATTTTGGTCTGGTTGGTTCACTTAGTGGGTAAAAGGTGATTGCCTGGTGCCCTAGGTAACAAATGAGGGATTCCAGCCTGTGGGGATAGAGGTTATTTCTTGATGAGGAGAGTCAGAAGTAAGAGGAGGGACCTGAGGAGAGAACCTGAGGAAGTATCCATATATTGTACCCTATTTTTTGGAAAATGTCTACTTTTAGAAGCAGTCAGTGGGAGAGTAGAAAAAAAGGAGGAGGAGGAAGAAGAGAACCAGTAGAGTTCAAAGTCAAGGAAGCCAAAGGAATGGCAAGAAGTTATTAACAGGGTCAAATATTGCATGTAATTTATGGAGCACGTGAGCTGAAATATAGAGACTGGCTTCAGTGATCAAACAGATTGCCACTTTTAGCTAGTTGGATTTAAGTTCATGAGAAAGAAATCACACTAAGATGCAAGCTTGGTAGCAAAGGAGGTAAAGTAAATAGGAATTATGTCTTGTAATTTAGGATATGTTAGACATTTTAATAAACTTGGCCAGTTCCTAGTTGCAGTAGCTCTCTATTTGCAGTCGAGTAAACTGCTGTGATTTCCAAGGGTTAAAGGGCATGGCTATTCTATTTTGAGAGATTTACTTTATGTGGAGTTTGTCATTAAGATTAATAGTGGTGATTGAGAATATATGGAATTTGATTTTTCATAATTATGTGATGCTATGAAGTAGAATACATTTCATATCTTCTAGATCTTAAATTTGCAAACAAAACTATATCAAGTCATAAAGTAAATACAACATTGCAAGTTTTTACTTTGAGAAAAAAATATAGAATTTGTGTGTGTGTGTGTGTGTATGTGTGTGTGTGTGTGTGTGTGTGTGTGTGTATGTGACAGGGTCTTGCTCTGTTACCTTGGCTGGAGTGCGGTGGCATGATCATGGCTCACTGTATCCTCGACGTCCCAGGCTGAAGTGATACTTCCACCTCAGCCTCCTGAGTAGCTGGGACTACAGGTGTGCATCACTGTGCCTGGCCAGAACTTAATTTGTTTAACATGATACTTAGCCTTTTCTTTATCTCCATGTGTACCTACTAAAACATGTGTATGCATTTATAAAATACAGTAATAATCACTTGCTAAATACCAAGTACCCTTCTATGTGCTTTATGCATGTTAACTCATTTAATTAATTCCTATCCCAAATGTAAGTAACAATTACCATTTTACCGAAGAAGAAACCTAGGCTCAGAGAGATTAAGCAACTTGCTGAAAAACACATAGCTAGTAGATGGTCGAATCAGGATTCAAGCCCAGGTGGTGTCTTCAGAGTTCATGTTGTTAATCATTGTACTGTGCTACCTATGTGCCACTCTATATACTAGCCAATACCAAGTCTTTACTCAGTTCTATAAGATAATTTTGTTTTTGTTGACAGCATATTCTGAGTATGTTCAACATTAAGAAAATATTTCCTACTTATTTCAAGGCACAATATTGGTTGCAACAAATTCAATGAGAACAAATCAAAATGAAACCGTACCAAACTAGAAATCTGATTTCAGCCCAAAGGGATCCATATAAAGTGACGTTGGTGACTTAATGTGTGCTGCATTTATTGCTTACTTGATACAGTGTTTTCTGAAAAATTGTATCGTTTTAAAAAATATTATTTAAATGTATTCAATATAATAACCTGTACTTTTATATTAATACTAAGTGAAAATTATATTAGAAGCAAGAGCTGAAGCCAGAGATACATGGGCATACACTGAAATATTTTCTCTGTAATATCAGTTTGAATGTCTCTTAGTAAGTAGAGATCTGGTGTTATGAACTACAAGTCTTAACTTTTCTTTTTCAGAATGTAAATTTTGAAAAAGTAGAATATGTAGAATATGGAAAAAGAGCACTGGGTTGAGAATCAGTGGTAGATCTAGCAATTTTGGTACACAAAGGAAGCTACAAGAAATGTACTTTGAAATTAACTTTTTAATTCATGATGTGACTCACAGATGAATTTTATTACTAATGCAATCTTGGTTCTTATCAACTCAAATAACTATTCTTGCTCACTAGGTACTATGTTTAGTTATTTCTAAGATGATGAAGGATTGGATATGCTGTTTATATGCAAATATAATCATTTCACATTAAACATTACTATTTACTTTTTTGTGCCATCTCAATATTGCTGCTTTGGGGCAAAGTGGTAGGTATACCATTTTAACTCTGGTGTTGAATGCTGATTTTTGTTTTTCTTCTGCCCTAAAGTGATGAAATATTTCTGTATCTGAATTTCAGTCTATAAATGAGAAGTTTTGCTTAGATCAGCGATTCTCAACCCTAGTTTCATCTTAGAATCACTTAAGGTACTTAAAAAAAAATTGAGTGCCGAGCTCCTCCTCAGACTGATGAAATCAGAATCTCTGGGGGCTGGGGGTATAATCATTCATGTATTTTAAAAGCTTCCTGATGATTCTTTTTTTTTTTTTTTTTTGAGATGGAGTTTTGCTCTTTCACCCAGGCTGAAGTGCAGTGGCGTGATCTTGGCTCACTGCAACCTCCGCCTTCTGGTTTCAAGTGATTCTCCTGCCTCAGCCTTCTGAGTAGCTGGGATTACAGGTGCCCACCATTACGCCCAGCTAATTTTTGTATTTTTAGTAGAGATGGGGTTTCACCATGTTGGCCAGACTGGTCTCAAACTCCTCACCTTGTGATCCGCCCTCCTCAGCCTCCCAAAGTGCTAGGATTACAAAAGTGAGCCACCAGGCCTGGCCAGCTTCCTGATGATTCTAATGGGAAGTCAGGCTTGAGAACCATGGAATAGATCATTGCCTATGTTTCTCCCTGGTTTCAAAATTTATGATTTTAACTTATCTGATATGTTTGCCTCTCATGTTCAAAGAGCAAACATATATATATTTTTTTCTAAAGGCCAGAGATCCTCCATAAGTTGAGTTTAAAAAATGCTCCCCCAGTCCTTTTTTTTCTGTCTTCATCAAGTCGAAGACAGGAAATCACTGACAAATGCTAGATGCTGTTCCTAAATCTGGGGACATGTTAAGTGACAATCAGGTTATTGGAATGACTAAACTTTAATCACATTTTTATTTTTTATTCTTACCAAGTCAACTGCTTTGCTACCCTGTTTCTCATGCATGTTTGATTAACATTCTATCAGATGCTTTATTAAAGCAGTCTGTTCTAGAAATCTTGATCGTTTATCAAGCTGCTGCAGCACTGCGTGACAAAGGCAATTCTTTCTAAATCTCAATGCCTTTAAAATGTTGTAGTATAATGTAATAAAAATTTTAAATAATGCTGCACAGTTAAACAGAATAGTAATCCCTCTTGACTGTATCTTTCCATTTTGAAAGTGACACATGATGGCATGGAGCTATGGTAGTTTTGGCTCTCCGCTCCTTCCACTTAGAATGTGACTTCCTTAAGAGTAGTTTATTGTGTCCTAAGTCCTCTCATTTATCTCTGAAAGCTCCAAAGTGCTAGCCTGCTAGCTAGGTACACCATATATTTTTGTTCATTAAGAGGTCTTAATGCAATGCTATGCACAGCTCTGTATTCTCATACTTTTGTGGATACACACACACGGATAATTATTTGATGCTTTAATTGCCTTTTGCAAAGTTTGTTCCTGTTTGGAATGCTTTGTTCTTTGCCTCTAAGACTATCTGTGGGTTTTTCTTGCTTAGAGGAATTGCTCTCATGTGGTGTCTGGGTGGCCAATCTGGCCCTGCTATTTATTAGTATCTACTAAGTGGGCTGCCATTTTAAACTGATCTTCTAGTCTGTCTTCTTGTTCTTTACTTTGCTTACTTTTTGTCCACTCACATAGCTGGGTACATAACATGTATTTTGAAATCTTGTGGTCATCCACCTGTATGTGTAATGAGTCCCCAGCATGGCTAGGTTGTAGCAAGATCTATGTGGATGCTGGGGATCATCTGTATCACTACACTTTTTCTTCAGCACCTTAACAGTGACTGGTTGATAGGTGATTGTTAATGAATGTGCTCGAGGAAAGGGACTTGTCCATTTTTTAGTCATTTTCCAGTTCTGCCAAAGAAGCATCTAATAAGTAAGTCCTAGAAACTGTATATGTTGATTCCGGCATTTTCAAATTCCATCGCAATTGCTGAGGATGTAGACTTTCAGTTCAAAGTTTATACTTTCAGCTTGGAATACGAAAGTGACTTAAAAACTGTGGTCAGGTAAAATTGTTGCAAGGAATCCTGAATTCATATGCACATATGTATTTTTTAATGCACAGATTCTAAAAGTGTAATAAAAATATGAGTGTATCTTTGGTGGTGGAAGGGTTGTTCATGAAATTTTTAAAAGTTAAATGGTAGTCTTAATGCTAAACACTGTTGGATATTTGGTCTAGAGAGTGATGCAGGCTTAATCAAGTCCAGTACTGTTGTGGTTTCAACTCACATTCACTTCTTTTGAATAAGCCAGGACACCATTATCATTGAGCAAGTTTATGGGAACTAATTCTGCTGTTGTTCCATGCCGTGCACTGTACTATATGTTACAGGGTCTAAGAGGAAATCTGAAGCATAATTCTTGCTTTTGAGAAGTTTCATGGGGAATTTTGTATAAATTTTGAGACTAAGAACTGAAGCTTGAACTTGGTTTGGAGAAAAGGTAGTTTTTACTAAATAATTCCCAAACTAAGCTTAGTGGGAGTTGCTGTAAGAGCAGAAAGTGGTCTCACTTCCCAGGATCTGAGTTAATTGTCTTCGGTGATACTCAAATGGATTTTTTGGCTGTTCATTGCAAATAGAAAATCCTGGATATTTCAGCTACAAAATCCAAATGCACAAACAGTATGTGCAGTGGTCAGGATCAGGGCTTTTGTTTGTTAAAATCTGAGATTGAGTTCCAGCTTCGCCGGTTACTAATAACTGGGAAATACTACTCCCCACCTCATAGGGTTGTTGTGAAGCTTGAGATTGTGAAAATCAAGGGGTAAGCACAGTGCCTAACTTGTAAAGACTCCATAAAAATTTGCAGATATTATTTAGTATAAAGTATGGGAGTTGGCAAATCCTGGTCAGCCTCCTGTTTCTGTGAATGAGGTTTTATTGGCACATAGTCACCCATTTGCTGACTTATTGTCTATGGCCGTTTTTGAGCTATGATTCTCCGGTTGAGTACCTGCAACAGAAACTGTACCTCCACAAAGCCAAAGCTATTTACTATCTGGCCCTTTACAGAAAAAAAAATTACTGATTTCTTTTATATAGAATAAGAGACAAGAAAATCAAGGCCAAGAAATCCAAGTCAATAACTTAAAAACACACAAAGACAACATAAATTTAAAAATAGGGAAGAGTAAGAAATGGTGCTGAGAGTATGAAACAAAAGTGACAGAACTAGAGTCTTGTGATCTCCCTTCTAGTTCACCATACAGATTTCGGCTGAACATAGTGAGAAGGAGCAAGTGAGAAGGAGAGATAACTTGTTTTACACGACCAGAGGAGCTGAAACTGATTTTCTATCTGTTTTCCTATCCTAGCTGTTTTTCAGCTAGGGAAAAGACCATACTTACATGTAGACAAGGCAAGTAAGAAAGAGTCCAGTTAAAGTTAAATGGTTAAAAAAAATGTAGACTCTACTCCATCTAATTTCTTTTATGTGATTTTTTTTAGATGAGGTCTTGCTCTGTTGCCCAGGCTGGAGTGCCGTGGCACGATCACAGCTCATGGCAGTCTTGACCTCCCAGGCCCAAATGATCTTCCCACCCCAGCCTCCAGAGAAACTGGGACTACAGGCATAGGTCACCATGCCTGGCTAATTTTTTTTTTTTTCTCACTCCAGTGAATTCTCATTAGTTCCTGGAAGGATACAACATTGTTGGTGGTACAGGTGGGAAACAGGAAGGTAGATAAAGTAAACTGTAAATCTGTCTTGACTTAATAGCTTCCGTTGACCTTGTAACCCTGTAAAAGTTCAGTATAATTTGTTTCTAGAAAAATCTTATCCCAAGAAAAGGTCAGAATCTATCCCCTAGATTCACGTATAATTCAGAATATCCTGTAAAAAGTAGAATTTAAATTAGCAATTCCAGATGCTCTAACCTAAATTGCAAATTCCATAATTTTCTTTAATATTTGTAAAAAATAATTAGGGAAAAGGGCTCAGTAAATAAGAGGAATGACTTACAAATTGTTGATTCTATTGGGCCATAGATGTAGCGGGTTTCATATCGAGTTGATAGAACATCAGTGCCAATCTTTGCAACTTTGGCCTGGAGAGAAAGGAAAGTTAGAGTGAAATAATAGGATACTGTGTAAATACCAAGGAATATGTAATTATGTATGTATGCAATTTTTTAATGGAGTCTTACAGGTTAGGCACTGTGCTTATCCCTTGATCTTTAGTTTCAAGACTCATAACAACCCTATGAGATGGACAGTACTATTTCCTGGTTAGTTGCAACTGGTGAAGCCGGAATTCAGTTCCTGGTTTTAACAAAACCAAAGCCCATACATATATATATGTAAATATGTAAATTACTAGGGATGAAAAAAGTCAAATTTACCAGGTATTTGGCATTTGAAGATCAAAATAAAATAAATGGTTAAACGAGAAACTTATTTTCAGTAATATATGTGGTAAGTATAAAGACTTGGCCGGGCACGGTGGCTCACGCCTGTAATCCCAGCACTTGCGGAGGCTGAGGTGGGCAGATCATGAGGTCAGGAGATGGAGACCATCCTGGCTAGCATGGTGAAACCCCGTCTCTACTAAAA
Organism: Homo sapiens; assembly: GCF_000001405.40. NCBI lineage: Eukaryota > Metazoa > Chordata > Mammalia > Primates > Hominidae > Homo > Homo sapiens. Next base: position 148,885,587 of record NC_000003.12, on the reverse strand, counting down.
ATACAAAAAATTAGCTGGGGGTGGTGCCATGTGCCTGTAGTCTCAGCTACTTGGGAGGCTGAGGCAGGAGAATCGCTTGAACCAGGGAGTCGGAGGTTGTAGTGAGCCAAGATTGCGCCACTGCACTCCAGCCTGGTGACAGAGCGAGACTCCGTCTAAAAAAAAAAAAAAAAAAAAAAAAGACTTAAATATGCAGTCGATTATATACAGTAATGCCATATCTCATTTTGTGTTTCTACTCTTCTTTCTCTCTCTCTCCTCATTCCTTTCTTCTAAAATATAAAATATACATTATTTTTCCTGTCAATTTTTTTGGCTTCAGATAATTGTCTCTTCTGACAGTTTCTCCATTTTCTTCCATGTTTTACATTCCTTGGTCCCTAACAGGCTCATATTGCTACAGGATCTTCTCTACTCATCTGACTTCAGCATACCAAGGGAAGAAGGGTGGTTGACCGCTTTTTAAAATAGTTGTTAATTAGGGTGTCTCTTTCAGAGTGGCATTTTGTCATGACCTTTTAATACACGTTAGTGTTTTGTGCTATGAGAGTGATTGTCAGAATGAATTTTAATGGAATATAGTTACTAACATATTTGCACTCACAAAGATTTTTAAAAGACTATACATATAACGTATATAACCAATAAATAATTTTTTTCTTAATCAATTTAGTTGCTATGCAAGAACTCTCATTTTACTCAAAGTGGTTTTTTTTTTTGTGGATATGTATTTTTTTTAACCCATAATATCATTTTCCTAACAGTGGATTGAAATCACAGTGCTGTACATTGGTATGCATTAATTGAACTCACGCCCTCAGATTATCACCTACATTGGATAATAAATGACTATGGGCCATATATTGCTGGTATGTCTTCTTTGTTGTATATATGGAGATGATTTTAATGACTGATTCAGGTCTCTGCTCCAATTAACATTAAATGCTGTTGTGCTAAATACAATGGACTGAGGTCAGAATGAAAATTGTAACCTCTTAAAAATTTTAAAATATTTTATGAGGCAGTATTTGGACCACAGCTATTACTGAAAGTGCTATATTTGCCAATCACCATGGGATCTGGGCCACTAAACTTTTTCTGTTTTATTTATTTTCTTCTATAGCAATTCAAAATATTTATCCCTCTATGCACCCATTCACTCTGTCACTTCCTGTGATTCATTGGAACCCATATGCAGACTTTTTTTTTAAAGCTCACATTATCAAATCAGTTTTTATAAACAAAATGGTGCTTAATGGATCATAGTTTTGGAAAGATAACATATTCTTAGTGAAGAAGCTTCACAAACATTTATAATCTTCTTTGGATTGTAAAAGAATATAATTTCCAAGTTGATCAGGATAAAAATACAATGTATCTTCTTAAATCTGATATCTGGGGGGCAGGACTAGTAAATGTCTTTGCTATTCTATTGGGCTTTTTCCGTGCATGGTTTTACCGTACAACCCATGGTAAATGTTAAACCCCACAATGAGCTGTGTTGTAATAGACTTCTATTATGCCTTTCCTAGACATTTCTTCCTGATTTTTTTTTCCTCCTGAGAATCACATTAAAGGAATTTATTATCTATATACTTTTATCAATGAAAAATCAATCTAAAGATCATGATTTTAACTTCAAGGCAAATTTCATTAGTTCTTTTCTTTGACATTAAAATGTGAAATTCTTTCAACATACCCAAGTTAATGAAGAACAGACTGAAAGTCAATGGTATTGTCGATGCATGAAGTGCAAACTTTTGTCTACGTACCAAGTCCTCATGGTTAGGTGGCAGTTTTGATGTATATCCATAGGGAAACAATAGCATCTGGGAGTAGGAATGGAAGGTGATGTAAACCTTGATTTCATTCAGGTGGCTTCTAATGAAATTAGTGACAGCTTTCGTCTCTTTCTCGGACTCTGGTGCAGAGCCCCGATAGTTATCTGCACATGGGTCATTGGTGTTAGGAATGGCTGCAGAAGACATAGGTGGATGAGACCACAGTCTGCTCCCCATCCATATAGCTCCTGCCTCTTCTAATGTATTATAGATTCACAGAATGTTTTAAATGTTTTTGCCTCTCATGTTTACAGGGCTGCTTCAATGTCTCTTGTATCATAGTCACTACAGATTAACATTGCACACACATGCCAGATTGTAACAGACTTAGCCCACTGGAATATTCTAAGCCTTGTTTACTTCCTTGTCCTTTCCCAAGGCCACAGGAGTAATAAATCAGAAGCAGCCATGACTTGGAGCCAGATACACTCCAGTTCTAATTCAACCCCAGCTCTAATGCGCTGGGGGCTGGTGTGAATTACCTTCCCTGGGCACAAGTTTCTTCAGCCTTTTTCAGCAGAAAGCTCTCAATTAGAGATAGCTGCTGCTCTTCTATGTTCATTATGGTAGAATACAGTTAAAAGCTCAGGTGATGTTTTCAACAAAATTAGGCACAGAAGAAATATATAAATTGGGGCAATGGTAATTTCTCCTTGAAAGTGTGCAGTGATGAAGTCATAGTTGTATAGCAACTAAAGCATCGTCTGATGTAGCAGGCCTCTGCTTATCATCGTATTTCTGTTAAACTTTTTCACTTTCTTTGCTCCAGATGACTCTTTTCACTAAATATCTGAAAAACTGTCTGTATGTTGCTTTTAGCCACTGACATTTCTCACATCAGGAAGCAGAGGAATCTGAGGTCTTTATTCAGATTATCTGAATTTTTATACATTTGGATTGTGCTTAATTTTTAGCAAACTAGATATAGTAAGTAAGAGATGGTTTGATAAACAGTCCCTTCCTCCTCATTTCCTTCCACACAGCAAGACATCCCTCAATGGTAGTGATGATTGTCTTTCATGTTATAGATACAAAAGTTAACACTCACTCAAAGCATAACTATTTTTACTGAACAAGTAGGTGTTTTAGTTAAGTTTGGGACCTAAATATTCCTTATAGCAATTTTCCTTGATAGCAAGTCTGCTACTCACAGTTCCATGAAGCATTAAAATTCCTGTTGAGGTCAGTGCCGATGCATTTGGAGTTTTGGTTCTTGGAACGATTTTTTCTCCACATGCGGTTCTGCCAGATTGAATGACGTAAGTGTTTACACAAGATCAGTTTGCATTTTTCAATTTGATCATTTCAAATTCTCTCTGCAGGTGTCTGCAACTTTATTTGAAATCTATCTAGTTAACTTGAGGCCCTTTATTATAAAAAGAAAAAAATATTGTTTTCTTATAATTTGTAGTATTTTCAGAATCATGGTTTTTAATATTATATCCTTAGGCTTTGATGAAATAATTCAGTTAATTTTAAACACTGTTGATTAGTTCACAGTATTAGAAGATGACTAACGGTGTTCTGAAATTAACCATAATTTAAATTATAACTTCATTAGCTTGTTCACCATATATAGATTCAGATATAATGCAGGTCAAATTTTTACTGTTGGAGCATTATTTGCAGAAAATAATTTGATGTGACAGTGTCTGCCTGAGAGTTCTTATTTAGCAAAAGCAGGATAATAAAATATACTGTAAAAAGACAAATAGGTATCTGTACCTCTCTTTTATTTTTTTTGATACAATGATTCTACCTCAAATTCTATTCAAAATTGATGAAATACAAAGGTTTTTGTTTTAAAATCAATTAATTGGCTTTATTCTTAGCTAGATATGCCATATCATATAATGCAATCATACATTTCCTCTGTAATTACTACTTTATTTCATTTTCCCACATAACTAGCTTCAGCAGCAAAAATTTTATATTATTTCAAGGATACCTATGCAACCAAGAAATCATACTTAATTTGAAACTGAGATTTTAAAAAATATACTTTTCTGAATTAGAATTAACTAGTTACCTAAACCCTAAGCTGAATGCATAACATTGTGTATTAAAGCCAGCAAATAATATCTAAATGCAAACAAGAGAGTAGAGAGCAGTACCTTTGTCCATGACCAAATATATCCATCAACATTGAACACAGGAAGAATGTAAAAATTCATTCGGTCCAAGAGTTTGGTCATAATTTTGTTTCTCCCATAAGTTTTGGTTGCCTGTCGGAGGTGAAAAAAAATTAAGCTATTGGTATGAAGTTTAGCTATTATGTGGAAAGCTGTGGTTATAATAGTAATAACTTGAGTCACTTCCCAAGGTCACATGTTTTCAAGCATATTTTCCCTAAAATGAACAAAAATAAACAATCCATATAGTTTAAAGGGGAAAAAAACCTAACTTATTTAGACTAGTGACATTAATGGAAATGAATAGTCTTTAAAGGAGCATTTAATTATCGAGACTTATAGCATTCCAAATGTAGCATGAGAGATATGTTTCATAGAAAGATTGGAAGCCAAATGGAAAATTTGTAATACAACTTATTTTTAATTGATTCTCTCACATCTTTTACATAAATATAGATAGAGTCTGTAAGCACAGGAATATGAAAATATTGGAGAGAATTTGTGAGATAGTTATAAGCAGGATTAAATAAAAAATTGTATTAATAAAATACCCAAGAATTCAGAGATTGAACAACTTTTTTTTTTCTATATCTGACTGAAATTTCTCTAATCACATGCACTTTCTGTAGCTACCTAAAATCTCTCTCACCACTCTTGGGAAGTCCTTCTAGGTACATCTGAATTGGAGACAAGATTTTTTGTAGACCTGTGATGTGCATTCCTTTATGTGTTGAGTAGGGGGAGCTCTTGGCCCTCAGTTGGGAGAGCAAAAGTAACTACAGGTCACTTCCTGGTGGATTCTTTTCTAGAAAAATATCTATGCCCAGAAAACCATTGTTACACATATTTCACCACTGTGCCATGTGCAAAAGCTGACAGAAAGAGAAAATTAAAATATGGTAGGAGTCAAAATACATTGGCAATAGAGTGAGAGGAATATTGAATATATAAACTAGATAAACCTTTTAAAAAAGTGAATTGTAGGCCCAGTGTGGTGGCTCATACCTGTTATCCCAGCACTTTGGGAGGCCGAGGGGGACAGATTACTTGGGATCAGGAGTTTGATAACAGCCTGGCCAACATGGCAAAATCCAGTCTCTACTAAAAATACAAAAATTAGCCAGGCATGGTGGCGCATGCCTGTAGTTCCAGCTACTTTGGAGACTGAGGTAGTAGAATTGCTTGAACCCAGGAGGCGGAGGTTGCAGTGAGACGAGATTGCACCACTGCATTCCAGCCTGGGTGACAGAGTGAGACTCCATCTCAAAAAAAAAAAAAAGAAAAAAGTGAGTTATTTTTCACTCAGAAAGGAAACTTAAATATTAAAATTCCAAGTACATGTGCGGCCAATGTATTATCTAAAGAGGAATTAAAATTAAATATCTATGTTTTGAGCTCATTGAAGAAAAGTTACATTTGTAGGTTATGTGAAGGTTGTTTCAGATTTTCCATACTTGACTACAGTAAAAACTTTCATGTGATAGCCCAAGAAAAGTGTGAGTTTCATAAACTCTTAGCTTGAGTTTAAGAATTGTTTGGAGGGAAGTTGTCAATTTCATAAAAACTGTAATGATGAGTAAAATTCAGAGCGTTTCTTCCCTGACAGCACCAAGTATGGGCTCTTCTAGCTAAGTGGAATTGCGTGTTTGGAAAGATGTCGCCACTTAGTGAAGTGCTGGAGACTTGGCAGTCAAAGGAGAATTGGGAGTCTTCTGATTCACTTACCTGATAGACAAACCACTGGCAGAATGCTGGGGAGACCCATTCTCGTGCGTGAATGCCACAATCCGTAAAAATAGCCTTTCTTCTTTCATTCTTTTCCCCAATCTATTTAAAAGTAAACTTGAGATATTGTTTTGAACAAACTCACACATTGATCCCTTGTTGACCAATAACTCATTCATATTCTCAAAGCAATTATTTCCCCTGTCTATTGTTGAATGAGAACCATGTATGCACATATTGTTCTCAGAAGGGACCATGGGACATATCCTTAAATGTCTATACATAATTCATAATCTATTACAATGCATATTTTTCAAAAAATTTTTCTAGTGTCAGGGCAGCTGGTAGGATTTTGAAAAAAATTTGTAGTCCATTGTTTTTATTTTATTACTAACATCCTGTGTTCTGAGAAATTTATTATAAAGTCACTTTTGTTTCTGCCACTTCCTTTTGTTTTTCTGGTTGTGTAAACTGGGGATATTTACCCTGGAATGGAGAAGATCTTGTGTTGTGTTGGAGTGGGGAAGGGAAATAGTACTGGATACTTGAATGGCTGTCATTTTGAAGAGAGTGCAGGTTTGTTTTGAGTGGTTGGAGATAATGAATGAATGGGGGTTTGGGATGTGGATGGGCTTCTCACTTGTTAAGTGGCTGCTTCAGGGAGCAGTATCTTTGGATGTGCAAAAATCCAGCAGCAATGGAGTGGAAATTGTTGGCTCTGATATAGGGAACCCTCAAGCAATCCATGGTTGAAATGCCTAACACACTGTTCTACAGTCCTATGATGCTATGATATTTAAATTCCCTTCATGACATTCATTCATCAGTTTCACTGCATTTTAAGGGATGAGGGTTTTTTTTATACCAGAGACATCATGGACTCTTGTAATAAAGCTGTGGGATGAAATATTTGTTTGGGTTTGTCCACTGTGCAATCTCTGACAAATGTTTATCCAGACACTTTCTTGGTTCCACCAAAACCGCTTGTCATTTCTATTCTTTAATGGATGTCTAGAGCTTAAATATTCTTTCAGAGATAATATGTATTAGCTCAGAATTAGCTTAGTTGTGTTACAAAGTAACTTTTAAATTCATGTTTTTCAACAGTAATAAGAATTAGTGGTTCTTGAGTTATTTTTACCTTCAGAACATATAGTGGATTATCTTCAACAGTAGATCCAATTTTAATACGAGAGACCATTTCAGGATACTTATCCATCATCTTTTCAGTCCAAGCCACAATCTTAAGAGCAAAATCAATTTTGAGAAATTAGAATAAAAGAAAACAAAATGACAATAAATATTAAGGGTAACTTAAAAAAAAGTACAGGCATTTTTTACTGTACCTTTTCCCAATTATTGTATTTTGCGTAGCTGTGCCTGCCTGGGATATCTTCTTTAACATCAAACTGTTTCTCAATCTCTTCTTGTAGATCATGAATCAAGATTCTGTTTGACAGGGGAATGATAAAATACATGTTTTATCATGAGAAAGGAAAACACAGTTATCTTTCATTTGCAGAAATTTCTCTTCCTTCTCCTTTATCTTTAATCAAGTTTGCTCTGTTTCTTCATTATTCTCCTCTAGCTATCTCCTTTAGACATATCATGTGTCTGGCTTCTGATCTCCCCATTTATCTAGAGCTGTGCTGTCCAGTGTGATAGTCTCTAGCCCCAAGTGCATACAGGACATGTGAAGTGGGGCTTGTCCAAGAGTAGATTGCTGTATGTGTAAAATATACACCAGATTTTGAAGATAGTATAAAAATGATATAAACTATCTCACTAATAAGTTTTATGTTGTGTAGAATAAAAATTTCAGATATATTGGGCTAAATAAAATGTATTGCTACAGTTAATTTTACCTGTTGCTTTTTACTTTTTTAATGTGGTTACCACAATTTTAAAATTATGCATGTGGCTCGTATTGTACTGCTATAGTACTCCCCATCCTTCTCCAAAACACACACACATCTACATCCACATAAACACAGGCAACAAGGGATTCTTTCATGCACACATCTACAGATCATACCTTATAATTTCACACCTTCTGAGCTGGGAGAAACTTGAATAATAATGATAATTATAATAGTAAGCAGGTACTTAGCACTACCTTGTGCCAGGCATCGCTCTGACCTCCATATGTACATTATTAATTCATTTAATCTTCACATTAGATTATTATGCTTATTGTACAGATGAGAAAAATGAGGTACAAAGTGTTGAAACAACGTGCCTATAGTGATGGATCTAGAAAATGGCTAACATGATTTGAAGGGGGTGAAATAAGAGGTGGGAAAAATCACTAGGAGACTAATGTTGAGGGTCAAGAGGCTTACGGCTTACACCTTATCTTCCTATTTCCTTTTTCTTTCTTTCTTTCTTTTTTTTTTAGATGGAGTTTCACTCTTGTTGCCCAGGCTGGAGTGCAATGGTGTGATCTCGGCTCACCACAACCTCCACCTCCCGGGTTCAAGTGATTCTCCTGCTTTGGTCTCCTGAGCAGCTGGAATTACAGGCATGTGCCACTACGCCAGCTAATTTTGTATTTTGAGTAGAGACGGGGTTTCTCCATGTTGATCAGGCTGGCCTCGAACTCCTGACCTCAGGTGATCTGCCCACCTCAGCCTCCTGAAGTGCTGGGATTACAGGCGTGAGCCATTGCTCCCGGCCTCATCTTCCTATTTTCATCTCTTTCTGAGCCATCTCATGTCATCATTTTATGGAGTCCAGTGGCTGTAATGGTCACCTGATGGTCACTTATACTTGACTCTCCTCTGAACTCTAGGCTTACACATCCAACTGCCTACATGACGTTTTCACTTGGATTCAGATATCCATATGTGTAATACAGGCCAGGTACTGCTTTATACACATTATTTAATTAATCTTGTCAGTATTATCACTTTACAGATGGGGAAGTTAGTGCTCAGAAGGTTTAAATACTCACAGTGTATGAGATGGAGTTGGGAATTTGAATACAAACTGCCTCATTTCAAGATTTATTTTTAAAAAATGTCATCATCATATATGCAAGTATTTTATTTATTTTGTCTGGGAATTTTCTATTTGCTTCATTAATCTTTTTTCTTATGCCTTAATAGAAACCAAATCATATTTAATTACAGTAAAATTTAATACTGGATAATGTATCTTATTCTTTTTTTCCAAAAATTTTGAGTAATTTCACCTATTTTAAATAAATGTCTTGGCTGGGCATGGTGGTTCACACCTGTAATCCCAGCACTTTGGGAAGCTGAGGCAGTTGGATCACATGAGGCCAGAAGTTTGAGACCAGCCTGGGCAACATGGTGAAACCCCATCTCTACTAAAAATACAAAAGTTAGCCAGGTGTGGTAGTGGGCACCTGTAGTCTCAGCTACTCGGGTGACTGAGGCATAAAAATTGCTTGAACCCAGGAGGTGGAGGTTGCAGTGAGCTGAGATTGTGCCACTGCACTCCAGCCTGGGTGACAGAGGAGACTCTGTCTCAAAAAAAAAAAAAATGTCTTATCAGAATCATTTTAGGAATTAGAATGATCAGAAAAAATGGGATTTTTTGATAGACATTAAATTATAAATAAATATAAGAATTTTATTAATAATGGATCATAACATAATTGTATCTTTGATTCTTCAGTAAAATGTTAAGTATTTTGATCATCTATTTATATATATATATATTTTACCAGTTTTTTGACTTTTTTTCTCACTACATTTTTGGTTATTACAGTATTCATATATTAAAAAACCATTTACTTTGATTACACTTAGCTATTTTATTAGATTAAAAAACTATCTTTATACTTTTAAGAATTTTAGTTATGTTTTTAGGGTATTTTCTGTGTTATTTCTTCTGCCAATATCTATACTTTCTAATTTTCTTAATAACTATTTCTTTTTTTCCTTGCTGTTTTGCATTGGAAAACTCTCTGAACTATGATAAATAATAGTAGCCATAGACGGCATTCTTTTTTTCTGCTTTTTACAGGAAAACTTATCTTTCACTGTTAAGAATGATGTTGAATGCCACTTTGAGATTAATATGGCAGTATCAATTTATATGATCAAATTATTGTCCGTTGATGTATGGTTGCATTAAAACCTATTATTAGATTCCTTATTTTGTTAAATATTATTTTACAGCTGTAGGAGATTTACAAATACCCTCACAAAAAATCTTGTCTGTCTTATTTTAGATACTGTTCTAAAAATCTTGTTTAACCCAGAAGGAATGCATTGGATCTAGGGAAAATGACTTGCTGAAAGCAAGCAGCGAACACACTGTTATCAGTAGGTGATAGCTGACAGCAAAAAGAAAAAAAAAGAGAAAAGTTAAAAAACTCCCTAGACAGAAGGACTTAGAAAACATGGGTCAGTGGTCTCATAGCACAGTATGAAAATTCATATTGATAATGATAATTCTTTACCCAAAGGTAAACCATATTCAATATACTCTATTTTGTAGGGCAGAAAATTATCGTTATAATGGAAATGTTTCAATAAAAATATTAAAAAGAAAGGATTTCTTGAAGTCGTACTTATCTGAACAATTTTCTTATTTGGCTTATCTCATTTCTCATTGACTCTATATAAATAAAGGAATTACTCACCTTTTGGTAATGAAATGCACATGTATTTTTTTTTCTGCTGTTAGCAGTGAGTCCTGGGTGCAGGAAGAAGTCTATTTTTTAACATTCACTCTAGTCTTTGGGACAATATCATGTACTCTTTCCGTCACTATAAATCTTATCAAATAAGGAAGCAGTGAGTGACCTGTGTTCAGACCTTCTTGGGTTCCAACCCCAGTTCAGCTACATAATACGAACATGTGATCTTGGGTGGCTTAGTTACCCTCTGAACCTCAGTTTTCCAACTTTTACAATTGTGGTGACCAGGCTTGTGGTGAGGATGAAATGAAGTAAAACCTAAGTGCTTGGTGGCCTCAGGCTCCCATTGAACTTCAGAATAATAGTGAAGTTGGGTCATAAAATCGACAACCATTTTACAGTCATAACATGTTTTTAAAGCAGGCTTTGATGGTATGTAGATGTTTGACTCTTTGATTTCTTCAATTTCTTATAATAATGAGCTATGACACTGACACTGCTGAGCTCCACTCTACTTGTTGGTTTCTCCTTGCTGATTGACTGACTGATCTGAGTTCTGATGTGGAACACAAACGCTGTATTCCCTTAATTAGAGTTTATTTAGCACATGGGACCAAGTACTGCTCATGAATATTGATTCCTATTAGCAGCACTGACAAGCACATCATTATGTACATCATATCTAACTCACTGTATGCTTTGCTTTTGACTTATGATGAACCTAGGATTTCTGAGAAAATAAACTTGTGACAGCAATTTTGGAATCAGGTGGAGCATGTTGCACTGAAACTCACACAAAACCCGGGAAGGTTTGAAATTATATTTTGGGTGGTCATTACAGACATAACTAATTGCTTTAAGCTCTAAAAAGGGCACGTGGCTTTTGCTCCACCTGCATTAATAGAAGTGGAGAAACCAGGCAGAAGAGAAATTTTATGGTCCCAGAGGTTGATTTGTAACATAAGGCAGTATTAATTAGTCACAGGAAGCTTGTATCTAAGAATATTTTTAGACTTACACATATCAATTTAGCTCTTATGATAACAGCAGCAAAACAAAACCAAACAAAACAAAGCAAAAAAAACAGTGTGAGTTGAAGTACAACCTTTCCACAAATGATGTAGCTGCATGAGAACATCAGAACGGTGCCAGATTGTTGCTGATAGGGACTAGAAATTAAGCCTAAGGCTGGAAATTAAGAACTGGGGCCAGATGTTATTTTCACAAGCCCTTCTACTAACCAGCAGCCAGGCATAAACAAATGAAACCAAATTACTTTTTCTCAAATATTATTTTGAGCTCCAAAATTTGCTTAATTTGTTTAAGAAAATTCCTAAATATAGGTGAAAGGATAAATAATTATCACTGAGTATTGAATAATACAAATGTTTAATGTTTACTGAACCTTTCTTATGTGCCAGGCACTTTTCTCAGCACTGTATTTACATTTTATCACTCAACATGATTAACTGGGTACCATTATCAGCTCTTGTTTTTATGAAGGTTTGGCCAGTTTCCAAAATGGACACAACTGTTAAAATACAGAAGTTGGAATTTGAACCTGGAGGGTCTGACATCAGCACCGTAGCTGTGAGCCATTGTACAATAGTGCCTTCATCATGAGAGTGAAATCCTTGGGTATTGCCGTCAGATCTGCACTCTCCTTAGTCTTCGGAGGTTGGTGCACAGTTGGCCCAATCAACCAACTCTCATGGAAGTCTGTGTCCCAAGGTCAGGGAGCAAGTAAGAGGTTCAGAGAAGAGATGAGATAAATTCTACTTTGACAGTTTCAAGGCTCCCATCCTTTGCTGCTTTTAGAAAGCAACAAAGGACTGGAGAACTATGGGCCAATATATGTGACTATCGTAGGCTCTGGGGTGTGTGTGTGTGTGTGTGTGTGCGCGTGTGCGCGCGTGCATGCACTGGGGAAAGATGTTTCAGGAAGGCAGAGTCACTGTCAGGGTGACTTATAAATGGGACTGGATTCTCCTGATGCCCACATTACATCAGGATATGGTGCTATTCAAAAAGCATGGTTTCAGGTTTCCCTAAGATTCAATATCCCCCTGGTAACTCCCTAATTTGGTTACCACACATCAAATTCTACACTTACTGACATGGATTTCTCAAAGTTTGAGGAATACTACTCATTTATTCACTGGGAGGAAAATGGAACATCTGGTGATAGCCTCTAGTTATTCCCTGTTTCTGTGTGAGTGTGTGTGTGTGTGTGTGTGTGTGTGTGTGTGTGTATTCATAGAAGTAAAGGACCAGGCAGACAGCAACTTTACGATCCCAGTCAATCTTCATGAAACCCCTATGAAATAGATTCCATTATTATTCCCATTTTATAGATGAGGTATGAGGTAAAGCAAAGTTAAATAAATTGCCAATGTTGAGTATCTAATGCATGGCTTCAGTGGGACTGGACCCAGACAGCGTTGCTTCAGAACCCACTTTCCTACCTTCCACACTCCTGTTTGTCACATGACCAATTGTAACTTCAACATTTGTACCATGTAGCATGTTGTAGTATAACATGCATGTTATACTCTTAGGTAAGTAATACGTAAAAATGTGAAGCAGAAGAAAAAAATGAATGGAATGACACATTAGAATGATTTGATTGAAACACTGGATAGGACTGTGTATATCCCTGGAATATGAATTTGTATCTGACTGAACATTATTATTAGGCAGTTAGACATTAATATTAGGTGTTGATTATCACTGTGTCAGTTTGGCATAGATCTCTTTTGCATTTCTCACATAATCTTATATGGATCCTCGTAAGATTTTACTTAATTGTACCATTTGAGTTTTCTTATTATATTAATAGTTGTTTTCTGAGTTACCTTTCATTAACAACTCTTTATTTTCTAATTTTAACCTTTGATCAAAGAAAAGACAATGTTAAAAATTGACTGTCTAAAATGTGAACAATGTTAAAAACACTAGGATTTTTAACTGCTGAGTCCAAGTATAGTGTCTGCCCCAGAGGCTCAGTCCGATGGACGTGCCTTCCCTTTGATATTTGTTTGCCAGTCTGTTTGGGTTTGTTAGTATATCCATGTTGTTTGTTTTTTGAACTTGGCCTTTTATGATTTTGTAAATAAGTAAAAAAAGAAACAAGTATGCTACTTTAAAATAAAATCTGGCTTACTAACTTAATTTTCTAAAAATTAAAGAAAAACCACACAGATGCTTTAAACTAAATAGTAGTTGATATACCCTGTCTAATGAAGGGTGTGTAAGTAAATCTTTGTGTCAAACCAGCCTTTTAATATGGTTTAATTCAGCCTGGTGCCTGGGTCCGACCAGATGTTTCTGTTCTTAGAACTCTTTTCTGTTACTGACTGACACCAAGTAATGCATATAATTAATATGCAAATAAAATTATCTATATAATTAGTACTTGGAGACAAGATTTTAAGTAGTTCTTGTCTGCACTTATCACTTTACATATTTATATTTCTGAGGGAGGTAACTATCTAATTATTTGGCTTTCCCATAACTGTGGCTGATTTGGGCCACTTTGTAGAATTCATGTTTTAATTTGATAAAACCAATTTTTGTAGGTAATTTAACACTTTGGTACTTGACGTAGAAAGCAAGAAACTCCTTTGTCATAAGACAGAGTGAAAAACACACTAATTTGAGGATCTGGATTTAGACATCTAGTTGAATCAGAATCATTTCAGGATAGAAGAGGCCTAGAGGACCAAAGGAGAAAAAAGGCTGATGTGAGCTATTTGATAAATTGGAAGGATGCTAGCTGCCTGCCTAGGTGTCTTACAGTGATTTACTCCACTATTCATGCTCATGCCAAGCAACTAGCTTTTCTAGATACATTTTCTACATTGTAACTGCGTTATAGGGCTATTAAGGAAAACATAATACCTAATTCTTTACCTTGCTGTTCAAGCCAAATTATATAAAATTTGGCCACACCACTACTTTATTTTACCTTGGGCTGAATGCTTTGTAAGAATTAGTTTATCATAGGAATCCAGACCAGGTCTATATTATTGAAGTAAAGTGAAGAGTGTAATAATTTAGGCACATATACTAGAAAGCTGGCAATGAAGTGAATCAAGAGACACAGTAGGCCTGGTGCGGTGGCTAGGCCGAGGTGAGTGGATCACAAGGTCAGGAGATCAAGACTATCCTGGCTAACATGGTGAAACCCCGTCTTTACTAAAAATACAAAAAAAAGCCAGGCATGGTGGCAGGTGCCTGTAGTATAAGCTACTCGGGAGGCTGAAGCAGGAGAATGGCGTGAACCCGGGAGGCGGAGCTTGCAGTGAACCCAGATTGCGCCACTGCACTCCAGTCTGGGTGACAGAGCGAGACTTCATCTCAAAAAACAAAACAAGAGACACAGTAACCAGGGGTTATTTAAGATAGAGGGTTGATTTCTTTTAGATGAAAGAGTCAATACATTATCTGAACCTTAATGTAAACAGATAATGTAATACAAATTTCTGCAGTCTTGTAGTTACATTTTTGAAGTGTCTAATTTTAATGATGTGATTTATAAAAACAGAAAAACTTAGTATATTAAGTTAAAAGGGTTAAAAGCTGGTATCAATTAGTTTTTTTTATAAATATATATTTTTATACTTTAAGTTCTAGGGTACATGTGCACAGCGTGAATTATATATTTTCAATTTGTTAACTTTTACATTTCTGCCACAACCTTCTTGAAACAGTAACAAAACCGAAAAAGTCATCAATAACCATCACAAATAATAGAATGTTATCTTTAAAGCCGTGAATAAGAATGTTTTTTGCTCACTTATGTACGTGATTTTTAAATTTCAATGGAGTTTATTTGAGATATTGTGGCAATATCATAAATAAAATCAAGTTTATGGTGAGCAGTAGTAAATCCTGCTCTGCAATATAACATCACTGACATCAACAGGCTCTTTCTTTATCTCAGCCAGAAGCAGACCTTTTGAGTTAAAGTACCAAGTCAGGTAATGGAGGTATAAAATGGCAAGTTCAAAAAAAAAAAATGAACTAGTGTTTAGCAGTGTTTTGACAATGAGGGTCTCAACAAAGGGGAATCCTGGCATAACATGGCCTGGGGAAGTTAAAATGGGATCCCTCTGTACATCAAACTATGAAATGTTTGAAAGTATAAAAACACATTTTCTTTTTTTTTTTTTTTTTTTTTTTTGAGATGGAGTCTTGCTCTGTCACCCATGCTGGAGTGCAGTGGCGCGATCTCGGCTCACTGCAACCTCTGCCTCCCAGGTTCAAGTGAGTCTTCTGCCTCAGCCTCCCGAGTAGCTGGGACTACAGGCACACGCCACCACGCCCAGGTAATTTTTGTATTTTTAGTAGAGATGGGTTGTCACCATATTGGCCAGGCTGGTCTCTAACTCCTGACCTCATGAGCCACCTGCCTTGGCCTCCCAAAGTGCTGGGATTACAGGCGTGAGCCACTGCGCATGGCCAACACATTTTATTTTCTAAATTACACATTGATTTATGATATTCATTGCTGGGCTTCCTTCTCATTCACTGCCCAGGGCCCAGACTGGGCATGGCCCATGGTTGCTGCTCAATATATTCAGATTTTCTCTTACTTCTCTGTGGGGCCAGAATGACTCATTTCTGCATCTTTGGCTATTTGAGATTCTTTTCTCTTTGATTTAAACTGTATTCTACTGCTCTGCTTGTGCTTTCTCTGAGGAAGAATTTTTTTCATAAAGAATTATTTATTGTATATTTTTAATTGCTGTACTTCTGACATACCAATGACATACCAATTGCTGTATTTCTGACATACCAATGACTTTTTTTTTTGGTCTCCTTTTATGTATCAGGAAAATTCAAATATATAAAAGGAGGCCAGCGCCAGTAGCTCATGAGATCTGGGCCGATTACCTGTCAGTAGTGATGACATGTGGCTAAACCATTCATGCCTGCTCATGTGGGCTCTGTGCTTATGAGGGGCTGGTTTTGGAGATGGTAGATATAGGTAATTGTTATTCTTATAGCTAAGAGCAAATGTAAGGTAGATGTTGAACTGCCAAGTTTGATTCTATCACCTCTGTAAACAGGCTTCGATAATGTGTTTGGAAGTAACTGTGATCTGTATCTTACAGAAAGAGCTTTCGTTCTGGGGGGCCCAATTAAAAATAGGTCCATTGTAATACTTTCCTCTACTTCAAGGCTCCCAAAACTTTGAATATCCAACAAATTTCAATATTTGCCAAGGACTTACTCATAGTGCATTTTATTTTGATCCAAGGCAGACTGGATGGCTTGGGATTCCTTCTCACTAACTCGGAAATCCACCATCATATTAGCAGCTACGTGGTGGGTGGCACCTGGATACCAGAAGTCAAGCTGCAGAGATAAGCTCAATGTTAGTCAGAGTTTATTTGCTTACCCAACACTTATTGATTAAGAAATGATCATGTCTCATACACCATGAAAGGAATTTGGGGCTCAGCATAACTAAGATACAGACCCTTCTTTTAATAAGTTTATGGGATTTTTGCAAATATATTTAAGAACTGTTGAATATTAGGGAGGAGGAAAGAAACCTTCCTAGTGCCTGATCACTTTTTTTTTTTTTAAGGACTTCAGGTCTATCAAGTTAAAAAGGATGGGCAGATCTTTTGGTTAATTTTTTTCTTCCACAATTTTGGGATTGAATGGGATCACAATTCATCTAGCCACAGAATCTGCCTCTAATTGGAAATTTAAGTTAAATATCTGGTTAGTTAGTCCTCAAAACCTGATGTCCCTATAAACTCTGGAAATCCTGATACAAGATATTGTATCAAACAGTTGGCATAGACCCCCAGCAAAGTCATTTTTCTAGCAATATGTCCTTGGGCAAGTTACTAGGACTCTTTAAATTTTACTCCTCTCTCCTGAAATAATGGGGCAAATGAGGGTCCACTGGGAAGTGTTGTGAAGATTGTGAAATAGGTCTGAGGTCTGGGGCATGAAGACAGTTAACAGGTGCAGATTTTTTTTTCCTTTCTCTTCCTCTAGCTGACAATTTCAAAAATTTGGTATATGAGCTCAGAAGTATAGCATTCAGATCAAAATAATTTCGAGGCTGGGTGTTGTGGCTCACGACTGTAATCCCAGCACTTTGGAAGGCTGAGGTGCGGATCACCTGAGGTCGGGAGTTCGAGACCAGCCTGACCAACATGGAGAAACCCCACTTCTATTAAAAATAGAGAATTAGCCAGGCATGGTGGCACATGCCTGTAATCTCAGCTACTCGGGAGGCTGATGCAGGAGAATTGCTTGAACCTGGGAGGTGGAGGTTGCAGTGAGCCGAGATCTCGCTATTGCACTCCAGCCTGGGCAACAAGAGCAAAACTCTGTCTCAGAAAAAACACAAAAAACAAAAACAAAAGCAAACATTGAAAAGATTCCAGTTCTTGTGGTTCTTCAAAATCATACTCAATTGTGAAACTAAATGAAGTACAAGTCCCCAGCCTGGGAAATGTGAAGGAAAAGCTCAATTTCCACCCCTGCTTGTGTATGTGTTCAGGTCTGCCTGGCTGTTTCTTGGTTGAGTCCCCCTCTACCTCGAGGTCAATCAAGTGACAATATGAGGCTGCTATGAACCAACCAATGTTTATTTTGATCAAAAAGCTACATCATGAGTTGGACATATGAGAGATGTAGTGTGATGCAAAGGCAAGTTAGGCAGAGCCATCTTATCACAATAGACATTTCTGTGTTCTAGCAGGGTAATGTGCAGCAGGAGCTTAGAGCTTAGTGAACTTTCATGTATTAAGCAGGAGGCAAAGAGCTGGGTGCCACAGTTGTAGAGACTAATAAGGGACTTATGAGATGTGAAAGGTTTGGTGTGGAACACAGAGTCATACATGCATGTTTCCCACATGTTAACCAATGCCAGAGGAAGGAACCGGGTATTCCAGGAGCACAAGGAGCAGCCAAAACTGAGTCACGAGAGTTGATGAACAGAAGAGACGTCCTGCAGGAGACACTGCCTGAGTTGGATCTTGAGAAATAAGTAGGACTTACCCAGGTCAAAAGGGAGAGAAACACATTTTCATGAGAAAAGATGTACAGGGCCAAGGTGGGTGAGATTTTGGTGTTTATGGGGCTTGAAGGGTGTGGAAGAAGGTGGAGGAGCAGGATATTGAAGAGGCTGGTAGTTTGGCAGATCATAAAACGCTTTGAATGCTATACCAATACCAAAAGAAAATGCTTCTGACTGGGCATGGTGGCTCATGCCTGTAATCCCAGCATTTTGGGAGGCTGAGGCGGGTGGATCACTTGAGGTCAGGAGTTTGAGACCAGCTGGGCAACATGGCAAAACCCCGTCTTCACTAAAAACACAAAAATTAGCCGGGGATGGTGGTGGGCACCTGTAATCCCAGCTAATAGGGAGGCTGAGGCAGGTGAATCGCTTGAACCTGGGAGTCGGAGGCTGCAGAGATTGTGCCACTGCACTCCAGCCTGGGTGACAGAGTGAGACTCTGTCTCAAAACAAAAACAATAACAAACAAAAAACGCTTCTATGGTGCTTAATATGGCAGGCCTGCTTCTAAGTGCTATCAAACGCTTACTTAGTCTTTGTAGCAACCCTAGGAAGTAGCTATGACTATTATCCCCATTTTATAGCAGAAGAAATTGAGACCCAGAGATGTTGAGTAAGTTGCCTAAGGCTACAGAGCTAGCGTAGAGCTTGGATTTGAATGTAAGCGTTTGACTTTGAAGAAAATGCTTTTTCCGTACTAGGCTGCTTCTTAGTAATGACCCTCAA
The DNA here is from genome assembly GCF_000001405.40 of Homo sapiens. NCBI lineage: Eukaryota > Metazoa > Chordata > Mammalia > Primates > Hominidae > Homo > Homo sapiens. Next base: position 148,866,501 of record NC_000003.12, on the reverse strand, counting down.
ACGGAGGAATGCAATTGTCAAGTTTTAGAGTGAGCAATCAGGTTGCAATGCAGAGTTGGCTTTGTGGGAGTCAAGACTAGAGCCCTGATTGCTAGTTAAGGGACTATGGAAATTCTCCTTGCAAGAGGTAGAGTGAACATGAACTTGGCAGTGGCAGTGGAATGGAGGGCAATGTGTGGATTTGAGAAACATTTGGGAGTTAGAATAGGCAGGGCCTTTGATTGATTTGATGTAGAGGTAACTGTATGTTTGACTGGAATAAATCCCAGACCCAGTTCTGGGTTTAAATTTGATGTGTAATCTTGGTCATTTAATTTATTGTCTTTGCACTTTAGCTCTTCTGTTTCAAATGAGTTACATTATAACCCTGACATTGAGAATCTGCTGGAGAATTTGAAATGGCATATATAAGGTGGCTGGTGCAACATAAATAGGAGCAGCTGAATACATGATAAAATTATATTAGGCTGTTGGATTTTAAAGGATTGATCTAACTTTAAAAGTCTTATTTGAAAATGTACCTGCTCTTGGAAAGGGTCACATCTTGATATTAGCCAGTGCCTCAACGTTTTCAGTTAGTACTCAAGAGAAATTATGGCACCAGAGGAGATGAGGGTCGGAGTGGGGAGAATGGAGAGGGAATGGCACCCGTAGGCAAGAGAAAGATGCCCTGATAAGGAGGCCAAGAACAGCTCCTGATTTCATAGTTTTACCTTGAAAAAGCTGGTGTTTGAAAAGCTTTTGGGAGGAAAAACAGAAGTGGTAGTCTTGGAAACCAAGACCAAAACCAGAACAGGTGAAGTATTGGCCATTGGCTGAATTATCCAGATAGCTCCTGCTTTCCCCTTATGTTCAATAGTCTTTTGTAGTCCCATGGGCATTGACAGTAAAATAAGAAGAAGCATCTTTTAGAGAACAGTAAGAAAAGATAAAATATCCCTCTAAATGCTTACCTCATTGGTTTTGGCCAAGTCCTTTATGATGTCTGCTTGTTTTTCATCCTGGGGCTTCACGCGGAACACCTTCTCCCTTTGTGGAGGCAAATGAAAAAAAAAAAGTGAACTGTAAGGAAACAACCTTTAATTCTCTTCTACACAGAGACTGGAACACAGGAAGTAAGATTTACCTGTCAAAGCGGACAGGAGCAATTGCAAGAGTGGTAGCAATCAAACCCACAGGCAGGATGAGCCTCATGGTTCTTCTTTGCCTGCCTTGAGACCCTCTGGCAGTTTTATGCCTCAGCCCTTATCTTGATGAGCAGCTGATTTCCTCTTAGGGTTCTGTTGCACAAACTGTTCCCCTTCTTCCCCCACACCAGGTTTTTTTTTTCCAGCTGGAGAGGGAAAAACACTAACCCACCAAGCACATGCTACTTATCTACCTTTTGCAATAGGAAATACCCATTTTACAGATACAGGATGGGAAGCAAATGCCTTTAGCAAATAACTTGGCCAAGGTAACAGAGAAAGTATGTTCACAGAGCTGGGATTTACTAGTTCTATCTGTTCTAAAATACTACTCTACCATTCTGCTTGAATTGAATGATGGAAGAAATTAGTTTTAAAATTTGCACTTGGAGACTGAGATGAATTTGGGTATCTGGCCATAAAATCTTGGTGAGTGGTTCGTAATAATGTAAAATATATTTTTGAAGCTAGAATGTAAGTTGTGAAATTAAAAACATTTAAATTGACTGGGCACGGTGGCTCACGCCTGTAATCCCAGCAGTTTGGGAGGCCGCGGCGGGTGGATCATCTGAGGTCAGGAGTTCAAGACCAGCCTGGCCAACGTGGTGAAACCCTGTCTCTACTAAAAAATACAAAAATTAGCCGGGCGTGGCGGCAGGTGCCTTAATCCCAGCTACTTGGGAGGCAAAAAAAACCCCAAAAATTTAAATTACAAAATATAAATGTACTAAAAATGCTGTAAGTACTATGGCGAACATTGAAATGTTCACCATTTAGATTTTACAATGATAACATTTTTGTTATATTTTTCCTGTACTTCTCTGGGTAAAGAAATAAACACTAAAGACCTAAAGCACTGCCCTAACTCTTTGCCCTTCTCTTCTCTCTGTCCTCAGAGGTGACCCCTATTTCTAAGGCAACTTGAGAACTACCTGACAGCAAGAAAATATCAATGCTGTAATGTTTATTAATTGGACACTGTCTTCAGAGCCTGGATGCTGTAATTGCCAAATAATGCCTTTTGAGAGTTGAATTAATGAAAGCCACCTATAGACCATTCACAACCATCTCTGGAGGGATGTTTAGTCTTGAACACAACTTGGTTAATTATGGGAGAATAACACCTTTACCTAGAATCATAGGTAACCTAAAAGAGTAAGTGAATTTATCTAATCAGTTAACTTATTAGAATTTCCTTTTTGAAAACCACCTCTTCACATTGACAAACGTATAGCTGACTGTAGATAAAACTTCTCAGAGTCACGCTTATGTACTATCAAAATAGTGTGGTTGGAGACACGCCCCTGTTATATATACAGCAGCAGTAATTCCATTCTTCTCTATCTGATGGGTGTGTGGTAGAACTCGGGACTTTTTTTTATTTCCCCAAATGGATTTTCCGGCTCCAGCCTTGCAGGTAAGGAAGAGGAGGGTTTTACAAATGCCTTCATGTTCTTGACACTGGGCAAGCTCACCAGCACTGAGAACTCCCAAAGCAAATGCTTGCTCCATTGCTTTTGACTAAAGATACTTTTGACCAGGGAACAGTGAAAAAGAAAGACCTTGACTTTGGGTTTCGACAGACATCACTTCAATGTGGCTCCCACACGCTAGCTACATCCCCTTGAGCAGGCTGCCTAGTTATTCTGGGCCTTGGTTTCCTCATTTGTAAAATGGGAATGCTAATGTGACTCTAACAAGTGGCTGTGAGGCTTAGTGAGACAGGATATGTTAGGGACTTCGTGGTAGGTGCTAAAAAACACGTCCATGCTCTCTAGACAGTTGATAAAATGTTCATGTGCTGTCAACAGAGACTTCCAGTGGGCCACTGCCAGCCTGCAGAACCGGTATCAAAATAGATCATGTGGTAGATTAAAGTGGTGGCCGTGACCTTTAGGGATAAAATATGTCTCTGTATTTGTTTTCATGTGGACTACTTCAATAATTTTTTTTAATGTTATAGCTTTGCTTTTTAGAGTTTTATTTTCTGATTCTAAAAATTATAAATGCCCATTGAAAATGATTCTGGAAAATACAGGAAAGGTGAAAGAGGAAAAATAGAAATCCTCTTAATTTTAGAATTCTGTTATATTTTCTTGAAGCTGTTTCCTCTGTGACTGGTTTTAAAATTGTGTGGAGAAAGCTTCTATGTCTGTTTTTCAGGTCAAGTAGGAAGAACACTTTTATTTTATTTGGGGAATCTAGGTGAGTGCTTTGAGGACTTTGGTATTTCTCAGGATAAGACTTTGTTAATAAATAAAAGTACATCTTTGGCTTCTTAATAGATTACATATTGGCAATTTCTTCTTTCTGGAATATGATATAAACATGTGATGTGTTTGAGACTCCCACTGCCTCTCCAATCTATTTAGCCTCTGAAGAAAAATACAATAGATGGATTTCAATAATGTTCTAGAGCTTTTTCTCAGAACAAGCGCTATTTCTTGGCAAGCATAGATCAGTGCTGCCTTATATTACTGCATCAAGATTTATAAAAGGTCTTGGCATATGTGTGGGTAGGATGAATAATTGTCAAACCCCGTATCATTTTAGGATTGACTATGTAAGACTGTGATGTTTCACAGATTAAATCAACCTCTTTAAAAAGTGACTTAGAGGTGAATACTTCATGCAGCCATAATTTTCCATCTTTCTTGAGCTCTGCACTTTCTATGGTATTTGTAGTAGTGCACGTCTAGCCATGATTTAAAATATCACCATATAGTTTAGCTATGCTTTTCTCTATATATTTTTAATCATTATCACTCAGCAGAACCCTTTTTGCCCCCAAATTAACATGTTAACTTGCTATGGTCTGCCTTCTTTTCCTTCTAGAAATTCTCTCTTTGACCAATTCATATAGGTCAGCTTGCAGAATAAGATGAACAAATGGCATATGATTCTAGGTATGTAGGAATTCCATAATCCAGATGAGAAAATCAGTCTTGCTATTTTCTACCCACACCACTTGAGAAAGAAAGATTCAGGGGCTACTCTTGTGCTGTTGGTTCACTGTTGCTTTGGGAGCTGAGAGCTTGGAGCTGAAGGAAAGGCTCAGAGCCTGCTCTGGGATCTCAGGGTGGGAGTGGGATAAAAGAGGGAGAAGAAGAGGTATCCCCCCAACCTGGGGCTCTCAGGTGGGCAAGGCTGGGTGGACTCACAGCAGTCTCTGATTAGCTGGTCAGATACTACTACAGTGAAGACTAAGGCAGATTTCTCTTTCTGTTTTTCTTGGTTTTGCCCAGGCAAGTGGAAATTCTACCCAGCTTCCTGTTAACTTTCAGTAGACAGTGGTCATAGTAAAAATTTCTCAGGTGCAGGACATCTCAGATACATGGGATTTCAAATAAGAATATTTGCATATTTGCTTTCCTATTCTTTGTTCTTACCCTTAAAAATTCCTTGGAATTTTAAAAAAGCAGTCCACATATATTATTCCTAATTTCTATTTTAAAGCATTCAATTTAGGGAATTAGGAGAGTTCTTTGTGGTTTGCCAAGATTTCCATACTTTGGGCCACAGCTTCCCTTAGTCAGGGGTTGGTGTTACTTGCCAGAGATAGCAAGGGAGTATCCTGTGGAACAGGAGTTTAATGATACACCTCCAGCAAGATTACCTCACTCAGGTAACTATGGCTATGTTAGCCCTCCAATACACAAAGTGGATATAACTTAAAGAGTAGGAGGAAGAATATTTAGCTAAATTACATCTATTTTTAAATTACCACCAATGTTGCTGACAAATTAATGGGATTTTTTTTTTTCACATATGGTTCTCTGTCTATTTAAATGATGTATTACTAAATGAGTTTGAAGATGAGTGTGTGACACATTGTAGCAGCTGCACTGCTACCACCTAGTGGACAATTAATGCAATTAATTATTCTTTGGCTTGACAACTTTCACAAACCGTTGTTACTTCAATGGATTCTCTTTATGAATAGAACACTGTTATAGATATTTTAGCACATCATGCCCTCCCTATATGGAGTCTCATTTTTCTTGAAGCCATATAGAAAGTAATAAGTTAAGAGTCTATGAAAGTAGACTACAGAAAGTCTATAGAAAGTAATGAGTTAATAGTCTATCATTTTTAAGTAAGAGATGCCCCCAAATCGTAACTTTAATACATCTCATTCTATTTTAAAATTTGAACTTGGCACAATACTTCCCAACACAGCATGTCCAATTCCAATCCCGGAAAACATCAAGTTCTGGAGTGATTTTTGCCACTTTCATTGGTCCAAGTGGTCCAGTCAGGGTCCCTGGTATCCTCTTGTCTCACTTCTGATCTGCTTTCCACACCCTAGCCTAGTTGGTGTTCCAAAAACACTGTAACCATGTCATTGATGACTTAATATCTTCAATGGATTTTCATTGTTCTTAGACCAGTGTCCCCAGTCCTTAACGTGACCTCTAAGCTCTGCCTGACATGGTTCCTACCACCCTCCCCAGCCTGTACACATGCTCCTCTTTCCTCAGCTCTCCAAATTTCACCCTCACTGGCTTTCTTCTTATACTTTTGGGATAGCCACAGGCCTGGAAGCGGTGCTCCCTTTGTCTAGCTAACTGTGACTTATTTCTCAGGTTACAGCAGTTTCTGAGGGAGGCTTCTCCCGTACATCAAGCAGGTAGACTTTTTGTATGTTCTTTTTGTGTAGTTCATCCAGCACTTATTTGATTAATGTAAATTAGATTACTAATTAATAAATTGTTAATTAATGAGTTAATTATTTGTGTAATGTCTGTCTTTCCAAAGGGCCTATACACCCATTAAGGGCAGAAATGTTATCTTTCTTTTTCATTGTTCCATCTTCAATTGCTTAGCAAAGTGCATGGCATGTAGTAGACAGCCGATAAAATAACTTTAATGAGCTGAGATGAAAGCTAGACCAAGAAAGATGGTGTCTTTTCATGTATGCCAGGTTTAACAGTCCTAAATTTCCCTTTACATTTCTTCTTAGCTCACAAGCCTCCCACTATAATCAGTGCATCTACACCCTGATGGTCTCAGCCAGCACCCCAGGATGTTAACTCCTATACAGCTGACCGGATCCTCACTGTGCACGGCTTGCTTAGTCATTCATTCACATCAGTGTTTCCCCAAAGAAGTAGACCATATGTCAAGTTTTCCAATAGTAATGATTCACTTTTATTATGATCAATACGAAAAGATCTACCTAGTTTAATAGACCCAGAAGCTTAAAAGAAAGATTGGGATCTGCAAAACATCCAGGCAAACCAAAATAAGAATTCAAGAAAGAAAAGAAATGAAAAATGAGAATTTTGAAACAAGGCCATCAGCTTTCTCAACTAGTACAGGTGTTCCAGGACGTAGCTGGCAACATACTTGATTGCCAGGAAGGTCTCCTCGCAGGTAGCCCGGATCTGGGATTCTGGAAGGAGAAAGCCATATCTGCCTGTATCTCGAAGTTCAAAGGTGAAGGAATATCTGATTCCTTGGTCATAAGCCCAGTCGTCAGAGCCCCCAGCAGCAGGATCTGAAATGTGCAAACAGCAGTGAAAAAAAACTTTAAATCTAGGAAGGAGCTTTAAAAAATTGCCAGTTTCTTTTTTCATTACAAATGTTTCACTGTGCAAAATATTTTGAGTAGGCCAATTTTCTAGTAAACTGGATCATAAATGTTATGGGGGCTGTTTTAAAAAATTACTCCAACCTTATTAAACGTATCACCACTTCACTTTGTAGAAATGATGTGTTTAATACTTCAGAAAGTACGTAATCTGTAATGCAAAATTCCCAGTGTGCTTGTATGCTATGGTAAACTACACTTTATATGTGAAAGGATGTGTATCTCTCAGGAAAATAAGGAAAGCCGTATGATGATTGGCAAGAGGAGAAAACTCTAAACCCGGCTGAAACTGTGCCAAACGATAAGATTGAAGAAGCTGAGGGCAGGGCTATGCCTTCATTTTCATATTTTTAGTGTTTATCTAGCATAGGGCCTGGTGTAGATAAGGTATATGTTATTAATTTATTCAATAACAATCATGTTGTCACTAACACATAGAATATGTACTAATTAATTCATTTGTTCATTTATTCACTCATCTGTTTTTTCAATCAACAATTGTATAGCCCCCACTGAACAGCAGGCTATGGGCTCAACTCTGAAGATGCCAGAACAAAGGAGAGATGTTGGCTCTGCCCTCCAAAGTCTTACAGTGTAATGGAAAAAGAAGCCTAGTTGAACTGAATAAAACATGCACCAAGTTCACCATATATAAATAGGTGGGCTATCTCTGCTAGAAACCCCTTAAGAAAACAGTATGCCTCATATGATTCAGAGCAGTTTTTTAAAAATAATAAAAATAAAGAAAATTGTATTTTGCATAAAGGCTTAAAATAAATCCCAACAACTCAGGACTGGAGCCTCTCCAACTGCACTGGAGGCCACTTGATGATGAGACTGGGTCTTTTGTCATGTGTGTGTTTCAATTTCTTTCCAACCTCAGGCAGAAAGAAACCATTTGAAGGCAAAGGAAGATATACGTAGAAATTGAAAATGAGGCCTGTGGAATGTGCCTTCCAGATAAATCTAAGCTGCAGCACCCACAGCTCTTGGGTCTAGCCCCTACCACTCTAGCCACTTGCTTGCATACACTGAGTGTCTAATTAGAGGGACTGGTGTCTACCTCTTGAAGGTGACTTGTGCCTCAGGTAGCCCTGGTACTTGTTTGTCGTCTGTTTAGCCAAAAAAACACTCTGTCTTTTTTTTTTTGAGATGGAGTTTTGCTCTCGTCGCCCAGGCTAGAGTGCAGTGGCAGGATCTCAGATCACTGCAACCTCCGCCTCCCAGGTTCAAACGATTCTCCTGCCTCAGCCTCCCGAGCAGCTGGGATTACAGGTGCCCGCCACCACGCCTGGCTAATTTTTTGTATTTTTAGTAGAGGTGGGGTTTCACCATGTTGGGCAGGCTGGTCTCGAGCTCCTGATCTCGGGATCTGCCTGCCTCGGCCTCCCAAAGTGCTGGGATTATAGGCATGAGCCACTGCACCCGGCTGAAAACACTCTGTCTTATATTTTCCTCCAGCAACAATCCTTTCAGATAAAACTTTTGTGTCATCATCTTGGGAAGTTAATTCTGATACTGTGGGGTTGGTTGGTCTTTGGGTGTGTTCTTTCCTTGTGCATCCTAATGTCACAGCACTTAGCACCTGTATCACAAAAGACTGCTTATTTTTGCTGCTTCCCTACTGCTAGTTCTTTAAAGATTGCCCTGATCTCCCTCCTTCCTTTTCTCTTTTCATCTTTTCTTCTCTCTATTCTTACTTTCTTGTTCTCTTAGTGCCTAGTAAGGCCCTGGCACATAGTAAGTGCTCAGTAGATGCTTACAGGGAGGAAATGTCTCTGTGGGTTGAAAAGGATATTTTTCTCCTCCTCCCTTTTTATTTTGAGATAGGGTCCTGCTCTGTCACCCGGGCTGGAGTGCAATGGTGCAATTATAGCTCACTGTAACCTAGAACTCCTGGGCTCAAGTGACTCTCCCGCTTCAGCCTCCTGAGTAGCTGGGATTACAGGTGTGCATGACCAGCTAATTTTTTAATTTTTTTTAGAGAAAAGTTTGCTATGTTGTCCAGGCTTTCCCTCCTTTTTTTTTTTTTGAACAGAAAACTGATTACATATTTTAGAAAAATTTGCTGTGAGGCAAAAGCCACATGCTTTAAACTATCAGAAAAGAAAGGCCCCAGGAACCTTTCGTTGGCTTTTTAGGCACATGGTTCTTTGCACAGTTCTGAAGCCAAGACTCACAGATTGTTGTAGCTCCCGGGCCATATGTGTACTTGGTGCCGTGCAGTGAGGCAAGTTCTTTCACAGTAGCTTTAGCCAGGGCATTCTGCAAAAGAAACAGGAATAAGTAAGGAAATAAATAAAAGCACACTGCCAAACAAATGCCCTGTACATTATTTTTAAGGCATTCAAAGCATGTAAGTAACAATTTGGATCGTATTATATGCTTATTCAGGACCCATTTTCATTTTTCTACTTAACCTAGTGATATGATCCAAGTAATTCTTGTGCAAGAATGTCTTCCCTAATACCCTCCCCAAGCATTCACTCTGAGCCTCTATTTATCTTGTCTTGTAAGAGTTTGTAACAGAAAAGCAGGAGACAAGGAAGTCTTTATGGTTGTGCAAAGAAGTTGTTTACCTGTTTGCAGGCAAACAAACCAAAACACACGCATGCAAAAACGCAAAGAAAACAAAGCAAAAAAAAAAAAAAAAAAAAAACACTTGGCAATGTGGCAGTTTATAAAGCCAGATTAAGTTACAATAGGGTTGTGTGAGTTAGGGCAGGAGCATTAGAAACTGCACATAGGAATGGCTAGTCAATGCAACATTCAGTGCCAGCATGAAAATGCTTAGGAATTGGCAGTTCCAAGGATGAGTGGTAGCTCCAGCTTGGAAATTTTTTAGACTAAAAAGTTAGAGAATATTCATTCTATTTCAAAATGCAGAACATTTGAATTTCAGAATTAAAAAAAATTGTTAGGTATTAACTTACGTGTAATCTTTTTTCTTAGAAGCATCATCACCTTCTCATAAGAACCATTGCCCTCCAGTTCCCTGCACCCCACTCCTAGGGAAAGGCTCTCTGCGCTCAGAAACTCTGTGGTAAAACTCCACTGACATACTGCCTATTTAAATAAAACACTTGAGAAGCAAGGCCTGGCTCAGCTGTCTGGGGAATACAGATTTGAAAAACAAATTATTTACTGCAGGAGAATTAGCCATAATTCATTCCGGTTATGAAACCGGCTATATTTCATACTTTGGCATTATAATTACTTCTTCTACATATGCCTGGAAAACTGTGAGGTTGGTGATGAAATCAGAATAATATGATTTTTACAAAGTAGGAATTTTCCTTTCCTTATTCTAATGTTGAAACTAGTTTAGTAGAATCTTATGTCAAACTGATGAGGGCGTGGCCGTAAGACTTCAAGGATTCCAATTCCTATAGCATTAATACTTTATCAGCCAGGTGGTAAATTAGAAAACTTAAAAAGAGTTATTAAATGTAACTCATTATTTTCTGTTCTGGTCCACTGAAATGATGCAATCAGCTTCCTGGAACTAACATTATTCTCAGAGTTTTGGGTCGGTACTTGCAAATTTTAGGGTTCCATTTTCCTATTTCTAAACTGATAAACTAAGACATGCTTTCTCTAACTGCATGAAATCTTTACTGTTGTGGCCTAAATATATTGCTCCTCTTGTTTAATCTTATTGTAACGAAGACACTAGATTTAGATTTTTTTAACCCTTTGTTTAAACCCTTAGGTTCCACTGCCAATTGAAACCAGAACCAGTTAAACATTACATAATGCTCATAATAGATTTAAAACCATCTTCTAGAGATGTGAAACATGGTGAGGCAATAGTTCTTTTTGTAGGTAAACATGATATTTTCTACCATTCTACAATTTCTTTATCTTGCCATTTATCAAAGGAAATCTCCAGTTAGTTATTTATCTGAAAGGCAGAACCTCTGATCTTAAAGAATTCTTATTCCTTCCCTGGTTGCCTTCTTCAGGCTTTACTTCAATTTTTCCTTAAGCCTTGAATTATTATTTTTAGTTAGTAGAAATATGATTCTTCAATATTAGTTCCAAACATATAAAGTTACGAAGACTAGAGAAGATTTAATAGTCATTGTCATTATCTATTGGACTCGTGTGTTGATTGATTGTCTTTCAAGTCTCTCAATATATTTACTGGTGCAATGTAGTAATACAGTTTTCAGACAAAACCAAAGGGGGCTACTTGTGATCTGTTATCTCTTTTGACTTATTATATCAATTTAGACATGATTTCCATTAAGGCCACAGAAAAATGTTTAGTTGTCCTTTCCTCAAACCACACTCTGGGCATGTGAAGTGACATCCAAGTTCTCTCTACACCGTCATCGGCATCTTTTGGCAACAGTTGCTCTATTTTTTTTTTGATGCTGAAGCAATATCTGAGGTTGATGTGAGCTTAAAAAGGTTGTTATTTTATTCCTGTCACAGGTGCACACTGGAGGAACATTTAGTTTATGCCTAAGTTCTCAGCTCTTGTCCTCAGTTGCTCTCTCATTTTGATATCCACCTCATCTCTCATCTTCTGAAGATCACCTCATCACCACGTCTTCGATGGCTCTATCATGTCAAACCTCTTTTGGCAAAAACAGTTGTTGCAAACCAGGTCCGGCCTTGTCTCTCAGGCTACATTATTTGTTGTGCATTCCCGTGTTCCTTCTGAGGTAGATTTTCCTGAATTACTTCCCTGTACACCCTTTCCTGCTTCTCCTGACCTCCATGACTGTGGGTACCCTTTTCTCTTCACTGGAATCCTCTTTCTCTCTTTACTAATATGGATAATTGCTATTGTTTTTCCAGATTCAGTTTTAGTGTTATCTTCTTTGTGAAGCTGCCTCTACTCTCTTAGGAAGCATTGAGCCCCTCTCCTTTTTGGGGGCCCACACTTTTATCAGGGTTCACTGTATGCTATAATCAGTTGTTTTTGCATCTATTTCCTCACCAGGTGAGCTCCTTGAAGGAAGGAATTGTTGGCTATTCATTTTGTATCCTCAGCAGATTGCACAGCACCTAGCACATGATTAGTTGACTGAGTCTAACACTCTGGCTTAGGGGCATTATGAATAATCAAGATTTGGGTGGAGGTACAGAGTGCTGAGCTTTGCAGAGGCTGAACCCACCTGAGTGGAGATTGGGGATGCTTCTGGGGGAGGGCAGTGGTACCATTTATTGATGGTTGATAGGATGCCACATTTAGACATTGACATCTTCTGTGCATTTTACTTATTTCTATTAATTAAAAAAAAAAGTCTATGAATCCTTTCTCTTAGCCCCTCCAAGGCCAAAAGACAAAAAAAGTCAGAACAGACATTAATCAAGTAAAATATCATATTTTAAATTCCAATTATCTTAACAAAAATCCCTGGAATCAGTGTGGGTCTTTTCTTTAGAAGAGTTCAAATAATTTCACAAATGTTACTCATTTATCTTCTCAACATTATCTGTCCATATTTCACCAACACAGAATTTTCTAGCAGAATGGAATTCCACCTGGGGCAGCAAGCTCAGTGGGAATGTTCCAATCAACCCAGATGACTGACCCCTGCTAAGAATGGTAGAGAGAAAGGTAATTCTTGCATTTGCTACAATTTAGAGTGGTAACTCTTTTCCCTTCATGTTTCTGTAAAAAGAGATGAGGGCAGATGATGGAAGAACCAAGAAGCAACGACACAGCAGAGAACTCGGTCCATATCTTGAAACTCCAATTAGTGATGATTTCTATAAAACTTGCCTTTTGAGGGACATCTTACATTGTTTCTCAGTGGATTCAAAATCAGAACTAACATTTACATAAAAACTTAAGCTTTACAAAGAGCTCTTGATAAGAGCTAGATATTTTTATCCCCATTTTACAGATAAAAGAACTAACACTCACAGAGGATAAAAGAACTTGCTCAAGGGCACACAGCCCCATAAGTGGCTGACTTGAGCTAGGTTCTTCTTTCTTTAAATCCTCTGCTCTTTTTCACTTCTCCTTGTGGCCTTGGAATACTTCAAAAGAAGTGTTGCTGGAGCTGGTTTTACCAATTGTAAAGAACAGAAGGAAGCTAAATATAAACCAGCCTGAGAGAAAACTTTGCTTTCAGTCAAGGCCAAACATGGTCAGCCTTTATTAATCCTTAGCTATGAATTTTCACATCTTATGCATGTTCTCTTTTGTCATCTGTTTCCTCAAAATGAGGCCTTGGTCCTAGAGCAAAAGACAGAGAGAGTCTAAAATGTCACATCTAGCTCGTAGCCCAAGAGACAAAGTAAAAGCTTAGTGTAATGTTTCTCCAGGCATTGAGTTCCAAGGACCTGGTGAGATGAATAAGGAGAGGATATTCTTTTCCACTGACCTGCATTCCCATCGAATATATGATAAAGAAACTCCCCTTTCGTGACTGTGCACATAGCCCTTGTTCCAATCTCTTGTACACAGCCAGCATCATGACAGGGGGCTGCCTCTTCTAATCTTCCAGTGACCCATTATTACAGCATAAGAAAACAAAAGCTCCAAACCAACTATAAGGTATAAAACAATTTAAAGAAAATTTTCTGTAGAACTTTGTTTCTAACTGAAAGTTCTGAGTTTAGCCATCCCTATGGGTGAATATTTGTGATAAGAGAAACATCAAAATAATCCTTAACTGCAGTTTCCTTCCTTCTGTCCTGCGATAATGGGTAAATTACACCAAGGGACCAATAAGAAACTTAACTTTTATAATTTTGGTGCAAAAGAAGAAGCCCTTACGGTCTATAAGCAGGAACCAAGGAGAAAGCATTTGAGACCTGAAAAAGCAAATATGTTTTGAGAAAAAGGAGGCCCTGAGATTAGAGAAGGGCAAGGAGTTAGGAAAAAGTTTGGCTTAGGAGAACCAGGCCTGCCGATTTCCACAGAGCCCACGGGGAGTGTGGGAACGCTTTCACTGATGAAAACCAAACTTTTTATTTGGCTGATCTGCATACATATTTTTAAGCTCTTTGAAATTCAAGGGAAATGTGAAGTGTGAGTCAGCTGAAATTGCAAAGTCTAGAGAATGTATTTATTTATTTACCTATTTATTTATTTTTCTGGTGGAAGTGGAGTTTCTCCCAAATAAATAAATACTGTCTAATGGGGGATTTGTAGGTTCTCTTGCACTTGTAATTTGCAGAACATTGTAAAGTTTTGTGAAGAAAGTATAAGATCCTGTGAAAGGCGAGAGCCTTTGTCCAGGAATGTGACTTTGTTCTTATATTTATTTAAAGCAAGTTTCTCAACCTTGGCACTCTTGACGTTTTGGGCTGGATAATTTGTTGGGGATGGGAGGGCTGTTCTGTGCATTGTAGGATGTTTATCAGCATCCCTTGGCCTCTACTCACTAGATGCCAGTAGAGCTCGACAGTTATGACAACCAAAGATGTCTCCCAAACATTGCCAAATGTCATCTGGGGGTGGGAGTGGGAGTGGGGGGCAAAATTAGTTGAAATGGAAGTCATATAAAATATTTAGTTATGGTAAACTAGAATTTATTTTAGGAAAAAGATTAAAAAGAAAGACAACTGATTTTAAAGGTGCTATGAGAATGCCTTTTTCTCGTTGATGACATTACAGCTATCTTTTAAACACCTCTGCTAGGTCACTGTTGCTAAAACATCACTTTATTCCCAGAACGTTCAGGCTTAGCAAAAAATACAGACTGACCAGTTAAATTTAAATTTCAGAGGAACAATAATTTTTCAGTATAAGTCTGTCCCATGAAATATTTGGACATGGTTACAATAAAAATTGTTTGTTGTTTGAATTCCAGATTCTACTGGAAGTCCTGTAATGGACCTGCAATCCTATTTTCCAGGTCCCTGGCTCCAGGGCCCACTGTGACACAGGATTCATCCTGGCATTCAAGTGCCTACACAACCTGGTTACCTCATTGATTGGCCCTTGCCCCGACTCTTCCCTAAGGAGAACACTCGATACAGGATGACCCTCTTCTACTTTCTTCCTCAACTTCATCTTTCAGTTTCTCCATTGTTCATTTGTTGGCTCTTTTCTCTGCCTAAAACACCCTATTCCTTTCTCTGCCACTCAAATCCTGCCCAGACTTCAAAGCTCAGAACAAATTGCATCCCCTCTCTATAATCTTCACTGAGCAGCTTCAGCAAACATTGCTATTTTCCTTTCCTGAATTCTTACTATTGCACTAACTGGAAACTCCCAATTCTGTTCTCCTTTTGTATGGTTTCTGGTACCCAAGTCTTATCATTTCAGTAGGATTGTAAATTCTCAGTGGCAGGAAACATACTTTATAATGAACACTTAATAGGTGCTCAATGAAATTTCTTTCTTTCTCTTTTTCTTTCTTTCTTTCTTTCTTTTTTTCTCTCTTTCTCTTTCTTTTTTTTTTTTTTTTTTTTTTGAGACAGGGTCTTGCTCTGTCACCCAGGCTGGAGTGCAGTGGCATGATCTTGGCTCACTGCAACCTCTGCCTCCTGGGTTCAAATGGATTCTCATGCCTCAGCCTCCCGAGGAGCTGGGACTACAGGCGTGTGCCACCACATCCAGCCAAATTTTTGTATTTTTAGTAGGGAAGAGGTTTCACCATGTTGGCCAGGCTGGTCTCAAACTCCTGACCATAGTGATCCTCCTGCCTCGGCCTCCCAAAGAGCTGGGATTACAGGCATGAGCCACCAGGCTTGGCCATGAAATTTTCGATGATTGATAAGCCATGTACTGAGCAAGCCTGGTAGGAGAATTTTATCAGGCCAAGAAGTCACTTAAAGAGCATAATGTTGAATAAATGACTAGTTTATTAAATGAATTCTGAGTTTGTCATTTAAAATTTTTGTCTTTTAAATGAGAGTATAAAGTTGGAGACAATTCCTGCAGCAGATGTTTTGTGCCTAAAGCCCTGTTCACCTAAGCCTGCCTGGAAGCAGAATTGTGGCTTGCTACTCTTGCTATTAGGCAGGGACATGGTACAGCTGTGATGAGTGATGTGCATGGGTGTGTGCATGGCCCTGCAACTGTCTGCCTTCTAATCACAATATTTCTTCCCTCTGATTTTTACGTTTATCTTTAGTTATAATCTTGCATTATACTCAAATTCTTGAGGAGAGCAGTGGACTTCTATCTTAGTAATGCCTTAATTAAAACTTCAATTAAGACGGGCGCGGTGGCTCCCAGCACTTCGGGAGGCTGAGGCAGGCGGATCACAAGGTCAGGAGATCGAGACCACCCTGGCTAACACGGTGAAACCCCATCTCTACTAAAAATACAAAAAAATTAGCCGGGTGTGGTGGCAGGTGCCTGTAGTCCCAGCTACTCGGGAGGCTGAGGCAGGAGAATGGCATGAACCCGGGAGGTGGAGCTTGCAGTGAGCCGAGATTGCACCACTGCACTCCAGCCTGGGTGATAGAGCGAGACTCCGTCTCAAAAACAAACAGACAAACAAACAAACAAACAAAAAAAACTTCAATTAAGAGGCAGTGACTGAGTTGCCACTGGACTGGAAGGTGTTAGAATTTGGAAGTAGCTTTCTATCTTTTGTTCACATTTAATAATTTTTCAGAAAGTCTGTCATATTTCTTCTTCTGGTTACTGTTATCTTTTTCCTCGTTAATGAATATATATCTCTCAAAAGAATGGGCCAGAATCATAAAGACTAGGCCATGAGAAGTTAGTCATCTTAGCTAACCAGAGTACATCTTTATTAATGTCCAGAGGCAGAGGTAATTATGATGTACTGTGTGGGATTAAAGACTTTCTGATGAATGTTATTCTGCAAAGCAGTTATATGGGGTACCACCATAGCATGTGGCCACTTAAATATGTGTCTGTGTGTCTTTGGAAATTGAGGCAGCCTAGAAGATTCCTCAGGAGCCAGTAGCCTTAGACCCAGGGCTACCCTGACTACTAGTGTTGGCTTCGCCAAGCATTCCATGCCTCAGCTGGAAAATGAGAAACAGACCAGAGAATTTCTAAGACTTTTCTAGGCATAACATTCTGTGCTTCTAATGCAGAGAAATGGTGCAAGACACATGCCCTGGATTGGCACCTTTGTGTAGTGCGCTCTGCTTTCCATTTTGTTAATCTGTGGAGAGGGACAAGATACTTGTTGGCTGGATATTCTTCTGGCTTCCCATTTTTCACTTTGAAGTTGTATTATTATTATTATTAACAGTGTCATGTAGACATCTTTGCAGGGGAGGTGCACCAAAGATTGGGAGCTTCTTCCTGCCCAATAAGTGCAGCCATATGGCTAGGTTTGAGAGCCTTTTCTCCCAGTTTTAATTTCTCTGACAATAACAAGGTCACAGAATTCAATATTTCATTGTCCTTTAGAATTTTGGAAATCTAAATTCATTGTTTTTCTTTTAAGTCTCAAAACTTCCTTTGACGGTAGTGGCAACTTTATATTAAAGAGGTCTGGCCGGGCGCGGTGGCTCACGCCTGTAATCCCAGCACTTTGGGAGGCCGAGGCGGGTGGATCATGAGGTCAGGAGATCGAGACCATCCTGGCTAACAAGGTGAAACCCCGTCTCTACTAAAAATACAAAAAATTAGCCGGGCGCGGTGGTGGGTGCCTGTAGTCCCAGCTACTCGGGAGGCTGAGGCAGGAGAATGGCTTGAACCCGGGAAGCGAGCTTGCAGTGAGCCGAGATTGCGCCACTGCAGTCCGCAGTCCGGCCTGGGCGACAGAGCGAGACTCCGTCTCAAAAAAAAAAAAAAAAAAAAAAAAGAGGTCTACACTGAGAGACTGGACAGTTTATGAGGCCATTAGAAGCTCAGAGTGCACTTTGTATTCTTGCTTTAAACAATATAGTATGAGTAAAAGCAGTTTGCAAATGGGAAAGCATTATATGTGTAAGATATTCTTGTTATTCCATCTACTTTCTACTGCTCTGCTAAACATATCTTAGAGAAACATTGTAGTCTTCTCTGCAATCCATATAATACTTTTCCTGTTCTTTACTTCATTGGTCTTTTGCATTCTTATCTCTGCCTTTCTTTCTTCTGAAGGTTGTCTCATGATATGAGCAATTATTAGGCAAGCTACATGTAAAATCATTCAGAAATGAAGGCACATACATTTTTATCATGACTCAGATATCAAAGGACTGCTGTTTATAGGATGTCCTAAGTTTGGGCTGAAAATGCTAACATAAGCACAAAATAATTTCCTTTAGTCTAGTCTTATTCTCCTTGAAACATATATATTTTTTTGCTATAAATAAAATAATAATTTTATAGGTATAAAGAAAAATAGAAATCTCTTGTACACCAATGACTTGGCAGAACGCTGTAAGTCCTCATTGTTTCCTTTAAATTTTAATGTGGTATGATGCAAGAAATCATGTTCCTAATGTTTTACTACCTTTTGTTTTCTGCAGCAGAGTCACATTTCTCTATGTAAGAATTAATATGGAGGCACTAGATTTGGGTGCAAAATTAACTTTTCTAGACCAAGACATTTTTTTCCCCTTGAAATCCTCATTGTAAATAAAAACTGTAAAACTGTTAATACTGTTATTTTTGAGAGACTCATATTCTTTTTTGTCTATACATATATTTGTAATTGCACTATAGTTAATGAGCTTGTTTTAGCAAAATGTGCTCTGGAAGTAAGTAAACTAGAATTCTACAATATAAGAAAAAGTTGGAAGGATCTCCAGCTACTCAAAATATTAAAGTTGCTTTGGCGTGCTAAACTAAATTCAGACACCAAATGAATCAGATAATCAAATAACAGTCACCTTAAGTAGCATGCCACTTACTAGTGGCATTTAAATATTTCTTTTAAGATACTAGAGAAAAGCTTAATCAATAGAGAAAATTATTGGAAATTAAAAATAACTTTTAAATCAATGAGTATGATACATCAAATTAAATTTTTGCATTTTAGTTACCTGTCTTGTACTCTGGTAAAGATAAAAGTGGCATGTATTTTTATTTGAACTTTTTAGTTTTGTATGTGTAGAAACAAACATCCAAGATAAGATTATTTTGTGGCTTGTGCTTTTTCTCCTTTTGAGAATAGATTATGAACATTTTACTTCGGTAGAATTCTACTTACTCTACTTCTTTGGCAATTAGAATTTAACAATTTTGGAGGACAGGATTTTGAATAGTATCTCTTTTACTATTACCTCTCCTTGACTTTAAACAAAGAAGTGACTCTTAGGGAAGAGTATCAGTGACTCATGTTCTGTTGGAACATTTTTACACCATTTGGCACACATGTGAATTGGCCCATTAAACTTGCTAACTCTGAGGCTTGGTTCTTTTACTGGAGAAAATTTCCTTAGGAAGTAGCAAAAATTATTCATAATATTCTAAAGGCAGGACTTACTTGTCTTTTTTTTTTTTTTTTTTTTTTTTAAGAATGATTTGGAGACTTTTAGAGTAGCCCAGGTTCTGGTTGTTATTGTATACAACTAGTGGCAACAAAGCTGTCTCATCACTAAAAGGGCTTAAACTTATTCCTCCAATAAGAAAATGTATTGAATAAGAAAACTTTGGTAGCTCAGCTTCCAGGAACACTTTAAACTTTATTCTTTAGTGTTAGTCTTTTAGTAGTTATGTCTAAAACTAGTTGATATTGAAGCAAACTGGATATATATATGTTATTGCTACCCTTAATGTGTTTTGTAATTTTTTTATTTTAATTAACTCATTAGTATGTAGTTATGACTTTGACTTTTTCTCTTCTGATATGGCACAACTTAAATATATTTACATGAGTTATACAAACTACATACCCCCACCTCCTCTTTTCTGGTGGCCAGAAATTTTGGACAGAAATGAGAGCCAACCACACCCATCTCTGGGAGAGCAATACTGTGAGCACCCATTGGGAACACATACAGACCAAGCTTAAGTGAAAAACTGAAATGCTTGGCGGTGCTAACATATATATATATATATATATATATATATATATATATATATATATACACACGCACACACACATATATATGTGTATATATATATATATGTATATATATATATATATATTTTTGGCCATGGATGGGGAAAAATGAAAAGCTTTTTGAAAAATTGTATTGTTTTTTAAAGAAAAGGGCCCATCCAACTATTAGCTATCAATTTTCTAGGAGACTGGGTTATTTTTCTGATTTGTTCTCAAAATATTTACGGCATTACATATTTTATTTGGTCTCCGAAAGACTGAATCTGAAAGTATAAAACAACAATTTTCAGTTTTAAAGTTACTAGGTCTTCAAATTTATGCATTTAGGTAAGCCAAATATCCATGTCATTGTCTAAATGGAATACATTTTTTTTTTTGGCATAACTCAAATGCTTTAAATCTTATATTTGCTCTTTTAGTTTATTGGTGCCAATTTCTGGCAGCCAGATGTTTCATAAATTAAAGAAATATTGTTTGAAAGGTTCAAACATGCTTATTTAAAAAATTATTCATTGACATGTGATATTTCTATGAGAAAACTCATTATTTAGCTGCTCAAGTGATTATGTCTTGATTGTTCAATAAGATTGCTAGCTTTTTTTGATGTCAGAGATTCTTACATTTCTTTGCTTTATTCCCTGTATGTGGTAAAGACTCATTCACATTATTTGTTCATTGATTGATTTACTTTTGAGTCTCACCCAATCAAAAAGTGAAATAAACAATTTTAGTATTTAATGACTAAACTTGATATCACCCAAATGTGACAAATTCCTAATGACATCTGCTGTGCTCTGCTATGCTCTGGATCTGTGTCAAATTCAGCTCAGGGCAGCTTCACAAAACTGACTGAAAAAAAAATATGTATGTGATCAAGCAACTTTGTTGATTATCTCATATGCATCTGAAATCATCATGTAAGTCAGCATTGTGGTGAAGCCAGAGGAAATGGAACTATTGTCATTTTGAAGATTAGTCAATAAATCGCATGTGGGGAACAATTTCCTGCGTGAAAATTGTATTTCTTTTAGCCAACTCCAGATTCCTTATAAATCTGTAATAAGTTTTTCAATTCTACTACCAAAAAAATCAATAAAGGGACTTCCAGAAAGTGTTCTTATAATGATTTTTTTTTCAGGATTAGAATTTAAAAAATCTCAATAGTAAAATGTCATACCTACTACTTTGCTACTTACCAACTCAGCATTGTTCTCACCGAGTTTGTAAGCATATGAGTAAGGGTAGATCATCATTTGGGAGTACGAGTGGATTGTCAGATATGCCTTGATGGAAGAGAGTTTGTTGCGGATGAAATCAGCCAGGGCCTTGGTCTCCTTTTCAGACTCTGCGGCAGGTCCACAGTAAGTTTCATCACAGGGGTTTCGAGAGGCTCCAATTTCTGGAAAAACATATGATGTTAATGGCAAGGATCACCTAGTGAAGTTCTTGTGGGGATGTTTTAAACTTTCAAATTAGGGAGTTGTTTTCATAGGAGTCCTTATCAAGGAGTCCTTAAAGTTGTCCCTATTATGTATATATTATATAGTAAAATATCCATTTAATCACAGGATTAGGATGGTATGTTTTTAAGCTAACCTGGTAAGAAGTTGCATATGGAATCACCAATGTGTCTCCGTGTAGTATTACACAATGATATCAATATAGTGCAAGAAAATTAATAAGTAAGGGACAAACTAATATCCATGAAAAAATTATTACTATGATCATTCTTAATTGCATTACGATTTTATGTAAATAATTATTTATTTAATAGCTGTCTCCCCCTCTAGACTATACATTCCATGAGTAGTAGGATTATGTCTGGTTTGTTCAGCCTTATATTTTCAGCATCTAGCACAGCTGGGAACGCAACAGAGTTCTCAATATGTTTTGGTCAAATGAATTAAACTGGTTTTTTTTTTTTTGGTGCTTTTAGAAGGTTAGAACTTTAAAATATAAAACTTGCTTTTTTTATTTTAGATACTGTTGTGTTTTCATATTTTTCCTCTTATGTTTTTCAATGGATACATGCAAAATGGCTAGCCAGATACTTACCACACCAACCAGCATCAAAATTTCTGTTGGGGTCTGTGCCAATGCAGCTAGATCCAGTATGGGTGGAGCGAGTCTTTCTCCAAAATCGGCTCTGAAAGTGGACTACATAGTTAGGACAAATATAATAGAGAGGCGTTGGTTTTAATTTCATCAGCCTCTCTCAGTATTGGTGCATATACCTTGGTCCAGGTGTAGATGTAGCCATCAATATTGAGCACAGGCAGGACATAAAAGTCTAACTTGTCGAGAAGCTCTGTCACTTGGATCTCACGTCCATAGGTACGAACAGCCTGTATGTGAATTATGAAGAGGAATTTCATGGAAAAATGGAATTATGATGCTGTTAAAATTTACAAAGACTGTTGAATGTTAACTTTGGTAATAAGAGCAGCATTTCCTATTGAGGTGGACAATATTAATATTTAAAAAGCAATCAGCAAATTACTACCAATACTTGATATTTTTATTTATAATTGTTATTTCTAATTCTTCTCTGCTTCCAGGATATTTCTATTGCATCCTTCTTATTTTAACTTTTTACTTTAATGAGAAACTTATTTAATTAAAGACTTCTAAAGAACATATATACTCATTTCTTTTAAGATAACAACTACAATAGCTTTTTACAAAGTTAGTAGGGTATAAGTGTAAGTAAGGTATAGAACTTACTAGTTCTAGTAAGTAAGACGTGTCTGTGGATAGCTGTGCATGTTCCTAATAATGTCATTTAGAAATGTATTTCTTTTCTATAAAACCTCCTGTAGATGATCTCACTAGAGGGAATGTCCAATATAACAAGGTAATGAGAATGCCTCTCAAAATAAGCTCACACTCATGGATTTTGGGGAGGCTCTCACCAACACTCCAAGCTGCATAGTGATGGGAGTTTCCTTTGTTGTCTTTCTCAAGAAGGGACAATCCTGTTGTCCCTGTTAAATAATGTAGATACTTATCTATGAATGAGGGACATCATGCCCATTTAATATGTTCTCGTAGTCACAGTCCCTCTGCTCCAGCATCATATTAAACTTAAATTCAACCCTTCCCTAGGCTTGCTTGAATAAACTTTAAAGTAGATTAGACTTCTATGTGTGAACAGTTTTTATATACTGTTTGTAATTATATATATAAATTAATTACAATATTACATGATAAAGCATGTGCTTTTTGGGTTGGAGGAGCTATGCAATCATGTTCTTTTAATGGTCTACAAATTGGAAAAATAGTAAAATTTAATTCTAACATCCAGTTATCCTCTTCTGAAAGGCAGATGGTGAGCTACATAGTGAAGCTAAGTGATGCCAATCTGATACATAATGTCTAGAAACCAAGACTACATAACAAATATGTACGGAAGTGCTTCACACAAAAATTATGTTGTATATAATAATATTATTATATATTTAAAGCACTTCAATGTTTTCAACTTTTAAATTTGAAATAATTTTAGACGTACAGAAGAATTGCAAAAGTAGTTCCCACATACCCGTCATCCAGCTTCCTGAATGTTACCATCTTACACAACCATGGTATAATTATTAAAGTGAATAAATTAGCATGGATACAATACTATAAACTAAACTGTAGACTTTATTCAGATTTCACAAGTTTATCCACTAATGTCCTTTTTCCATTCTAGGTTACAATCTAGGATCCTACATTGCCTTTATTTGTCACGTCTCCGTAGTCTTCTCTGATCTGTGACAGGTCTTCAGTCTTTTTGTGTTTTATGACTTTAACACTGTTGAAGAGTGCTGGTCAGTTTATTTTGCAGAATGTCCCTTACTTTGAGTTTGTCTAAATTATTTTTCAAAATTAAATTTTGTTTATGATTAAAGGGAGGTCATTTATTTTAAGGAAGAATATCACAAAGGTGATATGTCTTTTCACAGCATATCTGAAGCTACGTTATATTGATATGTCTTATTTATTATTGGTGATGTTAACCTTGATCACTTAGTTAAGGTAGTTCCTTCTGCTAGGTTTATCCACTCTAAGTTTTCCCTTTATAATTAATACTTTTTGCGAGGAGATAACTTTTAGACTCTGTAAATATCCTGTTTCTCCCTAAACTTTTACCCACTAATTTTACATCCATCTGTGGATTTGCCTGACATGATTATTGCTGTGATGTTCTAGTGATGATTTTATGTTTTGCTCATTCTTTGTACATATATTAGTTGTAATTCTTCTGCAAGAAGGAGTTGTTCTTTGCCTCTCTTTTATTTATTGCATCATCTATGCATATCAGTATAGACTCATGCATATTTTAAAACTTGTTTTTAAAAGGCCTTTACATTCATCTTATTATTAGAATGATAAGGAATGAAAAACAGTGTCATTTAGAGTAAGGACTACTATGCACTCTTTTCTTTTAATCTGAAGTGTACAATGATTATTAGCCAAGAGATAATGATCAAATTGGTTTAACCACAACCATTAGCTTTTACATGACCAATCACTATGCTAGTTGTTGGACTCTCTACCAAATGTGGGTGAGAAAGTTCAGATGAGTGAAATTCAAATAAATACAATTTTTTTTTTTAAAGAGATGAGGTTCCACCGTGTTGCCCAGGCTGGTCTCCAATTCCTGGGCCCAAGCAATTCACCTGTTTTGGCCTCCCAAAGTGCTAGGATTATAGGCATGAGCCACTGCACCTGGCCCATAAATAGAATTTTCTGCCTTATAAAGGTCTGTTGGTGGAAGTTGAAACTAATTTCCAAAATTGGGCACTTGTAATTGTGTATTTTTTTCTGTGTTATTATTCTCTCTAGGTTTTAAGGAATTAATTGAAAATTAAAACATACATTTCTCTTTGCCAAAAACCACTCTACACACTGACCTCTCTTACAAACCACTGGCAGAATGCAGGAGAAATCCACTCTCTGGCATGGAAACCACAGTCCATGAAAATGGCAGGCTTATTTTGTCCAGCTTTGCCAACCTATTGCAAACAAAAGGAAAAGGGAAACCATGATTCATCATAGGACATTCAGGGGTTAACCTCCACTACCCATCTGGGCTTGAGACTCAACAAGTGAAACCCGACAGCAGCAAGAGCTGGATCCCATGATTAAATTAAAATATAATACTAACACAGTATGTTCTCGCTTCTAGACTCACAATGTTTGAGCTGAAAGCTTATATGGCTGTTTATTATTTTTATTAAGCTTGACAAGCTCATATTTTCAGATGATGCTTGATTACCCTGCTTAATTGTACTCATGTGGAGGTTATTTTCAGCTGCTGTTATTAGGTGACATGACCAAGACAACTGGATGAGTAATTAGAAGTAATCATGATTGTCGCTAATCTTGTAAGAATTTTTACTACTCTCTCACTTATTCCCTGTCTTTTTATTTCCTTCATTAGAATTACGTGACAAAAATGGTGTTAGAAAATGACAGAAACAAATTGTTGATGTGCTTTGTAATGTTGTCTGATAGACATGAAGTTTATGAACCTCTTTAAAAATGGATTTGCAAACCACAGCTGGGAAAGAAGAATTTCATCAAGGTAGATAATCATTTACGTTGCTTACAAGAATGTGGTTAAATTTATAGGTCTTCTCTTATTTTATTGCATTTTTCCTTTTGAATAAATCAAAATAATGATTTAAAAATCCACATATGATAAAAGAAGCTGGGGAATCTGGTTCCCTCGGGGATGTAGGCAGGAAAGAGTTATAACAATGTTTGGGATAAGCGTGTCTGTGAAACAGATGTTCATGTGTTAGAATTCATTGATTTAAAGCCCTCAGACATGGCAAGGTCATGGTTAAAAATGATTACCTTCAGGAGGTAAATAGCGCGTCCCTCAAATGTGGTTCCGATAACACTGCGAGAGATGAGGGCTGGATTCTCAGTGGCGACTTGTTGAGTCCAAGCCTCTATCTACCAAATGGAATCATTTGTAGATCAATGTGGCATTCTTGGTTCAATTCCCAAAGTAATATCTGTCTAAATCATGTGCACATCATACCGTTTCCCACTTGTTGTACTTCTCATAACTGTGTCCTGTTGCACGAACCCGGCTATCAAACTGAGCCTCCACCACATTTCTCAGGTTGCTTATCAGTACCCTGCAACGAACCAAAGTGGGTGTTCCTATGAACATAAGTGTATTTTTCTCCAGTGAACACACATAAAACCCCAGAGCCACTGCTTTAGTAGATGGCACATTGCACTCTCCATAAATTCTCATGTTGTCCTCTGGTTCTTCCTGATGACCTTCAGCTGCTCCAGAGAGATTCTGTTACTGACCATAAAGAGTGAGTAAGTCACTAAGAAGGATACTGGAGAATGCAAGCAAGGTAGGATCTTCCACAGCCCAAACCTCAGGTATTTGACTATCTGTGAACCTTAAACTTGGAAAATGGTTGCTCCTGGTACCTGGGACATTTTGGGTCAGGGCCTTGGGCTTCCACACAACACTATGTACTCAAAACCTATCTTTGGTCTTTCTTCCTCAGGACTTTTCTGAATTTAGAACTAAAAGTCTTGCGTTTCAGGAAGCTACTCAGTCCTGGGTAAATGGGAGGAGTTGTCACTTTGGACCTGTCTCTAGGTTCTGAGAAAAATATCTTGTCTGGAAATTCAGAAATATTAACAAGCTGAAGATTTACTTGGTAAAAGAAGAATGGGTTTAAAAAACTAGTTTCTATTTGCTTGTCTTTTGGGTGGGTTAAGTAATCTAATAATAGTTCTGTAGCAAGGTAATATGAAAAGTGGTAACAGAAATCTTTGAGGCCTACTATTTAGAGAAATGAATTGTCCAGGTGATAGTTTCTATTATGAGGCCAGTCTGAAGGTGTGTGTGTGTGTGTGTATGTGTGTGTGACTTCACTTCCCTTTCTACTTTGAGTGAAAAGTATGCTTGGAAGAGAGAAAAGTTTATGATCATTAGTATCCTTGATCACAGTACAGTGAATATTACAGACAGAGGCCACTTTGCAGAAATTTCTATTATCCACAGTTAAACCTTGAAATGATTTTATCTGACATACAGAGAATTTCAGACACACATCAAAAGTCTGCTTCTCCTCTGGCTGCCCCAAGGACATTCTGATGAAGTATGTCAGGGACATCCTCTGAACCTTCCTCCTGGTCACTCCTTCAATTGGTGAACTTGGGTACGAACTTGTGTCTGTTTTTGGAAAGTGTAATAAATTAATACTAACTGGAATCTGTTTCCTAGCAAAAGATAAACACTTTCTTAAGGTCTTAACTATCTTAAGGTAGTATTTAAAAAGGAAAAAATGCAGATTTTAAAAGTTATTCCATGGAGAAATATTTTCTATTGAGCAGCTGCCAATGCTTTGTGAGTGTATTAGTTTTCTATGGCTCTTGTCAGTTGCCACAGACTTAGTGGCTTAAAACAACGTGAATTTTTTATTTTATAGTTCTGTAGGTTAGCATTCCAACACAAGTCTCACTGGGATAAAAATGAGGTGTGGCCAAAAAAGAGTTATCAACAGGGAAGCTCTAGGGGAGAATCTAATTCCTTGCCCTTTCTAGTTCTGAGAGGTCGCCTGCATTCCTTGGCCATACCCTTTTTCTCCACCTTCAAGGCTTCAACAGGGGATAAAGTCCTCACATCCAATCACTGTGACCTCTTCTCCCTCTCTCTTTCACTTTAAAGACTCATGATTACAGTGGACATATAGGACAATCCAGAATAATCTCCCTATTTTAACATCAGCTGATTAGGAACCTTAATTCCATCTATAACCTAAATTCCTTTTTGTGATAAACATGACATATTCACATGTTCTGTAGAGTTTTTTGGGGACCATCAGTCTGTCTCTTATAGTTAGGAACAATGATTTTAGTCAGCACTATAATTATATTTACTATCCCAGTTGAATTGTTAAGGAATAGGGTGGAAGTAGAAGGAATCATGAATGAGGAATCAAAAGATCAAGGTCATAGTTTTGCCTAACTCATAAATTGGCTTTAGAAAAGTCATCTAATCCCTGGACCTTAATGTCATAAGTTTTAGAAGGGGGTCATTTGATTAGTAAATATCCAACATCCTTTTCAATTCTAAAATGCAGTGACTTGATTCCAATCTATAAGCCTTAGTCATTTACATACATGTCTTCCAAGTTTATGAAAAAAATAAAAATTTCCCAGTTACCACTGTCATAACTCAGGAAAACGTGGAGGAAAACTAAAAAATAGTTCAGGAAAATGATATTCAAGGATAACAAAAAACTAAAAACAGACTAACCAAACCAAAACAAAGCAAGCCAAGTAAGACAAAAACCTGGAAACAAACAAAAAAATCAACCGACAGAAACTGCTAAGAGGACAATTATGTCTCGATATCATAATGTGAAAGAACAAATCTTACCTAATAAGGATGAGCTTCTCGGAACGAAAAAAAAAAACCCAAGAGGACCAGAAAATGACATCCTCTTTCATTTCAAAGCTTCCAGAACATATTGCTATCCTCTTACCTGCACCCAACCCTTGAGTTGAAATTATCATTATTATTTTTGTTAATTTGTTTATTTTTGAGACAGAGTCTCGCTCTGTCGCCCAGGCTGGAGTGCAGTGGTGCGATCTCGGCTCACTGCAAGCTCCGCCTCCTGAGTTCACTCCATTCTCCTGCCTCAGCCTCCCGAGTAGCTGGGACTATAGGTGCCCGCCACCACGCCCGGCTAATTTTTTGTATTTTTAGTAGAGACGGGGTTTGACCGTGTTAGCTAGGATGGTCTCGATCTCCTGACCTCGTGATCCACCTGCCTAGGCCTCCCAAGGTGCTGGGATTATAGGTGTGAGCCACCTCGCCTGGCCGAGTTTAAATTATTTAGGAGGATCAGTGACTGTGTGGGGGCTGGCATTTTGTTTGGTACTAAGAGACATTCTGTTAGAGTTATTACTACTTTAAATATTAAACATTTTCATCAATATCCAGGACAAAGAAGCATAAAAAACCAGTTAGTTAAATTGAAGATGACACCCAAGAGTAAAAATATCCTCTAGTAACTTGCAAAAGAGCATCAGAGTGAGGTTGAAATGTGTTGCTGACTTCTGCTTGAAGGCGGGGGACTGACCTCAAATGATCCTTCCCAGCCCTGTGGTTATTTGATTTTATTAGATTTAGGACAAAGTACTACTTTAGCTATATTACAAAATATTATTACTAAATAATGAGCTTCCATTCTAGAAGATTAAAACAATGCCTCACAGCTCCAAAATAGAGAAGCATGTATAGTATTTTATACTTTTATATGCTCGTTTTATAGTGCCATCCAACTTCTCCTTTTTTTTTTTTTTTTTCTAACACACAAGCAAATTAGATAACTGGGACTCCCAAAAAAGTAAGGAACACAATGTCTGAGAAGTAAAGAAAGACATGACTCAGTTTTATCCCCCTTTCAGATTTCTGGAAAATAGAATATTTGATCAGTACCTGGACTTTGCGCCCACTGTTATTGAAGAACATTGCTATGTGCCTATTGCTGTCCTGGGACACCTTCCTGTACGCCTCTGAAATATGCAGAAAAATGCTGATATACGTGTGAGCAACAATCAGTCTCCCTGAATCAAGTAGGGCAAAGCAATCTTTCTACAGTCTGTAGCAAGGAATTCCATGGAGGGCAGGCCACCTAAAGGTTCTGTCAACTTAGCTTCATAACCATAAGTTGGAGATTTACACTATCTGATTCCTAGTCTTTCTGTTACTAAGAGTGAAACTTTGTCATTGAAAATTACAGTTATCTTTCTTTTTGCACACATTTTGATTTTTTTCCTATGATAATTCAGGATCTGATTAAAGCTGCCAAATAATACAGGTCTTGGTGAAGAGGGTTGGAAACACTGAAAAAATCTGAAAAGTTATTTTGGTAGAACTTGTGTGCAGTGGATGGCTCTTGTTATATACAAACACTACTGCAAATTTTTGCCAGCAGGAAATCGTCTAAATACTAGTTACCATATGAGGTAATAATGGGATGCACAGGGACTGCTTGCAACCCCAGCAAGGATATTGCTGGTATGCTTCTCCAGGATTTCCAGGGACTTATTATTATTTAATATTTAGAAAATTATATGCTACAAATGTGCTAAGCAGTGAACAGCGAAGCAAAAATTAACAAGCTCTTAGCCCTCAGGGGATGTCCTATGTTCTAGATGAGACAACATTCATACACAATTCCCAAAAAGTTCACCACTAAAAAAGAAAGTGAACTTTCTATCTGATTATAAATAGAGATTGAAATTCTATCAGAAACCATTTTACTGTTTTGTGATAAGGGTAGAATTAAGACATCATTCAGGTAGCTAGGGTTAATCTATGGTCGCTGATCTTTGTTTTTCTTAAAGAATTACAAAGAAACTCATCTTTTTGAATGCTACTGAAGGCTCCAAGGACTAGAATTTTAGCTGTCCTTTTCAGTATAATAAAAAGAGCAAAATGTTATAGACATGAATCTTAATCACATTTTGAGACTTACCAGGTTATATCTTTGTTTTAAAAAGACAGTCAATTCTTAAGGTCACATTTTGACACTTCCTTCAGGCAGAAAGCACATAGCTAAGCTTTGTGAGGCATGATAATGGGGTTAAACATAGCAGTTACTGTTGACTCTTAAAAAAAAAAACGTATAATCTCCTTCTTTGTACAACAGTAAACCATAGCAGCATTCTCAGCAATATAATACCAGTTGTAATTTATTTATATATATATTTTTATTTTTACAACAGCCCTTTGAGAGAGGCATTGTATCTTCATTTTATGGATAAGAAAGCTGAAGCTCAGAAAGGTTGAGCAAATTACCCACAATCACACAGCAATGTGCAAAGCCAGGATTAGAATCTAATCTGTTTTTTTCCCAAAGCCTTTACTTGTTGCACTATGCTACCCACTTCTCCTGATGGAGGTACAGATTTTATAGGTGACAATTCTGACATCTTCACTGGCACAGATACTATTCTTTTACATTTTTAAGACGTGAAAAACAAGAGAAATTTCTGTTAAAATTATATAGGCTACATTCTTCCAAAACATAATGAAGACTTGAGCTTGTGATGGGGGATTGCCGGATAAACATTTGAATGTTCAGGACCGGAGCCCAAGACTTTGTCTTTGTTCCTCCCTAATCTACCCCCTGGAGGAGGACCTCTGCTTTGTACTAGAGACTTTATTTCCTCCTTCCCTCTTATGCAAGTGTCCTGGGTTAGCATGGTCTCTCCCACTTCTAAGCCTCAGCATATGGTCTGTTCTCTTCCTAAAGTATGGTTTTTCCTTGTCTTTTTCTGGCTAATCAACTCCTACTCATCTTTCAGTTCTCAGCTGAAGAATCATTTCCTAGGACAGCCCTCCCTGACCCCTAGACTTGCTCTATTCTTCTGAACTCCAGCACTTTACTCTTCTTTCCATCTGTTAAATACTACTGCAATTCCTTATTTAAAGTCTGTTTTCCCCTAAAGGATGTGAGGTCATATCTGTCCTTATTGGAACTTGATACATGTAGACATTCAATATTGATTTGTTGGATCAGCAAATGGACAATTGCCTTTACTTAGGAAGACATTCTTGTCATGAAAGACCTAGATGAACGAAAGTGGTATTCAGTGAGGGAGACAGGATCAGCTTAGCCAACTACTCTAGTCCTTTCTTTGCGTCTTTCTCTCCATGCCTTCTCCTACCATTAGAGATAGTGGTGGGACTTTAGAGAAAAAAGGACAGAAGGGCCATTCAGACTGACTCTAGACTTATCCTTCTGCTAAAAAAAGCACAAATAGCCCTCATAACTCACAATAGGTCTCGCTGATCCCCTGGAAAGAAGAGCTGATAAGATTTGGGGTTAAAACTATGTCTAGCTGAGAATAGAGTATCCATTGGCTAGGCCTGTACTCTATACATTGCTTGTAAAATGGACCAAGTCAGATATCTGGCAGAAGACTTGGGGTCAAGAATAAAAACCATTTTAATTAGAGCAATAACTAAACACAAAATCCATCAGAACTGAAGTCTTAAGACTTGGAATCCAGGGCCAGCTCTGCCATTACCTATTTGTGGGGTCCTGGGGAAGGCATTGGTCTTGGTCTCATTTCTTCCTTCCCAGAGTTATTCAAAGGCTCAGATGAAAGCATGCATGGGAGAGAATTTTAATATTTATAAAACATAAACTTACTTGTATTGTAGTTCATTCTGCTTTAGAACATTCTCCACAGTGACAGTATCTTCTGCTTTAACACGGAAGTCAACTGTACTGTGAGGTTTGATTTGTGTGACAGAATCTGGCTTCCAGAAGTCAATCTGAATAAAGGACAAGATATATTGGATACCTATAATTCAATGGATGAAGGATAATCTGCGAGCACATTATTGCTCTACTGAATTGAGTTATTTTCAAAATCAAATCATCCATGAAATCTGTTGAAAATATTTCCTTTGAGTGAACAAGGGTTGGAACCAAGCAGTTAGATGTTGATAAAAGTGTTAACAAATATATACATAACCTTGATTGATTATCAATGAACATGAAAAAACATAGAATCATTTCCCATAATGCTAGTTGGTTGTATTCTGTAACTGTTCTTTTCTATTTATTGATTTTCTGGATCACTAACTTGTTGGAATAGATGCTATGTGGTAATGGATCTATGTGCCAGATGAATGATGAATTAACTAGAATTACAAAATTTAATGGAGAAATATGAAGCTGTTTTACTTTTTAATGGACTTATTTTATGAGTTTATCTTGGAAGTCACAGTAATATGTGGAACCAGGAGGATCCCTGACCTGTGGTGGATACATCAGGAAGAAAAATGGCATCTTTTCACAATGGGTATATTGACACTGTGGCTGGAGACAAATTGCTCTTGGGGATCCAGTCATGTACTGACATTTTCATTTATTCAGTTACTCATCAACTATTGTGAGAACCTACGATATGCTAGGCTCTGTGTCTGAGACTAGGAATACATTAGTGGGCAAATCAAACATGGCCTTTGTCTTTATGGGGGAGACATTAGAGAAGATGAAGCCCCAAATAGCTGTTTTTTTTTTTTTAATCTGTGGATGTGTGGTTTTAAGTAACACCTTTCAGTGGAAAAATATTAACTAAAACATACTGTGTCTTGTAGGTGTCTGTTATTCTCTTCCTTGCTTGTGCCGAGTGGAAGCCTAGAAGTCTGAGGTCAGCCTGACATTGGGTCTTTCTTTCTCCCTGTGTCTCAGCCAATCTCTGTTCGGATGTTTGCGCACTGCTTTGGGGCTAGAGATATGTCTGATGGTGATATTTAGGACCACTGATTGGAAACTTGGAAGGGAGTTTGGGCAGACTTAGAGGTTATGCAGCAGAAACTGACAAGGTAATACTGTAAGGCATCTCAGTTTCAGATACACTTGTGGGGCTCCCAGTAACCTATATTCTGTCCTGGTAAGCTTCAAACCACTGTAGAAATCTAGAGGTGGTGAGTCACGAATCAGGCCCATAAGGAATGTCAGGGCAATGGGAGGCAGGGATACTGGTGTTCCAGAAGAAAAAAGCATGAGTGAGGTTGTCACAAAGGGATTGAAAGGATAGAGTATCAATGTTTGGATAAGGATTGGCTGTAGAAGGTGACCTAGTGAGTCAAGGATGAGAGGTTAAATGAAGTGAGGAAGTATAAAGACATGCTAAGATAAGGACAGAGAAAGCAAGGGGCTGGTGACAACTTCTAGTTAGCCAACATTGTGGAGAGAAGGGCAATTGAAGATAAGCACATTATAAGAGAAAGCATATTTTTGAAACTTAGCTCTGAATTTGTGTTCCTAATAAACACCTGTCATTCTATGGTGTGGTGGGAGAGAGAGATATGTCTTTATTATAGACGACAAGGTTGAGAATTGGCAAAGCACATAAAGTCCTCCATGTATCTGTAGCTGACCAGACAGTGTCCCGCTGGCACATAATTGCTGGGACCTTTTAGTGTGCTCAGTGTACTCCCCTTGCTAAGATCTGCCTCTCTGTACCTGAGGGCTCTTTCCTGTAGAACTGGGAAAAGCCAAGTTATCAGCTCCAGGTAGACAGGCGGTACCAAGGAAATTATTCTTTGTGGTTCAACCAAGAATCCTGAAAAGCGAATGATGAATTACTCCAACTCCTTCACCTCTCAGGTGGGATAATTCTGAAGTGTGTTGTTTGCACACATTCCTAGAGTTTCCCTGTGGGTTTACCGCCAGTTGTCCTCTGTGGTAGCTGGCTTAACACTGTTTCCTTTGTTGGCTGCCTTTACTTCTATTTAGCACTCCCCACTTCTTCACCAGGGCTCCCTGCACTTCCCAGATAAAATTCTTTCCCTTGAATCTTTGTCTCAGGGTCTGCTTTGGAAGAGCCTGTATTAAGATGCTAGCTTTCCACTCAAAGCATTAAATGCTTGCATGATGTTCTTGGTGGTGGTTCTAGCAGAACCTTGTGTATATCTAGTGCCACTTCAGAACAGCTTAATTGCTTATAAATGGTTTTCTTTCTAATATTAAACTGAAAATTGTCATCTGTATCCTCCTCAGCTCTTACCCATTGGTCCTAGCTCTGCCAAATATTAGAAGAGTCTATATATTTAGAGAAAGTGTTACTTTTAAGATTTCAGTGCAAGAATTATGGATTCTTTAAGATGGGGCAAATAAATCTCATAAATATGTTTGACAGAAACTTACAGAACTAACCTGAGGTTGCTTAAAAATTTCAGTTTGACATGGAGAAAACCAGTTAGCAAACCTATCAACATACATACAACACTCTGGAGTGTTGCATGTGTGACACAGACCCACTATACTGGAGTTAGTCTCTGATACTTCCTAGGAGAAACATGGCTGGAAATCAGGAGCAATGCTATAGCCTCACAGCTGTTTACCAATGCACCAAATATGAATATAGGTAATAAAGTCAAAGTAATAACATAAGGTGATAAATATAAATTTCAGAAATTACCAGGACCTTGTGAATGAGATGTATGTCTGAAATATAAACATGGAGTGAAATATAGGATGTAGATGTAGGGAATTAAACTATACATTATGAAGTTAGAAAACTGAAGTTATAAAATTATAAATGTGACAAAGAACCATATAGAACACTTATTGGATGATCAAGAGATATCTTTAAATGATAGCATTATAAGAATATCAATTTAATCAGCCGGCTGCCTAACAACTAAAGAATCCTTCCTAAAATATCTCAGAAAACTAGCCTAAAAGCAAGATAAAGTAGCATGCCAACCTGAAATTTTTCCAGGAATAAGATTGGCCAATAAAAAAATAAATATTGGTGTTGGGGATCTTTTTTTCTTCAAAAATTTGCATGAATTTGTTTCTTCACATTGCATTTGACTGTAAGTCAAACATCTGATAGACTTTTCATTTATCTTGGTGAAATTTTCCTTTTTTGTTGGAAAAGAAAACAACTTCTACTCAAGGCCCAATTCCAGACAGCAGTGAGGAACTTACTGGTACAGTAGGAATGATAAGAACATTGGAAGACAGTAACCATGTTACTCCAGGCATAGAGAAAAATGCACCTTAAATTTGAGAAACACAGACTTCAAGACAGTCCAGAGAAAAGTGAATAGGTTTTATGGTGAATGCCTTCAATAAAGGAACAAGCACAACCCTGATTGTGAGGAGATAAAATAAAATCCTTAATATTCAATTATAGATGACAAAAGAAGGGCTGCTGGAGTACAGTGTGGTCACGGATCTGCCCAATATATTCAGCATTTAAAAGGACATGTTCAAAAGCTGAGAGGAAGGACACATGGCCAAGGATGAATACAAAGACTGGATGCCCTTGTAATGATCTTATCAGGAAGGCTACAGCCCAGAATATGCTGTTCCCGTAACTGCTAAGGAGAATGAAAATCTCATTTCAATCATGTTGAAAATAAAAGAATAAAGAAGAAATATGTGTCCCACTGCTTGGAGCTAAAGCATGATGTTTGCAGCCAGAGGAAAGAAAGAAGCCCTATTTAACTGTTTTTTGGCTTCTGTCTTTTCCAAGAGAGAGTTACACTATTCCTTGTTTATTCTATTACTACTGAGAGATGAAATTACCACAAGGATAAGTAAAGATTTTTTCATGTTATGATTTAAACAGAAATACCTTCTTTGGAAAGAGAACATTGAGGCCCAAGGTAGATGAGGACATAGGTGATTGATTATACTAGCCATATAAATTGTATTCAAAATCCCAGACCTAATGATAGTAGTAACAGCAAACACATATAATTCTTACTATTTAAGTTCTTTCTAATTGCTTTACCTATATTAATTCATTTACCTCTCACAACAATCTCCTATGTAAATAGTATTATCATCTTCATTTTACAAATGAGGAAGTTGAGACCCAGAGAGGTGTCCAAGTTTGACTAACAAGTAGAAAGGCTAGGAATTGAACCCAGGCAGTCTAAGTCCAGACTCTCTGCTCTTGACCACTATGAAATGCTGAATTTTAGATAACTAAAAAAATACTGCAGATGTGATTGCAGAACTTTCTCAGCAATCTTGGAAGAATCAGAGCTCGAAGGGCTCACTGGCGAGTAGAGGGGGCAAGTTTTAGATTTTATAAACACGAAAACAGGTGAAGCCCAGAAGCAGGAGCTGCTGGGGCCTGGCATGGATTCTGGCAAAGCTGCAGAGTGAACTGGAAGCAGATGGATTGTGAATGCTGAGGAAAGGAAGCTGTGGTCTCTGGGAGCCAGTATGGTTTAAAGCAAGAATAAGTCAGGCCCAATTAAATTCACCTTAGTTTTGGATGAGAGCACTAACCTGGTAGAATGTTGAATCTTGATCTTAGTAAAGCATTTGATGAAGTCTCTGCATTGATATCTTTCTTTATAAACCAGAAAGCACCAGGCAGAGTTACCCCTAGGTAACACCCCCCTAGCTTGGGTAGTTGAGTAAACTTATGCAAGCAGAATAGGTTAATGAATCTCTTCAGTGCTTAACACTATGTCTGGCACATTGGAGATTCATGATAAATATGTACTGAATGAGTGAAACGTAAAGAAGGCCTCTAATTCTGTGACTCCTGACCTATTTAATGTTTTCTTTTATCAGTGACAAGGATAAAAGTCAAAAAGACATGATTATCAAACTTGTTGGAGAGACAAAGTTAGGGGAAGAGTTATTGCCCTGGATGACTGAATTAGTTTTCTAAAAGATCTCAACATGCTGAAAACAGGCTGTCAAGATAAATCTTAAAAGTGTAAATCTAAAATCCTACATTTAGGTGAAAAAAGTCAATTAGGTAAGCACAAAAGGAGGGACATCCTGTTTGAGGGTGATTCATGTGAGGAAAAAAAATTACCTAATGGTTTTGACTGAA
This sequence comes from Homo sapiens, assembly GCF_000001405.40. NCBI lineage: Eukaryota > Metazoa > Chordata > Mammalia > Primates > Hominidae > Homo > Homo sapiens. Next base: position 148,829,446 of record NC_000003.12, on the reverse strand, counting down.
CACAGGTTAATATAAGCTCATAGTGTTCTATGACTGTTTAAGATGCTAAAAAGAATCTTAGGCACCATTAATAAATGTCTGCTTTACAAATGAAGGCAAGCAATGGCCCTGTAGTATACATTAATCAGAACACACCTGGAGGTCCATAGTCAATTCTGGTAACTACATTTAAAAAAAGAAATATAGACAGAAAGACTGAGCTGTATCTAGATCTGAGCAGAATGATCAAGAGTCTGTATACCAGTGCTAAGAAAAATTACGGAAAGCTTGAAAAAGATAAATCTTAGAGGTAACATGATATTTGACTCAGCTAAGCCCAACAGGTCAAAGTTAGAGAAGGAAGCTTTCAGCTCAGAATAAGGAAGAAAACAGTTGGAATGATTTGTAAGGCAAGTGGGCTATTCCAAAAAGTAGTATACAAACTATTCCTGGAAGTACTCAAACAGGTTTTACCAGGAGTAGTAACTGGGGATGCTGTTTCCCAGAAGGAAATTCCAGATTTGAGTGGATTGCTGGAATAGATGAGTTTATATTTCTTTCAATTCTGAACTTCTGAGCCTGTGATTATGACACTCTCCACCTTCTTCTTCCTTCCTCTATGCCTTAAAAGCTACAAAATGACTATATATGTTTATGTATGTATATGTGTGTGTGTGTGTATAAGCTAGCAGATTATTTTAGTTTATATATTTATGAAGAAACGGCATTGGCCCAAGTGGAACTACTGTATTTGTGGTCAGCAATAGCTTCCTGCCACATTGTATACGCAGTTTAAAATGTCAGTTCTCACCTCATATATAGTGGATTAAAAAATTAGCACAGAGATGTCAGTTTTTTGAAAGCAAAAGAAAAGTATGAAAATCACTCATGGCTTTTTACCCTCTTTTTCCCCCTCACGTCATATCATTAAGGGGACCTGAATCAAGGTCATGAAAACCCAAGCTGTTTGATTTGGAATGAAAGAAAATCAAAGAGGACAGATGATACATGGGATGTGGAAATGAATTTGAAGTTGGACAAAAGCCCAGTTTTTCAGTAATATCCAAGTTGATCATTTTTCTCTTTTGCCTTAGAAGGAAAGTGACTGTACATTAGATGTTCTGTGACCTTCGTGACAGTTGCAACTCATCCAGTTGTCACACTGTCAGCTCTTTTAAAAGTTACCATGGATTTATAATACTACAGGGCTTATGGCAATCTAATTTAGGCAGAAAAAGAAGACATTATGGCACTAAATGTTTTCCAAGTTTTTATTTCTTGCTACCAAAATGCTATAGTTAATATTTCATGTTTTTTTTTCCATTGTCGGAATCACAGTGCGATCTAAGATTTTAAATTAGATGTGAAGTAAATCAAAATTGTTACTTACCTGGGTCGTGCTGGCCAACTCGCGGATTATGTTAATGTGATTTTCATCTTCAACGTTAACACGGAACACCTTCTCGCTGAATAATGAGATAATAGAAGCACAGAGAATTGGAAATGAGTAATGTGTCCAAATTTGGGGGCTAGCAAGGAAGAAGGACTTGCTCCTTAAAGATGGCTTACTTACCCTTCAAAGTGCTCACCACCATGATGAGCAGATGCCAGGGCCACAGTCACCAGAACCAAGAGTGCCAACATTGTGTCTGACCAGGTCTAGTGGGTAGGTCTCATCTGCTTTTATAATCCTGAGTGTTCTTTGCTTTCTTCTCCTGATTGCAAACAGGAACTATCATATCTTGATTAATAGTTTTCCTGGCATTGTTGCCTTGGTAGCTGTGTAAAGTCTGAGAGGGTATCTCTCTCAACACCTGTGGAAATAGAGTAAATACTCTCAAATTCAACTTATTTAATTTGGATCAGAACTTGAATAGTCTGAGAGTAAATTAGATTTAAATAAAATCTATTTTGTATTTTTTTCTGTTTTGAATTGAGAATTACATACAATAAGTTCTACAGATTTTAGTGTAAAGTTTGATGAGTTTTGACAAATGTGTAAACCCATGTAATAAACATCCCAAACAAGATATAGCACATTTTCATCACCCTAACAAGTTCCCTTGAGCACTTTTCCAGTCTACTTCTGTACTCCTCTCAGGCAAATGTTACTCTGATTTCTGGCTTTATACATTAATTTTGCCTGTATTAAACTTAATGTAAATGAGATTATACAATATATATTCCTTTGTTTCTGGCTTCTTTCATTCAAGATAATGTTTTTGAGATTTATCAGTATTTTTGTTTGTATTACCATTATTACTATTGATATTATTTTTGAGACAGAGTCTCGCTCTGTCACTCAGGTGGGAGTACAGTGGCGTGTGATCTCAGCTCACTGCAACCTCTACCTCCTGGGTTCAAGTGATTCTTGTGCCTCAGACTCCTGAGTAGCTGGGATTACTGAAATGCACCATCATGCTTGGCTAATTTTTGTATTTTTAGTAGAGGTGCAGTTTCGCTGTGTTGGCCAGGCTGGCCTTGAACTCCTGGCATCAAGCGATCTGCCTGCCTTGGCCTCCCAGAGTGCTGGGATTACAGGCATGAGCCACTGTGCTCGGCTTTGTTGGTATTATTGGTTTATTCCTTTTTATTAATAAGTGATATTCCATTGTATGGATATGTCATAATTTGTTTAGCTATTTACTGTTGATATATATTTATATTGTTTCCAATTTTGTGTTATTGTTAATAAGGCTGCAATAAATATTTTTGTACAAGTTCTTTTCTTGGCATATGTTTTCATTTAAGGGGGTGGACATGTGAGTGGAATTGTTAAGTAATAGTGTAAATCTAGGTTTAACACAATAAGATTCTGCTAAACAATTTTTCCATAGTGGTTTGTACCATTTTAAGCTTCCATCAGTATCTAGTGGCTTTATGTTCTCTCCAACACCTTGTTATTTTTAGTATTTAATTTTGGTGTTTCTAATGAGTATAAAGTGGTATCTAATTCTAATTTTAACTTGTATTTCCCTGATGATTAGTAGTGGTGAACATCTTTTCATGTGTTTATTGATCATTTGTAAATCTTCTTTTGTGAAGCATCTATTGAAGTCTTTTGCCTTTTTAAAGAAATTGGTTGTCTTTTAATTCTTGTGTTGTAGCCGTTCTTTATATAGCATGGATACAAGACCTGTGTTAGAAATATATGTTCCAAATATTTTTCCCAGTATGTGGCTTGCATTTTTATTTTCTTAATGTTATGTTTTGATGAACAGATGTTTTTAATTTTGATAAAGTTTGTTTACCAACATTTTTCTTTTATAATTAGTGTCTTTACATTTTTTCAAAGGAATTTTTCCTATCTCAAGGTCTCAAACACATTCACTTATTTTTTTTCTTATAAGAGATTTGTAGTTTGGGGTCTTTATGTAAGATATGAGTCTTTAGTGTAAGATATGAATCATTCATTTTTAAAATATGGATATTCAGTAGATCCACTATTATTTGTTGAAAAGGCTTTTCTCACATGTTCTAGCACTTTCTCTATGGATCTCAATGTATGGTAATGGCTCTTTAACCTTTAAGATAATTTGTTTCTCATGAGAAACAAGGAGACAAACCAAAATGAGGGACATCCTTCACAAAAACTGACATTTACCCTCTAGAAATGTCAATATTATGAAGGATAAAGGCTGAAGAACTAGTCCAGATTAAAGAAGACTAAAGAGACATCCTAGATTGGATCCTAAGTCATACACACACACAAAATGCACTAAACACCACGTTAGCCCTGGGAGGCATTAAGGGCGGCCCCAACTCACTGGCCAGGGTTGTCATGGATGGTAGAATTACCTTAGACTTCCTCCTTGCAGGCCATGGTAGATTCTGTGCAATAGTCAATATTGTTAACAATAGTTAACCATCAATGTCTGCCTTAGACAGACAGGCAACTTTTTCCTTAAGTTTCAGTATTGACTGTTCCACTTCACCTGAGGCAATAATCTGCGTACAACAAATTTTTTTTAAAAGTTAAAGAGCCATTACCATAATTTGAGATCCATAGAGAAAGTGCTAGAACAAGTGAGAGCTGGTCAGGCACTAGATGACTCCATGCCTCACTGAGGAAAAATAACCAAACATAGGCAAAGGAAAACCTCAGAAGCCAAGAGACAAAATGTCATCATATGCATTCTTTGTGCAAATTTGCCAGGAGGAGCACACAGATGCTTCAGTCGATTTCTCAGAGTTTTCTAAGAAGCACTCAGAGAAGTGGAAGACCCTCTCTGCTAAAGAGAAAGGAAAATTTCAATACATGGCAACGGCAGACAGGGCCTGTTGTGAAAAGGAAATGAAAACCTATATCCTTCCTAAGAGGGGGAAAAAAAGTTCAAGGATCCTAATGTGCCCAAGAGGCCACTTTCAGCCTTTTTCCTGATTTTGCCCCCAAATCAAAGCAGAACATCTCGGCCTATCCATCAGTGATGTTGTAAAGAAACTCGGAGAGATAGGAAATAACACTGCTGCAGATGACAAGCAGACTTACGAAAAGAAGGCCGTGAAGCTGAAAGAATAATATGAAAAGGATATTGTTGCACTCTGGGCTAAGGAAAGCCTGATGTAGCAAAAAAAGGGGTCATTAAGTCTGAAAAAAGCAAGAAAAAGAAGGAAGAGGAAGATGAAGAAGATGAAAAAGATGAGGAGGAGAAAGATGAAAAATTGAAGATGAAGAAGATAATGATAAATAAGTTGGCTCTAGTACAAGTTGTTCCCCTAGTCTATAAAGCATTTAAATCCCCTGTAAACCCTCACTCCTTTTAAAGAAAAAATTGAAAGGTAAGGCTGCCTAAGATAAGTTTTTAAACTGTATACTATCTTTTTCGGTATGGTTAACACACTACTAAATGTATCTTCTGATTGTCCTGTCCTGGTGGTATTTTCAATAAGACACTAACGTTGCCTGCTACAGTACTGGGGTTGTAAATGGGTGTGGAAATTTAAAGTAGGTTCTTGTCAGTGCACAGCCCAAATTAGTTGTATATGAGGATGGTAGTTTTTTCATCTTCAGTTGTCTCTGATGCAGTTTATAAAAAATAATTGTTGTTTAGTTAACTGAATACCACACTGTAATTGCAAAAAAAAAAAAAAAGTTACAGCTGTTTTGTTGATGTTCTGAATGTTTTTATTAAACAAATTAAAGCCCACTTACATAACCTTCTGGATATAAAGGATATAAATGGTCTATATATTGATACTCTATCAACACAACTGATTAAAAAGTTGAAAATTTAGGCAATTCATTGACTTTGACAAGTCTGCTTCTTTTGTGGGTGTTAATTATTTCCTTTTCTATATAGTCTCATAGTGTTTTGCTTTTATTTCTTCATATTGTTTATTTATTTTTGTATTCTAGTTGAATATTTGTGAAGCCTTCTCCTTTCCCTGAGATTACAAGCTCCTTGAGATATCAAACTGTCTCATTCATTTTAATTTGTTTTTTAGCAAGCACAAGGTACTTTGTTGAGTGGAAGGATATAGAAATAATGACAATATGACATTTTCACAAGAAAGTCAAATTATTTTGACATTGTTCAATAGTAACATTATAGGGAGAAAAATATTAAGACAAATATTGCTTTCCTAGGAAGGTCAAATTTTATTCTTCCCTTAGGTTAATAGCAAACATACCTTCCAGAATTCCCTTTTGGTTATGAAAATTTACATAAATAAAAATTATAAACTTATCTGAAGTCATAAAATCATCTTACTCTGACCCATGTGTATATTCTTAGAATTGACAGTTTCCTTTTAGTGTCTTAGAATCTTCTGTATTTTCAGAATTAATGATTGAGTGGTGTACATATAAAATGTTTTTTCCCGAGATCAGTTGACTGGGTGCATTCAGGGTGGTGTGGTCATGGACACATGGGATGTCTTTTTTATATTATGCTTTGGGTACCACAAAAATGATACATCACAACATTTGCTTATTATTCATGGATTTGTTCTAAATTATCCTAATGTAATCTGCTTTGTACACCACATTTTATTCTGTTGCTGATTCTTCCAGATTCTAACCTCATTGCTCACTGTTCTGCTTTGTGTATTTTCCTCCCCACTGACCTTGCCTTTTGGATTTGGCTTTTGTTAATGTCTTTCTAGCTTCAACTTTTGAAATCCATCAACCCCAATTTGGGTTCTTTCTTCACTTCCTATCCCTAATTTCCCCTTGTTTGCAACCAAAACTAAAAGTAAACTAGCTAAATGACAGAACTTGTTATTAATATAACTAAAACGTTTAGCAATAGTGTTGACATCACAGGTTTAGTTGGTGATATTGAAACTGCCTTTGCAAAAATTATACCAGCAAGAAAATTATGACAGTGAAAAAAAATCTGACCTAACCAACTCCATTTTGCATCTGACCTCCAAGCTGTTCTTGTTTATTCCTGATTCCTGAGTGTGGGGTGAATTAACTTTAGTTTATAATTGAAATTTGAAACAAATATGATAATATCCCTTTCCCGAAATAAACCCCCTCCTTGCCTGGGGACCAGACTGCCTTTGTAGGACTAACAAATTTGTCACAAGATTAGAAATTATGGCTTAGGAACCAAACAGCTAGAGGCCACAAGATTCTAAACCACTTCAATTGCTACTGGGGATAATATGACTATTGTAAAACCTAAGATTGTTGCTTAAGATATTTTTCAGACCGTGTAATCAATGGATCAGCTAGTGCCACCCAGATCAATAAACTGGCTCATCTGATTCTGTGGCCCTCTCCAGGAATTGATTCAGCATAGGAAAATAGTTTTGACTCCCTATGATTTCATCTCTGACCCGACCAATCAGCACTCTCTGCTTCCTGACCCCCCTACCCAACAAATTATCCTTAAAAAAAACATCCAGTCTCCAAATTTTCAGGGAGATTGATTTGAGTAATAGTAAAACTCTGGTCTCCCATTCAGCCAGCTCTGGGTGAATTAAACTCTTTCTCTATTGCAATTCCTCTGTCTTGATAAATTGACTCTATCTGGGCAGTGAGCAAAATGAACCCATTGGGCAGTTACAATGTTTGTTAAGCCTAGGCCTCTATTTTTGGTCACCTGTGTCATGTAGTTACAGGATGGCCACTAATAAGTACAGTTTTGCATCCTAGTGGATTGGTAACCCTATTGAAAAGATAATTTCTTTTTCCCCCAAATTCCACTTTTTTTTTTTTTTTTTTTGAGACCAAGTCTTGCTCTGCTGCCCAGGCTGGAGTGCAGTGGCACAATCTCTGCTTACTGCAAGCTCCACCTCCTGGGTTCATGCCATTTTCTTGCCTCAGCCTCCCGAGTAGCGGGGACTACAGGCGCCTGCCACCACACCCGGCTACTTTTTTTTTTTTTTTTTTTGTAGTTTTAGTAGAGATGGGGTTTCACTGTGTTAGCCAGGATGGTCTCGAGCTCCTGACTTTGTGATCCGCCTGCCTCGGCCTCCCAAAGTGCTGGGATTACAGGCGTGAGCCACCGCGCCCGGTCTTTTCCCCCAAATTCTAAACCAAATATTTAGATTGATTCTCAGTGGACCAACTTGAGACATGTGCCTCTCTCTCTGAAACCAGTTCTTGTGGTCAGGATGGTGGGATGTGCTGGTTTGCCAGGCCAGGGTAACGGGATCATCCCTAGAACTCTGGCATAAACTCCATACAAAATACTTAATGCAGCTACTACTGCTGCTGCTGTTGCCACCCTTTCCAGAAGAGATCTTGAGCAATCCTCACTTCCATTTGTCACCAGCTTCCAAAGTCATAGGTTAGTGCCCTTGCTACTAGGAGGCTGGGAAAGTGAGAGTCTGACTTTAACTTTGATGGTAGGAAGTGTCTGCCTCCTATGGCTCCTTAGCTAGAGCCTTCCCCAGTCTTAGGGTGTGGGGTTCAGATCTGGACAGCTAAAAAGAGTGACCAATATCCACTAAAGGAGGACATAATTATTTGTGGATGGCTTGTGGTGTGCTGTAATTGGAACTGTAAACACACTGGAAAGTTTATCTCAATCCATACACTGTGGTTCCAAGTGGAGGGCAATTAAGATTTTCAGTTAGTAATTAAATTTTTTTTTTTAGGTGTGAGGGAAATCAAAATATCTTTCCCCCAAATATACTTCTTTGACATATTTTGAGTTGTCTGTTCAGAAGGCCTGCAAACAGAAGTAGCCCTGCAAAGTCTTTCATGGGGGAGGTTTGCATCTGTGGAGAATCCACATTGATGCAGCCAGTTTTTCTATGAGGACTTCCTTCTCTCATCTATCTAGATCTAGGAAAGATTAATTGAAGAGTCTGACCCCTTTAAAGGTCTGAAAAAAACATTTACTATCTCTTCCCTCTGAGGGCTGCTACCTGTGAGGTTTCATCTGCATAACAAGGCCACTTTTGCTAGCCTTGCCTCTTCTTCTTCCCCTCCCATAACCTGTTTTGTCATAGTCCAAGCCCTCATTCTTTCTGTAACCTCGAGATGGCATTTGACCTTCTGAACCCCATTGGAAGGTGGAGAGTAATCAGTCTGTAGTTCTTCCCTGTGTGCACATTAATACATTTGTTTATCTTTTCTCCAGGTAATCTGCATTTTGTGAGTTGATTTTTCAGCGAAACTTCGGAGGGCAAAGGGAAAGTTTTTCCTTGGCCTCTACAGGCACACAATAATTTTTCCGTAGATTTTGAAATTTCTGCTTTCCGTCTCACGTACATGTTTTAAATTTCTTTTTTACTTAAAGCTTTGGTGATTAATAAGGAAAGTGGCACCTTTGTGTCTGTTTGTGTTTCATGTAACAGTGTGAGATTTTGGAGACTCTCCAAACTGTCCATGGTGTGATAATTTATCCCATGTGATGTCTCAATTTCTGGAAAAGGATTTCCCCAAGCATTCCATAATATTAAGTAGAAAAGGGTTCTGAGGTCAAATATGTTTGCTTTAAACTAAAACAAACAAGCTCCTTTAGTGTAAGGTTTCTTGGAGTCTTTAATATGCATTACAAATCATCAAAAGGGGACTCTGCCATACAGCTATTTCCCAAGCATGTCTCACAGTAGAGGGTTGGGATAACCAAGTCCAGCTAAAATTAGAAGACTTACGACCACTCCTGTGATTTCAGTGCATTTGACTGTGGAATATTTTCTTCAAAAGCATCAATTCAGACCAGTTATTTTGAGAATACATTTTGGGATCTTTAGACAGAGTACATAATTACAATTACGTAAACTTAAAACATCTGGCCCTGTGGATTCATGGTCTCTTTTGTTCAAAACCGAAGAATTTATTGTGATTTCAATGTTAACGTTCTTGAGCTAAGTGTTATGGGGTATTCAGTGATGAAAAGGGCTTAATTGTGTTCTTTGAGACCTATAGTGCCAGGCAGGCGAACAGGCACAAAAACTAAAGGAGTAGTTCTCTTGACGCTTTTTTTTTCTTTTGAGGTGTGAGTTTAACAACTGGGCCAAACGATGATTCTGGAAAAACCATTCTCTCAACCTGAGTGCTACCTAGAACTGATGAGTAAGGAGTAAACAGAAGGCTGTCTTCCTCTCTGTTAAAATGGCCAGATGATACCAGGGAAGAGAGAGAAATCAGAGAATGAGTAATTCCTGTTAAGTCAGAGGAAACAGTTCTAATTACCTGGAGAAGTTCAAGTACTTTGTACATGTATTTGTGTCTGTTAGATATTGAGTATGCTAAATCAAGTTAAGCCTAAAGCTGACTACTTACATATTTTAAGTTTGGCCTACAGGTTTCCCTGTACATACTGAAGTACAAACTAAACAGAGTTGTATACAGATGTAACCTACACTTGTGCCAATAACTGAGTTTTGGCCAATCAAAGGGGGCTAACTGTTCAAACCATGTTCAAATAGGGTAAATGCTGAGCTGTAACCAGTCTGGCTGTTTCTGTACCTCACCTCCATTTTCTATATGCCACTTTTCTTTTTCTGTCCATAAATCTACCATGTGGCTGCGCTGGAGTCTCTGAGCCTACTCTGGCTCAGGAGACTGCCCGATTTATGAATTGTTCTTTGCTCAATTAAACTCTGTTAAATTTAATTTGTCTATAAACAACTAGGAACATTTTTATCTGAAAATTATTCTTTCAGAAATCCTGCATCATTTGCAAATTAAAATCACAATAAGATACCATCTCACACAAGTCTGAATGACTACTGTTAAAAAGTCAAGAAATGACAGATGTTGGGGATGTTGTAGAGAAAAAGGGATGCTTATACACTGTTGGTGGGAATACAAACTAATTCAGCCCTTGTGGAAAGCAGTTTGGAGATTTCCTGAAGAACTAAAAATAGAACTACCATTTGACCCAGCAATCCCCTTACTGGGGATATACCCAAAGGGAAATAAATCATTCTAATGAAAGACACCTGCATTTGTATGTGTGTTGCAGCACTATTCAGAATAGCAAAATCATGAGCTCAACCCAAGTGTCCATCAGTGGTGGATTGGATAAAGAAAATGTTGTATATACACACCACGCAATACTACACAGCCATAAAAAAGAATGAAATTATGTCTTTTGCAGCAAATTTCTTTGCAACTGTAGGTCATTATTCTAAGTGAATTAATGCAGTAACAGAAAGCCAAATACTGCATGTTGGCACTTACAAGTGGGAGCTAAACATTGGGTACACATGGGCACAAAGATGGGAACAATAAACACTGAGGACTCCAAAAAGGGAAAGGTAGAGGGGGACAACGGTTGAAAAGTTACCTATTGGGTACTATGTTCACTACTTGAGTGACAAGATCATCAGAAGCCCAAACCTCAGCATCATGCTCTACACCTGTGTAACAAACCTGCACATGTACACTCAGAATCTAGAATTGAAAAAAGAAATCCTGCATTTTATCATTATCATTGATGAAGTTCAGAAAATGCTACTCCAAAATATGACTTTAGAAGAACAAAATATGCCACCTCAAAATATGCCTCTTAAGCTTAAGGATTATTTTGAGTTGATTATTACGGGAAACGAGAGACACAGGAGAAACTTTAAAAATAGAGTAGAAGTTACCATTTGTAAAAAAGTTACATCTTTTAAAAAATGTTCCTTTTGTATGAGTATCTCCGCTTTGTTCCAGGAAGAGAAGGATGACTCTAAATCACTAGGAAGTATTATTAATAGAGAATATTGACTGAAACCTGCATAGTAAACCTCTCTCTGTTTCAGTGGATGATGGTATTTACTCTACCTTCTTAGATGTATATTCTTGATATTTGCTCATTTTGCTTTGGGTAGCTCCCATGTATACATGACGTATACATGTTAATAAACTTCTGCTTGTTTTTCTCTTGTTAATCTATCTTTTGTTACAGGGATCCATCCCAATTGAAAGAGGAAAAATTATTTTTCCTCTCATATTATTATTGTCATTATTTCCTCCTCCTCCTTCTTTTCATCATCATATTCTGTCATCAATTCCTAGACCACTTACTATGAAAATAGAACTTTGTTGCTTCAATTCTGATGTTAAAAAGGCAATAGGATTTTATATTATAGAAGAGGCAAGCTCCTAAATGGGGAGTTATTTCAGAAAAGAGTTAGCTTTTGTTTGTTTGCATCCAATCAAAACAACTGATTCATTCAGTCAGTTCAGTAAAAATTCTCCTTTTATGCACCTTTCTTAACTGAACTGTCCAGTTGTTTGTGAGGCAGCCAGAATTACCCTGTAACTTGATGGGTATAACTGATTGATGACCTGATCTGCTGGTATTTCTCCGAGGAGGGCAAAAACAACCCGAAAATGTTGTACAGGTGCACCTATGGCCAGTTAGTTTTGTATAATTATACTTAATATTTGAATAAACTGTCTTTTTATGGTTATGAAAAGAGAGGCTAGTAAACATTTTCTTGGCTGGGTTTCCTTTTTGGCATCTACTAATGTTGGTATATGGTTTTATTTTTATTTCCAAACATGATCATCATCATTAATGGGCATAGTCTGCACATCTCTGGTGGGAATGTTGTTTGTTACTGAATTGCAGACCAGTATTTTGAAAGCTGGGAGATAAACACAATTGCTTCATTCCATAAATCTTACCACCTGAGTCATCAATTTGAGGTTCCTTATTGAAATAAGGAAAACATATTTAATCATGCAAATATTTGGAAACTCCAAGCGTATCTCTATTTGGAATTTGGGAGATAATTAAAATGGACAAGTTATGATTGATTAGTGCATGAAGAATGGACTAGTTAAAAGGCAGTTGGTTCTCTTTCTATTCTTATATCAACACTCCATCAACAGGAATTAAGAAAACAGCATAACTAGGCTCCAGCTCCTCGCTGAGGGCAATTAATCAGGACAGAAGAGTCGGGAGGTAAACTGGAATGCTGCCAAATAAATCAACCTGTTTTTGTTCCTACATTTATCTTTGTTAATTCTCATAGGCCATCTTAAGAGTCTGATCTTTGATTCATGTAACAGGTAATAAATTTTAGAAAAAAATTCCTAGGTATTTTGAATTATTAAATAAATTACATGTTATATTTTCATATTAATATTTCTTGGAAACAAACTTATAAGAAGAGGTACATTTCTACTTTTAATTCAAATATGAGAAATATTTGTTTTATTCCAGTTTATAAGGTAAGAGGAAACTATTTTTATTCTTAAAATACTGTAACAGAACATTAAAGCTCTTTAAAACCTTTTGAGGAAAGGGCAGGGTTTTAATAAATAAATGTTAATAATATAAAATGCCATATTGGGTAGGAAATAAAAGCATAAAGTCAATTCAAATGTCAATATTTTCTGACAACCTGTTTACTGTTTACCTGATATGAATCTTCAAAAAGGTCTTTGTTCTACTTTGCATGGCTCCAGTTCAATTTCAATTTATTTTAAAAATTAGTTTGGAAGGGCAAGCCCCAGGCACACAGATAATGCCGGTGATGCTGTCATTTGGCAATCCAGTTCTAACCACCAGATTGGTTTCTTTCTTTCTTTTTTTTTTTTTCTGTTTCCGATTCTTAATCATTGAGACTCTAGTTTCTTCCTACTATATTACCAAAAGGTAATTTTATAAGCAAACCTATAATCAGCATGGTGATACTTGAGAGAAACAGGTTGACAATAAGTTCTCCTGGAGTCATTTGAAAAAGTTGGCATTTGAGTGCTCAGAAATATGATCAGTGTAATGGATGTTAGACATGGATTTTTACCCTTTAAGAGTGAAATATTTTCATGTTGGGATATTTCATAGTTCCTTTGGAAAACTAGGTATTATATTACCATACTTTTATGTAATAAAAATCCTTCCAAAGAACTCTGAGAATTAAATGGCTAAATTGACAACTTGTTTTGAGATTTAAAAGATGATTCCAGAGTTTTTGATTGTTCAATTTTCTTTTATGTCAGAATTTTGATCTCCAAATGCAAGAAGGGTTGTGCTGGCTTCACAATTAATGACCTAATTTTGCCGCACTGCATGATGCTCCCCAACGTTGATCTGACTCGGAGGCAAGTCTGTTCAACATGATGTCAGCAAGAATTATTTTGACAGCTGCCAGCGCAGTAACACAGACTCAAAAAGTTTTCATTTTAGTATGTGGTGTTCCAGAATATTGGTGTGATGTATACATGCCAACGGACAATCAGACAGTAGCATAACGTTCAAGAGAACTCACAAGGAAAAGTGATCACAACAATTAAACAAAGCATCAGTTTTCTCAGTGAACAATAGGAGATAAACCCAAGCACACAAAAATATCCCCTCGAATTTCAAATGGGAATAAAAGAATCAAAGGCGTATTCTTCCTCTTGATGGTCTCCGGTATTGCATTACAGCCAGAAGAGTGATTCTAAACCACATGAAATGCTTTCCCTGATCCATGGAGTATTGGCTGTTGACAGGTCCTACTTAGTCAGAGGAGAGTGCCTCTGTGGATGGGCTACAGTTTTCATTCTCAGGACTGATGGTCTAGCATCAGATTCCATGATAAACTTGCTTGAAGCATGGTCTTGTGTTTTCTAACAGCGTTATTAGATAAACATTCGGTATCTGCATTTCAGAGTGGTAACACAAGGATAAATCAAATAGCAAATTAAATTTAGGTATGCCATCTGCTGCCTTTATTTTATGAATTCCAGCCCATAGGACATTGACTGGGCATGAATGTCTAAGCCATTGTCTTTTATGGTCAGATTTACTACAAACATTGGACAAATGTTCATCCAAGCTGTTGGTCTTCTTGGAAAGAGTAAAATTCAGCAAAAGTGAATTTTTTTTTTAGTTGTTGTAAGTTTTTTGTTTTAATAAAAATAAACCACAACAGAAGAAAAAACAGCATGTACTATTTTCTCCGAGTGCAACATCTCAGCAGGCTTTAGGAACTCATCTGCAAGGGGTAAATTGTTTAATGCGTAATTGTAAGCAGAACTGTAAAAAGCCATATTAGGCTTCCATGATTTTATTCTCTTCTTCTGGTAAAAGATCATTACTTCTCCCTGGGCCCCTAATGGTTAAACCTCTTACTACTTTTCTAAGAAAGTTCTTGATTTCTTCTGATGGTAACTGTTATGCCATGTCTTTATTCCCCAGTGGTTTCATTAAGAATTTATATTTTCTTAGTGCTTCTGAGGAAATTTCCCTTTATTTCTTTTATGTAATTTTTATTTGTAAATTAGAAATAACTTTACAAGTAAAAATTAAATATATTTATGGTGTATTACTTGTTTTGATATAGTATGTACATTGTGGAATGGCTAAGATGTTTAACACAGGCATTACCTCACATACTAGTCTTTTTTTTGGTGATGAAAACATTAAAAATGTATTCTTAACAATTTTCAAATATTCAATATATTGTTATTAACTGTAATCATCATGATGTACAACAGATCTCTCAAACTTATTTTTTTCTAACTGAAATTTTGTGTCATTTTTCTTACCAAATCAGTATAAATAGAATAAGACATTTTCTTATTCTTTTCAACACCTGTATTTTTAAAACTCTTCATTTCTTGGAAGGGCAATAGGTATATTTTCCTTGAGTAGTCCAATGTAAAGTATGAATTTACAGACATAAAATTACGTTTTGGTGCTCTCGTTTGGAGGCGGTTTTATCTTTTAATATTGATGCCAACCTGGTTTTTTTAACATCATTTGCTCACAGTGGTTACCAGGGACTAGTAGTGCTGCATTTCAAGGACTTTTGCAGGTTTTTTAGCTAACACCATAAAATGAGTTCTCTATTTCTGAGGCTAATAAAAGTCTTAATGGTATGTGCATCCAACAGATGGGACAGAGGGCTATTTTGGCAGTGGGCAGTTGAAATCAGCCCTCAGTTGTTTGTATAAGGCACTCACTAAAGTCAATAAAAGGTAATTTTCACACACAATTTAGTTCAGAGTGTAAAATGTTGGGAAGTATAGCTGGTGTAAGTCCAATGGGCATAAGGGTAGCAGTTGGTAAAAGTTGTATTTGATGGCAAATTTTAACTGACAGAGTGACAGGTTGATCAAGAGAAATACGGACCAAGTCACAAATTGTTGGCCATGGCAGGGCTTCAGAGGCAGTGTGAAGAACACAGCTGAAGCAATTACCCCCAACATCTCTTGCACAAGCATTAAAAAAAGGATTAAAAAAATGCCTCTCCCTCTCTTTGTGCTCCCAGTCTTCTTCCTTCTCCACTTGCTCACTCCTGCATTATACCCATTTTTGAAACTATTTGTTTGCTCGTATTTCCTCTTAGCATTTTTTTTCTAATAAATATTCACAAAAATCAATCCTTCAGTGTAGGAGCATCATAAATGATACCAGGATGATCCAGAATATTGTCCATTCTGGCCACACAGGGTCAGGTGTGTAGCTCAGATCTCCTGATGTGAAAGAGGGACTTCATACATTCTCCCTAGTTACAGTGAGGGATATGATGTTCAATGAAGGAAAGGTTTTAGTGAGGCTGAGAAACCACTCTCGAGACAGATGGATAGCAACTGTTAGTGACTTTACTCTTTTATGCATTTATGAAATGAATTGTTAATGATTTATGCATATCAACAGCTTACATGTATTTTGGAAATTAAACAAAATATGAGTCAGGCCAGGCGTTGTGGCTCACGCCTGTAATCCCAGCACTTTGGGAGGCCGAGGTGGGTGGATCACCTGAGGTCAGGAGTTTGAGACCAGCCTAGCCAACATGGTGATACCCCATATCTACTAAAAATATGAAAATTAGCCGGGCATGGTGGTGGGCGCCCATAATCCCAGCTACTCAGGAGGCTGAGGCAGGAGAATCGCTTGAACCTGGGAGGCAGAGGTTGCAGTGAGCCGAGATTGCGCCACTGCACTCCAGCCTGGGTGACAGAGAGAGACTCTGTCTCAAAACAAACAAACAAACAAAAAAATGATTAGACAATGTTTTTGACATTTTGTTTCTCTGATACTGCTGAACTCTGTATATGCTTTAAATGTATTCATGGCAGGTATGCAGAACAGGCTCATATTCTGGTTCTTTTCATTGATAAATCTTTGAAGTTAGGTGCTGCAATTCTATTCACCAAGAATGTATGACATGAGAAATGAGATCATAATTACTGAATAAGTAATATTTTGTTAGATTACTACAGGGTTTCTCAATCTTAGCACTGTTGACATTTTGGGCTGGATCATTCTTTGTTGTTGGGGACTGCCCTGTGCATTGTAGGATATTTTGGAGCATTCTTGGACTAGGCCAGTTAGATGCCAATAGCACAACCCAACCACCTGCTCAAGTTGTATGTATTAGTTCATTTTCATGCTGATGATAAAGACATACCAGAAACTGGGAACAGAAAGAGGTTTAATTGGACTTACAGTTCCACAAGGCTGGGGAGGCCTCATAATCATGGCAGGAGGTGAAAGGTACTTCTTACGTGGCAGAGGCAAGAGAAAAATGAGGAAGAAGCAAAAGCAGAAACCCCTGATAAACCCATCAGATCTCGTGAGACTTATTCACTATCATGGGAATAGCCTGGGAAAGATCGGTCCCCATGATTCAATTACCTACCCCTGGGTCCCTCCCACAACATGTGGGAATTCTGGGAGATACGATTCAAACTGAGGTTTGGGTGGGGACACAGCCAAACCCTATCATTCCACCCCGGCCCCTCCAAATCTCATGTCCTCACATTTCAAAACCAACCATGCCTTCCTAACAATCCCCCAAAGTCTTATTTCAGCATTAACCAAAAAGTCCACAGTCCAAAGTCTCACCTGAGACAAGGCAAGTTCCTTCCACCTATGAGCCTGTAAAATCAAAAGCAAGTTAGTTACTTCCTAGATACAATGTGGGTACAGGTATTGGGTAAATACTCCTGTTCCAAATGGGAGAAATTGGCCAAAACAAAGGGGTTACAGGGCCCATGCAAGTCCAAAATCCAGTTGGGCAGTCAAATTTTAAAGCTCCAAAATGATCTCCTTTGACTCTATGTCTCACATCCAGGTCACACTAATGCAAGAGGTGGGTTCCTATGGTCTTGGGCAGCCCCACCCCTGTGGCTTTGCAGGGTACAGCCTCCCTCCTGGCTGTTTTCATGGGTTGGCTTTGAGTGTCTGTGGCTTTTCCAGGCTCACGGTGCAACCTGTCAGTGGATCTACCCTTCTGGGGTCTGGAGGATGGCAGCCCTCTTCTCACAGCTCCCCTAGGCAGTGCCTCAGTAGGGATTCTGTGTGGGGGCTCTGACCCCACATTTCTCTTCAGCACTGCCCTAGCAGAGGTTCTCCATGAGGGCTCCACCCCTGAAGCAAACTTTGGCCTGGGCATCCAGGCATTTCAATACATCTTCTGAAATCTAGGCGGAGGTTCCGAAACCTCAGCTCTTGACTTCTGCACACCCACAGGCTTAACACCACACAGAAGCTGCCAGGCTTGAGGCTTCCACCCTCTGAAGCTACAGCCCAAGCTCTATGTTGGCCCCTTTCAGCCATGACTGGAGCAGCTGGGACACAGGGCACCAAGTCCCTAGGCTGCACACAGCACAGGGACCCTGGGCCCGGCCCACAAAACCACTTTTTCCTCCTGGGCTTCTGGGCCTGTAATGGGAGGGGCTGCTGTGAAGGTCTGTGACATGGCCTGGAGACATTTTCCCCATGGCCTTGGGGATTAACGTTAGGCTTCTTGCTACATATGCAAATTTCTGCAGCTGACTTGAATTTCTCTTCAAAAATGGGTTTTTGTTTTCTACTGCATCTTCAGGCTGCAAATTTTCTGAACTTTTGTGCTCTGTTTCCCTTTTAAAATGGAATGCTTTTAACAGCACCCAAGTCACCTTTTGAATGCTTTGCTGCTTAAAAATTTCTTCACCAGATACACTAAATCATCTCTCTCAAGTTCAAAATTCCACAAATCTCTAGGACAGGAGCAAAATGCTGCTAGTCTCTTTGGTAAAACATAAAAAGAGTCACTTTTGCTTCAGTTCCTAACAAGTTCCTCATCTCCATCTGAGACCACCTCAGCCTGAACCTTATTGTTCATATCACTATCAGCATGTTTGTCAAAGCCATTCAACAAGTCTCTAGGAGGTTCCAAACTCTTCCACATTTTCCTATCTTCTTCTGAGCCCTCCAAACTGTTCCAACCTCTCTGCCTGTTACCCAGTTCCAAAGTCGCTTTCACATTTTGGGGTATCTTTTCGGCAATGCCCCACCCTACTGGTACCAATTTACCATATTAGTTCATTTTCATGCTGCCAATAAAGACATACCTGAAACTAGGAACAAAAAGAGGTTTAATTGGACTTCTAGTTAAAGTCCAATTTAACTGGAAGATGGTAGCCCTCTTCTCAGAGGGGACACAGCCAAACCATATCATTGTGATATCACTGTGATATCCAATAATGCCTTCAGACATTGCCAAATGTTCCCTCAGGGCTAAATCCTATTCTCCCTATTGAGAATCACTGGTCCACTGGTTTACTGACATGATTATCTGTTTCCAAATCCAGCTATGGCTTACATGAACTTCAGTATGATTGTGGACACAGATGGAGACACAAATCAGGGAGAAAGGTATATATGTAGAAAGTTTAGCTTAGACATTGTCCATGGCTTTTGAATGGCTCCAGCAGCATCTGTAAGAACCTATTAAGGCATTAAATAACAGGACAATACCAGAGACACTGAGGCACTTAAATGCCAGCATGAACACATTGCTTGCTGCAATAGATTCTTCTCTGGAACTGTGCAAAGCAGAGGTTGGTGGCCTTGGAGGCAGCTACGGATTTGTGAGATGAAGTGGAACAACGGTACCCAGGGCAAAAAAAGAGCCCTGAAGCACGATCTGAGGAGTTGAGGTTGAGATGTGGCAAGCTGGAAGGCAACAGCAGTTGGCCTATTAAAAGGGCAGCAATTACTGAGTAGGAGGCTTTTCTTGAATGGAGGTAACTTGATTTCTTTAAAGTTCCTTGGCACTTGTTCCTTCTGACATCTGCAAGCGCTGCCAGTCTCCCAGGAAAACAGTTCCCTGCACAGTCCAGCTGGGCCTAGAAGCTGTGACCATAGTTAATGGGACTGGATGCTTTCTTACTATTTCTTACCTCTCTTTGGCTCAATTCTCTCTGTTCTTTCCAGGTGAAGACATGCTGGGCAGGGGCAACTAGGTGCTATGAACTTATTTCTGTTTTCTTCCTGTTTTAGTTATATCCTCAAAGAGAAGTGATGAAGAGGGAAACTGTTTCTTGCTGGTTATTGTCTATGATCTAATTAAATGTTTTCTTGGTATACTTGACATTTTCCCATACACCTTAACACATTGTGGACTTTGGACTACCTAATAAAAGTAGGAAAAATCTGGGCAAGCACTAAACATTCTTCCTTACTTACATTTTCTTTTCTTTCATGTTTAACACACATTTCAAAGAAAATTGTTTCTTTCTCATTCTTAAGAGCAAATATCATTAGCTGATTTCTAAGTTACAGAATTCTTAAAAATGTGTAAATCCTCACTGTGTGATTTAAAAGAGGGTAGTTTCAAGACTGAAGTGAATGATGCATCTTTATTTAAAATGAGACAGAACTTCTCTGAGAGTTTGAATATGGGGCTGAAATAAATTTCAGAGGCAAGGAATTATAGACTATTATTGTGTGGGGGACCAGAATATGCCACTCCAAAATATAAAGAATTGTTGAGCTGAAGGCAATTAAGAATAAATAGATACAGGAAAACTCTCTACCCTCCCTCTACTTGCCTACAAGCAGAACGAAGATTTACAAAGACAAAAGGTATCTTGCCCCTGCTCTACCAAGAACAACAACCACTGACGGCAGCTTTAAACACGTATAGTCCTGGGGGCAATGCTGGAGGAATCTACAGTTAACAAGCTTTACTTACTTAACCATTTTTTTGTTGGTTGTCTTTCCCAAGTTGCTGTCCCTAGAGAGTCCCAGTCCTTTTCCTTTGTCATGTCACTTCTCTAAAAATTTACTTTTCTTTGTTAAATCTGCGATATAAGCTGAAATTCAAAGCCACATCTTTGAGAGCTACTCAGCTACTCATTCCCTGGGTGTCTCCCATGTATATGTGAAATAAACCTGTTAACAAACTTCTGTTTGTTTCTCTCTTGTTAACCTGTCTTTTGTAATGGGTCTGTTCCAACTAAGAACCTAGGGAGGTTCTTATTCCTTTCGCTGAATTTCTGGTGACGAGGATGTGGGATTTTTCTGGGACATTCACTTGCTTCAGAGCCCACAGATGGGATCCTGGGGAAATGGCAGAAGCAGGCAAAAGGGTAAGAATTTACATCAAAGTCAGCTCTTCCTGATCTCTATCTATAGTGCCCATTTAAGAGAGCAAAGTAAAAATTTCTCCTTGTCCCTTCCTTTCCAAATTCATTTTAGCTGCAGGAAAACATTTGTATGATTTAGTTTGAAATGTGATTCTCTATCTTGGGGTACCCACTTGTTATTGATCATTTTCATTCAATGGACAACCATCGTTTTCCTGTTTGTCTTGTTTATGTCCTGAGAGCTTGGCTTTATGACTGGTAAAAATATTTTCTCTGGTCCTTGCTGGTGTTGGGGTGGGGTTGCAGGTGTCAACTTGTGTCTGGAAGCTAGTCGGGTTGGGAATCTGAGAAACTAAGTGTTCTTTGTGCCAACTCTCAGGGGAGTTTGTCTTAATAATAGATCCCAGTCCACAGGGGGCTTTCATCGTCTCAACCTTCTTTGCTTTTGGTTAGTGCAGGGAAAATCTATCCCAGTAAAATGCATGCATGGTATTTCAAATTAGCAGGGCTGTGATTGGAGGCATCCCACGTTCTCTGGGACACATTTTTGCACAAACACTATCCTTAACCGCCTGTGGCAACAAAGATCTTTGATTTTTTTTGGCTATCTCTGAAAGTGAACTTTGAAATCATGGAGGCAGTATCTTTGCACCTCTGGAGATGACTAGTGTATCTGTGGTTAAGCCATAAAAGGTTTATTGGTTTTGATCCTGAGTTGCTTAGTAGATAATACCTTCGGTTAAAAAAGTTTGGTTTCTGATATTCATAGCCTGATAGGAGCAACTTTTTAAAGTCCACTCTGTTCTCTCCATTTGATCCTGCTCCTCCCATAGGAATTCCTCCATGGGAAGCCCTTCTCAAACCCTTGCTAACTGTAGGTTCTGCCGCCACTTTAAGGTTTCTTTCTCATTGGCATAAATTTTGTTAAGGGTAATATGGAACTTCATTAGCTTCTTTAAGAACTTAAGATCTCCCCAAGTTGGCTTCTTCCTTCTCATTGCTTCTGTTTCTCCTTTTTTCTTTTGTTGCCTTAAATCTTCCATCAGTTCCCTTACATTGTTGATATGCCTCCTTCCAGCCTCTGCCTCCTCCGTCCCTCTGTCCTTCTTTGACGGACCTTTTCCCTCCCACTCTAGCCTCTCAGTCACTTGAGCTTTGGAGTCCTGCTCTCATGGATCTCAGGATTCCCCCAAAGCATATATCCGAGACTACAAAGGTTAATTGGAAATATACTGGCACTTAAAATTTAGTCAACAGCCTCCACAGGATTGAGCTCTGATGATAGAAAAATGTGCCCCAAGGCTCCTTCTTGGATTGAAACTTACATTCTTTTTCTGTACCTTTGAGATATAAATGTTCTACCCTGTCTTACCTGAGAACCATCCCTTTTGAAATGCGAACTTCAGGGAGATGATTATCAGAAGGAAAAAAAAGCTATTTGGAAGTTGGGCAAATAAAAAAATCTAAGTCTTTTCCAAAAATAGTGGTAGAAAGGTTTGGCCATCTGAGTAGGTAACCCTGGCTTGTCCCATTTGTCAGAAACAATTTGGATTCTGCTTATTCTTTTATAAACTAGTGAGTTTTGTATTATAGTACCTGGAACATGGCTGAAGTTTTAGAATGAAAGCGATAAGATCTGCTACTGTCTACATGTCTATATATGTCTTTGTATGTATGTTAGCATATGTGATATTTTCCTAACTCTGGATGGCATTGCCAAAATTAATACGTAAAAGAGCTCTATTTAATTGGCTTAAAGAAAAATGAGTGCTTATATAAATTATCCCTAAAACTGCCAGAAGTATAGGAACTAACCCAAATGCTTTTCAAGTTCACATGACTTGGATAAACCTTTGGTAGATAAGACTACTTTAATATTGTTAGTTTAATAATAACAAAAATCCGATGTATTTAACTTTTAAGTTGTTGTTTTGGTGACGTCTGCCTAACATGCATGTGCAGTGAAAATACTTAATGGAGAAATAACTTGAAATGATGCTTAGCTTTGTCTGAGGTCCCTGAAAATTTCACGGGTAATCCAAGCACAATTGTGAAGAATAAGTGAATTAAATAGGTGTAAGTGGGGTAAGAATTTATGAATATGCTTTCAAACAATAATTATGTTTTATAATATATCTACTTAAAAACAGTTTTGTAAATCTCTTTGGTAACTTACACCCTTAAGTTTTGCTAAGTTAAGTTAAAAAATAGATACTTATTCAATATCTAGATCATTTCCAAATAAGATAAAATACTGATGCACTAATTACTAAGCATAAGTTTAAGTTTGTATACTTTTGGCATTTTGTTTTCATATAGTATAGAGAAGCTGAAGATATTTGGGTCTGTTAAACATGTGTCACATTAAAAAATTATACTATGAGGAAGCACATGTTTCTAGAAATTAAAGTTACTTCGAGTTAAAAATTTGGATTAACATATATAATTAAAACTACTAGAAATAATAAGGGAAACAACTCTGAGTGCAAAGTATACAAGGAAAATAAGATGTGCTTTTGGTAAGGAAAGTTATAAGGTATGAGGATCTGTTTTGTTAAAGGAAAAAGAGTAATTAATTCTGTACTAAAGTGAAAAGAATGGTTATTTTAGAATAAAAAAGGAAAATGAAGGAGAAAACTGAAAGGATATAGAAAGTTATGTGGGGGAAGAGAAGAGGGGTCAAAGAGAGAGAGACTATCTTTTGTGCTGAAGCTGGCTAAAATTGAATAAATGTATTATACGGGTTTTAAAAATGAGTCTTACTATCAACAAGTTATTAGTGTAAAACTAGAAGCTGTTTTTCTCTCTGTTAAAAAAGCAAAGTGTTCTTGGAACATTAAATCTGCTCTTGATAAGAGACACTGAAAGAGTTTTACCTTTAGAGGGCTCTGACTAGAAAACAAAGATTTTGTGTCTTATCAAAATAATTTTCTGTGCTTTATGTTTTCTATTATTAGGTCTTTGATTACTTAAGACAACTGAGTCCTTTGTATTAAAAGAGCAAAGTTGTTGTTGTTGTTGTTGTTTCCTGCAACTATGTAACTTTCTGTATTTGCTTTGAAGTCTTTTTTTTTTTGAGTAGGAGTCTCGCTCTGTCGCCCAGGCTGGAGTGCAGTGGCGTGATCTTGGCTCACTGCAAGCTCCGCCTCCTGGGTTCACGCCGTTCTCCTGCCTCAGCCTCCCGAGTAGCTGGGACTGTAGGCGCCCGCCGCCACGCCCGGCTAATTTTTTGTGGTAGAGATGTGTTAGCCAGGATGGTCTCAATCTCCTGACCTCGTGATCCGCCCACCTCGGCCTCCCAAAGTGCTGGGATTATAGGCGTGAGCCATCGTGCCCGGCCCACCTTTGAAGTCTTTTAATTCTCATTCTGGTTAATTGAATGACTATTATTTCACAGTGATCTGTGATCCTATGGATTCAAGTGACTTAAAGATTTTGGCATTTTTAACAACGCCCTAAATCAAATTCTTTTAAACCTAGAATTCACTTCGGGATTTTTCAGATAAGCCCCTTGACTATCTCAAAAAATTTACTCTCTCTCTTTATAACGAGACATATTAAATTAATTAAGCTTATTTGATATGCTAAATCTGCATAGGAAGCATTGTCAAATAAGAAATGGGCTGGGTGCAGCTCATGTCTATAATCCCAGAACTTGGGGAGGCCAAGGCAGGAGGATCACTTTAGGCCAGAAATTCAAGGCCAGCCTGAGCAACATAGTAAGACCCCGTCTCTACAAAAAATGAAAAATAAAAATTAGCCAGATGCGGTGGCATGTGCCTGTAGTCCTATCTACTTGGGAGGCTGAAGTGAGAGGATCCCCTCTAGGGGTTCGAGGCTGTAGTGAGCTGTTATTGGGCCACTGTACACCAGCCTGGGTGACAAGCTGTCTGTAGTTTTAAGAAACTAAGGTTGGCTTTATGGAACCAATAAAGCCCCCCCCCCCCTTCAAAAAACCTGGCCTAGTACCTAATTAAAAGTGTTGCAAACCTTATAGGTGAGTACGGAATGTCACTTCCTGGCAGAATCAGGAACCTCAAAATATTTCAGGAACCTTAAGAAGAGAAGAATTTAATCAAATCTATAGGTATTGTGGTCAAAGTCTTCTAGCAAATCCTTGGCCTTGAGTCAAAGCCTTTTAAAAATCTAATCTGAAATTTCTTATCAAAAGTTCCAGCAAAGCAGACTTAAAAAGAGCCTATGTGATCAATCACTGTTTTTGCTGCACTTATATAAATAATCAATTGAAGTTTAATAACACTAGACTTATTTTGAAAATAAATTAGCCTTACTGTGATTTTCTTTGGTAGAAATAGGGGTGATTACAGAGAAAAAAAAATTTCAGAATAAAAGTACAGTGCACCTATTGTTAGATTCTAGTCCTATTCATTGTTTTTGAGGTTTTATTATCTACCTGTGAACTGAACTGGATTCTGAATTTTTCTAGTTTCCTCCAATATTTGGCTGTGGGTCTCCAAATTAAGATTTCCAATATTCTCTCACCTTTCTGACTTGGCATCACTAAGAACAAAATCTACCCTTTCCCCAAAACCCTGCAAGTTGATACTGGACAACTTAACATAAACTTAGGAGAAATAACCACAATAGCTCACATGTGGACTTCCTTCATGCCTCTTGCCTGTGGGCCACTCAGACATCACTGGAGTCATTAAAACTGCAAAAGATGCTTGAGCCCAACATTTAGAATTCTTTCTGACCAGCCACCCTCTGAATTCAGTAACTGGTTTAAAATTTGCTCTAATGATTAATCTTTGTTTTTCTCTTGTTTTCATATAAATACCTCTTATTAAATAACTGTATGCTTGCACCATATAGGCCTAACTTTGGTGGGAGCCCACTTGTAATACCACCTCCTGAAATGAGACGCTGAAGTGAACTGACTTAGTTCAGTTCAGTTCAGTTCAGTTCAGTTTAACTGAACTGACTTATTCTTAGTACTAAGTGACTGATTCAATAAGGTATGGGACAATGTACTCCAATGTATTTTTTTTTTCTGCTTGTTTCAATTTATGTTTTTCTGTCTTTTGCCCATCTTTGATCTTGCAACTTGCAACCCAAATCTTTCCATAGCTACCAACCCTACTTTTATTTTGCGAAATTTTATATAAATAAAGTTTCAATGGTGGGACTATGAAAGACCAGAATATACCACCCCAAAATATAAAGAATTGTTGACCTGAAGGCAATTAAGAAGGAGATACAGGAAAGCTCTCTGTCTTCTCTCTATTTGCTCAAAAGCAGGACATAGATTTACGAAGACAAAAGGTGTGATTTTCCCTCTAATACACACAATTTATAGGCTTGGGGTGATGCCAGAGAAATCCACATTAACAAGCTTTACTAACTAAACTTTTTCTGTTAGTCTTCCCGAAGTTGCTGTCCCTAGAGACTCCAAGTCCTTTTTCTTTGTCTTTTTACTTCTCTAAAAATTTACTGTTCTTTGTTGAAGATGTTATATAAGCTGGAATTCAAAGCTACGTCTTTGAGAACTTATTCCCTGGGTGTCGCCCATTTATATATGAAATATACATGTTAACAAACTTCTGTTTGTTTTTCTCTTGTTAATCTGTCTGTTGTAATGAGTCTGTTCCAACTAAGAATGTATGGGGGTTATTATTCCTTTCCCTACAGTTTAAAATCTGCTTAATTACTGAGATATTTTTGATAACAGACTGTCACAAGTTGGCCTTGGTCTTTCCAGATGCCATAGTTTTCCAAATAGACCAGGCATTTTTAAACAGCCGTGACTTTGCTCATGCTCTGCCAGCTGCTTGAAACATCTTTCTTTCTGAAGATGAATCCTCCACTTCCTTGCTGATTAAATTCTTCACTTCCTTGAATCCTTCACTTCACTGAATCCTTCCTTCACTTCATTGGTCCCTGTCTCCCCCTACCCCCCGCCAATTTTTTTAAATTTATTATACTTTAAGTTCTAGGGTACACGTGCACAACGTGCAGGTTTGTTACATATGTGTACATGTGCCATGTTGGTGTGCTGCACACATTAACTCGTCATTTACATTAGGTATATCTCCTAATGCTATCCCTCCCCTCTACCCCCACCCCACGACAGGCCCCCGTGCGTGATGTTCCCCTTCCTGTGTCCAAGTGTTCTCATTGTTCAATTCCCACCTGTGAGTGAGAACATGCGGTGTTTTGTTTTTTGTCCTTGCGATAGTTTGCTGAGATTGATGGTTTCCAGTTTCATCCATGTCCTCACAAAGGACGTGAACTCATTCTTTTTTATGGCTGCATAGTATTCCATGATGTATATAATGCCACATTTTCTTAATCCAGTCTATCACTGGTGGACATTTGGGTTGGTTCCAAGTCTTTGCTATTGTGAATAGTGCCACAATAAACATATGTGTGCATGTGTCTTTATAGCAGCATGATTTATAATCCTTTGGGTATGTACCCAGTAATGGGATGGCTGGGTCAAATGGTATTTCTAGTTCTAGATCCTTGAGGAATCGCCACACTGTCTTCCACAATGGTTGAACTAGTTTACAGTCCCACCAACAGTGTAAAAGTGTTCCTATTTCTCCACATCCTCTCCAGCACCTGTTGTTTCCTGACTTTTTAATGATCACCATTCTAACTGGTGTGAGATGGTATCTCATTGTGGTTTTTATTTGCATTTCTCTGATGGCCAGAGATGATGAGCATTTTTTCACGTGTCTGTTGGCTGCATAAATGTCTTCTTTTGAGAAGTGTCCATATCCTTCACTCACTTTTTGATGGGGTTGTTTTTTTCTTGTAAATTTGTTTGAGTTCTTTGTAGATTCTATTAGCCCTTTGTCAGATGAGTAGATTGCAAAAATTTTTTCCCATTCTGTAGGTTGCCTGTTCACTCTGATGGTAGTTTTTTTTTTTTGCTGTGCAGAAGCTCTTTAGTTTAATTAGATCCCAATTTTTAACATCTCTCAATTTGCTATGATTCTCACAATGAATAGCATAGCATCAACAAATTAGTGGCATTTTTTTCTTAGCGGTATATAAAATAATGGGTTATGTTATAATTGATGAAAATTTAGATCTGATGAAATACAGTATATGAATCTGCACAGTCAATGTGTTATCCAAGTGGAAATGTACAATAAGCAGTTGGAAATGATGATCTGGGTCTTTGGAGAGGTGAAGGTATAAAATATATTCACTCTGTTCCAGCATTCTCCAAAGTCTCGATCCTTTCCAGAATCAACTCTAAGGCCCAAAAGCATACTACCGAAACAGCAAGTCAACTAAATATTGATGAGGAAACAGTGATATAGCAACTGGCGCATCATTGCTGATCTTAGACAGGGCTCAAGAAGAGGAAGCAGGAAATTTAGCCAGATCTTTCAAGGAAATGAAGGGATAGAGGGAAAGAGGAAAGTTGCTAGAGGAGTTTGTAAGTTTTAAGAATACTTTTAAAATAGTGAAAGATCTTGAACACGTTTGTAACTTAAGGTAAAAGTACCAATTAAGAAGAGGTTAAATATACTAGAGAGAGTTGAATATTGACCCCTGAGGGAATAGGAGGGGCTGAAGGGTTGGTAGGTGTGAGGAATTGTCAGTGGGTGAGTGGAAAGAGGCATTTTCTGCAGGGTGGCTTCAATTTTCTCTTTGAAGTAAAAGGCAAGGTTATTTGCAGACAATGGAGCGATGTGGCTGGAAGGGAGTGTGAGGAAAGCGAAATCTGGGGAAGGGGTTAGGGCATACACTGATTCACATAGATGGCTCAGCCGATGTTGGATTCGGAACGATAAATCTACAAGTGTGCTTGTCTATGCCTTTTGAGACAGTCTCTAGATCAGTGAGGGTAAAGAAGGTCTATGACTGGAAAGCCAAAAATAAATAAATAAATAAATAAATTTAAAAAAAGGAGGCCTTGATTAAAGTTGTCTCAATCTTTTCACTTTTTAAGAACTTAACATGATACTTGACACACAGGAGGCGCCCAGTAAGTATCTACTCAGTGACATTGTTGAGAGAACATATTGGAAGGTAGGGCAATTTAGGGAATGTCTGTTCTCATATTTCTATCATATTGTTTAGAGAAAAAAACCACTTCTCATTGACAATTGCTTTACATATTAGTAAAAGTATTTTATATTTCACAGGTGATTTTTTTTGTACAGGTAAGCATTTTAATCAAGCTTTTCATCTGTAACAAAAGTGTTTGGTCTCATTTTTATTAACAGCTTTATTGTTTATATATCATAAAATTTACTCACTTTAAGTATACAGTTTATTAGTTTTTAAGTAAATTTACAAGATGTGTAACTGTCACCAAAATCCAATTTTAGACTCTTCCTCTCACCCTGAAAATATTCCTCATGCTTCTTTGCAGACAATTCCTGCTCCCATTCTGAGCTCCAGACCTGCTTTTTATTTCTATAGATTTTTATTTTCTGGACATTTCATATATGTGGAATAATATAATGTGTGATCTTTTGCACGTGGCTTATTTCATTTAGCACAATGTTTTTGAGGTTCTTCCATATTGTAGCATTTATGAGTAGTTCATTCCTTTTTATTGCTTAATAATATTCCATTGTGTGGAGCAACCACATTTTTTTAACCCATTTACCAGTTCACATGCCTCTGGATAATTTTTACATTTTGGTTATTATGAATACCGCTGTTATGAGCATTCACATATAGATATTTGTGGGATATATATTTTCATTTCTTTTGGGTTGATATAGAATAATTTCTTGACCAAACTATGGATTTTTGTCTCAAGAGTGGAATGTTGTTCTGTAGACACTTTTGTAATTTTCTTTTTACATGGTGTAATATTGAAACCTTGAGTTATGTACCTAAACATTGAAATACTAATGAATATATGAATATGAGAAAAGCATCTATAAAATTGTTAAAATTTACTTGGTATCTGGTACAATTTACTGTCATTCACTAGTAACTACTGGTCTTTCCATCTGGAATAAAAATGACATATACATTATATTTACTACTCTGCTAATACCACCAAAAAGCCTAGCAATTGTCATTTCCAGACTATCTGCTGTGAGGAGAGCTAGCAATCTAATTCTTTAAAACTGATTCTTTGAATATATCATTTCAACCCCTCCCTTTTAAGGGCATTTCAGCATTTGAAAAGTAGAATTTAGGTTGCTCCTGAGACAGGCCAAGAGAAAAAAGTAATTTGTTTTAAAATCTTTTCAAACCCAGAGCAACGTGCAGGAGGATACCTTACTAATTTACCAGAGATGCTAAAAGATTGAAAGACTTCCCTTGCTTTGATTTGCTCCCTGGTTTCCTACACTGGAGAAATCTGGAGTGGAGTTCTACATTTGCCACTTTTAACAGTATCAATAGGAAAAATGTGATGAGGAGGAATGTGAAAATCAGCACTTCTCAGGACATTTCTGCTAAATTAGTAGTGATAAGGATTAAGACTTAGAATATGGTCTTCATTCATTCATTCAATTCACTGAACTAGATTCTTATGAATTCTAAATATATTTATGTGATACCTTTCATGTGCCAGGCACTAAGCTAGGCATGTAGATTATGGATGTGAACAGCAGTTCAAGTTGTACACAGCAAAGAAAGAAGCTATGTAGCAGATGGTTTTCCCAACTAATTAAAAAAAAAATTTAATTTGTTTTAGAAGAAATAGCTGGCAACTTTTGGTTACTGGATTTAAAGATCATTAGGGCTTTTCTTCAGCTCTTTGGTAGAATAGCTTGGTTGGCATTTCTTTTCTTTTTTTTTTTTTTTTCTGAAGGTTTGGTATTTAGCAGGTTCTAAGACCAAGAAAAATATGACCAAGGACAAGAAGAATCATTCTGTAAGGTGAAAATCCCAAGACCTCCAAGATGAGGTCTTCTGGATCCTACATGTTTTGTTGAAATTTAACATAAAGAAATCTATATAAATATAGTTCAAAAAATACAAAGCTAATTACAAGTACTTCATTTGGAATAAAAATACTGTGCTGTGTCCTAGTCAATCGTGCACATTTACTGCCACTACTGATCTTGTTCAACATGCTTAGTGTTTGTTTCAGTTCAATGTGGCATGATACATCCTTAGTTAAAAATATCTGCTCTCTTGGATAACAGAGTCTCAGATAAAGCATGATTTGATGTTTAAATTCAAACTCGTCTACATCAAAATGATCAATCATCAGGTGACATCCATGGAGTAAAACTTCTTACACATTAGAAAAAATGCTATGCCTAGAAACTAGTGATGTTATCATCCAAGATAAAAGCCATTTTTAACATATGTATTACCAAGTTACACTTAACATACCAAATTCTAGCTCTAAGGGGTATGGAGTTGCCCAGTGACCCTAAAAAACATATCACCACAGTCTAACATCTATACATTTTCCAAAGTGTGGACATCCATAATCCTGGTTGAGCTACAACAAGATCACTCCTGTTTCTTTCTAGACTTTTCTTATATAACATTAACAAAACAGTGAGTTCCAGTAACAACTAATGTTAAATTCGGAAGTGCACATTGGAGACTCCTTATTTGTCAGCGCAATAGCTTTTAAATAGATAGAGCTTTGTTTAGTACTAAAATATCAGAATGGAAACACAGCTATGTTCATTGTCTGCCAGGATTAGGATCAGAGATGATCTGAGTTCCATAAATATGCCCCCACTACTGTGGGCCCACTGGAGAAAGTGGAGAATTTGAATACCAAAGGAAACAGGCCCAAAGGTACACTCAGCTGCCTGTTTCCTCCTGGTGATGTGCATATGCTGATGGTGGCCAGGTGGAGGATTTGGCTAGCCCAGTGAATTGCTTCTATCTGGAGGAATAAGCAAATAGTGCAGCAACAATGCGCTACCCCTAGATACAAATTAAACAGCACTAAAGTGCACTTAGAAGAAATTAACAAAGCTTTAGAATGGAAAGTGACTTTAAAAAATTCATTCTCTTTTTATTTCAGTTTTACGATTAATGGGAAATGAATAAATGAAAAGACCAAGGAGAGAGAGGAAATAGTAAGGGATTATTACCACAACACAAAGCTTTTATAGATATTATATTTGAATGAGCCAAATAAAATAGATGGATTTTTAATCATTTTATTTTAAAGATCCCTATTACTTCTTAAAAAGTTATTTTGGAAATCCCCAGGCTAAGTCAATGTACTTCAAATTTTAATGTAAAGAAATCACAAAATTTTAATTTATTCCCCCTATAGAAACAATGTTATAGCTATCTTCATGTTCTCCAGGTGGATGTGATTTTTCTTTATGCTATTTCAAGGCAGATATCATGGTCTTAAGCATAATATGAGCTGCTTACACTTGACATTAAAGTAATACTTCCACTATGGTGTGTGAAAAATACCACAGCATTAGATCACCATTGGTATGTATTGCACCAAATAGAAGAATAATAAAATAGATTTCTAAACAGGTAAAAGGCATTACACATCATATAAAATTCAACCATATTTTCTTCTTAGAGTTCTAAGTATTATCTGGCCAGTTGCTTGGATCAGCTAAAGGACATCACCATATTATTGATTGAGAACTTACTCTGTGTCAGGCTCAGTACTAGCAACTTAACATGTGTTGTCTAACTTGGTTTTCATGATTGCTCTATGAATTACCCCATATTACATTTGAAGAAACTGAGGCTTAGAGAAAAATATAATGACTGCTTATGGTCACACATTTGGTTAGCAAAGCCAAGATTTGCATCATACAGCATGTTTATTTGCACTTGAAACAATCAGCAGGGAGAGCTAGGTAGCTTGGAAATAGGTGAGTCACCTGAAAAAGCCTGTGGACTGAGGTGTGGCTTCCATACAGATGCTTCTGTCCACTTCCTGATCAGCCCTTCCTCACGATAAATTATGACTATCAAAGTAACACAAAATGCTTCATGTCAGAGTATTGAAATAATTGGAGTGGATCTCATTTTCTTTGGCTAGACAGCATAATATTAAGTGCTTTTCCCCAATTGGCATTTTTATAAATTATCATTATTTTTTCAGACAGTTTATTACCCAGGTGGCTGTTTTTTTGTGGCAAAATTAGCTCACATGGTCGTACACACAATTATATTAGATGTTGTTACATGTGCTTTACTGAAATGAAAGACTTAACATTTAATGAATTCCCTTTCCTTATTGGTAAGCCTAATCCAGCACAATTTAAAAATAAATTTCATTTATGAGTCTCTTGTTTTCCTATTGTTTCCATATTTATTTAGTGTTTTTCTTCATCTACTTACTGGGAAATTTATTTTTATTTTTATGTTTTTGAGACGGAGTCTTGCTCTGTCACCCAGGCTGGAGTGCAGTGGCATGATCTTGGCTCACTGCAAACTCCGCCTGCCTGGTTTAAGCAATTCCCCTGCCTCAGCCTCCCCAGTAGCTGGGATTACAGGTGCACGCCACCATGCCTGGCTAATTTTTTTTGTATTTTTAGTAGTGGCGGGGTTTCACCATGTTGGCCAGACTGGTCTTGAACTCCCGACCTCAGGCAATCCGCCCGCCTTGGCCTCCCAAAGTGCTGGGATTACAGGTGTGAGCCACTGTGCCTGGCCCTTACTGGGGAATTTAATGGTCTTCTGGATTACTCAGTGGCAGCCCCAAGAGATCAAGCAGATAATTCATGGCTTCTAAGAGCATAATCATACAAGTTTTTTTGTTTGTTTGTTTGTTTGTTTGTTTTTTGAGACGGAGTCTCACTCTTTCGCCCAGGCTGGAGTGCAGTGGCACGATCTTGGCTCACTGCAACCTCCGCCTCCCAGGTTCAAGTGATTCTCCTGCCTCAGCCTCCTGAGTAACTGGGATTACAGGCACCTGCCACCACACCTGGCTAATTTTTTAAAATTTTTAATAGAAACGGGGTTTCACCATCTTGGCCAGGCTGGTCTCGAACTCCTGACCTCGTGATCCACCCACCTCGGCCTCCCAAAGTGCTGGGATTTACAGGCATGAGCCACCCTGCCCTGCCTAATCATACAAGTTTTATCTAGAATATTATTTGAGCAGGAGGGTGGTAAATGAGTGTGGTGTTATGACATTTTTCAATGCCAATGTATGGTTGTGTATTTGAGGTATGTGGAGAACAATTTTAAATGCTTGCAATTTCATATAATCTTGACTGTCTATAAATATTTTTAGGGTTTCGTTAATGATAATCACTTCTATTAAGATACGAGATTAACTAATGGAACCTTAATCTACAGGAAGAACTTGATATTTATGTGATAAAAATGACTGCAAATATTCTACTTTGATGATTAGGTAATTTTACTGACTGTATTATATTGACTAAGGTAAACAGACAATTGCCCACTTTTATCCTGAGCTGTAAAAACTGCTTCTAATGACAAAGGGCCTGGCTTGGAGCAAGGTGAATCCCTCCTATACCTTGGCTGCATTTCTTGGTGCATTTCCCTCTTTGCTCAAACTTCTACTGTGTGCTATGGACAGACTCATTCAAGGGCTTGCCCTGATGGAGCTGCTCATGTGCTAAGTGTATTGAGAAATGAATTATGGAAAGGGAGGAAAGGAAATGAAGTGAAGGAAAAGAAGGGAAAGAATTTGCAAGATAATAATGAAAAAAGACTAATTCAAAGAGAACAAATATAGATAAAACTGAAGGAAAAAAGAATATAGGTAAAGGGATTATGAGTGATTCAGGAAAAGTCTGGGGACAGGGAAGAAGAGAGTGCAATAGAAACATTTTCCTGTAGCTTTCCTCTTCTAAAGCAGGGTTTTCTTAGGGGAAAAAAATCTTAGGGGTCCATGAGTTGGCATTTGAAAAAATTGCATCCTTACTTTCTCTCAAAATTTGTCATCTCCCTCAACTATAAATATAGGCTACAAACTTCTGTATTATTAGCAACATCCATGACTAGGTCTCTAATAGAAACAAAAAATATTTTCATATTACAATGTAATGGTTGCAAATACCTTGAAAATTACTTATACTTACAATTACTTTGAAGTTGCCACTGATCTTAATTGATACTTCAAAAAGAAGTACCTATATTATTATATCATACATTTGTTTTAAAGTATTTGCTAACTGTATTTCAATATAATCAGTTTCCTTTCCAATCCTATAAATTTTATTTCATGCATTTAAAAATATTCTGAGAAGGGGTTAATAGATGTCAACAGATAGCATGACAAAAAAGTTAGCAACCTCTACTGGACAGCAACCCTTCCCACATGAATGGCTTACAGTGTGTCTGAGGTATTTATGCTCTCGGTCCTCAGTGGGGGAGGCCCTGAGGCCCTGACCTCTAGCCGACTTGTCTGTGCAAACATAAACTTCATGTGTTCTATGACAAAGGAAGTTTAGGCAAACTGTTAGGTTACTAGTGGTTTGACTTTTAAAATATTGCTCTTCTAAAGACACCACATTAAAAAAATTATTGCATATATGATGTTATTATCTTTTAGGGAGAGAGAAGCTTTATTACAGAGAAGGACAAGAACTTAGAGGAATAGGAAACTCTAGGAGGCTTGAGAGTTCCTTAGGGAAAGCCCCTTTGAAAAGAACAAGATCACTCACTGGCCAGGGAAAATGAAGTTCACTTAAAGGAACTCTTTTTGGCTTTTTTTGTTTGAGACAGGATCTCCCTCTGTCACCCAGGCTGGAGAGCAGTGGTGTGATTATAACTCACTGTAGCATAAATCTCCAGGGCTCAAGTGATCCTCCCACCTCAGCCTCCCAAGTAGCTGGGACTACAGTTGTGCACCACCACGTCTGGCTAATTTAAAAAATATATATTTTTATAGAGATGGAGTCTCATTATGTTGCCCAGGCTGCTCTTGAACTCCTGGCCTCAAGCAATCCTTCCATCTTGGCCGCCTAAAATGTTGGGATTACAGGTGTGAACCACCGTGCCCAGCACCCCCCCTTTTTTTTTGGGGGGGGACAGGAGATGATGTTACACAGATTTTTCCTAAGAAACATACTATCCCCAGGTCTCAGAGACTCCCTTTTATTTGTTTGGACATAGAGTCCCAATGACTTTGATCATGCCAACATTCATCAAAGCCACATTGTTTGTTTGTTTGTTTGTTTGTTTTTGTTTGTTTTTTTTGGAGACAGAGTCTTGCTCTGTCGCCCAAGCTGGAGTGCAGTGGTGTGATCTTGGCTCATTGCAACTTTTGCCTCCCAGGTTCAAGCAGTTTTGTGCCTCAGCCTCCTGAGTAGCTGGGATTACAGGCATGCACCCCCAACTCTGGCTAATTTTTGTGTATGTGTATATGTATATACACATACATACATATATATGTATGTATATATATATATTTTAGTAGAGATGGGATTTCACCATGTTGGCCAGGCTGGTCTGGAACTCCTGGCCTCAAGTGATACGCCTGCCTCACCATCCCAAAGTTTTGGGATTACAGGTGTGAGCCACTGTGGCTGGCACCACATATTTTTTAATTCATGAAGTTTCATCTCATAGAGCATAACACTAACAGTGTTTTTAAAGATAGGTAGCTAAAAAGGGCTAATTTCTTATCAATGCCCAAAACTTCCTGTGAGAGGCTTGACTAAAACCTTTATCTTCATGTAGTCATTTTCCCCCTCTTATATAAGGTCAAATTTTAATAAATCCATACTCTCTGTCTCTCTCTCTCTCTATATATATATCCATCCATACATACTCTCTATATTATTTGGTAGTCTCTAGTCTGGTATGTGTTTCCATGCCAATTTATCTTTAGTTTTTGAACAATGAAATTATTAGAACAATGGGCATTGTCATTGATTGAATTAAGGATGCTTTGTATAGACTCCTGAAGTCTTCTCTGACTGTATTACTTGGTGTCTGAGTCCCAAACTTTGCAGTAGAAGTCTTTAAAGAAAATGGAATAATTTTCTCTTTAAACTGTAATGAGTGACAGTAGTCCAATGACGATACAGAAAGTGTCACACTCAGATGAGCAGTACTGAGTGTAGAACAAGATCACTAACTGGACATCAATGACATATCCTGTTTCTTGGTATTCAGGAGACTGAAAATCATTTGGTTTTCTTTATCTGGGCCACAGCTGTCTTGGGCCTCATTCCAGTCAGTTTGATCTGGTGAGGATTCCTCTTGGCAACATAAATGCAGTTAAGGGGGGGCTATAATGACATGGCAGTGACAGCTGAAATACATTTCCTCATTTTGATCTAGGTGAATGTTCTCAGTAGTATTGCTTGATGACCATATGCTTATCTGTCTCACACTTATAGGAGATTTTTAAAAGGGATTAAAAGGTATTTTTTCCTCCATTAAACTTCGGACAAAGAGCAATTGTGAGCCAATGTTGGTTAATCCATCGTATTATGATGTATGAAAATCAATGAAGAGAAAAATGCAAAGTACCCCTATGTATCTACCCCTCTATCTACACAAAATTTATTCATCAGGAGAGGCAGCATCACAGCAGATTTGTTAGCCTAATTATGATGTATTTCCTTTTAAACAATTTGCGCACAATAATTGATCAAAAGTCTTCATAGAGCTTCCCAGAGCAATTCATTAGTTCAATAAAACAATGTGAGCAATAGTTGGAGCACATTTACTTCATAATCATTTTGTTAAGGAAGAAAAAAACACAGCAGCTGCAGTTCAGTGTAGATAGCCATCAGAAACAGTTAATTTATCAAAATGAATTGATCTTGGCAGTTTTCATTCTGGGGCTTAGATTGAGAAACACAATTAGAATTCACTGCTGTGCACACAGCCAGAACAAAGTAATGTTGGCTCATTTTCCAGTAACATTATGGGTTAAACCATGGATAGACAGAAAATCCAGAATTTATCCAGCCATACAGATTAAGTCACACATCTAAGTGATCAATAAATGGAATAAAAGCCATCTCTGCTCCACTTTTATAGGAAAATGACAGGTCAATACCTTCTTTTAAACCTAGTCTTACAACCTTATTCCAAAACACAGAGCATCAACAGTAACAAACCACATTCAGCATCCCAGGAAAACAGTGTTAAAGCTGACCTTGTTAAATGCCCTCTCCCAACTCTGCCAGTGAAATGAAATGGATTATCGCTCTGACCTCACATAGGGTTGCACTTTGGGAAAACCCTCCATCAGTGCATATAATCCTAATTTTTAAAGCATTGATCATAGCCCTGCACAGCTGCATGCATTCAAAACTTTTATCCTTTTCCAATCTACACTTTTCCTTCTTAAAAACTGTGGCTTGATTCATTTGTTTTAGCAGCTGCCTTCTTATAGCACATGCCTCCCAGATACACAGATTACGTCGGTAACTGGCCATCTGCGCTTGACAGTCACCCGCACCAGCTCCAAATCTTCTTGGCTTCTCTTTCCAAGCTCTCAGTGGGATACTTGACCCTCAGGTGCTGGGAGGCAGTCAAAGATACAAAGAGCTCTGGATCCCACACAAGGGATGCAGAACTGAATGATTCCATGAAAGTGGCCTGAGAGTGTGACCAGTAAAAAGAAAATTTAGAGAGATTTTGTAAATACATCAAACTTATTTTCATATTACCTGCCTTGTTTAGCCTGTTGGGATGTGGATTTTCCAGGCCAATGCTTATTTGTTGTTGCCACTAAGCTTTTAAGGTCCAAATCAGGCTCCTGCTCCCACTGCCAGGAAGAATGCTCAGCTGAATATATTATTTGCTTCCAACATTTCCTCATTCTGGAGACTTTGTGGTCTGCCTGTGTTGCTGTGGGTGCCAAATGTGTTCTGTGGGGACGAATTGGAGAGCTCAGCAGAAAGACAATGAGCTCTATCACATGCTAGGAAAGTCATGGTCACAGGGTTTAGGGAAAACAAACCAAACCCCAAAACCCCACAGTGAAAAAGTCTTTGGTTTGCTGCTGAAGACAGGAATCAAAGGGTCATTCTTGGCCTCTGTCTAGAGTATGGGGTGACTGAAAGAAATTTATTGAAGGTCCAAATCTACTCAGAAGCCCTAGGCTCTGTCTTGGCATTCTTTCTTCTCCAGTTTAGACAACATTAGCTCATTAAAGCTGCCACGTTTTTATGATCGATGTGTTCTTGAACCACAATGTACTGAAAATAAGTCAGTATCTGGAACAAAGACTAGAGATCTGATCTGTACACTATTACTTTGCTTTCTAAGTGAGAAATAGCCATTACTCCCCCTTCCATGTGCAGAAGGCAGTCTGATTAAACAAATGATTATAAGGACTAAGAGCCTAGAATGGGATTCACAGCTGGCCGGCCTCCAGGGCCAATCTGGGTTTCCAATCTCCCCTTTGTCCATGTTTTTAGGATAAGAAGTAAACTGAGATTGGTGACTACTGAGCAATGATGAGTTCCTCTCCTTAAAGGTGATGTGATAAAGACTATGTGATCTCAGGGTATTTTCACATTTACCCAAATCACCTGCAATTGATTATTAACTCTTGTTGCTGATCGATTCCTCCACTTAGGCTTTTCTCCAAATTAACCTTTCCTTATGGATGTTGTTTTTCATATATGTACACGTATCAGTACTGCCCAGCAGGGGATGGCCACAGGGAGACACACCACTTGGGACAGAGGAGTGCTGAGCTGGTGGAAAGGTGCACTGAGTAACTGTGTGATGTTAACCTTTCTGAACATAGTGTGCTAAAGGTTGAGCATCTCTCATCAAAAAATCTGAAATGTGAAATGCTCCAAAATCTGAAACTTTGAGCATTGACATGATGTCACAAGTGGAAATTTCCACACCTGACCTCATGTGACGGATATCAGCCAAAATGCAGTCAAAACTTTGTTTCATGCATAAAATTATCAAAAATACTGTGTAAAATTACCTTCAGGATATGTATATAAGGTGTATATGATACATAAATGAATTTTGTGTTTTGACTTTAGACACCCCAAGATATCTCACTATGTATATGCAAGTATTCCAAAATTTAAAAAAAAATTGAAACCTGAAAAAGTTCTGGTCCCAAGAATTTCAAAGAAGGGATATTCAACTTGTACTCTGAAAAGTGAGAGTCTTCCTTTGATAATAAAAGCCTACTTGTGACCCTTAGATAGAAAAACTAAACGATGCCTACTGTTTTCAGCACATATGATAGGATTCCATTAGCATTTTAAAATATAAGCTTACATGTGTTAGTATTAGCATACTATAAATAGAAAATAAACAGTACATCTGGGTAGGTATGAAAAAGTCAATGTAATTTCATCCCCCTCCCATTCTATGTCAGTGTATAGTTTTGCTGTTTCCCAGGAATCCTGAGAATGTTATTTAATATTAGCAAGAATCAGACATAATTGGATGTTTGCTGACATAGTGGTCTTTAGTAGCACATGAGAAAGACTATCCCCAGTGATGTGCTTATGATGTTGTGTTCTCATTGTAGCCTAGGGCTTTTCCTCGCCTCCTCTGTTTCCTTTTCCCTAGAGCCCTGTGTCAGCGGCAATGAATGCTTAAGTAGGCTCTGTCAGGAAAACGCTCCGTGACCTTGGAAACGGTATTTAACCTTTCTGTGGATCAGCATCCAAATAGCAAAGCAATAATGACAGGAGCTGCCTCCTTCACAAGCCTATGAGTTGTGACTAAGAAAAGGGATTGTAAAACACTCTGAACATCTTAAATACTACGGACAAATCTAACAATGTTAATCACTCACCAGCTCATGCCCAGTGGTCATCACCAGACCCTTAAAATCAGTTGCTTTCTAGGAGTCCTAGGTCACTTCCTGCTGGAAATGGCAACAATTTTCACCAGCATTAGATGCTTGTTTATAAGAAAACTGTGGATTTTCTGAAATAAATGTGAGGTCGATCAATGCTATAACAAAGTGCTTTTCCCGTGGTTAAGCTGAGGTTATGAGTGCTTTAGTGTGGCTCCATTGACCAGCACTAACTTCATGAAAATATTTAGAAAAAGTTTTTGAAAACATATTTTTTTAAGGAGAAGAAAACAGATTTGGCATAAGTTATATGACAGCCACAGTGAGGCTTTCTTATATATGAAAGACATTGACAATCAGTCCCATGGGGTTTATGTAATTTGAGAATATAGCTTTAAAAATCATATTACAGGCAGCAGTACTTAAGATTAATACAGAGGCCATTTACCTTTTTATTACGTGTTTTATTAGCACTTAGCAGCTTGACTTATGAAAGAAAAAAATTGAATATAGTGTGTCACAGGAGAAAGACTGCTCTATAAAAATTAACATAAGAAGGTGACACTAAACTCCTCAATTTTAGGAGAGAATTGTTGAACGTTTTTTTGCACAAAGTGTGGCTATGGGGTGCATAGGAGGTGATCTCCCAGGAATGTCAGCGAGGACTTCACCGCGGAGGTGGCAATTATGGGAAGATGAAAAGGAGTGAGTTTATGAAGGAAGGATGGGGGAAAATGGGAGACCAATCCAGGCACAAGGAACAGCATTTACAAAGGCCCTAGGGCAAGAAAAAGGTTGGCCTGTTGTGAGAGTAGGTAGATGGATAGTGTGGTGGAGCCTCATTGATAGGGTGGAGCACAGTAAATGTAGTTACATTTTTTTGAATAGAAAAGTTATAGTTTGTTAAGTAAAACCTTTGTTTACTTGTTAATGAATTGAGACATTAATGTGTCTGTAGTTTTAACATAGCAATTCTATTTCCAGGGATTCTGAGGACATTTTGTAAAACATAGAACACTCATGTCATATAATGTCTAAGGACATTTATATAATATCCTATCAGGTAGCACTTGTTGTTAACTTGTCCCATTTTTGGTGATCAGTTAAAATGGCACTGTCAGGTTTTTCCACTGTAAAGATACTCTTTATCCCTTTGTAATTAATACAGATTTTTTAGGAAAGTACTTTGAAACTATATTAATATCAAATATTATATAATTTTAAGTACATTAAATATATATATATAGAGAGAGAGAGAGAGAAGGAGAGAGAGACAGAGAGACAGAGAGAGAGAGAGGTTTATATCCAAGGATGTTTATTATAGTGTTGCCAACTTTTATTTTTTTAATCACACTTACATACTTATTCAGTTTCTGTGGCTTTCTTCTTCCATGCAGCTTTCTAGAACATGGATCATATTTTTGTTATTACTCATTTTCTCCTCTATGAGCCTGAAAGTTTTTCATTCTTTTTCTGCTCTATATTACCTTTAAATTTTTATGTGACTTCTTAAATTGTGAAGTTAAATATCACATCTATCTTGCTCTGAAACAGTGTAAGGCCCTTTGGAATCCTTAACTCCGAAGTCCTCCACTCACTTTCTTTGTCTTTGTCCAATATTTTAACTCCATTTGTTTTAAAACAGTTTCTGTTCTAGGTTCCAA
Organism: Homo sapiens; assembly: GCF_000001405.40. Lineage (NCBI taxonomy): Eukaryota > Metazoa > Chordata > Mammalia > Primates > Hominidae > Homo > Homo sapiens. The sequence goes on along the minus strand of NC_000003.12, from coordinate 148,787,487 downwards.
ATAATTCACTCAACTGTGTCTGCACTACTGTTTGGTACATGAGTTTTATTTTTTAATATGAAATAATTTCAAACCAGGAGAAAGACTGCAGAGTAGCATAAAAAGCTTTTTTTTTCCCTTGACACACTTAAGAATAAGTAGCTGATGTAAATCCCTGTCACTTCCAACTATTTCAGTGTGTAATTCTTACAGACAAGGAAATTCTCCAACATCTAAACTAGGAAGTCAACACTGATAAATTACTATCATCTCATCAGGCTCAATTTCAGTTTGGCCAATTGTCTCAATCATGTCCTTTAGAGAAAAGGATCTAGCAAAGGATCATACATCACCTGTAGCTGTCATGTCTCTGCCGTCTCCCTCAGCTTGGAATGTTCCTCAGTCTTCCTTGACTTTCATGTTGCGACTTTTAAAGATGACAGACCAGTTATTTTCTTGAATGTTCCTTACTTTTTGTATCTTTGATATTTTCTTATGGTTTGATTCAGATTATGCATTTTGATAGGAGTATTATAGAAGTGATACCGTATTCTCATTGAATCCTATCAGGTGGGACTCAGTGTTGATTTGTCCCACTACTGGTAATCATGACCATTATTAAAGTGGTACAGTCAGGTTTTTCCACTGTGAAGATTCTCTTTATCCCTTTGTAATTAATAAGGATTTTGTAGGGATAAAATCCTTATGTATTGAAATTATATAAATATTTGGTGGGGGGAAGTTCCAGGATGGCTGAATAGGAACAGCTCCAGTCTATATCCCCCAGCATGAGCGATGCAGAAGATGGATAATTTCTGCATTTCCAACTGAGGTACCAGGTTCATCCCACTGGGGCTTGTCGGACAGTGGGTGCAGCCCATGGAGTGTGAGCCAAAGCAGGGCAGGGCATTGCCTCACCTGGGAATGCAAGGGGTCAGGGAATTCCCTTTCCTAGCCAAGGGAAGCCATGACAGATGGTACCTGGAAAATCGGGACACTCTCACCCTAATACTGCGCTTTTCCAACAGTCTTAGCAAATGGCACACCAGGAGATTATATCCCGTGCATGGCTCGGAGGGTCCCACGCCCATGGAGCCTTGCTCATTGCTAGCATAGCAGTCTGAGATCGAACTGCAAGGTGGCAGCGAGGCTGGGGGAGGGGTGCCCGCAATTGCTGAGGCTTGAGTAGGTAAACAAAGCAGCTGGGAAGCTCGAACTGAATGGAGCCCACCATAGCTCAAGGAGGCCTGCCTGCCTCTGTAGACTCCACCTCTGGGGGCAGGGCATAGCTGAACAAAAGGCAGCAGAAACTTCTGTAGACTTAAACATCCCTCTCTGACAGCTTTGAAGAGAGTAGTGGTTCTCTCAGCACAGAGATTGAGATCTGAGTATGGACAGACTGCCTCCTCAAGTGGGTCCCTGACCCCCGAGTAGCCTAAGTGGGAGACACCTCCCAGTAGGGGCCGACTGACACCTCATACAGCCGGGTGCCCCTCTGAGACGAAGCTTCCAGAGGAAGGATCAGGCAGCAGCATTTGCTGTTCTGCAATATTTGCTGTTCTGCAGCCTCTGCTGGTAATACCCAGGCAAACAGCGTCTGGAGTGGACCTCCAGCAAACTCCAACAGACCTGCAGCTGAGGGTCCTGACTGTTAGAAGGAAAACTAACAAACAGAAAGGACATCCACATCAAAAACCCCTCTGTACGTCACAATCATCAAAGACCAAAGGTAGATAAAACCACAAAGATGGGGAGAAACCAGAGCAGAAAAGCTGAAAATTCTAAAAATCAGAGTGCCTCTTCTCCTCCAAAGGAAAGCAGCTCCTTGCCAGCAACGGAACAAAGCTGGACAGAGAATGACTTTGACGAGTTGAGAGAAGAAGGCTTCAGACGATTGGTAATAACAAACTTCTCCAAGCTAAAGGAGGATGTTTGAACCCATTGCAAAGAAGCTAAAAACCTTGAAAAAAGATTAGATGAATGGCTAACTAGAATAAACGGCATAGAGAAGACCTTAAATGACCTGATGGAGCTGAAAACCATGGCACAAGAACTACGTGACACATGCACAAGCTTCAGTAGCCAATTCAATCAAGTGGAAGAAAGGGTATTAGTGATTGAAGATCAAATGAATGAAATGAAGCGAGAAGAGAAATTTGGAGAAAAAAGAGTAAAAAGAAACGAACAAAGCCTCCAAGAAATATGGAACTATGTGAAAAGACCAAATCTACGTCTGATTGGCGTAACTGAAAGTGACGGGGAGAATGAAACCAAGTTGCAAAACACTCTTCAAGGGTATTATCTAGGAGAACTTCCCCAACTTAGCAAGGCAGGCCAACATTGAAATTCAGGAAATACAGAGAAAGCCACAAAGATACTCCTTGAGAAGAGCAACTCCAAGATACATAATTGTCAGATTCACCAAAGTTGAAATGAAGGAAAAAATGTTAAGGGCAGCCAGAGACAAAGGTCGGTTACCCACAAAGGGAAGCCCATTAGACTAACAGCTGATCTCTTGGCAGAAATTCTACAAGCCAGAAGAGAGAGGGGGCCAATATTCAACATTTTTAAAGACAAGAATTTTCAACCCAGAATTTCATATCCAGCCAAACTAAGCTTCATAAGTGAAGGAGAAATAAAATCCTTTACAGACAAGCAAATGCTGAGAGATTTTGTCACCACCAGGCCTGCCTTACAAGAGCTCCTGAAGGAGGCACTAAAACATGGAAAGGAACAACTGGTACCAGCCACTGCAAAAACATGCCAAATTGTAAAGACCATTGATGCTAGGAAGAAACTGCATCAACTAATGAGCAAAATAACTAGCTAAAAGCATAATGACAGGATCAAATTCACACATAACAATATTAACCTTAAATGTAAATGGGCCTAATGTTCCAATTAAAAGACACAGACTGGCAAATTGGATAAAGAGTGAAGACCCATCAGTGTGCTGTATTCAGGAGACGCATCTCATGTGCAGAGACACACATAGGCTCAAAATAAAGGGATGGAGGAAGATCTACCAAGCAAATGGAAAACAAAAAAAAGCAGGGGTTGCAATCCTACTCTCTGATAAAACAGACTTTAAACCAACAAAGATCAAAGGAGACTAAGAAGGCGATTACATAATGGTAAAGGGATCAATTCAACAAGAAGAGCTAACTATCCTAAATATATATGCACCCAATACAGGAGCACCCAGATTCATAAAGCAAGTCCTTAGAGACCTACAAAAGACTTAGACTCCCACACCATAATAATGGGAGACTTTAACACCCCACTGTCAACATTAGACAGATCAGTGAGATAGAATGTTAACAAGGATATCCAGGAATTGAACTCAGCTCTGCACCAGGTGGACCTAATAGACATCTACAGAACTCTCCACCCCAAATCAACAGAATATGCATTCTTCTCAGCACCACATCACTCTTATTCCAAAATTGACCACATAGTTGGAAGTAAAGCACTCCTCAGCAAATGTAAAAGAACAGAAATTACAACAAACTGTCTCTCAGACCACAGTGCAATCAAACTAGAACTCAGGATTAAGAAACTCACTCAAAACCGCTCAACTACATGGAAACTGAACAACCTGCTTCTGAATGACTACTGGGCACATAATGAAATGAAGGCAGAAATAAAGATGTTCTTTGAAACCAATGAGAACAAAGACACAACATAACAGAATCTCTGGGACACATTTAAAGCAGTGTGTAGAGGGAAATTTATAGCACTGAATGCCCACAAGAGAAAGCAGGAAAGATCTAAAATTGATGTCCTAACATCACAATTAAAAGAACTAGAGAAGCAAGAGCAAACACATTCAAAAGCTAGCAGAAGGCAAGAAATAACTAAAATCAGAGCAGAACTGAAGGAGACAGAGACACAAAAATCCCTTCAAAAAATCAATGAATCCTGGAGGTGGTTTTTGAAAAGATCAACAAAATTGATAGACCACTAGCAAGACTAATAAAGAAGAAAAGACAGAAGAATCAAATAGATTCCATAAAAAATGATAATGGGGATATCACCACCGATCCCACAGAAATACTAATTACCATCAGAGAATACTATAAACACCTCTATGCAAATAAACTAGAAAATCTGGAAGAAATGGATAAATTCCTCGACACATACACCCTCCCAAGACTAAACCAGGAAGAAGTTGAATCGCTGGATAGACCAATAACAGGTTCTGAAATTGAGGCAATAATTAATAGCCTACCAACCAAAAAAAGTCCAGGACCAGATAGATTCACAGCTGAATTCTACCAGAGGTACAACGAGGAGCTGGTAGCATTCCTTCTGAAACTATTCCAATCAACAGAAAAAGAGGGAATCCTCCCTAACTCATTTTATGAGGCCAGCATCATCCTGATACCAAAGCCTGGCAGAGACACAACAATAAAAGAGAATTTTAGACTAATATCCCTGATGAACATGGACACAAAAATCCTCAATAAAATACTGGCAAACCGAATCCAGCAGCACATCAAAAAGCTTATCCACCACGATCAAGTTGGCTTCATCCCTGGGGTGCAAGACTGGTTCAATATATGCAAATCAATAAACATAATCCATCATATAAACAGAACCAAAGACAAAAATCACATGATTATCTCAATAGATGCAGAAAAGGCCTTTGACAAAATGCAACAGCCCTTCATGCTAAAAACTCTCAATAAACTAGGTACTGATGGTATGTGTCTCAAAATAATAAGAGCTATTTATGACAAACCTACAGCCAATATCATACTGAATGGGCAAAAACTGGAAGCATTCCCTTTGAAAACTGGCACAAGACAGGGATGCCCTCTCTCACCAGTCCTATTCAACATAGTGTTGGAAGTTCTGGCCAGGACAATCAGGCAGGAGAAAGAAATAAAGTATTCAATTAGGAAAAGGGGAAGTCAAATTGTCCCTGTTTGCAGATGACATGATTGTGTATTTAGGAAACCCCATTGTCTCAGCCCAAAATCTCCTTAAGCTGATAAACAACTTCAGCAAAGTCTCAGGATACAAAATCAATGTGCAAAAATCACAAGCATTCCTATACACAAATAACAGACAAACAGAGAGCCAAATCATGAGTGAACTCCCATTCACATTGCTTCAAAGAGAATAAAATACCTAGGAATCCAACTTACAAAGGATGTGAAGGACCTCTTCAAGGAGAACTACAAACCACTGCTTAACAAAATAAAAGAAGACACAAACAAATGGAAGAACTTTCCATGCTCATGGATAGGAAGAATCAATATCGTGAAAATGGCCATACTGCCCAAGGTAATTTATAGATTCAATGCCATCCCCATGAAGCTACCAATGACTTTCTTCACAGAATTGGAAAAAACTACTTTAAAGTTCATATGGAACCAAAAAAGAGGCTGCATTGCCAAGACAACCCTAAGCCAAAAGAACAAAGCTGGAGGCATCATGCTACCTGACTTCAATCTATACTACAAGGCTATAGTAACCAAAACAGCATAGTACTGGTACCAAAACAGAGAAGTAGACCAATGGAATAGAACAGAGCCCTCAGAAATAATACCACACATCTACGGCCATCTGATCTTTGACAAACCTGACAAAGACAAGAAATGGGGAAAGGATTCCCTATTTAATAAATGGTGCCGGGAAAACTGGCTAGCCATATGTATAAAGCTGAAACTGGATCCCTTCCTTACACCTTATACAAAAATTAATTCAAGATGGATTAAAGACTTAAATGTAAGACCTAAAACCATAAAAACCCTAGAAGAAAACCTAGGCAATACCACTCAGGACATAGGCATGGGCAAGGACTTCATGACTAAAACACCAAAAGCAATGGCAACAAAAGCCAAAATTGACAAATGGGATCTAATTAAACTAAAGAGCACAGCAAAAGAAACTGTCATCAGAGTGAACAGGCAACCTACAGAATGGGAGAAAATGTTTACAATCTACCCATCTGACACAGGGCTAATATCTAGAATCTACAAAGAACTCAAACAAATTTACAACAAAAATCAAACGACCCCATCAAAAAATGGGCAAATGATGTGAACAGACACTTCTCAAAAGAAGACATTTATGCGGCCAACAGACACATGAGAAAACGCTCATCATCTCTGGCCATCAGAGAAATGCAAATAAAAACCACAATGAGATACCATCTCACACCAGTTAGAATGGTGATCATTAAAAAGTCAGGAAACAACAGGTGCTGGAGAGGATGTGGAGAAATAGGAACACTTTTACACTGTTGGTGGGACTGTAAACTAGTTCAACCATTGTGGAAGACAGTGTGGCGATTCCTCAAGGATCTAGAACTGGAAATATCATTTGACCCAGCCATCCCATCACTAGGTATATACCCAAAGGATTATAAATCATGCTGCTATAAAGACACATGCACACATATGTTTATTGTGGCACTATTCACAATAGCAAAGACTTGGAATCAACCCAAACATCCATCAATAATAGACTGGATTAAGAAAATGTGGCACATATACACCATGGAATACTATGCAGCCATAAAAAATGATGAGTTCATGTCCTTTGTAGGGACATGGATGAAGCTGGAAACCATCATTCTCAGCCAACTATCACAAGGACAGAAAACCAAACACCGCATGTTCTCACTTACAGGTGGGAATTGAACAATGAGAACACTTGGACACAGGAAGGGGAACATCACACACAGGGGCCTGTCATGGGGTTGGGGGAGTGGGGAGCGATAGCATTAGGAGATATACCTAATGTGAATGACGAGTTAATGTGTGCAGCACACCAACAAGACACATGTATACATATGTAACAAACCTGCACAGTTGTGCACATGTACCCTAGAACTTAAAGTATAATAATAATAATAAAAAAGAAACTATGTAAATATCAACATTCTTCATTAAACCTTTCCTAAGTAGCTTTAGTATCCCTTCATGTTTGGTGGCTGAATTAATTACTACTCAGATGGTTGTCATATTGTGATTTTCTAACTGCTTTATTCTGTTTACATTTATCATTTGGCAGTTAACTGTAAGAAAAAGCTTTCCTTTTTCTAGATTTAGATAATAATTTATTTATATCATTATAGACTTACACATTTTTATTCAACAGATTATAATTTGTTGCTATAATTATTTTGATGCTCAAATTGTCCAAAATTTGGCTAGAAGTTTCTTTACAATAGTGTCTTTGACACATTCCCACAATTCTTTGAGTATTTTCTTACTTTCTGTCCCAAAGATGTTCTAGGGTCACCTTATGCTTTTCCTGCCCCAGCCCTGGAAGCAGCCATTTCACCAAGGAACACTGGTTCCTTTTAGTGGTGAGGGGTTATTTAGAAATTAAGATCTGGGTGTTGAATGTAATCATTACTATTGCACCAAGGCATGTATCTATCATCTATCTACATATACATAAATATATACATATATATTTTTATATTTACTTCCAGATTTGTCTATATTGACTACCATGAGTTCCACAGTTCTAATCTATTTTATTTTTTCTCTTTTCATATTTGCCACTGTTTTCTCAAACAGTGGGGAAACTGGCTCTCATTATCCTCAGTATATTTATTTATTGCATTAGTCCCACCTGGATGTACCCCATTTCTCATTGTAGCTATACTTCCTCTTCCCTGACCTTGACCAGACAATCACCTTGCTCAACTCTACCTAATGACTTTTGAACTGAAACATTCGAGTTTTTAAAAATTACATTGATCATATATTTATTTCAAAAATTTCTTTCTCTTTTAACAAAAACACATTTTAATTTAATTTTCTGTTCTTGACACAGTTTCTACTCTTTTCCCATTTCTTTAATCAATTTAAACTCTTATATTTGCAAGTATTTTTTTAGACCGCTCTACCATCTTCAGTTCTTGGGGTTCAAAAGATCCCATTAGTTGCATCCACTCACTGTGCTTCAACGTGGCTCATTTCTATGTAGGGCTTATAATTTTTTTACTGTGGGTAATTTTTCAAGAGGGATTGTTTACCAGAGAAATCCCAGTGTCTTGGGTTGTAGACTGGTCCCTGTGGAGTCACTCCTATAGAATAATTTTGTATTTGCCTCAGCCAAGTATTTGTGAGTTTTACTGATTTGGAAAGCTATTCTGTTAGCTTCTCATGTTGAGATGTCCACACCCAGGGAATATGACCCTTAGAAGGACGAGTGGCACAGGCTTAGCATTCTGCTTTACAGGTGACTTGTTTTCACCTTCTGTACGCGCGTGGCTAGCTTCCTTGCAGCTTTTCCAGGATAGCAAGCAGAGCCTGCAGATTAGAATGCAGACCCTTTTGTGTCTCCTTGTTTTGTGCAGTTTAGTTCTGACTCATAGGCATGACTTCTCCATCTTCCAACTTCTGTTATTCTCAGCCTCCAGCCCTTACAGCATATATTTGACTTTAACACCCCTGGTGAAAGGTTTCATCTTCTACTTCTACTTAAGACTTTTCATTTTCTCTTTGTTCTGGCACCTAGAAACTTCCCTAATGTGTTTTGCACTGGACTATGTATTAAAACAGTTTTCTTTTTAAATTTTGATTTTTTAGTTGTACTTCAGAGCACATTTTAATGTTTTGACCAGAGAAGTATATTGTTTCTAGTAATGAAACACTGCAAGTAATTAAAATGTTTAACAATAGTTGACTGCTGAAATAAATTATAACGTAGTTGTAGGGTGAAATAATATGTAATTATTATAAAAATGTAGTTGAAATATAATAAAGTAGATAGTATATGCTTGTGACATATTAGGTTAGAAAGCATGATACAAAATTATAGAATGTTAATTATGTAAAAAAATGAAAATAGCATGTATATAGAAAAGTGTCTATAAGAATATACTATAATATTAAGAGTAGCTCTCTTTGGGTTATGGGATTATTATTGAGTTAATTTCATTATTGGTAGAGATAAAAGAAAAATAACTTTAACAAACATTTATAAATCATAGCGTTCCCCAAATAATAACAATAACAATCCCAGTGGTGGTTTGTAAGTCTAATATTAGCTAATTATCTGGATATTGGTTGAAATAAAATACTTGAAAGTTGGGTATTAGGGAAAACTAAGCATTTAAAATTGTGATTTGAGAACTAACTCATTCTTTCAGTTTTGATGTTGTTTTAAAACAAACAATGAAGGAAATGCATAGAGTGTTCAAGAACTGTGAAGACTTTACCTCTTGATTGACTGGGCCTTAAAAGTAAAAGCAGTTTCTAGGAGATTAAATTGTAACTTTTTTTTCCCTATATTTGAGATTGAATAAAATTTCCTGAAAATGAAAAAGGTACTTTGATTTCAAGCCATTATGAGCATTCTCAAAAGGATTTTTATCACTTTGAGTATTAATACCAAGCAACCTTCACATAATTATCTGAATTAAGTTTAAATAAAATTCTCTGTAACTTTGACAATCACTTATTTTCCTTTGTGCCCTAAGGACTAAATTTCAAATTTTATACCTCCTGAAAGAAGAAATACTACTAATTATCAGTACCTGGAAAAACATATATATTTGCATTTAAGCAAATTCTTATAGTTAACCAATAAGAAATAATGCCTTTTAAAATCTGGCTGTGTAATTGAAAGCTGAATAACTATGTCTAGTTAATGATAAAATCTTAGACTACACTGAAGAGAGTGCAATTTTGAGTTGTACAGCTTTAAGAAAATCAGACAAAAGAAAACAAAATGAAAACAGAGCATTTAGTTATTTTTCTGTGCATGTATCCCAGAAGCATATTTTATAATAAAATAGTATTTCTGACACTTTACCATCACTAGAGCATTTAATGTATTTATTTCACTATTTAACTCTTAACTCCATTATCTTGTCCAGAAATGCACACAACTATAACTCATATTTTTAATATTATGTTATTTTGAATTGACTACATCTCCATAATAATTTGAAATGGTTTTTCAAGACTTTTCCACTTATCTGTTTGAAATCAATAACGTTCTTTGTCCATCTTTACTAATATTATTTTATAGCCTCTTTTAGTGCTTTCCTATCTTTTTTTTACACATAGAAAATGGCACTATTTTTATACGTGGATAAACAGGCCAGGTTGCTTGCTCCAGTAGCCCCAAGGCTGCGGAGACACTATCTCAGATCACCTGTCTCCTGTTGACACACCTATACAACAGCATGCACATTGGGAAGCTTTGGGTTATTACACCTTGTCTCTATTTCATGAGGATTTTGTCTATGGGGTCTCAAAGTTACCATAGGCCTCAGCCATCTTTGTCCTTATTAATGCTTTAAAAATTCTTGGTTAAGTGAATCAATGCTTACATTTTATAAAATTGTTTAAGTAATCAAACCCTCAAATGCATCTAGCTTTTAAAAATGGTTATCCCCTACGTGACATTTGTCTTCATCAATGTTTATAAATGAATGAGCATGGCTTTTCTGGGATAACTGGATGCTTGTTTGTGAGTTGCTATATTAGTCAGGGTTCTCCAGAGAAGCAGAACCAATGGTATATTTATAGAGGAATTGGCTCACACAATTATGGAGGCTGAGAAGTCCTACTATAGACTGTCTACGATCTTGGAGAAGCGGGTAAGCTGGTAGGATGTCTCAGTCCAAGTCTGAAGGCCTGAGAACCAGGGGAAGTGATGTTGGAATTCTCAGTCTGAGTCCGAAGGCCTGAGAAACTAGGGCACTGCTGGTGCAAGTCCTGAAGTCCAAAGGCCAGAGGACTTGGAGTTCTGATGTCCAAGGACAGGAGAAGATGCGTATCTCAGCTCCAGAAAAGAGAAACAGAGAGAGAGTGAGAGAGAGAGAGAGAGAGAGAGAGAGAGAGAGAGAATCAGAGAGAAAGAGAATCAGAGAGAGGAAATTTGCCTATCTCATACTTTTTTGTTCTATGCTGGCCCTTTGCTGACTGCATGATGTCTGCCCATATTGAGTGAAGGAAGATCTTCCTTACTTAGTCCACTGATTCAAATGCCAATCTCTTTTCAAGACACCCTACAGTCTTACGTAGGAATAATGCTTTACCAGCTTTCTGAGTATCCCTCAATCTAGTCAAGTTGACACCAAAAATTAACCAACATAAGTCCACACTTTATCAACTTCTCAGCCATACACATCTTCTAAAACTATACAATTTCTATCTTAATTTGTTCATGCTGCTATAACAAAATACCTGAGACTGGGTAATTTACAAAAATAGAATTTTACTTATCACAATTTTGGTGGCTGGGAAGTACAAGATCAAGTTGCCAGCAGGTTTGGTGTCTGGTGAGAGCCTGGTCTCTGCTTCCAAGATGGCTTCTTGTTGCTGCATTTTCCTTACATGGTAGAAGGCAGAAGGACAAAAAAGTGTCTAGCTACAGGTCTCTCAAACCCTTTTATAAGGGTACTAATTTCATTCATGAGGACAAAGCTCTCATGACTTAATCACCTCCCAAAAGGCCCCTCTTCTTAATATTGTTTCATTGAGGATTAAGTTTCAACATGAATTTTGGTGGCGATGCAAGCATTCAAACCAGAGCAATTACTCTGAGTGATTAAGGGAAATATACTGACAGCCACATCTTGAGGTCTTGAGGAAATCTACTTAAATGTTTACAAATATGCACATGAATTAAATGCTTTTTTTTTTTTTTTTTTTTTTTTTGAGATGGAGTCTCGCTCTGTGGCCAGGCTGGAGTGCAGTGGTGCAATCTCGGCTCACTGCAACCTCCACTTCCTGGGTTCAAGAGATTCTCCTGCATCAGCCTCTCAAGTAGCTGGGACTATAAGCACGTGCCACCACGCCCAGCTAATTTTTGTATTTTTAGTAGAGATGGAGTTTCACCATGTTGGCCAGGATGGTCTCGATCTCTTGATTTCGTGATCCGCTTGCCTTGGCCTCCTAAAGTGCTGGGATTACAGGCATGATCCACTGTGCCCGGCCTAAATGCTATTTTTATATGATGAAATTTCATTTCTCCTCCCCTTTCCTCGTTTCTTTTCCTTCCTCACTTTTTGTCTAATCTTTTGAGAAATTTATGGTTATAAAGAATTTATCGCTCATTTTGTGAATTTTACTTTACAAAATAGGAATTATTTATTTATTCAATAAGGAGCAAATTGTGTCTAGGAACAACTCCCAGCAGAAAATAATTTCTGCTTTAGAAAGGGATATTACCCCTAAGCTGGAATTTGCGTAAAAAAAAAAAAAAAAAGGCTCTTTAAGGAGAAGCAGGAAGAGACACTTATTGAGCAACTTACTTTGTTCTAGGCACTACCTCAACCTTTCGTATAGATATTAACTATTAGCATCATTACATAATATAAGTTACATTATCTACAAATAACATTTTCCATTTTTGCCCTTGCTGCCAAGATGTAACAAATGGAACAGATCTTCAAGTACAGTCATAACCTCCCATTAGTTTTCTAATGAAATGATCGCCTTCCTTCTTATATGGCTCTTACTTATCTTTTTGTCTTTAAATGTATCAGTTCATTTGTAATTTTATTACGTTTCCTCAAATCTTTTTTCTGATGAAATAAACCTAAATAAATAAAATGAGAGTGGGGATATATGATCTCAAATGTAACTTTGAACCAGGAATAGTCTATTATTTTATAGTGAGAACATTAAAAATTACCAGATATTCAAAATTCTTTTATCTCTTCTTTCAAATTGAGGGTAATTTCTCTAGCTCCTTGTGTCCTAATCAAAATACTTACCAAATTTGCATTTCTGTGAGATAATCCCACTCCAAACTAGAAAATGACTAATTGAAGTTTTTGTCTCTTCATAAGCATTTTGTAAATTCCTAGATCTATGGGGGCATTTTTCTCTGAAGGAAAATATAATAGTTTATAAGAAACAATAATAGATTTGATTTGATAAAGGGAAAAAGTCATAGAGAAGGTCTTTGTTCCTTGGAATGACTTTGTTTCATCTTGAAAATACATATGCAAACTCCAGTTGTGAAATAACATCGTGGAAAACAAATTTTGAAGAGCAAATCAAGAACTTATATAATAGTTAAGTGGACAATAGACTGAGACTCAAGGGAATAATCTGGGGTGTTTGGAAAAAGTATGGACTTTGAAGATAGAAATATATAGGCTCAAATCCTGAAGTGGCAGTTTACTGGCTATATTGCCTCAAATAATTGACTTAAGAATTGATTTCAATTTTATTATATATGAAAAGAAGACAATGGCACTTACTTTGTTGTTGTTTTGAAATATCAGCTACCTACATCAGTGCCTGGCACCTAGTAGGCTCCTTATAAATAGTATCTGTTATGACTAGTATCAACAAAGCCCTGGTTTAAGTTCTGGTCTTGCTGCTGTGTGATCTTGGACTAATCACTTTGCTATCCTGATGGAGTTTGTAATTCTTGGCTACTCTTTGCTGGAAAGAATGTTGTGAGATCAATACATGTTGAGAATCATGGATTTACGTGGTGCATCCATCTCATGTAATGGTTGAGAAGAACAGTGATACGTCTTGCTGTCTGGATTTGAATCAGAGCCCTGACACTCACCAGCCATTTGACCTTGAGCAAGTGGTTTCACTTCTCCAGTCTCAGTCTCCATATTTGTCTTGAGGATAACAATAGCAATTATCCTCTAGGTTTGTTATAAAAAGTATATAATTTAATATATAAATGTGGCTGACACATTGTAAATACTGAGCAAATATTAGATATTAGTAACATTTGAGCCACTTTCAGAGGAATTATTAGAGCTAGAACTGAAATGCAAAGCAGTGTGGTACTAAGAAGGGAACATGAGTTTTGGCATAAGATAGAGTGAAGTAAAAGCTTTTGCTGTTTTCCAGACTTTCAAAGTTTCGGTTTCCTGTCTGTTAAATGGCAATATTATTATTTACCCCTTATGAGGGTTGATTGTGAGGTAAGAAGCCTCTTGACTTTTTATCACAGTGGTGAGAAATTTACTAGGCAGTAATTCCATTTTCTTGGTATTGAAAAAGTGCAGTGGGAATAGTAACTCAATTAAGAACTCATAATGACTGTTAGTAGTCTGTTTGTAATCTAACATATGTCTTTAAGCACTCTAAAACCACCCAAGTGTGAACATTTTATCCCCTATTTTTTCAAGCTAAGGAACCAGGAAGAAAACCCCTTTTGATTTTCCCCTCTGGCTTTCTTTTTTGAAACACAGAGCTATCATCAATATCACTAATATTTGCTAAGGGTCTGATATCTATCAATCACTTTGCCATACATTAATTTACTCTATCCTTCTTATAAGCCTGAGGTTGAATAGGACCCTATTTATAGATGAGTAAACTGAGGCTCAAAGAGGTTAAGTGACTTGATCAAGGTCATATGACTCATGAGCAACTGAGCAAAGACTTAAACAGCTCAATCTACTGCACTCTGATTTCTCCCTGTGAACCAAACATGAACCTCCCATTACACCTACAGAGGTCTGTGTCCATCATTTGAGCATGCCAGAATAGAAAAACAGAGCTCTTGGCATTGATGTTAGCTTGATAGGGAAATTTGCCTGCTAAGCTTGGAATCTGTGACAGGACAAGCAGATGCCTTGCCAGGCAAGAGGGCATTTAGCTAAGACAGCAGATTTGCAGAGGCAGACCCCTGATCCAATAGCACTTTTTACTGTGATCCATTTGACCTGTGGCCATGCCATTCTGCAATAGACCAAACCAATGTCAAAGGTGGTCTCTATGAGAGCTGCATGCCTCCAAAGTAATCGATGGCCGATGGGAGAGTGGAAGTAGAGAATATACATTTCTGGTTTACACAATGAGAAGCCTTGGGTTCCCCTTCAAGAATATTATGTCAGATTCTATCACAGTGCACTTTTACTACTATTTTCACATGTAAAATCTGCATTTTGTGAGTGTGTATTGAGTAATTGAGTGCTTCTTTGTTCAATTTGCATAACAGGGGCATACTGACATTTTCATGTATATCAGATGTGACTGTCATACTCAAGACTGGTGCAATTTCAGAATATGGCTTTATGGTAATACCACAAATGGCATTGTTTTTTCGGCAGTGTGCAGAGTTTTGCAAATACTCCATTAGCAGCAAAGGAAAAAAATGTGACATGGCTTTATTAGTTGAGATGTCTTCTACAGAAATATTAAAATAGAATAAACCCACGGTTCATTTTATGTTTTATGATCTACAGATTCTTGAGTGCAGATTTGTGACATTATTTCTAGATGAGACTAAAGATATAATCACATGTACCAAGACAGGCTCGATGAAGAATACGTTCATTATACAGGTTTGCCTTATGCCCCATCACTGGGCTCTTTGATGTACTCGTTAACTGTATATGTTTATAAATTATGTTATCTTGTGAATAATATAGTTACTTCATTTTTATTCATATAAGGGTCTATATACTAATGTAAAACTTTAAAATATATTAATCTCACAATAACAACAATCCTGTTTTGTCATTTCTTCATTTTTTAGTATATTGGGAGCCAAAATGGAAGTTGCCCGAACCCCTCTTCATCTTTTAGGCTGTGCTTCTACATCGTTTTGTATTGTGTATTAATATTATCTCTCTAAATAAGCTACAAACTTCTAGAAAGTAGGAGCTATCTTTTTTTATTTCTGCTCTTTATTATTTTCTTCATTATTTCCTTCCTTCTTTGGGTTTGCTGCATCCTTCTTTTTCTAGTTTCTTAGATTGTGGTAACTTAGATTATTGATATGATATTTTTCTGTTTCCTTTTTACTAATGTAGGCACTAAAATGTGCTATAAATTTTCATCTCAACACTGCTCTAGTTGAGTCCCATAGATTTTGATATATTGTATTTCTGTTATCATGCAGTTCAATATATATTTTTGCTTTTCCTTGAGCCTTCCTCTTTGACTCATGGATTATTTAGAAGTAGAGGCATCCCTCAGTATCTGGTGGGTGATTTGTTCTAGGGATCCTTGCAGATTCCAAAATCCACTGGTGCTTAACTCCCTTTATAAAATGCTGTAGTTATTTTTATATAACTTATGCACATCCTCCTGGATGCTTTAAATCATCATTTCTAGATTACTAATAATATAGAATACATTACAAATGCTATGTAAATAGCTGTTATGCTGTATTGTTTAGGGAATAATAAGAAAAAGAAGTCTGTACATATTCAGAACAGATGCAACCATCCTTTTTTTTTTTTTGAAGATTTATGATCTATCTGTGGTTGGTTGAATCCATGGATGCAGAACCCATAGATATAGAGAGCTAACTCTGTGTTGTTTAGTTAACAAGTGTTTGGAGATTTTCCTGTTTCTTTCTATTATTGATTTCTAGCATGGCCGCAACAAAGTACCATAGGCTAGTTGACTTAAACCACAGAAATTATTTTTTTTTTCACAGTTTTGGAGGCCACACGTCCAAGATCAAGGTGCTGGCAGATCTTCTCACTATGCCCTCACATGGCCTTTGCTCTGTGAGTGTATATCCCTGGTGTCTCTTACTCTTCTCATCAAGACATAAGCCATTTTGAATTAGGGCTCCACCATATTCACCTCATGTAACCTTATTCACCTCACCATATTCACTTCATTTAACCGTAATTACCTTTTTATAGGCTCCGTCTTCAAAAAATCACACTAAGGGGTTAGGGCTTCAACATATGAATTTTGGCACGGGGGAGGGGGGACATAATTAAGTCCATAATACACAATGTTTATGATTTCAATTCTTTTAAAATTGTTGAGATTTATTTTATGGCCCAGGAATATGCTCTATCTTACTATATGTTCCACAGGCATCTGAAAAGAATATGGATATTCTGTCATTGTTGGGAGGGGTATTCTATGAATATCAAATTCTTTCAGTTGATTACTTTAGTTTGATATTTATAGAATCACCCAACCCAACAAATCACCCACCCAACAAAAACAGAATACATATATTCTTGAGTATTGAGTTCTTCTATATCCTTGCTGCTTTTCTGCCTATTTGTTCTATCAATTGTTGAGAGAGAGGTGTTGTAGTCTGTCATTATTACTGTAGATTTGCCTATTTTTCTCTTTTAGTTCTGTCAGTTTATGCTTCATAAATTTTGCAGCTCTGTTGTTTGGTGCATATACATTCAGAATTACTATATCTTCTTGGTGGATTGACCCTTTTCTCATCATCTAATGTCACTCACTGTGTCTAGCAATTTTTTATGCTGCAAAATCTACATTATTTGATATTAATTTAGCCACTCTTCCTTCTTTAAAAAATTAATGTTTGCATGATATAGTCTTTTTTGTATCCTTTTACTTTCAACATGCCTATATAATTATACTTGAAGTGAGTTTCTTGTAAATAGCTATAGTTAAATCATGTTTCTCAAAATCACCTTGCCATTCTCTGTTTTTTAATTGGTGTATTTAGACTGTTTACATTTGTGGTAGACAGTATAATGGCCCCTCAAAGATCCCTGCCTCCTAATCCCCAGAACCTATGAATATGTTACCTAATACAGCAAACAGAAATTAAGGTAGCATATAGAACTGAAGTTGTTAATTAGGTAATCATCAGATGGGGATACCTAGATTATCTCAGTAGGCATAGTGTAATCACAAGTGTCCTTAAAATGGGAAAGCAAGGGCAGAGGAGGAGGCCAGGGTGATGTGATGTGAGAAGGATTCTATTTGCCTTTGCCTTCCTTTTTAGAGAGCTTCCTGTAGCCATTCTTTTCAAGTAGGTCTGCAGGTAAAAAATTCTCTTTTCCTTCATCAAAGAATGCCTTAATTTCCCCTTCCTTTCTAAAGGATATTTTCACTGGGCATAAGATTATGGGTTGATGGTTTTTTTTTTTTCCAGCAATTTCAAAATATTTTGCCACTTACCTCTGCCCTCTATGATTTCTCTTTTTTTTTTCTTCTTCCACTTTTATTTTAAGTTCAAGGATATATGGGCAGGATGTTGGCTTCCATGGTTTCTGATGAGAAATCTGTCATTCAAATAGTTTTTCCTATAGGTAAGGTGTAGTTTTTCTCTGACTACTTTCAAGATTTCTTTTTTTGTCTTTAGTTTCCAGAAGATCAATAATATATTTTGATATAGATTTCTTTAGTTTTATCCAATTTAAGATTCGTTAACTATCTTGAATCTTTAGGTTTACATCTCTTGCTAAATATGGAAAGTTTGAAGCCATTATTTATTCCACTACTTTTTCAGCTCTATCATCCTCCTCTCTTTCTAAGGATTGGGTAACACAAATGTTAGATTTTTTATTATACTCCCACAGGTAACTAAGACTCTGTTTATTTTTTCTTTTCAGCCTATCTTATCACTGTTTTTATTATTAGGTAGGTTCTGTTTTCCATCTTCCATTTCTCTGTTTCTTTACCCTGTTGCCTCCATTCTGCTGTTGAACACATCTATTGAAATTTTTATTTGGTTATTGTATCTTTTAGTTCTAATATTTTTATTTGGTTCTTCTTTATATCTTCTGTTTCTTTGCTGAAATGCTATTTATTTGCTGAGGCTTTTTATGTTTTTAAGTGTTGTCATAGTCCATTTGGGCTGCTATAACAAAATACTTTACACTGGGTAGCTTTTAAATAACAGAAATTTATTTCTCACAGTTCTGGAGATGGACATTGAAGATCAAGGTACAGACAAATTTGTTATCTGGTGAGAGCCTACTTTAGAGTTCATAGATGATGGCTTCTAGTAGTATCCTCACATGGTGGAGGGGCAGGGGTCTCTCTGGGGCCTCTTTGATAAGGGCACTAATCCCACTCATGAAGACTCTTTGCTTATGAGCTAACCATTTCCCAAAGGTCCCACCTCCTAATTCCATCACCTTGGGGATTAGGATTTCATTGTATGTATTTTAAGGAGAGATAAACATTCAGTTTATTTCAAGTGTGTTCATAATTGCTCAGTAAAACATTTCTATTAAGGTTGCTTTAAAATCATTATCAGATAATTCTAACATCTTTGTTGTCTCAGTGTTGGCATCTATTGATGATTGATTCTTTTTTTATTCAAGTTTACATTTCCTGCTTCTTGGTATGATGAGTGCTTTTTAATTGCAAACTGAACACTTTGAAAGTCATATTATGAATCTCATATTATGAGACTCTGACACTTATTTAAGCCTTCTGTTTTATCTGACTTTTTCTGTGTCAGGGAAAGAGAGAGTGCCGCCCCATTGCTGCCAGATGGAGTTAGAAGCCCATGTTTTCCACTCAGCTTCTTTTGACACCTGGGTGGGAAAGCTCTTCCTTGCTTCTAGACAGGGGTTGGAGTTCTGGCTTGTCATGTAGTCTCCAATGATACCACAGTGGAGGGTGGCCTTGATACTCCATTGGGCTATAGTGAAATTCTTGACTTTCTACAAGGCCTCCCTGATACTGTCCCAGTGCAGAGAAGAGGTGCCTCATTATTTCTGAAAGGGAGAGGAATTCCAGGCTCCCCAGTGGTCCCCACTACACAGTCATAGGACCTTATTCCCAGCCAGTGGAGATGAAGGTTCCAGCTTGATACTTGGCTCTAACTTGACACTGGCAAGGGTGTTTGGGTACTTCATTACAGCTTCATGAGGGTAGAAGCTTCTGCACTTGGCCTTTATTGGTGTGAATGAGGGTAAGGCCACAGGGTTTTCTGTGGTATTTGTTCAGAGTAGAACAGTTATTATCCAAAGTGTTCTGTTTTTCTAGACTGTTCTTTTCCTGGTCCTTTGGCTGGACAGAAGAGGTTTGTATTGGGCTTATTTTTGTCTGTGTCCATTGGTGTTTCTGGGTGGTCATATTATTTGACTCCAAGTCTGGTATATACGAGGCAGAAAGAAAACTCACGAACTCATCACCATGTGTTTCCAAGGGTCCTGAGATCTGTAGCTAGTTTTCCTTCTTCTCTTCATCTTTCAGTTTTCTTGTCTTTATTTGATATATAATGTTCAGGATTTTAGTTGTACTTAGTGAGAGGAATAGGAAAAAGTATCTCTATTCAATCCTTTTAGGGACTTTTTGGTATCTCCTTTGGTATTTTTGGTATCTCCTACTGTGCCAAGTTCTTATGCAAGGTGCCAAGCATATAAGTTTTGCAAGAAAATATATGATCTCTTGTGAGGCTTGTATCTGTATTCATTCATTCCTTCATTCATTCATTCCCTCATCCCTTCAATAGACATTTTTCTAGGTATAGAGGACATCATAATGGCTTCCTAATTCATCTGTCTGTGTCCACCTGTGCCTTCCCTAAGGTCTGTTCTTCTTACGATAGCCAAGAGAGCCTTTATACAGGTTAAAAAAATCAGAAACCCCTTCTCCCTAAAATGCTCCAATGATTTCCCATCATAATTTAGAATGAATCCAGAGTGTTTGCCATGAATAATTCAAGCAAAAAGAAAAATCTTCCTGTAAGGCACAGGAAGAGCATGGGAATAAGACTCTAGAGCTCTGAATTCTAGCTCAGGATCTGCCACCAGATAAGGGTGTGGCCTTGTGAAACCATCTAACCCTTCTTGGCCTCTCTTTCTTGGGCTGCCGAAATCAGAGACTTTGGTGAGCTATCCCAAACTTCTCACTATCCCTAACATTTTACAAAGATAACAGACATGAAAACTTATGTGCTATACTTAGAATTTTAAATATTTGTGTAGTAGAGTAAATCTCTTCTCTGAATGAATCCATAAAGTTATCTACAATGATATTACTTAGAATAAAAGTTTTGGAATACCCCCAAATGCCTGTACAATTCATACACCTTTCCCTCTTTGTGTTTGCCATTTTCCCTGCCTGGAATGCTCTTCTCCCAGACACTGCATGGCTCACTCTCTCATTGTCTTCAAACCTTTTCTCAAGGTCACTATCTCAAAGAGGTCTTTCCTGATACCACCTCATTTGTCCCCTCCCCTAAACATGGCAATTACTATCTATTTTTTCTGTTTTATTTTTTCCCTAGCACTTATCACTTATATTAGAATAACCAGTGTAGAGAAGTCCTTAAATGACCTGAAGGAGCTGAAAACCATGGCACGAGAACTACCTGACACATGCATAAGCTTCAGGAGCCAATTTGATCAACTGGAAGAAAGGGTATCAGTGATTGAAGATCAAATGAATGAAATGAAGCGAGAAGAGAAGTTTAGAGAAAAAAGAGTAAAAAGAAACAAACAAAGCCTCCAAGAAATATGGAGCTATGTGAAAAGACCAAATCTACGTCTGATTGGTGTACCTGAAAGTGATGGGGAGAATGGAACCAAGTTGGAAAACACTCTGCAGGATATTATCTAGGAGAACTTCCCCAATCTAGGAAGACAGGCCAACATTCAAATTCAAGAAATACAGAGAATGCCACAAAGATACTCCTCGAGAAGGGCAACCACAAGACACATAATTGTCAGATTCACCAAAGTTGAAATGAAGGAAAAAATGTTAAGGGCAGCCAGAGAGAAAGGTTGGGTTACCCACAAAGGGACGCCCATCAGACTAACAGTGGATCTCTCAGCAGAAACTCTACAAGCCAGAAGAGAGTGGGGGCCAATATTCAACATTCTTAAAGACAAGAATTTTCAACCCAGAATTTCATATCCAGCCAAACTAAGCTTCATAAGTGAAGGAGAAATAAAATCCTTTATAGACAAGCAAATGCTGAGAGATTTTATTCTATGTATTTTATATGTTTACTTATATTCTACTTATTTTACTTATCCATCCTGTTCATTTTCTTTTTCTTCCTTCTAGAATGTAATTTCCACGATGGCAAAGTTTTTTGTTTTTTGTTTTTTAATATTTCCTAAGTGCTGTATATACGTAACAATTTTAACAGTGCCAAGTGCTCAAAAATATTTGTTGAATGAATGATTAAGTGCATGTCTGTTGGACTCTTCTTTTCATCAGCTTTTAGCCTTGTGTACATCGGTCACCCAGCACATTCAACCAGCACATCTGACCTCTTGAAGGTACATTTCATTTAACTGCGATATCAAATTAACATGAAAAATCAGAATCCAGCAGTGCAGAGAACACATGAGAATAATAATTATTATTATCATTTAGGTCAACAAAATGTCTAACATAATAACTGTGTACTGAACCTATCAAGATTTTGTATGTTGGAATACGATCTCATGCAAAATGAAAGCACTGATTCACTTAGTACGTAATGTTATTACCAAGACTGGCTCATTTATGTGAATATTTTACCCCCTTGACTACTTCACTTCAAGCTGGTGCGGGAGATGTGGGGTGGGCAGTGTAGAGTCCTTCTTAGCATTTGCACACATGCATTTGTATGGACCAGGACACCTTAGTTGGTGTCTGTCTGCTCATTAGCATCTCCCTTTGAAAATGAATGGCTCATGCATGAACCAAGAAGGGCTCAAAGGAAGAGTTGGCACTATCATCTTCCCAATTTGCTTTGAGGTAGGATTTATTCTTTTTAAAAATAATTCTAAAATGCCAAATGAAATGGAGCATTTTGTTTTTTTTAAAAAAGCTGAAGACGTAAAATATTCTGGTTTTCAGTCTGACAACCAGCTTTGAGTGTGGTGAACATCACTTTAAAGGTGTTAAAAAAAGGACTGCTTTTAAAAATCATAAATCTTGATTTCTTTTAGGCCAATTTTTCTGATAACCTCAACATTCTTAGTTAGGAGTGCCTAGCCAAATGCTGGGTGAGATGTATGTAGGAAAAGCAAAGAAACTGAAGCCTGAAGGAGAATCTTCAGTTTATTTGGCTTGTGTGTTTGGCATCCTCCCAATTGTTCTTGTGTCTTTGTAAGTTTCTGCTGAGTTTTCAGTAACAAGTGAGGCCTGACATTTCCCTAGCCTATCTATAAGGACAGTTTTATTTCTTGTGCAGATTGTTTATCTAGTTCATTATGTTGACAAACCATTGGGATGAAAAACAAACTGCTGTGGATGGAGGCAGCTTTCCTAATTCTATTAGTTTATAAGACAGGGTTACAACATCTCCACTCTATGAAAAAAATTAAAAAGCTGAAAATCAGCCCACCAACTAACCAAACAAAAAGTCCTCTCCTATGGATTTGGCAGAATCTCCAAGTTGTCTTATGCCCTCTCTCAGTCAGAATGTCTGCTTAGATTTTGCTCATCTTACCTTGCAGACAATTAAGCTGTTAGTAGAATTTACCTTCTTATTTATTTTATTTTATTGACAACCAAAGCCCACATAAAATGCCAAACAGCATTTAAAAGAAGACCGACTGGAAATGGAAGCCATCACTAAGTCCTGAAACATGAAATCCTGAGCATGAGTGTTGGCTTAAACATGCATTCCATCCTAGATATCCTGACTTGATAAAGCTAGAGTAGTGAGAATCTCATGTACAATATGGTGTGTTTACCATGTTACAGGTCATTTCCTTTACTTTCCTAAACATGTTTTTAAAAATGCTTTCAAGTTTATCCAGCTGCCTCTAGTGGAGCATATTGAAAGTATAACTGCCCTAAATATGACAGATAGATAGCAACTGTTGCTGAAAAACTGACACTGGGTTGGAATTGTCTCAGCAATAAAGTTGTGCTTTGTAAAAGCCACATGCTCTGAAATATTTGCCTTTGTGATAAGCTTTTGCGTGAATTCTGTCCTGATGTTAACATTGAGAAGATGCATCTTACTATCTTCAAATTTTGTGTTATAAATGTTTCCAAAAAGGCAAACCAAATCTAGGGATGTTATTTATATACATGTATAGATTCAGGTTCAATATTTCTGCACTGATTTTACATTCACCATATATCACAATATGGGGTCTATCTGCATTGGCCATTAATTATGTACACTTGGATTTACTTTATGAATTTTGGCCTGATGAGTATATTATTTCTGTGTAGGTAGATAATATAGCAATATATAATGTTAAGTGGTGCTTTGAAAAGGAAATGGAATTTATAAAAATATTATAATCCATGTGGCTATTTTCCAGCTCATGTGAGTGCTCTTTTAATCCGTGCTTTTTCTTAAATACTGTATTTGCAATTTAAGCACTGCCACATGCTGCCACTGCCGTTACAAAGATACATTAGATTGATAGAATGATGCTACATTCTTTATGACTGGAGAAAATAATGACTTCCTCTGTTCTCTCTAATCATGTTTTTATGGTTTGTTTTCCAAAATACTGTATACTTGACCTTAAAAGGGGAAAAAGACTGCACATTTCATTTAACGAGTAATAAAAAGTTGGGTTCTCATTTTGCATTTTAACCTATGGGGAATACATTTTACTATAAGATATTTTCATTATGGAGCCCAGATCTTAGACAATTCTGGCTGACTCTGGCTGCTTAAGGACTATATGTCTCAGTAATTGAAAATAGATGCAGTGGATGTTGACCTATTTTACTTTCTATGTCTCCAAGTTGAAAACCACTTTCCAGTGTTCCATGAGATTGTAGAAAGTCATTATTTCTAGTAGAAGAAAAAAACAAACTCATGCTTGATTTTTCCTCCCTCTTCACTAAGTTACCTTTTATTAGTTCTTCCATTACAAAATCTAGACTAACAGGTGATAATGATACTGTCTGTTGCATCTTGTTTAAAAGGTAGAGCACTTCTAATGCATTCCTCTTAGAAAAGTACATTATTTGAACATTTGCTGCTTTCAAGTACATTTTAGAAAGCTGGTCCTCTTCAAACTTTTACATCAGGCAATTTATATATCTAACATTATTCATATAAATGGGGAGAGCCTCGCCCCCTCCGAAATGCTAAAGATAGTTAAAATAAAGCTGTTTTAAGTATAATAAAAATATTATTTATTCCTTTGGAAATGAAATAACATTGTAGATAAGACAAAAATTAATTCAGAACTTACCCTTTTTTGATTAAGAAACCAAACTCCCCCAATTTTGGATACCCAGAACTTACTCCTAAGTTATGAGGTTGAAGAATCGAATACTTTTTTTTTTTAAAGACAGATTTACCACATTTTTCACCTTTCAATTAAGTCCAGGGACTTTTAATAAAAGTGCATTACATTTTGTAATGACATGCCTAAAGCACTTCAGTAATGTTGGTTTGTTTAGGAGATAACATAATTTACATATAAGTCTGATAACCATATAGTTTAGAATTCCTAGTTTTGTTATTGATGGTTATACAATATTCATCTTTAAGAAGTTTTTGGAAATTTCAAGTAATACATTTTAGAAAATTACTTCAGAGAATCTATATTTTTTAATTATACTTTAAGTTCTGGGGTACATGTACAGAAAGTGCAGGTTTGTTACATAGGTATACACATGCCATGGTGGTTTGCTGCACCCATCAACCCATCATCTACATTAGGTATTTCTCCTAATGCTATCCCTCCCCCTACCCTCTGACAGGCCCCAGTGTGGGATGTTCTCCTCCCTGTGTTCATGTGTTCTCATTGTTCACCTCCCACTTATGAGTGAGAACTTGTGGTGCTTGATTTTCTGTTCTTTTGTTAGTTTGCTGAGAATGATGGTTTCCAGCTTCATCCATGTCCCTGCAAAGGACATGAACTCATCTTTTTTTATAACTGCATAGTATTCCATGGCATATATATGTCACATTTTTTTATCCAGTCTATTATTGATGGGCATTTGGGTTGGTTCCAACTCTTTGCTATTGTGAATAGTGCTGCAATAAACATATGTGTGCATGTATCTTTACAGTAGAATGATTTATAATCCTTTGGGTATATACCTGGTAATGGGATTGCTGGGTCAAATGGTATTTCTAGTTCTAGATCCTTGAAAAATAACCACACTGTCTTCCACAATGGTTGAACTAATTTACACTCCCACCAACAGTGTAAAAACATTCCTATTTCTCCACATCCTTCCCAGCATCTGTTGTTTCCTGACTTTTTAATGATCACCATTCTAACTGGTGTGAGATGGTATCTCATTGTGGTTTTGATTTGCATTTCTCTAATGACCAGTGATGATGAGCATTTTTTCATGTGTTTGTTGGCTGCATAGATGTCTTCTTTTGAGAAGTGTCTGTTCATATCCTTCACCTACTTTTTGATGGGGTTGTCTGTTTTTTCTTGTAAATTTGTTTAAGTTCTTTGTAGATTCTGGATATTAGCCCTTTTTCAGATGGATAGATTGCAAAATTTTCTCCCATTCTGTAGGTTGCCTGTTCACTCTGATGACAGTTTCTTTAGCTGTGCAGAAGCTCTGTAGTTTAATTAGATCCCACTTATCTATTTTGGCTTTTGTTGCCATTGCTTTTGGTGTTTTAGTCATGAAGTCCTTGCCCATGCCTATGTCCTGAATGGTATTGTGTAGGTTTTCTTCTAGGGTTTTTATGGTTTTAGGTTTTACATTTAAGTCTTTAATCCATCTTGAGTTAACTTTTATATAAGGTGTAAGGAAGGGATCCAGTTTCAGCTTTCTGCCTATGGCTAGACAGTTTTCCCAACACCATTTATTAAATAGGGAATCCTTTCCCCATTTCTTGTTTTTGTCAGGTTTGTCAAAGATCAGATGGTTGTAGATGTGTGGTGTTATTTCTGAGGCCCCTGTTCTGTTCCATTGGTCTATATATCTGTTTTGGTACCAGTACCATGCTGTTTTTGTTACTGTAGCCTTGTAGTGTAGTTTGAAGTCAGGTAATATGATGCCTCCAGCTTTGTTCTTTTTGCTTAGGATTGTCTTGTCTATGTGGGCTCTTTTTTGGTTCCATATGAAATTTAAAGTAGTTTTTTTTCCAATTCTGTGAAGACAAGTCAATGATAGCTTGATGTGAATAGCATTGAATCCATAAATTACTTTGGGCAGTATGGCCATTTTCACAATATTGATTCTTCCTATCCATGAGGATCACATGTTTTTCCCTTTGTTAGTGTCCTCTCTTATTTCCTTGAGTAGTGGTTTGTAGTTCTCTTTGAAGAGGTCCTTCACATCCCTTGTAAGTTGGATTCCAAGGTATTTTAGAATCTGTATTTTTAAAAAATTCTCATTATCCACAAATAAGCAGCAATTTGATAAATCTATTTATTTTTTTCTTGGGCTATTTGTAGAAAGGTGCTCAGAGCTTCCATTACTCTCAAGCTTCTCTTCTTTTCAGTAGGGTATTGAATCCATGTTTTGTAGCCTTTTTATAGAATGAATTAGTTTGAACAAAACATAAAGTACTCATAATCCATCTAATTAATTTAATGATCATTCAAGAATTTAGTGTTTCTATTGCTTTCTAACACAGTATACAAAAACATGCTTCACTTCTCATTAGGACTTATTTGACAAATGTCAACTTCTTTTCAAAATATCTAAGTTGATCAGCCTTAAAATGTAATCAGAAATTAGTGGGTAAATTGTCACTCTAAGTGTGCACATAATCCAGGCAATGTACTGCCATATTCCGAACAGGTTTTTCAGACTTGTTACTTTCAGCGTTCATAATTGGCACTCATAATCATAGAAGCGTACTCCACAAGGGAGGGCAAACAGTGAAACATGTATGGAGGTTATGTGTGTGTGGAGGAGGGGCAGCAGTGGGAGGTGGTTTTTGGTGAGTGTCCACTATATGTCAAGCACTGTGCTAAGTAATTATGTAGGACTCATTTTGTGATGTGACATTCAATATCGGTAAAGCGTGTCATACCTCAACCAATTTTAATTTCTCAGCCTGACTGCTGGTTTCCTTTCCGTTGCTTATAAGTAAAATGACAGAGTGGAAAGCCATGAAGACTTTCTTATAGAGCAGTGGAAGGATTTAGTTATAACACCTTGGAGCTGTTAGAAATTTTAGAACTCATCAAATCCAATCTCCCAATTGTATGGAGGAGGAAACTCAGACTCAGGGAGGCTAATCAACTTTTTCATGGCCTGACCATCACTAAATTGTGGGCTCATGATATTTTGGGACCATTTCCAGGCATTCTAAGTGTTGTGTGATGTGCAGATGGTGCTTCTTGGACGTGGGATTTGGGGATTAGGTGGATTCCCTTATCCGTTTTTATTCTATTTTTAGACATCCACTTCTGCTTTCTGTGTAATCTTGTTCCATTTCCTCTGGTGACATCTGGATCTTTCCAAGTATCTTGCTGTAGCTGTGTTAGGGGTGAGGGATTCTGAGAAATCAAACCAGAAGTTTGACATTATGAGGCTTGACCGAAAGTAAATTAGGATTTATCGAAATGTACACCAGGAAGCTCAGCCACAAAATTGATTGAAAGACTAAACCTGAATATAGAAGTCTTCCTTTGTGTTTCACAATATATTCTTTTGTGCCCACATTACCTATTAAATTTTTATGTGTTTTTTATTCACGCTATAGCTAGAAGAATGAAAAGTTTATGAAAGGATCAAAGCATTTATTTCTCAATTTTCTTGAGCTATAGTGTGAATCCCTTCACATTGGTGAATCTATTCATAGAAACTTATGTGTTTGTCAGAGAAAATCACCCAGTATCCCATCAGTGAAACACTCATTTATTTTATCTCTCTCTGTGTGTAGTGTATATCAGAGTGTGATAAAGTATTATTTCCACAAACTCATATTTTCTTTGGGCTGGCTATAGGATATTATTCAGCAAGCTATTTTGAATTCAATGTGGATATAATTTTCCTTTGGGCTCTTTAGCAACTATATTTTGTAATTTTACTTCAAGAACTGTAACTATTGAAGATATCTTAAGACAGCTCCTTAAGATATTTGTTATAACAAATGAAAACAACCTTCCTGGCTCTCAGCTTTCATCTTCATGAAGTTCTTTTCTCAATGATAGTTGCAGACACATTTGTATTTCTTATGTGTTTCTACCTTTATTTTACATAATAAGAGAGCTTCCCTGTAAAGTGTGTATAGGTACATATGGAGCTGGTTTTGGTTGACACAAATTAATAGGAATTGGAAATTATTACATAACTCTTCCATTCTTCACTGGGAGCTGCAGTTACAATGCTGGCACTGGCTAATTAACAGGCTCAACCCTGTCTTTTCAGTGAGACTAGTAAGTGAAGGATTTGATACTTTCTTTCCTGAAACAAACAAAAACAGCTTTGGAACTGTCAGAAACAACAGCGGCTCTTGAAGGCTAATCATTACCAGCTTTTGTCATGTGGTTGTAATTGTTGCATGAATTCTGCTTCAATCAGGGAAAAATACGCTTAAGTGCCAGCAAAAGTTTTTATGCTGCTATGAAATTTTGCAATTTATGGCTTTGTACAGATCAGCCTGTGTTACTAGGCAACACTGTATGTGTCGTTCACTCAAATTATTCCTTAATCCCCAGCATTGCTACAAATTCCAGATTTTAAAATGTAATAAATTATTATAACATACGTTGATTTCTGATGACAAAAGTGAAATTGAATTTTTGATGCTGAAAAGGAAGCAGTATTTTAAGAAAAAGCACACTTGATGGAAAACAGTAAGAATATTTACAGCTTAACTATATTTACCTCAGGGGAAAAAAAAAGGTTCTGAATAGATTGAACGATCATGTAGTTCTCTGATTGGTCATTAAGCGGGCCAGGTTTTTGGCACTTAAGCAGTCGTATTTGTGATGCTGGTTTTAATTAAGAAGTACACTGCAGGATATTCAATGACCAGGCAAGTGTGGCATTGCGGTTTGCTTGCTGTGCATCCATATGCATTTGAGAGAAGATAAAAGTCTGAAAGAGATATAATGGCTCTGTCCCTCCATCTTTAAATTGACAGTCTGCCTGAGATTGTGGGTTGCTGCGCGGACTGAGTCTTTGAATCTGCACAAAAGTCCGAGCATTCTCATTTACAGACAAGAAATTGCACCTTGTTCCTCAAAGCAATATCAAGTTAAATGGCAAGGACAGAGCTAAAGATGCTTTGGAGATGTTTGATGACTCAGAGCGATCTTACAGAAACCCTAGCACCAGTGTTGAAATAGGCATAGTAGCTTGGTTTGTGGTTTGGAAGTGCTTTCTTGCTTGAACACTTTTAGTGTTTTGAATTTCTGTTATTTTTCTCAAGCAGTCTAAATGATATTTCAAAAATAATCACCATACCAAAATAATAAAAGTCATGTTTTGAGCAAAATCTCCCCAAGTTTTATTCTGGTATAACTCTCACATATAGGAAATACTTCTGAGGTGAGAGCACGTGGTTTACATGCCTAGGAGTGGGAGATTTGAGTTTAAACTCTGGCTGAACTCTGACCTCATGTACTGGATCCTCACTACTTTAAGTGTGGCCCACGAATCAGCAACAAGAGAATCTCCTGGCAGCTTGTAAGAAATACACACTCTTAGGCTCTGTCCTAGACCTACTAGCGGAATCAGCAGCCTCACAAGATTCCCAGGTGAAGTGTATTGAATGCTTTTAGAGTTTGGGAAGCACTGCGGTAGAAGCAGACTGGATTCCTCGCTGCCACAGGCCCTTTGCTTTGCTCAGTGTCTCTCTAGCTGGAAGGTGTAACCCCTGGGGGCAAGTAGGCATTGTCACTGTGAAGAATTAAATAGGACAAGCTGCTATTGAGCTGGGATGGCTTATTACAGCGGCTTCTGCATGAACCTTTAAGCCTCTCCTTCCTAATTACTTGCAAATCTACCTTCCCCTTTTCCCCTTTTTCAGATCCCCTGGGTGGGGGTGATTTGTCATTTTTTTTAATTGCCTTTTTCTATTCTCAGGGCTGGCCTAAGGTGTGATTTTAAGAGCCCTAGAAATATCTTCTGCTCCAAAGTTCTCTCCTCTCTGTCTGATATTTAAGAGTTGGGATTCTATTTCTAAAGGTCTGTTGCTCTTAAAGCGTTGTCCTGTGTTAAAGCAGAAAACCTTCCTCTATGCCTGGGCTCACCTACTGGGGACTTGGTGTCTTATTGGACTTATTTTACTTCATCTGTAAAATAAGGGGGTTGGAGAAGACCTTACCCAGGACTTTTCTTTTCCTAAAATTTATAACATATGAAGGTTTATTTGAGCCTTTTGACGTAACTGAAATCTGACTTGATAAGAGACGGGGGGAAGATTTATGAAATTAAGTTTTATGGTAAGTAAGAGACGGGGGGGAAGATTTATGAAATTAAGTTTTGTGGTAAGTAAGAGATTAGCCAAGAGTTACCTCTTTGGTTAGTGAAGAGATGTGGGGAAAGAGGCCACAGGAAGGAAGGCCAGGAGCCCAATGCAGAGGCAGGCAGTAGGCTGACACCAACAGCAACTGTCATGACTTTCCCATTGTGTCCAGAATGCACTCTCATCATTATCATTTTTTAACTTGTCCTTTCCTTCTTGGTAACAAATGTGTTTTGGAGAGCTCGTTTGTTATTTTTTGGTTGCCCAGCAGCTGAACATGGAATTGGTGCTGCAAAAAAGCCAGCAGGTTTTGGGGAAAATTCTGGGGCTGTCACCATAAACCTACCCTCAGGTCTCTCGGTCCAGCAGTGTCAGTGAGGGCAGGGGATGAGGGAAGAACTCAGTGTCGAGTGCCAACAGTCTGGGTGGCACTTGAGTCAACCATTGATGGCAGGAGTGTCTTCACCAGGCTGTTTAGTCAGGGAGGGTTTAAGCTACATACCTTTTCTTCCTTCCTTAGTGTTGGTACTCACCTACATCAGGTAAACAGGAGACAGAAGAGGTACAAAACAAGGGGAGATGTGAGTGGGCTGAATGTTGGCAGAAATCCGGAATAGTGTAGTATCCATGAAGGCTAGGGAGGAGAGAGTTTTAAGAGAGCCAGTTGTGTCAATACAGAAGACAGATAGATGGATCTTCCTTTTGTTCAGGTTTGTACATAGAAAGTTAAAATGAATGATCTGAGTATGTATTTAGGTCAGGATAACTTCATGACAAGTTTGGTCATGAAACAATACTGATTGTGTGCTTATGTTTTCATGACTTGACAATTTTTCACAATAGGAAAAAAGAATTGCTTGGGGCCTCAAAAAATATTTGGATTATGATTATTTGAAGCCCCCTGTCTCTTTTTTCAATCTATAGGAAACAGGAATATCACTCCAGCACTTTAAATTTCAAGTGTTTTCTATGAAAGGTGAATTCTTTTATAGGAAAGTCTTGTGTTCTTTTTCTTGTGGGCTATGTAGGTTTTCAGGATTTGGAAAAAAAATCTGGGGAAAGCCAACTCATTTTTTCACCTTGCTTAAGAAGAAATTTGGAGATTCTTCCAGCATCCAGAATGGAGAGGAGGAATAGAAAGGAGGAGGGGAAGAGTATGATGCTAGGGAAACGAGAGAGGGCTCCACACTCCAGGATGCGGCACACCTTCCTCCCCTTTTGAGGAGATTGAATGAAACACAAAAGCACTTGATGTGAGTGGGTTTCTTAGGCACAGTGAAGAAAGAGCTGTGTTTTGCCCCAGGGCGATGTGGTGTAGAATGGAAGCAGTTTGTGCTAAAGGAGGAGCCCATGGGGGAGCAGGAGAAGAAAGGAGAAGGGGAAAAAGAGGAGGTGGCGGAGGAGCTAAGCGCTCCTCCAGGCTGTGGGGTGGACACCACAGGGCTCTGCCCAGATCCTTTTTTCAGTGCTGAGACACTCATCCCTCAGGGGCTGGGAGGATTTGTGGCCCACAGCTGAGAGCCCAGTTTCCTTATCAGGACAGTTGTCCTCTGCTGGAGAGAGCTATCTTGGTGGAATGCGTTCCTGAGGGCAGACCACATCCACAGACTGGTCAATGTGGGGGTAGAAAGATCAGCTCTATTATAAAGGTATAGTGGTTACACCCCAACCTGGTGTAACTGTGCACGGCCATTCCGCCCCAGAACTCCCTGTGGGATTGTCTCAGACCTGCGTTGAGATCATCTCCTCGCAGGCCAAAGTCATCCTCTTCCCAGTCCCGTTTCCTTTATTCTCCCCCAGATGTTGATCCTGGGAGCATCAAGGGGAACTCCATCTGTGAAACCTGGAGGTCCCCTCAGGATTTGCAGAGATCTAGGGGAAAAGACCCAGACTTTTTTTTTTTTTTTGAGACGGAGTCTCACTCTGTCGCCCAGGCTGGAGTGCAGTGGTGCGATCTCGGCTTACTGCAAGCTCCGCCTCCTGGGTTCACGCCATTCTCCTGCCTCAGCCTCCCGAGTAGCTGGGACTACAGGCGCCTGCTACCACGCCCGGCTAATTTTTTTGTATTTCTTTAGTAGATACGGGGTTTCACCGTGTTAGCCAGGATGGTCTCGATCTCCTGACCTCATGATCCACCCGCCTCGGCCTCCCAAAGTGCTGGGAATTACAGGTGTGAGCCACCGCGCCCGGCCAGACCTTTATGGATTTTAGGGTTGATGAGGTGGAGTCACAGCAGTTTTACCTGGATCTAATGAGAGTGGCAGAAGACTCCAGGTGTTAGTTATTTACATAATTCTAACCTGGTGTTTTTCTCCAGGCAACCTTTGGAATGAGCCCCAAATGCGTGTAGGTAGTATATCCTATACTTACTCCTGAATTTGCTTAGAGCAATATTCCAGAATCCTTCCCAATATAGTCACCAGATCATGGTGCTGGGTTCAGGTAAAAAAAAAAAAAAAAAATTACAGATCTCTTTTCTTGAAGTAGAACACCTTGGGTTTATATCTTGAATAAGAAAATAACAAGGACTTTTTGGAAAAAGGATTCAGAGAATAATTTCAAATTTAATTTGGAGTCATAACTTTTCTGGAAGGCATTGAATACGGAGAGGGAAAATAAGGGGGAGCAATACTGGGTTCTCTCATCTAAAGAGCGGGTTCTGGGCTCTCATCAGAAAAATATACTTTTTGATGCAAGTTTTTGATATTCTTAAGTAAAAAAAAATCTAGATAAGCACAGGGTGTGGATTGCATCCTTTACATTATTGCTTCTAACAACATCTGGATATGGCTGTTACTATTAGAAGTTATAAAAATAACATATACGTTAAATATGAATTCTGAATTTCTCTTCAAAGAATTAATATGTCAGTATGTTCAATTCTTTGCCTTCTACTTTTAAACTTAACTTCCTCGTAAAGTAACCTTTTTCTATTACCTACTCCACCCTGATTCATTCCGATTACCTACTCCACCCTGACTCATTCCAATCACCTGCTCCACCCAGACTCATTCCAATCACCTGCTCCACCCTGACTCATTATTCTCCACCCTGCATAACCATTTTTTTCCTGCCAAAGCACTCACCCCATCACTCTCTTTAAATTAGCTAATCGGAATTAGTTTAGCCTGTGCAGTCTAACCCTAGCCAACAGGGGAACAACACAGCAGCAGGGGCCATGTGCGTCAGGGATAAGAATCCCTTTTCCTCCCTTGTCCAGATGTGCGCTCACCATTGCTCCATCTGTAAGGGCTCACCCTTCTATAGAAGTAACTTGCCTTGCTGAGAATTAAAAAGAAAATTTTATATTCAAGTGCTATTTCTTTGGTGGCACCGAAATTTTATACATAACATATAGTTCAAAGGAACAAAAGTTAATTTTTAATATCTGTAAAATTAGTCACCTACCCCCAGTAGTTTTAAAAAATGCGTGGTTATATGAATAACATTGACAATTTTTACGCCTGTATGTGTAAATAGAGAAAGTGGTTATTTAGAATGTGTAATTATATGTATTAAGCACATAATGATTTACATTTTACAATGAAGATATTGTTTTAAATTTTACAAAATCTGTGGATATGAGAACATAAAAACTAAGTCCAGTGATGTGTTAATTGAATTTGATAAGAAAAAAGTTGAGAAGGTTGTTGGACTTAAAAACATCCATTGGATGAGCCCCATGAGCATGCCTTCAGGGTGAATGCTCACACAGGGCACAGGGGCCCTGCCACACGTGAACCATTGGGTCGTCCCTGTCAAATAGAAGCAGCAGGAGGTGATGCATCAGATAGGCAGGAAAACATGGGGTTTGATGGAGCAAGGATTCTTAATAAATCAAAATATGAAGACACTTCATTCCTTGAGGAATTTTTTGCTTCCCACCATTAGCACTGGGTACTACTATTTGAGAACCATTGGATTGATAGTGACGAGGTGAAGAATTCATTATCTGCATAGTGTGGCCTGGAATTTCTCTAAGAAAATATCCTGAAAGTCTGTTTGTGGGAGAAGAGGAAACTTTGCAGGAAAGAAAGGATGTGTGACATTCAGAAGGGAGTAGTTAATGAGACGAATGGCTAGGGTGCTAGGGGTGAGGAAATACAAAGTGGATTTACTTCTTCAAGGGAGTTGGTGATAAAAAAGGAAAGGATGCAGAGAAGGAAGGGAATGATCTGTGAGATGGAGTGAAGTCTGGGACTGCATGGAGTCCAGAGGAGAAATGTTCCAAGGGACAAAGGACTTTTTGAATCAAAGGTAATCCCTAATGACATAGCATGTTAGTGTGCTGTTGAGTGTGTGTGTGTGTGTGTGTGTGTGTAATTGGAGCTGTTTCACATGGAATACGGCATCTTACAGCCATGGAATAATATGGCATCTTACAGTGTGGAGTAGTGAGATCATAATCTCTAAACTGAACTGGAAAAGCAGATGGCAAAAACTAAAGGAGACCACGAACACATAAGCTCCTCAGGCTTCTGTGGAAATTTCTGGAGATCTTGCACTGTTTCAGGGAGTCTAAGCCTATCTTATCTAAGGTTTCAGTGGACCCAGAGGTCCCCATTGACATCATAAGGACATTGCTGTGCCTGTCAAGTACACCATTGGGTGACTCTTATCTCACAGTGCTGGATACCCTTACATCACCAAGCTTCATTGAATTGGTGTCATGCTCTTGGGTTTTAAGAAGAACATTCCGAGAACAACCAACTAAGAATCAGGCTGAAATAAAAAATGATGCTTACAAACGATCCCTCTGTGACTCTATGTCTCTATCCACAGTCCAACGTGAGAAATTTCCTTAGGAATTCAATGTCGAAAAGACTGCTCCATATGGGGACCTGTTCTGCACTTGTTTTGATAAAAAGAACTGGAGTTTTAGTGATGCCTTTTCAACCTGGCTGCAAGAAGTTGTGAACCCAATATTCTTATCTGTCACAACACCTTTTTGTCTGTACAGTCAATGGTTTTGCTTCTTCCTTTTTGTGATTCATCTGTCTGGTTTCTTTTATATTACCCTGTTTTAATGTGCTTTTCATTGAAAGCCACTCAAATCCCCTATGGAAATATTTAGAGTAAAAATAAAATACACCTTTGATTTTGTTCAATAAAAATTTTCATCAGACTCATAGCAAATGCTAAGATACTGTAGAGTGTCCTGGTGGAGCAGCCAGCAGCACCACATGCTTACATGTTTTATTTCTGCACTTAGTGTCTTCTCTGAGGATTAGTTTCCCACTGGAACCCACACCTTCATTTTGTCTCCCATGGAAGTGGGTTATAACCCTTTAGGTTTATCCCATGCTACCAGCTGCCTTTGTTCCTAACGTTAATGAGTGAATAAACTTTTTTTTTTTTTTTTTGCAGAAGCTTAATAGACTTGTCTACTTAGCCCCAGAAATGACACTGCCTGCCCCCCCAATTTTTTTTAACACAATTTCCCCATGAATTAGGTCATTTGGATGAAGTTCACATGTAATGCAATCTGAGAAAGTGAGTGTGAGCACAGGAAAAAGAGAGAGGGAGAGACACTTTAGAGGTTATAAGAACTGGGAGACTGGCACTTCATTATTTAGCACAATTTACTGCAGCATTCACATGGTGCTCTTCCCTTCCTCATCTACCCCAGGGACCTCAGCCTTGGCACAATTGATATTTTGTACCAGATAGTTCTTTGTTGTGTGGGACTGTTCTGTGCATTGCAGGATGTTTGGCAGCATCCCTGGCCTCTACCTACTAAGTGCCAGTGGCACTCTCCTCTTTCAAGTTGCGACAACCAAAAGTGATTCCAGACATGGCCAAATGTCCCCTGGGGATTTGGCCAATCACACTTGGTTGGTTTTCCATTTTTGGGGTTTTTTTTTTTTTTTTTTTTTTTTTGAGACTGAGTCTTGGTCTGTCGCCCAGGCTGGAGTGCAGTGGCACAGTCTTGGCTAACTGCAACCTCCATCTAACAGGTTCAAGTGATTCTCCTGCCTCAGCCTCATGAGTAGCTGGGATTACAGGCGTGAGCCACCACTCCTGGCCCACACTTGGTTGGAAAACACTGATCTATGTCTATGCCCAGCTTTCCTATCATGATAGGCTACATAGCTACTTTCTGATTCATCTTGGCTGCTGGAACTTCCATCATGTTATGATCATTTCCTCAGCCTTTAGCCTAATTGCTTTTTTTTTTTTTTTAACGTTTTGGGTGTAATTGCTCCTTTCTACTTGTTCTGCAGCCAGAAGCAAAAGGTGAAGCAGTAAGCATATTTTATCTTTTCTGTTGCAACTCTCTCCTTACCTCTCAAGGTCTTAAATAGCATCCATGTTGAGGTAGTTTTCAATGATGCTGCTACAACTGTCCTTAGGACTCATGGTATGATCATAACATCTTTATCCTCTGGGTCTCTGTGCACAGTTGAAATAAGTCATACTTTTAATTATTCCAGTTCTATTCTTCACCAAAATCTGTTGCCAAACCTGTACTGCACACCTTAAAAGGAAATTTTTCTCAGAATATAATGTAGTTTCTTTAAAACATATATATTTTAAAGAACATCATTCTGTTAGGCTGTAAGAAGTTAAAACTTTGATATGAAAATAAATTTAGGAATTTCCTTTCCCCTCCCATTTAGTAAGTGCTATCTAAATTCCTGGCTGCAGAAAGGACCAGAGCATTTAACTAATTACTATGACAGTTAACAGTTGTAGCCTGTTTATTTGCTAGACCCAATATAAGCTCATCCAAAATCACATTACAATAAATGTAAAATCCAGTGTTATGCTTTTTAAGGTCAATTAGTGCTTTCCATTAGTGAGCCCAATTTTCAAGGACAAAGACTATTAAAATTCTATCTTGAAATCCAGTGAGATCGGTTTCAGACAAAGTAAAATATTACTGTATTGATTTTGAATAAATAGGCTTGGATAATATATTGGAAAGTACCTACATGACTCATATTTTGTAATGCCATTTTTGGGGGGTCAGGGGAGAGGTGAGGAGCAGAGGAAAGCAACATAGCTTAGCAAATAAGAGCACAGATTCTGGAGTCAGAATGCCTGATTTCAAATGTCAACACCAACATTTACCAGTCATGTTACATTGGACTGATTATGTAAAATCTGTGTTTTTTTTTTTTGTCTCATAGGATAATAACAGAAATAGCATGACTGGGTGTTGTGAGGATTAAATAATATAATGCATATAAGCAGAGAATTCTATGCCTGTCCTATAATCAGAACTCAATAAATGATAACTATAATAATTTTGCAGAAGATTAAATTCTCGTGGATAATTTTGACAGAAAACCCATCCCCAACTGCTTAAGATAGGGAGATCTGGAGGACAGTGCAAATTTCTAGCACAAAAAGTCAACTCTCCAATGATGTCATAAGGACTTGATTCATTTCCATTCTTTGTCCAGTCTTTCACTATGTTGGCTCCATACTTATGGTATAAGTACACACTGTGACAACTTCTGGAAACACCACCTCTCCTTTGGAGTGACAAATGGCTACAACAACTCCTCACATCCACTATAGAGTGGGAAAGAACAAGCTTTTTGTCTGATAGCTCCTGGCAAAACCAGGAAATTCACCATAATTGTGTTCATTTAGGTTATGTGCCCAACTCATTGCAGCCAGAGGAATGTGATGGATTGATTTGCTGAAGTCTTCTCACATCCATGGTCCAAATCATATAGTTGGCAATAATGAGAGTTGAGCCCCTATACAAATTCTGCAGCAAGAGTGGGCATGCAAATTGTAATAGGGGACTATTTCTTGAAGAAGGTGGAAAAGATAGGGAGACTCAAGAAATAGCTATAAAGGTGATATCATCAGTGGAAAGGTATTTTTTTTTTCCTCCTACCATCCACTTACTACAAGAATTACTGAGAATAATGATTGCTTATTTGAAGAATTGCCTATATAGCCTCTACTTAGTTTTGTGTGCATTGAGTACTGCTTAGAAACTTCTCTGTAACAGCAATGGCCAGAAGAAAGCCACCAGTCAGGACGAATCCGCATCTGTGGGTTCTTGTGTCACATGGCGCTGGCTGATTCTCAGCAGATCTGCTGTGGCATCTGCAGACATGATGCTCTCCTCTCTGTGGTGAGCTCTAGGAGGCTTATCTCTGTTGAGTAACACCAGCTGCTTTCTATCTGCCATTTTGGAGAATTGAAGCTTATTTTTGGAAAATTATCATTTAGCAACTGTACATGTCCATATGGCACAGCAGAACTTCATCAAGCTTGGGAAAAAGTTCCATGAGATAAATCCCAACTCACTGGGAGGTTGAGCCAGGATCCCTATTTCTCATCTTGTTCAATTTTTCTAAAGAATCTTTATAGGACGTGGAATGAATCAAGAACTGGGCTCAGGGGCATATTTGGCTCATCATCATTTGGATACTTGAAGCAAAATAATCATAATAGCAAACTGGCTTTTAATAGTTTTAAAATTAACATCATTTTTTCATCAAATTTACGTCTCTTGTGCATATAGATAAATATTTTCCTATTACACTGCTTGAAGGGTAAATCTCATGGTCTTTAAACTCTTAAAGGATTATTATACAAAGCTTCCTAGTATAGGAATGATTTAGAATTAAATATTACTAAAGCTAACTTCTCTTATTCTCAGCTTCTGGAAAAAAAAAACAGTCTGATTTCTAATTCTGGCTCTTCCTGATTGCTGAAATGCATCTTTTCAACTTCAGTTATATAATTTCTCATGTAAGTTGTGTTAGCTTGGTAAATGAAGGCCTTTTCCATTGGATTTCGGCAGGTTTGGATGCTGTGCTCACTGGCTCTATGATACCCAGAGAACTCCCAGGTCACTGTCAAGTAAAGAGAGCCCAGGCAACATGCAAGCCATGCATTTGGGCCCTCAAGTGGTGAGGAGCACTAATTTCCTCTCTCTGCTTATGATTTCATGGTCTAAATCATATTTTTTATAATTGCTCATGCAACAGAAGTGTATTTTACCCCTGTGCCATCTCAGGGAGAGACTTCAGTTTACAATAATTTGCAATAGTAGATAGTGTAGTAGCCTCAGCCCCCTCTCACTATTGGTACGTCTATATCTCCACACCTCTTCCCCCTTAACACACACTATTGAATGTCCTGGCTGTTACCATCTCACAAGGAGACATATGGAAGTGGGGTAGCACTTGTGACCCCTTATTAAGATAGGGACCAATAAGTTTTGGGATGTAGACGGTATCACTTCTGCTGGGTGGCCAATGGATGATGTGCTGGACACTACAAAAGGGAAATTCTTATTGATCATAAGCGGGAAGAAACACTTGCAGATCTTAGCTATAGATCACTGTATTCTGGTCCCTTGATTAGAGAGGAGTGGGCAGGGATTTAGCTGGACATAAGACGCAGGTAGAATCAAGGACTCAAGCACCTTCAGGGCTCTCTTGCCTTTTCTGTTTACTTCACTCTGTTGCAGACTAGCTTCTTCCACGTGGTGAGAGATGTGGCTGGTGTTGAGCTTACGTCTCAGAAATGCCAACACTGGGGCCAGCTCTTCATCAGCGCCTGTTTGAAAAATCCTCATGAAAAACTGTGATTGGTCCACTTCAAGCCTGGACCAATTAACTGTGGCCTGGGGATGGAGTTAGGTAGGAAAATGGTTCATTCTGAGGTGGTGCTGTCCCTGAGTGGGGCAGAACTATTCCTGCGATGAGGGGAGAATGGACACTGTTCAGATGGTTCCATGAGTGTTCACTACACAAGTAGACAAGACTGGATATAGTTACAGATGTCATATGTTAACTGACTCAGTCAAGATTTTGAATTTGGAAAATTTGACTCTCTGATTAGCTCCAATATACAGTCATACAGCCTGAACTATATAAAATCCATATGGTTAAGGGCTTGCCCCATACCATTCTGTCTACTGTTTATGACTTGC
Organism: Homo sapiens; assembly: GCF_000001405.40. Classification (NCBI taxonomy): domain Eukaryota; kingdom Metazoa; phylum Chordata; class Mammalia; order Primates; family Hominidae; genus Homo; species Homo sapiens. Next base: position 148,746,674 of record NC_000003.12, on the reverse strand, counting down.
TTCCCACCCTAATATTTGGGTTCCCTCTTCCTCTGGTTGGTCTGGGTCCAGTGGATCCAACATGGTCCTGGGGCCCTGACTGTATGTATCTCTCCTGTGAGGTCTGAACCCTGGCCTTGGGGGCAGTGTGTGACTGCTTCCAGCCTCCTGTCCACTCAGTCTCTCTGTATCTCTCTTACTCTTGATTTACTTTCTTTACCCTCAGATATCTCACTCTTCATACCAAGTATCCGAAATTCCTTGAAACTTGTTTTCTTCATTCACACTTTTGTGACCTGCTTCAATCTATTTTCTCTTCTTGGGCTTCCTAGATTGGCACATATTGTTGGAAAAAAATGCACCAGTATACAGAGTTATGAAACTGAAAAACCTGTGGTATCAAAACTCTGAGAGCCTTTCTGTGATTTGCAATCAAGCTGCTTCTCACTTGGCTCTCCTTCACACTGCTCACAGCAGCTGAGCAACAAGTTTATCCTACATGCTAAGCTGCTATATGTTACACAGCACTTGTTACCCAGCACAGAGTAGGGAAACAATACAACACTTATTAAATCCATGAATGAGTGAATTATTAACTAAATAGAAGCCTTCACGCTGGGCGCGGTGGCTCACGCCTATAATCCCGGCACTTTGGGAGGCCGAGGCAGATGGATCACCTGAGGTCAGGAGTTCGAGACCAGCCTGGCCAATATGATGAAACCCTCTCTACTAAAAATACAAAAAGTTAGCTGGGTGTGGTGGCAGGCACCTGTAATCCCAGCTACATGGGAGGCTGAAGCAGGAGAATTGCTTGAACCCAGGAGGTGGAGGTTGCAGTGAGCCTAGATCATGCCATTGCACTCCAGCCTGGGCAACAAGAGTGAAACTCCATCTCAAAAATAAAATAAAATAAAATAAAATATAAAATATAAAAGCCTTCTTTCACCAAGCCAACTCACCATACTTGAAAAATGATGTAACTGATGTCCAAAAAGATGAATTTCCACAATGAGAAAGAGCCAGCATTAGAAATGACTAGCCTTTTTTTCCCCAAAAGCTTAGAATGAGGTAAATTTTAATATTGTGTATATTGAAATTTACACCTCAGAAATGGGTGTAAATGGGTGTATATTGAAATATATATTTCAATATAAATGTAGCTTTTGCATTCTGTTGGGCACCTAGATCTCTATGGTAAATATTCTTTTCTGTATGTATTTTTTAAATGTACCAAAAATAAGGAGTCTACCTAACCTGTAAATATTTTCATGAAGAATACATAATGGCATCCTATCCTAACATTTTGGTAAGTAGGGTCTCAACTCCAAGATTATGTTGATCTCACTGAAAAAGAAAGAATAATCATCAAGGTTAGTAACATCTATTTCACAAGTGAGATGGGGTAAAATCCCAATATAATTTGATGAATGGAACATGTTATTAACACCATTAATAAATACATGATATAGGGGATATCTAAATACAATTATCTATCAGAAATCTTGCCAACTATAACCTATGAAATAGTTCAGCAAGTTTAAAATGCTTACAATCACTTGGATTAAAATGACTATTGAGTAGGGCATGGTGGCTCACACCTGTAATCCCAGCATTTTGGGAGGCTGAGGCGGGCAGATCACCTGAAGTCAGGAGTTTAAGACCAGCCTGGCCAACCTAGTGAAAACCCATCTCTACTAAAAATACAAAATTAGCCAGGTGTGGTGATGCGTGCCTGTAATCCCAGTTACTTGGGAGGCTGAGGCAGGAAAATCGCTTGAACCTGGGAGGCGGAGGTTGCAGTGGACTGAGATCACACTACTGCACTCCAGACTGGGCAACAGAACGAGACTCTGTCTCAAAAAACAAAACAAAACAAAACAGAACAGAACAGAACAGAACAAAACAACAACAAAAACAAACACACACAAAAAATCCTCAACTACTGAAAAAAAAAAAAAACAGTTATAAAGCTGACCTGGAGGCCTGGAGGGATTTTATATAGGATATTTATGCTATCACTTGGGATAAGGTAAAATTTATTTTTTTGAGGTGATCCTTTGTGAAAATAGTAGAAGACCTTTGGGGTGAGTGGCTGGCATTACATTAATGAAATTAAAAATAATATAAAAATAATATAAATATTATAAGGCATATGGAACCATATTTGTTCACAAAAACTTTATATTTGGGAATGTGAAGGTAATATAGTCTGCTTTGTGGAAATTCTGCCCAGTGGCCAAGGCCTCTCTCTGAGATGACACCCCCTTGCCCACAGCAACCATCAATTATTTTACGCATAACTCCAACCCTTTGGCCACAGTTTATTTGACCAGAATGAGCACTTCGGTCTGCCCTGTATGAACTTCAGAAGCACTGAAATCCTTTAAATAGAAGAATGAAGCAACTGTCCGATGGGAGCAGAAATGTTAAAAGTACAATTTTCAGGCACAGTTGCATCCTGGCCCTTGCATGTGGCAGCTGGATCCTTACGGTAAATCTTTCTTTTCTGCTTAAATTTAGGCTGGGTGTGGTGGCTCATGCCTGTAATTCCAGCATTTTAGGAGGCCAAGGTGGGAAGAACACTTGAGGCCAGGAGTTTTGAGACCAGCTTAGGGAGTATAGTGAGACCTCCATCTCTGTAAAAAAGTAAAAAATATTAGCCAAGAGTGGTGGAGCAGGCCTGTAGTCCCAGCTATTCAGGAGGCTGAGGTGGGAGGATTGCCTGAATCTAGCAGTGGGAGGTTGCAGTGAGCCGAGATCACACCACTGCACTCCAGCCTGGGGGACAGAGTGAGACCCTGTCTGAAAAAAAAAAAATTTAGTAAATACCCCATTCTGAGGTTATGGTGATATATATTCATACCTAGTTGGTGGTATTGTAAATTGTTATGTTTTCTGGGAAATATTTGATAACAGGTAGTTAGACTATTAAAAAATGTTCATACGTGTATTTCAGTTGCACCACTTCTAGGAGTATGGGAAATTTCTCAGATTCACATACTTGAATGCTCATCTCAGTGTAATTTATGATACTAAAAAAATCAGAAAAAGCTCAATTTTCCAATTTGGTGACTAGTTAACTATATCAGCGTATGTCCATATTTTGTAGTATTATACAAATATTAAAATGTTTTAGAAAAATATTTAATTGGGTAGGAAACTACTATGCTATGACATTAAGTGAAAGATCTGTATACAAAGTACTATACACATCATGACTTCAGTATCAGGATTGACACATATATGTGTGTATAATGAATGAAAAAAGTAGAAAATAAAGTTCCCAAATGTTAAAATAATGATTTTTGACCGGGGAAGCTAAACATGACTTTTATTTTTATGTTATTCTATATCTTCTAACTTTCCTACAATGATAATGTATACAATTAGAAAAATTCTGTTATTAAATTACTTGTAAAATAATGTATTATTCTAGCATTATAGCAAGAGTTAATTTTTTTCTTTGTTATGTGAAAAACTGAAAAATTCAAAACGATGTGTTTATTCCATGACATGCAGTAGAACAAAATGTTTTTTCTTTAACTTTTCAATGTCAGGATAAAAAATCTATAACCAATAGTATTAAACTATCAGTTGTATCAAAATTTAAATAAAAATATATTCATACTCATTCAAGGTAGTCTTATTTTAAAATAAATTAGCATCTATTTTAAGTAATGAAGATAAATACATTGCAATAAAATTATTTTATTTTAAAGTAAATATAACTTTGCCAGATTTTAATCAATTAACAGCAGTTTAGAGATATAGATATACATATACATATATGTGTAGAATATATACTTTTTTTAAACAGGAAGGCATACTTTATGATATATAATCTTTTTACCACAAACTATATACACTTCTCAGATATTAAATCAAACTAATATACTAGGAAGACACTACTACTTGGGACCAGTGCAGCACCTTTACAAGTAGTTTAACTTTTATATGTGACTTTAGTAACACCATTATACAAATAAGCCATCTTACGGGCATTGTTTTGGCAGTGGAAACCTATAAGACACAGGTTGAATTTCACAAAAAGATCTGCAACTTGACGACTACTGCTTAGCATATCTTTGTACAAAATGTGCAGTACCAGGTGCAAGTGTAGCACAGTTGCTAATAGCTGAAAACCGGCACGAAAACTTTACTGCCCTTTGGAAACTGGACAGAACAATCTGGAACTCTCATCTCCTGTTGCTCCTCTAACGATTTAATATATTCTAAATACCTTTATGTGGAAATAAAAAATAACAGGACAAAAGCAGGCTAGGGAGATTGCATTTCTGTCAGTAAAATTTCTCAAATCAACACATTCATCGAGTTTCTGACATTGTTCTTCGAGCAGCCGTCATCTGTCTAATGCAAAATGTGGCTTTGCTTTGTCTTGTTGCAAAAGGAAAGAAAAGCTTTTGTTCAGAGCTTTAGAAAAGTCGGTTCAGTCCACATAATGCATTTTCTCCTTCAATTCTGAAAAGTAGCTAATGCTCATTTGGTAGTGAAGTGCTGCAGAGGAATGTTCTCTTGCTCCTTCTTTCACAAAATTACTTTATGGACAGGTTTCGAACATGTCACTCAACCTCAAAACATGGTGCAGGCTTCTTGGTGGATGAGCTTACATTATCTGAGGGGCGGTAGGAAAGCGTGCTCATTTTTGTTGAAAGGTTTGAGTGGGATTTGGCTTTTGGGGGAATATATTTTAGAAGCTGGAGAAAATATCTTTTAAATTTTTTCCCCAGAAAGCCATAAAAAAGAGGATTCAGGCAATTGTTAAAATAAGCTATACAAATGGTGATAGGCATGGCCGTGTCCACAATATCTGCAATTCTACAGTCACGTATGATGCCTAGTTGAATCAATACATCCAGAAAAGTGAATATTTGGTGGGGAATCCAGGAAAAGAAAAAGAAAAGCACAATTGCCATAATTATCTTAAAAATATCATCATTTCTTGGTTTGTTCTTCTGAATTTCATAAGCCTTCTTTAGGGCCTTCCAAATAAGAGTATAACTTGTAAGAATGATCAGAAAAGGAAACAGGAAACCCAGTATATTTTTGGTCAGGCCCAGCCCTATCGGGAGGGTTGAATTTTGGGACTCATAATGGAAAGCACAAACTGTAATATTGGTGTTCTCAATGAAAAATACATTTCGATGGATTATAGCTGGCAAACTGGCCAAGCCTGCCAGCAGCCAAATGATGATGCAGGTGACTTTGGCTACAAGCATTGTGCGTCGAAGGCGGGACTTCATTGGGTGAACAATAGCCAGGTATCGATCAATGCTGAGACACGTGAGTAGAAACACACTAGCGTACAGGTTGAAACTGACGCTGGCTGAAGCAATCTTACATAGGTAATTGCCAAAGGGCCAGCGGTATTCCATAGCTGTGTAGACAGCCCATAGTGGCAAAGTCAGTAAAAAGCATAAGTCAGCCAGTGCTAAATTCAAAAGAAAAACACTGGCCACAGTCTTCAGCTTCATATAAAAGTAAATGACTATCACCACCAAGCTGTTTCCAAATATTCCCACCACAAAGATGATACTGTATAAAGTAGGAATCATGACAAATATGTAATTATGCCTTCCAGCTTTGGGACAATCATCTTGGATTCTTTTAATACCATCTTCAGTAGAAGAGTTGAGAATCATTTTGATCACCTGGGTCGAATTTGTTGCAAACACTATATCAAATACACCTGGGGAAAATAAAAATAAAATGGTAAAGAAAAAATTCTTATTGTAAACAAACAAACTAACAAACATTCATTTCTCAGTCATAAACGTAGTAACTCAACTTTAGTCTTAGGAAAAAATACTGGATCATATTTCTTAAGGAAACACTGTGAACTGATAAAGCCTAAGAAAGCACACTTAAATTTTAGAACATAATTGCTTTTGTAGAAAATGGTATCATCCAGAGAAGTGAAATTGGGATTCTATGTGAATAAACCTATCTAGGTCCTTTTCCTTTTTTTCTATAAGTAAATCTTGGTTTCCAAATTGATTAAAAACATAACCTAAATCTTAGAAAATACTACTGAATTAAATTAGTTTTTCAGAAAGACTTGAAAGTTTTTCCTGAGGTAAGCAGGACCAATTCATTTATCATTAACCTCAGAAGTGTGACACATTCATATTCTTTAAACCATTTCTTTCCTCTCACAATCTTTACTTAGGTATAAAGATTATAAGTATTCTCCCTTAAGTGGTCAGGATAGCTGCCTTTAGGTGACTGACAAATTGGTCACTGTGGCAATTGATTTAAGAGGCGTAGGAGGTAGGGCTCGACTTTGAGGAATAGGATTTTTTCCATGGTTTTCCAGGCCTCTGCAGTCAGTAACTACTTACTCTTTAACTTCCAATTCAGTCTAGCAAAAGTGCATGAATCTTCTAACCTTCATACCTGCCAGCCATTTCTGAAGTTAACTCTGTGGTTAACCATTTGTGTAACAAAGATGTCAAATGAATAGGTTTGGCTAGGATTATCAAGAAAGCATGTCTTTACTGAGGGCTTGAGAAAGCAGCAGGTTTTTTAGAATTCTGGGGAGAATCAGATGCTCAAGAATGGGCTGCACAAAGCCATGCAAATATTTGCTCTGATTTTCTACATAATCAACAGTCAAGCTATTCATTTATGTGATTTAGAAAATCAACACATTCTGCCCTGGATAACAGTCCATCAGGAAGTCCCAGGAAGGAGGCTGAAGGTTCAGTGAGAGTGACATCACCGAATGTGGTACAGCCACACTCTGAGGTGAAGGTCAGCATTGGGCACAGGCCAGGACAGCTAGGTGGGCAGTGGTGCTGGGCACACAGATCCTATTGCTCTACCAGGAGCAGGTCCCCAGATGAACATGGCTGAGCATTCTCTTGCAATGGCATGCCCTGGGGAAAAAGAGGAGCAGAAATAAGACACCACTGCCATGCCAAGCATGGTTGTGCTTGGCATTCAGGAGAGCTGAACACATGTTCTTAGAGTAGTGTTCACTTTGGTGCAAAGGGATGCTGTGCAAGGGATACAACTCCAGTAGTCAGCTTTTAAGACATAACACATGTGAAGGAGTTCTTAAGTGGTCTCTTTGCCTTCCCTGAGTAAGTAAAGTTGTTCTCCCTATGTAAGTTTTTGGTTGCATGTCCTCATTATTGTTCCTTTTTGCATCCAGCTTATATAATGTACATCCTTTTCTTCTTTGACTCACCAGGACATTAGTATCCACAAACAGGTGTTATCTACCCTAAATGTCACATCTTTGGTGAAGCCTTCCCAACTTTTTTGAGCACTTTGACATTTTGGATGTAGGTTTGACACTTTTTTTTTTTTTTTCTGAGACAGAGTGTCACTGTATTGCCCAGGCTGGAGTGCAGTGGTGCGATCTTGGCTCACTGCGATCTCTACCTCCCAGGTTCAAGTGATTCTCATGCCTCAGCTTCCCTAGTAGCTGGGACTACCAGTGTGTACCATCATGCCCAGCTAATTTTTTTATTTTTAGTAGAGACGGGGTTTTGCCATGTTGGCCAGGCTGCTCTTGAACTCCTGACTTCGGGTGATCCACCCGCCTTGGCCTCCCAAAATGTTGGAATTACAGGCGTGAGCCACCGCACCCGGCCTTGAAACTTTATTGTAATCATCTGTTGACATATCTGTCTTCTCCACTGGTCTGTCAGTTGCTTGTGGGGAGAGCCTGTTTAAAGTTTACTAGTGTTTACTTGTTTCCTTGTTTTCTGGTGTAGGCCCTGGTATGTTCCAGGAGGCAGATGATAAATGTCTCATGAATGAGTGACTGAATGGACAAATGAATGGGTGAGCAGCATAGAACTTACAGCCATGAATATAGTGTATCGAGACTAATTTCTGTGAAATCACATGTTGCTCCTTGCAGAGTTTCACAGAGAATACTCAGTGTCAACTTGGGCCTCACCTTGGACAAAAAAACAGAAACAAAAACAAAACGAAATAAACAGGTAGAAAATTCCTTGGTGCTTTTAGAAACTTGTGGTTTAGAAAACAGAAGATGAAAAGAAGAAATAATGTAACAGAAACTAGGGCTAGGCTTTTAGGGAGGTATGACTAGTTCTTCCTCACCCAGAGGATTTCCCTATACCTTGTAGATTTTCCAGTTCATCTTACTATTTTTTCTGAACTTATGCCAACTTAGAAGTATAAATTCATTTATATAGACACATATTCTTTATTAAAAATTAATTAGTCATTAAAGGGTTAGGGCTAGCAGTCATTTGTGGCTTAATGTGGATTAATTTACCTATTTACTATCCTTTTAACCATCTAGTAGAGATCAGCTGGATTTTGCTTAGAAAAAGAATTAATAATGTAAAGGTTAAGGAACCTCGAAGGTTGAAAAGGGCCTGAGTGAACTCCATAACTGAAAATGAGGGCAGAGGTAAATATTTGGTTCAGCTTGGGAATAAGGGCAGTAAAAAATAGAAGGGAGTACACTTTACGCTCTAGAATCCCTTGGGTGCCCTGAGCTATGAGAACAGGGAGGAAATTTTCTTCTCCTTCTCTCTCCTCTTGACTCGACTTTGACAGCACACAACTCATGTGGGTTCCATTAATCCTATGTTTGGAGTGAGTAGAATTTTATTAACTAGTCTCAAACTATAACTAGCATTCATAATACAATTTCTGTGGGAAAAAGTCTGCCTTTGTGAGGATCAATTTATAGGCATAGTTTTGTACTCCAACTCCTTCACAAGCTATCAGCCTTTTTTTCAGTTACCATTGATTCATATTGACTGGTATTTAATATATAAAAGGTAGCTTTGAACAGCTAGGGGATCATCCCTGGAAACTTCGGTGAGGTATTATTACCTTAATGAGAATTCGCTTGAAAGAATCTGGACATAGCATGGAATATGCCAATTAGAAGAACATTTTACATAAATGTATAATGACCAGAACTCCCTGCCCAATAAAGAAACAAATTTTTTCCTACTCGAGGGTGGAGGAAAAAGGGAGAAGAATTTTAGGCGATAGAAACAGTGGAAGGAAGCACAAGGAAGTAGCAATGCAAATAGCACATTCAGTGGGTATTCACCAACTCATCACATATTCACTGAACACCTACCATGTGTGGGTGTCCAGGATGCAAGGGGAATAAAGTCACAGTTCTCCTCCTCTACACAGTTTAAGTCTAGCCAGGGGGACAGGAGCCTTAAAGGCAGTATTATCTTTAGTGTGTCGAATGTTACATCATATCAGAGGCATGTGGAATACTCTGTGTTTATCACTGACCCAGATTGGTGGGGAGTGTGGGGTTTGGGGGAAGGATGGTGAGAGGGCAGTGGGGGTGGGGAGAGGGATCAGGAGATGGCACCTGGAAACCAGCCAGGTGGAGTAGAGATGGTGTCATCACTTGAACTTTGCCCTCCTTACTAATGCCTGCAGCATCATCTATGGGAAACAGCTCTCATAAATTAACAGATATTGCACAACGCTCTTGGGGGTGTGGGATCTGGATGTGCACTGGGCATTTCTAGATGGGAGGGTGACATAGGCCATTTCCCAGTCTGCACTTCTGCTACTGATAAGCTTCCCTAGAGAAATTTGTTTCTAAGGAAAGAAATAAAGATGGGACTTTTGTGATTGGCAGTTACTTTAGATTGATGATAAATGAGTGGGAAACAGTAGGGCTCTTTTTTCTTTGAAGCTGAACGGATGCTGGTTTGGTGAGAAGCCGAAGGAGAGAGAGATGTGATTGACTAGAAAAGCCAGATTTGTGAGATCTAGAAAGCAGCTATGTTTCAGTCACATCCTGCTTCTTTTCCCAGAAGAGTTACAGGTAGATAGAACCCTGATTAAAAACATAGGAGGATCCACCTCTTCCTACTTTTCCTATTTTTGGTCTTACTATTCCTTTTATCCAAGCTCTGTGGCTTACATGAATTCCATAGCACCATTTCCCCTTAGAGAAAGGAAGATGAATTTGGGGTTGAAAGACTTGAAATGGAATCCTCCTTTGCCACGTACAAATCTGTGTGGCTCTGGGTAAGTCATCCAATTTCTCTGAACATGACCCTCAGTTTTTTTTCATCTGTAGGAAACATGAACAGTGATATTTATTGCACATGATCTTTGTAGGAATAAAGTGAGATAATGTTAAAGCACTTGGTATATCTTTCAAATAGTGCTTAATGAATATGTTTTACTTGAATCTTTACTATTATTTTTTGAATGCAAGGCAAACATTGACTCAGAACAGCCATGGGTTAAGAAAGCGTGAGAGTAAAGAAAAATGTTTATCATAGGTAAGTTCCTTCCATTGCCATTAAAAGTCTAAAAATTCCAGGCTGTTGTTCTTTCGAAGTATGAGTAAAAAATAATCTTAAGCAGCTGAATAAATTTGCCATGAGTGAGGTGGGAATCTAAGTCTGTGGCAAACATAGGTGTTGGCTCATTGTGGCCAAACCACGTTTATTTTACAATTGCTTTTGTAAGAGTTACCTTATATCCTTTGACAGCTTTCCTGGTTCTTAAAGCATAAGAATGAAGATTTTCTTTCCTTTTTTTATTCTAAGAATGCTTTCCCAAGACTTTTGATTAGAATATTAATACCTTCTTAAGCTTTTAGGCAAGCCAAAACCAATCTAATTAAATTGTTCATTACAAGCTCTTTTTAAAACTAGTTTGCAATCTAAAGAAAAAAAAATTCCCCATAGTTTCCTATGATAATAAAGAGAGAACTAAATGACCAAGTAATTATATTTTGGAATAATCTTCTATCAAAGTATCTCTCTCAAGCATCAAAAAGAGTAGGAAAATGTTTGTAAGCCATTTGCTTATAGTGCTGGACAGCTCAATAAACCATCCTGTTCAATAAACTGTTGTCTTTATTGTTCCTATTTTATAAGTCAGACTTAGAAAGGAACTGTTTCTGCTCCTATGTTGCTTCCCCCACCTCTCTCTGCCAAGTAAGGCCACAGGAAATAACTGTTAGCTATTCACTTGTGAAATCATTGACCCATAGAAATTGGCACTAATATTTCTAGGCTTTTTACTCGTTTCTTTTTCAGATCTACTTGTTCTTATTTCTTAGCCCTCTGTTCCTATTTTACGAAGTCTACTTCTTCTTTTATTTTCCTTAACATTTTGAATATCTGTCTGTTAAGAGCCCCTACCCAATTGCTTTACTATTTATAGTTCCTCAGGTATAAATTATATTTATTGCACTTGTGGACACTGTTTCTTGATAATGGACTTCTGCTTAGGTTTTGTAATCTTTGACTGTGTTCATTTTTGGTGGGAATTAACTTGCTTGGGAAGACTGAGTGCCTGGATGATGGTAGCCTATGAAACCTCAGCTTGGGGGTACAGCACTCCCTTGATCTGGAAAAGTTTTTAATGCTCATTTCTGAGCTTAGTTTTCAACCTTATATATATATTTGCAGATACTATATATTTGCAGTATTTAGTAGATTAGTAACTATACCACTCTGAAACTCTGTCTGGTCTTCAGAAGTTTTCTAGTCTTTCATCATGAATAGGTAGTGATTTTTCAGTCCCTGGCTTTAATCAGGAAACACAGCTTAAATTGCCTTCAGTATATGTGCCTACTGGTCCTGACTTTCACACTGCCAAAGTCACTGGAACTTTATCTCAGCTGTGTATCTAGTGTTAGTCCTGATCTGGCCCAATGTGGTCTTAACTTTTATTCAGAGCTGTGATCTGGCATTCTGTATTTAAGGCAGGAAGGGCAGTTTCCATGCCTGCTTCGTCCATTTCATCTCTACTGAGGTTGCCCTACATGTTATTTGAAGGTGATAATTTCCAAATAAGTTGCTTAAACCTAATAGCTTTGGATTATAGTCATGGCTTTTGATGAAGCGTTTGAGCCTTTACAGGTTGTATTTGCCTCTATACCGGGAATCCTGGCAGCCACGAAGAGGGAAGCATGGCAGACCACCTGGCACCATGGGGCAAGAGACAAGTATTGCTTTTAAGTCAGATACATGGGAGAATGCCATGCTCTTGGTTGGTAATCCTAGACTAACTTCATGTTAAATGATTTCTTTGGAGATGATTTTGTTCACCCCTGCTATTTCTGAGTGAATAGTTCTCTCAATGCAAAACATTTTATTAAAATTATTAATGTCATTCTAATTAAGTACTTAAGATCCAATCTCCTCAAACTTAATAAATGGCTCTCTGATATATGTACATGGTAAATAGTGGCTTCTGGCCATCTTCCCAAGTCAATATCATCCACTGTCATCTGACCTCACAAGAAATAAAAACAAGGCAAGCTGCTTTATTAATTCTGCATGTACCAATTGTGACTAACTGTGGTGACAGTGGTTAAATGTTCCATCATTTCCAACTAGCCCTCCCCTTGTTTCATCCAAAATAACTAAGAACCCAAAGAACCCAGTTTTATGAAAGGAAATTCAGAAACTTTATAATTTATATTAACATTTATATTTAGGATATGAATTACAATGAAAGTAAAATGTTAATCCCACATTTTAGCTTCTTGGGAATTGTTTAAGACTACTGTCTAATAATGAAACTCTAAACTACAATTAAACTTCTCTCAACTCTAAAAGTTCCCACTTACTATAAATTAAACAACTCAGTTGTGATGAATGCCCCAATCCCTCCCACCCACATCACTATCCAAAATTCTTAGCTGTTTTTGTCGTTTTTATTTTATTCCAAAAAGTAGAGAAACAGGTGCCAATGAAACATATATGATCAAGTCTAATTCACATGCTTTAAACATCTTCCTTCGACATGTTAGTGTTAGTATTAAATACTCTTATGTTAAATATGAAAGGCCATGAATGGCTTTCCAGGGTGTCTGGAGAGAGGAGACTCCAGAGACTAGGAGAAAAGGAAAATAAAACCTAACTTGGAAGAAGGCCTGTAAGTAAATGAACCCCTGTCCTCTTACACTTCTAAATTCTTCAAACTTATAGACTCATAGAATTTTCTCACAAGAATTATCGCCACATTTCAATGGATTAGTATCTCAGCCATCATGGGGAGGAAACATCATTTTTAATAATATGGCTCTTGGAGACTACTCACAAGCTTTTCTTTTCAACAGAGAAAAGGGCAGCACCAATATGGGCTTAGTCAATAACAATTGCTTCATCCAATTTGTGAAAAAAACTACAGATTTTGTATATGAAGCCACCTCACTTTTATTTCTTTGAAACTTTAATTCAGCAGCAGCAACTGTTTATCTCATTTCAAATTCCATTTTAAGGGGTGTGAGGAAAGTTATTGGGCAGGAAAAGAGGTACTAATTAATTTGTACCCTTAAGAAATTATGATAATATTAGAGAATTTATATGCATTATGAGTATTATGTTGGGGTTATTGGCCACATGGCAATTCATTTTAGATTAAAGCTTTTAACATTATACAAGCCACATAACCATAAATTTTAAATGAAGCTAGAATATTCGATATACTGTACACGTTTTTCCAAATTGCTCAATGTTCTGATTGCAGAAGAAATATTCTTTAACGATAGCCTGCAAATTGGTGGAAAATGTGGGAGCGGACTGAGGTTCTAATTTTAGCTTTCCCACTCACTGGCTGGGTGACCTTGAAGCAGTCATTTAGCTTCCCTGGACCCCTGTATCCTCGGGGAGTTGGTTATACTCTTAAAAAAATTTTCCGGGCCGGGCGCGGTGGCTCACGCCTGTAATCCCAGCACTTTGGGAGGCCGAGGCGGGCGGATCACGAGGTCAGGAGATCGAGACCATCCCGGCTAAAACGGTGAAACCCCGTCTCTACTAAAAATACAAAAAATTAGCCGGGCGTAGTGGCGGGCGCCTGTAGTCCCAGCTACTTGGGAGGCTGAGGCAGGAGAATGGCGTGAACCCGGGAGGCAGAGCTTGCAGTGAGCCGAGATCCCGCCACTGCACTCCAGCCTGGGCGACAGAGCGAGACTCCGTCTCAAAAAAAAAAAAAAAAAAAAAAAAAAAATTTTCCGAAGCATGAACTTTTATAATCCTTCCATTGAACAGGTATGCATCATTTGACGAGAAGGGCAAAATTGCTTGACAAGTAGAGTAATAACAATTTCAAGAATTATAACAAGGCAGTTGATTAATGCTATCACATATTGTTAAATCAGCTATCTAAATATTTTTAATCCCACACTAATTTAATAATATTCTATATTAAACACAAGAACTCTTTGTATTGAAACAACAAAGTGAAAAAAATTTACTGTTTACTCAAGATGAATAAAGAAACTCAACATAAGATTATCATAGTCACAGGTTTTTTTCTTTCTTTTAAAAAATTAACTATTACTCAAAGAAATATTTCCCAGGCACATTTGGATAGCTGGTTGTGGTTCTAGACTAACGAGGTCAATGTTATGAGTTTGAGCCCTATCTGGACTACTTTGTTTCATTCCATTTATGGCCAAAGGCTGTAAGCCTGTCAGACATCCCTTACGTTATTTATTGACACTACCAAGTCAAAGAGTACAGTTTGGAACATGGTTGAAAATCAAAATTAAAAGCTTGCCATGAAGTTAGAGAGTCAAGATTACATGGTCCTGTGAAGAGGGGGGCGCAATGTGATACTGTTAAAATAACATAGAAAATCAACCCTATTCTCAGATTCTTTGTAAGAAAATACAACTTTTTAAAGTTTAGCAATTAGTTAATGTGGTCTAATTGCCCAGATAAAAACACAGAGGTGAGGGCAGAGTATTATAAGAGAACTTCAAGAGAAGGTTTCAACATTCTGAAGTTAAAGGGCCTCTGTTCTAAGAAAACTAAAGCTATAAGGGTCATATTTATTTGATTTTATCACATAGTTTCCTTTTCTTCCATCACAGTTTTGTATGCATTATAGTTCTTTACTTTTTATTTATTGATTGATTAACATAAAAATGCTGTAAAAATTGAGGAAGAGCAGAACAGCCTGGAAGAGAAAGCACTGGACTGCTGTCCTGGCAAAGAGTCTGCTCTGCCAGTAACCGGCAACACAATCTTACATGGCAATTTAATCTTTCACTTTGGTTTCCTTTAAATATTACAAGATATTTAGAATGAGAATACCAACACCTGTTCTCACCTCTATTTCATGGACTGCTAAAAATAAAAAGTTCTTTGGAAGACATAAAAGCATTTTTAAAAATATAATTGTTCTATAATACAAGGGTAAGTAAAATGAATTAAATAAAGCTCAGACTTTCAAAATATTACTAAATTTTTTTATTCGGAAGTTCAGCAGAAATATTTTTCATTATTATAATAATGTTTTTAGTTTGAAGAATTATAACAAGGCACTTGATTAACCCTGAAAGAAAAGTAAAATAGTAGATATTGGATTGCTTCTACATTTACTACTTGTGGCAGCAAATGTTTGGGTACAAACTGACCCCTCAGGGCAAATCTGAACAACGTATATATTTTCTTTGGTCCTCAGAGTATTTACAGCTTTTGGGACTTGAATTTTCTGTAGTTCACTAATACACCCCTCTATTTTCTGGTTCTTTAGTTCAGTGCTGTCCAAAAGAAATAGAAAGTGAGACACATATATAATTGTAATTTTTCTATTAAAAACATTTGACATGTAAAAAGGAACAGGTAAAATTAATTTTGATAAAATATTTAATCCAATATATCCAAACTATTGTCATTTCAACATGTAATCCATATAAAATTATTAAGATATTTTACATTTTTTGTACCATGTCTTCAAAACCCAGGGTATAATGTATGCTTCCAGGACACCTCAGTTACACTAGCGACATTTCAAGTGCTCATCACACTGGGGCTGGCTGCTGTACTGGAAGCACAGTGTAGGTGCTTTTACTCACAGACGTCCCCTAGTTGGCCCCTCTAGCAATGGTTCTGAAAGTGTGGTCCCTGAAACAACAGCATCAGCATCACCCAGAAA
Source organism: Homo sapiens (assembly GCF_000001405.40). NCBI lineage: Eukaryota > Metazoa > Chordata > Mammalia > Primates > Hominidae > Homo > Homo sapiens. The sequence continues at coordinate 148,730,795 of NC_000003.12, read as the reverse complement.
TTTGTTAGAGATGTAAATCTCTGGCCCCACCACAGACCTACTGAATCAGAAACTCTGTGGGTGGGGTTCGGCAAGCTGTTTTTAATGAGCCCTCCAGGTAATTCTGATACACACTAATATTTGAAAAGCACTGCCCTGTAGGCAACTTAATTTGCAACTCTGGCTTAAATGCTGATAATCCTGATGAACAGGCAAAACCAATCCAACAAACAACAAAAGTACCCTCAGCTAAAATGTTTTCATTTAACATTTATGAAGCATCAAAAACTGAATATGAGAAACTTACTCATTAAACTGCAGATTTCTATTACACATTCAGGACTGGCGTAAAGTGTGCCCAGCAGGATGTCATCTAGTAAAATCCCCTTTGCAGCTGCTCACAGATATCTGAAATTCCTATAATTCAGGTAGGGTGGAATACCCACCTTCATACCTTCTCAGGAAGAACTAAGATCTACCTGAGAAGAAACACAATGGCTCAGGTGACAACCAGAGTTAAGACAGTGGGAAGAGCATAGTGATGGGAGCCAAAAGTTCTGAATTAAGCACATGATTTACCTCCTCTGAGCTGTGGAGCCTTTGGACTGTCAGTTGACTTGTGATTCATTTTCTTCATCTGGAAAATGATGATAATAATAATAATGTTCACGATGAGGATGATGAAGTAGCAAGCATGTGTCCAGTTTGGTGCAAAACATTGTTGGAAACACCGAATGAGATCATGGATCTGGAGGTGCTATGAGACCCTAGAGCTTTGGAACTTTTGTTGGTGTTATTAAGTTCACACTGTGGTGTAAATGGCTAATTTAATTTATTTTTTTCCCTGCGAGCAAATTTGGGTAAGAGAAATTGGGAAACTACACGTGGTGCTAGAAGTGGAAGAAACTAAAGTACCAGCAAGGGGTGGAAAGACTCAGAGAGGGGAGGCTGAAAGGCACTGCTGAGAGGCTGCTTGGACCAGACTGTTTCGCCAGCTCTGAGAATTCCTTTTGAGTATTACATAATTTTTAAACATAAATTACAGTGATATTACATCACTGTAATAAAAATATTTAGACCATTCTATCTACTATTATCTACCACTCCATTTCTTTTCTATGTTAGGCTACTTGCGTTTTCTAATTAAATATCCTGTGATAAGAGACACCGATGCCAGGCCAATAAAAGGTAAACAACACTTTGCCAACTGAAAAATAAGATGAGCTACTGGTGACTGCTGCTTCCTGTGAAAACTTCATTAGCAATAAATGAGTTACCAGATGTCACACATCAGATTTGAAATTAAAATATATTCCCAGTAGTTGTGTGCTGTCTGAGCAGAAGTTAAAAACGAACTCTTTCCAAGAGAATTGCAAAAAATAATGCACCAGTTTTTGCCTTCTGGTTGTTTGTTCCTCCTCTAAATGTAAAATAAAATGCACGTTCTGGGTTGTGAAGTGGAAATATAGCATTTCTGCATAGAAGGCTATGTAGGGAAGTGGCACATTACTCAAATAGCAGTAACTCCTTAAGGACAGGAGAATTTTTTTAACATCCTGTGCCACACCAAGACCATCATCTCCTCTTGTTTTTAACTTTGCCATCGCAAGTTCTCCTCTGCTCACCTTCACGTTCAGCACGTGACTTCTGCTTTTATTACCAGCAACAAAACTGTTCAAGTCAGAAACTGTCAACTTTGACTCCACTTGTCCTGAACTATAATAACCGTGTTAGTGCTTTTCTTTCTTCAGGAGATATTAAAACTCTCCTCTGGTTCTTCCAGCTAGCTAAGCTGAGGCTCTTGTTCTCAAAGTTACAAGTCTCCAATCCAAAAGCAATTGTGGTTAGGGAAGGAACCCCGCAGTAGGAAATAGAAGAATACAATTTCATTTGAGCCAGCAGAAATTTCAAATAAGCCAATGTGATAGAAATATCTAACACTCTCTAGTTTTTATAAACAAATAATTTTGGCTGAACTTCTTCAGCCCAGTTGCTTTGCAGTTTCAACTGGTTCCAGCTGAAGATCATGGTCACTTGAAATCATTTATTTTTTTTCTCCTCAGTTAACTTTGGTTCTTATCTCCTGCCAGATAGGTGAAGCTTATAAATCAAATTCAGAGGGTAAAAGTGAATTATCATTCTCCATCCACCTCTCGGAGAAATATTTACATGGAACTTCTCTATACACAGAAATTCCCTGAAGCACCTAACAGTTTATTTCTGGATCATTAACTACTTATCAGATGCTGGGTATGTGGAAACTGCTGGCCTTTGGCTTTCACAAGGAAGATGGAGCATTTTTGAGATGATTTCTATCAATGGGGAAAATGTCAATTCAATCTTTTCAGCTTCATAACTTTAGCACAAAATGACATACAAGTGTTTAAGTTCATTTAATGTACCATTATTTTATACTTCTTTTTGTTTCTGCTGATTAACAGAAAGGACTTATAATAGTGGCTTAATATTAGCAATAGTAACACTGATCACTTATTATTCATTGGATGCTTACTATGTGCCAAGTGTTGCATTAATTGCTTTCATTTCTACAAGAGACCTATGAGGGAAGGCATCATTATTCCCATTGCTCAGGTTAAGAAACAGGAATAGAGAGCAGGTCCTTACGTTTTTGACATTCTGTAAGTAATGTTTCAAGGCTCTATTATTATTATTTTTACTTTTTGGCATGGTCATCTCTTTATACTCCAGTCTAGTGCCTCTCAATTAGACTGATTTTGTACTCCAGGGATATTTGGCAATGTCTCGAGACATTTTTGATTTTCCCAATGTGGGAGAGGGAGGTGTGGGGGGTATTACTAGCATCTAGCAGGCAGACAAGTGATACTGCTAACCATTTTACAATGCGTGGGACAGTCTCCCACACCAAAAAATTATCTAATCCAAAATGTCAATAGAGTTGCTACTGAAAAACCCTGCTCTGGTTCCTACTTTTTGTTTTAACCTTTGATAATTTATATCTCTCACCTTTTATGAAATAAATTAACTGTATACTGAATTTTATTGGAGGCTTTTATTTCATGCATTATATCTTCCGGGGAAAACTACAGATCCCTCACAAAAGATAAAATCCTATTGGGTGACCAAAGTCTAAAGCTGTGTTGGGTGCTTAGTAGGAGCTCTCAAACAGGGAGTTTACTAAATATCTGCTGTGTTAGATCATTCTAGAAATTACCTTCTGTAAGCATTTTTCATAACTTCAGGATTCTGCACAGATAAGGCTGAAGAGGGAATTTGAGCTCAGATTCATCATTAGGGTTTCAAGAGATTGATGGCTGTTGTCGTGGCCCCAAGGTCTGCACTGAAGGGAGGAAGCCACCTAGTCCGGAAGTCAAACCCTGCCCTCTTGTGGTATCACTGCCATAGACACTTCGGGGAATCTGACAGGATCAGAGGGCATCGATCTGTATCCTTCCGGTCTGAACTGACTGCAATATTTAAGTGTAAATTCAGCTTGCATTCACATTAGGCCTTTTCTTCTTTGTGGAACAGTACATTAAATATAACATGTAATCAAGGCTTTCATTAGAAACCAAGTGGAGAGAAGAGAGAAAGAGAGAGGACAAAGATACCATACTTAGTTACAAATGTTACTTTCTGGAAGTTTGACAATTACAGAGTTTCACTTACTTAGCTTGATTCTCTGTTACTTGCCTTCTCTACAAAACTGCTTTTCTGACTAATAAAGGCATGGAGTAGTTTTTGTAGGCAAGGAGAAACAATTCTGGGAAAAAGCTTTGTAAGGAGCAATATTAATAGACATCTATGCCCAAAATTTGATTCCTGTGGTATTTTCCCTACAAATTTCTTATAGGCTAGTTCAAGGAGAAAAGCATCATAAAGTTTGAAAGACCAGCTAAATCAGTGGAAATTATACTCTCCCCTTTCCCATTAAGAACTCTATTCTCTTACTATGAAAACACCACTGTTCTTTCTTATCTCAGAGTGCAGCCTTTTCTGTATACTGATGCCAAATGGGTAACATTTTAGTGAGACATTTGAAGTTGTGATATGCAACTCGGTGGGGGACAAACAAGGTCATTTAAAAGGTCTCTTCATTGAGAACATCAGAGCTTTCAAAAGAGGCACACAGCCTTTCCCGCATAATTGGGGGTAAATGAAGAAAAAGCCCATAAAGTACAAAAATTAAAAAAACGGACGGAAACACTCAGAATTAAGAGTGAAAAGATATCATGAATGCTGATGCTGAATCTTAACACACAAAACCAAAGGCAATGAGTAAAAGAGCAATTTAACTTAAGAAGGTGATGAACATAAATCAGTTGACTGCAGGCCAGGCATGTTGGCTCACGCCTGTAATCCCAGCACTTTGGGAGGCCAAGGTGGGCGGATCACAAGGTCAGGAGCTCGAGACCAGCCTGGCCAGCATGGTGAAACCCCGTCTCTACTAAAAATACAAAAATTAGCCAGGCATGGTGGCATGCACCTGTAATCCCATCTACTCGGGAGGCTGATGTAGGAGAATCACTTGAACCCAGGAGGTGGAAGTTGCAGTGAGCTGAGATCATGCCATTGCACTCCAGCCTGGGCAACAGAGCGAGACTCCGTCTAAAAAAAAAAAAATCAGTAGACTGCAGGATTTAGCAAGGGAAAAAAGAAACTTAGAACTAGAATTGGGGGATTCTTCTTCGCTTCTCTAGAAATTGAGATCTTGGACAAATCATTAAACCTTCATTGATCTGACAAATGGAAATAATATTATGAAGCCTCTACCTTGCCCTTGGAAGAGTGTTTTAAGATTATGTGTACAAAATAACTTTTTCAAAAGACAGTATATTATACCCATTCAGTATGAATACACTAGATACAATAAAAAACAAGTTTGCTAAATAGCTGAAGTGCGAAGCTAATTTATAGACCAAGAGATATATATTCAGCACCTAGAATCTTAAAAAGGAATATTAATTTAATTAATGTTAGCAGAGTCTATTATCTGGCTGGACTCATAGGAAACACCACCTTTGCAGTCTCACAGGTCAGGGAGAACCTGTCTCCGGCCGGGTGTGGTGGCTCATGCATGTAATCCCAGCACTTTGGGAGGCTGAGGCGGGTGGATCATTTGAGGTCAAGAGTTTGAGACCAGCCTGGCCAACATGGTGAAACCCCGTCTCTAATAAAAATACAAAAATTAGCTGGGCATGGTGGCGGATGCCTGTAATCCCAGCTACTTGGGAGTCTGAGGCAGGAGAATCGCTTGAACCCAGGAGGAGGCGAAGGTTGCAGTGAGCCAAGATCGCGCCACTGCACTCCAGCCTGGGCAGCAGAATGAGACTTATACATATACTAAGTAAATTGCGTCATAAAATTTTACTTTACAGATGTAATTTGTTGCATTATTATATATGGCCAATAAATTGATTATAATGAAGTTAGAAGCCCTAATAATACAAAAATATATAATGATATAATTTGTTATTAATCCCATAAAGCAATTTAAAGAATTACTTTTGGGGAAGAAGTGAAAGAATAAACACATAAAGTACAAATGACTTTAAGTTAACTTTATGTTGGAGGAAGAAAATATATCACACTATAGACCTTTGGTTGGTGAATCAAACCTCAACTAATTAAATGACAGAAACTTCCTTCAAAATGCAGGATTCAGAGAAAAATTTTGTTGCCTACAGCTCCCCTAGTATTCATATAAGTCTCTTCTGTGAATTATCTGACTTAACATGTGGTAATTGTTGTTTTTTAATAGAATTTCATGAGTTCACTTTCTAATAATTATACAACACTGTATTGTTTCTGGCAATAACATTTTTGGTATTACTTTATTACTATATAAAATAATGGAAAAACAAATTAGGCTAAATATTTTTTGTACTCAGAATAGAGCAGGCAGATTTGTGAAGTTCATTAGGACTTTGTGAGAATAACATAATATGCTAATAATTTTGGATATTTTGATATGAAAAAGATTCTAATTCAGAGAAAATATATTTTTGGAATCAGTCTATTCCAGTAGCTATAGTTGTGTAAATAAGTCAATGATCAGCTTAGAGTCATTCCCTAGATAAATTACATGGTTTCTTTATATCTTATCAGAAACTAGTATGTTCTCTTTACATAAAAAGTCATTCTGCAACTTACGGACTTTTGATTTAGGTTTGGAGGGTAGCTGTATCTCCTGTGAGTCAGGAAGTCACAAAAATGTCTGCTATAGAAAGAAATTCATGGGTCAAATTTATTGATTTTCTTCTTAAGAGAAATACAAGAATATACATGTATACCCTTTGTCTGGTAAACATACACAATTACTATATTATCAAAGATGTTTTGGTTGTCAGGTTATCCAAGTAAAGTCTATTTTAACCTAAAATGTGGTTGAACTACTATTCTCTACAGTCTTTTGTTTTCCTTGTAAGTCAGAGATTCATAAGAGAGTCCTTGTAAGTCAGAGATTCATAAGAGAGTCCTTGTAAGTCAGAGATTCATAGCATTCTATTGTTGTTATGGTCCCTAGACATTATGCATTCCAGGGTTCACATATTCAAATACATATATAGGCTGGGAGAAATAGGTGAAGTGGACATGGTGGTGAATGGAGGGCCCTCCCCCTTTCTTGGAGGGGGGCCACGGGGTCACTTCTCAGCTATAGTCAACTGTGCCAATTGTAATGAGGTGGGGGAAAACAGCTAACTTTAAAATATAAACTTAAAATTTCAAATTTCATGTGAAAGATCCTATTTTAAAATGTTTTCAACTAATATATATATATATTTTAAAACCCAACACTGTGGAACCTAACAGAACTCTTCTAGATTAGATTTAGTTAAAAAGGCTGCCAATTTGAAACTTAGGATCCAGGCCAACCATCTCATTTTAGAACTGAGACGAGACTCCAAGCCCCAGAAAGATGTTGCAGACCCTCATTCCAATGTTTTAACTAGACTGAAGACTTGAAGTATGTCTCTGTTTGTTAGACATTCCCCCTTCCATTCCACATGCAGCGATTCATGGCTGAATAGTTGGAGGTTACGGTAAAACACAGAGATGTGACAGGATGAGTCAACTGTCTACCCTTGATCTCACACAGCCAGCTTGCATAGTCTGCACTTCGTGAGATGTGCCTGACTCAGTCTGAGGAAGCTTTCAGAATGGCAGCCTGAACTTCACCCCTACCCCTCATTGTTCTTGCTAGCAACTTATTTTTCCCTTTTCGTTCTTCTATCCTGGAAAGCATACTGTTACATCTCTTAGAGCTGTTGCTGCTCTGAAGTGCTCCAAAGTGAAGTCTCTATGTGAGTGAATACAGCATAGAATCCATGATTTGGGTATTCTTATACTATTTTGACATTTACTCGACAAATATTATCTTGTGTTCAAAAGGTCATCAGTAGTGAAAGGGACTGAAGCTATTTCATAGAGCCACACTCAGTGGCCCTGGCTAGATGACTGGTGAGGAGTTTACATTTTAAAATATTTTAAATAAATACTGAAAATATTTATTTTTGAATAGTTCTTATCAAGTGTTTCTGAAGTGAACTTTGCTACAAATAGGAAATTATCTGTACATTTATGTTTTAAGGCTACATTTGTCCTTTTGATACTAATGTATTTCCTAAATACATTCACTGCAGATTTGGGAATACACACACATAAAAAAAGTGCAGGAAGAGAACACATTGCTACACTGACTGAGGGAGTTACACAGGATTAATCCTGGATGAATATGGAGTATTTCTGATTAATAGTAACACTTGGCTAGCACATTCATTGTTTGGGATTCTATCCCTAATAAAACTTCCTGGACAAGCAAGTTGATTTTTCAGATTTACTGAAAAATAGTTTAATTCTCATGAGCATATTTCAAACTCTGTACAAGGACAACATGGACATGTATACTTTGGTTAATTGCTTGGTTGGCTGGAAGAACATAGTTCATGATTTCATACACAGCTCCTTGGATGTGAAGCGTTGGGAGATGCAAAAATGCTGACTTCCATATTAATTGTATTTCATGTGAAGAGATAATATTTCATGAGTTTTAACTAGAGTTTTGGGGTAAGTCAGAAAACAGAGACGGAAAATGGTGGTCTGATGATGCAAACTCTTGTAACTGACTCAGAAGGTGCCATGTTGATGACTGCGGATGGCTTGATGGCTACCTCATGAAGAGGCTCAGTCTAGAGTGGAGTATCAGTGCATGAAGGGAGTGGAATCTGTTCCAGGCCAGCAGGGACCAGAGTGAGATGAGAAAGGGGCTACAGAGTGGCACCCTCCCGCCTCTTCTTAGAATGAAGGACTTTTTCTGAGAGTTCAGCATTAAGAAAGGATGAAGCATGAAGTATTCAGCTGCTGGGAGGAAACTCAGCGTCCAGGGAAGAATGTTGTGGGGATGTGAAACAAATGTAGTCTTAGCATCTGAAGTCTCAGTTTAAGTTTTCATCTCAGACATTGTAGTTTTCATCTCTAGAAGTTCAATTTCAGTCTTTTTTATATCTCCCATGTCTTCATTTAATATGTTCAAACTTCCATCAAGCATTTTGAACATATGAAATAGTCATAATAACCATTTAATGTAATAGTGTAATAATCCTATCATCTGTGTCATTACTGACTGGGTCTGTTTCTATTCATTTTTTTCTTTTTATGGGTTGTACTTTCCAGCTTCTTCGCATGCCTGGTGATTTTATAATGGATGCTAAACATTGTGAATTTTACTTTGTTGGATATTGGATGCTTTTGTATTCCTACAAAATTTCTCCAGTTGTTTTCTGAAAAGCAGTTGAGTTACTTGCAAATAATTTAATTCTTTTGAGTCTGACTTTTACGGTTTCTTAGGTGGTACCAGAGCAGCAATTAGTCTAGGGCTAAATTTTTCCCATTCCTGAGGCAAGAACCTACTGAGTATGCTACCTGATGCTCCATGAATTATGAGACTTTCCACTGTGGCTGGTGGAAATAGCAACTATTTTCTAGCTCTTGATGACCTCTGGGGCTTGTTCTCTCTAATACGTTTGGGTGATTATTTGCCCACATGCACTGAAGCACAAGGGGTACCATTTGCAGATCTCTGGGTTCTCTGTGCAGCTCTCAACTCTCTGGTACTCTGAACTCTAGCCTCCTTGGCCTCTCTGGACTCCCAGCTCTGTGTCCTTAACTCAGAGAGGACCTCGAGTTCTGCCTGGGTGTACCATCCCTGTATCATGCCTGCAAACTCCCTCCAGGCAGTGGGCTGGGACAATCCCAGGTCATTTGTTTCCTATCCTCCAGGGATCACTGCCCTTTGTTATCTGATGTCCACTCTCTTGAAAACCATTGTTTCATATGTATGTCCAGTTTTTAAAATTGTTTTAGGTGGGGAGGTAAATCTAGTCCCTGTTATTCCATCTTGGCTGGAAGCAGAAGTCTCTGGATTTGAGTTTTGCTCCTACATCTTACATGCTACTTGATTTTGGAAGAACTACTCGGCTTCATCCTCCTCTTTGCCCATTTATGAAGTGGGGATAATACTGCAATGATTAATCGATGGAGTCATATAGGGGAAAACATGTTATAGTCTACATGATTAGGCAAAGGAACACTCATACACTGAGAGTGGGCTTTTACCAAAAGGACTGGAGCTGAATGAACATTTTCTCTCCCGAGCAAGATAACCTGAGCCACTTTTTCTTGACCACACAGGGATAACTACCTTCTTTGTTGCCCTCTAGCCAATTAATGACCTTGCCCTTTTACCTTTCTGAACCTTATAGGACAAACAGACAACTCACCTCGTCCCAGAACCCATGGGGCAAAAAACAAGCTTATCTGAAATGTTTTGCCAAAGCTATACCTACACAGGATTATAGCACCACCAACAAATTCTGTGTGATTTGTAGTAATAAAAATCTCATTTGTTCTTATTTACACCTTAATTTAAAATAATCCTTTTCACTAAACTGTGAAGTAGAATGAATAAAACTATTAATTGAGAACATCTGCCCACAATTATAAATATATGGAATTCACTTAGTTATAATCAGTACATTAACATTTGAAAAGAAAATGATTTTTTAATGCAAAGATATCTTTCTTCTGACATATTAAAATTCCAACACACTAAAGTAGTAACGTGAGTAAAAAAATAATAAAATCCTATGGCTTTTTTATTGCATGTTTATTTAGGCCAAACCGGTACGAGGCAGCTAGATTAATTACTTTTATACTGTTAAGTACTGTACATAGTTAATTATTTCATCTAAGTTGTGTGTGAGCCAAACCTGTGAATTACTATTCATGCAGGGCAATGATGATAATTTATGTACTCCCTCTATGCTACAGCTTGTTAATATATTATTTTTGATTTGAAACTAGATGTTAAAAGTTTGCAAGAGGCTTTTAGACTACCCCACGACATAAGTTCTAAAATTATGGATTTGAAAAATGAGGTCGACAACATGCTATGATAGGAAGTTATTTAGATGATGGAATTTTAATAATTTGGTATGAAAAAATACATTCTCCCATGTTTTCTTCTGATCTGTTGACACTTATGCTTTGAGCCTCTGTGTGTGTGTGTGGTGTGTGTGTGTTTCTGCTTGATTTTATGATGTGGTTGTTTTTTGGGTCCTTAGCTTCCTACACATCTACCACATGCACAAAACCTGTTTTCACCCACTCTCCCAATATGGCTAATCAGATATTTAATTGTAGCTACCTCTAACCCAATAGCTTCAAGTGGTTAGAGAGATGCTCACAACTACCATGAACTTTTCAAGATAAAGAGATGACACTGAATCTATTTTTAAAATGTGAGATCAACTTCTCAAAACTTCAATAACAGATTCCCAGAGATACTTGTACATAGTGAAGTGAAAGAGAACTTTAAATGTTTTACAGATCCAAATATTAAAAATTTAACAGAAGTTATTAAAGTAAAAGAGCAAACAAAGAAGAAATGAGTAAAAACAAAATATGTAACTAAAAAATAAAGAGAGCTGTCATAGAACCGGCTTGCTGCTCTGGGTGGCCCTGGATGGGCAGCGTTAGCATCAACTGGGAGTTTACGAACAAGACAGCCTCAGGCCCCACCCCAGACCGAGATAGAATCTGCATTTCAAGCAGATTCCCCAGATGACTTGGGTGTTCATTAGAGTTTGAGAAGCACTAGTCTAGAGGCACATGGAGTTTCCCTCTCATGTAGACTAAAAAGCCATCCAATCGCTGAGCTCACTGAAGTGTGGCTCCCCATGGACAGAACCTGAGAACAGCACAGGCAAGTTGAGGTGGCTGCAGATTGTTTTCATGGGGAGCCTCTGGAGTACAAAGGAAGCAAAGCCCCAGTGAGGCAAAACTGTGTACAAAAATATATGTTTCATATAATACAGAGATCTAGCAGCTCTGTTCACAAGATCTTTTAGAGAAAAATAATACAGATCCAGACTTCTTACTGTGACTTTGGCCAGAGAGTTTTTGCTTATTTAGAGGAATTGAGGAACATCTAAAAGGATGGGAAGTGTGCCACCTTCCCTTGAAGCCCATTCTGGCTTTTTTTTTCCTATGAAATATGTGAATTTTATCATCTGAATAATTTTAACTAACTTTTCCCCTTAAAATGCAGGCACTTTCTGCGCAATTTCCTTTTCTTGCAGAGGCTTTCAAACTGTTCAACCACTAGAGGTCTGTATTACCTATTTTAAAAAACCATTACTAGCTGGCTGAGACTTCCAGCTTTCAACTTCAATACCTAATTGCATGTTTTAAGATTTAAAATCTCAAGACATAACACCAGGGAATAAAAAAATCACAACACTTTAAGAAATGAAGGAGAAAACCGAATAGGAGCCCTTCCATTTGAAACAAGACTGAGTCTCCCCTGTTATTTCTAGTAGACAGCTGAGCACACCTTCATAATCTTAAACACGGAAATCAATGGCCAATCACAAATCACGAGAACAAAATTTATTTTCTTCAAAATGCCTATGCAAAATAGTTTTTATCTCAATATATTTAAAACCCATGTTTCAACTTCAAATTTTAAAGCATTTATTTTCCTATTGGAACAAAAGAAAAATTAAAGTGGTTGAATTCCCATTTGGTTTATTTAAAACACCAATTTTACTACTTTTATGAGGGCTTTAAAATAAAATTTCATTTAATTAGGTCATAATATATAGGTTTAAAAACTAATGTCCTTTCAGTCTTAGAAGGCTCTGTTGCAATTTTATAAACTAATGCATGAGACTGAGCTTGCCTGGTTAAAGTTATAATAGAGGTGACACTTGCTGGTGGCCTATACTGCAAGTTGGATACCCCAGGTTTTCACTGCGTTCCATGTTCACCTGGAGATTTTCACTAGAGTAGTCCATTTGGGTCTACCCTCTGCCAGTAGAAGCCCAGGCTCTGAGCCTTCCAGAAACCTGAACATGAGGCATCCCATTTACAGAGCCATCCTGATTAGAAATGATGAAACCTTTCCCTAGCATATGCAGCAGGCCTCCTAAAGAACTCCACACTCATGTATTCACATATTTAAGTAGAATGGTTGAAAATATTACAGACATAAAAGCTGTAATTTACTGAGTATTGCATAGAGGTTTGGGATTCTGATGCTAGATTTTCATAGATTCTAATTACGCCTGCATTTCAGTAAGTGGCTACATTTGTTGCCAGGCAAGGTGTAATACTAGGAAGCTCACTTCTTTTAAAAGGCATTATTGCATAATGTTCCTGCCCTGTAAGGCCTCTAAAAGCATAAGGACGTCTAGTGTGGCTTCCCTCTCAGTCTGTCACTTTATTAAAACACAACAATTTCCAAGTGTTATTTGGCAGATCAGCTGGGTTCATTTCAAAGGCTAATATTTAACAGAGGGGAAAATAACTCATCCCAATCCTTTTAAAAATTGTTTTCTATGTATTTGCAGGCAAATTGCCTAGTGTTTTATATAGATCTCAAAGGTAGGATTCAAGAATAATTTTAGTAATGTCTTACACTGCTTGGCTACATAATCAAAATGATCAATTCTACAGCAGAAGGAAACTAATTCACGGCACAATAATTTGTACTACAGACCACTGTATTTAAAGTAATTAAGTTTTTCTTCATTTCCTGTTACATTTCTGCCGATGGCTGGTGGCATATGAATTAACAATTTTCCTCACTGAAATGAGACATTAAAATATCTGCTTTATTCTATCCTGAACATTCCTCTCAGAGCTCCTGACTCTTCTACTATAATTCAAAATGGTGTTAGCTTATACTTGTACCCAGTATCAGTATAAAGCTATAATTAAATACTAGCACAGTGCTCATTTATATTTTTTTAAAATGCTGCAATTGTAGCAGTTAATTAAACAGTAACAGTAAGATCTTAGACTCTGGTGAATTTGGTGGGTTATTTCTGGGAGAAAAATGGTTGGAACCTAGGTGTCGGAATTACTCCCAAATTTGAGTTGCTGGCCCTGGCATTGGTTAGCCATTTGGGAAATTTAGGCTCAGTTTCTGTAAAGAAAATTGAGCCAATAAGATAATTTAGCCTATTTTTTTTTGTTGGATTAAATAAGAAAATACAGTGCCTGACACAGTGCATGACACAGTGCCTGACACCAGTAAGTGTCCAATTAATAGATGTTCACTATTATTTTGTCTGATCTTTTTTGTCTTCCTTTATAAAATGGCAACAACAATACAAAGGCAATAATTCCAGTTATGTCTAAGTGTGTGAGCAATAGATAAGAAAAACCACGTGTGTGAAACAGTACTGGGCACCAGTTGCTCCCCCAACAGTTTCCCCAAAGTTTTTGCCCTTAAAACTAGATCACTTGGGAGAGTCTCAAAGATGATTCATTGTTGGACTTGAGATTTATTTTTATTTTTATTTTTTGAATAAGGAGACTGTGCCATTGAGATTAATTCATCTCTCTCTTTTATTTTTTCTGATCTGAATGACAGCTTAACTCTGTGACTCTACCAGACAAAATAACTGCATTGAAACAAGAGTCCACCAGGGACAGAAACCATTTTCAGAGCAGTTAAAAAACTAAGGTTAAGAAACTATTCAAATTCAGAGAACTCAAAGAAAAAACCATAATCTTGCTTAAAATGCAACTTTGATTATTCCACTCCTTGTGACTTAGAGATGTTTGTTTTCTCTAAAATGCCGTATAATATCTCTTTTCAGGAGAGAAATCAGTGGCAGAAGGATTTGAAGGAAGTTGTGATGAACTAGCTTATTTTTTTTAATTAGGAATGAAAACTTCTTGTTTAAGGTTATGTATTGCATATTCTCAAAATGTTCTAGTTCCTTACATGGCTGGTTTTATGGGATGTTAGTAATATAGAAGGTACTGGGAAATAAATTCCTGTATAGTTATAAATAAATAACTGTATTTGCACTAGTTATAAATAAATAACTGTATTTGTACTATTAACCAGCCTTAGGACCTGAAATTTAACCAGGCTTAGGACCTGAAATTCTACTAGATCTTGTTCTCTTTGGATTATATTTCAGTTTAAAGAGCCACACATCTCTGTCAACTCAACACAACCCCATTTCTAGGAGCCTCCTTTTTAGTTCTGTGAGACCAGGGCTTCCATGAGAGAAGTATGGTTCCGTTGTGGGATAGGGTAGACTAGGAAAGGGAGTATAGCTGAGGAGCTCTGCCCAGGAGGACAAGGGCACTGGTGGAGTGCTCTGAAAAGGGCCTTGCTGAGGACTACTTTACCCCTTCCCTAATGTTGCTTAGACCTGTGGATCTCTGAACACAATTCAGTTTAATTTGCTAAAAAGGCATTTCCATAGGATACGGTTTGGGGGTAAGTGCCACTGTTGCATAGCATTTAAGTATGCAGCTGTGATCTGGGTTAACAAAATTCTGGATTTCCATCAGGGTACTAGTTGTTTGAAAGTTATCCAAGTCACAAACTCTCTAACGGTCAGAGAAATATGAAGATTAAATTAAATTAATTAATATAGTCACAGGTTCTCACTAAATGATAACAATTTTTAGCACAAAGCACATGTATATATGAATACAAGGGTAAACTAACTTTCTTATGGTCCAATTTTTCTGATATTAAAATACTTTCTAATGATAGCATTTAATTACCAATTTACTTAGATTTAGAACAATTTGAAATATGCTTGCTAAAATCTTATTTGACTAAAACAGTGACAATAAGCAAGAATAATGGCATTTATTTTTATCAGAAATTGCATTATTTTCAAAGCCCTTTAGGCCACAGCATTGAGCTACTATTGTTTTTCTCAGATAAAGGAAGCTGCATTTTTTTCTCATTCTACTCATGATTATTTCTTATTTCTTACTCTGGGGGATGTCTCTAATGGAGGCTGGTGAGGCAGCTACCCGTTTGGGGGAGACATGACATCACAGATGCTTGTCTTTTCCTTGGCTCCCATCTATTGGAAATAGTAACTAAGTCCTCTGCCTAAGCTGGTAGGAGAGGAGCTGTAGAAAATCAAATTAACAGGAGAGAAACTATTAGTCTTCATTTTCTTGTTTTCAACCTGCGAACACAGATTGTTAAATATGCCTATTCCCTAATCCTCATTAGGAAATCTTAAAGAATAGCAGGACATGAAAAAAGCATGGGGATTATGAGAAAATGCTACCATTGAAAAATAACACAAAGTGAGGATAGTTTTCTCTCATCCAGATTATCTGTACATTTTTAGAGTTAGCCTATTTGAAATTTTCCATTAAATAATTTTATTCCTACTTACATGTGGATGGATGATACACACACAATCCCAAATATATAATTTTATTTAGAATTTTCTTATTAGACTTGAAGATAAAATAATTTAAATGGAATAACTAGTACATGACATTTTGCACTCAGTGGTATCCCTAGGACTTGTTTGAATACATTGCTGTATTTATCTAAAAGGGCAAAGCTTTCATTAAAAATAATCTAGTGGCAATGTTGCACAGCCCTAATTCTCTACTACATGAAAAGTTATATTTTCAGGCCCAGAGACACAGGATTACAGGTCAGTGATAGGCAATGCATATTTGAAGTATACCAAAAGCACCAAATAATGTAGCTGAGTATCCAGAAGGAACTGACATAAAATGCAGGGGTCTAATTACTAGAGTCATTGCCACAGAACCAGTCATCGATGACTAAATTATGCACCTGGTTTCCTGGGAAAATCTGCAGTTTGGGGAACATTTCACTACACTTCAGAGCATTTTAAGTCTTTAAATCATTTAGCTTTTAAAATCCCACCCATTTCTCCTGTTCTGGCATCCATTCTAAATATGTCTCTAGTTCCTGTCAGTTCATACTCTTCAATACTTGATTTCACTTTTGTTATCCACTCTTCTCTGTGGTTTCTGAAGACCCTGGCATACTCGCTGTGCCTTGACCATGCCAGCACATTGCTGCCTCAAGGAATTTGCATTTGCTCTACCCTCTGCCTGGAGCGATCTTCTCCCAGATGTCCACATAGCTTCCTCCTTCTTCCTAAGAAGACCTTCCCTAAACACTCTTTTTAACCTGAAGCCTCCCTTCCACTTTATTTCCATTTTCCATGCCATCCAACATATTATAAATTTTACGTGATTGTTCTCATCTTTATGCACTGGAATGTAAGTTTTATGAGGCCAAGCATTTTTGTCTACCTTGCTCACGACTTTGTGCTCAATGCTGAGAATAGTGTCTGGCATGTAGGTGTCCAAAAACACTTATTGACTGAAACACAATAGAATCTGCTGCAAACTGTAGCCCTAAGTAGGAATACCTAGTGTTTAATATCCTCTTTCAGTAGTATTCCTATCATCATGACATTTCTTTGATATTCTTATTCTAGAGGCAAAGGGAAGAAACTTTAAGTTACCTCATAACTGTTCAATAACTAACTTCTAGGTCATGATAGTTGCAAACTGAAGTGCCATTGGGATTTGGGCAGTTAAATAACTGTGTGAAACACCCAGTATAAGGCATTAAAGAGTGCTAGAATCTGTGACAAATAGGAAAGTTTATATATTGCCCTACGTAAAACCATTCAGATTTGAAAGAGAAATCTAAAACATAGCCCTGTCTGAACAAAACCTGTCTACCTGTGGCTTCAAAGCCCTTTTTGGCTGCCAGTTGTGGCCAATAGGACCACAAGGACATTTTCTAAGTCATACTGGGTTTTTTTCTACCTCTTTTCAAATATATTCTCAGGCTTGGGTATGTGACTGACTCCACATCAGGACAGGAATACTCAATTGATCAAATCTAATTACATTTGCTTCCCAACTAAATTGTGTATCACCTTCCCCTCTTGTGAGAGGAATGGTTCCTCTTGGGTCCTCGGCATCTGATTATTGCAAACCTAATTGATTTGCGACATTTCATTAATAAAGTTAACTAAAACTAATTATACATATTGAGTAAAACTTGCCTGTGAAATGAATTTTTCTATTTAGCTTAAGGGTTCTTAATTGTTAGACTGAATTGCTGAGGAAGATTGCAGAATTACTTTCTCTTGGGAGACATACATATATATATATATATATTCCCCCCCTCCAACCAATATGGATTGATGGATGGTGATACCATAGAAACCAAAAAAGAAAAAAAATGATTAAATATGAAAGTTAAAGATACTGAAGCATTGTCCTAAGAAAATAAAACTGCAAAATAGGTCACACAGATCTCTTTAAGATGTTAAATTAGGCCTGTTGTATTTGTCACATTATCTTAAGGGGTTTGAAATTCAAATTTTCAAATGTATCCACATTTATTGTTTTATTCATAGTGTAGATTTTTCCTTCACTTAATTGGTGAATATTGTATTTCTCACTCTTTCAGAGAGTATGTTTTGTCTAATTCATCCATCTATTTAAATCTAAATTCCAGCAGAAGTCCAGGGGGCGCCTCCTACTACCTCAGTTGCCCCAAACTCAGCTGATACATTGTGAGCCAGTATTTTTCACAGGATCATTTCCAGCGCTCCTTCTTTGTTTAGTCATGTATAGATAAACATTCTGTAAGTGAAAGGAAGACTAGCTAGCATTCATTAATGGTTCAGTGTTGAATAAAATACGGCTGACCCATTACTGCTATACAATAATTTTGTATATCACATGAGATGCTCTTATGATTAATAATCTGAATTTGCATTGCTTTCACTTTCCCAAAGCAGACTGGATTTCTTGCTTTGCATTGTTAAGGAAGATACTTAGCTGTTTTATCTTCCCACTCTGTTCACTGACCAGGCTGGAGGGACCAGGAGGCAGCCAACTGCCCATCTTATTTTTCCTTTTTGACCTGGGAGTATTACTGAGGAGCAAAGGTGCAAGCTCTAGATCAAAAGACAGCTCTTACCCCCTGACTGGTTTCATCTACAGTGGCTCTGTTTTTTTCTGGTGTCTATACTGTGTGCAGAAGTATTTTGGCCTTGCCTAGAGGTGGGGAGGAAGAACGCTGCTTTGGATTGGATTTTGGACTTGCAATACCTTGTTCCTGTTGTCCCAGTTCTCTGGGTGAGATGAACATTTGTTTAGATTCAGGAAAGGCACTGAGGCCCAGTTTCAGATAAATAATTATTTTCCACCAGGTCTGCACTGTATTATTACATTTATGAGATATACTAGATCTTTCTGGGATTTAAAAAATGACTCATACATTTAAATCTTAAAAGTCTTAAAAGGAATGACTAATTGAAGGGAAAAGACAACAGCACTCTTGATTCCAGCTAAAAGCCTTTCCTGTCAGCAAAACAGGGCCTCTAAATTTAAAACCTATTTCTTTGAGCTCTTTCAATTGTTAAAAATATTAATATTGGTTGGGTGCAGTGGTTCATGCCTGTAATCTTAGCATTTTGGGAGGCTGAGGCAGGAGGATCACTTGAGGCTGGGGGTTCATGAGCAACCTAGGCAATGTAGCAAGACGACATCTCTACAAAAAATTAAAAAAATAATTAGCTGGGCATAGTGCATGTGCCTGTAGTCCTAGATACTTGGGAGGATGAGATAGGAGGATGGCTTGAGCCCAGGAGTTTAAGGCTGCAGTGAGCTATGATCATGCCACTACACTCTAGCCTAGAGGACAAAGTGAGACTTTGTCTCAAAAATATCTGTCTATCTGTCTGTCTGTCTATCTATCTCTATTTAAATCTAATTTAAATTATTATTTTCTATAGAGTTATGTGCTAAGCACATCTGGCTGTATTATTTAAGCAAAGAAAGAATGTTACTGAGAATTGTGTGAATAGTAGGTTATTTGGAGTACACATGTTTCCTAAAGCAAGCTTCATTTCTGTTTATTGAAAAAAAAACTCAGGCACAAATGACTAGCATTTATCTTGCTTTTGTTTTCTGTTAGTAAGATTCTGCGATTAATATTTAAAAATTCCAAACTGGTTCCAAACTTATTTTATTTATGCTTTCATTGAAAAATGATACTATTAAATGTGTAAAGGAAATATCAGCTGGATATTTATATCCCTTTTTCACAGCTAGTTATATAGCTATTTCAAACCCTTGATGCTTTGATGACTCAAAGACAAATTTGTTTTTAATTTTTTGCCTTATATAACACATGATCATTAGTCCAGGAACTAAATGTTATTGAACTGCTAGGTATAAGTGACTGGAAAGTAACTGAGACTCAAATTTTATTAATGTTATCGTATTAGTGACAAATAGTGATTAAGAACTTTAAGAATACAGCAGGATCATTATATTGATGAAAAATGAAAAACTACTGTTATCCGTGACTGTGTTGGTCTATTCTTGTGTTGCTATAAAGGAATACCTGAAACTGGGTAATTTATAAAGAAAAGAGCTTTAACTGACTCCTGGTTCTGCAGGCTTACAAGGAAGCATGGTGTTAGCTTCTGCTTCTGGTGAGGCCACAGGATGCTTACAATCATGGCAGAAGGTGATAGGGAACCAGCATGTCACATGGCGAGAGCAGGAGCAAGAGAGAGAGGGGGGAGGTGTCACAGTTTCAGAGCAAGAACTCTTTCATTAACATGGGGAGGGCACCAAGCCATTCATGAGAGATCCGCCTGCAGGATCCAAACACCTCCCACCAGGCCCCACCTCCAACACAGGGGATCACATTTCAACATGAGATTTGGAGGGGCAAATATCCAAACCTTATCAGTGACATACAATTTAAATAAAAATAAAGGCTTCTAATATGTACATTTTTATTAAAAAATAAAATAAGAAGTATTCTACCCCTTATTTTGTTTGGCTCTCCAACTGCTTAAAAAATCAATTAATTATGTCTATGCAATGGTGAAATGTTTATCATTACTGGAAAACTAAAGAAAATCTTACAGAATTTTACAGAAGGTAATGAGTAAGGAAGAAAATATTGGCCTTTAAAAATGATCCTACATCTTTTTTACTTTTGCTTACTTGGAGCTGTCAGCAATGTTGGTAACCAAGCCAACAGCCATATATTTTAGTTCTTAATATAACTGTGGGTACTTCTTTTCACAATTTTAAGAAATCAAGAACTGCAACTTTAGAAAAGCACGTGAAACATTGAATCCTATATATTTTAATATGCAAACAAACAGGAAAAACAAAAAATGGTCTGTGAGAGCTGTATATCAGATAATCTAACACTGAGGAAATCATAATTTCAAAAGTATTAAAAACTTCCCAAATAAGTTTAAAAGAGCAGAAAACTTTCTTACCAAGTGGCCAAGAAAGTCTGCTGCATTATTAATAAGTGTGTTTACAGCAGTACTGTCCAGTAGTACTTCCTATGATAGAAATGTTCTAAATCTGTGTTGTCCACTAACCACATGTGTCTACTGAGCACTTGAGATGGGGGTAATGCAACAGAGGGGCTGAATTTTTAGTTTAATTTTAATACGTTTATATTTAAATGTAAATAGCCACATATAGTAAATGGCTACCATAATGGATGATGCAGGTCTATAAATTTTAAGCCATTGAATACGGTTCTTTATTTATTCATTTAAATGTGCTAATCAGGGTTTTCCCATTTGTCATGAGTAGATTTCAGCATAAATTTTTTGGTCCTGTGAAACAAGCTCTGAAGTGCTGTTTACATATCACTAGTTTAAATCAATAAGAGATCAGAGTTCTGTAGTTTTAAGTTGGTAAAAGTTTTAAAGGGAGATTGCAAAGTTCAGAAGGTCCTTTTGTGAACACTTTTTGTATTTCAGTATACTGCCCACAGATTGAGATAGGGCCTTGGAGATTATTTTACAGGAAAACCAGGGCAAAGTTGCTAATTAATATTAGAACTGGTATAACATCAGTTCTTTGACAAACAAAAAATAGCTTCTTAGACTTAAGTATGTTTTGCTTATTCATCTGAAACTTAAAGGTTTGAAAAAGTTTAAAATTTCACAGAATGTTTTCTTCCATGTTTTGTTATTCCTAAGCAAAACATCATAGTTATTTTGGAAGCTTTGCTACAAATGTGTGAATGTTAGAAACCAAAGACTTCCCAAATAGAGTAGAAGGAAGGCTGATTCCAAGAATCATTTCCAGCAGGAACCCCCTGGGTAAGTGTCCTGCTTTTCCTGCTAGTGGGCTGATGGGATATCATGGACAAAACTCCTTCTGTTCAATACTTTTAAGATGTAAAATAAAGCATACTGTCTTTGTGTCATCCTAGGATATGCATCTTAATACACTCTTTCCAGAGCTGGATTTTTGCAGAAAATCTGCACAGTCCAGATTCCCAAGCTTCGCTATACCTGAAAAAAACAAAATCAGAAAAAAAACCTCCCAAAACAAAACATCCCTAAAGATATCCATTGACAGAACTCTGTAAAGTGTTACTATTTTTATCTCCAAGATTAAAGGCATTCTAAATAGTTTTCTAACACCACCACTGTGGAGTACCTTCCAGAAAATGATTCCTACTTGCCAATCTGTTACAGCAAAGAAGAAGCATCCCTCTAATATTTATCTACCCACCCAGCACCTACGTATCTATCCTCTACTTTGATAAAATGGGAGCACAACATATTCAGAATAGGACAAGCTACTCTTCATTTTCCCTGGAGGGGACTAGGAGAAGCTGAGGGCTTGTTCTTTGAACTGAGTTTTTGTAAGGAGGGGCGTGGGGAAATCTTATTAGTTAGGTAAATCCCGGACTCTTGTTATGAAAAATATCACATAGGCCCATGTAAGAAGAGTTAGATAGACAAAACAGTCCTGGCTAACCCTGCTGAGCTCCACAACAGGTTGTGAGAGAGTTTAATGCCCTGCCATGTGACTCATGCCTGTAAAGAGGCTAAGAGGGCACCTCCATCTCCAATTTCACATTGTCTTTTTTCCTATATCTCATCATTGGAGGAAGGTGGAAGTTTGTGAGAATGAAACTCCGAGACATTTGGGTTTTCTGAAGGTGAGAAGGTCAACTGTTAAGGTTTATGGTCTTAACACTTCCGAAAGTGAGCACTGGGGTATCAAAGAACCCAAATCGCCCAGGAAGTAGCTGACAAGAGAGTACAATCATTTCCCTTCTGGTCCTCTTAAGCCCTATACAGGAAGAACACTGCTCAAAGGAATCACCTGTGGCCATGTGGAGTCCTTGCCAAAGGACTTTCTCACATGATTCATTATCAGTACATGAATGGAAATAGCTTAGTAATTCTGATGTTATTTATGTTTAAAACCATATAAATACAAACGCTCTTAATCTGTATATTGGAGGGGATGTGGTAACACTGGGATTTCATTATTTTCTGCTTCCTCTACTTCTTTCACAAGATAATGGTGTGTGTGGGTTTTTGCGCTCTCCCCACTGCTGACACATTAAAGAAAACTGCTGACAGACCCACTGCTGTAGATGTAAGGCATTTACCTGGTGCCGACTTTCTGGGATGGCATCAGTGAGTTATTCAGATAAAAACCCAGCCATTTTAGATCAATTTGTCAAATATCAAACCTAAAAAGAAAAAAATGATTAACGCATTCCACTGAATATAGTCAGGTTTTTATTTTTTAATTTACAGAGTAAGCTTCCACACTGCATCTTAAGAGTGTTTTTGAAGGGAGTGAAACCATCTGGTTCACATCAAGAACATATTTTTCCTTATATAGAGCTAGACTGCATTAAGTGGTGGGCACAGGATCTCATCATCTTCCTGCCTGTGGTCAACATCTTCCCCAATGCCCTTGTAGATATACATTAGGCAAAGAGAAAAAGAACGTTTTAGGGTAAAATAGTGCAGTCTCATTCCTAGCCATTTCTTTCTATAGACATGTAAGAAATGTCTATAAATGTAAGAATATGAAAATAGATTGGATTTTTACTTGTGAATCTACAGCTAAACTTAAATGATTCTATTACTTAGTATAAAGCTTATGCACATTTTATTGTACCATAATTTAAAAAATACCTTTTTAAAAGATTACCTTTTCTGTTTTTCTTTTTCCCAGAAGTAATGCTAACGCGTCGTATAAATGTCAAGTTACAGAAGGATGTAAAATAAAAGTAAACATATCCTTACCCTCTATTACTTTTCTCTGCATTTACTTCCCAGAGGTACTACTAATAGTTACCTATGTCTCCTTCTAGGACTTGTATACACATGCATATAAATATGTATATTCATAAAAAATGCATACACATGCATATAAATATGTATATCTATAGTTTTTTCTTTTTGTACATCATAGTATTTTCTTCTTTGTTTCATTTATTTTACTTATGATGGCTAGCAGATTTCCTACATCAGCATATATAAATCTACCTCATTCATTTTGATGGCTGTACAATATTTCATTCATTGTACTCACACATAGTTTATTTAACCAGTCTGCTATTAATGAGCCTTAATCTTTTTTTTCAGTTTTCCTTTTGGCTGCTACAAAAATGTCCCAATAATAATATTTACATATATGCACTTTTGTACTTATATGAATGTATCTATATAATAAATTCTAACAGACTGTTGAACCAAATTGTTTGTATATGCTAAGTTTTTGATAGATATTCATAAAATGTCCTCCGTTAAGGTTATACCAATTTATAATACCAAGAATCTGGGTTTTATCAAATCATTTTTTCTTTATCTGATAAGTAAAAGGTATATCTTTGTTTTGACTTGCATTTCGTTAATTATGAATGAGGTTGAACTTCTTTTCATTTTCTTATTGTTTCCATAGTAATTCTTCTACGAGTTTTCTCAGCCATGGCTTTTGCTCATGTTTCAATTAGGTTGTTTATTGTTTCTCACATTAAAGAGCTCATGTTATGTTAAGGAAACTTAAATTTTACATGTAATGGCTGGCAAATAGCTTTCCCAGGTTTCTTGTTTAGATGATAACTTTGTTTATGGTACTTTTTACTGTATAAGCATTTATTTTTATGTAGTCAAATTCATCAGTATTTTTAATTATATATAGGAGGATTTTTTAAATAAGAAATTTATTTAAAGTTGAAGAGTTATTCAAGAAGATTGTATATAGGTTAATTTTTAAACCAACTTTAGCATACCAAGTTTAGCATTTAGGCATACCAACTTTAGCACTGTTATACAGAATAATGTTAGCATTGGAAGGATCTATTAACAAAAGAAAGTTCCCATAAAATGATTTCTTCTATAAAATATCATGACCGTGTGAATTCTGTGGACTCTTTGTGAGACACTAGTGTACCACAGGAAAAAAAAATGACAGAAAGGGTCAGATTTATAGTACCATTCTCCAGAGAGTTAATAGTAGTTGTCTAGTACCTAAAATCTAGAGTGAATTATAAATAAAGTAATAGAAATTCCAAGACAAATAGAAAGTAAAAAATATAAAATCAATAGAGATCCATTATAGAAAATTTTGTAGGTACATACAAAAGAAAGAAAGAAAAAAAATCATCCTCAAAAGCTCTTAAGATTTGTTGTATATTGTTCCTAATTTTTCTTATTGGCTCCACAGATATGCATGCATTTAAAAAACATGTAAGTGATTTTACTAACAAATCAATCCTAACATAATTAAATGAATTTCATTAAGATGCCAATAACCCAAGACCTTAATGGCACCTTGACAAGCATCTACCAGGTATACACATACATGGGATCACACTTACGATTCATATGTTATACAGTGATTTTTTCACTTACTACTATCTTTACTTGCCACTAAATATTTTAAAATATATAAATTATATATTACATTTTATATTTATACAAAATATATAACAACTGTAATGTTCTATCATATGGCTTAAGTTAATGGAAATTAAAAGGAATAGGAATAACTGTGTGTTCTCTCAAAAATCCACTCTGGTAACTCAGTAGATAATAGACCAGGACA